>NC_000014.9:24611713-25861713 GCF_000001405.40 Homo sapiens | reverse complement strand
AGAGCTATTTTGAAATTACAAAATACACTGTTTTCCCCCAGAGAACCCAATTCAATAGCTTATTGATTTTTCCTGGCATCCTTAGTCTGGTGTGAAGGGGCTTCTGGGCTCCCAGACCTGGAAGGAGAGAGTGTGTTTGTAATTGATTCATATTCTGTACAGCAAAGTCACCTCCCTACACTCTTCAACTCAAAGTCTTTATGATAGTCCAACCCATTAAGTGCTTGCCTTCCTACTATTCTCAGTTGCTTGCCAGTATTTCCTAATAGTTTCAAGAAAATAACTGCCATCGTAAGGTCATTTTTAATCAAGTTTAGATAACACAGTTAAGTGGACCAAGAAAAATACATGAGAAGTTTGACCTTCAAATCTAGAACACACTCCAATAAACAAAGGGTCTGTCCCAGTCATTAAAGGGTCTGTCAGGTTCTCTGCCATATGACCCGTTTTCCTGGTGTTTATAACTAGATGATTCACTTGAGCCTAAAAATCAGGCCCTCATATAAAAATGTCTGGGATTGTTTCTCCCCTCCATGAAGAAATACTAGCAATCACTGATCCATGCGTGCATAAATGATAAGTGAGGGACTAATGAGAACATGAACAGCTAGTGATGCTCTTCATTTTCTTTCTTTCTTTTTTTTTTTTACTAGAAAAGGAAAGCCCTTGATCTTAAAGGAAAAAAAAAAAAACACTCAAGTTCAAAATCTACTGGTCACAATATGAGTTTCAGAATTGTATTAGCTTAGTCTCCTGGTTCTATGTAGTCATTTACCCAGTAAATGAGAATAGTTACAGAAGGATTAGAACTCTTCAGAGTGAATTATTGTGTTATTCTTAATAATCATAGGTATATATAACCCTTTTCCTCCAAGGAACTCACAACATCTAATTGACCTTATCTTACAAATAGTTACCCTACTCCTGAGAGGTGATACATTTTAAATTTCTATTAAATTGCTATGGGTAAATAAAACCCAGAGATAGCAAATGGCCTCATCAAGTCTTTTGAAAGAGGATATATGATAGCTTACAGATAAAATTTTAAAAAATGAAGTCTAATTGATTGAATCGTTAAGTATGTAGATTTTCTAAGTCCCTACTAATTTGGAAAGTTTCTAAAAGGTGTCAAAGGATTCCGCTTTCAGTGGCCCTGCCCTCCTCACAGATTTTGCCAGTTACTTCAATGAGAAAATCAAATGAATGGTTACCACATTTTCAGACGGTATATGCTGTAAGGAATAAAATATATATTGTACAATAGAATGAGGTTCCAAAAAGATATTAACATCTTGGGAAGATGGCTAAAGCCAACAAAATTAAATTTAGTAAGAATGCAAATTCCTGATCTTAGGTTAGAAAAAAATAAACATAGTTGTGAAAGAACAGCTTGGGAAAGGTGTGAAAATTATTTTTATAGATTTTTATAACAACAACATCAATAAGAATCTGCTATGTATCACATCTGATAAAGGAGCAAACATGGCCTTAGGCTGCATTCACATAATTACGGGATTCTGAATAAAGAAGGTGCTAGTTTGGATGTAATCTATCTGGTCAGACATTCTCTAACAGTCTCACTTGTCTGAACTTAAAAATCACCTACACTTCTTGATATAGAATCTCCTGGAAAAGAGAGTAGGAAATGAGTTTATTCCAGTGAGATGAGCAGAGTGCTAAAGGAATTACACCTATCCTTTAGTTTGAGAACATCTAACAGAACTAGTGATGTTTAGCCTAGAGAAAAAAGATCAAGGGAAAACACAATAGTTGTCTTCACTGTTTCCTTAGTGATAAAAGTAGGGCTGATGTTTTGAAGATATATGAGCCAGATTTTTATGTAATACACAATTTTCACAATCTGGGCAGTCCAAAGATTAAATGTACTGCTTCTGTGGGTAGTGAGTTTCTCCATTGCTAGATCTAAGTATCAGATGGGTAATTAGTCTTTGAGATCCCTACTAAACAAAGTTTATAATTATGATTCTAGAACTTTCTAGAGTAAACCATAATATCCCTGGTCAAAGGCAACAAAATATATAATGGACTGATACATTAAAATATATAATTCATAATGCATCTGAACAATGGAAAATATGGAGCTTCCATTTTATCTACCCAGTGTATGTAATGAGGAGATTTTATTAAAATTTTCACTTCTAAAGGTGATATAAAAATGCACCTGTCAAGGAAGGATGGTCTTTATGCTTACACACTTTGATGCAGGTATGCTGAAGCACAATTATCCCAGCTACCACCTGTAACATCCCTCCTGCAGACTGAATGGTTGACCAAAAAAGAAATTTAGAGGTGGTTCCAGGACTTGGGGTAGGAGCATTACTACCCCATTACTACCCATTACTGTTTAATGGGTACAGAGTTTTAACTGGGGAGGATGAAAATGTTCTGGATATGGATGGTGGTGATAATTGCATAACAATGTGAATGTACTTAATATCACAAGACTGTGTACTTGTAAATGGTTAAAGTGGTAAATTTCATTCTGTGTATTTTACCACAAGAAAAAAATTTAAAAAGAGAAACCCAGATATTCTCACTCTGAGTGATTAAATTCATCCCCTGGGCATTTTCAATAATTTGGTCAGCATATCCATAATGAAATCTTCATCATAAAATAACTGCTTACCAGATCCTTCTGGGTCTTCCCTTTTCCTCTCACAGAAGATGTCTCCTTCTGAGGGTATCCATAGAAACAGGGACACATGTGTGGGATGTGCTTAAGGTATACATGTGTACTTGAGTGAAGGAGAAAAGATTCGATCCTAGCTCTTAAATGCAGGGCTTCAGATGCCAGATATGATAGGATAAAAATTACCACTTACCTATGAGAAGGAAATGGAGTTACGGCTACAACTATTAAAGGAAGAGAACCCACAATGAGATGTGATTCTCATTAAATTATATATCTTAGAAAGTATGGAAGGTCTCTTATTTGTAGTATAAGTTGTAATATTTTATTATGTATAAGATTGAACCAGCAGGGTTTATTTGCAATTCAGGTTTAATGGACTGGCCTCCACCTATTGATTCTGATCCTGTAGATCTTGGGTTAGGAAAGTTCAGTTTATAAAAAGAAATCCAGATGTTTATGATGAGGCTTGTTGAAGAATACATTTTGAGAAATACTAAACTAGATTATATAGCCCAATAGTTCTCAAACTTCTTGCCTTAGAATCCCTTTTTATTCTTAAAAATCAGTGAGGACACCAATGAACTTCTGTTCATGTGGGTTATATCTATCACTATTATATTGGAAATGAATACTGAGAATACAAAAATTACTTAATTCATTTACGATTATAATAAACTGTTAAGTAAATTAATGAGTTCTAAAAACAATATTTTTACAACAAAAAATTGGTGATAAGAAGACCTTGTTTTACAATTTTGCACATCTTAGTGTCTGGCTTCATAGGAAACTTATGAATTCTCATATATATGTCTACATGCAATTTGATGAAATATGTTGTTTTTGTTGAAGCACATGAGGAAAACCCAGCCTCAAACAAACACGTAATAGGACAATAAAATATCATTTCAATAACCTTTTCATATATTTGTAGACATTGTTCTTTGATGCTATACCAAAGCTCAACAAGTGGCAGTTTCTTAAAGGTTAGTTACCACGTGAAATCTGAAACCATATAAACAAACATTTTCTTCTCTGTTACCTTAAAATATATTGGCCTATGGAGGGTGGAACCAAGATGGCCGAATAGGAACAGCTCCAGTCTACAGCTCCCAGCATGAGCCATGCAGAAGACGGGTGATTTCTGCATTTCCTACTGAGGTACCAGGTTCATCTCACTGGGGAGTGCTGGGCTGTGGGTGCAGGACAGTGGGTGCAGCGCACTGTGCGTGAGCCGAAGCAGGGCAAGGCATAGCCTCCCCTGGGAAGCCCAAGGGGTCAGGGAATTCCCTTTCCTAGTCAAAGAAAGGGGTGACAGACGGCACCTGGAAAATCGGGTCACTCCCACCATAATACTGCGCTTTTCCAACTGGCTTAACAAACGGCAAACCAGATTATATCCCACACCTGGCTCGGAGGGTCCTATGCCAAGGGAGCCTCCCTCATTGCTAGCACAGCAGTCTGAGATCAAACTGCAAGGCGGCAGCGAGGCTAGGGGAGGGGCGCCCGCCATTGCCCAGGATTGAGTAGGTAAACAAAGCAGCCGGGAAGCTCCAACTGGGTGGAGCCCACCACAGCGCAAGGAGGCCTGCCTGCCTCTGTAGGCTCCACCTCTGGGGGCAGGGCACAGACAAACAAAAGGCAGTGTAACCTCTGCAGACTTAAATGTCCCTGTCTGACAGCTTTGAAGAGAGTAGTGGTTCTCCCAGCATGCAGCTGGAGATCTGAGAACGGGCAGACTGCCTCTTCAAGTGGGTCCCTGACCCGCGAGTAGCCTAACTGGGAGGCACCCCCCCAGTAGGGGTGGACTGATAGCTCACACGACCGGGTACTCCTCTGAGACAAAATGTCCAGAGGAACGATCAGGCAGCAGCATTTGTGGTTCACCAATATCCACTGTTCTGCAGCCACCGCTGCTGATTCCCAGGCAAACAGGGTCTGGAGTGCACCTCCAGCAAACTCCAACAGACCTGCAGCTGAGGGTCCTGACTGTTAGAAGGAAAACTAACAAACAGAAAGGACATCCACCCAAAACCCCATCTGTACGTCACCATCATCAAAGACCAAAGGTAGATAAAACCACAAAGATGGGGAAAAAACAGAGCAGAAAAACTGGAAACCCTAAAAATCAGAGCATCTCTCCTCCTCCAAAGGAACGCAGCACCTCACCAGCAACGGAACAAAGCTGAACGGAGAATGACTTTGACAAGTTGAGAGAAGAAGGCTTCAGAAGACCAAACTACTCCAAGCTAAAGGAGGAACTTCAAAACAATGGCAAAGAAGTTAAAAACCTTGAAAAAAAATTAGACAAATGGGTAACTAGAATAACCAATGCAGAGAAGTCCTTAAAGGAGCTGATGGAGCTGAAAACCATGGCACGAGAACTACATGACGAATGCACAAGCCTCAGTAGCCGATGCGATCAACTGGAAGAAAGAGTATCAGCGATGGAAGATGAAATGAATGAAATGAAGCAAGAAGAGAAGTTTAGAGAAAAAAGAATAAAAAGAAATGAACAAATCCTCCAAGAAATATGGGACTATGTGAAAAGACCAAATCTATGTCTGATTGGTGTACCTGAAAGTGATGGGGAGAATGGAACCAAGTTGGAAAACACTCTGCAGGATATTATCCAGGAGAACTTCCCCAATCTAGCAAGGCAGGCCAACATTCAAATTCAGAAAATACAGAGAATGCCACAAAGATACTCCTCGAGAAGAGCAACTCCAACACACATAATTGTCAGATTCACCAAAGTTGAAATTAAGGAAAAAATGTTAAGGGCAGCCAGAGACAAAGGTCAGGTTACCCGCAAAGGGAAGCCCATCAGACTAACAGCTGGTCTCTCAGCAGAAACTCTATAAGCCAGAAGAGAGTAGGGGCCAATATTCAACATTCTTAAAGAAAAGAATTTTCAACCCAGAATTTCATATCCAGCCAAACTAAGCTTCATAAGTGAAGGAGAAATAAAATACTTTACAGACAAGCAAATGTTGAGAGATTTTGTCACCACCAGGCCTGCCACTGCAAAAACAAATTGTAAAGACCATCAAGGCTAGGAAGAAACTGCATCAACTAATGGGCAAAATAACCAGCTAACATCATAATGACAGGATCAAATTCACACACAACAATATTAACCTTAAATGTAAATGGGCTAAATGCTCCAATTAAAAGACACAGACTGGCAAATTGGATAAAGAGTCAAGACCCATCATTGTGCTGTATTCAGGAAACCCATCTAACATGCAGAGACACACATAGGCTCAAAATAAAGGGATGGAGGAAGATCTACCAAGCAAATGGGAAACAAAAAAAGGCAGGGGTTGCAATCCTCGTCTCTGATAAAACAGACTTTAAACCAACAAAGATCAAAAGAGACAAAGAAGGCCATTACATAATGGTAAAGGGATCAATTCAACAAGAAGAGCTAACTATCCTAAATATATATGCACCCAATACAGAAGCACCCAGATTCATAGAGCAAGTCCTTAGTGACCTACAAAGAGACTTAAAGTCTCCCATTATTATTGTGTGGGAGTCTAACAGCCCACTGTCAACATTAAACAGATCAACGAGACAGAAAGTTAACAAGCATATCCAGGAATTGAACTCAGCTCTGCACCAAGCGGACCTAATAGACATCTACAGAACTCTCCATCCCAAATCAACAGAATATACATTCTTTTCAGCACCACACCACATCAATTCCAAAATCGACCACATAGTTGGAAGTAAAGCACTCCTTAGCAAATGTAAAAGAACAGAAATTATAACAAACTGTCTCTCAGACCACAGTGCAATCAAACTAGAACTCAGGATTAAGAAACTCACTCAAAACCGCTCAACTACGTGGAAACTGAACAACCTGCTCCTGAATGACTACTGGGTACAAAAAGAAATGAAGGCAGAAATAAAGATGTTCTTTGAAACCAACGAGAACAAAGACACAACATGCCAGAATCTCTGGGACACATTCAAAGCAGTGTGTAGAGGGAAATTTATAGCACTAAATGCCCATAAGAGAAAGCAGGAAAGATCCAAAATTGACACCCTAACATCACAATTAAAAGAGCTAGAAAAGCAAGAGCAAACACATTCAAAAGCTAGCAGAAGGCAAGAAATAACTAAGATCAGAGCAGAACTGCAGGACATAGAGACACAAAAAACCCTTCAAAAAATCAATGAATCCAGGAGCTGGTTTTTTGAAAAGATCAACAAAATTGATAGACCTCTAGCAAGACTAATAAAGAAGAAAAGAGAGATGAATCAAACAGATGCAATAAAAAATGACAAAGGGGATATCACCACCGATCCCACAGAAATACAAACTACCATCAGAGAATACTGTAAACACCTCTACGCAAATAAATTAGAAAATCTAGAAGAAATGGATAAATTCCTTGACACATACACCCTCCCAAGACTAAACCAGGAAGAAGTTGAATCTGTTAATAGACCAATAACAGGATCTGAAATTGAGGCAATAATTAATAGCTTACCAACCAAAAAAAGTCCAGGACCAGATGGATTCACAGCCGAATTCTACCAGAGGTACAAGGAGGAGGTGGTACCATTCCTTCTGAAACCATTCCAATCAATAGAAAAAGAGGGAATCCTCCCTAACTCATTTTATGAAGCCAGCATCATCCTGATACCAAAGCCGGGCAGAGACACAACCAAAAAAGAGAATTTTAGACCAATATCCTTGATGAACATTGATGCAAAAATCCTCAATAAAATTCTGGCAAACCGAATCCAGCAGCACATCAAAAAGCTTATCCACCATGATCAAGTGGGCTTCATCCCTGGGATGCAAGGCTGGTTCAATATACGCAAATCAATAAATGTAATCCAGCATATAAACAGAACCAAAGACAAAAACCACATGATTATCTCAATAGACGCAGAAAAGGCCTTTGACAAAATTCAACAATGCTTCATGCTAAAAACTCTCAATAAATTAGGTATTGATGAGATGTATCTCAAAATAATAAGAGCTATCTATGACAAACCCACAGCCAATATCATACTGAATGGAAAAAAACTGGAAGCATTCCCTTTGAAAACTGGCACATAGTTCCAAACATAGTGTTGGAAGTTCTGGCCAGGGCAATCAGGCAGTAGAAGGAAATAAAAGCATTCAATTAGGAAAAGAGGAAGTCAAATTGTCCCTGTTTGCAGATGACATGATTGTATATCTAGAAAACCCCATTGTCTCAGCTCAAAATCTCCTTAAGCTGATAAGCAACTTCAGCAAAGTCTCAGGATACAAAATCAATGTGCAAAAATCACAAGCATTCTTATACACCAGTAAGAGACAAACAGCCAAATCATGAGTGAACTCCCATTCACAATTACTTCAAAGAGAATAAAATACCTAGGAATCCAACTTACAAGGGATGTGAAGGACCTCTTCAAGGAGAACTACAAACCACTGCTCAATGAAATAAAAGAGGAAACAAACAAATGGAAGAACATTCCATGCTCATGGGTAGGAAGAATCAATATCGTGAAAATGGCCATACTGCCCAAGGTAATTTATAGATTCAATGCCATCCCCATCAAGCTACCAATGACTTTCTTCACAGAATTGGAAAAAACTACTTTAAAGTTCATATGTAACCACAAAAGAGCCCACATCGCCAAGTCAATCCTAAGCCAAAAGAACAAAGCTGGAAGCATCATCACGCTACCTGACTTCAAACTATACTACAAGGCTACAGTAACCAAAACAGCATGGTACTGGTACCAGAACAGAGATATAGACCAAAGGAACAGAAGAACAGAGCCCTCAGAAATAATGCCGCATATCTACAACTATCTGATCTTTGACAAACCTGACAAAAACAAGCAATGGGGAAAGGATTCCCTATTTAATAAATGGTGCTGGGAAAACTGGCTAGCCATATGTAGAAACCTGAAACTGGATCCCTTCCTTACACCTCATACAAAAATTAATTCAAGATGGATTAAAGACTTACATGTTAGACCTAAAACCATGAAAACCCTAGAAGAAAACCTAGGCAATACCATTCAGGACATAGGCATGGGCAAGGACTTCATGTCTAAAACACCAAAAGCAATGGCCACAAAAGCCAAAATTGACAAATGGGATCTAATCAAACTAAAGAGCTTCTGCACAGCAAAAGAAACTACCATCAGAGTGAACAGACAACCTACAAAATGGGAGAAAATTTTTGCAACCTACTCATCTGACAAAGGGCTAATATCCAGAATCTACAATGAACTCAAACAAATTTACAAGAAAAAAACAACCCCATCAAAAAGTGGGCAAATGATATGAACAGACACTTCTCAAAAGAAGACATTTACGCAGCCAAAAAACACATGAAAAAATGCTCATCATCCCTGGCCATCAGAGAAATGCAAATGGAAACCACAGTGAGATACCATCTCACACCAGTTAGAATGGCAATCATTAAAAAGTCAGGAAACAACAGGTGCTGGAGAGGATGTGGAGAAATAGGAACACTTTTACACTGTTGGTGGGACTGTAAACTAGTTCAACCATTGTGGAAGTCAGTGTGGTGATTCCTCAGGGATCTAGAACTAGAAATACCATTTGACCCAGCTATCCCATTACTGGGTATATACCCAAAGGACTATAAATCATGCTGCTATGAAGACACATGCACATGTACATTTATTGCGGCACTATTCACAATAGCAAAGACTTGGAACCAACCCAAATGTCCAGCAATGATAGACTGGATTAAGAAAATGTGGCACATATACACCATGGAATACTATGCAGCCATAAAAAATGATGAGTTCATGTCCTTTGTAGGGACACGGATGAAGCTGGAAACCATCATTCTGAGCAAACTATCACAAGGACAAAAAAACCAAACACTGCATGTTCTCACTCATAGGTGGGAATTGAACAATGAGAACACATGGACACAGGAAGGGGAACGTCACACACCAGAGACTGTTGTGGGGTGGGGGGTGGCGGGAGCGGGGAGGGATAGCATTAGGAGATATACCTAATGCTAAATGATGAGTTAATGGGTGCAGCACACCAACATGGCACATGTATACATATGTAATAAACCTGCACATTGTGCACATGTACCCTAAAACTTAAAGTATAATAATAATAAAATTAAAAAAAAAATCTATTGGCCTGTCTTGCACTAATTCATAATTTTGTAATGGTAAACATTTATTACTTGCAAAATCTTCTTTTTAAAGTTATACAGAGCTAAATGTTGATACATTTTGTTAGACGTCAATCATATCACATATATTAACTTCACTGCTGATGTAATTAGAGAAGTGTTAATACACCGGGACACTACCAAGATCATGATAGTGAATAAAATTTTTCCACAATTGTAATTATTGTTTGAAAGCTTAAACTTCATAGCTTACAACAAATACTGTAATTGTTTTCCTTGAAGTGTCAAATTCAGCTCATTTTAGAAAATGATGGCCAAATATATAAGTCCAGTAACCACAATTTGTGAGTTGTTCTTTGTAGTGAAAAAAAGGAAAACGTTCCTCTGTGAAAATGATGGCTAGTTCAGCTTGCAACTCAGCTACACACATGCATTAGTACGCAGCAAGTGTACATTGTGCATATTTCTATTTTATAACAGATACTCAACAGATGTTTACTCGGGTTGAGATTTAATAAAATTAATCATTTTAACTACTTCATTCAATGGGATTCTTAAGAAATACTGATTTTTTTTTTCAACTCTGAGTGTGTGATGGTGAAGATTGTAACTGCTAGTATATATTTGGTGGCACTGTGTTGGTCTACTATTAAGGTTACAGCAGCTCTTCCCATCACAGCTTTTGCATCACCTGTGCAAAATGAACAGTGTTAAGAAAGCAAATAATATCTTAGTATTATTATGGGAATAGTCTTGACCTCACAGACCCGAAATGGCCTTGGAGATACCCGTGGATCTGCAGACCATACTCTGAGGACCTCTGATCTACACTATCAGGCCAGTGTTTATCTATGGAGGTGCTGAGGTTAATGGCAATGTTAATGATTAAGACAGCAGCAAGTTAGACAAAAGACAGAAAATCTAGTGATCAATAGATCAGGTGGGTGATTATAGTTAACAATAACCAATTGTACATTTCAAAACAGCTAGAAGAGAATAAGTCAAATGTTCCTAGCATAAAGAAGAGATAAATATTTAAGGTGATGAAAATCCCAATTACCATAATTTGAGCTTTAAAATATGAATGCATCAAATTATCACCAAAATATGTTCGTCTGTTATGTATAAATTTTTAAAAATAATTAAAATAAAAATAAATACAAAATAGAAAAGGCAAATATTTAAGGTAATGCATATTGCCTCCCCTCAGAAAAAAGATAGCAGCCAACATTATTTGTGCCACATCTTTTTTTTTAGCTTTACATTTTCTTGAATCCTCACTAGAACTCTATGAGTTATATACTATTATTGTCTCCATTTCACAAGTGAGGAATGTGAGGTACAGAGAAGTCAAGAAAGTTGCAAGAGATCACAAAATTGTTGGGTGGCAAAACCAGAACTGTCCTTCGGATCTTTTCCTGGAAGTAAGGTAGGCGTGCATGGGGAAGAAGTACTGCCCAGGGACTGAAACCCAGGACATCTGAGGTAAGCCACCAGAAGAAATAGTGTATGGAAAGTTATTAAGGTTATGTTGTTTGCATGAATAAATACTAAGAACCTGTCCCATTTATACATAGGTGTTAATTACCTTAATGTAGTTCATGTCCATTTTATAAACATCCATTTCTGTACTTTGTATTTTATCTTTTCTTAGTTTGGTCAAGTAAACGTAACCAAATCCCTTCCTTTAGCCTTAGCTGCCTTGTTCACAGATGATCTTTTACAATGAAATTTACCAACAGTGACTCCCAACTTATTCAGCCATGTAAAAGATAGACACATTTATGTGTCTGTTCAATATAAACTGGAGAAGAGGCTTTGCCACTGCCCACTCGAAGAAAAGACACAGTATCTCAGAAACTCTACGAGACTCCAGGCAATCTAGAGACTAATCTGTTTATGGACATCTGTTACCATCATCAGAGGGGCCTAGCCCACACGTAAATGGTTATATTCTTTTCAAATATTTAACGCTCATTCTACAGCTAAAATACTTTGCGTTTCCTTATATTTTTGGTGTTTTAGTGTTTCGCTTTCATAAGGAGACTATTGAGATTTAGATTTAACTAACGTTGTCTGTGCCCCTAACACCATCCTGTTTTCCCCCTTTCCTATTTTACAACTCCAGTAACTTCTAGTAACTTCTACTGTGACTATATTAACATATCTTGTTTTATATCTTTTCCATCCACCTTCAAAGTAAGAAATCAAAGCTCAAAAAAGTTGAGGAACTCACCCAAGGTCATACAGATCTTAAATTGTGTTTTAGCCAGAGTGTTAGGCTAAACCCTCTGACACCAAATCCAGAGAAATATTGAAACAGAACAAAAGAAAGTGCATAGAATTCTGAATACTAGGCATGTCCTAATCTATATGAACTGTATGGTATATTTAAGACAGGCTGGTAGCATTTATTCAGGCAAGATGCCTTGTTTTATTCAGTAAACCCTGTATTCTGAAATAAGAAAGCACCTATGAGTAAATCAGAGCTAACTCTCTATCAGCAGTTGAAGATATTTTTCCTTCCAAATGGTAATTTGTTGCTGGTGGAAGGACAAATGCTATTACTATTTGAATAGTAAGTAGAATATGTATGAATGGTATAAAGAAAGCATGTAGTAGAAATGCTGCCACTACCTTCTTTGCAATTTAGCATGGTATTCTCTTCCATGGAGCCCAAAGAATATTGCTTCAATATTCTTTTCAACACAGGACTCCAAATAGCCACTACAAATTGATCACGGTTAACAATTTAAGATGAAGCAATTTTCTTCTCTCGTTTAAAGTACATTTCATCTATGTAAACAACCAAGTACTGTTTTTGCTTTTAGAAAGATTTATATATGGAAATAGCAGGCTTTTGATCCATAGATGTTTAAGATTACATATATGTTTATTATCATAAGGAAAATAGTCTGATTCTATGTAAGAGGTAACTCAATACCTCCTTACACAGACTGGGTAAATTTTCCATTACCAAACAGCATCTTTACCCTCTTATCAGAACCTAAATGCAGCCACTTGCCACTTGTTTTTCTTCTATGCCCTTCAGTAAGTCAAAGGAAGATGAGAGTCAGAGTTCTATGCCACTGGGATCCAAAGAAAATGAGTCATACCCACCTGAGCACTATGAGCTCCAGTTCAGACATCCTCTGTTGCTCACTCATCAGCCCTTGCATGCATACTCAAAAAAGAAAAGCATAGAATTGAAGTCTTGTATGAGTCCCCCGCCCCTGCCCCCCGTGAAGAAATCCCTTAGTAATACTAACTGGACTCTTAATCAACTGCCCAATTCCCTTGGACTTTTCAGAAAAGTTAGGCTAGGTCTGAAGATAAACCTCTAATAAAAATTAAGGTGATTATTCATTGCAGTACAATAGGAGAATCAACATTTCCTGGTAGGCAGCAGGGAATTGTACAACCCACCAGCTGTGCGCTAACATCGAAGCGCTCCTACGGGTGCTTTCAAGCCTCAATCAGGACAGTGATAAGGGAACTATATTGGAAATGAGGGGCTGCTGATGGCTCAGGTGAGTCGGGCAAAAATAAAGAATCAGACTTCAAAGGGTTGTGTGCATTAAGAGAAGCACAACAAAGGAGAAGAGGGAGAGCTGCCCCACATCACCAACTCTATCATGGAAGCTCTCCTTATCATTCCGCTCCAGTCCTGTGATTATGAGGAGGGAGTCAAAACGTCCACTAATCAGGGCAGTGTGGTGTGCTATTCACAAGCTCATAACTGGCAGTAAAACAGAAAGGCCCATGTCTGCTCTGCTGAGTAATTTCCACACTGAGGCCCTGAGCAGAGATGTCGTGTCATTTGTAACATCTGCCTTGGCATCCAGGAGCCAAAGTAAGCTAGTTAGGGAGTTGCACTACTTCTTTTTCCCTCTTCCTGTGACAAGCCTAAAGGACTCAAAGTTATCTGCAAGGAAAACTAGTCTGAGCTCTTCAGAGAATTGTCAGTTCAATGAAGGTAAGGCAGAAGAGTGTATTGGAGGCTAAGGAGATACTCTGGCTTCTGATTTACCTAGAAGAGAGGGCAGAAGTAGCATCAGATGTGGAAGGAGAAACCAAGTATCAAAGCAGAAACAGACACTCTGGAGGGGAGATCTTCACAGCTGCACAGGAAGGAAGACTCAGTCTTTATGCTTCATTAATTTTTTTTTCATATAAGACTATGCCACAATGATAGTTATAGAACTCAATACCACTGCTAACTCCAAAGACACTTGGGTTTTTAACCTTTCCTAATTATTCTAAAGCCCATATCCTAGCCCAGTGCCTCTTACTCCTAATGTGTACACAAATAACCTGGAGATCTTATTAGAATAAGAATTCCGATTCTGAAATTCTAGGTTGGACTGAGTATTGATAGTTTCCAACTGATATCAGTGCTGTAAGTACAAGCACTCCCTCTGCAGTAGCATGGTACTGCATCACAATTTGGCAGGGCCAGGAAACAGTAAAGTCCAATAAACAGCCTTTATTTTTATCTTTCCCTCATAAGACATTAAAAAAAAATACTGTCCAAAGTGCAGTCACAGTATATAAACCACATCTTGCCAATAGCAAGTCTTATTCCTCATATGGATGAGAGAAATAAAGATGTAAAAGAGGACTCACCCGGGCCTGAACAGGTGTAGTTGGCTACTTTCTAATGAGTTCGAGGGTAAAGTAAAGTTATATTGGGTGTGTGCCCAAGCCATACACCTGTGCAACTGCATACTCAGAGAGCCCAGAGAAATTGGAAACTAGAAATATGGAACCTCTTAACAATTTGGCACTTAGAAAATCTATCAAAGTGACACAAGGCAAATCAAGGCCATTAGCCATTCTGTCTAAAAATTAAAGTCCCAGGACCATTCAGTATAGCTTCTCGTGGCCTTGAACCATGCCATGAAGAATGACTCTCAGCCGATGGTTTCCTTGGTGCAAGGCCCTGAAGTAGGTACTACGGGGCAAGTGAAACATGAAGAACACATGAAGAACACATAGAGTATGACCTCCAGAAGCCTGCTGAGGGGCTGGGGAATGGAGTATCTAATGCACATTCTTGCTTGATGTATTTCTATTATTTTCCTACACAATTTCCACAGGGCAGTTATTGCTGCAGTAGTTCCTAAAAGACTGGCTACATCTAACAGCCAATGCCAAATTAAAGGTTTGTTGCACAAGGATTTCCAAATAGTAATTTTAAACACATTTATATCAAATGATCCCATACTGAAGTGATTTTAAACTTTTCCACTGCCCTTTCTGTATCCAAAAGACTGTGTTAATCATGGATGGGTTCTGCCTCACAGCTTCTTTGAGAGGTTCATCAGTATTCCTCTTTCCATTTTACAGATGGGAGGACTGGGCAGAGAGATGTTAAGTGACTGCCCAAAGCAAAAGCTGGAATCAGAGACTATGCTTGGGCCCTCCACTCTCGCCCTTAACCAACTGAGACATCCTGGCTCTGTTACCCCGGCTTCTTGCATACACCAGGCCTGCCAACCACTTTAACAGCCAGCGACAGACGAGTCATTATGAGCTGCTATGTAGGGAAAAGAAAATATAAGCCAGATTCTCATTCTATATAACTCTAGGGGAACTTTAAATCGCCAGATGTCAATCTGGAACCTCTCCTGAGTGCTCCAGCTCTCAGGCACAGATGGGAAAAATTGGGCTTTAAGGATACTTTCTGGGCAGACTCGGAGTCCAGAACTCAGGAATGGGACCTGGTGCTCCAAGGAAGGCTTGCAAGTGGCCCTTTGAAATATGTCATTTAACCTTCCCAGACTCCAAATCTCATCCTCAGAGGAGGCTTATTTTTCTCATTTGTCATTTGAATCAGAGTGTTGTGTTAGAGAATAGGCTTTGTTATTGGCAGACTTGGATTTGTATCTTGTCCTCACCTCTCATTAACTGTGTGACATTGGGCAAGTTATTCAACCTTCCTGGGCTTCAGTGTTCTCGTGTTTGAAAATTTAAACATTCCAGAAGCCATTTTCACAGGGATACAGTGAGGGTTAGATACGACTAAATAACTAAAACGTTGCTGATACATAATAGACACTCAATGAATGTCCTATTTTTCTCATTTCTTGTTGATATTCATGAATAAAATATCTTGGAAATATTTGGTAAAGAGAAATAATGCTGATATATTAATCCTATTTTAATAAGCATTCACTCTGGGTCAAAAATATATCAACAAGTTATCTCATATAGAAGCAAGGTAATTGAGATAAATTAACTGGAAAAAATAGAATACTAAAAAGGGGTTAGTTAATTGTCCTCAAATAAATGAACTGTTTTCATTCAATAAATTATGGCTTCCTATTAGTTTTCACCTCTGCTGAAAGACACGGTAAAATGTGTTCAGAATGAAGTAATGTACAAAGAAAAACCTCCTGATGATAACAGTTAAAATCTAGGATATTTTTCTAGGAGAGAATGCACAGAAGTTTATGGAAAAGCAGATATAACCCCAATTCAAGCCAATAAAATCAGTGAAAACCTACAATTATACTAACATTCTAAGATAATAGATGACAAATATGGGAAGTTGTTAGATTAATTTAAAAAACTATTAATAAGAAGAAAGGGTTTACAGAGATAGCCTAATATGGAGGAAAGAGAACAGCTATTTTTATCCTGAATTTGTAACTATCCTTTTCACCTAGGTAAGTTAAATATTTGGTCCAAGTCTCCTCGTATATAATGGGATCTATTGAATTAACTTAGTTCTAGTATAATTTTAGGTAGCTGGTTTCTTTCTGATTAAAATGTGTCTAGATTTATAAAATAAAGGGCATTTAATACTCTTTAGAATCAGACATACTGTGTAAGATGAGGTATGTCTAATATAAATTTCCATCCATCTATTAATAAAATGATCAAAACCACTCTCCAGTCTAGAGGCAGGATGATGAACTCAAGGTCACAGTGCACAGCACAGTGCCTCTCTGTCTGCCCACAGATGATCAATACAATTTTTTTTTGGAATAAAAGAATGCAGAACCTAATCCCAGACATGAGCTCCACAATTTGTTCCAGCATTAATTTGACAAACCTACTATGTGCCAGGCAGTATATTTATTTGCAGTGGTATTTGGATATGACATGAGTACCAAATTTAATTTTTAAAAGTAATTTACCACCATTTGATTCAGAATTTCCCCAATATTCTCGAAGGCAAATGAAATTAGTTGATGTGTATTATATGGTAAAAGCTGCAAAGGACAATGTGCTGACCTTGGTCTGCTAGTTTGTCTCCTCGTTGGCAGATGCTTTCAGGGAGGAGAGTTGAGATAAACTGGAGGATTAGTAAAATTCTGAGGGTAAAATAATTTTTTCTCAGCCTTTAGGGAATGGAGTAATGAAGCATGGCAAAGCAAGTCACATTACCTATATTAACTTAGAAAGGAAAATGAGTTCTCTGTTACATGTAGACCTTATTAATGAATAATCACTACATTGTTCATAACTCTGCCTATGCTGGAGAAGGTAAAGTGGACCAGGATGAGCAGAAAAGATGTCAGCAAGTAAATTTTCATGGGGCTTTGACATGCAGACTGATTTTCAAATGCTTTGACTCAGAGGACTCAGAAAGCAAAGGCAAGGAACAAGTAGGTGTATAGAGTGTCATTTTGGTGGGTGAATGAGTCATATCATAGGTTTGTTTCCTGCAAATGGTATTGTCACAGTGTCTGCTTAAGTTATTTGATCCAAGCTTTAAAAAGAAACATTGCAAGTCTTCCTTTCAGAAAGGAGACCCTAAGGAGTTTAAAAGGAATTATGGTTTCTTTTCATCAACACTGCTACAAGCCTTACTGCCACCAGCACTAATTACTGTAGCTCACAAACCCTGTACTCTTTCTTCAATTTAAGGCTTCAAGAATACTCAAAGCTAAACAGTGGAAATCCATCACGGATGTGGGCTTTTTGCTCTCATTTTAAAATGCATTATATAAGAGGGAGAATCCTTATCTGAAACTACAGGTTTGAACACACCGTAGGTCTTAAATTAGACCTCTCTTTGAAGCTTAGTAACAGAACAGTAGATGGGAACACAGATACAGCTGAAACTTATATTCTGGTGGTGCAACTGCAGTGCCTTGTCTATAAAGAGGCTAGAAAAAGATGAGCATAAACTGAAAGACTAATACTAAACAGCTGTGCTTATTTGGGGACAAAATATGCATTGTTGAGAATGTTTTCTTGAGATTTATTCCTAGGAATTACGTACATATGGAAGTCAGTTTGGCTCTCCTTTGGAGGAAAATATTTCCCCCCATGAGAGAAATAAGCTTTTTTAATCACAATGCTGTTGAAGGTAGAATTGTAGGAAATCCTACACAAAGGAACAGTCCATCTGAAATCTGCAATATCATTTAGACTTTTCTTTCTTCTCGTAGAGCATATCCCTCTGTTCACATGATTCTGTCGTACTTACCACACTATATATTAGTCATCTTTTTGTTGGTCTTCTCCACTTCTTACTCATTATTGCTTATATCTTATAGAACAAATATATATTATCTATTACAAAGCCTGATGTAGAAAAAGAGTCTCTCATATATACACGCATGTATAATTTGTTCCTTTACCTTTTTAAAATTCATTTAATTAAATATCTCAAAATATTATACAGAGTTTAGAATTTAAAGGGACTAAATCACTCATAACCTCAGTGCCCTAGCCAGCAAATGTTATTTTAGGAAATGAATATTATTTGGAAAAAAACACAAATCTAAAATTAAAAATCATTTTACATCTCTAGGTAGAAAACATAAAATCATACTCAGAGTGTTCTTAAAAATATATTTCCTATATTTAAATTTCCTTAAAAGCCATAACACTTCATCAAGATGTCTTAAGTGGGTGAAGATGATCTCATTTAGCAGATGAGGAGAAAGAAAAAAGGCTTTACACAACTATTTCAATGACAAAGAATGGATTAGATTTAAAGTGATACTTCCAGTTCAGGCTGAAATGGTGGTGACATACTTTCACTGCATGGGCAGGGAATGGGTTTGGAATAGTTTTTTGTATCAGAAGGTTGGACTGAAAATTGCCTTGAAAATATCTTCTAAATTGTGAGACTGATAAAAAATTATTTGAGGAACGTGTCTGTTTTTATATTAGACATCAATTTTCCAAGGTGAATAACAAGAACAAGATCTAAGCAACCCCTTGACTGTTGGGACTTGGGATTTATACCTGTATTATTTTCCTATGTTGACAGATAAGATCACAAGGCTCTGCTTTCTGGAGGCAATAGAGAACACTTCATGGGCAATTATAAGTAAATATAATTTGATTTTTAATTTTTCATATTTAGAACTGATATAAAGATAGTGACTATTATAAAGCCAGTAGTAACTTAGGTATCTTAAAACAATATTTTTTTGCTCTTATACTCCTAAATGAAAACAAGATATAATCTCTAAAATAAATGTTTAATGTTCCATTTTCCCATAGCATTGTGGTTACTGTAAACAAAACAGTTTAACAGATATGATTTCTATCCTCCTGGAGTTTGGTAAAGACAGTTGGTTTAAAATTAAAATGACCCTTCTACTTCACATATCAGATAGTTAAGCCTCATGCTGCCTGTCAGTGTTAGGAATAGATTTGGTGATCTCAAACCAACACAGCATTGTTAACGCAAAAGGGGGTCAGAAAAATTCTTTTTCCTTCATTAAAGTATTTGATAAAAATTGTTTCTTCACATTTCCCATGACAAATTTATTCAAGTGAAAAAACTAGCTCTTTTTGGGTAGGTTTGAGGGAATGGGAAAGTAGGTCAATAACTGATCAGAGTAATAAGGCCATTTTTTTTTTAGCCAAATCTTTATTATGTCAATACCCATACCATGAGGAAAGTACTCCATAGTCAAATGAGAAATGCTGCCTATTGAAAACAATTATTCAAACCAAATATGTTCAAACTGTTTTTGAGGATTAAACTGACTGTCTAACTCCTCTTTAGGCTTCCCAGCCCCTAGGTGCCACTCCATGTGTCTTTACATGATTCTAGTTAATCCCAGGCAATGTGCCTTGCATTAAATAGTGCACAGAATAGAGCTGGTGAGTGGACCTGCTGCCCCAGCACAATGCTTGGCCTTTCAGAAGGACCTAGAACCATCAGCTTCAAGGTAGAGCATTAGAAGTTCTATAGGTATTAGCCATGGTTGACAAAATGCATGTGTTAAATATTTAGTTAATGCTGGCCTCTGGTATTGGATTTCTAGGAAATCCAAGGTAAGAGGTAGGATGGTAAGAGAAATGGATTTCTTTGACAGTCTTTAGCCTTTAAGAAATTTCATAAGCATCCAAACTGTTGCCAGAGGTAACATGTTTCCCAGTCTTACCGTAGTGACAGCAAATCCAGGCCTTTGGATTAGAGCACTATTTTAGGAATTTCTTGTAGTTCAATGCATATTTCTTGTAACAAGTTAATTCCAAACCACCCATTATGATATAACTGATTACTCAACCATAGCATGTGCCAGGCACTCTGCTAGTCATTGAGAAAAAACAAGATGAATAATAACAGTGGTTAGAATTGCAACGGAGGGTTATTGGTGCTACATAAACAAGGAATATCCAAGGAAGAGTAGGGTGGGAAAGTGGCTGAAGGAATTTTAAAAAAACAACAGAAAATGTGATACTTAAGTGGAGACAAAGCTAGACAAAGTTTAGGAGGGCATTCCAAGCAATGGGAAGACTGCATAAAAAGAAGTGTGGGTGTGGTGGCTCACACCTGCAATTACAGCACTTTGGGAAGCTGAGGTAAGTAGGATTGCTTGAGCTCAGGAATTTGAGACCAGCCTGAGCAACATATCGAGACCTTGTCTCTACTTAAAATTAAAAAAAACAAATCAGTCAGGCATGACGGTGTGCGCTGGTAGTCTCAGCTACTTGGGAGGCTGAGGTGGGAGGATTGCTTGAGCCTAGGAGATAGAGGCTGCAGTGTGCCATGATCATGCCACTGCACTCCAGCCTGACAGAGTGAGACCCTGTCTCAAAAATAAGTAAGAATAATAATTTTAAAAAGACAGAAGCAAAACATCTAGTGGGTCCTCAGAAATGAAACACGATGCAGTTTGTTCCAGGGAGGATGGTTACAATGGTGTCAGAGGGTTAGTCATGTAAGGCCCTGAGTAGACTGGTGAGATAAAAGATCTTGCCTGGGTGATAAAGCATGGAAGGGCCTAACTGGCCTGCCAAGGGGCTTGATTCCAACCCATCTGTGATGGAATACTATGGAGGCCACGGAGTATCTGGATCAGACTGACACTTCAAAACAGTAACCCTCTTTGCAGTATGAACGGTGGATTGAAGGGAGAAAAGGGTAGACTTAGGGATGCCAGCTAGACGAATATTATACTAAAACAAGCTGCAGGTGATCAAGGAAAGGTAGGACAATGATGGAGATGTCAAAGAAATATTTTAGAGGTGGAATTGATGAGACTTAGTTACAAACTGAAAGTAATTGATGAGGTAAAGGAGGAATCTAGGACAAAGTCCATGTTACTGGCTTGAGAACAGGTGACAGAAAGTAGGTTTGGTCATGAATTCCATTTAAATTAATTGAACTTGAGGTATCATTGAAACATCCAGTTGGAGATGTCTATTAGGGCATATTATATAATATATGGGTCTGGAGCTCAAGGAGGAGGTCCATTTTTGAAATGGATAATTGTGAGTCATCAGTATATAATCTAAATTAAAGAGTCTTTAGGAGATTAAATATGATGCAGCCAGAGGAGACATTTTAATGGAGAGAAGAGGAAGAAAGTGCAGAAGACGAGACACTGCCCCTTAGGAGGATGATCCAGGACATTTCAGAGGTTGTTGCAGGGGTGGTTCTTACTCATTCTTACAACTGAAGCACAGACACATATCACTGTTCTGAGTTTGGGCAAAAGCCTGAGGCAAAAGGAAAGAATAAAAGGTCATTCTCCTCTCCTAACAATTGCTCTGGAGTTCCTTAACTTGATCACGATTATCAATAAATAGAGGAACTTGTTATCATGACATGTCCTGGAAATGTTCCCCTGAGATGGATGTTTCTAGTCTGCAAAGTGAACAATGAAGATTATGGGTAAGATGAGAGGGGAGTGAAGGACTCTCTCCTTCTACGTGAATGGGTCATCTTGTTCTGTTTACAAGACTAATGTTGTAATTAGGCACTCTCTGGGCTAAACCTCAACCTCAAGGCCTGCCTTTATTATTCTAACACTATGCCTTTAAATCCCACTGGGTTTTTAGTCTATTCAACGGTATCTATTTATATATACATGAGATATCATACTTAAAGAACTTTAATTACTTGGGTGTTACAGTGTCATAAGTACTGGATTTAAACTCAGAACATCCGACTTTGATTTTCTGCTCTGTCACAGATTAGATTTGAGATTAAGTCATTCTCCTTCTCTTGGCCTCTATGCCCAAGTTTATAACATATGACAGGGTTAGACACGATAACCTCTAAGATTGCTTCTCTAAACTTTCTAGAAGGGGTTGATAGTCAGATACAAGTAAATATGTATTCATTTTCTATCTCAGTTATTCAGTTATTTACTTGATGAACATGTATTAAACACAAATTAGGTGCCCTGGATACAGATAAATAACAAGCTCAGAAACTAGTGAAAATTAGATATATATTTGTCCTTAGGTGAAAACATATTTTCTCAAAAACTAATTCTTCAAGCTGTGGGTCCTTTTTGTTTTTTATGAGTCAGGCTTGGCATATGGGTTTGGAGGTCACTGCAGAGGAACAAAAGCATTTATTGTCCAAAGTGATATCCTGAGAAAATAATCTTGAAACTACAGATGCTGAGGGATACAAATAACCACACTTTAGGGGCTTTTAGCAGAGTAGTACCAATAATTAATGGTTAGAGACGTTCTTGTAAGACAGTGATCTAAAACAGCAAAACTCAAAATTTGAAGGTAGATGTAGGAGATAGGTAATCAAAGGTATGAGAGAAAGATAAACGTGTGGTTCTGGGGTCTTCCTGAGGATATGGAGCTGTGCCTAGGTATCTATGTCCCATGTGCATGAATCTGAGTAGAGACTAACTCAGATGTTCGTATTTCTGGAGCATCCCCACTCTTTCTTTTCCACCTGCCCCATCCAATAGAATATAAGTTATCCTTCTGTGAGTTATGAAGCAACTTTCCTACTCACTGAGGAAAAGTAAGATACTGGGGAGATGAGCAAGTGCTGATAAGAGAGATGAAGATCAGCTTTGCACCCCAGAATGATCTGACTAGGAAGTTAAACTTGCTGTCTAATGGCATTCTATCTCTTTTCTCATGTTTGTTTCTTCCTGTTCAAGATCTATTTTTCTTCTGTTGGTAACAGTGGTCTATTTTTCTTTTAGAGAACTACTCCACCATCATCTGATGTGGTTCTGATGGCTGTGTGTTTCTCAGCTTTATCCTCAGCCTGTGGGTAAGTCCAAGACTCATGGAAAACCAATTAGACTATCTTTTCTTGGCATTTAGAAATATTGAAGAAAAATAATATATGCCTGGGAAATGATTGGTGCAAAGTCACTCCCTGGTGTAATGCCCCTTCATTTGGGTATTTGGGGAAACCTTGGCTCTCACCTTCCCACAGCCTACTTATAGTCCTTTCTTCAATTCGCTTTTCTTCCCAATATTCCTGCAATAAGTTCCTTATCTCTCTATGCTGTACATTCTAGTTCATTATGTTCATATTAGGTAGCTTAAGTCTCTTCCAGATGTCACTCGATCCAAGGAGCTCTTCTTGTTCAGAGAAAGGTTAGGAAATGCATTTTGAAGTACACTTGGGAGACAAAGGGCAGGGCCCTGGGTCCCCGTTTGGCTAGGTATAAGAAAAAAACAAGGCAATTCAGACTATTTGAAGGTCTCTTTTAATTGAAAGTTTATTTGTGGCATCTCTGTTTTAAAGAAATGGGTTGTGAAAGCAGAAATCTCCCTTGACAACATAGGGACTTCTTTAGAGGTTGTGACACGTCCCTGTTCATGAATCCAACTGCTACTGCAGGAAGATGGATTTCATTTGCCCCAGCCTCTCTCTCTTTTCTGGTAGATAATGTAGAACTTTCAGGAGTTTCCTTTAGTTTCTGGGGCCTTGGTTCTTGAACAAAGAGATTCCATTATCTTCTACTCTTTCTTCAGCCTTGTCTACAAGTCATTTGTTACATTACAGCATTTCCTGAAATTTAGCAAATTCTTGAAAAGAAAGATTTAATCTTCTCAGGAGAAGCTGGGGAAGATTTATAGACGCCTATTCTTAACATGTCAAAATGTGGCTTGGCTGCTAAATTTACTGGGACCGCCTACACAGCTGAGGATTTCTGTGACTCTGCTGGAAATAATGGCTTTAGGAGGTAACCAAACAGCATTAGAGAAAAACATTTGAGAGAAAACAGATTTTTATGTTGCAGAAGTATTTCTTGTTTTATAAAAGAGCATTACATTTTTAAGAGCTCATTAAGTTGTTTTCCTTTATGTTCGACCCCAAATTAGAGTTTGGATTTCTTAATTTTCTCTTCTAAAATCATCTGCAAGGTATTGGTAACTTGAGTTTCCAAGTCTTCAAATGCCATACAAAATGAAAGCATTAATTCTTAGGTATTATTATGGAATGAATTGAATTCTGTTAGGTAGCCTTTTATAATACTTATTTTTTTTATGTGCTTGATCATTACAGGTAATTTAAAATAAATACTTTTGCAAGTGAACCAATAGAAATATTTCACTGTCATTGGGCAGAAAGCTAAAAACCTAATTACGGTATGTATTGAACAATTTTTGTGTTAGTTTCTTCACTCTTTCCATATCTTTGTTCACTTTATTTAACATCCACCATTTCTCCCCTCACATAGTCATACACTGGCATTTTTTTCTTCATTTCATTGAAGAAAATGATACTCTGTTACACAAATCTGCTCCCTATTTCTTTTGAAACTGTATTCAGTCAGTCCCCATAGAAAGAATAGGTAATGAAATTCTATCTCTCAAGTGTATGTAGACATATCAATCACTTTAAGTGGAAACAATCATTCCTCTGCCATTTGGAGCCAACATCTTTGAACAAAGCAGCAGCACCATTGCTTTCTGTTGCTAAAAATAGTTTTTCCATAAAATGCTAAGGTTTACCTTCCAACCACATGCCACAGAGGTCAAGAAAAGCAGATTTCCTGATAACATTTGATTTGAGCAAAGGGAGTGATAAAAGATGCGTTCTGTAATCTGGATTCAAAGCCGACTGAAGACGTGGAGTCCAGTGAAGATAATCGAGCAGACCTGTGCTGTCACCCTGCTACCATTCCATGATCTCTGCCCTGGGTTGGTCAGGAAGTACAAAGACTTATAATTCTTTTCCATGTTGTTGATAGTCAATACTCCAAACTGTAACATCTCCTATACAATTCAGCATCTTTTCTCCCTCCTAAATAAGCAAAAAAGATTTTGGATTTGTGATGCCACCTTTTCCTCAAGAATCATTATACACGTTTGCTTTTTGTTTTGATTTCAGTGCTTTAGGAAGCTGGCACCAGGAGATACAGAAAATAAGGCACCTGACCTCCTTTATTGCAACTGCCCCCATCCTGCATGCCTCCCCTACCTGCCATAAACTTAAAAATCCACGCATATTTAAAATGCTGCTGGCTAAAAGCATGTTGCTGATGGATTAGAGAAATACCACGTTAGCACAACACATTCTAGTTAAAATGAGGTGCTGCTGTCTCTACCCAGGGCATTGCTGCTGTGAAGCAAAACAGCTCTCACTTCCAATCCCCAGATACAGAGCAGTATCAATGCAGAAATATTAAAGAGAAAATTAATAATTTATTTCAAAAATTCATTTGCAGCTGCACTTCAGTGAATTAATTACTTTTTGTCTTTCTCCTCTTATTCATCCCTCTCTCTTGCTAATGATCAAGTTGGAAGTAGGAAGAGGAAGTAAGTATGGTTGGAAGAGGTGGAGTCTGGTGCTGCCAGAGCAGAAAGCACAAAGAAGAACGTGCTTTTAGGTGGGTGCCCTAAGAGACATGATAAGTGAAAAAGGGTAAGTTAAACTTAATCCTATTTCTTTACACCAAAAGCAATAGAAAACCACATTACTATGTTATAAGTTCTACTTAGTATTTTAGAGGAGAGAAAAATTAAAATCCAGCAAGCAAAATCTCAAGTTATTAAAAAGATTAATCTGTTGTTTATCACTATATCATCTATGCAATTCACTTCCCTGTATGTTCATTAAAATAGACCAGACCACACAGACACAGCAATTGTATAATTTTGCTTAAGTGTCACGCGGAGCTCGTGTACTGACTTCCAGAAGGGTTGGGGTGGACACAGTAATTTTTGCATAACACTTGCTTATCACAACTTTCCAGATGACTCTATGGTGACATTATGGCAAGGTTCAAATCCATAGCCATTTAAATCATTTTCTGAGCTAGAATAGAAAAATCAGTCCGAGAAATTTCATCTACCATATCCCAGACTGAGGCAAAGCAGATGCTTTCTTCCATATTTAAAACACTCACAAAACAGGAAGATAGTTTCCATCATGCCAGTTCAAGCTACCATGTTAAAGCAAGCAAAAAGTTGTGCTTTTTAATATACCTTATTCTAAGTAGCTGGTTTAATGGGAGAAATAACCTTTGTACTAATGAGATTTTGAAAAAAACAAATGAATGTAAAAGCAAACACTGAATCTTCTCTAATACTCTTGTTGCTCTGGCACAGGATCCATAGCCATTTGGGTACCAAATGATCCCCTCAGGGATAAACAATTTCCATGGGTGCAATTGGATGTTCTGGTATGTGTATCAGCAGAAAGGGGGAATAAAGTTAAGGAAGAAGACGGAGAGAAATCAGTGTTTAATTTTATCCAAAAGATAAGAGACAGAGGAAGAAAAAGAAGTACAGAGAGGAAGGGTATCAAGAACCAATGCTGATGGTGTCAGAGGCAGATACTCCTCTGTTCTGTTCAGTGAAACTATCATGAGAGCCCATTGACTCTTCTGTAAGAATTTGTATAGTTTGCACCATGACACCGTGCCTCAGACTGTCTTAATGACTCATTGTCCCTGTTTTGACACAACCTAACGTGATCAGGAGCTCATCAGCTAACTCAAAATTTGTTTTCTGAAGGTTGAAATGAGACACCATCTAAAGGTGTACTTGCTATAGTCTCACCTCTGAGTAAGGAAACAAATGCTTTGTGACTTTGTGTCTTTCAGTACTATACGATTTGGGATACTATAGCTCAATGTACCATTATAGCTCTTTCCATGGATTTCTAAAATATGCCTAACGAGTAACCAACTTAATCAATCCCAAGTATCTTGGTGGAAAAGATTTCCCCTCCCAACATCAAAAACCCTTCAGATAAGATGAGTGCATAATAAGGCCAATGTTTATTTATGTAGCTGTTGTAACTTAAAAGAGATCTGAAGGAAACATTTATTCAGTATCATCAAGCCACTAATAACTTCCATGCACTCAATATACTGGTCCATTGGCTATGAATGCATTCTTACTTTTACAGCTTCCCTAGAAATTCTTTATCTGAAAATTTACCAAAAAGCAACTCATCGTATCATACAGTAAGAAACTAAAAATCTATATCTAAGACATATTGTTGCTGTTTCGAACAAACCTGGAATATAATTTGATAATTCAATGAAAATTTGTTTGTTTCATATTGTGTATGTTAAAAGAAGTAGCATTAACTGGAATCATCAATCAAAAAATTTCCCCAACATCTCCCGGCAAGTGATTGCAACAGCAGCTGGAAATTTGGTAGACATCTTTCCTTCCTAATTCCTTCAGCAAGAACATTTAGAACGCTGTAATGATTGGCTCTAAGGAATCTTGTGTTTATGAAAAACTATCCTGCTTCTGCCTTATGCATTCAAATTTGTCTCCAACCAGACTCTTTGTACGCCCTGAAAGCTCCCAGAGGCTTTTGACTACGTAGTACTGCCCCCATGTGGGCCAAGGGTGTCAATCGTACAAGGAGCACCTGCATTGCATTTTTGACATTAGCAGAGGGAGGTAAAAACTATGATTTTTTTGGTAGTTTTTATCCTATACATTGATTTGAATTTTCAAGGGAAATAAACTTTTCCAGTCTCAGAGTTAGTCATAAAAAGTAGCTGGGTTAAGATGCCTGGAAATAAAGAACAGAGGAGAAGGGATAGGAAAATCTAGGCCAATGTTCTCTCTCACCTGGGATTCTTGTTTTTCTCCGCCCAGAAGGTCAAATCTCAGATGAATTAGTATGCAGATCACATACACAGCAACTACAGTTCCAGACTAGGGAATGTGCTAATTGGCTCACCCGCCCGAAGTACCGGGGTACCAGTCGTCTGACACATAGCCTCTGAGGGAAGCAGGACTTAATGCAGGACACAATGTTCTCACCACTCTGCACTGTCCCCTATCCCTGCTTCTAGCAAGCAGCCTGGCCATACGCAGCGATGGCTGGAGCACTTTCATAATTATTCCTGCTTCGTAGACTAATGTGTACACTTGGGATTTTAAAATGCTATCTAATTCAGAAGAAATTAAAATTAAAGCCAGTGTCCCTCCAGGCTCCTTTCCCCATACATTTCTCCTGTAGTGTTCCAAACAGTGCTCTAAATAGCATCATGCATAAAAAGGTAGGTTAGAAACTCGGCATTGGTGGTGCTAACACCCTTTAAATCTGTCATAGCATTGAGAATATGGTTAAAGCTAGTCCCTTACCAGACAGTACAATACAAGAAACAACTCTTTTGCTAGTCCTCAAAGAAGTTAAATAATTAAAACCCCTTTTCTAATTCCTTTATGATTAGAGAAAATACCTTATAAATAAATGAGTAAATAAATAGCATCTCAAATATGAAGATTACTTGGTTACTTGTTTGTAACTCCTTTCACTATTGGCCTCATCATTCCGACTCATGAACTGTTTTGCTCTCTTCTGGGATTGTTTCCTAAAGAGGTGGGATGCTTCAGAGAAGAAACATAGAATTTCCTAAGTGTTAGCACCCGTCTTGTTCCAGGAAGCAATGATATGCTTAGAGCTCTCTTTGAACAGGGAGCTGTCTGAATCATATGGTATCCATGTTGCTGATGCAATAGGATCAGGAAAAACGACAGCCGTCAGTTGTTGATTAAGTCTGTTAAGTTATCCAGGCTAATGAGGTGGAGGCTTTTCATGCTTCCCCTGCCTAATGTCTCTCATTAAATGTACACTTATCAAATATTCAGAAAATTGTGGTAGTCATAATAGTGGTAATAATAGCCACATGATGACAATGGTGAAAAAAGAAAGCATCCTTGAATGGAAGAGGTTTCATTTTGCTGAAGCAAATCAAAAGAGGTTGTAGTACTGCTGTGAGCTGTGTGCAGAGTACATGAGACTATCTAGATGTTCCTTTGCTTTATCATGTTTTTAATAAACTAAAGGTAATTAGCTAGATTTCCTGGGATTACTTGGACACACAAAAGTACAACAAATTTTTAGGCAACACAAATACTTCTCCTGATTTGAGTTTGCATTTTGACCTGAAACTAGCAAAGCAAAGCTAATTCTCAACATTGCAATTTACATTCTACTTCAGTTTCTTATTTATGTTAGTTCAATTTTAGATCAAATGCCCTTGTGGAGCCACCTTATATTAAAAAGACTATTCAGCCTCAACTGAATTAGACTATTTTTTGTTTGCTTGGTTAGTTGGTTGGTGGGTTTTGCTTTGTTTTTTACAGGTTTGCAGCTGAAAATTTTTTCTTGCTTGTATTTTTCAACTTTTATGTTTGTCAGAGCCTCTAAGTCTGGGTCAGGATGAGATGTGAAGATGTCAGAAAATTCAAGGAACCTTCTATTTTGTAGACTCAAAAGGATTTGATAATAATATGAATTGTCAGTTTTGCTCATCACTCAGTTCTAAAAATCTATACTCAAAACCTTTCATGATTGTCTTATCTCTCAGTAGCATCAAACATAATAAAATCAAAATAAACTTCTGATGAAAATCAGGTTTCAAAATTTTACCGGAAGTTTCTTTTCTGTTTGATTCTTTTTGATCAGCACCAGATATACCAGAAACAAACAAGTTTCTCCAAAATCTCATTTTGTTTTAGCAATACTCCTAGCAAGAAAAAAAAGACAAATATGGAAATGATGCTGTTCAGGTTTTTCTTCTGTCACCTCTATTAATAAGTTCATAAAAACAATACTAATATTAATATTGGCCTTATTAATTTTCCAAATTAAAAATAACATAGTTAATACAATAGACTCAGCTTTTGAATTTGTGGTGATCTTTCTCTGGTATTAGGAAATTTTGCATCCCTGACAGTTCAGTAGCACTACTTTCTCTTTTGTCTTAAGTCTAATGTAAGTCTAACGGGCTCATTTAGGCTTGTAATGAACAGTTTAGGATTTTTCCTCTCGGGTTCCCAATCTTGGTAGGTGACAGTAGTTTGTTTGCATTTGCCTTATGTATTTGATGCTACACAGTAGTGAAATGCAATCCTTTGCTGTCTATACAATTATTATGATGCCTTTGCAACATGATGTGCTCACTGACACAAGTTTACCTTCCTTTGCCCCAGGCTTGCAACCTGGTGGCATTTGAATGTACCTGTTCCAAAGAAAGTATTGGTCTTATGACAGTTTTGTGATGTGAAATAAGCTGAAAGTAGGCTCAACTGACCCGACTATAACAACATACCTCAGTCTAGAGACTCTTCTAGCTACTGATGATTGCTTTTCTCATATTTGGAAAAGGCTATGACATGGCCAAGAGAAAGAGAGAGAAATGTCTTTGACCAAGTCTCTGAACTATAGAACTTGTCAGAGACTTTTTTTCTTTTGTCCTGAAAAGGAAAGCAGAATATCAGAAATATATTTTTGATACTTTATTAGTTTGATACTTTATTAAGTCCCAGCTAATGTTGTCGATGAAACAGCAACAGTAGCATTTCCAAAATTTCTGTTTTGGAAAAGATTATGGGTAGCAATTTGATTGGGAGAGATAATTAAAGAATTGCAATCATATGGTTTTTACTTAGAGTGTATGATTGTATACCTATTCAGGAATAATAATGGATAGCCTGAAGGGGATTATGGACAATGGCAAAAATCTTCCATCCCTACTTCTTGGCACCCCTCTGCATATTCACTGCTAGTTTGATGGAACAATTTGGAAGTTTACTGTTTGTTAACGGTTTCTATATTTTATGACATATAATATGTAGAGTAACATAAAACTAGATAGTAATGAGGAATATCCATTTAAATTAACCTACCTAATGAAAACAAACCAAACAAAATATTTATTGTATGCCAGTGGCTTCCATTCCTGTTTCTTCATGAGATCCAAATTAGTGCTCTTAAGTCTAATTGCCAAAGCAGCTTCCATTGTCTGGGCCCATATGCCAGAATGAACTGCCATTTACATTGGACCAAGAAAGCAGTAAGCACGTTGGGCAAATTTGACACAAATATGCCAGCTACTGTTGATATAGGAGCAGAAATAGTGCATAAGCTTTCCTTGAAACAAAGAATAAACTAAAAACCAATCACTGAGTACATCAGTTTCTCATCCCTGCTGAGGTGCCACAAGGCCCTGAGATTCTTCCTTACAAAGCCACCCACCAGAGAGAAAAAAAGAAAAGAAGAAAAATAACAATTCTAATGTTGAGAAAAAGAAGTCAAGGGCAGACTCTAATACTTTCCTTATGTTCTCTCCGGAGCTCTGTGGAGAATATTCTGTGCTGGTAATTGCTCCTAATCAACTGGATGGAAGAGAAAGCAAAAATAAGAACAACCCATGCCTATATATTTAGTATACGCTTAATTCTTCTCTAACATAGATGACATCTAGGAGAATCCTAGAAAAGGTTTTACCAGACATTTCTTTTCACCTATCACACAGTTCTAATCGTTCTTTTCTTGGAGTGCTTTTAATACTTTCCCTGAAAATATGTAGCAGCATAATACTCTGTTATTATGGTATAATTGGTCTAGCAAGATTTAATATTCTCTATAGCTCAATCATCACCAAGCTCTAGCCATGCTAGAAAATAGACTTTGAATAAGTAGAACTGTCTCAGCTAACTCACCCTACCTGGCAATAGGAAATCACCGTAGGATTGTGATAATCTTTGAAACCTAGTACTTTGGGCAGGGTAAATATTGGGCTCATACATGATGCATACTCATGCAAGGACTCATAGTGTGTCTCCCTCAATTGTAACTGAGTTACAAAGTTGTCTTGACTTTGTATATTGGAATAAAATGGACTAATATTCATTACAAATAAACTGTACCCCAAACAGTTCTTAGAATAGATACTTCCAAAGAGCTGACAGAACAGAGCACTATTATTTTTACATTATGTGCCCTCCTTATCCAAGGATAAGGCAATACCCTAGACCTAACATTTACGACAGCCCCTAAAATAGCCACCAAGAAACTGTGTATTTAATTCTTAGTCTTTCAATATTTTTTAAATGTTTTTCAGGCATAAGCTAGAGTTACTCATTCTTGCCTCCTTCCATATTGCTTGGATCAATGAAGACAATTATCTTAGCAGCAAATTAATGTTAATTTCACTACACAAAATTTTGAATAAAATTGAACAAGAGTAGCGATACACATAAAAGCCACATCTTAGGCTCATGGGCTATGCACGTATTTTTTTAGTTGACATAAATCTTGGAAAAATTTCCTTGTATAGCTGTGATCAGTAAATTATAACACTCCTGAAGGACTCAGCTAGGTTTTTTGCATCCCTATAATTTCAGATGACAGAATATCTGACTAGTAGTAGGTACTCAATAAATACTCGATTAAAAAATTAAGCCAATGGGACATTGTAACCTATGTTTTGTCTCTTAATGTAACACCATATCTTGCAGAATTTCAACAATTAGTCATATCCACGGAGTATATAATAAGCTAGCTAGTTCTTCAACACTGACTTGGAAAAAGCTAACTTATTTCATTCGTTTTTACCCTAGACATGTTTCACAGCGTGATCTATATGTAACCCTTTTAAAGGAAACCGGTCTTCTCAAGTCTCTTCAGAAGCTAAAAGGATATTTATAAAAGAAATGATGATATACCTCAAACCATGGGTATGGAACCGGAAATAGCAATTTGACCACAGAAGTTTTTTCACAACTCATATACTACTACCCAATGATCTAGGATCCATGTGGCCTCACAAAATATATGAGAATAGCCACTCATAGTGTCAATCTTTAGAACCTGAATGAAAAGAAAAAAAAAATATGGTGAGAAGAGGAAATGACAGAGGAGCACACAATGGTGATGGTGGTGAGGACAGAGATGTGGTAGCTGCAATCTATTAATGGTAAATCACTAAAAGAAGACCCTAAAACTCCTAAAATGCTTAAATGACCTTGAGTTTGGATCCATTTCCTTGAGGGCCAGTCCTATTACTGATCATCTACTTAGATATCTATGAAAGCCCACTACTGAAACCACTCCATATGTATTCTTTTTTTTTTTTTTTTTTTTTTTGAGACGGAGTCTTGCTCTGTCGCCCAGGCTGGAGTGCAGTGGCGCAATCTCGGCTCACTGCAAGCTCCGCCTCCCGGGTTCAAGCTATTCTCCTGCCTCAGCCTCCTGAGTAGCTGGGACTATGGGCGCCTGCCACCACGCCTGGCTAATTTTTTGTATTTTTAGTAGAGACGGGGTTTCACCGTGTTAGCCAGGATGGTCTTGATCTCCTGACCTCGTGATCCACCCGTCTCGGCCTCCCAAAGTGCTGAGATTACAGGCGTGAGCCACCGCGCCTGGCCCTCCATATGTATTCTTAAGCTGGCTTTTCTTTAGCTAGCTTAAGTAATACTTTATTCCTCATAATCAAATAATCCTAGTGAAAAGTACTTGGAGTATTTTCACATTTGTGAGTAAGTTAAAGATGTTTTGTTTTTTGCATTACTTAGCCCTCTTCTCTCAAAGGATGATTAAGGGAGATGAAGGGAAAAACAAGGAAGGAAGGATACTAGAAAGTTAGGTAAGGTCTTACTAGTCTTCCAGAATCCGGGACAGACCTTCACTGATAACCGTAGGCTTCCTTCTGCTTATTGGATGGATGTAATAATTAGCATCAATATTCTGTGTATCTGAGATGAGCTGTATAGACTGGGAAGTCTTATAAAGGCTAGGTCACAAGATAAATCTAGGAAAAACTTAATAGATACTTCTTAATCTGTAATGTCAATAAGAATAATCTGAAAGTCACATTAGAAGTGCAAATTCTTATTCAATAGATGTAAACTAGGGCCTAAGATTCTACATTTTCACAAGCTTCCATGTAATTTCAGTGCTGCTGATCTGTCCAATACATTTTGAGTAGCAAGAATGAAGGGACCCTTTATATAATTACACAACCATTCTCATTTATTCTCTGCAGGATAGTAAAATAGAAGATGACCATTGAAACCAGACAAATTCACCATTTCCAAGCTGTGTGGCTTTGAACAACTCATTTAGCCTATCAACATTTTTGTTTCCTCATTTGTAAAATGGTGAGGATAATATTTATCTTGCAGAATTCTAAAAATTAAATGTTATGAAATATGTAAATTTCACAATAGCTCCTAAGCAAGTGGTATTTATTTTTCAATTTATTCACTATGTTAATTAGCATTTATTGAACAGTATGCAATTTTCTAAAATAAATGCTGGAGAGGAAGAAATACATGATCTCTGCTCTAAAGAGTTTATAAACCAATAAAAGTAAAAAATTGTCTACAGGGTTATATCTTGTGACATATAATAAAAAAACGCCATAGAGAAAAACAAAATGCTTTGGAGTTTTAAAAAAGGCAGGTTGACAGAGAGGAAGGAGAAAAAGGTGGAAAAATCAGAGAATGTTTCAAAAAGGAGGCTGCATTTCAACTAAATCTGTATTGTTGGATAACAGTTCATCAAACAGAAAAGATGGGGGCTATCATTTCAAGTAAAGGAAGAAGCTTGTAGAAATCATGGTATGTGAAAACTGTGGCTTTTTAATGATACCTCCAGAATTTCAATGTGGCAAAACTAGGTTGAATTGGGAGGAGGCAAGGAAGACAAAGCTAGCTGCATTTAAAAGCAAAGGCCTTGTATGACATGCTGGGATCCTGGGACAGTCTGCACCTCCTAATATAGCTTTCATCACACCTTATTTACAATTAAAAACTAGCTCATGTATAAGTCTGCAACTCTAAGATAAAAGTGTCTGGTCCATAATAGGTACCCAATGAGTTCTTGTTGACAGAATAAATGCATAAATATTAAGGGGAGAGAGTTCTTGGGGAAGGGGGAAAAAGGCCTAAAATCATATTCCACAGACGGATCCCATAGACAGCTGCCTGCTCTGCTTATCCTGCAGTGACTTTAGCCCATGTGGGGGCTCTAGCATAAATATATGTCTTAGAGCAACACCAAGCATTTTTTATTTGGCATGATTGTTACATTATATAACAGAAACAACCATCCCATTATACAATCTATTGCATGCATTCCATTTGGCCTCCCTGTGATGATTCAATACCTTAGTGGTGCTTAAGATGGTAAAGGTTGAGAGAAACTATTATACTCTAAGCAGATTGAGATCATCAGATGAAAACTATGGTGTGTCACAATGCACCCACCATCGCTTGTAACACAAAGTTCAGTAATATAGCTTGCAGCTACTGGTTGATTAGAACAGCTTTCTAGACCAGGACTTCTGCTTTCCTAACACACAGAAGCACAAGGCTGCTTGTTTTCCTGAAGAAGCAGAATGGCACAGTCTCCAGTGAACAATATGATTTCGATATAGAAAGCCTGCTTACATCTCACTTCATTTTCATTCTGTCTATTGATTTCTTCAGGATTGTGCACATATTGGAATATCTTTATTGAATCCCCCAGGCATTCCAAGTAAACATAAACAGAATAATTAGGAATAATAGTAAAAGAATAATTGTAAAGCAGAGCATGTCCTCATATTATATTAGAAACAGAAACCTTGGATTTATCAGATGGAACTATTTTAGGGCTGGCTTTAGGCAGAATTAAGCAGGAAAAGCTCATCTTCTACAACAGGACAGCACAGTGGTGAAGGGCATGAGATGGAGGCAAGTCATCTGGATTTGAAACTCTGCTTGAAGACTTTCTGGCTTTGTGATTTGGGATGTATTGCTCAATCTTTCATGCTCCAAGCTCATCATCTATAAAGTGGGAATTATACAATTACTTAACCCATAAGGATATGGAGAGTTAATCCATGAAATATTACTTAGAATAATAATGACACTTGAGAGCTTAATATATGTTAGCTATTCTTATAATCTTCAGGGCCTCCAGTCTACTAATTCAGTAAATATCCCTACTTCCAGAGTACCTCATTCTATATTTTAAATGTCTCCAATATTATTTTTGTCCTTTTGCATACTTGTATTTCTAGCAAGAGTTCGAGTCATTTATGTTTGTGTAATTGTGTCCTCACAAAATGTTGCCCTTGTCCAAAACCTTTTTATCTTTCCTTTCGTCTTTCACTGTGAAAAGAGAAACACTTTTTAAAAGTTATTAAGAAATCCACAGCATTAATAATCAAGTGGTGAGAAAACTCCTACCCCAGCCCACAGCCAAAGCCCCTGAAGTTACAGCAATATACAGTCATTCATGCAACAAATATTTACTGAAGTGTCAGATACTCCTGGATGCTGGGGGCACAAAGATAAATAAGGCAGTGTAGATGCTGAGTATTCACTGGGGAGCATGGGAGCACCCGAAAATGGAGCTTAAATCAGTCTCATGTAGGGGAGGAAATGGTGTCAGGAAAGGTTTTCTCCCTATATCCTTGTAGACTTTTCTAGAGTTGTTTAATGACACGCATCAGTTTTCTTTCGTTGTTTGACATTCAACTGGTTAGAAGACAAAGTCTTCTTTCTCGTTCGTCAATAAATCCTAAAAACATATCCTTCCACACATCTATAATGCTCGGAGAACTGGAAAAAATATAATGATTGTCCAACTCAGAAGTTAGAGACTTGGGTCACATGCAGAAAACTTTCCTTTGGGTATTCCTTATTAACACCATGAAAGCAGCACAAATGCATCCATTCATTCACTCATTCAATTACTCCTCCTCACTGTGCATTCCTGCACACTGCTAACTGTGCCCTCACAACCTGATATGGTTTGGCTGTGTCCCCACCCAAATCTCATATTTAATTATAACCCCCCTAATTCCCATGTGTCATTGGAGAGATCCAGTGGGAGGTAATTGAATCATGGGGGTGGGTCTTTCCTCTGCTGTTCTCATGAAAGTAAGTCTCATGAGATCTGACGGTTTTATAAAGGGGAGTTTCTCTACATAAACTCTCTTGTCTGCCGCCATGTAAGATATGACTTTGCTCCTTATTTGCCTTCAGCCATGATTGTGAGGCCTCCCCAGCCATGTGGAACTGTGAGTCAATTAAATCTTTTACCTTTATAAATTACAGTCTTGAGTATGTCATTATTAGCGTAAGAACAGACTAATGCACAACCCAAGTCAACAATGTTAGAGGAAACAGATCTATTAAAGAAAGTGTCCCTGTCCGTGTGGGAGCTAAAAATAGTTGAAGATGTATCTTATAGTAGAAATAAACAAAAATAATATGAAATATATGATTAAATACAATTGAATTGTTTAATAAATGACTTGAAGTTCTGGGAAAAAAACATCAGCAAAGATAGCAAATACCGAAAGTTTTACCTCAGGTGCCACTCATATCAACTGGAAGTAGATGCCTAGAAAACTGTGTTGCCAGTGATTATGTGACTGCCAGACTCAGAAGGAAACAGCTTAGGGGCCAATGTTGGTCATGTCACAAGAATCAGAAGCATCAGCAGTTTGCTACATCTTTTTCATGGTGTGCTGGCTATGTAGCATGACAGTTAAGAAAAGTGGTTGTAATGTACTAGACTTGGATTCTGCTGCTTGTTAGCTCTGGGACCTTAGGAAATTTATTCAACTTCTCTGGGCCTCAGTTTTCTCAATTAAAAAGTGAAGATACTATATCATCTCAAAAAATGTTAGCTACTATCAATTAGTCTGTAGCTTCATGAAGGACAGAGCCAAGTCTGTCTCAGTCATCTTTACATCCCTGATATATGGTCCAACAAGCATCTTCTCTTCACACACACACACAGACACACACACACACACAAAATGGGAAGGGTATTTAAAAGAATTGGGACTGGAGAAGAACTATAAAAGATGGTTAGACTATTAAGTCAAGGAGCATGAGAGCAGAAGTTACTATTTGGGCAAAAACAAGTTGGCAAGACATGGAAACCAAATGAGTATGACAGTCACGGACTAAAGAAGAGACAGACAAGCCAGAAGGAAAGATAAATAGTATCCAAACAACCTCGACTTTGGAAAACACTAAGAGATCATCTCATTTATATTTCGTTTTGTGAAGAAAGACAACTGAAGCTCAGAGGAGTTTAAATAGCTTATAGTGGGAGATACTGGCATAGCTAAGATTACAACCCAGATTGCCTGACACATACTTCAGTGCTCACTTGGGAAGGAACTGGAAGAAAACGCTGGGAAGCTGGTCTAAAATCATATGATAGAGTTCTCCATATGGAAAGTTCACTCCTTACGTGATGAGGATCTCTCTGCTCTGTTACCAACAGAACAAAGTAGAATAAAATTCCCTGGAGGGCTCCTTTGTGGGACATGGCCACGGATAGTGAGGCCACAAAGCAAGCACTGTTAATCAGCAAGAGTCAAGAATATGAACTAAAAACATTTCAAGCTTATTTATACAAAAAACAGTACCCAACAGTGTTGGTAAGTGGGGGAGCAATGGGCTGATGCTTGATTTAAGTGGAGATTAGATAAGGAAGCTAGGAGGAGAATTTCCTTTACCCTGAAAACACCACATTGTATTTGTAATGTGCCACATACTATCTGAAAGTGAAAACTACACATAATGCTTTGCTTGATACTTTGTGGGCTTTTTTTGTTTGGGTTTTTTTTTCTTTTATGAAGAGCTCAAGATATTCTCTTAGATATTACTATTACTCATAACATCTATGCCCTTTTCTTTAGGGCCAGACATATTTTTAGTCTCATTTTATAATGGAGCAACACTCAATAGTCAAATATGAAAAACATTCTGGTTTATTGACTCCTATCACCTTATTTCTTACACTTGATGCTTGTCCTACCCAAAGACAAGAAACCAGCACCAAATGTCTTCCCTAGGCAGGTAAATGTTGCTCATTTTTATTTGTCATCTAATAAATAAATGCCAGATTTGGAGGTGGAACCTTCAAAGTGAAGTTGCCTCATCCTGAGAAAATGTTGGTGTCTGTTTACATCCATATATTAATGGAATAATCTTCCAGATCAGTCAGAGTACTTGAGACACAATCAGTGATACATATGCCCCCATTGTTCTTAATTAGCTTCTGATTAAAATGTCTTCTCATGCTCTTCAAGCTTAATTGTTGTCATTGACATCCATGAAAGTACTCTTGCAAAGATTTCTGTATTGAGAATTAGAGGCAGGGAATCTATAGTGAAGCACTGTGTCCCCAGGAAGTTCTTCTCTCTCCCCTGATTATAATCAGTCTCTGACTGCCATCACACAAGAATTATAATACCTAGGTAATAAACACCCTGAAGACATACTGTGACTGTAATATTTGGGTTCTTCAGGCTAAGGGGCCCTGCAGTGGCAGGCTTTTGTGTTCAGCAGTGCTCAGCAGTTCCATCCCGAATTTTCTTTCATCAGTAGATAGCGTTTACTTCTCTTCTCCATTGGGATGTAAGCATTGCAGAGAAGAATTTGGGACTAAATTCCACCATAGTGTTCTTTGCAGTGAACCTAGGGAATTTTTTTTTTTAAACACGGATGGTACCCTTAGCCAACTGCATAGCAGATTTGTTTTTCTAAGTCTGGATGTGCATTGCAATCTTTGGGAGGTATTTTTTAGTCACAGATCCCTAAGCCATTTCCTAGTCCATTTAATCAGAATCTGTACAGAGGTTAAGAGCAAGGACTCTGGAGTCAGCAGTCTGAGTTTGTATCCTGACTCTAAAATGCAAACCTGGGACAGGTATTTAAACCCAGTGCCTCAGTTTTCTCATGTATGAAAATGCAGTTACTTATATCTACCTCATGAGGGTGTGCTTAGAATAGAACCTGTCCCATATAAACACAATTTAAGCATTGGTTATGATGGTGGTAGAGGAAATGAAGCTAGGACTTGACTAAATCCTTCCTGAAGCCCATCCTACTGCTGCACATTTTAGATTGGGAAGTCAATAAACCCCTTTTATTTTTTAACTCTTTTTGAGTTTGGTTGTTCTGTTATTTTCAACTTACATGGATCCAGTGCTTAGGCTAGGCTGAGCAGCCTCACCTGGGCATTCTACCAATACAACAGAAAAAGCACCAGTCAGAAAACTTGAGTCCTAGTCCAAATGCGACTCTATCTAGGAGCATATGATTTCAGAAGCCTTGGCAGTGTTAATTTGATTACAGATGAGTCTGGGCATTGACATCCAATAATCTACGTACTAAAATGTCTCACCCCTCAATTCTGTTTATCTAATATATAAGGAGACTGAACTAAAAAAGCCTGAAGGGTGGTCAAGCTTAAGGAGTCAACATTTCTAATCTTCTCCTGGAGGCCAAGGGGTGGACTGAATTTTGTAGTGCATTGTACAAGCTCTTCTTCTCTTGCAGAGGAGTGTGATTCCCCTCCTCTTTGAAGATGAATACGAGGGAGGTGTTGAATGCTGCTAATTCTCAGAATGGAAACCAAGGTAACAGGAGAAAACAATACCAGAGAGGTGCTGATTCTAGACGGCTTATGAATACAGAAATTACCTGTCTTTGTTACATGTTTGGAGCTGAGCCTTCCTATAATTTATCTATGCATCTCAAGAGGCTTTATACAATACACTGAGACATTTTCTTAAGTAGAAGAGACGAAAAAACAACATTAAAAAAAAGCAACCATCCTTTTTGTCTGATTGTTCTTCCATGCTGCTTGTCCAAGACTGGTTTAAGGTAACCTGACTGTGCACATGAGTGCTTCAGGCTGTGGCTGTGCGGTATCCAAACACCCATTTGAGAAGTGAATTCTAAAACAGGGAACACAGACTGACCACTTAAAGCCTTAATGTTTAAAATCAGTACTTTTCAGATAAAAATCCAGTTTTCTGGCCACTCTAGAACAAAAATTGGAAGATCTGGCAACACCAGATTGGCATTCCCCATCACAACAATAGGCTAATACTGAGCAGCAGCTGCCCCAGGACTGCGTCCAGTTTGCTGCAGTTCCCAACCTCCCTGACATCAGTGGGACTCAGAGGCTGGCAGTATTCAACATTTAGCTTCTGCTCATGTCTTCTCACACTTGGCCAGACTCACTCATTTCTACTAGTTGTTAGACATTCATAGATATTTGAGTTTGTAACTCTAGTTTGCCTTTAAACTTTGTCCACATCCAAGCTGATGGGTCTAAATTTACCTTTCTGAAAATCAAGTGGAATGCTTCCAATGGTACCACAAACAGTGGGGAAGAACACTGGCTCTATGATGTCATATAATCAGTTTAACTATTTACTTTCCAATAATTCCAGATGAGATTCTATAGGCATAGTAATGTTACTGCATGTATTATGAACTTCTAATGTGGACTTAGACCTTTGTGTATCACAAAGAAGTGATGGTTCTTTAGATCACCTAATGAGATGAATTGAGGAAGACTTCTGGAATAGGCCTCAAATAGCTTTAGAGATTAGCCTGAAGCCTTCTCTGCATTTTCCTCATTTCCTTTATGGAGCTTAGGTCAGAAACTGCTTTTCCAGCACCATCTATTAGGAGCACATGAAATGTCAGGCCAGATTTATGGATTCAGGACTTGACATTGGATCATAATTCAGTTTAGAGTAGAAGGAACAAGAATGCCACAAATGACTTGGAGCCAATTCCTTTGTGGTGACAAGGACAACACTAAAAAGAGAGCATTGGTTTCTTAAGCCGAGCTACTCTTCTTTCCACCCCTGCCCCAACTCTTGTTTTGGTACATATACTGGTTACAAAATACTAAGTATGCAATTACAACAAAGACCTAAAAATCTGCTTACCATTTCTGCTACTTTTTTCAGACATCTGACTGTAAGCCTTGTCTCTATTACCACCATGTCCTGTCTTTTTGGTCCTCCCAGTTCCTCACTGCTACTGAATCTCTCTGCTTTTATGGGTGGCTGCACCCTTCACCAAATTGTGACTGTGTGAAAAGAGCACATCTTATGCATTATTGCTCCCCCAATTCCTAAGCATGTTACTTCTGCACTGTAGAAGCTATTTATAGTTACTTAAATGATTGATGGCCTCCAGTACGTCAACCCTTCCTCTCATTCTAGGACATCAGTTTATTTCTGAGTTCATTTACTTCACTACCAAACTCAAACCCCATCATTAGCCATCTTAGTGAATTCTTGCATTTCGTTTTCTCTCATCTGTCTTTGCCAAGTTACCAGACTGTCAAGGGTGACCAGAAGTAGCTCTGTAACTAGAAGTTTTGAAGATATGTTTATGTGTTCTAAAGCAAATACACTCTGTAAAATAGTAACTGATACTTCACAGACATATAGTATAATACTTCTAGTCAGTCAGTTCTATCATAGCACATATTACCCAAATGCTCTAGAATCTTCAGTTTCCCAACATCCCACACTCTTCAGTCTTATTAAATGACCTAATCCACCTGTGAAATTTAAATAACCTCATTTTCGCTCCCTTAATTTCCTATTTCCCTTTTTAAAATATCATTGCATTGTTATTTTTCTATTTTTATTTGTCCATCTTTGTTATCTAATTGATCAATTTGTTCATTTGTTTCTTCCCATCCCATAATCCCTGGGACTTTTTTCTGAATCCCTCGTCTTCTCTCTTACACTCATCCTCCCTCTCTCTCTTTTCCTCTCCATTTCTATTCTGTTTGTTATTGTCTTACTTTCATTCACTTCTTTTATCTACAGCAGCTCTTTCAAATGTTAACTGTGAGCTCACAATTGGCAAGTGCAAGCTGTTTCTAAATTCTATTCCTCTTAAACCCTTGCATTTTTCAGTGCTGTTTATCACTTATTTTATATTCTTTGTAACAGTAACTTTTTTGACACTGCCACATTTTTGTTCTATTACCCTTTCAAATACTTCTTACCTACTTCCCATTTGTGGCTCCTCCTTAATCCCACACTCTCAATCACACAGATTTCTAATCAATTTTGTTTCTTCCTTCTTCTTTGTACCCCTTGTGCAATCAGTCCCCAAGTCCTGAAGTGTACTTCAGGGGAGAAGAGACACATTTAACTTGCCATGTTGTCATCTAGTATTCAATTTGAACATCTCAGTCTCTTTTCAGGTGCCTAAGATGTTCTAGAAATATACTCTGGAAAACTTCGAGTCAGATATTAAAATCAGGAATGGGGCTAAAGCTATAAAAATCAGAAAAGTAGTTCACTAGTTGACATATAACAGGTGAGATGATGCTTGGGCATATTTATCTTCTGCTTCTACAGCTAGGTGGGGATTTAGTTCAGAGAAAATACATTTCTCATGCCCAAGCTCCAATTTACTCCCTTCCTACTATGAGGAGAAGAAGGAGAAATAAGTTTTTTGTAATGAGGGATCATTTCTGTAGCAAGCAAGAGAAATCCAGCTCAAACAAGCTTAGGCCAAAGTAGGGGATGTATTCCCAGGCATGATTAGACTTGGGAAAGGGAAACAGTGGCGCTGGGAAAACTAGAACAACTGATTATTTCTTATCCCCTGACCATACTTTTCTTTCACTTCAACTATGTTCTCTTTGGTTAACTTTTTTGACGATACTTGAATCATGGCAACTTGAAGTCTGGGTTCATATAATCTCCTTTCCTTCAACACAGAAAAAAAAATCTGTTTCCTGTAGCTCCAATTTGAAAAAAGAAAGTAGAAAAGACTTTTGTAGGGCCAGTTCAGGAGATATACAAGGTGGGCCTCCCTAATCAGAAAATGTGGAACTTGAAATGTTCCAAAACCCAGAAGTTTTGAGCACCAACGTGATACCACAAGAGGAAAATCACACACCTGAAATCATGCAATAAGTTGCAGTCAAAATGCAGACAAAACATTGTTTCCTAAGGCTATGTGTATAGATGTATACGAAACATAAATAAAATTCTTGTTTAGACTTGGGTTCTATCCCCAGGATATGTCATTATGTATGTGCAAACATTCCAAAATCAAAATATATATGTATGTGAAATCTGCAACACTTCTGGTCCCAAGAATTTCAGATAAAGAATATTCATCCAATACTAACTGCTCCCCCAATACCCCAATCCATCAGATTGCTTGTACATATAGGGTCATACAAGAAGCTGACAGCTCTCATTTGCATAAAACATGATCCATAAAATGAGGACCTATATAGCACCAACCTCAAGCCAAAATCAGTCCAGACCCAACACTTGATCCTTATTTTAGCAGAATGACCAATCTTTATAAAGATTTGCTCTCAAATTTTAAGCATCCTTTCTTTCAGCCAGGAAAGTTGATTTTAATCTTTCAGTCCTGAAAATTTAACTGTTCCTAGTTAAAAAAAATCAGGATTTTATGTCATCTATGGATACTGAGTTCAGAGAGAAAGATTAAGTGCAGCCCTTGCTAGTCTTAGAATGTCAGAAATCAAAATTACTTTGATAGAATTCACCAAATGGATTACATGGCAATGGTACTTGCATGCATTTTACAGGTGACAGAGCAATTCTGTAAAACTCTTAAAACTGTCCATCAGGCTGGACTTAGGTTGAATTAATGTGGTGGTTGGGATGGCACAGGCCTGCAATAGAAGACAAGTGCAAAGCCATGCTGTTTCTCTGCTCCCTCTTCCCTCTGTTGTAGCATTGTCACTGCCACTTTCTTCCATCACTAGACACCCCTAAGGAACCAAATGCCTCCATTACACTAAGACTTTCCCTTTATTTGAGGTCAGAGACATAAATTGGTGAAGAAATCTTTTTTTCACAGTACAAATTCCACATAAAGTATTAATTCCCAGATTATAACTCACTTGATATGATACCTAAATGATTAAAAATTATTCCAAAGACCTGGATAATACACTTATAAACTTAAGGTCCCATTCTGACAGTCTTTTGTCAGCAAAATACTAAAGGGAGAGAAAAGTCCAGCATATTAGATTGTGGGTTACTATATGTGTCTGAAAATAGATGAAATGGAAATTTCAGAAAGCCAAACAATCAAATAGAGAGATAGCTGCCCCCATGCTTCTCTCAAATGGAAATCTTCTTTTTTGGGGTAATGCAATTGAAAACAATTTTCTATGTAAGACACAAAAACCACAGTTGAGAAATAAAAGTTTATAGAATCAGAAAATTCTTTCCAATCCATCTACCACAAAGGCTGATAAAAGTCAAAGCTTGGAACAAGTCAATACAGACCCCAATTCACAAATTCAGCTTGCCTTAGCTACTGCTGCCACTTTTTTTTTTTAAATTGGATACTCAAGGTCAGTAGTTGTAGAATCAGTAATTGATAATGCATTGTGTTAAACTCACATGCGTAACAGTGAATTCTGTAACAATGCCTGCTATAGTAAGAAACTGTTGTTAATGCCTTCAGTGTTCCAGACAAAAAATAATACTAATGAATCTGCTGAATACTGATGGAAAGGATGTAATACGCATTTCCACAGAAATGTCTTGTAATTTGGGATTAATTAATGTCCAATTATTGTAAGCTGTTACTAATAAATTTTAAAAGTCAGCTCTGCACTTCCATTTTGTAATGTTTTTATAAAATGGAACATTAGATGTTTTTAATCTTGTCTGTTCTTGCAAAATACCCCAGATAACATGCTGTTTTGCATTTCAAATAATTTATACTCATTTAAATGCAAAACCAGGGTCCAATCAGAATAAGATGGCAATCAAATTACAATATTCAATGAAGAGTTTGCCAAGCTGACTTCATTAGTAAACTATCATGAATTTCAAGATCTTACAAGGTTTCTATTTGTTTGTACAACTGCAAAGGCCTCAATTACAGAGATTTGAGAGAGTCTAAAAATAACATCAGACTAATTAAAAGTTTCAGCCGGATTTGGGCTAGCACTGTTTTGAAACTCTTTTCAATCCATTTGACTTTCAAAATGGACTTAGGAAGCTAAGGCTCTGTTTTTAAACTATTGAATTAAAAACAAACAGGCGAAAAAGAAAACAAACAAAAAACAGTGAAACACGGAGCCTTCCTCTTTCTGGTATCTAAGAAAACACAGAGGACTGTTCAGATCTGTCTGAAAAGACCAGCCGTGAGAGTGCTGCTCCATGTCCTCTTGGGCTCCTAGGGGAACTCGGTGTCATTTTCTGGCATTATTATGCATGTTGAAAACAAGCTGGAAGAGGCTGTAGCTTCAAGTTGCTGAATCTTTGAAAAATGCAGGCAAGAACTTCAGTCTTTGAAGTCATTTTCCCTTTGGGAGGTAAGATCCAGGTAATCAGGAAAAGCTCAGGAGGTCGGGCTATTATGATAATGCTCTGACGGTGCAGTTGTTGCTCAGGATATTACATCTTTTGGATCATCAAACTTTGTGGAAACTCCCAGCAAGGCTTCTGTCTCAACAGGTGCTTTCTATGTTTGACAAACAGGGCAGTGATAGGGTGTGGGATAGAAAGTACTTAGGTTGCCAAATTTTTTTCACATTTATCAGTGCAGTAGTGTGGTTCACTGAACATGGCAATGTGGGAAAGGCTGCTGGATTCTTTTTTTTTTTTTTAATTTTATTGTAAGTTCCAGGATACATGTGCAGAATGTGCAGGTTTGTTACATAGATATACATGTGCCGTGGTGGTTTGCTGCATCCATCAATCCATCATCTAGGTTTTAAGTCCCACATGCATTAGCTATTTGTCTTAATTCTATCCCTCCCCTTGTCCCCAGCCCCCAGCGGGCCCCAATGTGTGTTGTTCCCCTCCCTGTGTCCATGTGCTCTCATTTTTCAACTCTCACTTAAGAGTGAGAACACGTGGTGTTTGGTTTTCTGTTCCTGTGTTAGTTTGCTGAGAATGATGGCTTCCAGATTCATCCATGTCATTTCAAAGGACATGATCTCATTCTTTTTTATGGCTGCATAGTGTTCCATGGTGTATATGTGCCACATTTTCTTTATCCAGTCTATCATTGATGGGCATTTGGGTTAGTTGTAAGTCTTTGTTATTGTAAATAGTGCTGCAATAAACATATGTGTGCATGTGTCTTTATGGTAGAATAATTTATAATCCTTTGGGTATATACCTGGTAATGAGATTGCTAGGTCAAATGGTATTTCTGGTCCTAGGTCCTTGAGGAATTGCCACACTGTCTTCCACAGTGGTTGAACTAATTAACACTCCCACCAACAGCATAAAAGCGTTCCTATTTCTCCACATCCTTGCTAGCGTCTGTTGTTTCCTGACTTTTTAATAATCACCATTCTAACTGACGGGAGATGGTATCTCGTGGTTTTCATTTGCATTTCTCTAATGCAAATGATCATGAGCTTTTTTTCATATGCTTCTTTGCCATATAAAAGTTTCTTTTTTACCTCTTTATATTTCTGCTTGAACTGCCCTTGTTTTTTCTTTCTTCAACAGAGTTTTAAGCACTCTTGAGATTTTCCATAATATATGAGATTTTCCATATGAAATGATTGTCTTTAAAGAAATGCTAACTTCTTATTCTAAAGCATCACAAAAATAAATCTCACTAATTTCAAGGTTTGCAAAGTTAAATACTATAAATACTACATTCATTAAACTCCTATTCTAGAGGTTATATAGGTATCAGAGCATCTGTCACTGCCACAGAAAAACATTAGCGGCAGCTAACAGCTTGAGGAAGAGTACAGCCTTGTAATTTGGTTTTATGTTGTGCCTATTAATGTACAAACTACGATGCAAGTAGCGTTTACTCCTATGCCATTTAAATGAACAAAAGTGAGATTGTGGCCAAGGCAATGATATCATCATAAACTGAAGGAGGCAAGTGTGCCTTTCAGATCATCAGTGTAATGGTTGTGAGCCTCATTTCAGAGGCTGGGTTTTCTTTAGAGGACTTCTTTTATGGTTAAGTATTTTTAAGGGCAATAACTCATGAATAAAATATCGATGAGTGAGGGAACTCTAAACTCTTGTAAAGCTAACTCAATTATCTATGCAAATGGGAGCATGGGTTGCATAAATCAACGACTTCCCAAGCTAATTCTCTGGTTTCAATTTAGCCAATAGTTGCCACGTTTCATCTTTTCTCTTCAACAAACCCTCTACTTTCTCTCTAACCAGAACTGTAGCTAAACAACAAAATGGATCAGCTTGCATTTCATCTCACCTTCTCTTTTTATCCCTAAAGGCATGTCTGATGGATGGAAATGGTCTAAAGAGGTGGCAGGAGGAAATGAGGGAAGCAAAAGAGCTGGAAAGCCCACCAGCTGGATAGCAAACCCCTGAAAAGTCCAGTATTGGGGGGAACTCAAATAATTTCTAATTTTTATCAGAATCATGTCAAAATTTAGCAAATTCCAGTGTTAAGGCTGACAGAAATTATTTGGCAGTCAGATTTCACTTGTAGGGGGGTTTCTATTTGACTGGATTTGTGCTGAGTACAATTTGGGTGGATCTTTGCAAATGAAAATGTCCCTAAGTTAAAAAAAAAAAAAGTACTAGATGATCAAAGAAAATAATAGAGTGCCATAAGAAACACAGAAGCTCCTTAAAAAGTAGCTACATCTAGTGGAAATTGTTAGAGGACTGGAAGAAAAACATATCATTAAAGTTCAATAGATGAACGGAGCTGATGTAGGAAAAAGATGCCAGACCATTTCTATCAAAAAGAGGTCAGAAAGCAGGAGAAAAATACCATCATTTTGTGAAAGTATTAGACGTGGGGTAATATATGAGCTCATCTGAAATATCACACAGTAGTCGCACTTGATGTTACCCACATACCATATTCCTTTATAGTATTGTTAACTTGAGAATACCTTATGTATCAGTTTAGGTAGCAATACTCTTAGGGATTATAAGTGTTAATTTATCAAATAATTCCTATTTTAATAGAAGTTTTCCCAGTTTAACTTTTGAATATTTTAACTTCCTTTTCACCATAATGGAGAACTGATTTTAAACACAATTACATAGTGGTTTTTTAAGAGGGGTACCTGTACTTTTCCAAGAAAAACAATGATCAGGATGAAATCGAGATCATAAATGAAGGTAACTCATACTTTTAAAAAAAGAGATGGTACGAAGAGAGATCTAGTCAATTTATCAAAAGAAGAAATGAAATAGGTAGCTATTTGCAGACCCTGCTTTGCAGGAGGAAGACGCTCATATGAACATACATGAATGTGTGTCTTTTTAAGGTCTACCCAATGCCCCCATGCCTTTCTAACAGAAATCCAGTATCCTTCACTGGATGTACACTGCCAGGAATCTTAATATACAGTAACATAATAAAAAGAAAGAAAATGTTTCACTTTCTCTTTTTTCTGAGAGTCAGCCCTCATTGCTACCAGACCACTATTGTAGTTTTGTCTTTCTTGTCTCCAGCACTGCCTTGATTCCCCATCCATTCAAGCCCAGGTCTCCAGGCTCCTATACATTCTTTGAGCTCACTATATCCTTCCAATAAATTTGCTTTTGTTTGTTAGTCAAAACCATTTCTGTTGCTCTCAACAAAATAATTATGAAATATGGAATCTTTAAGGCAGCTTAGAAACTGAGAGGACATCAAATGTGGTAAGAAAAAGAGGATCAATGTCATCAACACAGAATTTTGAATCATGTCATTAAAAAAGAAAGTTGTTGGTTGTTGGCCCTGACTCACTATGGGAGTCTCAAGAGGTAAAAGTGATGCTAAGAAGACAGTATCTCCCAAAGAGACGTTTCCCTGAACACATATGCTTGACAAGCACTTGTGTCCTCAGAGAAGGCTCTCTGTGAAGGTGTTAGACCAATGGTCTTCCGTCTTTTCCCACCCCTGCATGCTGGAGGGATGAGAAGAAAGCTCATCAACACTATGTCCCCTAGAAGTAGTGATTCTGAGTTCTGGAGGTAGATCAGAATAGAGTGAGGGGGGCTGGAAAAGCCTTTTAGGTGATTCAAATACTTTTCTCCCCAACACCTGTCAGTTTCAAAAGACAACTGCTTTTGATGTTAGTAGACACGTTAAAATAAATTTCAAAAGTAAGGTTAAGTACTGACTAAGCAAAGGAGTCACAAAAAATATACCAGCAGTAAAATATAACGTTATAAAATTCAAAAACAATTTAGTTACTCAGCCTTCTTATTTTAAGTTTGGAGACATTGAGGCAAAAATAGTTAGCACATTCTCAGAGTTAATACAGCTTGTCTGTTAAGTCAGGTATTAGGGCTCTTGGTTCTTGAACCATGGCCCATTTCATTAAGACACATTACTTTCTTATTTTTTAAAATATCTTCCTCCAAATAATATTGATTCTTAGTGCTGGTGTATAAGAGTAGTTACTTTGATCCATCATGACATATTAATAAAGATCAAAGATCCATCATGATATATTAATAAAGTTGCATGTTATAGGAAAAGTATTACTTGATGAATTATTACCACTTTCACTACCAAATCATGATCTATAAAAGATACCACATGCAGGTTGCTACTTAAATTATAGATATAATACCTGAAATATTAGGACCTGTGTCCAAAAATATAATTGGCAAATTTAACCCGTATTTATTGATGGTAAATATTACAAATCTGAACTAGGTAATGGTAATAAATATTATATTTTAGAAAAAATATATAACAGAAGCTCAAACACATTGTTTTCTCTTTACAAAAACATCACCAGAAAGCTAAATGTTATATTTTAGAAAATACATCAATCAGAAGCTCAAATTCAATTTATATTTTTCACCAAAAAAAATTCACTGACTAACTTTTTAAAGATAATTGTGACAAAATATTTAGAAGCACATATGTATATACACTGGGATACCTCCTTCACAAAAAGAGTGAATGTCAATCCACATTAAATAATCACTTCAAATACATTTTAGATGTCCTTTGAGGTAAGAAAATACTAAGAACATCTACATGTGAAATTGACTTCAGTAGTTGTTAGATCAACCAATTTTCCACAAATAAAATGGTTTCATTTTTTTCAAAATAAAAGTATTTCTATCATTTTGAGCTATCTTTGAATGTTTTTTTCTGGGTAGTCTTTTGTTCTTCTATACTTTTCAGTGTAGAAACTTAGCTGATAAAGTCATCAAGCAGTTATTTTATGCATTCCTATTTGGTTTTTGTCTATTTCTCATCATTCATTGATGATACAAACAGACTTGTCTTTTGACTGAAATTCTTTTATGGCTCATAATTTATGAAGAACATGGCCTTCTGTGATAAAGACCCATCAAAAGCATCATTATTCTGCATTTATCGGCATTGAACTGCCTGTTTTATCTATTAGTATTAAAAGGTTCTGCTTTTTTTTCTGTATCTGGCTATAGTCCTCTAATTCATCTCATCTCTATTATCTTCCGGGATAAGGCTTTGCCTTAGACTGTGGGTCAAAAAATCACATTATTAAAATTATCTTCAACATTCAAAATAAAAAATATTTCCATGCAATCTTATTTTGGTGAAGATGGCAAATGAATATCATTTAGCCCTTCTGAAGCTGATCTGATCTTTTGTACCTATTGCCTCTGGTAATGCTTTGCTATACAAGATGTACTGAAATAAATGATTTGTCCTTTGGTTCTTTCAATCCTGTGTTCTTTATCTGTTAATGGGGTTCCACATGCTTTGCTTTTCAAAACTCCTCAAGTTGCTGCATTGAATGATAAATGTTTTGCTGATCCCCTTTCCGAACACCAGCCATTGTAATCTGCATATTAACAACAAATGAGTAAAAATGGTTGGAAAGGGGGTTAAGAATTTAAATGAATTAATGTTCAAGGTGAGGAAAAACTCGGAATGGAGGTGGACTAAGGCAAACAACAAAGACACTTCCAAGTTCTCAGGGTTCTCCACAAACTTCCACTCATTTGTGTTTAAAATCTAGAATTTGTCAGAGTGGCTTAAAAATCCTGTGTTGAAGCATGACATGAAGATTAATATTGTGTGCTGTTATTCCTTCTCATCTAATTAGTAGTGACATGTATATTTAGCTCTTCTGGATGGTAACTTGATTTCTGCCTTCCCTGACCTCCCAAATTTGACTTGTCACTGCTGATTTAACCTTAGATTTGCATAATATTTACAAAATGCCCAGGAACAGGCAGAATTCAGAGTTAAAAAAGTAAATATAACTAAGTTACAAGAGCCAAGATTCCTTTGGCTGTAGAACCAAAAGGAATCTTTAAAAACATGTAGTTAATTTCTTTCCTTTTGGCAGGGCAATGCCTAAACCCTGCCTAAAAGGCAGGTATTGATCCTCCTTTTAAAGGCATCAAGCAAAGGTAAATTATGTAACATGCCCTGGTGACCTGTTCAGGGTATCTCAATCCTATTAGAAACAAATTCATGTCAGATCTAACAACTTCATACCAAATGTCCTAATGTTTAACACAAAACACAGACCTTATTTATCATGGTGTAGTGGAAACAGCCCTGGAATCAGAGTCTGAACAACTGAGTCATTGCCTCTTTCTGGCTGTGGGCATATCTCAAGTCACTGAAATTCTGTGAGTCTACGTCTCTTCATCCAACAGAACTATATCAGCATAGTCTTTTTTTTTCCTTGAAAGAACTGTGTACAATAGTTTAATTTTACTGTCATTACTATTATTCTTAAATACAAGAACACACTCAGCACTTCCTAGGAAAGGGGCCCTTTGCTGGTAATGTGAAAAACAGAGGCATATTGTGTGGTCTCTGCCATTAAGGAGCTGAGCATTTCATAGAGAGAAAGAGAAATATCCAAAACTAGACCTAAATTGATAAAATAACATTATTGCCACATATTAAATCATGAGTACAAGAAGTAAGTTCTATTGGAAGTCATAGGAGGGCAATCTAATATTTGCTAAAGCAGCCAGGAAATCAGTGTATTCCTGAAGACTGGCACATGCAGCTTCTGAAAGGAAGACAAGGCCAAATTGAGGCTCATTTCTTAAACACAGTATTTTGGACTGAACGTAAATTAATTGGGAGTAAAATGAACCCTTGTAATGCCTTGTATTGATAGCTAGGACATTACTCATTTATTCATTCAATAATGACAATTTCTCTACTATGTGCCAGATTGAAGAGATATAGATTAAAACATAGTTGCATTCTAAAAGAATCTTAAAGTTCAGTGGAAGAAAACTGAAACTAAGATAAATCAAATGACTCTCCTACTTGGCCCAAATGAAAAATAGTATAGCCAGGATTCCAAATTAGTTGTGATGAGTTCCATATACCATTCTCTTTACACACTGTACCTCATATTTTTTCCCACATTCCTCTCTCTCTCTCTCTCTCACACACACACACACACGCACACACACACACGTGCTACATACACATGTGGGTGAGGATGTAGCATGACAATATACAAAAATAAACTAGGTAGGTTTTTAAAAATTATTTCCTTCTGTCTTTTCCTTCACTATTCAAGCAGAAAGAAGAGCTTACCATGTACAGTGAACACGAGAAGAGATAATACAAAAGAATAAAGGTCCAATTTGCTGGATTTTAAAATTTCAGATAGATTATGAAAATATCTAGTGGAAGTAATGAACTTGAAAGTTGGAACTTTTATTTTCAATAAATAAGCATTTAAGAAAAAAAAGTTTGTTTTTATTTTCTTATTCCAAACATTCAGTTTTAAATATTAAAAATATTGAAAGTTCAAGGCATAAGTTTATAACTAAAACCACTATTTTTTTTTATTATACTCCAAATTCTAGGGTACATGTGCACACCATTCCAGTTTGTTACATAGGTATATATTTGCCATGTTGGTGCGCTGCACCCATCAACTCGTCATTTACATCAGGTATATCTCCCAATGCCATCCCTCCCCCTCCCCAAACCCCACAACAGGCCCTGGTGTGTGATGTTCCCCACCCTGTGTCCAAGTGTTCTCATTGTTCAATTCCCACCTATGAGTGAGAACATGCGGTGTTTGGTTTTTTTGTCCTTGCGATAGTTTGCTCAGAATGACAGTTTCCAGCTTCATCCATGTCCCTACAAAGGACGTGAACTCATCTTTTTTTTGGCTGCATAGTATTCCGTGGTGTATATGTGCCACATATTCTTAATCCAGTCTATCATTTATGGACATTTGGGTTGGCTCCAAGTCTTTGCTTTGTGAATAGTGCCGCAATAAACATATGTGTGCATGTGTCTTTATAATAGCATGATTTATAATCCTTTGGGTATATACCCAGTAATGGGATGGCTGGGTCAAATGGTATTTCTAGTCCTAGATCCCTGAGGAATCGCCACACTGTTTTCCACAATGTAAAACGACTGTTTATACAAGAATGGTCTGTAAGCCATCTGTATCAGACATGTAGTATGTGTCATAAATTACAGGTTGAGGAGCCATACCCTAAGTCTACAAGGACAAAGACAGGATAATGTATTTTTACATACAACCCAATTTTCCTTATCCATTGTAAAGTTTGAGTAGCTCTGCTTAAACCCTATCATGGAGAAGAAGACATGATGAGATAGTCATTTTTCTGCTCAAAAAGGGTTATGTGTTTGGCCAGCAAAACAGAAAGAGAATTGGAAGGACATAACTGATGTAGAGATAACTGTTGTTCCCTGAGAAGGGTCCAGAACTCCAGCTGGGCTGAAAGGAACAGTTTGTGGCCAGTTGCAGTGGCTCACACCTGTAATCCCAGCACTTTAGGAAGCCAAGTGGGGTGGATCACTTGAACACAGCCTAGGCAACATGGTGAGACCCCATCTCTACCAAAAACTACAAAAACTAGCCAGGTACAGTGGTGCATGCTTGTCGTCCCAGCTACTTGGGAAGCTGAGGTGGGAGGATTGCTTGACACTGGGAGGTCGAGGCTGCAGTGAGCTGAGATTGCACCACATCACTCCAGCCTGGGCAACAGAGTGAGACTCTGTCTCAAAAAAAAAAAAAAAAAAGAGTTCATGATAAGTAACATTTCTTCAATTTGACCTGATGTGTATTGAAGAAAACCAGCATCTGAGGCGCATGGAGAAAGAAAAAGAATAAACTTGGACAAAGAAACAGACGTGCATAAAGGGAAGACAATGGAAAGAGACACAAGGAGTAAATGGCCATCTACAAGAAGAGAGGCTTGGACAGATACTCTCTGCTCAGCCCTCAGAGGGAACCAACCCTACTGACACTTTAATTTCAGACTTCTAGCCCCTGGTGTCATGCAGAAATGGGATTTAGTTACAAAGTTTACAGTTTTCCAGAGGAAAGACAGCCTGGAAAGCCAGACCCCAGTTCTTTGTGTTCTAGAATCCTTTCAAATTTACTCAGGATTTTCACTGCTCTTTCTGTCACCTAAGGACATCAGTGGTGAATATAGCAGGCTACAGACTGACTTCCAAGACCAGGTGACAATTGCTATAGCTCAGCTAAAGGAAGACAGGAGCACAAATGGCAAACAAATGCAATATCCCCCAGATGCCTGGAGCACACACATCCTGCTTATGTTTCCTGTGGGGCAGAAAGGTGAATCAGGGAGGGAATCTTGAATCGACTGAGCACTAGTTTCCAAAATACTGCTTCTTATAACGAAAGTGGCTGAGTGATCTTGGATTGACAAGCACTCACCGTCAGCAAAAATCTGAGTTTGAGAATGTATGCAGGTATAAAGAAACAAAGGAAGACATATTTTTTACATAGCTAAGTTTATAACAGTATAACTACTGTATGATTTTCATTTCAGCAAATGTGCTGAATGTGCTTGGCACTTAATTAAGAGTTGGGAATACAGCGATGCATGTCTCTCATGTATTGACTCATGACTGGTGCCAAAGCAGTTTAAGGCACATTCCATGCGTCACCACCATCCCACACATCAGATCTACATGTAAGTTTCATTATCAATCCTCAGCAAATTAACAAACTGAGGATTACCAAGATTTTGCCAAGGTCACATCATTGCTGATTGGTTGGCAGGGATCAAACCCATTGCTGATTGGTTGGCAGGTCCACTCAACTCTGCTGCCTGCCTTTTATTCACAAGGCCATAGGAAGTTTTGAGTCGAATAACATAAGAGAAGTAGCTAATTGTAATAAATAATTCAGTAAATGCCATAAGAAATGTATGAATAAAATGAAGTAGCAGTAGGGAGCAGGAATCACTATCACCAAAGGTCTCAAGGAATGTTATATAGCATAGTAGTATTTTTCTTTGCTGTTTTGAGCCAGGATAAGAGTTTTGGAAGCAATAAATGGAAAGAAAAGGTGTTCCAGAGGAAGGAAATCATATGCCAAGCCTAGGGTTATGAGAGTTATGGCTGGTATGGAGAAGGTTGAGATGTGGTCTACTCAATGACAGCATAGGTCTGCCAGGTAGTAGGGGAACTCTATGTTGGGGAGGTGGGATGAGCCAGAACATGAAGGCATTGCAGAGTCATGCAGCTTTTTAGGTTAGGAAATGATGGGCTCAAATTTGCCTTTAGGAAGAACTAACTTAGAAGAGTATAGAGGCTGTATTTGGGAAGTCAAAGCATGTGATCATGTGATAGGAAGACTGAAGATGATGGGGCTTTGCAGTGATCCCAGGAGGAAGACAGGAGAAGCACGAGAAATCAAGGCACCAATTTTGGAGTCTTTCCTGAAGTGGAATTAGCAGACTTTGGTGGCTAATGGTATGCTTGGAGGACAAATTAGTGCATACTTGAGAAGCTTTAGGTCATTACTTTGTGAGGCAGAGTGGATTGAGATAATTTCCTGTATTGTTTATCAATACAGGATATCTGGGCAAAACCAGCAGTGTGGTCATCAGTATTTGCATGAGATATTAGAGGGAGAATTGTACACAGGGAAATGACAAGCTAGCCAAGGAGCAGAGGCCAGAAGAGCAACATTTAAAAACTTAAGTATAATGGAACTCTTGGCATGTCTTTGCCCAGAATTTATGCCATTCTTTCTTAAAATAAATGTTCTAAATGTTCAAGAAATGTAAAGTTTTAGTGGAAAGAGTTCTGACGTAGTAAGGTTTTAGTGGCAAATTTGCCATTAATTATGTGACCTTTGACATGTCACTTAATCTAACTCAGACGTGGCATCCTGATCTGTGGAACTAGGAGATCTCCAAGGTCTCTCTTTCTTGCTTTCAAATGCAATGATTCTCACTCATTTCTTTAGAGTATTTTAATTGAAGTATATATTACATGATATTATAGGCTATAGTGTCATGTGCTCCTCGAGTATTAGTGATAAGAAAAATATTAATGATAATTCTAACTTTATGACTATCGAGCTTTCAAGCTTTTATAACTGAAAGTCATGGATATTTCTTTCTCTTTCTACAACTGAGAACAAATTCTCTACACTAAAAAGATGTTGCAACAGACTGGTAATGAAACAAAAGTCATTGGGACTAGGTGGAAGTTTTCCCAAATCATCACTGTAATTTATTAACGTAACGGTCATCATTAATAATGTCTATAAACAGAGACTTTATATAATATAAAAAAATTTTAAATCAAAAGAATTATGTTCTAATAAGAAATAACTTATGGATTCACCTAGACATTGAATTCTAACAATGAAATCTCTTCAATGAGGGAGAGAAATGATTAATCCCATAGTCTTGCCCCTGAGTTGTGGATCTTCTCATTCCAAGTATTGCACAAAATAAAAATGCTCCATTATCTTAGAGCTAATGCTCTTCAAAGAGAGAAGCTGTTGTTGAGTCTGTCTTACAATTTAACATTTAATAAAATGACCTATTTCTTAAAAGATGCTCCACTCTCTTAGAGCTCAGAGGAATTCAAGCGAAGACTTTACAAGGTGAATTAATGGCCCAAAGCACAGCCTTATGCTAAGCTAGTAAGTCAGAGAAAATCAATTTAACCTTCATCCAGAAATTAAATGGTTATTGATTCATATGGAAGATAGTGTAACCTTTCAGATTAAATTAAGAAATGTTGCTGAACACAATTAAAATTTTTCAAATGTAACGCTGTTTGCAGAGTGCATTTTTGACTAAATTCCATCTCTGAGGTTAATTACCATGTCTAGGGTCCAGGAATAATAGATTAAGTGGAAAGTTGGCTCCAAAAGTTAAAGAATGGGGAGAAAGCTAGAAGTATTCAGAAATGATTTATGTCTTACTGATGAGTTTGAGGGAGGCCAGCCAAATAACCACACCACTTTTCTATGCTAGAAGTTTTAAGCTAAAGTGGTGATATAAAATTAATAGGATGTTCATTCCTTTCAGTGGGGCTGAGGCAGCTCCAAATTTTTCTCACAATTAGGAATCACCTCATTCTTGCTAGCAAGACTAAAGTTATTAGGTTGGACAAAACTCATTGTGATTTTGCCATCACCTTCATTGAAAGATCTGGAGGCACTCAGCGCAGGTAAAGAAGGTGGGTAAAATTGGATTATAACCTCTAAACACAAACCCTGTCTTAAAGTGACAATGGTACTGTGATATTCTAGAAGGGCTTAAAATCGCTGAGTTTTTTGGTCTTAAATATGCTCTTAACTGGCTGATCTTACAAAACACCCAACTTAATTTTGCTGCATTTTTCTCGTCTGCAAAGTGAGAGGGTTGGGGCTCATGCCTTCTGAAGTTGTTCCAGTTCTATAAGTTATAAATAATAAATACAGACACACATACACACAAACACAGACACACACACATATACTTCCCTTAAGCTCTGTTGTAAGGGCTCCCACTATGACCCTGTCTCACCAAAGCCATGCTGGGTAGAGAGCATACACTTTTAGAAAACCCAGCTAAACTTGTTTTTACATAAATCACGTTTCCAGAATGAAAAACCCAAGTATTTCACAGTGAAAACAGCAAAGAATGTATACAAGGAAAAAAAAAAAAAAAAAAAAAAGACTAAAGGCCTTCATGACACATTCAGTGAAGAGATGCCCTGGTAACTTTTACCAGTTAATTGATGCATAAAAGGTTGTGAAGATTAATGCACATCAAAATCCAAACTAAATTGAATTTTTGACATTTTTGCAAATAAAAACCCCAAAGAATATATAGGTGCCTTTTGATTTGTCACAGCTGGAAGACTCTGAATCATGAAGTGCTCTAGGAGAGACCATTAAATAGTGTTAGATGGTTTTTCAGTGTGGAGGAAAAGTAATTGAAGAATCAAACTGTGTGTATAGACATTGCATTTTAGAGTATTTATCAAACAGAGATAAAGAGAGGTTTTTCTTCTACAACTAAAGCACAAAGTGTTGATTAGGATGTCACAGGAAAATTTAATAATTTAAGTCCTTAATTTTTCTTATGGGGTTAGACTAAATGATCCTTGCTTAAAAATACTTCTAGTCTACATTTAAAAAATATTGGCCATGTAAGTTATTTGTATCTTCTGCTTATGAGCAGAAAAAAAGATTTAAAAGTCAACAACTGTTTTATGGGAATGATATTTGAAAATAGCGATATAGTATGGAATGAGCATAGCAGGTAAAATAAGAACCAAATTCTTAATATCAATTTAGTAAGACTGTAAGTATGAAAATAACTTCACATCACCTCATTCTGATACTCTTTGCTTCAGTTACAAGGGCAATCACTGATTATACATATACATATATATGTGTGTATATATATATATTTAAAATTATTGTATACACATGCCAATGAAATAAGCAAGTGTTAGCATTTCATTAAGCCAATGAGACTGTTTTATTCTTTAAAAATAATATTAATCCTAATAATATGAATAATCAGGTAACTGTAATGCCTTTGCAGTCAACATAGCACGAAGAACACGCAGAACAACACAAGGTCTATATTGCAATCCAAACACATCTTCGTTGGGGCCACATAAAGAAGACCTTGTCATTAGGTCCATGTGTTCCCATGTAGTGTGAAATGCCCCAGGAAGAGATGAGTTGCAGCACATGAAAAACAATTCTGCCATCCAAATAATTAGTTTAATCTGATTTTATTCATAAGAGTTTATAGGTATGCTTTTCTTCTTAGGTGGAATAATTTAACTTTTTTTAAACTGCTATTTGACTAGTAGACAAGGCTGACAAAGACAATACAGAAAGGGACATGCATTTGGTAATTCCAGAAAGCTTTTGTGGCTGTCTTCATTGTCCTTACTTCAAATGGTTAGCAGTTGTCAAAGTAAAGCTGTTCGCACCATAGAGATATCAAGATAAAAACAAACATGGTCTCAAAAAACTGACTTCCACATGGAAGAGAAGGAAGGAACAGTTTCTATTCTTGGAAGGACAACAGCACTTTGTTTTAATCAGTTGCAAAGAATCTAAAACTCTAAAATTCTAAATGAGGTTAATAAATCAAGAAGAGTTTAAATGAAAACAAGTTTCATAATCAGCTTGCAAATAAACACTGCTGCATATTCTATTAAGATTGGTCCCAAGGCTAAGGCAAGTCAGAACAGATTTTTTCTATATATCCACAGTTCAAAGCTTTTAGGTGGCAGCAGACCATGAGAAAATGTTTTAATAAAAAATACCACTATTTAGTAAAAATGATAGCATGCAGTTAGAGACTAACAGAAATCTCCTTTTCCCTGGGAGATTTTTTTTCTCAACTTCCAAAATAACTGTATTTTGACAATCACCTGCAAAGTAAGTCTAAAGCATCGCGTCATATCCCATTGAAGTCATTCTTATTGCTCACTGAGCATAAAGTATTCAGTTACGTCTTAGCTCCTGCAATTAAGACTTTGACTGAGTTAAGGTTTCTCTAAGGACATCTGGCTTTGTCCCCTAAAGTTGATAATATTTGGGAAAATGGACAATCTGAAACAACTTTCCTACAGACCTCAAGAAAGATTCCAAATTTCTGCTTTTAACAAGGAGATGACTAAGGTGAAAGAGAAAAAAAATAACTTTAGGAGACAATGATTATTTAAATTTTACACAAATTAGTTGTAGAAAACTCAGGTAAAACTTTGGTTTTTGTAAATGCAGTTAAGAGGTCAATGTAAGAAAGTAGTTGCAGTCACCCAAAGAGAGATTATAAAATGAAAAGAAATGTTGAGCACTGAAGCTTGTAATCATAATACTTAAAATGTGAGAAAAAGAAAAACCTATGAAAAAGATCATAAACAAACAGTAAGAGATACAAGTCTGGAAAAATTAAGAAGGTGAGGAACTAATCAATTTTATCAAACACTACAGACGTCTAGATAAGACTAGGGATAAACAGCATCCATTGGATTTTGCATGTTGGGGGCATATTGGTGACCCTAGCAAACGCTATTTCAATGGGAAGTCATTGTAGTGAATCGAGAGGAAAGTGAGAAGTGAAGAGTTGAAAACAGTATCCATGTTCTTAAGGCAACCCTGATGTACTAGGTAATTATGCATACTCCAGAGGCAGAGAACTGCGTAGACCTGCGTTTTAATCCATGCTTGCACATTTAAGATTAGACCTTGAGAAAGTTACCTAACATCAAGGAACCACAGCTTTTTGTCTTTACAATTTGGGATAGTAATAACATCTCCCAAGGATTTGTGAAAATAAAACGAGATGTTATATGTAATTGGCTAAAATAGCACCTGGCATATAGTAAACACTCAACAAATGTCATTATTATTTTGAGAAGAGAGACATAAAGTCAAATGAATAGTTTTTGTGCCCTTTGTGACTTTGTTTTGTTTTAGAATTGATGTTGGTAGGTATGTATGTGTGCATGGATATTTTAGATAGGAATAACTTGAGCACAGTTGTAGGCTAAGGAAAATCAGCCAGTAAATAAACAAAAAGAGATGCTTGAATTCTGCTTCAGGAGAGACATTTCTGTATTTGGAAAATATAATTTCAAAAGCCTTCTGGAGACAAGTGAGATCCTCTGGGCAGAGATGTGGCCGGTACCAAGACATCAGAAAAGGAGGAAAATGCTTTAAATGGAATGAGAGGAAGAAAGTATGTTTTTAATACCAAATGTAGAACCTGAGTCAGAAACTTAGATACAAGGAGTTTATTGAAAGGTGGTTCCAGGGAGCAGGAATAAGGGACCACAGAGATTGAAACTAGGAAGGAAGAAAAACCAATATATTGCTGCATCTCAAATTTCCACCTGAAGATGGAAAAAAAAAACAATAAGAATTAATTGATCATCCTCCATCCCCCATTGGTAGAGCATTGCCCAGAGGGCATGAATACCCTCACATTTCAGGTGTGCTTGCATATGCCCTAAATAGGCTCCATCAGCATCCCATGGTGCAGAGTCAATGAAGGCTTGAAAGATATTTTGGTGCATGCTTGAGAAAAGATACTGTCAGTTCAAGCTATATTGAAGCTTACACAGAGTTAATTTGATGGAGCTATAACTGGAATCAGAGACGAGGTCAAGAAAATGTGAGTTAGTGAACAAGAGTCATGATACAGTTTACTCTTTGCTGTGTTCCTGCCTTTAAGTCCAATCTTTAATTGAGTCGTCTTGGTTCTGACCTTCAAATCACTTAGTAGAGGGCAGTTTGGGAAACAAGACACAATTCTCCCCCTTTTCCAATGCAATTGATCACCAAGTCTTAATTGATCTTTATCATCTCTTGTCTTTATCACCTATTTTAAATTTCTCTCATGCTACGCTTTCAGCTAATCTGGCTGCTTGCCTATGGAGGTGATGCAGACTTTCACTACTGAAGGGTCTGAGCCGTCATTAGTTTTGCCCTTATTGAGAATTATTTCAATTGCCTATTCACTATTATCACTGGGCATACAAATGCCAAGAAATGCTTCAGTTAATACCTTGAGTTCCAGATATCCTCCTTTCTGTTGCCATTAATATAACAACACCCTATCCCCTCAAATTAATTAGGAGCTTCTTTCTTTGTCTTCTAGTCCACTGACATGAGGATCCTAAAGTGATCTGCCAATAGTCATAGCTTCAAGCTCAGTAGAAATTTTGTGTCCAATAGAAAACAAACTATGGCATGAGATTCTAGGGGAAGTCTGCTAGGCCTACACACATGCAAAGCCTATAAATGCATGAAAGTTAACACCTATTACTATAATCCTCAACAAAAAGGGAGTTGATGGATAAATGTTACTCCTTGTTAGTCTATCCCGTGGTGCAAGGAGTCATATTGGGGAATGTGGACATTTAAGGTTCAAAGTATGTAGCTTAAATTTGAAAGCCCAAAATCCACAAATGGGTCATTGGAAATGGTGGCAAGAGGGGCCAATCCTTTTTTCCAGTGCTAGTTTATCAACCTAGGTGTTCTAGCTTTTGAGGAAATAGCACACTGATGTAGTACTCTAACACTGCAAGGTTTTGTTTCCAAGCTAGCAGCTAGCAAATATTTGAATAGACTAGTCTTATTCTATTAAGCTGACTGCTTCTGTGGATTGCATGCATATATTTATATGAGGGCCACAGAATTCCATGGTCACATATCCATAGCTATAAAATGAATCCTTCGTTTGGAGACAATATTGTGAAAAAAATGCATGCCAATGAATAAGGCACTGTTTGTGCTCTTAGATGATGTTGGGGGTAAAGGAACTTTGAGCAAGGAAATGAAAGCAGATCTGGAGTCCCTATCAATTCCTGGATAAACTCTTGCTGCCTCCTCCAGGGTGGAAAGACATCCAAGTGGCTGACTAGTCTCTTCAGGATGATCTTACATAGGAGAATCGTCATCAATCTCTGAGGTTGACAGGTTGGGTATTCAGAAGTGTAGTAGCTATGTCAGCCTTGGGAAGAGGGAGTACACATTTCTAGAGCCATGCATAGCTTCCACCTTGGTCTCTGCTTTCACAGCCCACTGTGTAAGCACTGCAATGATGGGAAAGAGACTGGTTGAGGCCCAGTAGACAAAGCACAGGAAACTTTTCGAGGCTGGACTTTCCTTTGAAGCTCCTTGGTCTGGTTATAAGTAAAATCTGCTCTGTGGCTGCAGGATATGACAGTTTTTCTAGATGCTACCTTGAAGGCCTTAATTTGAGAGTTGGTAATTTAACTCTCTGTATAGGCTCAATCTTCTAAAATTGTAAATAGCGGCCAGTAAATTCCTGAATCCTTCAAATTACTACTGCCCCCAAAGCACTGTTAGAGCCCCTGAATCCCCCAGTGCTTCACCCTTCACCCAGCCTCATCCTATTCCGCCAAAAGTGAGAAACTTACTAATTGTGATGCCACAACATGCCTAGGCTTCATCTTCATCCCACTGTCTGCTCCCAATAAGGCTCTTATTTCCATCCGCTCTGGAATCCTATCCTGCACATCTACTTTTTAGTACCAATTGGTCCTAACCATGGCCCCCAGAAAGCAATGCCTCAGTCAAAGATTTTAATAAGATAGTTTATGTGAAAGTTAATCGCAGTGAGCAGGAATAAGAAATCAATAACAGAAACAGGTAAGAAGAAAAGGAGGGGTGTTGTTCAGTCCATCACTGCTGTAACAACAGCATGTCAATCACTCCGGGAAGTTCTGAGAAACATATAAAATGTCTCTCAGGATTGTCCGCTTGAAGACTGACAAGGAGTAACATCCATCAGTTCTCTATTGGTTGAGGATTGTGTCAGATGTTAACTCCTGCACTCTCGGGTCCTGCATGTGTGCAGGCTTCTCCTGGCATCCCAGGCCACAGAATCAGAAGAGCCTCATGCAACATTTGGTGTGTGTGACTGGGGTGAGATGCTGCCAGAATGAAGTGAGTCAAAGCCTACAAAGAGCATTTCCCTGCAGTGACGGCTGGAGTCAGGTAAATGAGAGAGGATAGAAGTGCACAAGGAGCACCTGATACAGAGGGAAGAGAATATAGAGAAGAAAAGTCAGAATGAAAAAAAGGGGAGAATCTAGACCTAGATGCAGGAAAATCCATAAAGGTGGACAAAGAACGTGTCTATGAACAATGATACCTATCACATTTAAAGTTCCATGCGTGATCCCAGTGTAAACCACTTTTCTATATGCTTCAAAAGCCTCCAATCAAGTCTGTGAAGCCAATGTTAATGAAACATGCATGCTAATATATATTCGGTGGACCCTAAAGACATGACTATCTGTTATATTTGAGTTAGCCCAGGAAGACACAAGGCTAGCCCTGAGGAAATGCAGGGGTCCTGGAGAAAGAGAAAAACAAGAGGATACTATTATGCCTCTCTCTAGACATTTGGCAGAATATCAGAAGAATCCTTTTGGAATTCTAACCAGTCATGAGATTTTTTTTTAATTGAAGTATAACATGCACACTGAGAAGTGTAAAAATCATAAGTGTTTTTTCTCAAAGTGAACAACCTCATATAAGCAGCACCCATATCAAGAAACTGAATAACTATTCTCAGCTCAGCATCACAGAAGCCTCCCTTGTGCTCCCTTCCAATCACCACCCCCTGCAAGGGGGAGACGCTTTCCTTATTACTAACACCATAGCTTGGTTCTGTCTCATTTTGAACTTTATTGAAATGCAAACACAAAGAATGTACTCTTTCAGGTCTAGTTTCTCTCACTCAAGCTTTGCTCATGATAGTCTGCAAGCCTTAGATTTTTGGTAATGAAATTCAAGCCAAGCCTTTTACATGTGTTATTTTTTTTTCTGATAACTAAGCTGGAGATACTTGATAGCTATGTCTTTTTCTCCCACCAGGCTATGAAGACCTGCACTGTGTCTTATTCATTTTTTTCTCCCCAGCACCTAGTGTAATGCCTAAGACAATGATAAAGTGAATGATACCTATTTTTATCCACCACAGCATTGACTAGCACAGAGCCTAACCTTTATTGGTACAAAATGAATGTGAGTAGATGCTTTGATGGTAAAATTATTGTAATTGTCCCTTCTTATATCTCTAATATTGTGATTGACATCTCAATCCGTAAATACTGAAGTGTACAATTTATACATGTCTATGTTTTTATTTTGTTATCTATTCAGTTTTGAGAGAAAATAATCTCTTAATTTTGCAGCCTAGATGCCCCAAATTGCAAAAGTAATGAAAAAGACCCAGTGATAATAATGCGATTGGAAAGGAAGACACTGATTTCTCACATGACTGTGGCAAACTGTGAAGAGTGAAAATTCCAGAAGACTTAAATTGTCTATAGTTTTGGCATCTCTCCCTCTATGTACTTGCTATCTTTTTTTTGCTTTTAAGTCTGCTTAGTTACAACTGCAGACCACAGTAAAATTATAGATTTGGAGATGTTGGAATGTTTCCTCAAAGATAAAAGCCAATTAAAAAAATTTTAACAAAGAACAGAAGAAGCAATCAAGAGTTTGTAACAAATTATTAGGATTAATAAAAAATATGCTTTGTAGCCCTGTTTTGTCCTAGTAGACTCCATATATGTGCTTAAAGATCAAGGAGAGATTGTTCGTAAGTTTTTTTAAAAAATATTTCTATAACAGAGAACATAATCTAGCATGATTTTCCATGAATAGTCTCCCCTTCATTATTGTGAACAAGCTTAATAATAATAGTATCAGCTAAAATGTATGTATCTATAGCGTAGCTATAGTGATAGTAATAGTGTACTAACACGCTGATAATTACATAGTAATAGCAGAAGTGGCACTTACTATGGGCCAAGTATTATTCTAAGTACTTATGTGTTATATGTTAAAATTAAGTATTTATATATTAACACAAATACTAATATATTGAATCCTCATGCAGACTTGTGTAGGGGACTTTTATTATCTTCATTTTCCAATTAAGAAAACTGAGCTCTTAGAAATTATGAACCAAGATTCCAATAACAGAGGCAAAGACAAGACACAAACCCAAACTTTAGAGTCCGTGCTTTTAGCCACTGCGTTATATTGCTGCTGAATAAACTAAAAAGAGAGAGCTTTGGCATTTGTACTTAGTTTTGAAAGGAGTTCACTTATGTGTTCTCTCAGCCCTGTGTCTCTTTTATGTGAACTTTGTTGAAGTCTGGAAAGGAGAAGTATAGGAGGTCTGAAAGAGAGGTTGAGAGCAGAGAAGAGACAGAGAGGAACAGGCAAGAGGTTGTGGGGTTGGGCTCGGAAAGCAGGGTGAAATGACTAGGGACGGGAGGTAGACCAGGTAGGAGTCTCAAGTAGTGTGACTCTGGGCACTTGCCAAATAGCAATAACATTTTGAACATATGACCTAGAATGAGGGTTGGGAAGAAAATTACATGGTTCTAAATAATCTATTCTAAAATATTGTTTTCAAAACAATAGAAACTAAATTTTCACTTAGGTATCAGATGGTTAGAATATGAAAATATTAAAAATTAAACCAACCACACTTTTTTAAACAGGAGATTAAGACACTCTCATGTTCTTAAGCAATTTGAATGAGAACTGAAAGGGATTAATAAAATGAAGTGATCAATTCTGGAATGATCAAATGGTAAACAAAATATCAATCAAGAAAAGGATAGAAATCTAAATTACAGAAAAGAGACATATGCTCTATAGTGCTGGTCAATATAGCCCACCTGTAATTTTGTCCTTTCATCTCTCCCACTTCTTTTTTATTCCTTTATGCTTTAGAAACAAAGATGGTAAAGAATCAAATTCAGTGGGCAGTACAATAACTTGGAGATAATGTTTCTGAATGCCTTCTCCCAGAGCCTATCAGACTCATATATATAATGATATTATAAAATAATATTTTATTGTTAAATAGAGATTTGTTATTAAAGTAATATAGACGTTGTAAGAAAAATCACCAGCCTCCCAAATCATGTGGAATCAATATATTAACCCAGTTAGGAAATAAACACAAATTGGACAAGTGACTCCATATCCCAATACACATGTGGAATCACTTTTAGAACATTAATGAGCAGGTAATTTATTCAAGACAAGAATTCTTAGATATTATTCTGTATCCGTATGTAGTTTGCAAATACGTGATTGACCCAGAGCATGCACATGACATATTTTCTGAGGACCTTAGTCTTTATAAATTTCTAACATTTTATTCAAATCTAAACACCTCAAAAAATCTATCTTTTTTTTAAAGTTTCAGAACAAATGTATGAGAAGTTTTCAAGGCAAGCATATAATGAATTTTATATCAAAAGCAAATACAAAGTCACATAAATTTAGCAAAATTTGATCTTATATTTGAGAAAGTATTTTGAGTATGTTTGAATGAATTAAAGTTATATTAATTATTGTTAAAAGAAAAAATTTCAAATTCTATTTAATTTCACAATATTTTTGAACATTCTCTATATGACATTCAGAAGTCACCAAAAAATTGCATGGCATAATTACCATTGAGAAGCTTATAAGCTGATTGGAAAGACAATATGTATATACGCACTTATAAATACATATATGTGTATATATATTACAAATAACAAAGGCAATATGTATAAATACACATATGTCTATATATATACATATATCTATATATACATACACATACATATATGTACATATATAAGGGTCTGTGCTGAGGAGGATTAGTAGAAGAGGAAGGCCTCTTTGCAGTTGAGATAAGAGGAAGGCATCTGTCTCCTGCTTGTCCCTGGACAATGGAATGTCTCGGTGTAAAGCCCAATTGTATATTCCATCTACTGAGATAGGAGAAAACCGCCTTAGGGCTGGAGGTGAGACATGCTGGCGGCAATACTGCTCTTTAATGTATCAAGATGTTTATGTATGTGCACATCAAAGCACAACACCTTTTTCTTAACCTTGTTTATGATACACAGACATTTATTCACATGTTTTCCTGCTGACCTTCTCCCCACTATTACCCTATTGTCCTGCCACATCCCCCTCTCCGAGATGGTAGAAATAACGATCAATAAATACTGAGGGAACTCAGAGACTGGTGCCGGCGCGGGTCCTCCATATACTGAGCGCTGGTCCCCTGGGCCCACTTTTCTTTCTCTATACTTTGTCTCTTTCTTTTCTCAGTCTCTCGTCCCACCTGACAAGAAACACCCACAGGTGTGGAGGGCAGGCCACCCCTTCAAAATCAAATCACAGGGGTTAAAAAAGCCAGGGAATGTAAGGCTTTCAGAAAGCAATAAGAACTTTGGTTTGAACTTTTAATAAATTTTCCTAAAAGGCTTTGAAACAGAGGGGTACATGATATTAACTTAGATTTCCAAAGGGTTACTCTGGCTGCTGTGTTGAGAATACACTCATGGATAGAGTTAAGAGGTCACAAATTGAAACAGGTGATGAGGTTAGTGCTATAATCCACATAAAATAGGAGGCTTGGAGTAGAGTGATACCAGTGGAAATAGAGGTAGTGAAAATTGTTTACAAAGGTGTGGGCTCAGGAAATCACTGGCAATAGTAAAGTGTCCCAATGCTAGTTGTCTCTAGACTTCATGAGTCAAGGAGGGAGTTTATTATAAATTGAGGGAGACAGTCGGGTAGAGTTGATTATAAATTGAGGGAGTCTGGTAGATTTCACTACTGTGAGAGAAGGCATATAATCAGCTCAAGGCAACCTTCAAGGGAGGGAGTCAAGAAAATACATACCTGACTTCATTCTTCTCCCTCTCATGTCTTACTAGGGCTTCCTATTGACTGGATGTCACTGAAAGCCAGAAGGCACAAGATCCTACTGATGTAATCCATGCAGGTTAGCCTCACAGGGCCAGACAGGAGAAGGGAGATGAATCAAGTGTGCCTTGGGAAGAGCAAATAGAAGATCAGCAGCACCTGCATCTTGGCAGCTAATTGACCACATATCAAGGAGGATGGAATGAGATACTGAGTCAAATTTTTAGGTGGCACAAATAAGGAGGATGGAAGGAGATACTATGTCAAATTCTTAGGTGGCATAAATAAGGTGAAGACAGAAATTTGGCCATAAGATTTAACAATGTGGAGTTAATTGAAAATTTAAAAAGGGGATATATTTGGAACAGAATATTGGAGACAAAAGCTAGATTAGCAAGAGGCTAGGAGTGAATGGAAAAAGAATAGGGGGCATTGAATATAGATAATGTCTACAAACAGAGCAAGAATTTCCAAGCCCTTTGTTTGAATATCAGGCAAACCGAGGAGCAGAATTATAGTATTATATGATAAAAATACTTCACTTCTGGGTGCCGATATAACTGAGTTCTAAAAGACAGCGATACCATTATTCTTGAACTCTTTGTCCTGATGGATGTTTCAAACCATGTGGGATGCCAAGAATGCAATTTGAACATGCTTCCACAAGATACCAAGAAAATCCAAAAACTGTGACCAAGCATTTGCATTTTTGTCTTTTTCATATACATTGCCTCCTGCTTTATAGCTGCTTCAAGAGTAAATCAAAAGAAAAGAACTTGAATTGCTCATTCTTGCCTATCCCTGAAAACTCCACTGCATGTTCTGACCAATGTCAGGTGAGCATTACAAAGTGATTGTGATAATATAGGTATAAGGTGGTGTGAGCCTGGTTAGGTTAGTGGAAACAGAAATTCAAGAAGTAATATTTTATAGATAAAATAACTAATATAAGATAGCGAAGTGAATGGATATAAGGAATGAAAGATAAGGAGAAGCCAGCATTTCTCCTCGTTTTCTTAACAACAGAGCAGAGAAAAATTGTGATTCTACAGACAGATGCTTAGAATTTTTACAAAGCATGAGGAAGTAGAGGAGGAATCCAAAAACACTTGGTTCGCAATAATAAAACTTCTATTCGCTGAGTGCCTAATATATGAAGCAAGCAAGGAAATAGACACACTCATGAACATTTACCTGACATGAAAGCTTAAACATCATATGGATAGTCAGGAAATAAACCTGAACCTAGGCATTAAATGATTTCCCTGATTGGGTGGTTAGGAAGATATATAGGAGAAAGAAGTAATGCAGAGAGGCTGCAAACCAGTCAACGATACTTGTGCAATTCAGAACCTAAACACTTGTTTTCATGTTAATCCTTATTGCTATTTAACCAGTTGATAAAATTCTGATTTTTGTCATCTATATAATTAGTTTCCATTTTACACCATGGGATCTCAGCAAATGTGACAAGTTTGCTTTCTACAACTTCATATAGGCCAGAGTTAACATTGAAAGACCAGAGCTAAGAATGGACCTCTGTGACATTTGCTGTTGAGTGATCAGAGCAGAAAGTAGATTGAAGGAAGTCAAAAGTGCTGATTCAAACTTGAATGAGATGCATGTTATACATGAAAGATGCAGATTCATAATAAATAGATTTTCAGAGTGAAGCTTCAAGCAATAGTAGAGAAATCAGCCAGCCCTCTTCCAGAAAAACTTTCATAAAACTGGACCAAATTGCCATAACCATTTTAGTTATCTGGAAATTAACCATTGGCAAGCAATAAATTTAGAAGCATTTATTCAAGAAAAACTGCTTAACTTTGTATAAGAACAGAAAGATTCTATAACTCTGGCACAGTTAATGTAACCAGGATGGGGCTAGCCATGAAAACTAGCAGCATTGCTGCTAGAGGGGGATGACTTGATATGAAGTGTAGTTAGGAAAACCAAGTCGTGTTATCATAACATTGAATTTGCTCTCTGACTGACTCACACATCCATTGGCGGAGGTTGGAAGCCTTACGCAGTCTCAAGATGTTTAAGCAAAACCTGTGATTAATCATTGGCTGACCTCTAAACTATGATAAAACAGGAGCAACCCTAGAAAACCAAGCTTAAAAATAAGAATAGCATTTTAAAAATTGAGCAGAGATATCGATGCCACAGTGTGGAGGAAACAGATTCCACAGACTAAATCTAGTCAAATTAATAAAACAAACAAAACAAGATTCCAGAATTACTACATATATCATATAATCTAGTTTTCAACAAAAAATTATGAGATATGCAAATTATATTAGGATTCTCCTGAGAATCAAAACCAACAGGATGTGTAAATATACAGAGAGACTTATTTTAAGAAATTGGCTTCTGCAATTATGGAGCCTTAGTGAATCCACAATATGATGGTGTAGGCTGGCAGGCTGGAGACTCCAGAAAGAATTGCAGTTCAAGTGCAAAGGCAGTCTGCTGGCAGAATTCCTTCTTTCTCAGGGAGATCAGTCTTTGTCCTATTAAGGCCTTCAACTGACCGGATGAGGTCCACCCAAACTGTGGATGGTAAGTTATTTTACCCAAAGTCCGCTGACTTAAACCTCAATTTCATTCAAAAACATCTTTACAGAAACATCCAGAATAATGCTCGACTAAACATCCAGACATCATAACCCAGCAAATTAACACATAAAATTAACTATCAGGTAAAGTAACAGAAAAGTATGACATATGTGGAAAACATGAAAAGAAGTCTGTATAAATTCTCTCAGAGTGGGTAATGATGAATTTAGCAATTAAAACTTCTGGCCAGGCATGGTGGCTCACGCCTCATCCCAGCGTCTTGGGAGGCTGAGACAGGCAGATCGCTTGAGTCCAGGAGTTTGAGACCACCCTGGGCACATGATGAAACCCTGACTGTACATAAAATACAAAAAATTAGCCAGGCATGGTGGTACACACCTGTAGTCCTAGCTACTTGGGAGGCAGAGGTGGGAGGATCACCAGAACCTGGAAGGTCATGGCTGTGGTGAGCTGTGATCATACCACTGCACTCCAGCTTGCACAACAGAGTGAGACTCTGTCTCAAAAAATAAAAACAAACAAACAAACAAAAAAACACTTCACAGCAGCTATTATAGATATAACCAAAGAATTTAAAAAATAAAGAAATATATAATGATAATGACTCAAATAGAGAATATCAATAAATATTAACTATAGAAAAGAACTGAATAAAATTATAAAGTTGAAAGCACAATGACTGAAATAACATTTTACTAAATCAGATTAATGACAGATTGTATATAGCAGCAAGAGAAAGAATGAACTGGAAGACAGATTAATAGGAATTATGTAATCTTAAATACAGAGAGACAGATGAAGAAAGTCACAGAAATCTGTAGAAAGTATTACATATATAAATATATTTGTAATGGAGTCCTAGGAGGGCCACAAATGAAAGGGAGCAAAAAAAAAAAAAAAAAAAAGAAAATAATTCTAACTTTATAGATTTGAATTTTAAAAAATTAACCAACAGATCCAAATAGTTTAACAAATCCCATGCAGAACAAAACAAAGAACTTCACACCTAGACACATCATAGTTGAACTAGTGAAAGCCAAAAACAAACAAAAACTCTAGAAAGCAACAGGAGAAAAGTGACTCTTCATGTACAGAGAGCAACAATAGCATAAATTGCTGACTTCCTATTTGAAACAATAGGAAACATTAGGTGTGAAATGACATATTCAAAGTGCTGAATTAAAAAAAAACTGTCAGTCAAGCATTTTATATTAAGTGAAGCTATCCTTCAAAAATGAATATGAAAACAATACATTCCTAGATAAACAAAAGCTGAGAGACTTTATTGTTAGCAGCACTGAAAAGGTGAAAGAAAAGGATGTGGTAACCCAAGTCCATGAGAAGAAAGGAAGAGCACAATATATGGGAAGTATGTGAATAAATCGAAAACATTAAGTAATATGTGTTTCCTCTTCTAAATCTATATTTCTAGCAAAAATATATGTACAAACTAGCAAAAAGTAATGGGGAAGAAATGAAGGTATAACGTAGCAAGATTGCTATATTTAACTGAATTTAAGGAGTTTCAGTATGAGATAGATATTGATAAATTAAGATATATATTGTAACCCCTTGAGCAGCTTCTAAGAAATAACTTTGAAACATGTCATTTAAAAAATTGACAGAGAAACTAAAAGGATACACAGAATAGTATTTAATACAAAAGAAATGAAAGAAGAATGAAGAAACAAATATGAGACTGTTAAAGAAAATGAATAACAAAATGGCAGATGTAAATTCATGTACCAATGACATTAAGTGTGAATGGGATAAACACCAATCAATAGACAGACTGTAAAACTAAACAAAATAGCAGGCCCAGTGATATACTCTTTACAAGGGACATACTTTAAATTCAAAGACAAAGATTGAAAGTAAAAGGATATATATATATATACACACATATATATAGTTTTTGCAAATTGTAATTATAAGATAAATATAATGGCCATGTTAATTTTCAAAAGCCCCAGAATACAGGAAGCAAAGTCTAACAGGATAAAAAGAAGAGATAGATAAATCAAAAAATTATAGTTAGAGATTTTAGTACCTGTCAATAATTGCTAGAACAACTAGACAGAAAATCAGGAAAGATATAAAAGGCTTGGACAACACTAACTCGACCTAATTCACATTTATAAAACACTTCACCTAACAATAGCACAATACACATTATTTTCAAGGTCACAAAGGCAAATTTATAGCTTCAAAGGCCTATGTTTGAAAAGAATACAAATCTCAAATCAATAATCTATTCCACTTTGAAAAACCAGAGAAACCCAAAGTAATCAGAAGGAAGGATATAATAAAGGCCAGAGTAAAATCAATGAAATAGAAATCAGAGCAACAGAGAATCAATGACACCTAGATGTGATTCCTTAAAAAAATCAATTAAATAGGTAAAACTTTAGCTTTAGAGACCAAGGAAAACAGAAATGACCAAATGACAAATGACAAAAATCAGGGATAACATGGGGAACATCACTGTTAACATAGAGAAATTAAAATAATCACAAAGGAATATCATAACTTGTTAATGTAGACAAATTAGACCATGTAGATATTTAATAAAATGGACAAGTGCCTAGAAAGACACAAATTACCAAAACTAACTCAAGAAGAAATAGAAAATCCACAGAGACATGAAGGATTTATAAAAAAACTGAGTTACAGAAACAAAGTCAAATGCTGTATGTTCTCACTTATAAGTGGGAGCTAAACAATGACTACACATGGACATACAAAGTGGAATAATAGACACTGGAGACTATGAAAAGCTGGGAGGGTGGGTGGAGATGTGAGGACTGAAAAATTACCTATTGGGTAGAGTATTCACTATCTGGGTGATGGGTAAACTAAAAGCCCAGACCTTACCACTCTGCAATGCATAAATGTAAGAAATCTGCACTTGTACCTCCTAAATATATTTTTTAATTAAAAAAGAAGAAACTGAGTTAGTAATTAGTAATTAAAGATGTTTCAACAGAGAAAAATCCAAGACTAAGTGGTTTCACAGGTGAATTATTTAATATTTGCAGAAGAAATAATCCTACTCAAACTCAGAAAAAAAAAAGGAAATACTTTCCAAATCAATGAGTCTAATATCTCTCTCAAAATGATGCCATACAAACCCATCACAATAAAACTATAGGTCAATATTCTTTATAAATACAGATGCAATAGCCCTTAATAAATTTTAACAAACATTCCAGAAACATAAACAATGGATTATACACGATGATCAAGTGGGATTTATCCCAGGAATGTAAGGTTCGTTTATCATTCAAAACCAATTAGTAGAATTATTGATATTAATAAGAACAGAGAAAATGCAAAATTCAGCACCTATTTATGATAAAAACTCAAAAATGTTAGAAGGAAAGATCCTCAATCTGCTAAACAGTATTCATGAAAAACTGCAACTAATACTATACTTAACTGTGCAAGACAATGTTTTCTTTTAGATCATAAACAAGGCCAGAATGTCTATTATTAACACACAGAAGGTTCTAGCCCATGTATTCAGGTAAGAAAAAGCAATTAAAGTCACAGACATTTGAAAAGAAGAAGCGAAACAGTTTTTATTCAAAGGCCATATACTGTTACATATAGAAAATTCTAAGATATGTACCAAAAACATAATTGAACTAATAAATGTTTTTAAAAATCAAAGGATAAAAGATCAATGTAAAAGTCACTTCTATTTGTACATACTAGCAACAAAAAATTTGCATGTAAAACTAAGAAAGTTGTTTATTCATAATATAAAAATAACAAAACATTTAAGAATAAATATAACAAAAGAAATACGAGACCTGTACATGGTAAATCACAAAACTTTGGAAGACACATTAAGAAAGATCAGTGGAGAAAAATTCCATACTGACAGACTGGAAGACTCCATATTATTAAGATGGCAGTTCTCCTCAAATTTATCTATAGATTGAACATGAAAGACTTAGTATAGTTAAAACAATTTTTAGAATGAACAGCATAGGATAACTTATACCATTCCATTTCAAAACAAACTCTAAAGCTATAGTAATCAAAACAACGTGGTATTTGCTTAAGGATAGGCAGGAGAAGAAAACCCCCAAGTTTATAATCAGTTGATTTTTGACAGAGGCGCAAAGACAATTCAATGATGAAAGGATAGTTTATTCAACAAATGGTGCTAGAACAATTGAATATTCGTCTGCAAAAATGAACTCACACCTTTACCTCACGTCCTACATAAAAATCAGCTAAAAATGTGAAAATGTGTTATAGACCTAAGTGTTAAGAGCTTAAATTATAAAACTTTCAGAGAAATCATAAGAAAAAAATATCAGTGATCTTGGGTTTGGCAAATGTTTCTTAGATAAGACACACAGAGCACATTTCATGAAATAAAAAAGTAACAAATTAGACTTCATAAAAAAGAAAACTTTTGGTGATGTTGTTAAAAATAAAATAACAAGCCACGGACAGGAAGAAAATACTTGCAAATCATATATCTGATTAAGGATTTAATCATAAATATTTACAGAACACTTATAGCTCATTAATAAGAAGACAATCCAATTGAAAATTGGCAAAAGTTTTTATCAAAGGAAATATTAAAAAGCCAATAATCTCATTAAAATATGCTCAATGTCGTCAGTCATTAGAGAAATGTAAATTAAAATTTCAGTGAGCTACACAGTCATCAGAATGGCTATAATCAAAAAGCCTGATAATACCAATCATTGGTAGGAATATGAAGAAACATTAAAGTGGAATGAAATATGGTATACACAGCCAAGATGGCCGAATAGGAACAGCACGGGTCTACAGCTCCCAGCGTGAGCGACGCAGAAGACGGGTGGTTTCTGCATTTCCATCTGAGGTACTGGGTTCATCTCACTAGGGAGTGCCAGACAGTGGGCGCAGGCCAGTGGGTCCGCGCACCGTGCAGGAGCCAAAGCAGGGTGAGGCACTGCCTCACCTGGGAAGCGCAAGGGGTCAGGGAGTTCCCTTTCCCAGTCAAAGAAAGGGGTGACGGACGCACCTGGAAAATTGGGTCACCCCACCCGAATACTGCGCTTTTCAGACCAGCTTAAAAAATGGTGTACCACGAGACTATATCTCACACCTGGCTCGGAGGGTCCTACGCCCACGGAATCTCGCTGATTGCTAGCACAGCAGTCTGAGATCAAACTGCAAGGCGGCAGCGAGGATGGGGGAGGGGCGCCCGCCATTGCCCAGGTTTGCTTAGGTAAACAAAGCAGCCTGGAAGCTCGAACTGGGTGGAGCCCACTACAGCTCAAGGAGGCCTGCCTGCCACTGTAGGCTCCACCTCTGGGGTCAGGGCACAGACAAACAAAAAGACAGCAGTAACCTCTGCAGACTTAAATGTCCCTGTCTGACAGCTTTGAAGAGAGCAGTGGTTCTCCCAGCATGCAGCTGGAGATCTCAGAACCTGCAGACTGCCTCCTCAAGTGGGTCCCTGACCCCTGACCCCCGAGCAGCCTAACTGGGAGGCACCCCCCAGCAGGGGCACACTGACACCTCACACGGCAGGGTATTCCAACAGACCTGCAGCTGAGGGTCCTGTCTGTTAGAAGGAAAACTAACAAACAGAAAGGACATCCACACCGAAAACCCATCTGTACATCACCATCATCAAAGACCAAAAGTAGATAAAACCACAAAGATGGGGAAAAAACAGAACAGAAAAACTGGAAACTCTAAAACGCAGAGCGCCTCTCCTCCTCCAAAGGAACGCAGTTCCTCACCAGCAACAGAACAAAGCTGGGTGGAGAATGACTTTGATGAGCTGAGAGAAGGCTTCAGACGATCAAATTACTTTGAGCTATGGGAGGACATTCAGACCAAAGGCAAAGAAGTTGAAAACTTTGAAAAAAGTTTAGAAGAATGTATAACTAGAATAACCAATACAGAGAAGTGCTTAAAGGAGCTGATGGAGCTGAAAACCAAGGCTCGAGAACTACGTGAAGAATGCAGAAGCCTCAGGAGTTGATGCGATCAACTGGAAGAAAGGGTATCAGCAATGGAAGATGAAATGAATGAAATGAAGTGAGAAGGGAAGTTTAGAGAAAAAAGAATAAAAAGAAATGAGCAAAGCCTCCAAGAAATATGGGACTATGTGAAAAGACCAAATCTACGTCTGATTGGTGTACCTGAAAGTGATGGGGAGAATGGAACCAAGTTGGAAAACACTCTGCAGGATATTATCCAGGAGAACTTCCCCAATCTAGCAAGGCAGGCCAACATCCAGATTCAGGAAATACAGAGAACGCCACAAAGATACTCCTCGAGAAGAGCAACTCCAAGACACATAATTGTCAGATTCACCAAAGTTGAAATGAAGGAAAAAATGTTAAGGGCAGCCAGAGAGAAAGGTCGGGTTACCCTCAAAGGAAAGCCCATCAGACTAACAGCGGATCTCTCTGCAGAAACCCTACAAGCCAGAAGAGAATGGGGGCCAATATTCAACATTCTTAAAGAAAAGAATTTTCAACCCAGAATTTCCTATCCAGCCAAACTAAGCTTCATAAGTGAAGGAGAAATAAAATACTTTACAGACAAGCAAGTGCTGAGAGATTTTGTCACCACCAGGCCTGCTCTAAAAGAGCTCCTGAAGGAAGCGCTAAACATGGAAAGGAACAACCGGTACGAGCCGCTGCAAAATCATGCCAAAATGTAAAGACCATTGAGACTAGGAAGAAACTGCATCAACTAATGAGCAAAATCACCAGCTAACATCATAATGACAGGATTAAATTCACACATAACAATATTAACTTTAAATGCAAATTGACTAAATTCTCCAATTAAAAGACACAGACTGGCAAATTGGATAAAGAGTCAAGACCCATCAGTGTGCTGTATTCAGGAAACCCATCTCACGTGCAGAGACACACATAGGCTCAAAATAAAAGGATGGAGGAAGATCTACCAAGCAAATGGAAAACAAAAAAAGGCAGGGGTTGCAATCCTAGTCTCTGATAAAACAGACTTTAAACCAACAAAGATCAAAAGAGACAAAGAAGGCCATTACATAATGGTAAAGGGATCAATTCAACAAGAGCTAACTATCCTAAATATATATGCACCCAATACAGGAGCACCCAGATTCATAAAGCAAGTCCTGAGTGACCTACAAAGAGACTTAGACTCCCACACATTAATAATGGGAGACTTTAACACCCCACTGTCAACATTAGACAGATCAATGAGACAGAAAGTTAACAAGGATACCCAAGAATTGAACTCAGCTCTGCACCAAGCGGACCTAATAGACATCTACAGAACTCTCCACCAAAAATCAACAGAATATACATTTTTTTCAGCACCACACCACACCTATTCCAAAATTGACCACATACTTGGAAGTAAAGCTCTCCTCAGCAAATGTAAAAGAACAGAAATTATAACAAACTATCTCTCAGACCACAGTGCAATCAAACTAGAACTCAGGATTAAGACTCTCACTCAAAGCCACTCAACTACATGGAAACTGAACAACCTGCTCCTGAATGACTACTGGGTACATAACGAAATGAAGGCAGAAATAAAGATGTTCTTTGAAACCAATGAGAACAAAGACACAACATACCAGAATCTCTGGGACGCATTCAAAGCAGTGTGTAGAGGGAAATTTATAGCACTAAATGTGCACAAGAGAAAGCAGGAAAGATCCAAAATTGACACCCTAACATCACAATTAAAATAACTAGAAAAGCAAGAGCAAACACATTCAAAAGCTAGCAGAAGGCAAGAAATAACTAAAATCAGAGCTGAACTGAAGGAAATAGAGACACAAAAAACCCTTCAAAATATCAATGAATCCAGGAGCTGGTTTTTTGAAAGGATCAACAAAATTGATAGACCGCTAGCAAGACTAATAAACAGAAAAAGAGAGAAGAATCAAATAGACACAATAAAAAATGATAAAGGGGATATCACCACCAATCCCACAGAAATACAAACTACCATCAGAGAATACTACAAACAGCTCTACACAAATAAAATCGAAAATCTAGAAGAAATGGATAAATTCCTCATACACTCTCCCAAGACTAAACCAGGAAGGAGTTGAATCTCTGAATAGACCAATAACAGGAGCTGAAATTGTGGCAATAATCAATAGTTTACCAACCAAAAAGAGTCCAGTACCAGATGGATTCACAGCCGAATTCTACCAGAGGTACAAGGGGGAACTGGTACCATTCCTTCTGAAACTATTCCAATCAATAGAAAAAGAAGGAATCCTCTCTAACTCATTTTATGAGGTGAGCATCATTCTGATACCAAAGCCGAGCAGAGACACAACCAAAAAAGAGAATTTTAGACCAATATCCTTGATGAACATTGATGCAAAAATCCTCAATAAAATACTGGCAAACCAAATCCAGTAGCACATCAAAAAGCTTATCCACCGTGATCAAGTGGGCTTCATCGCTGGGATGCAAGGCTGGTTCAATATATGCAAATCAATAAATGTAATCCAGCATATAAACAGAACCAAAGACAAAAACCACATGATTATCTCAATAGATGCAGAAAAAGACTTTGACAAAATTCAACAACCCTTCATGCTAAAAACTCTCAATAAATTAGGTATTGATGGGACGTATCTCAAAATAATAAGAGCTATCTATGACAAACCCACAGCCAATATCGTACTGAATGGGCAAAAACTGGAAGCATTCCCTTTGAAAACTGGCACAAGACAGGGATGCCCTCTCTCACCACTCCTATTCAACATAGTGTTGGATGTTCTGGCCGAGGCAATTAGGCAGGAGAAGGAAATAAAGGGTATTCAATTAGGAAAAGAGGAAGTCAAATTGTCCCTGTTTGCAGATGACATGATTGTATATCTAGAAAACCCCATTGTCTCAGCCCAAAATCTCCTTAAGCTGATAAGCAACTTCAGCAAAGTCTCAGGATACAAAATCAATGTACAAAAATCACAAGCATTCTTATACACCAACAACAGACAAACAGAGAGCCAAATCATGAGTGAACTCCCATTCACAATTGCTTCAAAGAGAATAAAATACCTAGGAATCCAACTTACAAGGGATGTGAAGGACCTCTTCAAGGAGAACTACAAAGAACTGCTCAAGGAAATAAAAGAGGATACAAACAAATGGAAGAACATTCCACGCTCATGGGTAGGAGGAATCAATATCGTGAAAATGGCCATACTGCCCAAGGTAATTTATAGATTCAATGCCATCCCCATCAAGCTACCAATGACTTTCTTCACAGAATTGGAAAAAACTACTTTAAAGTTCATATGGAACCAAAAAAGAGCCCGCATCGCCAAGTCAATCCTAAGCCAAAAGAACAAAGCTGGAGGCATCACACTACCTCACTTCAAACTATACTACAAGGCAACAGTAACCAAAACAGCATGGTACTGGTACCAAAACAGAGATATAGATCAATGGAACAGAACAGAGCCCTCAGAAATAACACCGCTTACCTACAACTATCTGATCTTTGACAAACCTGAGAAAAACAAGCAATGGGGAAAGGATTCCCTATTTAATAAACGGTGCTGGGAAAACTGGCTGGCCATATGTAGAAAGCTGAAACTGGATCCCTTCCTTACACCTTATACAAAAACCAATTCAAGATGGATTAAAGATTTAAACGTTAGACCTAAAACCATAAAAACCCTAGAAGAAAACCTAGGCATTACCATTCAGGACATAGGCATGGGTAAGGACTTCATGTCTAAAACACCAAAAGCAATGGCAACAAAAGACAAAATTGACAAATGGGATCTAATTAAACTCAAGAGCTTCTGCACAGCAAAAGAAACTACCATCAGAGTGAACAGGCAACCTACAAAATGGGAGAAAATTTTCGCAACCTACTCATCTGACAAAGGGCTAATATCCAGAATCTACAATGAACTCAAACAAATTTACAAGAAAAAGACAAACAACCCCATCAAAAAGTGGGCGAAGGACATGAACAGACACTTCTCAAAAGAAGACATTTATGCAGCCAAAAAACACATGAAAAAATGCTCACCATCACTGGCCATCAGAGAAATACAAATCAAAACCACTATGAGATATCATCTCACACCAGTTAGAACGGCAATCATTAAAAAGTCAGGAAACAACAGGTGCTGGAGAGGATGTGGAGAAATAGGAACACTTTTACACTGTTGGTGGGACTGTAAACTAGTTCAACCCTTGTGGAAGTCAGTGTGGCGATTCCTCAGGGATCTAGAACTAGAAATACCATTTGACCCAGCCATCCCATTACTGGGTATATACCCAAAGGACTATAAATCATGCTGCTATAAAGACACATGCACACGTATGTTTATTGCGGCATTATTCACAATAGCAAAGACTTGGAACCAACCCAAATGTCCAACAATTATAGACTGGATTAAGAAAATGTGTCACATATACACCATGGAATACTATGCAGCCATAAAAAATGATGAGTTCATGTCCTTTGTAGGGACATGGATGAAATTGGAAATCATCATTCTCAGTAAACTATCACAAGAACAAAAAACCAAACACCGCATATTCTCACTCATAGGTGGGAATTGAACAATGAGATCACATGGACACAGGAAGGGGAATATCACACTCTGGGGACTGTGGTGGGGTAGGGGGAGGGGGGAGGGATAGCATTGGGAGATATACCTAATGCTAGATGATGAGTTAGTGGGTGCAGCACACCAGCATGGCACATGTATACATATGTAACTAACCTGCACAATGTGCACATGTACCCTAAAACTTAAAGTATAATAAAAATAAAATAAAATAAAAGTGTTAGATTATTTCAGAAAAAAAAATATGGTAAACACATTGTAGAAGACAGCTTGTAAATTTCGTAAGTTAAACACAAAACTATCATATGATCCATTGTATTAGGCCATTCTTGCATTGCTTTAAGAAAATACCTGAGACTGAATAATTCATAGAGAAAAGAGACTTAATTGGCTCATGGTTCTGTAGGCTTTATAGGAAACATGATGCTGACCATCTGTTTGGCTTCTAGGGAGGCCTCAGGAAGCTTACAATAATGGTAGAAGTCAATGGCAGAGCAGGCAATGTTGTATGATCAGAACAGGAACAAGAGAGAACAAGGAGGGAGGTGCCAGATACTTTTAAACAACCAGATCTCAAGAGAACTCCTCACTATCGTAAGAACAGCACCAGAAGGATGGTGCTAGACCGTTATTGAGAAATCTACCCCCAACATTTAATCACCTCACACTAGGCCCCATCTCCAACATTAACGATTACAATTGAACACGAAATATGGGGAGACACAGATCCAAACCATATCACCCATCAATTCCATGCATCAGTATCTACCCAAAGAAAGTGACAACTTTTGTCCAAGACTTGAATGTGAACAATAACTTCATTCTGCATAATAATAAACTAGAAACACTTAAATGCTGGTCAAAGTGTATAAGTGCAGTGTGGTATATTCTTACAATGGAATACTATTCTGTAATACAAAAGAATGGACTACTGAAACATGGATGAACCTCAAAACATTATGCTAAGCGAAAGAAGCCAGACACAAAAGACCACATATTATATAATTATGTTTACATGGAATTTCCAGAAAAGGCAAACTATGGAGAAGGAAAGCAGACCTCTGCTTGCCTAACCCTGGGGGTGATCACGTGAATTGACAACAGACAGAGGTAAAGGAACACTATGGTGTCACGAAACTAGAAGCTAGTTTAACTGTATCATTTCAATTGATCTTTAGCTTTCTTAGGAATAACATCTTCAATTAATTCTTGAGAGTTCATGCTTTTTTTTTTTTCTTTCCTGTGCTCTGTATGTTTAACATTTTCACTTTTTTGTTTTAAACAGAGGTATTTAGTTTTGGGTGCAGGCAACAGATTCATTTTAATTCATGTCACCACCAATTGTTCTGTCAATCCACGATCCAACAAAAATTAACAATAAGACTGATTCTGATAGTTGATTAACTGGTCTCTCCTTAGTGAGCAAGGCAACGGTCAACAGCAGAGCCACTTCAGAGTCTCCTGGGAAAGTGTGAACTAATATGAAGTTGTTGTGATGGTTGCATAATTGTTCAAATATACTAAAAATAATTAAATTTGTACAATTACAATAGTTGTATTTTATGTACACATACCTCAAAAAAGCGGTTTAAAAAATGAAATAGGGGGTGGAGCCAAGATGGCCGAATAGGAACAGCGCCGGTCTACAGCTCCCAGCATGAGCAATGCAGAAGACGGGTGATTTATGCATTTCCATCTGAGGTACCAGGTTCATCTCACTAGGGAGTGCCAGACAGAGCGCACAGGACAATGGGTGCAGCACACCATGCAGGAGCCGAAGCAGGGCAAGGCATTGCCTCACTCGGGAAGTGCAACGGGTCAGGGAGTTCCCTTTCCTGGTCAAAGAAAGGGGTGACAGACAGCACCTGGAAAATCAGGTCACTCCCACCCTAATACTGCACTTCTCTGACGGGCGTAAGCGCACCAGGAGATTATATCCCGCACCTGGCTCAGAGAGTCCTATGCCCACAGTCTCGCTGATTGCTAGCCCAGCAGTCTGAGATCAAACTGCAAGGTGGCAGCGAGGCTGAGGGAGGGGCACCTGCCATTGCCCAGGCTTGCTTAGGTAAACAAAGCAGGCAGGAAGTTCGAACTGGGTGGAGCCCACCACAGCTCAAGGAGGCCTGCCTGCCTCTGTAGGCTTCATCTCTGGGGGCAGGGCACAGACAAACAAAAAGACAACAGTAACCTCTGCAGACTTAAATGTTCCTGTCTGACAGCTTTGAAGAGAGCAGTGGTTCTCCCAGCATGCAGCTGGAGATCTGAGAACGGGCAGACTGCCTCCTCAAGTGGGTCCCTGACCCCTGACCCCCGAGCAGCCTAACTGGGAGGCACCCCCCAATAGGGACAGACTGACACCTCACACGGCTGGGTACTCCTCTGAGACAAAACTTCCAGAGGAATGATCTGACAGCAGCATTCGCGGTTCACGAAAATCCGCTGTTCTGCAGCCACCGCTGCTGGTACCCAGGCAAACAGGGTCTGGAGTGGACCTCTAGCAAACTCCAAAAGACCTGCAGCTGAGGGTCCTGTCTGTTAGAAGGAAAACGAACAAACAGAAAGGACATCCACACCAAAAACCCATCTGTACATCACCATCATCAAAGACCAAAAGTAGATAAAACCACAAAGATGGGGAAAAAAACAGAGCAGAAAAACAGGAAACTCTAAAAATCAGAGCACCTCTCCTCCTCCAAAGGAATGCAGTTCCTCACCAGCAACAGAACAAAGCTGGACGGAGAATGACTTTGACTAGTTGAGAGAAGAAGGCTTCAGATGATCAAACTACTCTGAGCTACAGGAAGAAATCCAAACCAAAGGCAAAGAAGTTGAAAACTTTGAAAAAAATTTAGACGAATGTATAACTAGAATAACTAATACAGAGAAGTGCTTAAAGGAGCTGATGGAGCTGAAAGCCAAGGCTCGAGAACTACGTGAAGAATGCACAAGCCTCAGGAGCTGATGCGATCAACTGGAAGAAAGGGTAACAGTGATGGAAGATGAAATGAATGAAATGAAGCAAGAAGAGAAGTTTAGAGAAGAAAGAATAAAAAGAAACGAACAAAGCCTCCAAGAAATATGGGACTATGTGAAAAGACCAAATCTACGTCTGATTGGTGTACCTGAAAGTGATGGGGAGAATGGAACCAAGTTGGAAAACACTCTGCAGGATATTATCCAGGAGAACTTCCCCAATCTAGCAAGGCAGGCCAACATCCAGATTCAGGAAATACAGAGAACGCCACAAAGATACTCCTCGAGAAGAGCAACTCCAAAACACATAATTGTCAGATTCACCAAAGTTGAAATGAAGGAAAAAATGTAAAGGGCAGCCAGAGAGAAAGGTCAGGTTACCCACAAAAGGAAGCCCATCAGACTAACAGCAGATCTCTCTGCAGAAACTCTACAAGCCAGAAGAGAATGGGGGCCAATATTCAACATTCTTAAATAAAAGAATTTTCAACCCAGAATTTCCTATCCAGCCAAACTAAGCTTCATAAGTGAAGGAGAAATAAAATACTTTACAGACAAGCAAATGCTGAGAGATATTGTCACCACCAGGCCTGCCCTAAAAGAGCTCCTCAAGGAAGCAGTAAACGTGGAAAGGAACAACCAGGACCAGCCACTGCAAAATCATGCCAAATTGTAAAGACCATTGAGACTAGGAAGAAACTGCATCAACTAACGAGCAAAATCACCAGCTAACATCATAATGACAGGATCAAATTCACACATAATATTATTAACTTTAAATGTAAATGAACTAAATGCTCCAATTAAAAGACACAGACTGGCAAATTGGATAAAGAGTCAAGACCCATCAGTGTGCTATATTTAGGAAACCCATCTCACATGCAGAGACACACATAGGCTCAAAATAAAAGGATGGAGGAAGATCTACCAAGCAAATGGAAAACAAAAAAAGGCAGGGGTTGCAATCCTAGTCTCTGGTAAAACAGACTTTAAACCAACAAAGATCAAAAGAGACAAAGGCGGCCATTACATAATGGTAAAGGGATCAATTCAACAAGAAGAGCTAACTGTCCTAAATATATATGCACCCAATACAGGAGGACCCAGATTCATAAAGCAGATCCTGAGTGACCTATAAAGAGACTTAGACTCTCACACAATAATAGTGGGAGACTTTAACACCCCACTGTCAACATTAGACAGATCAATGAGACAGAAAGTTAACAAGGATATCCAGGAATTGAACTCATCTCTGCACCAAGCGGACCTAATAGACATCTACAGAACTCTCCATTGCAAATCAACAGAATATACATTTCTTTCAGCACCACACCACACCTATTCCAAAATTGACCACATACTTGGAAGTAAAGATCTCCTCAGCAAATGTAAAAGAACAGAAATTGTAACAAACTATCTCTCAGACCACAGTGCAATCAAACTAGAACTCAGGTTTAAGAAACTCACTCAAAACCGCTCAACTACATGGAAACTGAACAACCTGCTCCTGAATGACTACTGGGTACAAAACGAAATGAAGGCAGAAATAAAGATGTTCTTTGAAACCAATGAGAACAAAGACACAACATACCAGAATCTCTGGGACACATTCAAAGCAGTGTGTAGAGGGAAATTTATAGCACTAAATGCCCACGAGGAAGCAAGAAAGATCCAAAATTGTCACCCTAACATCACAATTAAAAGAACTAGAAAAGCAAGAGCAAACACATTCAAAAGCTAGCAGAAGGCAAGAAATAACTAAAATCAGAGCTGAACTGAAGGAAATAGAGACACAAAAAACCCTTCAAAAAATCAATGAATCCAGGAGCTGGTTTTTTGAAAGGATCAATAAAATTGATAGACCACTAGCAAGATTAATAAAGGAGAAAAGAGAGAAGAATCAAATAGACGCAATAAAAAATGATAAAGGGGATATCACCACCAATCCCACAGAAATACAAACTACCATCAGAGAATACTACAAACACCTCCATGTAAATAAAATAGAAAATCTAGAAGAAATGGATAAATTCCTCGACACATACACTCTCCCAAGACTAAACCAGGAAGGAGTTGAATCTCTGAATAGACCAATAACAGGATCTGAAATTGTGGCAATAATCAATAGCTTACCAACCAAAAAAAGTCCAGGACCAGACGGATTCACAGCCGAATTCTACCAGAGGTACAAGGAGGAACTGGTACCATTCCTTCTGAAACTATTCCAATCAATAGAAAAAGAAGGAATCCTCCCTAACTCATTTTATGAGGCCAGCATCATCCTGATACCAAAGCCGGGCAGAGACACAACCAAAAAAGAGAATTTTAGACCAATATCCTTGATGAACATTGATGCAAAAATCCTCAATAAAATACTGGCAAACCGAAACCAGCAGCACATCAAAAAGCTTATCTATCATGATCAAGTGGGCTTCATCCCTGGGATTCAAGGCTGGTTCAATATACGCAAATCAATAAATGTAATCCAGCATATAAACAGAACCAAAGACAAAAACCACACGATTATCTCAATAGATGCAGAAAAAGCCTTTGACAAAATTCAACAACCCTTCATGCTAAAAACTCTCAATAAATTAGGTATTGATGAGACGTATCTCAAAACAATAAGAGCTATCTATGACAAACCCACAGCCAATATCATACTGAATGGGCAAAAACTGGAAGCATTCCCTTTGAAAACTGGCACAAGACAGGGATGCCCTCTCTCACCATTCCTATTCAACAGAGTGTTGGATGTTCTGGCCAGGGCAATTAGGCAGGAGAAGGAAATAAAGGGTATTCAATTAGGAAAAGAGGAAGTCAAATTGTCCCTGTTTGCAGATGACATGATTGTATATCTAGAAAACCCCATTGTCTCAGCCCAAAATCTCCTTAAGCTGATAAGCAACTTCAGCAGTCTCATGATACAAAATCAATGTACAAAAATCACAAGCATTCTTATACACCAACAACAGACAAACAGAGAGCCAAATCATGAGCGAACTCCCATTCATAATTGCTTCAAAGAGAATAAAATACCTAGGAATCCAACTTACAAGGGATGTGAAGGACCTCTTCAAGGAGAACTACAAACCACTGCTCAACGAAATAAAAGAGGATACAAACAAATGGAGAACATTCCATGCTCATGGGTAGGAATAATCAATATTGTGAAAATGGCCATACTGCCCAAGGTAATTTATAGATTCAATGCCATCCCCATCAAGCTACCAATGACTTTCTTCACAGAATTGGAAAAAACTACTTTAAAGTTCATATGGAACCAAAAAAGAGCCTACATTGCCAAGTCAATCCTAAGCCATAAGAACAAAGCTGGAGGCATCACGCTACCTGACTTCAAACTATACTACAAGGCTAAAGTAATCAAAACAGCATGGTACTGGTACCAAAACAGAGATATAGATCAATGGAACAGAACGGAGCCCTCAGAAATAATGCCGCATACCTACAACTATCTGATCTTTGATAAACCTGAGAAAAACCAGCAATGGGGAAAGGATTCCCTATTTAATAAATGGTGCTGGGAAAACTGGCTAGCCATATGTAGAAAGCTGAAACTGGATCCCTTCCTTACACCTTATACAAAAATTAAATCAAGATGGATTAAAGACTTAAACGTTAGACCTAAAACCATAAAAACCCTAGAAGAAAACCTAGGCATTACCATTCAGGACATAGGCATGGGCAAGGACTTCATGTCTAAAACACCAAAAGCAATGGCAACAAAAGACAAAATTGACAAATGAGATCTAATTAAACTCAAGAGCTTCTGCACAGCAAAAGAAACTACCATCAGAGTGAACAGGCAACCTACAAAATGGGAGAAAATTTTCACAACCTACTCATCTGACAAAGGGCTAATATCCAGAATCTACAATGAACTCAAACAAATTTACAAGAAAAAAACAAACAACCCCATCAAAAAGTGGGCGAAGGACATGAACAGACACTTCTCAAAAGAAGACATTTATGCAGCCAAAAAACACATGAAAAAATGCTCACCATCACTGGCCATCAGAGAAATGCAAATCAGAACCACAATGAGATACCATCTCACACCAGTTAGAATGGTGATCATTAAAAAGTAAGGAAACAACAGTTGCTGGAGAGGATGTGGAGAAATAGGAACACTTTTACACTGTTGGTGGGACTGTAAACTAGTTCAACCATTGTGGAAGTCAGTGTGGTGATTTCTCAGGGATCTAGAACTAGAAATACCATTTGACCCAGCCATCCCATTACTGGGTATATACCCAAAGGACTATAAATCATGCTGCTATAAAGACACATGCACACGTATGTTTATTGTGGCACTATTGACAATAGCAGAGACTTGGAACCAACCCAAATGTCCAACAATGATAGACTGGATTAAGAAAATGTGTCACATATACACCATGGAATACTATGCAGCCATAAAAAATGATGAGTTCATGTCCTTTGTAGGGACATGGATGAAATTGGAAATCATCATTCTCAGTAAACTATCACAAGAACAAAAAACCAAACACCGCATATTCTCACTCATAGGTGGGAATTGAACAATGAGAACACATGAACACAGGAAGGGGAACATCACACTCTGGGGACTGTTGTGGGGTGGGGGGAAGGGGGGAGGGATAGCTTTAGGAGATATACCTAATGCTAAATGACGAGTTAATGGGTGCAGCACACCAGCATGGCACATGTATACATATGTAACTAACCTGCACAATGTGCACATGTACCCTAAAACTTAAAGTATAATAATAATAAAATAAAATAACACCCCCCCAAAAAAAATAAAAAAATAAAAAATAAAAAATGAAATAGGTTTTCAAAAGATGCCAACACTTCAGTATTCCCATTCATGATCAGAGCATTTGAAATACAACTTTTTAAATTCACCCCAAAGGTATAACACCTAAGTAGGCCCTACTTTGAGATATCTTGTTTAAAATATATTTTCTCACTTTCTGCTGTATGATGAGAGTTCAGTACCCACAACAATAATGACAACATGTATCTTATATTGTGATAAGTAATTGAATGATTCTTAAAAAATTAGTTTAAGCTGATCAGATATTTATTCTGCTCGATGTTGCACATCTGTGAAGTTAAAAGTTAATTACTTTTTTAAAAAGTAATTGAGTCTAATACACAGGGCTTCAATATTTTCTTAGAAAGTTATTTTTTCTTCATCTCTTAGAAATATTTTATGGTAATGACACAAATAAAACATGGAACAAAAATTTCTTTCATAATTTCATCTGAATAACTTTTTCCAATTTCAATTGTGGTAGAACATCAGGTAAAATTGACCATCTTACCTATTTTTAAGTATACAGGTCAGTGGCATTAAGTATATTCATACTGCTGTGCTATATAAATCACCGTCAATCCACAGACCTCTTTTCATCTTGCAAAACTGAAACTCTTTACCTACTAAATTCCATATCCCTTTTCCGCTAGCCCCTGACAACCACCTACTTACTATTTCTATGAGTTTGCTCTAAGTACCTCATACAAATTAAATTTTCAGTATTTTTCCTCATGTGATTGGTTTATTTTACTTAGCACAATGTCAAGGTTCATCCATGTTGTAACACATGTCAGAATTTCCTTCTTTTTTAGGGTTGAATAATATTCAATTGCATATATACATATATATATGCATAATTTTATCTATTAGTCAATGGTTTACATTTGACACTTCGGTTTTTTCCATCTTTTGACTATTATAAATAATATGCTATGGACATAAGTGTAAAAATCTCTTTTCCAGTCCTGACTTTCATTTTTGCTGACTATATACCCAGAAGTGGCATATCCGGATCATATGGTAATTCTATTTTTAACTTCTTGAGGAACTGTCATACTGTTTTCCACAGCAACTGCACCATTATATTCTCACCAACAGGGCCTGAGGATTCCAATTCCTCCACATCCTCACCACCTGATTTTGGAATTAAGTCTTTGCTTAGTTGGCATACCATTGATCATACTGTATGTACTTGATCTAATGGAATATAATTAACAGAATCCGTTACTCACAGTTAGAATGGTCTATTAGGCTCACACTTCCTCCAAGTATCTCTTTGTGGTCAGCCATCTACCTGCTTAGAATCAGTATACTGAAGCAATATTTTGCCTAGAAAAGTTTAAACTCCAAGTTAGATCAAACTAGAAAGACTTTTGAAGCAAACTAAAAACAAATTCAATACTTAATGTTTTAATCATGAACTACATCTTATCCCATATACAAATCAGAACCAAATTCATGCATTTAAAAAAATGGTTAAAGAAAAACTCTGAAGCATTTGAAATATGTTTCCAAAACAAATAGAAACTTTACTGTATCACTTGGTTCAAGTCTCTGAATGAAGGTAATATTGGCATTTGGAGTTCCTGCTGCAAAATTGCATATTCTGTGCCATTCAAGCCTAGAGCTCTATGAACTAGTGTGATTTCAGTTTTTTGCTGATTATAGAGCATTGCTATCTAATACCTGGGATTCTCAGTAAACATCCATTTTCTCTGGAAGCTAGTTTCCCTGTATCATTTCAATTGATCTTTAGCTTTCTTAGGAAGAACGTCTTCAATTAATTCTTGAGAGTTCATGTTTTTTTTTTCTTTTTCTTTCCTGTGCTCTATTTAACATTTTCACTTTTTTTTAAACAGACGTATTTAGTTTTGGGTGCAGGCAACAGATTCATTTTAACTCATGTCACCACCAATTGTTCTGTCAATCCATGGTCCAACAAAAATTAACATTAAGACTGATTCTGATAGTTGATTAACAGGTCTCTCCTTAGCGAGCAAGGCAACCATCAACAGCAGAGCCACTTTAGAGTCTCCTGGGAAAGTGTGAACATGACAGTAAACAGCCTACATCAAAGACATTTCAATTCCACAACAAGCCTTTCTGTTTCGGGTAAGTGATATACACCCAAACAAAACATTAATCAGAAGACCTATTTCATCTCCCTGGGGAATCTGACTAATTCTACTCTCTAAGTGTGATTTTGAACAAGAAAAGAGTTCCTTTAAGGAGATATAGAGGCTGAGAGAAGCATCTTAAATTTAGTGTGGATTTCATGGTAATAAAAAGAGTCTTCCTGCAAGATAATATTCTAACATTGTAAAATTTTAACTCCTTCTTCTAATTAGGCTCATCAGCTTGGGGCCTCTATTTGTGTTTCATCTCTAGCTGGGTGGTTTCAGTTAACATAAACTTGAGAATGGTGGAGAATATGGCATTTACTGGTATTTACATTGTCTACATAAGGACTGTTTGACCTGAGTGTAGAAGTTTGTTTATTCATTTGTTTTCCATTTGTATCTTAAAATATGAAATAGAAAGGAGAGACTAGCATAAAGTCTGGAAGTGGGACATACAAAGAGGACAATATTTATCTTCCAGAAGGAGAGGGCCACTGTTGTGGAAGTTTTTACCCACTCCATACTTTTGTTTGGAAATGTCACTGGTTTGTTAGAATATCCATGGAAACCACATTGAATTGACAGATAATGGTCCTTTGGTCTGTATTTTCATCCTTATGTTTATTCTTGTAGAAAACAATGAATTCAATTCACTCTGTCTCTCATCCTACATTTATTCCTCTGCTGTTATCACTGAATCTCAAAATCTTTATATACAACATGGGGCCTAAGAAGGATCTGAAGAGTTGTTATGATTTGGCCATATCCTTTCTTGACTCTCATACAAAAGGTGAGGAAAAAAGAATGTCATTTAGAGTGGCTGTGTTTTTCCTGGACCATCTTGTACAAGAATCCAGTTCCTGCTGAAATTCTGACAACCCTTGAAAAAGCTAAAGCCTTTAACCCAAGTTAATTTTCTTGCTTTGCTAAGAATGATAATCTTGTCATAAATGCTATTTAAAATTTTAACATTTGAGCTAAAGTAGCACATAGGAGGTAGATTTTTAAAAAAATGAAATGTTATTATCTAACATTTTTTATAACTTGAAAGTGAATGAGCATATTTTGTTCTAAATCTTAAAACAAATTTAAATCTAATCTTAATCAAATATGGAAACATTAGTAAGTTGCCTTTGGAAATTGTGTGTTCACGGAAACACAATAATGAGAGGCGTCTTTCAAGACCATGAGACCATCTTTTGCAAAGCTAATACATACTTTATTTTTATTTTTTAAAAAAATTTTTTTGGGAAGGTGAAACTTCATTTTCTCTCAATGATTGTATTGTCTTCCCTTACAACTGTTTTCATAATGAAGATGCTGGTTTCACCCTATGGCAGAGTCTTTTATTGAGGATATAATTCACCTAATGCTCTCTCTTTTTACAACCAAAGAAATGATCAAGAAACAAGCTAAATTTCTTTTTGTTTGTTCTGTTGCAATGAAAAGAGCTTTAGGAAAGAAAAAAAATAATCTCTTCAATTTTTGCTTCCAAGGAAGGTAGACAGGCTCGATCCTCATGAACAACCTTTACTCCATCAGTGTGTTGTATATATCAGATATATTTTACTTAAATACTTTCAATACATGTGTGAAGTAATATTTTTATTGCCTTCTTAGTGATGAATCAAGATAGCATTTTTTTCCTTTATCTTGTTTATCTTTGGCATGCTAGGAAACTGACTACTGAAGTCTCATATATGACATTTTTCTTCTATGAACAATCTAAGCTTCTAAATATACAAACTTTGATGATGATGATTATTATTTTTACTTGCTGATCTCAAATAGATCCAGAAAGTGGTGATTCCTTGTATTCAGAGCTAGCCAGACCACTCCTTAGAATGTAGTGGTCAAATTTAATTTTCACAACTGAACATTTTTGATGAGGAGTTTTAAATAATTTAGTAAAAACCCAGGGGAAGATATAAAGGGTTTGTTAATTTTATTTGAAGAAAACATTGAGTAACCTGCATGTTTTAATTTGGCAAGTAGAGACCTAAGGTAGAATTAATTGTCTTTTTACCACTCCAAAACAACTGATCAAATATGTCTCTACCATGAGATATAATTCAGCTAAATCAATCATGTCATTGAATTTGGTTAATCATAATAGTTAATCTGGTAACTCTACACAGATAATCCTAAAAGGGCTTAAAAAAGTGAAAAGAAGTAAGATTACTATTTATACTGAAAACAAAGTGTGGGAGATTAAGTTTACTGTAATAGTATGTGAGAATTAAACAGATTATTCAAGATTACACTAAGTATTGGGTCACACTTTCTTTTTATACTCATCTCTTAACACCATAAATCTTCACCTAATTTGACTTTAGACACATTTTTTTCTGCTATGATTTTCTTTCTAATTATTTCTGGAACCTCCTGGGGCATGTTTATAAATTCATACCCATTGCACTATGGATCCTAATCCTGCTCTCTGGCTCTGGACTCCTGGATCCTGTGAACTGTCTTGGCCACCATGAATTGATACACTGCAGGCTGCTTCTCTCTCCTGTATTGTTTTGTTCTAAACATGGGTCAGGCCTTAACTTTAATCCCCTGCAGACCACATTGAGGGGGTGGTAACATTTCATAGGACTTTTTTGTTTTTGTAGAATTCAACACATGAAAAGATAAGAACTACCAGAGAATAACATAAGGACTCCACATTGCCCTTTATTGTGTAAATATCCGACATTTCTCTCTGGTATTTGACCTCTAACTAAGAAGAGTTTCTCCCCAAGTCCCAGCAACAGTGGAGCATGTCCACTTCTAGCTCTGAACCTACCCAAATCCCAAGACTCAGGAATATTTTTTTTTGCCTCATCTCTGGCTAAGGTCACCACTACACGTTATTGGGTTGATTGGTTCTCTAGATGTTTTAAAGTAGATATTTATCTCCATTTCTTTCTGGTGAAATCAAACCTTACCCACAGATTCTGTGACCTCAAAATAAATGAAACAATTGTCAGACGTCAGCATATACTCCCAAGTCTAGGTTGTTTAGACGTATATAATGCCAGACACTAATCCAAAATTGGATAGTGCCAAGGTCAGCACATTTCAAGATAGCTCTTACCCAGGTTCACTTTGCTTGTGAAAAAGAAAGAGTATTTATAGCAAAAAAGAAGAATGTTTCATCTGTTTGTTCAACCCCTTGATCAAAATCACATAAAACAGGTATTTATATAATCAACTCTTCCCATTACTGTTAAAAAAAGACAAAAATATTCATTATGGTATACTGATATGTACACAGGTCTAGGAAAGTCTTAGTTTTGATAGACAGTCTTATAGTCTTAGCCCATACAAAAATAAAAAAAAAAGAAGTCCTAAGTAAATTATAGCATCAAGTGTTGCTGGCTCTTAGGAATTGGTATGTATTCGACTCTCATCTAATGTCATCTAATGTGCTTCTTTACATTTTTATGGGGGAATACAGACAGTAAGAGCAGGATATAAATTAATTTTCTTTAATATAAAATCAAAAGAAATATCAGTGTAACCATTTCAATATTTCAATGTTTCCTGAACAATTCTTTCTTTGCCCCTTCTAAGCCACAGAAATAAGAAAAAATAGAACAGAATGAACAGTACTTAATTCAATAGCATTGGAAGCAAGTTATAAAATATGTTGCTATTGGAACAGTCTGTAGTATTGATGAAAGTATATAGTAGTATGACATTTCTCTGTGGAACTTTGACAATATAAAAATTAGGTTTAAAGTGTCCATCTTTAAAACAGAAATTCTACTTGAAAATAATTTTAAACAGGTAATTAAACATATGAAAAGGATATATATGCAATTATGTGCAGCAACTGACAGCACTTTTTAACAGCCATATGGAAATTGAAGTAATCTAAATATCCAACAATAGAGCAAAGGCTCTATAGATTATGGTGCCTCCAGCTTTTAATGTTATATGTATTTTAAAATTATATTTTCAAAAAAGATTAAATGTTGCCCTATCTTCCACAATGGCTAAACTAATATACACTCAAAAACCTAATCAGAAATACCATTCAACACATCAATCCCATTGCTGGGTATATACCCAAAGGAATAGAAACTCACACCTGTAATCCCAGCACTTGAGGCCCAGGCGGGTGGATCACAGGGTCAAGAGATCAAGACCATCCTGGCCAACATGGTGAAACCCCGTCGCTACTAAAAATACAAAAATTAGCTGGGTGTGGTGGCACTTGCCTGTAGTCCCAGCAACTCAGGAGGCTGAGTCAGGAGAATCACTCGAACCTGGGAGGCAGAAGTTGCAGTGACCCTAGGTTGCAGTGAGCTGAGATTGTGCCACTGCACTCCAGCCTGGTGACAGCAAGACTCTGTCTCAAAAAAAAAATAATATTATTCTATTACAAAGAAACGTGCATATGTGTGTTCATTACAGCACTAGTCACAATAGTAAAGACATGAAATAAATGTAAATGTCTATGAATGCTAGACTGGATAAAGAAAATGTGGTACCTATACACCATGGAATACTATGCAGCCATAAATAAGAACAAGATCATGTCCTTTGCAGGGACATGGATGGAGCTGGAGGCGATTATCCTTAGCAAACTAATGCAGAAACAGAAAACCAAATACATGTTCCCACTTGTAAGTGGGAGCTAAATGATGAGAACACATAGACACATAGAGGGGAACAGCACACACTAGGGCCTTTCAGAGGGTGAAAGGTGGCAGGAGGGAGAGGATCAGGAAAAAATAACTAATGGGTACAAGGCTTAATATCTGGGTGATGAAATAATCTGTACAACAAGCCCCCATGACACAAGTTTACCTATGTAACAATCTTGTAAATGCACCCCTGAACTTAAAAGTTAAAAAGAGATTAGATGTCTTGAATAATGCTTACATAACACTATACATTGAAACACCAAATAAAAAATTATGTAAGTGGATGGGTATGCTCAGAAAATTACAAAAACATAGTTAGAAGTAGCTATATCTGTATGGTAGAATTTGAGTTTTTTGTTTCTTCTTAGTAAATTTTTATATTTTGACAACAAACATGTATTATTAAGTTTTATGATCAGAAAAATTATTTAAAAATATCTTCTCGGGCCAGGCGCAGTGGCTCATGCCTGTAATCCCAGCACTTTGGGAGGCCGAGGCGGACAGATCACAAGGTCAGGAGATGGAAACCATCCTGGCTAGAATGGCATGAATCCGGGAGGTGGAGCTTGCAGTGAACTGAGATCCCACCACTGCACTCCAGCCTGGGGGACAGAGCAAGACTCTGCCTCAAAAAAAATAAAGAATAAAAATAAATAAAAATAAAAATATCTTCTCTACTAAATGGAAGAGTAGGCAAGTAATTTTACCTGTGATAACATAAATATTATACATAAGGAATCCTGAAAAATTATTTTTAAAACCTATGTCTGAACCCCAGGTAAGACAGGTGAGGTTAGAGACTACTACAAAGTTGAAAAATTTTGTGTAAAGATATGGAAAAAAGGCAGGCAGGAAATCTAAAACTAAATACAAAACAATAACAACACAAACACAAAATGATGAAAACTTCTATTAAATATAAACCTTCAAAAAGATGAAACTTTAATTCAGAGGAAAAAAAATTACAACTTCAAAGAAAATATTGAACTTTTCCTAGTAGCACAAAAGGTATTAATAGAAGTAAAAGAATATATATACAAAAGAAAACAAAATAGATTCAGAGGTGCATGTGCTGATTTGTTATATAGGTAAATTCACGTAACAGGGGTTTGTTGTATAGATTTATTTTTGCTATTAATATTATATAAAACATAAATATATATGTTATATATAATACATACAATATTATATATTATATATACACAGATATTATATGTGTGTGCGTGTATACATATATACACCCATGTATACACACACATATATACTTTTTTTTTTTTGAGATGGAGTCTCGCTCTGTCACCCAGCCTGGAGTTCAGTAGTGTGATGTCGGCTCACTGCAACCTCTGCCTCTGTCTCCCAGGTTCAAACGATTCTTGTGCCTAAGCCTCCAAGTAGCTGGGATTATAGGCACTGCCACCATGCCTGGCTAATTTTTGTATTTTTAGTAGATTCGGGTTTTGTTATGTTGCCCAGGCTGGTCTTAAACTCCTGACCTCACGGATCCACCCACCTTGGCATCCCAAAGTGCTGGGATTACAGGCATGAATCACTGTGAGTGGCCAAATTCAGGACTTATTATATTTATCTGGACTATTTTGATAGCCTCATAAATTATCTCTCTGCCTTCTGACTGCTCTCCTTTACACTGCCCCCAATCCATGTACATACTTCTCAGTCTTCCATAATGGTAACAGACTGATCTTTTCAAAATGCAAGTTTGACCATGTAATGCACTTCAATGTCTTACCAACAGCTTTAGGGTAAAATCTGAATAATTCTGTGTTCTTTAAAACAATGACAACAAAAACTTCCTTGTCTGATCACCAGACAGAAAACTGTCTTATTTTCTAATTTTATCTTCTGCCATATCATCTTATAATACCAGATTAATTGTACGTCCCCAAACATCATATTCCTTCCCATTCTGCTGACTATATTTAAAATATTATAATTATTTTAAATAAATTTTAATAGATGACTCCCACAACTTTTAATTTGTAATCCCTTTATTTTTGTTAACTTTAAAACATGTAATTTTACTGTGATTACTTTGTTAGTTCATTGCTAGTGTTTTCAATTTCCAAATGTAGAAATGTTTAATTTCTAATATTAATTGTTGTTAATTCTTAATTTAATATCATTGTGATATTCTGTATGTTACTGTGTCCTTAACATATGTAACATACATACATATATATACACATATATACATATATACATACATATATACACATATATACATACATATATACATGTATACACATATATACATACATATATACACATATACATATATACACATATACACACACATATATGTATATATATACACACACATATATATGTATATATATACACACACATATATATGTATATATATACACACACACATATATATGTATGTGTGTGTGTGTATGTGTATATATATATATATAAAATGACCTGAATTAAAGAAGAAGCAGTGGAGTCGGAGGAAAGAGGACATATTTAAAAATCAGAGAGGAAGAGTCAATAATTTAGAAGTTGATTGAATATGGAAGGTAAGTGAGACAAAATAAACTGAAATTAATATTTGCTCTCTATCCCAGGTGACTGAAGATGGTGTATTAGTCAGCTTGGGCTGCCATACAAAAATACCAGATTGAGTGCCTTAAACAACAAAAATTTATTTCTCAGTTTTTGAGGCCAGGAGTTTAAGACCAAGGTTTTTTTCTGAGGCCAATTCTCTTGGTTTGTAGATGGCGCCACTTGTACCATCACATGAACTCCTCTTTGTGCCCATGCAGGGAGAGACAGCAGGGTCTCTCATATCTCTTTTTGTAAGTGATTATCTCATATCACTATCATGAAAACCTTATCCTTTTGACTTCATGGAACCCAGTAGCATCTCAAAGGCTCCATCTCTAAATACCATCACCTTGAGCGTTTACGGCCTCAACATACAAATTAAGGGGAGACATGACTCTGTCCATAGCAGATGACAATGTGAAAACTGTACAGAGAAATGAAGGAGAAAGGCAAGTTCGCCCAGGAAGTATGGGGGAAAGATTGAAGAGTATAAGTTTAATTTTAGATATGATGATTAATTTCAAGTGCCTTTAGGATGCAGGTGAAGATTTCTGGCAGATCATTGGTTATGTAAGTATAATGCTTTCAAAAGGGGGGGGGAATTGATTAGACAGTCACTTATTTATTGCTAATAAACCTATAGAGGAGTGGAGCATGTGAAAGAATGATAGCCACTGAGAGATCTCTTGGAAACACTGAAACATGGCCATATGGGAGTACAGAGTGAAGGAGACTGAGTATGGGCAGAAGGATGGGAAAAGAAACCGTAAACTCTGTGGGCATAGAAACAAGGGATGTGATTGTCATCATCCACAGAAGGGTCAAATAAAAATTCTACCCATTAAATATAGGCATTAGGATTTCATTGGGGAACTTGTTTTTGTGACAATGCCTCCATCTTGCACCAAGTTTCATTAGCTCTGCCTATTTCCCATTTGCTATGCCTAAGAACAAACCTGAATAATTAGCCTGCTACACTAGCTCTGGTGCTGCAGAGAAGGACCCTGTTTTGCTCTCATTAGTTAGCGCAGATAGTAGATTCCCAGGAGAAATCTGTACCTTCTCAGATGCCATCTGTGACCCATGCTTGGTTCTTGCTGACCCCGACCACCTTCTTGAGCAAGGCCTCTTGGATGCCTGCCCCCATTTCTCTGCATATATCCAATTGCCCAGTACTGCTCTGCTATGGCTGATGTGTCCAACTGTTCATGGAGATCCAAAGCCTCCTACTTGGATGCTTTATATGTTTGATGTATTTTGTTTTACGATCTGCTCCTTAATTCCTCTGCCCCCGATAGCTTTTGGAGAGCATTCTTTGAACAGGGACTCCTGATTTTTCAGAATTGCTTTTCTAAGGAAATTGTTGCTAGTGTTTGCAAGTCCAACTTTACTTTTTTAAAAACCAAAAAGAGAAAAACAGATAAAAGAACCCACTTAAGTCCAGAGGAAGCATTCTGGGAAGAGACGCCAGCTGCCCTGTGACTGTGCATTTTAAACGGGCGCCTCTCCTCATGATGAGAATTACCTTGGCCCGGGCTGACCATTCCCAGTGGGCTCTTTCCACTTAAGCTTTTTATTAAAAAAGTAAATTGGGATTATTGTATTCCCTTACTTTACTTTGGAAGCAGAAATTTTAAATTAATTGTGGTCTAAACTGAGAGCAAACAGGTTCTGATAGCAGTCTGGTGGCCTCTTGTTTAGCCAGCAGAGAGTTCGGTTATTGCTGCTGGGAATGGCTTGGCTGAGATATTTTCAATTTACATTTTTTTTCTTCCCTCTAACGAAGGATTGAATTATGACTTACCAGAAAATCCCCGGTGTCATGGAGAGAGAGATATTGACTAACTTCCTCTAACTTGATTTGAGCTATTTGTTTGGAGCTGGGTTTTAAGTTGCAGGGGGTGGCATTCTGAAGTATTCTTGTATTCAGGGGAGCACTGTCTAGAAAATGTTTTCAGCTTCCTTCAGGAGTCATCACTTCAGCACAGTGGTAATGTTGTAAAAGATAAGAAAGGCATTTCTGTACGGATTGCTTGCTTGGCATTATTGCAACGTCCACACTGGTAGGATCAGTCGCTGCTGTTAGGTCAAGAACTTCCCTAGCCCTTTTGAACCTGACTCTGCCTTGGCAAGGGAAATCCCAAATGTCAGCCTCTCTAAGTAGCCACCACCTGCCAAGGGCTCAATCCCCAGTGGAAAGAACGGAATTGTAAACAGTCATCTCTGTGGTATAACAGTAGATTTTTGGCTTCTATGGAGTGGGGATGGTAAAAATGTGGATATTGCAAAACATAATTACTGGCCTGGAAATTTTCCTTCTGTGGGCAGATGGTATGATCAAGAGCAAAGACAGACATGTCCTTTCACAAACCAAGGGCGATGGTTACACAGTAGTCTTAGGTAGCAGCCACTATAATATACAGCTTTAAATAAAAGTCAGTGATGTATGTTAAAAGTGCTTCCTTGAATCCAGACAGCTCAAGTGAAACACTTTTTGAGGACATTGGGCTCAAATCTCACTACAAACACACGGCATGAAACAGAGTAGATGTATCAGGTTTGCCTATGTCCTAAAACAACTGAATCCTAGACATCCCCATATTTCAGAGAAAGAGTTTAAAAAGAAAGAAAACAGCACCCAAATTGAGAGCAGAACTTGGGCATAATGACCTTGGAATAACATTTATTTTCTGCCTCCAGTTTTCTGAAAACAGCTTTCAACTGCAAAAATATTTTTTGAAGTTGCCTATTAGAGAAATCTGTCCTGAAGCTTATATTACAGTTTCATTATTGCTGTAATGCCAACCGGTATATGGTATCTCAAGGTGCATGTTTGTTTATATCGATCTCATGTACAACTGCTACACTCCCCAGCCCTTATTCAAAAATAGAGCATTTTCCTGAGTATTAGATGAGACACGCTGTGGAGTTCAATTAATAATTTTTTTTCTAAATACAAAATGGTTTTTTTTTCAAGCACTAAGCCAAGTAACACATGGAAAATAACCTTTTATGTTTTGTAGAAAACAGTTCCCATTTGGTAATGCACACTGCAAGTTGAAAGATGGCACTCTGGCTTTCCCAATTGCTTCAAAAAGACACCCTATTTCTTATTTATTGTTGCTGTTTGGCAAAGCTCAGATTCCTAAAAGAAGGAGGAAGATAATTTCCTAAAGAAATTGAATTCTTTCTGAATAATTAAGGCCTTCAGAGTCCAATATTTAGAAAAAATTTAACCACAAGCTTATAGAACAAGAAGATAAAGAAGAATTCTTTTAATCTCACACAATTTAAGCCTAAAAGACAACTAAAAATTGTTTCTTTCCCCAAATTGTTTAGATTACATGGTACAGAAAACAGGTTTGCTCTTAGAATTTCCTCCTTGTTTTGGTTGGACATATTGGTAGACAAAGATTACTTATGAGAAATAATGAGAGTCTGTTAATATTGGAAACTCAATAATTGATTGGCAAACAAATGGCAAAGCATTGAAAATCACTGCTCTGTATGTCCCAAGACTAAGAATAAAACCAATGAAGGGGCAGTTGTTCTTGCTCTAGTCCTAAGTGAAAGAGGCATAAGGAAAAGTAGAAATGAGGGACACAAGTCAGCCATGCAACAAATGCCACACAAGTGATGCAACCTTGGGGCCAGGAAGTGCTGATAAGTATGTACCTGTGTCATACTGGTATCACTGAATAATTGCTGTCAAATACGTACATTTATAAAGATACTCATAATATTAGTCATGTTTCGTGTGAATCTTTTTAATGAATTGAGTGTCCTATATTCTTTGTTTTATTATAAAGTGTTCAGATGAGGCTATCTCAACACAAAATAGCTAGTTCCTAGGCTAAAGAGGGAAGCAGATTTTAGAAAAGAAAGTGCAATTCTTAGAAGCAGACTAATTTTCTCAAATTTAGTGCCTTTCTGACATCCATATGGGAAAAACTAGTGATGTTATATTTTGTTTTAATAGTGTTTTATCTAATAATACAGATTATTTGGGCCTTTCATGCATAAATGACAAGAGAAGAAATGGCTGTCATTCATCCTGAAATATGAAGAGAAGGTGAGAGGTCAAGGTCACATATCACTTGGAGATGAAGATGTGCACCAGGATCTATGCAGCCCTTTTGCCTGTGCTGTCATTCCTCGTAACTGGGAAACATGCCTTCCTTTTCATTCTTAGCAATCTACAACGTGGACTGAGCCCCCCACTCTCACTCTCAATCCTGTCCCTTCTAATCTTTGTTTTGGGTGCTGGGCCGTGACCTTATATTATTGATGACATTTTAAAGATTAAATTTCTGGATAATGCGCCAGTTCCTACTGATCATGACATCCTCAGGAGCAGGGTCACTGGGGCTGGAAAGCAGGAAGGGGTAGAGGGAGCTTCTGCCTATGAATGTGACTTTCTAAGGAAAAGTTAGCATGATAAAGGAGGAAGGTCTTTTCAAAATGTAGTGGAAATATTATCAAACTACCACACTTAAATTCACACTACAATGTATCTGTGACTGAGTGACTAACTGCCTGCAAATGCTTTCTCTTCCAAGAAGTAGGTAATGAGAATTGTATTTTAGAAATTCTCTATTTCAAACAGAATTCTGTAGGAGGTGCAGGCCTCTTTATACATTATTAAATCTCTCACTGAGGAATTTTTCCCCTGAAATCTGACCTAAGGTTTTTCATTGGAAACCCTTGAATTCTCAGTTGATATGGAATGCTTAGCAACTTAAGTGAGCTGCATCACTCTGAATTTGATTTCATTTTCCTAGTACTGAAGTGTGTTTCCAACATCTGCAAATGAATCCGTGACTTCCTGTTCTTTGTCACCGACTCCACCTGACTTTGCTGTGCCCATGCTTCATTTTGCAACAAGTAACAGTTTTCCTTTGTTTCCAGTAGAGAAAGAAGAAAGTTGGAAACCCCCTTTTTTGCCACTTCATGATTCCAGCTGGGCTACACAAGGAACTTAAAGAAGCTTGCGAATTGTTCTTGCTCCATCATGTCCTTCGGTGTCCCAGCTTACACTTACTCTTTAGGGAATGTACTACTAGTTGCCTAAATGCAGCAGGAGAACTAAATAGGGATTTTAATAAATAAGGGAAACAGATGGAGGCTAGAAGCTCGCAAAGTTAAAAGAATTGTGTGCTTAATAGACTAAATGCTTAATCGCAGTAATAGCTGCCAAGCCACCACATAACTCACCAGTATGCATGAACTGTAGCAGTAAGAGAGTGACTGCTTTCAGTCTCAAGGACTTTCCTAAAAATTCAAGGTTGTAAGAACCTAACCTAGAGAATAATTACTTGTCCAGACGTGATAACAGACTCTGGCAGAACAAAAATGACAGCTTGATTCACAGACAAATATAAGTCGGTCTTGGATGTCTGGCTTCCATTTTTCTGTGGAGAGATAGATGTCTTTAAAAAGCCTCAGCAGTGAACATCCTGTCAGTTAAAAAGGTCAGACACTGAAGTGTATCAGAAGAGATGATGCTGCATAGACCATTGAGAGAAAAGAAAATGATTTCATTATCCTCGTTCATCTGCTATAGATTAATTCAGTTCCCATCATCGTAGCAATTAAGGTATTTTTGTAGTCCTGTCCTGACCTAGCTGAGGTGGAACAAGGTAATAAAAAGAGGCATCAAGGAGAAGGCTACTACAGCTGAGTTAATACACCTTAGGAACAAGTGCTGTTAGTAACAGAGTTTGGGGTTGATACATTCAACTACAATGCATTAAGAAACACACACACACACACACACACACACACACAGACACACACACACAAAGCATGCAAATCCCCTAGAAACATTTTCCTATATATTAGAGTGTAAAATTTGCATCTTGTATACCCAGTGAACTATACCAGTGCTTGAAAACAATTTTGTAAAAGACAGTTTTCTATTCACAGTATATAAGTGGATGAAACACTTATATAAGTGAATGGAGAAATAGAAGAATGCTGGAAGGATTGCTGCCCTCCAGGTCAAATGGAGGGCTTATTTATTTTTTATTTTTTTGCCAACCTGAGCTCTCAATAGTTTGAGTGCAGCATCTAGAAAGAGGACATAACAGATCCTCCTAAACTAGCTCCTTCTAATTTTCTATTTGCTCAGTCACTCTAGTTTAAAACCTTTGTCTTCATGTTTAGCCACTCTTCTAGCACTCCTTATACTATTTGCCAATTTATATTCCTTCCACTTCCTTCTATTCATTGTGCCTTCACAAGGTCATATCACTCCCCTTCTTTCCACTTTCACTTACACAGTCCTCACAGAAGCCCTCATTACTCCTCACTTGGACAACCATTATAGCTTTCTAACTCACTCCCCACCTATCCTTTTCAAACTCTAATGTATCCTACTCTCAACCAACATATTAATCTTTCTAAACCTTATCTTTAATCGTGTCACCCCCTTGCTTGAAAATGTCAAAAGGCTTTCCAGTGACTACTAAATGAAATGCTAAGTTATCACCCTAGCACCCAAGGCTCCCCAGAGCAAGCAGCAGCCAACCATTGGTGCCTTATTTCCCAGTAGTCTTTTATCCCCCCTGTACTCTGATCTATCCAGCCAGCCCATGAACTGCTTCTTAGACACATCTCCTGAACAGTTCCATTTACGCTTCTACTCATTCTTTTCCTTGTTATTGGAATGCCATTTCCCTCACTTTAACTTGGAGTTCATTCCATCCTCCAAGGTCAGTCATTCCTTCAGGTAACATTTCTTGACTTCACCCTACTGAACATAATTCTCCATTATTTGTACCTCTCTTAAGGTACTAATTATAACCTTATAGAACAGTTAAAATATTGAAGGGACTTGAAATAAGAGCTATTTAAACCTGTCTCTACATAATAAAATATTTTTTTATTTTTACATAATAAAAATTCAGCAAAATTGAGTAAGAGCCAACTCCATGCTTGAAATGCATCAATGAACAAAGAAAAGCCTTACAATCTAGAGGGAGGAAACAGACACCTAGACATTTCAAAATATACAAAGTAAATAATAAGTAAATTATATAACATACTATATGTTGGCAAGTGTGATTTTAAAAAATAGAGTAAAGGGGATGAGGGAGTCAGGACAGGTTGCAATTCTAACTTTGGTTGTTAGGCCTCTTTACAAAGGCAGTATTTAAGAAAAGACCTAAAGGAGATAAAGGAGTTTGCCACATATCTACCTGGGCAACACGCAACCTCAGCAAAGGAAATCTCATCCTATGCAAAGGCCCTGAGGCCTGTGCTGTTCAATAAAGAGCAAAGAGTCAGGTGTGTCTGGAATAGAATGAGCAAGGAAGAAAGAGAAAATGAGGTCAGAGAAATAAAGAGGACAGAAGGAAGAGCTTGGAAGGTTTTTAGTTCATTGTAGGACTCCATTCAGTAAAACAGGAGAAACTGCAAGTTTTTCACACATCCCGAGTAAAGGAGTGACATAATCTGACTTGCATTTTGAAAGGATCATTCTGATTGCTCTGTCGAGATTACATTGTGCAGGCAAAGATAGGAGCAAGGGTACCTATTAGGAAAGTATATTATGTGAATCTGGTAAGAGATGACGATGGTTTAGGTTAAAGTGATAGTAATAAAAGTAATGGGAAGTGGTCAAAATATGGCTATATTTTCATGGTAGAGCCAATGAGATTTTCTTGTAGATTAAATGTGGAATGGAAATAAAGAAAAGAGTCAAGAATAACTAAGATTTTTGGCTAAACAACTTACAATGGAGTCAGATCAATTGAGATGTAGAAGTTCGTGGGTTAAACCATTTGGGGAGAAGGGCAAATATTAAATGTTCACTTTTGAACATACTTTCAGTTTGAGATTTCTACTAGGTATCTGAGTTGAAAAATTGAGCAGGCAGTTCGATGAGTCCAACTATAAAATGGGGATAATAAATCTTACAATAATGAACAGAGGTGACCTGAAAATTCATAAAAGATAAAATATATGTACAAATTTCATCTTTGTTTATGCTATACTGCATGTGATTTTATTATTATTGAGTTTGTGTATGTGGTATGTATGTATTTGTGTTTATTATGTATTCTATATCATCTGGATGCCAAATCTATGTTTACTTTTTCATTTTCAAAAAAATATTAGCTTTCTCTTGTTACAAATTAATGCATCTTCATTGTAGGAGATACACTTCACCCAAAGTAAAAACTGTTAACATTTCAAAGTATATTATTCTTGAACTTTATTTTTGAAGGATTTTTACTTTTTGGGCATCACCCTCATAATTTTACCCTTTGAATTGATGTGTTTAAAATATTCATTTCAATTAAAATATGTGTCTCAGGTTTTCAAAACATAAGCTATTTAAAAGAGACATAGAAAACTACGCTTTCTTGACTGCTTTACAACTTCCTCCATTTCCTTGGGTGGTGTTAACTTTAGCCAAAAGCTGCCTTCTTACATATTTTAAGTTTGGCCTGAAGGTTTCCCCATATATAGTGCTCTGTAACCTAACTGGATGTGTAAACATGCTGTAATATACTCTTTTACCAATCACTGAGTTTCGGCCAATCAAAGGCAGGCAAATGTTGAAACCATGTCCAAATAAGACAAACGCTGAGCTGTGACCAATCCAGCTGTTCTCTGTAGCTCACTTCTGTTTTCTGTACATCACTCTTCTTTTTCAGTCCATAAATTTTCTTTGACCACACAGCACAGACAGAGTCTCTCTAAACCTATTCTGGTTCGGGTGCTGCCTGATTCGTGAATCATTCTTTGCTCAATTAAACTTTGTTACCTTTATCTAAGGTTTTTCTTTTAACAATTGTAAAACTGAAACTTGAATCCAAGATTTTCAAGTTACAAAAAAAGCATTCTTTTTTTATATTACACCTTCAATATGTAAAAAATAAGTACATAAATAAAAAAATAGATCTTTCATTTCAGAATCTCCTATGGAGGATCCTCAATAATTGCCATAAACCCACTAACATGAACTGTGTGATTTTGTCATGAATTTTTAACCTAATGCCTGGCTCTATTTTATGTTTTTCTTTACTGTCTTATTCCTAATGTATACCATCTAATTGCATCTTATGTGTGTCTTTTTAAGTTTTTTTTTTAATCCTTTCTGGAACAAGGCACAAATCAACAAACCAATAAACAGATTTATAAACAGATTTATGCCATGTACATAGGTCCTAGATATGAGTTACTGCAAATTGTCTGACTCCCAGGTGAGACAGAGGAAAAGATATTGACACACAGTATGGCAACTTTAAATACTCGTAATTGCATACTTTGGAAAAAGGTGGCTTTTGTTTCTTAGATTGGCTCATTATGAAAAAAGAAAAAATTGTCTTACACACTTCCTCTATCACTTTCTTTTCCAGTTGGAAGAAAAAAAAACCGATTAATCAAATATTGCTGCAAAAGCCAACCCCCCTGTTGCTCAAGCTATAGTGTATATGTTTATTGCTATTATTAACAATATTATTACATTTGTGTTTTCTGTAGTCATTTTCCTCAGTATTTATTTTTTGAGATAAAATTGTCTCCAATGGCATTCTTGCAGACATTCTATTTATAGTACAAAAATTAAGACAAGCAGGAATTTTAGTTCTAATAGTGTAATTATCCAAATATTTTATACCAGTAAATGCAGGAGATCCATTAGTGAAAAAATAATTATTATTTCCAATCCCTAAGGGTTCTTTCTATACATATATAAAATTAATATTTATGGAGAAAATAATGAATAGGTGTGAATATCTGCACAAAGTATCATATAGGCTTAGGTAAACTAAAATGTAATTTTAAGTACAGGGTAGCAATAGACAAGAATGGGCAAAGAAAATATGCATATATAAGGCAAACATTATCATACAGCATTAAGGAAGCTTCAATCTAAATATCAGTCCATAGTTAGAAAAATTTACTCTGAGGTTCTTAAACTACACACAGTTTTGCTGCAGAGAAAATACCTCACTCTCAATCTGACAAAGGGAACTAAAGAAATGGTTTTGACAAGGCAGCAAAATATAATCAAAAATCATCCTGTGATGAAGATTGCCATATTACATATTATATTATTTTAACATGAGGAATAAAAATAGATTAAAGAGTGATATTTGAGGAAATGAACCCATAAGAAATTTATATTTCAAAAAGTAATGCAAAGAGATGAAGTGTAAAGTGACAGTGGTTTTTTTGTTATTAAGATTATTGCAGCAGTTGCTTTATGTTTTGAACTCACTATTTTTATTCATACTGAAGCCTTACTCTTTTGAGGACTAGAAATGGAAAGATCAGGAGACAAATGGTCTTTCTGCCTAAATGTCACTGGCGCTGAACTGATGGAGACCACTAATGGAGCAAACAATTCATTCACGTTTCTAGTTGGTGAAATTACCTGTGGTCTACACAACAGAAAAAAAAATAAAGCAATATAAAAATTTCCTCACTACTTGGAATCTGGCAAACAAAGAGTTTTGAGTGTCAAAGTATCTGCATTCTGGCAAAAAGCAGCAGCAACAACATCCTCCCAGTCTAACAAAGACTAATATCCCAGCTATTAATTCAGGTGATAGCTCCCTTTGGCCAATATGTAGAGTCAACATTGGGTAGGACAGCTGGTGAACAATTTTCTCAGCATCCTTGAGGTAAGTGAAAAAGAATCTCTGCAACCTGCCACAATTACTGCCTATCATCCAAGATCTTCCTCCATCAAGTTGGATTATAATTCCCAACACAATATCTGGGAACAATTCAAATGAAGTGGTCTAACTATGCTTGACAGTATCCTTAATTTGGATTCAAAAGTAATGTTATTTAAAGGATAATGTTTATGGATTCAGGGGCATACATAGAAATAGAAATAAATGGCTTTTCCAGTATATTAAATGCCAAAAACTAAATTAAAGCATTTGACATGCTAGGGGGAAATGTAATTGATTAAAAGTGAGCCAAAGATTGTGGTAACATTTCCAGTAAGAATACATCAAAGCCAATGGTGGTTGTAGTGACACATATTCTTTCTTTTTTGTTGATGGTTCAGATATTTTATTTACTGGATTTGATCTCTACTTTTTCTTATATAGGGAAGAGATGAATCATCATTCTAAAAGTGCTGCCTGAAGTAATAAAGACTAATAAAGTAAAATGGCCAAATTTTAAAAAAAATGATTTAATGATATATGTGCTGCCAAATGCAATTGTGTTTTAAGCCAAGAACTCAGCATTGCTTCTTTCACTCAAAGTAGAAGGATAGAATTTCTGTTGTGTAGAGTGTACTGTCATAAGTGGACCATACATCCAGCAGAGGCAGATGTACTTTCCTGGAGTTTGCATTCCAGGAGCATATGCACTAGTTTTGTGCCGAGTTTGTAAATTTGTCTATTTCTTTCTCATAAATAATGTTAGAAGTGAGTTTCCTGGAAAGATTTTCCTTATTCCATACTCCAGGGTCCAAAAGTTTTTTCAAAAGAATGGATGAGTGTTTGAATCAGTATTTCAGGAATAATAGGAATTTAGGTTATCACACATGGTTGGAAATGCATAGCCAAGCACATTCATCTCCCCATTCTCCACTACTCCTACCTAAATGACAATACAATTATACAAAGATTAATAAATTCATAACAGTTCTAACAATGATAAACACTTCTTGAAATGAGCAGAACAGTGTAGGTAATGTATAGAAACTAGAAAGCAGATGAGTTGTTACTGACTGCAACTCAAAACACATATAGGAAAAAGTTATCACAGAGAATAAGGATGCTTCCTAGAAAAAAGTCTTAGGATTAAAAGGAGAAAAGAAAGAAAGCAAAGACCTATAGCAAACATGTGGTAAGCAATAGCCTAGACTGTTACAACCTAGTGATTTGGAAGAATTTGAAAGAATCCAACAGTGATTTTATTAGTCTATTTTTATACTACTATGTACGAATAAATACCCGAAGCTGGGTAATTTATAAAGTAAAAGAGATTTAATGGACTCACAGTTCCATATGGCTAGGAAAGCCTCACAATCATGGCGGAAAGTGAAGGAGGAACCAAGGCAAGTCTTACATAGCAGCAGGTGAGAGAGTGTGTAGGGGAACTCCCCTTTATAAAATCATCAGATCTCAGGAGACTTATTCTCTACCACCAGAACAACATGGAAAAAAAAACCTGCCACCATGATTCAATTACCTCCCACAAGGTCCCTCCTACGACTTGTGGGGATTATGCAAGCTACAATTCAAGATGAGATTTGGGTGGGGACACAGCCAAACTGTACCAGTGATATAACAACAAATTCCCAATATGTTAATAGGGAAGCTTCTGAGTACTGTGATTGCTCCTCCTTAGCTTAATAAAAAGCAGGAACTACAATTCTAGATTTCTCTTACCTGGCAGTCTTCCCATTCTGTGTGGTAGTCATGAACCACTGACTTCAGTAAGACTCTCTGAGGAAGTACTGAGACAACTAGGAGCAGTATCTTGCTTAACCTCTTAAATGATGATCTCCATGTCTCCTACACAACGCCTTTGCTGGCAGATAGTGAACCAGAATGGAATAACTCTTAAAAATACAAATCTGTGGTCATAATCTCTACATTTATCCAGAGTTGGTCACGTAGTAGCTGTGTCACATTGGACAGTCACTTAAGCTCTCTACACTTCACTTTCCTTATCTTTAAAATGGAGTTATATTAGTTTCTACCACTTGAAGTTGTTGGGAATATTCTATAATACATTAATCTAGCACATAGGTAATCATTGTGTGTATTTATTATTATAACATTATTTATTAGAAAGATAAAGTTGAGGAACATAGTACAAGAAAATATGGAATAAGATAAAAATAATGAATAAAAGAGATAAAAAAGAAAAAGGGAAAATGTTAAGAGATATGGAAGGTAGGATAATCTATCTAACCAGACTTCCAATAGCAAATTGAAATTAGAATACAATCAGAGGAATAGTATGAAATTTCTCTAAGCTGAATATACTTGTTCTTAGATTAAAAGAGATTCCTGGTACAAAGGAACAAAATGAAAGAGAGCAAATGAAGTGTCTTGTGAAATTTCAAAACTATAAGAATCTAGAGAAAAAAATCTCAAGATTGTCCAGCTTATTCACACATGAATGAAAATCAAGGTTGCAGGAGGTGTGTTACCAGCAACATTGGAAGTTGGAGGTCAGCAGAGCATTGCCTTCAAAGTTTTGCAGGAAAATAACTTAAAACAAAATAGTATGTCCATTTAAAATATCAATCAGGCATGAAGGTAACTATAACATATATAAGATATAAATTTATAATATATATAAAATATATATTCAAACATACAATGAACCAGGAAATATAGGTCACACATACTCAGAGAAAAATACATACTTTTAAAAAATTTAGGTGAAACAAAGAAATTAAAGAAAAAGCAAGACATAAGAGACAGAGTTGGAGAATAAACCTAGAATTCTGATAGAAAGAAATTCTGAATTGTCTGCAAATTAGATGGAATGTTCTCAGCTACAAGCACCATAAAGCCCTAATTCAACTGGTTTAAACAATTTTTTAAAATAATCTAAGAAATCACAACATCCTGAGTTCGGGAAACACCAGAGTTGGTTAATTCATTGGTTCCATTTTGTCACCAAGTAGCTAAGTTCTTTTCAACTTTTTATGTTGCCACTTTCTGAAAAGCTCACCTCGGGATCACAAAATGGCCAGTGCAGTTCAGATATCACATTTAAATATGAGCAAGTTCAGCAGAAAAAAAAAACAAAAACAAAACTCTTTTTCTTCACCCACTCCCTCTCTCTGCTTTTAATCAGTAAATAAAACTATCCCAGAAGTCTTTGCAGATTTAGCTTTATTTCTCATTGGCCACAATTGTCTGACACACATATCCCTAAACCAATCACGGGCAAGAAGAATAAGGTTATTCTGATTGTTTTAGACAAAACAGAAAATTATCCTTTTCTTTGAGTTACATGGAGAAGAGACAGAGGTTAGACTATGATTCATGGTTTATAAATGAAACTGACACAGGTGTAAATTCATAAATTAAGTTGGTACAAATTCGAACCAAAAGTCAGTAGGCTTTATGAAGAATATGTTCAACAATAAATGATGCCATCACATAAATTTTATGATTAAAATGATTATGATTAATATAAAAAGAGGAAGGCATATGACTTTTCTGTCAGTAAGACAATTAAAATTCTAAGGAAAAATAAACATATGTAAGAAAGCCATAGTCCAAATGTGAATGAAGCAAGCTAAAATGAAGCCTGAATCTGCATACTTGATGGAAATGTATGTCTCAGAGTCTCCTGAAAAGGAAACCCAAACTTCAGTGGTCTGGTAATTTAGAAAGACTGATGATACTTGAATTATGAGTATGTTATTTTGGATTTATAATTAATACAATTTTTAATCAGTTCTCCATGACGTATTTGTTTGTTACTCTGAATATCGTTTACCTCTTTTATGTATATTTTAGAGATCAACATTTCTCAATTTATTATGGAAAATCCTCCTAAAAATAAACATAAGTTTTAAAAGCTGTTCTTCACAAACTAAAAAAGTTTCACATTTTTTGATCTTTATGTAAACATAATCTTTTCTCCTTCCCATGGGACTCCTGACTCAATTTTACTCCTTGGAAACTTAACCTATTTAAGAAATATATAATTTAAACAAGAATAAACTCAAGCTACGAATAATATTTTTGGAAAAATTTTATGAAAAATAACATGTATTTTGTTGAAGAAACAAAGTTTAGACAGTGTTTTTAGATTTACTGTAGGTTCTTTGCTATCATTAAATTTAAGTAATGTTAAATGTATTAAGTTTTCATGAAATTTAAAAAAAATTCAGTTCACTGACCATTAAGTATCTGCATAACTTATCAAAATTGGGCTTCCTGGCTAAACTAAGTGCCCCAAGAAAAGCTGCTCTTCTTTTTCAGCAGTGAATTTTCTACCTGTGAATGTGGATTTGGCTTATTGGAGGACATTGGGTATTGCAAGGAATGATCCACAGGAAGTCCAAAGCTTCCTAGTTGATCTCATGGAACCAAGTAAAGGTGGTATTACCAATTTCTGCTCTCTTGATGACTTACATTGATCCCCACGCACATAAACAAATTTACACATCCAGCAGATAAAGACCACGCCTTGCAGTAACAAGGGTTTGAAGGATGAATTAGAAATCCTCCAGACAGGTGGATTACCAAAGAAAGTGTGAAGCAGCATATTGTGTCCAGATAAGTACAAGTTCAAAAGCTTTAATGATGCATAAGTAGAATAAATTAAGAGGAAATGTATGGAGTGGAAGTATCAAATGGGATAGTTTATGTGCTACACAAGCAAAAAGCATTCTTATATTTACTATTCCACACAAAATGTACAAAGCAATCTATGTAAAACGCTTTGGAAGTTATGAAAGAATACTGCTAATGTTAATTATCATATTTCTAATATAACTAGAGTACAGATTATTTAATGTACAATTGAAATAATCCTTAATTTATCTTGAAACCACATACTTAAAACTACACACCATGAAGTCTAATTTAATGTCCTTTTTTCTCATCTCTTTTTAGATGACTGAATTTAATCGATTTTAGTTCCTATTAAACATATAACAATTAGATATTCTTGCTGCAGGTTTGAAGGCTTGAAGTCCTTTCTATTTTTTTCCTCTCAATTATTTTCAGAGAAATATCTAAAATTTTTTCAGCCATGCTTCTTCCTACTTACTTCCTTATTCTCCTTTTTAAAGTTTATTGACACATTTCACCCAAATTAACAACACTTCACTATCCCCTTCGTTTCTTACCTTTCAGTTGTTTGAATCATCTTTGTTACTTACAGCTAATCAAACACGATGCTATTTTTATCATGCAACTATTTTATGGGTATTTATAACAGAGCAAATGTGATAAGGAAACTGTAACAACAGGTACGAGAATTAGAAGGCAAAAATTATTATTCATGTATGGACAGTAAATATCTATATAACCCTCCAAAATATTGAAAATTGAAAAAATGTTAATATAACAATAGTAATAATGACTAGCTAACATGTATTAAGTGCTTAGTATGAGCCAGGCAGGAAGTGCCTTATATGTAGAAATTATTAAATCACTAAAACAAACTCACAAGGTAGGTCTGATACTATAACTGCTCCCATTTTACCAGAGGAAGGTATTGAGGCATGGAGAGGGACATGATCAAAATCACACAGTGGCTAAGTAAGCAAGCAGTGGAGCCAAGACGTCCTGGGCACTCTGGCTCCCAGGTCAGTAGTTTTTTTTGTTTGTTTTGTTTTGTTTTTGTTTTTTTTTTATACTTTAAGTTCTAGGGTACATGTGCACAACGTGCAGGTTTGTTACGTATGTATACATGTGCCATGTTGGTGTGCTGCACGCATTAACTCATCATTTACATTAGGTATATCTCCTAATGCTATCCCTCCCCTCTCCCCCAACCCCACAACAGTCCCCAATGCGTGATGTTCCCCTTCTTGTGTCCACATGTTCTCATTGTTCAATTCCCACCTATAAGTGAGAACATGCAGTGTTTGGTTTTTTGTCCTTGCGATAGTTTGCTGAGAATGATGGTTTCCAGCTTCATCCATGTTCCTACAAAGGACAGGAACTCATCATTTTTATGGCTGTGTAGTATTCCATGGTGTATACATGGCCATCAGAGAAATGCAAATCAAAACCACAATGAGATACCATCTCACACCAGTTAGAATGGCCCAGATCATTAAAAAGTCAGGAAACAATACCTGCTGGAGAGGATGTGGAGAAATAGAAACACGTTTACACTGTTGGTGGGACTGCAAACTGGTTCAACCATTGTGGAAGTCAGTGTGGTGATTCCTCAAGGATCTAGAACTAGAAATACCATTTGACCCAGCCATCCCATTATTGGGTATATACCCAAAGGATTATAAATCATGCTGCTATAAAGACACATGCACACGTATATTTATTCCAGGTCAGTAGTTTTAACCACTGAGCTATAAAAGCTAAGAAAGGAGGACAGAGAGAAGAAAACTCCAGTAATTTTTCTATTTAGAGTTTCGTCTAATGAGAGGCTACTGTGGCAAAAAAACAAAAAGCCAAAACCCTTGTCTACAGCTGCCCATCATTGGTGAGCTGTATTCCATTCAGAGGAAAGGGGAAATATGCTCTTCCCAGTTCAGGATCTTGCTCCACAACCAGGCTCACAACCAGGCTTTGCCAAATGTCACAATATCTCTGAAAAGCTCCTTCACCATCTAGCTCTTATCCCTCTAACCATTACAGCTCAACCATAGTCTAACCCAGACCACTCCTACTATCTTAGGACTTTCCTTCTTTGTTGTTATAACAAATTCTTTCCAAAAGCAACAGTCTATGGATTATTAATCTGGCCTTTGACCCAGAAGCAATTTACTGTTTCATTCTCAAAGCAGTTTTAATTCTTGGAACCATCACTACTACATTCACATTTCTGAAAACATTTATTTTAGTTACTTTTCTGCTAGAAACAACAACAAAAAACTCCTACAAAGCAATTCTCTTTGCAAAGAAAATAGAAATCCCAGTTCTTGTGAGAGACCTACTTTAACTTTTCCTTTTCTTTCACCTTCACTATATTCTAAGTTTTTATGCTTCTAACTATCATGTATTTAACACCTGAGAGTCTGAACCTCAGCCCACATGATGAGATCCCTCATGGTCCATGGACCACAAAGTTTCTCCCTGTACAGAGCAGTGGCATCATGGAGAAAAGGTTTACCAGTCTATCTCTCCATTTTGTGGACATGGTTATAATGCAGGCTCTACTGTAGAATGAGAAACAGATTGAGTTAAAAAGTTATTGAGAAGTGTGCAAAAGAACATGAACCAGGTATGGTGGTTCATGCCTGTTATCCCAGCACTTTGGGAGGCTGAGGTAGGAAGATCGCTTGAGCCCAGGAGTCTAAAAGCAACCTGGGCAACATAGTGAGACCCCTTCTCTATATTAAAAAAAATAAGCTGAGTATGGTGGCACACGCCTGTGGTCCCAGCTTCTCTGGAGACTGAGGTGGGAGGATGGCTTGTGCCCAGGAGGTCGAGACCGAAGTGTGCTGTGGTTAGACCACTGCACTTCAGCCTGGGTGACAGAGTGAGCCTCTGAGAGAGAGAGAGAGAGAGAGAAGGGAGGAAGGAGAGAAAGAGAAAGGAAGAGATAAGAATGAATGAAGGAAAGAAGGAAAGAAGGAAAGAAGGGAGGGAGGGAGGGAGGGAAGAAAGAAAAAGAAAGAAAGAGACATGGAAGTAAAGAATGCAGGAGAGCTGAGGGAGAAGGTGAAGCATGGTGCAGTTGTTACCAAGGCCTCAGTCAATCCCACAGGAGCCAGGACACAAATGGCCTCTCAATGAATGTTAAATGTTCCCAGTCAAGGCAAGAGAGTGGGTCTTTGTACCCTGCATCAACCATTCACTAGATGTGTGGTGTCCAGGGAGGGAGGGGGTAACTTTGGGTGTCATAGCTCCCTCTGTCTGAGGGCAATCCCAGGAGTATAGCTGTGTGCTGTCAGTAGCTAAGAGTATTGAATGCCTCCGTCCTGGAAATTTGGAGGTGAAGCATAGCATTAATTACATTTACTTCCAGCATGATGGTGAAAAATGATGTTCAGTTACTAACATAGATACCTGTACACTTAGAGTGACATTTCCCTTCAATCAATTGAGATTTCCTATAAAAAGTATGAAGAAGGTTTAAAATCCTGAATCCTCCAAAATAACACTAATGCACCTAGACATAGAGAATAAATCCAAATTAAAATCTGGAAAATGTTTATGGACTATGTCCAGACTGTGCTTAACTGTTACAGGGTAATTCCCTTCATCTTTCCTTTTCCTCTAGAGATATTCTTGACCTCTTACTTTCCACAAAAAGATGGGTGAAAAGATAATTGTAACAATAATTATTATTAAGCTATTAAAAAGTTAGTTGTAGATAAAATTAGAAAAAGCAAGTCAAAGTAGCAGTATTATAAGCTTTCTGTTAAAAAAGAGAGAGAGAACAAGTTAGAACATTGTCCTTAGATTTTCTTTTAATTTTTTTTCCTATATGGTTGGCATGTGGGTTAATTGATACACATTTTTATATATTTAAGGGGAGCATATGCTATTTTCTTAAATGCATAGAATGTGTAGTGATCAAGTTACAGTGTTTAGAATTTCCATCACCTGGAACATTTATCATTTCTATGTGTTGGAAATATTTCAGGTACTCTTTTTCAGCTCCTTTTAAATATACAATATATTATTGTTAACTATAGTTACCAGATTCTGCTATTATACATAAGAAATTATTTCTAACTATATATTTATGCCGACTAACTAACCTCTCTTTGTTCCCCACCCCAACACACTCACCCTTTCCAGCCTCTGGTAAGTATCATTTTACTCTGTATCTCCATAAGAGAACATTTTTGACTCCCACATATGAACATGACACACATGATCATCAACAGGTCATGAACACTTTTCAAAAGAAGACATACATGTGGCTGACAAGCATATGAGGAAAAGCTCAACATCACTGATTATTAAAGAAATGCAAATCAAAACTATAATGCGATACCATTTCACACCAGTCAGAATGGCTATTATTAAAAAGCCAAAAAATAACAGATGCTAGAGAGGTTGCATACGAGTGAGAACAGGCAATATTTGCCTTTCTGTGGGGTTGGCTTATTTCTGTAACGTAACGACCTCCATTTCCACCCATGTTGCCACAAATAACAGGATTTCATTCTTTTTTATGGCCAAAGAGTATTTCATTGTGTGTGTGTGTGTGTGTGTGTGTGTGTGTGTGTGTGTGTACACCACATTTTTATTTTAAGTTCAGAGGGAGTTTGTTGTACAGATTATTTCTTCACCCAGGTATTAAGCCTAGTACCCATTAGTTATTTTTCCTGATCCTGTACCCTCCCTCCAAAAGGCCCCAGTGTGTGTTGTTCCTCTCTATGTGTCCATGTGTTCTCATCATTTAACTCCCACTTATAAATGAGAACATGCAGTGTTTGGTTTTCTGTTCCTGCATTAGTTTGCTAGGGATAATGGCCTCCAGCTTTATGTCCTTCTGTGAAGGACATGATCTCATTCTTTTTATGGCTGCACAGTTTTCCATACTGTATATGTACCACATTTTCTTTATCCAGTCTAGCATTGATGGGCATTTAGGTTGATTCCATGTCTTTGCTATTGTGAATAGTGCTGGAATTAACATAGATGTGCATGTGTTGATAGAACAATTTATATTCCTTTGGGTATATACCTAGTAACGAGATTGCTGGGTTAAATGGTAGTTCTGTGTTTACTTCTTTGAGGAATCACCACACTGCGTTCCACAATGGTTGAACAAATAATGTACACTCCTACCAAGTGTATAAGCATTCTTTTTTCTCTGCAACCTCTCCAGCATCTGTTATTTTTTGACTTTTAAATAATAGCTGTTCTGACTGGTATAAGATGGTATCTCATTGTATTTTTGATTTGCATTTCTCTATCAGTGATGTTGAGCTTTTTTTCTTCATATGCTTCTTGGCCACATGTATGTCTTCTTTTGAAAAGTGTCTGTTTGTGTCCTTTGCCCAAGTTTTAATGAGGTTGTTTTTCTCTTCCAAATTTAACTTCCTTATAGATACTGGATATTAGACGTTTGTCAGATCTATAGTGAGATGGTTTGGCTATGCCCCCACCCAAATCTCATCTTGAATTGTAATTCCCACAATTCCCATGTATTGTGTGAGAAACCTGGTGAGTGGGAGGTAATTGAATCATGGGGGTGGGTCTTTCCCATGCTTTCTCTTGATAGTAAATAAGTCTCAGGAAACCTGATGGTTTTTAAAACAGGAATTTCCCTGCACAAGCTCTCTCTCATGGTTGCCACATAAGAAGTGTCTTTCACCTTCTGCCATGATTGTGAGGCTTCCCTAACCATGTGGAACTGTAAGCCCATCAAACCTATTTCCTTTTTGCAAATTGCCCAATCTTGGGTACTTATTTATCAGCAGCATGAAAACAGACTAATACAGTAAATTGGTACCAGTAGAGTGGGATGCTGCTGAAAAGATACCTGAAAATGTGGAAGCAACTTTGGAACTGGGTAACAGGCAAAGGTTGGAACAGTGTGGAGGGCTAAGAAGACAGAAAAATATGAGAACGTTTGGAACTTCCTAGAGACTTGTTGAATAGCTTTGTCCAAAATGTTGATAGCAATATGGACAATAAAGTCCAGGTTGAGGTGGTCTCAGATGGAAATGAGGAACTTGTTGGGAACTAGAGCAAAGGTGACTTGTTATATTTTAGCAAAAAGACTGGCAGCATTTTGCCCCTGCTCTAGAGATTTGTGGAACTTTGAACTTGAGAGAAATAGTTTATGGTATCTGTCAGAAGAAAGTTCTAAGAAGCAAAGCATTCAAGAAGTGACTTGGGTGCTGTTAAAGGCATTCAGTTTTATCAGGGAAGCAGAGCAGAAAAGTTCAGAAAATTTGCAGCCTGACAATAGGATAGAAAACCCCATTTTCTGAGGAAAAATATAAGCCAGCTGTAGAAATTTGCATAAATAACAAGTAGCTAAATGTTAATCCCCAAGACAATGGGGAGAATGTCTCCAGGGCATGTCAGAGATCTTCACGGCAGCCCCTCCCATCATGGGCCAGGAGGTCTAGAAGGAAAAAATGGTTTTGTGGGCTGGGCCAGTGTCCCTGTGCTGTGTACAGCCTAGGGACTTGGTACCCTGCATCCCAACTGCTCCAGCCATGGCTGAAAAGGGCCAATGAAGAGCCTGGGCTATGGCTTCAGAGGGTACAAGGCACAAGTCTTGTCCGCTTCCACATGGTGTTGAGCCTGCAAGTGCACAGAAGTCAAGAACTGGGGTTTGGAAACCTCCACCTAGATTTCAGAAGATGTTTGGAAACACCTGGATTCCCAGGCAGAAGTTTGCTGCAGGGGGAGGGCCCTCCTGGAGAACCTCAGCTAGGGTGGTGCAGAAGGGAAATGTGAGGTTGGAGCTCCCACACAGAATCCCTACTGGGGCACCACCTGATAGAGCTGTGAGAAGAGGGCTACCATCCTCCAGATCCCAGCATGGTAGATCCACCGACAGCTTACACTGTATGCCTGGAAAAGGAACAGACACTCAACACCAGCCCATGGAAGCAGCTGGGAGGGAGACTATACCCAGCAAAGCCACAGGGGTGGAGCTGCCAGAGACCATAGGAACCCACCTTTTGCATCACTGTGACCTGGATGTGAGACATAGAGTCAAAGGAGATGATTTTGGAGCTTTAAGATTTGAGCGCCCCTCTGGATTCTGAACTTGCTTGGGGCCTGTAGTCCCTTTGTTTTGGCCAATTTCTCCCATTTGGAATGGCTGTATTTACCCAATGCCTGTATTCCCATTGTATCCAGAAAAAAAGTAACTTTTGATTTTACAGGAACATAGGTATAAGGGACTTGCTTCATCTAAGACTTTAGATTGTGAACTTTGCAGTTGATGCTAAAATGAGTTAAGACTTTGGGGGACTGTTGGGAAGGTGTGACTGGTTTTGAAAGGTGAGGACATGATATTTGGGAGGGGTCGGGTGCTGAATGATATGGTTTGATGGTATCCCCACCCAAATCTCATCTTGAATTGTAACTCCCATAATTCCCATGTGTCATGTGAGGAACTGGTGGGAGGTAATTGAATCATGAGGGCAGTTCTTTCCTGTGTTCTTGGGATAGTAAATAAGTGTCACAAGATATAATGGTTTCAAAAACAGGAGTTTCCCTACACAAGCTCTCTCTGTCGCCGTTGCCATGTGAGAAGTGCCTTTCACCTTCTGCCATGATTGTGCAGCCTTCCTAGCCATGTGGAACTGTAAGTCCATTAAACCTCTTTCTTTTTATAAATTGTCCAGTCTTGGGTATATCTTTATCAGCAGCAAAAATGTGGACTAATACACAGTTTGCAAAAAGTTTCTCATTCTGTAGGTTGTGTGTTTACTCTGTTGACAGTTTCTTTTGCAGTGCAGAATGTCTTTAATTAGATGCCATTTGTCAATTTTTGCTTTTGTTGCAATTGCTTTTGGCATCTTCATCATGAAATCATTGCCTGTGTCTATGTCTAGGATGGTATTACCTAGGTTGCTTTCCAGGATTTTTATAGTTTTGGGGTTTACACATAAGTCTTTAATCCATATTGAGTTGATTTTTGTATTTGGTATAAATAGGGGTCCAGTTTCAATCATTGCACTTGGCTAGGCAGTTATCCCAGTATCATTTACTGAATAGAGTACCCTTTCCCCATTGCTTCGTTTTGTCAGCTTTGTCAACGATCAGATAGTTGTAGGTGTACAGCCTTGTTTCTGTGCTCTCTATTCTGTTCCATTGGTCTATGTGTCTGTTTTTGTACCAGTACCATGCTCTTTGGGTTACTGTGGCCCTGTAATATAGTTTGAAGTCAGGTAGTATAGTTTGCACTGTATGCTTAGAAAAGGCACAGACACTCAACACCAGCCCATGAAAGCAGTTGGGAGGGAGACTGGTGATGCCTCCAGCTTTGTTCTTTTGGCTTAGGATTGCCTTGGCTATCTGGGCTCTTTTTTGGTTCTATATAAATTTTAAAATAGTTTTTTCTAGTTCTGTGATGAATTTCATTGGTGGTTTAATAGGAAGGGCATTGAATCTATAAATTGCTTTGGGCAGTATCACCATTAAAAAATGATATTGATTCTTCCTATCCATGAGCATGGAATGTTTTTCCATTTGTTTGTTTCATCTATGATTTGAGGAGAATTTTGTAATTCTCACTGCAGAGATCTTTCACCTCCCTGGTTATCTGTATTCCTAAGTATTTTATTTTATTTTTGTGCCATTGTGAATACAATTGTATTCCTGATTCAGCTCTCAGCTTGACTACTGTTGGTATATAAGAATGCTAGTGATTTTTGTACATTGATTTTTGTATCTGGAGATTTTCCTAAAGTTGTTTATCAACTAAAAAGTTTTGGGCTGAGACTATGGGGTTTTCTAGATATAGGATCATGTTGTTTGCAAACAGGTACAGTTTGACTTCCTCTCTTCCTATTTAGATGCTCTTTATTTCTTTTTCTTGCCTGATTGCTCTGGTCAGGATTTCCAATACTATGTTAAATAGGAGTGGTGAGAGAGGGCATCCTTGTCTTATGCCAGTTTTAAAGGGGAACACTTCCAACTTTTGCCCATTCAGTATGATGTTGGCTGTGGATTTGTCATAGACAGCTCTCATTATTTTGAGATATGTTCCTTCAATATCTAGTTTATTGAGAGTTTTTAATATGAAAGAGTGTTGACTTTTATTGAAAGTCCTCTCTGCATCTATTTAGATAATCATGTGGGGTTTTGTCATTAGTTATGTTTGTGTGATGAATCACATTTATTGATTCGTGTATGTTGAACAAAGCTTGCATCCCAGGGATAAAGCCTATTTGATTGTGTTGAATTACAACTTCAGCTTTTAAATGTGCTGCTGGATTCACTGTGCCAGTACTTTGTTGAGGAGTTTTGCATCTATGTTCCTATGTTCATCAAGGATATTGGCCTGAATTTTTTTTTTTTTTGGTTGTTGTGTCTCTGGCTAGGTATTTGTACTAGGATGATGCTGGCCTTATAGAATGACTTAGGGAGGAGTCCCTCTTCCTCAATTTTTGGAATAGTTTCAGTAAGAATAGTATCAGCTCTTCTTTGTATGTCTGGTAGAATTAAGCTGTGAATCCATGTGGTCCTGGGACTTCTTGTTTTTTTGGTTGGTAGGGTCTTTATTACTGATTCAATTTTAGAGCTCATCATTGGCCTGTTGAGGGATTCAGTTTCATCCTAGCTCAGTCTTGGGAGGGTGTATGTGTCCAGGAATTTATCCATTTCTTCTAGATTCTCTAGTTTATGTGCATAGAGGTGTTCATAATATTCTGATGGTTATTTGTATTTCTGGGGTCAGTGGTATATACCACATTTTTATTCATTCATCAGTTGATGGACACTTAGGTTGATCCCGTATCTTAGCTATTGTGAACAGTGCTTCAATAAACATAAGGGTACAGGTATCCCTTTGATATACTGGTTTTTCTTTGTATAAATATCCGATAGTGGGATTGCTGGATAGTATGGTAGTTCTATTTTTAGTTTTAAGAGAAATCTCCATACTATTTTCCAAAATCGCTGTACTAATTTATGCTCCCAGGTATGTGGTTCTTTTCATTAACGAAGTTCATACAGGAAATGGCCTGCTTTTAAAAATATATTTATTGTATATGTTTAAGATATAAAACATGATGTTTTGATATACATATATAATGACATGAATACTACAGTCAAGCTAATTAACAGATCTGTTTTTCACATATAAACTACATATATAAAATGACCTATATCTATAAACTCTATATATGTATATATAAATCCTATATATATAGTCAATCAGAGTAGAACTTGTCTTATTTCCCCAACTTAATGTTAATGTGTGTATCAGTAAGGAATCTTAATTGTAGTTAATTGAAAAGAACCTTGATCCTGTATTCTATATCTAGAGCAAAAGAAAATTCTGGCAGAATCTAGATAAGCAGCCCATATCTTGGAAGGGAGGCTGAAAAAGCAAGCTCATGGCATTTTTATTTAGCTTACTGAGAAAGAGACTCTGCATCCCAACGGACTCATACAGCAGAGAATTTCCCACAAATAGGAAGGAGAATCCACAGGCATGGCAGCAAACAGAATTTCACTATGTCTACAATCTATTCATTTGTGTGACCAACACCAAAGTAATTTTTCAAATTCACAAATATTAAATAAAAAATCCCGCCTAACCTACAATGCAATTGTCCCTTGTAATTCAAAAATAGTCTTTTCTAATAGCCGATAATGGCCCATATTTTCCTCAGTCACTTCATTCAGCACCAAGGCCAGGACTCTGGCTAATTATTTCTATAGTTCTGTTGCAATCCTCTCTCAATAATGTATAATCTGTAGATTAAATTGTAATGTTACCCATCATTAACATACTACATCTAAAATATCTGGATCGATGAAACGAAAAGAGAAAAACACAAGAAAGCACAAGAACAAGAACTCACACTCATTTTTCTAAAATTGATGATGGTGATTCCAATTCAGTTGAGATATTGTTGTGACCCCTAACAGAAGCATTTCTTCCTTAGTACTAAGATTTCCAAGACATCCAAACTCAGAGTCATAGACCTGGGAACAAATATTTTTGAGACCCATGGGTTGTTAAATGAATCTGAGACAGTAACTCTGTCAAACATTCCTAGTGTGCCCTTCAAATTCTCTCAGGCCTAACTCTCACTCAAGCCCAACTCTCACTCAAGCCCCTGCAGTGGTGACCAGTTCCACACAGGCTTCAGTGGGCTTTGAGTAGACACAACATGGAACCCTTCATCTTGAGTCTGTGTCATGTCCCTCTTGTTTCTTGTACCAGAGCATCTCTGATGCTATGTTACAGACAATACAGGAGTCTATTCAGCACTCATTCATGTGGAGTCCAGAAGGGTGAGTCAAAACTCTTAAATCACCTTTTTCCAGTAGGAGTGGAAGCCCATGAATAAAAGTTTCCATAATTTTTGTCCCCAGGAGCCACTTCTGAGATGTATTTCATAAGGCTTCTTAGAATGTACTGCAAGTTTAAGTACTTTTTGCCCACAGTGGTGACTGACTTAAAAACGCATCCTTGTATTGGTTTGCCACATTCATTCTAATTCATTCCTTCTGTTATTCTTTCCTGATCCCAAGTTCACTCAGCAAACAAATAACGTACACAAGCTTTCATACAGGTCCTTCTCACGTTTTTTTTTTTTTTTTTTTTAAATGGAGTTTCACTCTTGTTGCCCAGACTGGAGTGCAATGGTGCGATCTCAGCTCACTGCAACATCCACCTCCTGGGTTCAAGCGATTCTCCTACCTCAGCCTCCCGAGTAGCTGGGATTACAGGCAGGTGCCACCACGCCCAGCTAATTTTGTATTTTAGTAGAGATGGGGTCTCTCCATGTTGGTCAGGCTGGTCTTCAACTCCTGACCTCAGGTGATCCACCTGCCTTGGTCTCCCAAAGTGCTGGGATTACACATGTAAGCCACCACACCCGGCTTCAGGTCCTTCTTTCAAAGATACTCTGTTTAAAAAGAAATACCTTATATTCCCACACACTGATTTGGGGCCTTCTAAATATTGACTTTAGAAGAAAAGAAGTAAGGGTATTTGGTTTTGGTTCAGAGTATATATCACTTTGTAAGATGATACATCAGTCTTGTAAGTTGTCTGTAGCTAATATTGTAAAATATACTTTAATAAGACATCATACTGCTTTATGCAACCAGTTGTTTCTGGATGAAGCAGTAAGTGGTAAGACTAGTAAAGTCAATGACAATTATTTTATTGCCTTAATTATGTCTTAGGCATAACTGTAAGTAATAATTAATTCTATAAATGATATCATTGTGTGGGATAGGGCATTCAGTAATTTCATGGATTGTTATTGGAAAAAGCAGGATAGGCTGGGCAAGAAAGTCCAAACCAATATAGCTATTTGTTCCAATATGGAAAAACTGAAGCTCCTTTAATAGTTAAATATGTCACATGCAATCAATTTGACACCCTCCACTTGGCTGGCCCCCCAAAGAGTTAAGGTTTGATTAGCTGGTGTTACTGAAAAATGAAAATTCATCAATGGCAGTAGGTTGATGAAACTTAATGAGAAGAAATTCAGGTTTTGAGCCCATTCCTAGTCTTTATTCTTTCCATTCTCATCACTTCAAACCTTTTTCCTTCTGCTGTGGACTAGCCCACTTCTGGTATCAAATTTTAATTTGTGTTCTTAATCCAAGCAACAAAAGCTGCCTTTATTTCTTGGATTTTTAAAAAAGCTTATTAATCAGATCACTCAATCTAGGTCAATTATCTACTCCTAAGCTTCAGTGTCTGCCATTGTGAGCTTCACTTGTGGGAAGCAATCTCATTAGTTGGGGAAGTCCCCAAACATAGAAAGGGTTTCTAAGATGTTTACTAGGATATCTTGTTTTCTGTTGTTGATGTGGCTGTTGCTCTTAGTTAAGATGCACATTTTTTCTTTCAAGAAGGCTAATTCTGACTCTGGTTGTTTGAAATTAAGAAAACTGAACCTGCATCACAACATGGATATAGTGTATAATAAAGAACGGAATTATATTTCCTAATTGCATCATCATCATTCGACAAGTTTTTATTGACTGTCTTTCTTTGCCAGGCACTGCTTTAGGGTCTGGGGATACAAAGAGATTGAGACGAACATTGCCACAGTGCACAAGGTGCTTACAGTCTGCTAGCAGGGGATCAAATAATCAATTAATTATATTTGCAATAACTACTCTGAAAAGCAAATACATGATACTATGAGGACAAATAATGAGAAAATGGGGTTTGTCCTGCTGGGTTATGGCAGGAAGACTGAAGAAATTATATTTACAATAAATCCTGCAAAAATAAAAATAAAGGGGCATCAACAAAAGAAGGAAGGTATGTTTGTGCCAAAGTCACACAATCCTTTACTATTATTCTTTACTAGTCAAATAATTTCCTATTTCTTTATGTTTAGTTAATATAGGATACATCAATTTATTTATAGATTATCTGTGTTCATGCTGAGCTTAATTTAACTATAGTTCTATCAAAACATAAAATACAATAAAACACATTTTATGCAGAAAAGAATCATCCATATGGCATAATGATATTGTTCACTTGTCCCAGAAATTCTATGGAAATGGGTATCTCCAATTTATTGGACAGGAGGTTTTGTCATCTGCTATAGTGTCAATGTTTTCCTCAACGAGAGCCTAATGTACCATTTGAATCATTGCTTTTCTGCAAATAGAAAGTTAGAATTGTACTGATATTTTACTCCCTCTGCACTTTCCATTTTGGCAGCTTGGCTTTCTGGCTGGTTACTTTAATCATTTTAAGTGCTTGAACTAAGAACCCATTTAACACTTTCCATTAATAAGGAAAAATGTGGTCCAGGAATACCTAACTTAAAATCTTAGAGGTCATGTAGTTTAACCTCCATCCAATTCAGGGAACTCTGCCTCACTTGTCTGACAGGTGGTATTCTAGATCTTCTTAAAATCTTCTAATGATGGAGAGTTCTCTGACATTAAAAGGCAAAAAATATCCCCTATGTGCTTGAACCAGCACAATCAATTCTAAGATCTGGACATTATACATCTGTATCAGTTAGAATAGGTGCAAAGGTAAGTACCAGAACACCCAAATGAACAGTGGATCAAACACCCAATATTGTTTTCCTTTATGTACAAAAAAAAGTCTTGAAGCTAGCAGGAAGGGCTGGTACAGTGGTTCCACAAAGCCATCAGGCACCTAAGGACTTTGGTCCCTTCCAGGTCCAGACTGCCAAACCTATGCTTTCAAAGCATGGATCAAGACGGCTGCTATAGCTTCAGCCATCAGGTCTATATTTCATTGGCCAGAATGTAGTCACATGAAATGCCTGATAGAAAGGATGCCAAGAAATGTAATCTTTAACCTAGGTATCCATATGCCCACAAAATACTTGGAGCTCCTATTATTAAGAAAGATGCAGAGAATGAGACATGGAAGAGGCTAGAGTTTGACAAGCTTTTTCTGTAAAAGGGCAGATAGTACTGGAGAGGATGTGGAGAAGTAGGAATGTTTTTACACTGCTGGTGGGAGTGTAAATTAGTTCAACCATTGTGGAAGACAGTGTGGTGATTCCTCAAGGATCTAGAACCAGAAATACCATTTGACCCAGCAATCCCATTACTGGGTATATACCCAAAGGATTATACATCATTCTACTATAGAAACACATGCACATGTATGTTTATTGCAGCACGGTTCACAATAGCAAAGAGTTGGAACCAACCCAAATGCCCATCCATGATAGACTGGATAAAGAAAATGTGGCACATATACACCATGGAATACCATGCAGCCATAGAAAAGGATGAGTTCATGTCCTTTGCAGGGACATGGATGAAGCTGGGAACCATCACTCTCAGCAAACTAACACAAGAACAGAAAACCAAACACCGCATGTTCTCACTCGTAAGTGGGAGTTGAACAAAAATAACACGTGGACACAGGGAGAGGAACATCACACACTAAGGCCTGTCGGGGGTGGAGGGCTAGGGGAGGGATAGCATTAGGAGAAATACCTAATGTAGATGACGGGTTGATAAGTGTGGCAAACCAGCATGGCACATGTATACCTATGTAACAAACCGGCATGTTCTGCACATGTATCCCAAAACTTAAAGTATATTCTTTTTTTTTTTTCTAAAAAAAGGGACATATAGTAAATTATTTCAGCTATATGGTCTCAATCACAAATATGCAACTTTACCATTGTAGTGAGAAAGCAGCCATAACCAATATATAGGTGAATAAATATACTGTGTTCCAATACAAGTTTATTTATATAAACAAGAATGGGACAGATTTTGCCTTATTATTGACTGACCCCTAAATAGGCAAATAGCAAGCTATGCCCCATTTATTAACGCATTTGAAGATAGCATTTATTTTGTTGGTAATGTATCCAACTAAATCCTTAGTTCCATTTTACATGAAATGCTGATTAGTGATGACATTTTAAAAAATTTAAGTGTATCTACCCACATTTGTATTTTCCTTATATTTGCCATTTATATACTCCCTCTTTTCTGACATTAGTAGATCTGTTAAGCATGCCATCAGTGTTTTCTTTCAAATTGCTGATGATAATGTTGGATAGCAGAATGATATGCATTAAGAGTTTCAGACATCTCTTTCACAGTTCAGCAAATGCACATTTATTGAGAAAAGATTACATACCAAGCGCTAAATTAATCATTGAAGCTTTAACAACATCCAGGATGGAGCACTTGCTCTTTGGAACTATGCAGTACAGATCAGTATTTAAAGTTTGGAAGTGAATCAGAGTCATGAAGGGAGCTTGTTCAAAGTGTAAATTCCCGTAGAACACCTCGAGTAATTCTAATTCATTTGGTTTATGGTGGGACTAGAGCCAGGACATGTTTGTTTATTATAGAACACACACACAGGTGATTTTGATACAGTCCATGATTTGGAACCCAATACTATTTTTTTTAGAAGAGATGTCATTAAGACCAATTTCCCTATCTTGCCTGCAACAGTATTCTGAGAAGTTTACCTAATCCATGGCTAACTTCAAACTACACTCTGTGTATGCACTGGCCTCCGATTTCTAAGATTATATTCCTATTTTTAATGTGAGGTTAATGACTTTCACTTAATCTTTCTTAAGTAATCACAAATAATAAATGTTAACAGTTACTAAAGCTTCCTCTACTCCAACAGAGTGCTCAATACTTTACACATATTGCTCTATATAAACCTCAAACAATCCCATGATATAGCACTATTATTAACCATCTTTTACAGATTAATAAGCTGAGGCCTAGAGAGCTAAATAATTGCCCAGGGTCACAACACCTACAAGCAGAAAAGCAAGAGTATAAACACAAATTCATACAACCTAGCACCTGCTGTAAATCATTCTTCCTTACTATGTCTCTACAACTTTTCAACATTTTTCTGGATTTTATTGGATTTAAATGAGATTATTAAACCAAGTGATCTGGACTACATCATTTCTTACTTAAAAAAGGCATCTTGAACCAGAAACAAAATAATACATACTGTATTATTTTATTTATAGAAAGTAAAAACAAGCAAAATAAATTCAGGCTAATTAACATCAGGATAGTGGCTACCATTGGAGGGGGTAGTGAGTGAAAAGGGGGGGGGTTAATTAAGGGGGCATGAGGGGGCTTCTGGGATGCCCAGTATGTTATATTTATGATCTCACTAGTGTTACATGGGTATGTTTGTTTGGAAAATTTTTGAGATGTGTAATTACCTTTATGTTTACTATATTTAAATAGAAAGTAAAAATATACTTTGTGCATGCCTGTCTACCAAAAATGATGTATTGGGGTATATTTAAAATTATACATAAACCAAATGCTTTGGAAAACATTATTCCTATGGTTCTAAACTCTGGATGCTCATTAAAACATTAAAACATTCCTGGACATACACATTCTCCTAAGTCTAAACCAGGAAGAAGTTAAATCCCTGAATAGACCAACAATAAGTTCTGAAATTGAGGCAGTAATTAATAGCCTACCAACAAAAAAAGTCCAGGACCAGACCAATTCACAGCTGAATTCTACCACGGGTACAACAAAGAGGAGATGGTACCAATCCTTCTGAAACTATTCCAAACAATAGAAAAAGAGGGAATCCTCCCTAACTCATTTTATGAGGCCAGCATCATCCTGATACCAAAACCTGGCAGAGACACAACATAAAAGAAAATTTCAGGCCAATATCCCTGATGAATATTGATGCAAAAATCCTCAATAAAATTCTGGCAAACCGAATCCAGCAGCACATCAAAAAGCTTATCCACCATGACCAAGTCGGTTACATCCCTGGGATGCAAGGCTGGTTCAACATATGCAAATCAATAAACATAATCCATCACATAAACAGAACCAACGACAAAAACTACATGATTATCTCAAGAGATGCAGAAAAGGCCTTCGATAAAATTCAACACCCCTTCATGCTAAAAACTCTCAATGAACTAGGTACTGATGTAACATATCTCAAAATAATAAGAGCTATCTATGACAAACCCACAGCCAGTATCATACTGAATGGACAAAAGCTGGAAGCATTGCCTTTGAAAATCGGCACAAGATAAGGATGCCCTCTTTCACCCCTCCTATTCAACATAGTATTGGAAGTTCTGCCCAGGGCAATCAGACAAGAGAGAGAAATAAGGGTATTTAAATAGGAAGAGAGGAAGTCAAATTGTCTCTGTTTGCAACTGACATGATTGTATATTTAGAAAACCCCATCTTCTCAGCCCCAAATCTCCTTAATCTAATAAGCAACTTCAGCAAAGTCTCAGGATACAAAATCAATGTGCAAAAATCATAAGCATTCCTATACACCAATAATGGAAAGCCAAATCACAAGTGAACTCCCATTCACAATTGCTACAAAGAGAATTTTTAACCCTATGAATTCAACTTACAAGGGATGTGAAGGACCTCTTCAAGGACAACTACAAACCACTGCTCAAGGAAATAAGAGGGAACACAAACAAATGGGAAAACATTCTGTGGTCATGATTAGGAAGAATCAGTATCGTGAAAATGGCCATACTGCCCAAAGTAATTTATAGATTCAGTGCTATCCCCATCAAAATACCATTGACTTTCTTCACAGAATTAGAAAAAACTAAATTTCATATGGAAGCAAAAAAGAGCCTGCATAGCCAAGACAATCCTAAGCAAAAAAAAACAAAGCCAGAGGCATCACACAACCTGACTTCAAACTATACTACAAGGCTACAGTAATCAAAACAGCATGATACTCGTACCAAAACAGATGTACAGACCAATGGAACAGAAACAGAAGCCTCAGAAATAACACTACATATCTACAACCATCTGATCTTTGACAAACTTGACACAAACAAGCTATGGGGAAAGGATTTCCTATTTAATAAATGCTGTTGGGAAAACTGGCTAGCCATATGCAGAAAACTGAAACTGAGACCCTTCCTTACACCTTACACAAAAATTAACTCAAGATGGATTAAAGATTTAACTGTAAGACCTAAAACCCTAGAAGAAAACCTAGAAGAAAACCTAGGAAATACCATTCAGGACATAGGCAAGAGCAAAGACTTCATGACTAAAACACCAAAAGCAATGCCAACAGAAGCCAAAATTGACAAATGAGATCTAATTAAACTAAAGAGCTTCTGCACAGCAAAAGAAACTATCATCAGGGTGAACAGGCAACCTACAGAATAGGAGAAAATTTTTGCAATCTACTCCTCTGACAAAGGGCTAATATCCAGAATCTACAAAGAACTTAAGCAAATTTATAATAAAAAAATAACCCCATCAAAAAGTGGGCAAAGGATATAAACAGACACTTCTCAAAATAAGATATCTATGCAGCCCACAAATGTAAAAAAAAAAAAATGCTCATCATCACTGGTCATTAGAGAAATGCAAATCAAAACCACAATGAGATACCATCTCACACCAGTTAGAATGGTGATCATTAAAAAGTCAGGAAACACCAGATGCTGGAGAGGATGTGGAGAAATAGGAACACTTTTACACTGTTGGGAGTGTAAATTAGTTCAACCATTGTGGAACACAGTGTGGTGATTCCTCAAGGATCTAGAACCAGAAATACCATTTGACCTAGCAATCCCATTACTGGCTATATACCCAAAGGATTATAAATCATTCTACTATAAAAACACATGCACATGTATGTTTATTGCAGCACTGTTCACAATAGCAAAGAGTTGGAACCAACCCAAATGCCCATCCATGATAGACTGGATAAAGAAAATGTGGCACATATACACCATGTAATACTATCAGCCATAGAAAGGATGAATTCATGTCCTTTGCAGGGACATGGATGAAGCTGGAAAACATCATTCTCAGCAAACTAACACAAGAACAGAAACCAAACACCGCATGTTCTCACTCACAAGTGGGAGGTGAACAATGAGAACGCATGGACATAGAGAGGGGAACATCACACACTGGGGCCTGTCAGGGGTGTGGGGGCCTGGGGGAGGGATAGCATTAGGAGAAATACCTAATGTAGATGACTGGTTGAGGGGTGCAGCAAATCAGCATGGCATGTGTACACCTATGTAACAAACCTGCACGTTCTGCACACATACCCCAGAACTTAAAATGTAACAAAATAAATAAAATCATATGAAAACATTTTTAGAACTCTACCTCAGAGATTTTTATATTAAGTGGAGCAAGGGTATTTTATTTTAAAAGTCTACGAGGTGATTCTTATATGTAGCCAGGTTTGAGAGTCACTGTTCTATTCTACAGAATGCTCTTCTAATTTTCTGCACATTTATGTAGACCAGGAGACGAGGAGCTGAATGGCTCGGGCTCTAGTCTTGTAGATCCTTGCAGAAACAAAGTGGAGGAGGAAGATGCATAGACATTGTGGGATCAAAGGAGGGGTAATTAGTTGAGTCAATATTCAGGGGTATTTAGAAAATAACATAGGCACCTAAGGCTTTTTCCTGCTTACATAAATAAAAATAAAATGACCTTTAATAATTTTATTTCATCTAGGATTACCAAATTAAAGGCCTAAGATCATTGTCTATTTGCCCAAGTCTCACTTCAATGTGCCATTATCTTTAAATATTGTATAGAGAGTCATTTCTGCAGCCTTTCCTTCAATTAATAATTCAGATATTTTATTGAGTGTTATTATGTGTCAGTCTCTGCTCTTTGCCCTTAAATACTACAATGAGCCAGACAAGCAAAGTCCTTGTTGTCACAGAGGTTATATTCCAATTAGGGAGGATATAATTAAAGAAGTAAGCAAGATAAATCTTTATTCATCCAGTCCTTGACATGCAGATACTGTACCTGAAAGATGTGTAATTCTTAAAACTCTGAAATAAAGGGATGATGATCTGTTTTACAATGATGACCAGTTTTACCTATGAGGAACCTGAGGTACAAACCCTAATCTGGCTGAGTCCAGCTCCTAACTTTATCAAATGTACTTCATTGACATCCAGAGTTGTGGTTAGTGCAGCTTTGTAGATGGAATGAGAAGGAAGTAGTTAACAAAGGACAACAAAATGAGCACTTTCTAGATGCGAGTCACTCTACTATGTATTGAGAGGCATGCGACTGAATAGCCGTTCATTTCTGCCTTCTTAGAATTTATAATGTAGTTTAGGAGATAAGATTCCATTTATTTCACACAGGAAAACTAGCTCATATCAGAACGTGAATGCTAAGTGCTAAATAAGATCAGATAATAAAGAGCATAAAATGTCAGAGGGGGGAGCAGTCTGTCCTTGCTGCACAGTGCAGTTTTTCTTAAAAGCAAATCTCATAATGTCCCTTATGTGTTTAAAATCCTTCAGCTGCCTTCAATCTACTCCAGCGTAGCTCATGAATTCCTTTGTGTAAAATAGGAGGCCCTTCATGATCTCCCCCGTCTCTGCTGCTCCAATCCCACAACCCTCCAGCCCCATCCACTCCATGCGTTACCTTTTCCAGGCAGCTATTTCTGATGACATAAACTCCCAAGTCTTCCTAGTTTGGGTACATTCATAGAGTATTAGATATAGTTCTCTCAAAGCTCTCAAAACACTGAATTTTGCTTATTACTTATACACTCCCCGTGCCTGGAGAATTTTGTAAACTCAAATTCCTTCCACAGGATACTTTCAGTAGACACAGTAGGCTGCCCACTCAATGCCCATTAACCCAGTCTTTCTTGTCAACACAAACTAGCTTTATCTAAGGATCCAGCTTTCAGGGAAAGTGACTATATTCTCAATTAAGGAGTCAATCCTAGATTAGCATATTGGTTTACTGCCAGTAACTTGTTTAGGAGTGGAAAAGTGACATAATTCTGGCCAATGAGACAAGAAAGGATGTCAACCGGATGGGGAGAAACGTCTGAAAAGATTTCTTCAGTTTTAAAAGGTGACACAGAGGAATAGACTTCTTTGGACAATATTATGTCTGGAAATGCTTCCGGAAAATGTGGCAAAAGAAATATATAAAGAACCTGGGATTTTAAGGTTTTCATTAAGTGAAATAAACTCTAGAATCATCTTACTTTGGGGTTTTTGTCTTGTTATCTGTAGTTAAAACTATTTTCAATGTTAGAAAATGGATTTTCTTTAAGAAGCTGAGAGTTCAAAATGGCTGATTTTTTATCTACTAACCAGGCTGGTGTTTTTCAAACAGTTTGCAAACATCCAGATGCCATCTGTTATAATGTGTGTGTATTTTTGAATCAAACAAAGAATATATTTTATTTTATTTAAAAAAGGAATAATTGGAGAACCTCTGAATACTTATGAAATGAGAATTCATAGCAGTTAATAAGCCCAAATAAAATGAGGTTGCTGATGACAGTCGAACTTTCATTTAATGTTGGGACCATCATAATTCTTAGTTATGTTGATTTTATTCTTAGTTACATATTATTTAATTTATACCCAGGATGAACAATTGGATAGATAAAAAAGACATAAGGAATGCTGGGCTGGGTGCGGTTGCTCGCACCTGTAATCCCAGCACTTTGAGATGCCAAGGTGGAAGGATTGCTTGAGGCCAGGAGTTCAAGACCAGCCTCGGCAATACAGCAAAACCCTGTCTCTACAAAAAATGCAAAAATTAGCCAGGTTTGGTGGCATGCACCTGTAGTCCCAGCTACTTGGTGGCTGAGGCAAGAGAATCGCTTGTGCCTAAGAGTCTCAAGCCTGGGAGGCTGGGAAGGTCGCAGTGACCCGAAATGGTGCTACTGCACTCCAGCCTGGGTGACAGATTGAGACAAAAACAAACAAAAAGACATAAGACATGCCAATGCTGAAGTCCAAGTTAGGGAGAAGTATAAAAACAATAACTGCAAATTTGCCTCAATGTGATATTCACATGAACCAGTTTCATAAGTTAACATTTATCTGTTCAAAATTCTGCTCAGCATAGAAAGATGCCTCTAGTAGTTTAAAAATTAAAGAGAGAAAAAAATCTGGTGACAATTATATCTAATTTGGCTTTTCATTTTGTTGAATAAAAACTACACCCCCACAATCTGTTATTTGAATAGTTTATAAATCTTATTTTAAAACCTTTCCTTTTATCTCATCATTAAAAAATGGAAATTATAGAAATAAGCTGATTGATTTTTGAAGTGCAAAATTCAGAATGTTAAACAATTTTGTATACTTTTATGTTGTATATATTTAAATGGCATCTCTAGGATTATAGTATGTAGATTTCTTGTCATTTTTTTTCTTTAGATATCATTTTAAAATTAGAAAAACTATGAAGGACTAAAATACAGACAGTATCTGGAATTCCCTTCACCTATTTTATTTATTCTTATGTAACCACTGAACAATTATCAAAGCTAAGAAATTAACATTGGTGCAATACTATTAATTAAACTTAAGACTTTATTTGTATTTTACCAGTTTTTTCATCTATGTCCCTTTTCTGTTTTGAGATCCAGTCCAGGGTCCTGCACTGAATTTAGTTGTCATTTCTCCTTGATCTCTAATCTGTGACAGTTCATTATTTTCTTATCAATTCATGACCTTGATACTTTTGTAGAATGACCTTCAATTTGGATTTGTCTGATGTTTTCTCATGATTAAATTGAGCTTATGCAGTACAGTACTGTGAAGGATAGCATAGAAGTGATGTGCCCCTCTCAGAAGGTACATAACGTCAACATATATTACTGTTAATATTAACTTTGATCACTCAGATAAAGTGGTATCTGCCAGGTTTATTCACTATAAAGCTACTATTTTTCCATTTGCAATTAATCAATATGGGGGTATGCCTCATAATTAACAAATATCTGGAGGGAGATACAATATTCCTGTTTCTGTATAAATTTTCACTCACTAGTTTTAGCAGCAATTAGTGAATCTTGCTTGCAGCAATTATTGTAGTATTGCTTCTCTTCTATTTATTTATTCAGCTTTCTACTGATAGTCATATGAACTCATGGGTACCTACATTATTCTTGGGGTTATAATCCAATATTATTATTTATTATGTTGCTCAGGTTGTGCCAATCTAAGCCATCATGAGTTCATACGGATACCTTTGACTCCAATCCAGAACCACAGGGCTCCTACTTGCATTTCTTCCTTATTTGTAACTTCTTTCTTCTAGAGAAATATAGATCTGGTTATCACAGCTATTTACTGATTTGTTTCAGCCTAGTAAATGTATAGTCTCAGAATTGATAAACTACACTTCTGGGAGAAACAAATTTACCAACTAGAGTTCAATAGTAGTATAAAACTATTTCTGGACCGGCCACAGTGACTCACGTCTGTAATCCCAGAATTTTGGAGGCCTATGGTGGGAGGATTGCTTGAACCCAGGGGTTTGAGACCAGCCTGGGCAACAAGGCGAAACCCTGTCTTTACAAAAAATACAAAAATAAGTTGGGTGTGGTGGCACATGCCTGTAGTCCCAGTTACTCTGGAGGCCAGAGTGGGAAGATCACTTGAGCTGAGGAAGTAGAGGCTCCATGATCATGTCGCTGCACTCTAGCCTGGGTGACAGAATAAGAACTTGTCTCAAAACAAATTTCTTTTTGTAGTATCTAGTTAAATCACTTTTTTTCTAAAATTACTTACTTGAGTTCATTTATTCCTTGCCCTCTTTATTCATTTGTAATGTAGTTTGTTTCATTTGTCACAGTCTGCATTTCATCTTTCCCTTCTCATCCTGGTTGATTCTTTAAAACTTACATATAATAAAATTTGTTCTTTGTGGAATACATGTCTATGGGTTTTGACAAATGCACGAAGTCATATATCCTCCACCATAGTTCTAGATGGAATAGTTCCATCGCCTTAAATATTCCCGTGTGTTACCCTTCATTTCTTAACTCCTTTGTTCATCTTCCAATCCCTGGCACATTGATCTGTCTTTGGTTCCAAAGTGCCATATAAATGGATTAATGCATTATGTAGCTTTTGAAGTCTGGGTTCTTTCACCTAATAAAGTGAGTTTAGGTTCGGTCTATATTGTTGTATGAGAAAAATGTTTATTTCTTTTAATTGCAGAGTAGTATACAGTTGTATAAATGTACCACAGCTAGTTCATGCATTGACTGGTTGAATGAGGCATAACTGAGTTGTTTTCACTTATTGGTGCTGTTGAATAAAGCTGACATTAAACACCCATGTAAAGATTTTTACGTAAAAATAAGTTGTCAGTGCTGTTGAATAAATACTTAGGAAAGTTATGCTAGGTCATATAACAAATGTATTTTTAAGTTTACAAGTAAATGTCAAACTGTTTTCTAAAGTGGCAATATTTTGCATTTCCCCCTGCAGTGTATGGGAGCACCAGTTGCTGTACATCCTCACCAGCACTTATTGCCTTTTAAACACTTATTATTATTATGCCAGGCATTCTAATAGGTGTGTAGTTGTATCCCATTGAGTTTTAATTTGCATTTAATTAACACTTCCTTAATGATACATCGTTTATGTCCTTAGCTAACATCTATATGTCTTCTTTGATAAAGTGTCTGTTCCAATCTTTTGGGCAATTAAATGAGTTTTTTGTTTTCTTATTCTTGAGTTTTGAGAGATCTTTATATATTCTGGAAATAAGATCTTTGTCAGATATATAATTTGCAAAAAAATTCTCTCACTGGCACTTTGTGTTCTTATTCTCTTAACTATGTCTTTCATACAACAATATATTTTCATTTTGACAAGGTAGAATTTACCATCTCTTTGTTTTTGGGATCATTCCTTTACAGTCATATCTAAAAGCCCTCCCACTCAAGATTTTCTTCTTAAAGTTTGGTAATTTTACATGTTAAATTTAGGCCTATAATTCAATTAATTTTCATATAGATTGAAGTTTATATTTTTGCATATGGATGACCAATTTTTTTAATGTAACTTTTTAAAGAGACTACCCCTTCTCTACTGAATTGCATTGAACTTTTGTTCAAAATCAATTGACTATATTTGTGTGCATCTATTCCTGGAGTCTTCTGTTTCATTGATCTATGACTCTATTGTCTAAGCAATACCTTATTGTAGCTCTATAATATGCCTTGAAATCAGGCAATGTGAGGAGGTTCCAAGATGGCCGAATAGGAACAGCTCTAGTCTACAGCTCCCAGTGTGAGCAACGCAGAAGACGGGTGATTTCTGCATTTCCCACTGAGCTTTGAAGGGAACAGCTGTTCTCCCAGCATGGAGTTTGAGATCTGAGAATGAACAGACTGCCTCCTCAAGTGCGTCCCTGACCCCCGAGTAGCCTAACTGGGAGACACCTCCCAGTAGGGGCCAACTGACACCTCATACAGCTGGGTGCCCCTGAGAGACAAAGCTTCCAGAGGAAGGATCAGGCAGCAACATTTGCTGTTCTGCAATAGTTGCTCTTCTGCAGGCTCTGCTGCTGATACCCAGACAAACAGGGTCTGGAGTGGACCTCCAGCAAACTCCAACAGACCTGCAGCTGACGGACCTGTTAGAAGGAAAACTAACAAACAGAAAGGAATAGGATCAACATCAATAAAAAGGACATCCACACCAAAACCCCATCTGTAGGTCACCATCATCAAAGACCAAAAGTAGATAAAACCACAAAGATGGAGAGAAACCAGAGCAGAAAAGCTGAAAATTCTAAAAATCAGAGCACCCCTTCGCCTCCAAAGGATCACAGCTCCTCGTCAGCAACAGAACAAAGCCGGACGGAGAATGACTTTGACGAGCTGACAGAAGTAAGCTTCAGAAGATCAGTAATAACAAATTTCTCTGAGCTAAAGGAGGATGTTCGAACCCATCGCAAGGAAGCTAAAAACCTTGAAAGAGATTAGACAAATAGCTAACTGAATAAACAGCATAGAAAAGACCTTAAATGACCTGATGGAGCTGAAAACCATGGCACGAGAACTACATGATGCATGCACAAGCTTCAGTAGCCGATTCAATCAAGTGGAAGAAAGGGTATCAGTGATTGAAGATCAAATGAATGAGATGAAGCGAGAAGAGAAGTTTATAGAAAAAAAGAGTAAAAAGAAACATACAAAGCCTCCAAGAAATATGGGACTATGTGAAAAGACCAAATCTACGTCTGATTGGTGTACCTGAAAGTGATGGGGAGAATGGAACCAAGTTGGAAAACACTCTGCAGGATATTATCCAGGAGAACTTCCCCAGCCTAGCAAGGCAGGCCAACATTCAAATTCAGGAAATACAGAGAATGTCACAAAGATACTCCTCGACAAGAGCAACCCTAAGACACACAATTATCAGATTCACCAATATCCCTGATGGACATCAATGTAAAAATCCTCAATAAAATACTGGCAAACTGAATCCAGCAGCACATCAAAAAGCTTATCCACCATGATCAAGTGGGCTTTATCCCTGGGATGCAAGGCTGGTTCAACACCCTCAAATCAATAAATGTAATCCAGCATATAAACAGAACCAAAGACAAAAACCACATGATTATCTCAATAGATGCAGAAAAGGCCTTCAAGAAAATTCAATGGCCCTTCATGCTAAAAACTCTCAATCAACTAGGTATTGATGGGACATATCTCAAAATAATAAGAGCTATTTATGACAAACCCACAGCCAATATCATACTGAATGGGCAAAAACTGGAAGCATTCCCTTTGAAAACTGGCACAAGACAGGGATGCCCTCTCTTACCCCTCCTATTCAACATAGTGTTGGAAGTTCTGGCCAGAGCAATCAGGCAGGAGAAAGAAATAAAGGGTATTCAATTAGGAAAAGAGGAAGTCAAATTGTCCCTGTTTGCAGATGACATAATCGTATATTTAGAAAACCCCATCGTCTCAGCCCCAAATCTCCTTAAGCTGATAAGCAACTTCAGCAAAGTCTCAGGATACAAAATCAATGTGCAAAAATCACAAGCATTCCTATGCACCAATAACAGACAAACAGAGAGCCAAATCATGAGTGAACCTCCATTCAAAATTACTTCAAAGAGAATAAAATGCCTAGGAATCCATGTTACAAGGGATGTGAAGGACCTCTTCAAGAACTACAAACCACGGCTCAACGAAATAAAAGAGGACACAAACAAAGGGAAGAACAGTCCATGCTCTTCCATGCAATTCCATGATATTGATACAAAGAATCAATATCATGTAAATGGCCATACTGCCCAAGGTAATTTATAGATTCAATGCCATCCCCATCAAGCTACCAATGACTTTCTTCACAGAATTGGAAAAAACTACTTTTAAGTTCATATGGAATCAAAAAAGAGCCCGCATTACCAAGACAACCCTAAGCCAAAAGAACAAAGCTGGAGGCATCATGCTACCTGACTTCAAACTATACTACAAGGCTACAGTAACCAAAACAGCATGGTACCGGTACCAAAACAGATAGACCAATGGAACAGAACAAAGCCCTCAGAAATAATACCACATCTACAACCATCTGATCTTTGACCAACCTGACAAAAACAAGCTATGGGGAAAGGATTCCCTATTTACTAAATAGTGCTGGGAAAACTGGGTAGCCATATATAGAAAGCTGAACCTGGATCCCTTCTTTACACCTTGTACAAAAATTAATTCAAGATGGATTAAAGACTTAAATGTTAGACCTAAAACCATAAAAATCCTAGAAGAAAACCTAGGCAATACCATTCAGGACATAGGCATGGACAAGCACTTCATGACTAAAACACCAAAAGCAATGGCAACAAAAACCAAAATTGACAAATGGGATCTAATTAAACTAAAGAGTTTCTGCACAGCAAAAGAAACTACCATCACAGTGAACAGGCAATCTACAGAATGGGAGAAAATTTTTGCAATCTACCCATCTGACAAAGGGCTAATATCCAGAATCTACAAAGAACTGAAACACATTTACAAGAAAAAAATAAAACAACTCCATCAAAAAGTGGGTGAAGGATATGAACAGACACTTCTCAAAAGATGACCTTTATGCAGCCAACAGACACATGAAAAAATGCTCATTATCATTGGCCATCAGAGAAATGCAAATCAAAACCACAATGAGATACCATCTCACACCAGTTAGAATGGCGATCATTAAAAAGTCAGAAAACAACAGGTGCTGGAGAGGATGTGGAGAGATAGGAACACTTTTACACTGTTGGTGGGAGTGTAAACTAGTTTGACCATTGTAGAAGATAGTGTGACAATTCCTCAAGGATCTAGAACTAGAAATACCATTTGACCCAGCCATCCCATTACTGGGTATATACCTGAAGGATTATAAATCACGCTACTATAAAGACACATGCACACGTATGTTTATTGCAGCACTATTCACAATAGCAAAGACTTGGAACCAACCCAAATGTCCATCAGTGATTGACTGGATAAAGAAAACGTGGCACATATACACCATGGAATACTATGCAGCCATAAAAAAGGATGAGTTTATGTCCTTTGCAGGGACATGGATGAAGTTGGAAACCATCATTCTGAGCAAACTATCACAAGGACAGAAAACCAAACACCACATGTTCTCACTCATAGGTGGGAATTGAACAATGAGAACACTTGGACACAGGGTGGGGAACATCACACACCAGGGCCTGTCATGGAGTAGGGGGATGGGGGAGGGATAGCATTAGGAGAAATACCTAATGTAAATGACAAGTTAATGGGTGCATCACAGCAACATGGCACATGTATACATATGTAACAAACCTGCACATTGTGCACATGTACCCTAGAACTTAAAATATAATTAATAAATAAATAAGAAATCAGGCAATGTGAGTTCTCAAAATTCCTCTTTATTAAAAAAATATTTTGGCTATTCTTTTTCTTTCCATATAAATTATAGAATCAGCTTGTCAATATATATTTTTAAAAGGCTGCTTTGGTTTTAAATAAGATTGCATTAAAACAGTAGATCAAATTTGAAAATACAGATTTAAAATATTGAGTCTTACAATCCATGAACAAAATATATCTGATTTTGGGATCTTTAAAAAAATCCTATCAGTGTATTTTATTTTTCAATATACAAATTCTACATATATGTTGTTAGATTTATAGCTAAGTACTCCATTGGTGGTGGGGTTGTTTAAATGTGTATTTTTAAAAATTTTGAATTTCAATCCTTCATTACCAATATATAAAAAATTGATAGTTTTATATTGAGGTGTGTGTGTGAGAGAGAGAGAGAGAGAGGGAGAGAGAGATGGAGTCTTGCTCTGTCACCCAGGCTGGAGTACAATGGCACAATCTCGGCTCACTGCAACCTCCACCTCCCAGTTCAAGTGATTCTCCTGCCTCAGCCTCCCCAGTAGCTGGGACTACAGGCGTGTGCCATCATGTCCAGCTAATTTTAGTAGAGAGGGGATTTCACCATGTTGACTAAGCTGGCCTTGAACTTCTGACCTCAAACGATCCACCCACCTTGGCCTTCCAAAGTGCTGGGATTACAGGCATGAGCCACTGAGCCCAGCCTATTGAGCTTTTTATCTTGCAATCTTGTTAACTCACTTTCTAGTTTGAGAAGATTTGTAAATTCACTGGGATTGTCCTGTTATCTATAAATAGAGACAGTTTTCTTTTTTCCAATTTTCCTGCCTCCTCCTCTCAACCCTCCACCAACTCCCCCACTTTCTTTGCATGATTTCACTGGCTGGAGCTTCCAGCACAATGTTGAATGGCAGTGTTGAAAGAGTAATATTTCATTTTCTTATTGAAACGCTCTTAGGGGTAAAGCATTTGGTCTTTCACCGTTCAATGTTAACTGTAGATTTTTTGGTAGGTCCCACTTTTAATGTTAAGAAAATTTTCTTCTATTCCCAATTTGCTGAGAGTTTTCATCATAAATTGATGGTGGATTTTATCAAATACTATTTCTGTATCTATTGAAGTGATATATTTTCCTTTATTAACTTTTATTCTTATATTCATTATTTTTCTTCTCTTTCTGCTTTCTTTGAATTTAGTTTGTCTTTTTCTGGTATTTAAGAAACTTGTTTTTCATAATGGTTGATTTGAGATCTTTCTTCTTTTCTAAGTATTTATGCTATATATTTCCTTCTAAATACTGCTCCAGTTGCATCCCTCACATTTTGACAAATTTTATTTTTTACTTTTAATCAACTCAGATATTTTTAAATTTCCATGGAGACTTTCCCATTAACCCTTGGGGCATTTATAGGCATATTGTTTGTCTTCCAAATATTTAATGCTTTTCTAGATTTTTTCTGCTATTTACACTTCTAGTTTAATTGTATTATGGATTATATTTAATAAAATACACCACGTATTTGACTATAGTCCAAGCATATACTTTGCATGATTTATATTATCTAAACTTGTTTAAGTTTGTTATGACCCAGAATATGATATATCTTGGAGACTATTTCATGTTTCCTTGTAAACAAAATATATTCTGCTGTTGGGCAGAGTGTTATATAAATGTGAATTAGGTCTAGTTGTTTGACGGCATTCTTTAGATCTTCTATATCTTTACTGATTTTCTATGTACTTTTGTATCACATTTTGTGAAAGCCAGACACTGGAGAATGAGGAAAATTTTTTATGCCTGGAAATAAGCATATCTTTCTGATAGGGATTTAATGTGGGTATTTGAGTGTTTCTATTTTGGAGGTTGACTGGGTTTAAGGTTTTATTATTTTTATTTATTTTTATTGCTATGGTTACCTTCAGAGCACCACAGCCATCTAACTCCTGTAGTGACTGTGCTTGGGGCTGAGGAGCAGTATCTGCTTCACCCTCAGCTTCAGGTCTTCTCTTTGAACGTTGTGCTATTCCTCAAAGAGAATCTTTTGTAGGTCTCTCAAGAGAATTTGGCTGTTACTGGTTACTGGTAGCTTGTTGGTTGGTCAGTGGAGGGAATAGCATGGCAAGCAGAGTGGAGAGTCTCCCTGGATTTGGAGCCAGTTGATTGCCCTGCTCCTCTTTCTCCCATAGATTTGAGAAAAGTCATGAATTTGCAGCTTATTTTCACTTTTGTTTTTTTAACTGTGAGGGTAGGAGCAACACTCTTTCCAGCTTTCTTTGTCCTTAAACAGAAACCAGAAACTGTCTAGGAAGGCATTAAGGGACAATCTGGTTGAAAGATAGGCTTGCGGATCTTGCCTTGAAACTGCAACTGGGTAGCATTTTATTTAAGAGTAACAAATCCTTTGTCCAAATTAAAAAATGAGGCATATGAAGACACAGTTGATGGCAACTATAAAAGGAGAGTGAAAGCTCCCTGCCACTCTATTCCCCACTTGGTTACTGTGCCCAAACCACTAAAAAATCAAAGCTCCTTCTCTCATTCTTTAACTGAATATATATATATATATATATATAAAAATATATAAATATCTATATATATAGAATTATTTACATATATTTATATATATTTATATAGATTATATATTTATATATATTTTTATATAGATTATATATATTTATCTATATATATATTTCATTCTCCCCATCTCTGATTCCCCATTACCAGTTTCTGCCTCTATCTTTGTATCATTTTATCTGTCTTCAACTCCACCTCACACCATCAGTCCTTGGTAAAATGGTTAGAGTCTCTTTCCTCCACTTTATGTATATATAAAGTTCACCATACAGTGAACTTGCTAAACTACAGGAGCAAAAAGGGAATTATGTCCCTTCTATGCCTTGGGGGAAGGTTGACATTTTTTATATGCAGCCATTAGGCACCCTGTCTCCATTAAGTAATCTACACAAGAGTGGTATCCTCATTCCCCTCCAGCTCTTTCTACATTGGAATCCTGTCAGATGGTACAGTTGATGATATGGTTTGGCTGTGTCCCCACCCAAATCTCGTCTTCAATTGCAGCTCCCATAATTTCCATGTATCTTGGGAGGGACCTGGTGAGAGGTAATTGAATCATGGGGGTGGGTCTTTCCGATGCTGTTCTCATGATAGTTAATAAGTCCCATGAGATCTGATGGTTTAATAAAGGGAGTTCCCCTGAACACACTCTCTCACCTGTTGCCATGTAAGATGTGTCTTGCTTACCCTTTGCGTCCAGCCATAATTGTGAGGCCTCCCCAGCCATGTAGACCCGTGAGTCAATTAAACCTATTTCCTTTATAAATTACCCAGTATCAGGTATGCTTTTATTAGTAGCCTGGGAAAGAATTAATATAGTAAATTTGTACCAGTAGAGTGAGGTGCTGCTGTGAAGACACCTGAAAATGTGGAAGCAACTTTGGAACTGGGTAACAGGCAGAGGTTGGAACAGTTTGGAGGGCTTAGAAGATAGGAAAAGATAGGAAAGTTTGGAACTTCCTAGAGACTTGGAGGGCTCAGAAGACAAGAACATGTTGGAAAGTTTGGAACTTCCTAGGAGTTGAATATTGATGAAATAGTTTCAAAAAATTTTAAAAAGTTTTGTGACTGTATATATAACTGTGGAAAGGTTTATGGCAGTATATATAACTGTGAAGAGGTTTATGAGTCACAAAACACTACGCTTGAATAGTGATATGGTTTGGCTCTGTGTTCCCACCCAAATGTCATGTCAAATTGTAATGCTGAATGTTGTCGGAGGGACCTGGTGGGAGATGATTTGATCATGGTGCTGGTTTCTACTGGTTTAGCACCATGTCCCTAGTGCTGTCTCATAACAGAGTTCTCATCAGATCTGGTTAAGAATTGTGTAGCACTTCTCCCTTTGATCTCTCCTACCATGTGAAGATATGGTTGCTTCCCCTTTGCCTTCCGCCATGATTGTAAGTATCTTGAGACCTTCCCAGCCATGCCTCTTGTACAGCCTGTGGAACTGTGAGTCAATTAAACCTCTTTTCTGCATAAATTATCCAATCTGTTACTTCTTTATAGCAGTGTGAGAACAGACTAATATAGAAAATTGGTACCAGAGAGGAGGGGCATGGCTATAAAGATACTTGAAAATGTGGAAGTGACTCGAACTGGGTAATGGGCAGAGGTTGGAACAGTTTGAAAGGATCAGAAAAAGACAGGAAGATAAAAGTTTGAAACTTCCTAGATACTTGTTGAATGACCAAAATGCTGATAGTGATATGACAGTGAAGTCCAGGCTGAGGTGGTCTCAGATGGTGATGAAGAACTTAGAGAGAACTGGAGTAAAGGTCACTCTTGCTATTCTTTAGGAAAGAGACTGGCAGCATTGTATCCCTGCTCTAGAGATCTGTTGAACTTTGAACTTGAGAGATGATTTAGGATATCTGGCAGAAGAAATTTCTAAGCAGCAAAGCATTCAAGATGTGGCCTGCCTCCTTCTAAAAGCCTACACTCATTTACATAAACAAAGAAATGATCTGAAACTAGAACTTATATTTCAAAGAGAAGCAGAGTATAAAAGTTTGGAAAACATGCTGCCCAATCATGCAGCAGAAAAGAAAAACCCATTTTCTGGAGAGGAATTCAAGGCTGCAGAAATTTGCATAAGTAAAGAAGAGCCAAATGTTAATAGCCAAGATAATGGGGAAAATAACTCCAGGGCATTTCAGAGACCTTCATGAGAGCCCCTCCCATCACAGGCCTGGAGGCCTAGGAGAGAAAAATAGTTCTGTGGGCCAGGCCAGAGCCTTGCTACTTTGTGAAGCCTTCAGACATGATGCCCTATACCCCAGCTGTTCCAGCTCCAGTTGTAGCTAAAAGGGCCCAAGGTACAGCTTAGGCATTGCTTCAGAGGGTGCAAACCCCAAGTCTTGGTGGCTTCCATGTGGTGTTGGGCCTGCAGGTGTTCAGAGGGCAAGAGCTGAGGTTTGAGAGCCTCTGCTTAAATTTCAGAGAATGTGTGGAAACACCTGGATGTCCAGGCAGAAGTCTGTGGCAGGGGCAGAGCTCTCACAAAGAACCTCTAAAAGGTCAGTGCAGAGGGGAAATGTGGGGTTGGAGCCGCCGTACAGAGTCCCTACTGAGGCACTGCCTAATGAAGTTGTGAAAAGAGGGCCACTGTCCTCCAGACTCCAGAATGATAGTTCTATTGACAGCTTACACCATGTGTCTGGAAAAACTGCAGGCACTCAATGCCAGCCTGTTAATGCAGCTGCAGGGGCTGTACCCTGCAGAACCACAGGGGTGAAACATCCCAAGACCTTGGGACCCCACCTCTGTGTCAGTGTGGCCTGGATGTGAGACATGAAGTCAAAGGAGATTATGTTGAAGCTTAAAGATTTAATGACTGCCCTGCTGGGCTGTGGACCTGCATGGAGCCTATATAGCCCCTTTTTTTGGCCAATTTCTTCCATTTGGTATGGGACCACTTACCCAACACCTGTATTCCCACCATCGTATCTTGGAAGTAACTAACTTGTTTTTTGTTTTACAGGCTCATAGACAGAAGGGACTTGCCTTGTCTCAGATGAGACTTTGGACTTGAAGTTATTGCTGGAATGAGTTAAGATTTTGGGGGACTGTTGGAAAGGCATGATTGTGTTTTGAAATGTGAGAAGGACATGAGATTTGGGAGGGGCCAGGGTGGAATGATATAACTCTGTGTCCCCACCCAAATTTGACATTGAATTGTATTTCCCAATGTTGGAGGAGGGACCTCTTGGGAGGTGATTTGATCATGTGGGTGAATTTGCTCTTTGCTGTTCTCATGATAGTGAGTTCGTTCTCTTGAGATTTGGTTGCTTAAATGTGTGTAGCACTTCCCCCTTAGTGCTCTCTCTCTCTCTCCTGCCACCATGTGAACATATGTGTGCTTCTCCTTCACCTTCCACCATGATTGTAAGTTTCCTGAGGCCTACCCAGCCATGCCTCCTCTACAGCCTGTGGAACTGAGTCAATTAAACCACTTTTCTTCTCTATAGCAGTGTGAGAATAGACTAATACACATAGGTTGTAGGCTAATGTGCCTGGTGACTTAGTAATTGCTAATCTTGACTCCTACTCACTTGCTCTGAACCTTTGCAATGGCCTGTTACTCTTATACCTGAATTTTATTTGCACTGAAGGCACTTCCCCACCGGGGATTTCATGGCTGCCTGCAAGGCATACTGTTTTTCTTTTTGTTCCATAATGACTTCTCATTTCTGTGATCTGCATTCATAGGTCAGCCTTGTTCCTCCTCCACTGCATTGCAGGCCTCCAGGTAACAAGGTGAGGTTTAGAAGTGTAGCTTCCTCTGGTCTAGGGGAAGGATTTGGATATCACTGTGTCCCACATTCAGTAAGAGCAAATAAAAAAACAAGCTAACAAACTAGCTGGAGTCATAGCTAGAAAAGACTTCTCAAAGAAAAATAACTTGAGCAAACTTTTGAAGGATGATTATATCTAAGATTGGTAGAAAGGTAAAGTAAATTCCTAAAAAAATACATAAATCCCTGTATATCAGCATTTCTTCTCTGCCAGCCTTTCTAATATGCAGCAAATGGTGGTGGTGCTAATGGCCAATTTCACTATAAATTTTCTTCCTCATGTAACCTCCTCCTTCATTCTCAGATATTTTAATGTTGCTTATGTTGATTCTCCAATACTGCAACCCCCTCCGTGTTTCTGCACTGTGCAGTCATGTGGCTCAGTTTTGCTTCTGCATCAGTAGTCACCCAAATTGGTATATGCCTGATACCTTTCATATCATACTTGTTATGAGGCACTGTCTTGCATGCATGATACTTACTCTTGAATTTGATGAGAACTTTATTTTTTTCAACATTTCTCTCTTCACCCAAACCATTTATTTATGATTTTATTTTGGGGTGTTTTAATGCTGACTAACCAGTGCCTTAATTTCATGGACTCTTCAGTAAACTAGCTAAAGTAATATATCCAGGAATACCGCATTTCTGGAGCATTTTTGCCATCTCTGAATCAGCACCCTAACCAAGGAACTGCAGCTGGAGAGAATATCAATACCAAGCTCTCTTGGCATATTACAGCAAAAAAAAGTTTATTAATCTTCTACTTTACAGAAGACACTCTACTAATTAACTCATCTTACTACAGTTGGCTTTCTTGATGGTCTAGTGCTATGGTTTGAATTTTTCCCCCAAAGTTTATGTATTGGAAACGTCATCCTCAATGCTACAGTGTTGAGAGGCAGGATCTTTAAGAGGTGATTTGGTCATGACAGCAGACCAGAGAACAGATTAATTCCTGTTATAGCATGTGTTCTCTTGCCATTCTGCCTTTGGCCATGAGATCATGCAGCAAGAAGGCCCTCACCATATGGGCCTCTCGACCTTGGACTTCCAAGCCTCCAGAACGAGAATATATCTCTGTTCTTTATAAATTACCCAGTCTCAGGTATTCTGTTACAGTAGTACAAAATGGACTAAGACAACCAGCAATCTTGTAAAAAATCTTTTATATGTAGCAGTGGTTCCAACTGGTCAAGTTAGACTGCATTTACCTTAGATTCAAACACATAACAAATGGTCATCTGACAGTCTATTTTCAAAAACTGCTGAGGAGACTCTTGAGGGTAAAACAATCAAAAGAGTAGACAGCACCAAGACACATTAGATTTTTCTAAGATCAAAGCTCTGGAGGCTGAGGGGGCAATTCTAATCATAACACTATATCTGTCATTCAGATTGCCTTGTATCCTAGCCCCAGGGACTTAAACCTCAGTCCTTGAGGGAGAGATCTACAATAAGAGAGCCAGTAATGCTCCAAATCACCATGGGACACTAACTGCAAAGTGGCAGCACAGGAGTCTTTGGAGAACCTTCCTAATCTATGTAGTCATGACCACTAAGGTCCCTGACCTCATTTTATACATACAAATGTAACCTCATTGTTGCATGGAATATTTCATAAAGATTTTTTCCCCTCAAATTTTCAAAAATTATATCTGATTTATATTTTTAAAAGCTCTAAAGTATCTCTAACAAGATAAAAAGGTAGAATTTTCATGTTCAAATTTACTCCCAATGTTTAGACATTAAATTTGAACACGAAAGGTCTATTTTTAAAAATTAAACTTGTAAGTTCATAGAAACAAGCAACAGTCATGTTTTGACCATTACCATTTCTTTTTGTTTTGATTGCTTAATTACAGAAATACACGTGGATTGTTCATTTATTACATATATTACTCCAATGTTTACATTTTTTGAATAGAGTAAAATTCACACAGATGCAGATTTTATATACATGTTTTTTACATATATATACACACACACACACACAAACACACACACACCCTACCTGTAACCACAACTTCAACCAAAAATAAAATATTTCCATTACTTACCTCAGCAATTTCCCTCATTCCCATTTCTAGCCAATTTTGCCCCCTAAAAACACTAGTAATTTTCTTTCTCTAATGATAGATCGTTTTGCTGTTCTCAAATGCCATGAAAAGGAATTACATAGTATTTACTCTTTTGTGTGTCTCGCTTCTTTTACTCAATGTAATGTTTTGGGGAATGATTAATTTGTTAAATCTCTAACATTTTTTTTCTTAAAGAGTTTCCCATTTCAATATTTCATTGCAATTTGGTCATCCATTCCCCTAATGGTAAACATTAGAGTTGTTTCTTGTTTTAGGATATTATGAATAAAGATGTTTCAACCAAACTTGTGCAAGTGTATCATGAGCACATATTTTTCATTCTTTTAGATAAATACCTGCGGTAGACAAAATAATGGCCTCTCAAAGATGTCCACATTAAGTTTCTAGAAGCTGCGCATATATTAGCTGTAACTAAGGGGAATTCAGGTAGCAGGTAGAATTAATTGCTAATCAGCTAACTTCAAAATAAGTAGCTAATCGTGTATTATCCAGGTGTTCCTGGATACAAGCATCTTTAAATGTGAATGAGGGAGGTAGAAGACTGTGTGTCACAGTGATGTGATGTGAAAAAGACTTGACTGACCAGTGTTAGCCTTGAAGATGGAAGGGAGCCACAAGCAAAGAAATGTGAGCTGCCTCTAAAGGCTGGAAAAGGCACAAAAATGAATTTTCCCCCAGAGTATCAAGAGAGGAATGCAGCCCTGTTGACACCTTGGTTTAGCCAAAGAGGACCCATTTCAAACTTCTTTTTTCAGAATTGCAAGATAACCACTTTGTCTTAAGCCACTAAGGTTGTGATAGTTTGTTTTAGCAGCAATATGAAAGTAATACAATATCAAAAAGTGGAAAAGCTAAGTCATATGGTAGGCATATGTTTAATTTTATAAGAATTCACCAATTTTTAAAAAATCATACCAATTCGCACTCACTCCCACTGGCAATACATAAAAATTCTATTTCTCCACAACCTTGCCAACATATAATATATTGTCATTATTTTTGTTTTGAGACATTTTGTTTGGAGTAAAATAGTATAATATTATGGTTTAAATGTGTCCAGTGACTAAGGACATTGGGCACATTTTCATGCAGTACTTTTGTCAATTTATACGTCTTATTTTGAGAAATGTTCAAGACCTTTGCCTATTTTTAATTTTGTTGTTTGCTTTTTATTCGTTGTTAAGAGTAGTTAATATATTCTGGAGATAACTTTTTATGAAATACAGGGATTGTGAATATATTCCTCCATCTATCTCTTATTTTCCATTTTCTTTATAATATCTGTTGAGTAAAGATTTTTAATTTAAGTTCAATTTTTTTTTATCCTGGCTAGAGTGCAGTGGTACAATCAGAGCTTACTGACGCCTTGAACTTCTAGGCTGAAGCAATCCTTCTGCCTTAACCTCTCAAGCAGCTAGGACTATAGGTACACAACATCATGCCCAATTAATGTTGAAAATTTTACAGAGAAGAGGTTTCGCTATGTGGCCCAAGCTGGTCTCAAACTCTCGGCTTCCCACCTTGGCCTCCCAAAGACCTGGGATTACAACAGTGAGCCACTGCTCCTGGCCACAATTTATCTTTTTTAGTTCAATATTTAGAGCTCATTGTAACCTGGCTAAAAAATATTCACCTAGCCCTAAATTACCATATTAACTCTTCTACCTCTTGTGGTAGAAACTTTATAGTTTTAGCTTTTAATTTTTGTATATGTTGTGAGGTAGGGAACAAAGTTCACTGTTTTCCTTAGTTTTTCTAGTTACTGCAATACTATTTGTTGAAAAGATTTTCTTTTCCCCCAATAAACTGCATTAGCATCATCTGACCATATAGGGAGGTGCTTATTTCTGCGTGAACTATTTAGTTCTGTTGATCTATTTGCTAATTCATATTCAAGTGCCACGATGTCTCAATTATTGTCACTTGACAGTAATTCTTGAAATTAAATAATGCAATACCTCCAAGTTTCTTTCCTTTTGGGGGGATTGCTTTGTCTATTCTAGATATTTTATTCTACGTAAGTTTTAGAATCAGCTTTTCAATGTCTGTGTTAAGATTTTTATTGCAATTGCCTTGAATATATCGATTAATTTTGAAAGAATGAAAATATTGAGTTTTCCAATTCATGGACATGCCATTTTTCTTTATTATTTAAGTCTTTTTAAAGTTTTCTCTCAACAAAGTTTTACTTAATGTCTTTTGTTAAGTCTATTCCTAAGTATATAAAGTATGCTTTTTCATGCTACTAAATGGCTTACTAATGTTATTTTTCCAATTATTTATTGCTAATATATAAAAATCAATTGATTTCTCCGTATTGGCCTTTTTTCTTAAAATATTTCTAAATTCTTTCATTAGTCATAGTATCTTTTTCTGGTTTCACAGGATTTTCTACAATCATGTAATCATGTCATCTATGAATAGACAATTTATTTCTTTTGTTCAAATCTTTATATCATTTCTTTTTCTTTGCCTTATTGCTTATTGTAGAAGCTTTAGTAGAGCATTTATTAGAAGTGATAAGAGTGAAACCCTTGCCTTGTTGTTGATATTAAGGAAAAAGTATATCAATACTAAATATAATGTTAGCTGGATGTTTTTCACAGATATCATTTATATATTTATGAAGTGTTTTCCCATGCCTAGTTTGGTGAGAGTTTGTCATAAATGATGGTTATATGTCAATTTTTTGTCTCAATTAAGACAATTATATAAATTTCTTAACAATATGAATCTTTTTTTAATTTGTCACAATCTTACAATTTTGAGATAAATTCCATTTGATTATATGTTCTTTTTATATAATGTTGGATTTGCTAACATTTAACATTTTTATAAGTATTTCATAATACATGTTGTTCTATAATTTTATTTTTTATTCATGCCCTTATTTATTATAGTTACATGGTTATGCTGGCCATATGAAAAAATATAGGAAATGTTGCCACCTCTTCCTGTTTCTAAAATAGTTTGTGTAAACTTGATATTAATCATTATTAAATATATGATAGAATTCACCAGTGAAGCTATCTGGACCTTAAGGTTTTTCTTATAGGAAAGTTTTTATTTATGAATTATATTTATTTAATAGGCATAGGATTATTCGGATTTTCTATTTATTCTTATGTCAGTTTGGGGGAGTTTCTGTTGTTCTAAAATTTTGTCTATTTCATCTAACTTGTCAAAGTGTCTTCTATTGGCACAAAGTTGTTAATATCCCTTTTTAACTGACTATGATGTACTTAGATGTTGTTTATCTGACTTATGGTTCTTGGAGTTCATTGAACTTCTTGAATCTGTGTGGTATTGTTTTTCATCAAATTTGGAGAATTTTCATTCACTTACTCAATTTTTTATTCTGATGCATTCTTAATCATTTTTGGGGACTCTAATTATATTTGCTCAATATTTTCTCACAGGCCATTAAAGTGCTGTTAATATTTCAAGTATTTATTTTTCTCTCCCAAATTCAATTTGGATGTTATTGACCCTTTCTTCTGCAGTGTCTAATCTTTTTCTAAACCACTCAGTAATTTTTTTATCTCAAATAATTTGAGTTTTAAATTTTTAATTTATTTTTATATTTTCTATTTCTTTGCTGAAATTTGTCCATATTTTTCTTTAAATTTTTGCATGGGTTTATAATAACTCTTTCAAAAATCCGTATACATTATCTCTAAAATCTGTGATTTTTGACATTTTTTATTGGGTGCTTTTTTTCTGGATTATGGGTAATATTCTCCTGCTTATTCTCCTGTCTGGTAGTTTTTTTTTATTGTACATGTTACTTTGCAGGGAGTCTGATTTATGTTGTTTTTATTTTAATCTTGTTAAGTTTTGTTTTATCAGACAGTTAATTTATGGATAGATTGTCTTACATCTATTGGTGTTGGTTCTGTGCTTTGTAGGGTAGATTGATTTCAGTTTTCTCATTAGATCTAGGGTATTTTCATCCCCCTAGGACATCATGTTTCTGGAATCTTAATCAAATGCCTGAGTTCTTCAGTGAGGTCTCTCCACCCCAACTGGGTCAGAATTCGTCATGACATCTTTTAGCCCTGTGCATCCTCTAGCACCTCTGTACTGCTCTTAGCTCCCTCTAGAAGTCACTCTGCTAGGCCTTTTGGACTTAATGCCCATGCATAAGCACCCTAGCTCTCAACCAAGGTCACAGATAAACCCTCATACAAATTTCTGGGCTGTCTTCTCCCCACAGAAGCCTCATTTTTATATCTGCCCTTCCAGTTCCCTCAAATTCTTATCTCTATCACTTCAGCTCCAGAAGACTCTGCTTTCTACTTGGAATCCATCTCCCTACTGCAAAGTTCCAGAAATTGTCTCAGGCATAAATTTGGGGGGTTAACAAAGCCCATTTCACAGGTTTCTATATCTCAAGGATGATAGGGCTGCTCTGTTTCCAATGCCTGAAATCAGTTGTCTCTTATATTTTGTCCAGTTTTTATAATTATTTACAAAGGGATGTAACATTAATATCAGCTAACTCCAGTTACTGGAAGCAGAAGTCCTCTAGCACTTTATTTTGAGCAACTATTATGTATAAAACACTATGTGGGAGAAAATTTTCGCCACCTACTTATCTGACAAAGGGCTAATATCCAGAATCTACAATGAACTCAAACAAATTTACAAGAAAAAAACAAACAACCCCATCAAAAAGTGGGCAAAGGACATGAACAGACACTTCTCAAAAGAAGACATTTATGCAGCCAAAAAACACATGAAAAAATGCTCACCATCACTGGCCATCAGAGAAATGCAAATCAAAACCACAATGAGATATCATCTCACACCAGTTAGAATGGCAATCATTAAAAAGTCAGGAAACAACAGATGCTGGAGAGGATGTGGAGAAATAGGAACGCTTTTACACTGTTGGTGGGACTATAAACTAGTTCAACCATTGTGGAAGTCAGTGTGGTGATTCCTCAGGGATCTAGAACTAGAAATACCATTTGACCCAGCCATCCCATTACTGGGTATATACCCAAAGGACTATAAATCATGCTGCTATAAAGACACATACACACGTATGTTTATTGCGGCACTATTCTCAATAGAAAGAATTGGAACCAACCCAAATGTCCAACAATAATAGACTGGATTAAGAAAATGTGGCACATATACACCATGGAATACTATGCAGCCATAAAAAATGATGAGTTCATGTCCTTTGTAGGGACATAGATGAGTTGGAAATCATCATTCTCCATAAACTATTGCAAGAACAAAAAACCAAACACCGCATATTCTCACTCATAGGTGGGAACTGAACAATGAGTACACATGGACACAGGAAGGGGAACATCACACTCTGGGGACTGTTGTGGGGTGGGGGGAGGGGGTAGGGATAGCATTGGGAGATACACCTAATGCTAGATGACGAGTTAGTGGGTGCAGCGCACCAGCATGTCACTTGTATACATATGTAACTAACATGCACATTGTGCACATGTACCCTAAAACTTAAAGTATAATAATAATAATTAAAAATAATAATAATAAAAAAACACTATGTTAATCATTATGGAGTATAAAGAAATGAAAAACAAGTTCTCATCCATCTAGAAGAGATAAGAAAGGTGCATATATAACTAAAAGACACATCAACTTTCTTTCAGTTCCTGGAATACACCAAGACATTTCCTACCTCAGATTTTGCAAATGCAATTATCTCTGCCTTGAAAATTTTTCCTTCTATTCCTAGCCTGAATTACTTTTACTCATTCATCAGACCTTAAAATGTCACTTACTCAGGAGTGTCTTCTCACATTCTTGTTTTATTTAATATTATTTTTTTCATAGCACACTCTAGTTTTCCAATACAAGTCTTATCACATTTTTTTCTATATTTCTGTGCTTATTTAACTAATATATATATTAACTTACTTATTCTGTGCTTATATATTCTTATTTCTGTGCTTTTTAATATATCTATAAACTAATATATCTATTTCTATATATTTTGTAACTGCAAGACTAACTTCATTTTCTTCATTGCTGTCTCTAGATCTATGCCAGTATTGAAAAATACTGTGCATAAAAAATATTTCTTGAATAAATGAATGAAGGATTTTATCAGTGTCACAATCAGCATAGAAAATGCATGAGACCCTCACTTTCTATCGGACTGATAAGAGAAGGTCTTCAGAGATGGAATTTTAAGAGGCAGAGATGGGAAGAAGTGGCTTTCTAGGCAGGAAATTGGTATGAGTTTAAAAAGTGCAATTCATATTTCAGGAGACAGCAACTGGACCTGTTTTGCTGGAGCAGAGAATTCATTAGGATGCCAAACAGAAATAAGCCTTGTAAGGTAAATTGAGTTTAAATTCTTGATCTTACCAGCCTAATAATAATCATCAGTTTGTAAAACATGGATCCTTAAATAATATTAACAATTAGTACCCGCAATATTTTTTCTAAAGATATTTTTAAAAGATAAGTATTAAATAAGAGTCTTACCAAAAACTTTATAAGATCCTGACTGAAACACATGATACCAATTTTAGTCCCTATATTTGAATTTCCATTTTGTTGAGGAAGATGCCCAGAAATGTGCCTGAACAGCTGCTCTATGTGAGATGCAATAAAGAGTAAATTTTTCTGCCAGTGGTTCTTAAATATATTAGTATTAAATCACTTGCTTGACATCTGAAAAGCCATAGAACGGGATATTTAGGAGAGCTGGTTGTAATATAGTTCTTAGAAACCCTCTGTGGTTATCTTCTTATGCCTGTGGGAGAATGGCCTAAAACCACAGTGAATGCTTATAAGGGTTCCATGAAAATGGAGAGAAGCAGAAGTGAGGTGGGCGCTGGGTAGAGGAAACTAGACTCCACACTCACCTCAGGCTCTCGATATATGCATGCTCCAGTTACTTTCCCCAACTGTAACTAAGCACGGAATTATAAATGAGTGTCTACCCACTACCCCATGCTGTTACTTCTCAGAATAGTGCAGCTGAGGTTTCACCAGGGCAGTCAAAGCAACCTCCAGGAACCAATTAGTCTATTTCTATTGCTGGTAAAGCCCACTCAGTCACAAGGGATCGTACTCAAGCTCATTAACAGCACCCTCCGCAGTCCACTTAACAAAATGTACAAAATTTCCCTCAATTTTGCCTTTTCGAAATAAGCGTTGTGCTATAATTTGAAAAGTTAAGTGACATTACTCTTAATTTATGTAGTCCAATGTGAGGAATTCTTTACACAAGATGATCAGTAACCAACCATACTACAAAATAATTTCATCTTTTTGGAGCACCACATTGTAGAAAAGAGACGGTGTGGCTCTTAAGAAACTCACTGACTGGGTGGCATTAGCTGACTGTGCCATGAAAGAATCCTCAACTTGAAAAGTTCCCCTCATCTCAGGTCTCCAAAGCTGAGCTGACCTAGAAAGACTGGTTCTTCTTCCTAACAACTAAATGATACTCATCTTTCTCATCAAACCAGATCCAGATCCCCTGCTAGATAAGTCTTTTCTTCACACTGCTAACTTCATGACAATAGGAAGGTAGGAGAGAGTCACAGTAAAGACTGTGGACTCTTTGCGAGCCTAGATGCCTGCCTTTGAACCCCAACTCTACCATTTATTAGCATATGACTTGGGCAAGCTTTCAACCTTTCTATGTCTCAGTTGCTTCATATTTAAAATAGAAATAACAGGTGTAGTGGCTCATACCTGTAATCCCAGCACTTAGGGAGGCAGAGACAGGTGGATCATGAGTCCAAGAATTGGAGACAGCCTGGGCAACATGGGGAAACTCCATCTCTACCAAACAAAAAAAAAAATTAGTCTGGAATTATAGAGCACCACTGTAGTCCCAGCTATTTTGGAGGCCGAGGTGGGAGGATTGCTTGAGCCCAGGAGGTTGAGGCTGCAGTGAGCCATGGTCATGCCACGGCAGTTTGGCCTGGGTGACAGAGCAAGACTCTGTCTCAAAAACAAAAACAAAAAATAGAGATAACAATATCTACCTGTCGCATAGGATTGTTTTGAGGATAAAATAAGGTAATTTTAGAGAAATTTATATGTAAAGCATTTAAAATAATGCCAGCAAATAGTGAGCAATATGTTAATTATTATTATCATCATGATTTTTAAGTATACATTTATTTTACTTGGCTCATTCATTAAGCATTCAAACTATTTATTCAACACCTACTATGTGCCAAGCATGCTGTTGGATATATCAACGAATGAAACCTCTCCCATTAAAGAGCTAACATTGCAGTGAGGGAGAAGAAAATAAATAATCCAAGTGATAAGAAAATTATATAGTATGTTAGTGCTTTTTAAATAGAAAATAAAATAGAGCAGAATAAAAAGTATAAGTGGATTGTAATTTTAAATTAGTATGGTCAGGGAAGGCCTCATTAAGAATGTAACATTTGAGAAAAACTTGGAGCAATTTCTGGGTGAAGATCATTCAAGTCATGAAGAACAGCCCTTGCAAAGGTCCTGAGGTTTGAGTGTATATGGTCTGTGGAAGGGCCGGGAAGCTGCTGTGGCTGGAGTAGAGTAAGCAAAGAGAAGGGATGAAAAGATGAAGCCGGAGGATGGGGCAGGGCAAAGACACAAGCTTTTGCTCTCAGTAAAATGGAAGCCATTGCAGAATTTTCAGTAGGAAACTAATGTGGTCTGACCCTCATTCTGAAGGCATCACTGTTGCTGCTCAGCTGAAAATAGGCCATGCAGGAAGGTGGGAAGACTAAAAACAGACCTGCTAGGAAACTATTGCCAAAATCCACGTGTGAGATGAGTGGCTCAGAGCGAGGTAGATGCAGAAAAGACATTGAGATGTAATCAGTTTATTGACACATGTTGAAAATAAAGATAACAGAGATTTCCTGAAGGAATGTTGGCAGGAGCGGCATGGAGAAACAGGATCATAACTATCTCTCTCACCCACTGGAAAACTGGCAGTGACCATATTTCTTGTTGATTACTGCTAAATCTTTGACAAGTAGCAAAATTCCTGGCACATAGTTGTCACTAAAAATATTTGTTCGATGAAAGAAAGGAAAACAATATTCTAGGAGATAGAAATTTAAAATAGAATATTTATTTTTAATCAGAAATCTTCTTTTTTGCTCTTAGCCAGAGCAGTATTTAAGAATCTGGGAAGTCTATTAGTAACCAGTAGGTTGACTGGTACAGATGAAATCAGAAAATAGAGAAGAGAATCTTAATAGATAATTTTACTGGGTGAATAAAACCAGGTGACCTGCCCTGTAGTGTACTCTTATCTAGTGCCCGGAGTCACTGTTGTTCTTCCCTAGATAGTATTTAAAATAAATGGGCACTTCTAGCAGTCTACCTTTTGTGTAAACCAGCCTACATTTGGATTGTTCATATTCTTTAAATGTGTAATTATTATCAACTTGGTTAGCTGCAGGCCTTGCATGTAGAACTACTTCATTTTTAAAAAGTTTTTGCATAGCCTAATTTTGTTAATTTTCTATTGGTTTTCTTTAGTAAACCATTGGAGAAAGGCACATTGGACTGAGAATTTACATCTAAGCAGTGGTATTTGTTTAATTGTTTTTCTCCTTTTTAATAATCGTTCTGCAGCAAATGTATCAGCAAGGTTTGTTAATAAGTTCTTTAAGCTACCAATAATCTCTTGCCTCTTTCATACTTTATGCCTTTTTGATATCTGCCATTTGCAAGTATAAAGTGGTGTCAGCTCTTTCATTTTCTTCATAAGAAAGTATGATGCCTTTTTAACAGTAAGTAGAAAATGTGCCTTGGTCAATTATTTTTTTCAGTAATCAAATGAACTTTCCTTCCCTTATTCACATTGTGGCATGGTCCTCCCTGTGACCTGAGCACACACTTGTGCCGTTCAAATCTGGGAACAGAACAAGGAAACTCAGGTTGAATCAATAAATTTGTTTGTATTAGCGTTGAGAGCTCAATATGTCCTCATAGATGATCAGGGTATTTTTAAGTTAGCTAAATATAAACCATGGATTTTGCACATACTAATATTTAATGAACATCCTTCATGCTCTCTAGAATGTTATTATGGAGTGATTTATCATGAAATAAATAAGGCATCAACACTACAAATGCATTGCAAATTTCTCTTGTACATTTAAGCTATACAGCTGACCACAGGTTTTCTTTAAACTACTGTCCAACTATGCTAACTGGTACAATAAGACCAATTTCAACACCCATTTGACTACTTTGAAACCAAATGGCAGCTATCTCACATTGAGGATCTGGGATATTTTAAGTGATTAGCTCCTTGGGAAAATAAATATGGTCATGAAATACATAGAATTGTTATAGCTTTCAAAAGCACTGGGCAGCCTGGGTCTGAAATGACTTGCCTCCTATGCATACTTTTTTTGACTAAAAAAATCCAATTACTAAAGACTGGAGGGACATAACGACTGTGTGTGTGTGTATGTGTGTGTGTATATATATATATATATATACGTGTATATATATGTGTGTATATATATGTGTGTGTGTATATATACATATATATATATATATAAAATACATATATAATGCCCAATGCCTCCTCAATAAAGTAGTGTCAGTCATAAAATTATACCAATTAGAAGTGAAAACACCTATTAGGCATAAGGTCATTTTAGGGGCTTGAACCTATGAACTACGATTCCAAACTTCTTAAATACCAAAAAGAAATGCAATAGAAAGACAAATTATCTTTGATGAGGTAAGAGGGATATTGTGCAATAATGAAAAAAATCCTTGATTAAATGCAGCATTGCCATGCATCAACAGCATCATTAGCTGTTAGGCTTCAGGACTTTTAATAAGGAATCAAAGACCAGATGAGAATGATTTAGAATCTATTATTCAGGAGGCAAGAAATTGGAATGATAATCATATCAAATGAGCCAAAAATAAGGGATTAAGAAAAGGTATTTAAAAGTGAGTAAGAATAAAATATACAAATTTAAGCAACAGCAAGCTAATACCTCATTACAATGACTTGGCATTTAAGATAGGCACACAATTTTAAATCTAGCCCTATGAAAATCACACTATTATTATGTATAAAGTCTACTAGATATTTTCTGTGCTTATAAAGATATTAGAAATGACTATTTAGCTATGGTAATATCTACAATTTTTCCATAAACGATAACTTTTCGAAGTGGCACAGTATAGGGCAAGTGAATATTTAATATTATTCTACTAAAAATCACAGTTGGTGACATATATCTACCTACCCTATATACTTACCTGCAATTTATCTGTCTATTTCAGTAACTTATATCTCTGTGCTGTAATATATGTCCCCACACGGAAAAGAAATGCTCCACGATTCTAAAATTTCCTAATATCTTTGAGGTTCAATGCATTTACAGAAATTCTCTGTGGATCTGTGATGTGTGGGGTTTTAATGCTTTCTTTTCTTGTAGTACACAGAAGTAAATCAAACATTTCAAGTACTGGACATTAATAACACCCCCATCCTCAAAGGAGGATTCTACTCCTAATGGAAAGATTATTCTCCGAACCTCATCAGCAGTGCCAGCCTCAAGGTGACTCACTCTCCCACCTGAACCTGCAGCAATTTCTTCCTCCACTGCTCTTGCCAGACATTAGTTGTTGCCATCCTCCACAAAGGGACATTAATAGTCTTGAAGGCAATATGCTGTTTTTGTTCTTGCTTTCTTGTCCCCTCCCTTGGAGCTCATTAACTTATATCTGCCCTCTAAGAGTATAACTAGTAATCATCTAAGGGGAGGTAGAAAGATCTTGCAACTTTACAGATAAAGAATAGAGGGAAAATATTTAAGTAAATTATTAAAACCAAGATAACTTATTATTCATAAACTGGAGATTAGCTATTCCAAATATCCTTAATATTGGTGATTGTCAATGTCATTTATTAATATATTTGAATTCATTCTGGATTCAAAGTGCAGTTACAAACACCATTTTCTCACCTCTTAAAATGTATATTCTATTGACAGAAAACATACACAAGGTTACCAGAGATGACAAAACATGTCAAGATAACGTATAAACAACTTGTCCTCTGGATAGTTCAACATGGTGCCCTTTAGCACTTGAAGGAGAGAAACTCTTTGTTTCCTGTAGAGAATATTGACTAAATTCAAGTGTATAACACATTCAGGCAAATAAACACTTATCTAGAATTGGAGATCTTATTCTTCAAGAAAACTAGACTCTTAAGTAGCTTTCAGGGTTACCTAAGGAGTTAAGACTAGGTTCTTAGAATACACAAAATAGGAAAATGAAAAACTATTGTGAAAGCATGCAGGGGTATACAATAGCCACAGCCTCCAATCCATTCCTGTGGAAATGCCTACACCTTGAGGCTATGAGTGAGTCGTGCTTCAAAGCACTGTAAAAATTTTCACTTTCTCTGTCAACCAGTAAAGAGCATTTAGTCACGTTGAGCAGAAAAATACTTTTCTATCTCTTCAGGTATTGGGCACAATGTTCCCTTTTGAAAAAGCCTTGACACCCCCTTATTTCTGTCTCCTCTGTTAGATATTGGGCTCAATGTTCCCTTTTGAAAAAGCTTTATTTGACACTCTTCCCCGAGTCATGACATTCCATGCCCCAATTTAAAGTCCCTTTATGCACTTAAAAGAAGATACTGCGAGATGTTCAGATGCCTATCGTGTGGGCTGCAATGATGATGATTCAGCCAAAGTTTGCAGAGAATATTGACATTCTTGGAGGAAGGGTGCCAAAGTATGCTGTACAGGCCTCTTAGGAAGTCCAAATCCTTCCCTTATGCAAAGATACTCTCAGATAATTCAGAACTGTGGTAATGTTATACTATGGAAGGCAAGAAAAGACCTTTTTGTTCCTGTCCACATAAGGCAGAGTACAGTTTTTTGATTACTATAAAAATCAAGTCCACAGAAATTCTATTTGCCCTGAAATTTTTCTATTGCGAAAACTAAACATGTGGACCTATTCCTTACAACCCCACTTACACCTATTTTCAGGTCTCCCACATGGTCACTTTTCTATAATGGGCACAGATTTCCTTTTAAATGCAACAAAAATAAGCTTCAAGTCATATTAATGATTGGGCATGTAGGCTGATGTTTATTTTATGGCTGCTTATACTGTTGAATATATCATTTGTATGAAAATAACATATAGCAAAAGCAGTCTAATTCCTTGCTACTCAAAGTTTGATTTGCAGGTTAACATCACAACATTACCTGGGCCCCACCCCAAAGCTACTGAATGATACACCTGCATATTAATAATATCCTCAGGCAATGTGTATGCCAAGTGACTGTTGAAAGCATTAATAGATCTCCAGGCCAACAGGGTTTGGAGAATATGGGCAAGAGGCTGGGACTACAAACTCCAATGAGATGTAGAAACAGAAAGCTGGAGAAAACTCTGCCTCCATGAAAAACAAATGTCTTCTTATAATTAAAACATTGATATAACCACAAGATTGACAAATAAGAATTGCACTCTGAATTAGGGACCTGAGCAAGACCAGTGTCAGAAAGTCAAGGTGAGTTGGAGGGCCTAGGTCTGCTAGGAGATGGCTGAATTATGGACCTCTAGCCAGAAGGGGCTGAGGGTCAATGAAATAGCTAGGGGAACAGTGACAAACAGCATCAAGGTCTTCTCAACAGTTCCCTCAGGTGCAGTTCAGGTGCATTAATCTTTTGTACCAAAACCTTGGTGTCAGATAAGAAGCCACATGAAGTCTACAAGAGACCTTGCCAGATTAGAGGGTTTGCATATTTTTTAAGGCTATTGATACATAAAACCAAACTTCCCTCCTAAATCTTTATGCCATTTTATGGTTTAACAAGCTGAACAGGAGAATGCCTGCTACCCCATACCCTGCCCAAAACATAGAACTTGGAGCTTAGAATTCAGGATGCTCTCAGAAAGGCCAAGGACTAGCCAAAGTACTTTAACTAGTTCCTGGCCCTGAGGAAGAGAGCATCAAAAAACATGTTATATAGTACCAATTTTAATCTCACAAAGTTTACCTCACAAAGTTCACTATTTCTTTTCATAGTAGGAAATAGAAGAATCCATGCTAGAGCCCTAAGAAAACAATGAAAGTCTACTCCAAACATTTTCCAACACTAGGTTTCACATCTCCTCGCTTCATGTAGCCCAGAGAAGATTCACTTTCTATCCTTCTCCTCGAAACCCTCATTGGCAGCCCAAGACAGGGTACCAGAACATACACCGGCAGAGCTCCAGGTGTACTGTATTCAGCTTCAGTACCTGACCCTCATGGGAGAGTTCAGATTGGAAGAGCAATTGTGAAAACCTGATGTCTGCCTTTGGAATGTGCCCAAGTACCTTAAGAACCTTCTATGCACTAAACCTGAGGCTATGCTCATTCTGATTCACACAGGAAAGAGCGAAGTCTAGCTAGCAGTGGGGTGTGTTTGTGTCTAAAGCTAGATTTGGAAGGGGTGTCTTTGAGTATAGTTAATTCTATCACCAAACTGTGTCTTTTATCCGTCCACTAATCTCTATCTTCATTACACAGATGAAGTCCAGATTCTCATTCATCAACCGATGCATGAAATGTTGCAACAGTGCCCTTAGAAGTTCATTTCCTGTTCTAGGATCTAACTGGACTAAGCTGATTATCCCCTACCCCACCGAAATGACTCAAGTATAAATTATATTCCACTGTATTTTTATTCAGTTTTAGTCTGGCCTGCTTAAAATAGACTGCCTTTTTAAATGACAAAACTCTCTTAATGCCAAAAATCATCTTTTTTTTTAATATGGTCAAATATGACTCCACAAAAGTTTGCCCTCCAAATTTGCCATCAAAATTCTTTTCTCCCGTGAGGATGATTTAGAAGCTATAATAAAGCAAATAAATTACAAGTCTTACAATTCACTATAACTCTTACATATAACATAGAAAATACATGATAATTAACTGTCACATTAAAACCAACAATAGCTTAAATGGGCGAGATGTATACAATAATGGACTTCTATGTACTTTTTATTATTCTGATGGTCCCTCTGTGTCTGAAAAAAGGTGTTTCTTTATAATATTAACCTTTGTGAATTAGGGATATCTGCAAATGTTTCATATGAGGAGATGACTGCAGCCAACATCTGATTCCTTCATTCCTGTAACTGACACCTCTCTGGAGAGCACCTAAGATGTTCTGGGCTGAAATATTTACCTAGTGGACCACTTGAGGAGTTATTTAACCTCACTCTCATCTCTTTTGTTTAGTAGCTCATCCATTATGACTCATTTTTCTCTAGCCTTCATCTTCTTAACTCAGGAATACTTCTTATATAATTCAGTCTATCCCGTTTGCTTTTCATGGTTTGTTTTGTTTAATTATTATAGCAATATTACCTAAATATGATTTGGTACTAGTTTTCCTTAAAAACGCACACTATTTAGGACATACTGGGGATGAATCTGGCTCTTTTTAGTTTGCCTGGAAAACTATTCCTGAGGGAAAATAAATTCAAAGATTCAATACCTAATTATAAATATGACATTGAAATGCAAACCACATGCAAGTTCAGGCATACTAAGTAATAAGTGCTTTCAGGCCTTATTGCTCCTACAAAGGAAATCTCTCCTGATTTGTCCCATCACCAGTTAAGTACATGATCAGAGTTAGCTTAACCTCAACACTTCATTCAGGTGGTATTGCTTCAAGAATTCTAATCGCATCCATAAATTACTCATTTATTTAATAAATTTATATTTAGTACATATTTTTGTGTTTAGCAGTTTTAAAAAATATGAGCTCAGCCCTATGTACCCCTTCAAACCAGACTATCTCCATCCCCCATTAAAAAGTGGAATACGTGATGGAATCTCTGAAGTGGATAATGCTGGAATATGTAATTTAGAATTTATTTCTAGGCAATTCTGATACACTTATCCATGCCCAGTTGAGAACCTTTCTATATCCTTGTTGAAAATATCATTAACTCCCATGGCTTTAAATAACATTTATTGGCAAATAACCGTCAAATATATATTTTCAACAGTTTTTGCCCGGAACTCCAAAACCATTTGCTTCTGGATTGTGTAGTTAAAGTGGTTCCTCACATAAAATATCTTCAAAACGAAACACGGGGTCATCTGTTCTACATACGAACGTTCCCTGGGGTATCCTATATCATTAGATATTTCTTTGCCTATAGCCACTGACATTATTCTCTTAAAAAGGCAAGGAAATAAAAGAATGTCTACTCCACAGACAGAGCAGCCTGAAACTAGTTATTACTGTCTTCTCCCCTTCCTGTAGCTTAGAACTTAACACCTTACCTTAGAGTCTAGTTAATTCTTTACCCACAATGTGTTTCTAATATGCCCCTTGCTCTCCATCTTCACAATTACTCCCCAGACGCTAGACCTTTAGCAACTGGTGTTTATATGATTGCCAAGTACCCTACTGCAGTCCCATCCTTGGTATTGTTCTTCAGTTATCATTCTTCAGAAGAAATCTGATCATTTCACTCCCTTACTTAAAATCTTTGAAGGTATCTTTATCACCCACCAGATTAAAGTATTTTGAGGGATGTAACATTCTCCAAAATACAGCCTTACTTTCTCTATTCCTTACATTTGAAACAGATAAAGTTTCTCCGATTTTCAGACACACACATTTTCACCCAAATGTCCTTGCATATTTGGGGCTGCTCTATTTACTTGGACAGTTTGGTCTTGAAATGCAGCTTAACTCTCTAATCTCAAATTTATAATGTGTAAACTGAGTATAGCAATAGCTATCCTCCAGATTTGGAGGATTATTAAATGAAGTGTTTATAAAGCCCTAAATATACATCCTAGTGCAAAATTAATGTTCAATAAGTGGTTGCTATTTAATGCTGTTTGTTTGTATCTGACAGTTTCAATTTAGCATTATATTGTGAATATTTCCCTCATGCCATCAAATCGTCTTTGGAAATATGATTATAAAGTGCTGCATAGTAATAAATCACATATATATATATCTTAATTTATTTTACCAAGTGCCTATTGGTGGACTTTTATATATTGTTTTCAACTCTTTATTCTTATAAATAACACTGTAATAAATACCACAATACATAAATCTTTGAGAATTCTTCCAAATATCTCCCCAGGATAAATTACAAGGAATGGAACATTTTAAGGCTCTAAAAACTTATTGCTGAATTACCCTCCAGAGAGGCACCAATTGATGTTCCCACCAGCAGCACATGCAGCTCCTATTCCCTGCACCCTTCCAACCATACATGATTTTTCCTCTCTCTTTCTTCACTAGTGTGGTGGTATCTTTGTTTTTGTTATAAGAACCAAACACTCCATCTTTAACCCATTTGATTCTTTTAGTAACAGAGAGGACAGAAACCCATCTGCCTTGCAGAATTTGGAGAGTTTTTATTTACTCCTCTTTTGTCTTTTGTTCTCATAGGAGTAGATTGTATATTTCAGACATTGTCCAAGGGGTTTACATTATGTTTTAAACCATTTCTTTAATAAACACCCCTGCAGCCCCACCAATCCCCAATAACTACCAACAAATATAAAAGCCTAACCCTCCATGTTGGAGCATTTTATGATTCTGACATTCATCCCCCAAACCCTGTCCTCAAAATGTAAAAATTCATATCCAATGATAAATGGTAGGGTAATTATCAGGAGTAATAGAAGGGACAAGACTACTTAACCTCAAAATAATTTTCCAGCTCAATCAAAGCTCTATTTGAATCCCTGGTATAAATGGTCCTTATCTAACATCAAGAGATCAGTTAAACACCAAAAATTGCATAAATCCTACTTATCAACTGGCAGAAGAGGAGATAAAGACTAAATGATTTTCTACACTGTTTACTAGCTAAGGAAATGCAGGGCGTTATAAGGCTGTAGTTCAATAGGATTATGTTTGTCTTACAGCCATTGTCTCCCCAGGGTCAAGCATATCGTAATCACTCAAAAAACTATTGAATAAAAGAAAAAAAAGACATATTAACCAGATTTAACTCTCAACTACTTTCACTTAAGCAGGGAGCCTTAGAATAGCTCTCAAAATTCTGATTAAACCTCAACAGGTTTAATTTGCATTTATTGGATTGATAGTATATAAACATAGTATTTAATTTCATTAGCTATTTGTATTGCTTTTGTGAAATATCATAGCATCACATGCTTTCATATGCTATGATATAGCATATGTTGCATGTATTTTTGAGCCAGGAAGTCTTCCTGTAGCCATTTAACCTAATGAAATAAATATAGAATTACATAAATAGAAAATGTATTTTACAACATTTACGTTTTTAAGTGTGCTTTTAGAAGCAGAAAAAAATGAAGGAAACCATCTATATCTAAACATATGGAGTTAATTACATGCACTATGACACATCTACACATAAGACTACTATTCTTTTATTAAAACTGACAACATAGAAGCACAAAGAAACTGCTTATAAAGTATTCTTAAGTGAAGACATTAGGTCACACAATTATATATGGAATAATGTCCCATCTTCTTTTTCTTGATTGAATCTGTCATCAACTATTTCATCAAATCATGCAAAGATTACTAATGACCTTGTAAAATGTAGTGTTCAGTTCAATACTCTTTCTGGACCTAACACCATCTTTTGACACAGGTGATTGCACCTTCCTCCTTGATACAGCTGTGGCACTTGCCTTCAGAACAACCAGACATTCTGTGTTGTCTTTCTTCACTGACAGTTCTTTGTCTCCTTTGTTTCTCTTCATATTCCCAATCTTAAAATATAAGAGTTCCCAGTTCTCAGTCCTTGGTTCTCTCTCCTCTGTTTCCACTCACTCCTAAGTGATTCCACCTAGGATTATGGCTTAACTACTTCCTACTTAGAGTGAGGGCTCCCAGATTTCAGTCCTTAGCCTGGACCTCTACCCTGAACTCTAGAGTCTGCAATCAGCTGCCTATTCATCATCACCAGATGGTCATTTTTAAAAAGGAGTTCTAATTAAACACATCAAAGCCAAACCCCTGATATTTTACCCTCAAGGTTATTGCTCCCACAATCTTCATCATATCAAACAACGGCAGCTCTAGATATTTGGGTTAATTATAATGGGGTGTGGTGGGTCAGGGTCCTAGGAGACGAAGAAGGGGGAAGTTGAAGAGAGAAAAGGAAAAAAGATATTCTGTTCTCCCAGTTTACTTCTAAATCTGTTTGACTATTAGGTCATCATAAGCTTAATTTTAGGCCTGTGTAGCATCAATTTCTGTAACATTAACTGTCAATGTTCTCAACAAAAGTGATTCCTGAACCGACATTAAAATGATCTGGTTAGTAACAAAATTCTAGCTTCAAAGTATTATTCCTTATTGACAGCACACATTCTACCTGATGGTGAACAATTTGAGAAATGGTCCATTTAACTTCAGGAGAAAGATGAGGATGTCCATGACTGCCTCATCTATACAACATACTGAAGCTCCTAGATAGCATCATAAGGTAAGAAAAAGCAATAAAGACATAGGGATTGGAATAAAAGAAACAAAACTTTATTCATTGGAATGAAATAAAACAAAAGCACCATTAACAGATGTTTTACCTACATCAAAAACGTCAAATAGTTTACAAACAAAATAACTACACTAATAAGATTAGCAAATTTGCTAAATAAAAGACCAAAAAAGGGAGGAAAAAGTCAATTGCACTTCTATCCACCAGGATTAGAAAATATAAAAATGTGTAAAGGATAAATTTACAACAGCAAAAATATGTATGTATAAGATACTTAGAAGTAAATCTAAAAAATAATATTGTTTACAAGAAAAATATAGGTCAGATACAATGGCTTATGTCTGTAATCCCACCACTTTGGGAGGCCAAAGCAGGAGGATTGTTTGACCCCAGGAGTTTGAGACCAACCTGGGCAATGTGGCAAAAACCCATCTCTACCAAAAAAAACAAACAACAACAACAAAAAATCCACAAAAGTTAGCAGGGTGTGGTGGTGCATACCTGTGGTGCTAGCTACTAAGGAGGATGGGGATGGGAGGATCCCTTGAGCTCAGGAGGTTGAGGCTGCAGTGAGCCATGATTGTATCACTGCACTCCAGCCTGGACAACAGAGCAAGACCCTGTCTCAAAAAACAAACAAATAACAAAAAAAAATATACAAAAAAGAGAAAGATATAATGCTTTATTGAAAGAAATAAAAGAATATATGAAGAAGAAACATGCTATGTGAATGGATAAGCAGACAAAATATCCTAAGGATGTCCTAAGTTCTTGTCAATATGATCTAAAGATTGAATGCACTTTCAACCAATCTCAATAAGAATGTACAGAAATCTCCAGTGACACATAATTTACCTATATAACAAAACTGCACATGTACTGCTGAACTTAAAAGTAAAGAATTTTAAAATTTGTATAGATGAATGGCTGATAATAACAAAAACTTTTTTTTTTTTTTTTTTTTTTTTGAGACGGTGTCTCGCTCTGTCGCCCAGGCTGGAGTGCAGTAACAAAAACATTTCTTGAATGAGATGTACATAATGGATTAAATACTTTAAAAGGTAAAATTTTTGAAAAAGTAAAGAACATTACCTTTATCTTTTCAAGAAAGAGAAGGATTCCTTCAGCAAAAATGTAAACCACAAAAGAAAAAATCCAAAAATTTAGGTATAATAAGATTAAGACTTTCTGATTCTCAAAGGAAACAAAGTTGTACATATGCAACCTAGGAGACTATATTTACAACACAACCCCTACCAAAAGTTTCATGTCCAGAACATATAAAGAAATTCTACAAACATTAAAAATGAAAAACAATCTCCAAATAAAGGGCAAAACATATAGCTCAAATATTTCCCACAGAAGGAAAAAAATATAGTCAATAAGCATTAAAAGCTGCTCAAACTCATTACCAATCATGGACCTGAAAACTGAAACCACAATGGGATACTCTCTCACATAAGCTCACAACTTTTTCTTTTTTAAATGAGTAACAAAAGTTGGTAAGAATGAGAATCAATAGAAACTCTTAAATACTGCTCTTGGGAGAGTAAATTCATACAAAATCATGGAATTATCTAGTAAAGCTGAAAATACACATATGCCCTGACCTAGTCTCATAGGTCTTAGATATGTCTTTGGTACTAGGTGCCAAGAAACAAATAAGAATATGCATAGTGGCCATATTTTCAGCAGCAACAATTATAAAACATATGTCCAGCAAGGAGAATAATTATAAAATATTCATGTGATAAAGAACTCTGACTGTGAAAATAAATGAACAGTGTACAATAACATGGATGAATCTTAGAAATACAATGTTAAATGATAAAAAACAAATCATATTAGGGCATATCTAGTATGATACCATTTGTATACATTTCAGAAGTTGGCAATATTAAATGTACATCATATAGGGGTAAAAGAGTCTATATAAGCTGGGAGCGGTGGCCCGTGCCTGTAATCCCACCACTTTGGGAAGCTGTGGTGGGAGGATTACTTGAAGCTAGGAGTTCAAAAAGTGAGACCCTGTCTCTACAAAAAAAAAAAAAAAAAATTAAAAATTAGCTGGGAATGGTGGCATGTGCCTGTAGTCCTAGCTACTCAGGAGGCTGAGGTGGGTGGATCACTTGAGTCCAGAATTTCAAGGCTGCAGTGAGCCATAAACATAAAACAGAGCAAATGTTTTTCTCTGCAGTAGATTGAAGGATATTGCCATAAATAGCACACAGGGGGATTTTACTGTAAGAATAATTATCTATGTAAGATTTGTTATGGATGCTTGGGTATACATTTGTTATTATTCTTTATAACTTACCTAGTCATTGCATATATGCTCTTGTATCTACCATGTATTTCATAATCTTTTAAAAATTATGATAGAACTTTTGGTTTCAAGTTTGTTATAATAAAACAAGGTATACTTTGGTCAATCAATTACTATTTATATGTCCTATTGACTATATTCTCAAACAAGAAGAGGCTAGAATATACTCAGGGTGGCTCACATGCCTATGGCTTCATCCCAAACCTTTCATCTTTTCAAAGTTCTATGTAAAAATGTCGTGTTGGAAGTCTTCCATTTGCCCCTCCACATACACCTCTGTGCCCTTCTACACTCTTATCTGCCATGGGAGGGTGACCTATATGGGCCACATGAATAAGTTTCCAATCTCTTTGACTTTTAGTTGATTGAGTCAATGGAGAGTCCCCAAAAGTGATTGGATGGAGGGAGGAGAGTGAGATGAAGGTATCTCTCATTCCTTCCCAATAGTATCGTCTCTAGCTGGCTATGTGTCCCTGGATTAAATGTCACTGTTCCTTTTCAAGGCTGCCAACTCTCCATAACTTCTTCCAGGTTCTGGTAACTTCCACACGCCTTTGGACCCAGAGGGCCTAACATCTGATGTTGACTCATTAAACCCTAGGTTGCTGTGTCAAATATGTGGTTCCCCTAAACTGATACCTCTATAAATAATCCCTTTGTAATAAATCCCCTTTTGAAATAGTCTATTTTTAACATGCCATCTATTTCTTCTTGAGACTTTGCCTGATATAAATGGAGAGAGATGGAAAGAAAATCAGGTGAGAAGACATATCAAAAGTTAAAAATTTATATAAAGCTATTCTGAGGGACAGTCAACTTTATTTAGAACCCAATGACCATCTTAAAAACGAAAAAAGAGGAAAAATGGTAAGAATGCAAGCAAGGGTCTTAATTCAGAGATATTTAACCACCTATACAGTAAGTCCTCATTTATCATCATAGATAGGTTCTTGGAAACTGCAGCTTTAAAGAAAATGACATATACCAAGACCAATTTTACCATAGGCTAATTGATGTAAGAAAAGAGTTAAGTTCCTATGGCATATTTCTGGTAACAAAAACATTACCAAACTTCTAAATAAAGACCTACAACAATTCTATTAAATGCTGAAATAAATGAACTATGCCTACATTTAAGAAAGATTAATAAAAATTATCTGCCCAATTTTTGGTGCATCAGTGAGTTACAACAGTCATGGTGGTGGGTTAATTCAAGAAATGAATGTTTGAAAAGAGAAAGTAAAGGGGTAAAGTGCATCTCCTACCACCATATCAAAACATGTTCAAAACAATCTTATAGGGGCTTGTTGAGCACTTTCCTACCGAATCACTTACTGTGATGCATTTGATTATATACGTTACAAATTTTCATTTTACGACAATTTGTATTCATTCATTCATTCATTCAAAATGCTTATTCCAAGTTCAGGATGGCAGGTGGTCAGGGCCCTTCTCAGCAGCTCAGGGCACAAGGTGGGAATCAACCCTGGAGCGGATGTCATCCCATTGCAGGACACACTCACAACCACACCACACTCACTCAGACGGGGACCATTTAGACACCGCAATTAACCTAACGTGTGCATCTTTGGATGTGGAAAGAAACTCAAGTACCCACAGAAAACTCTTCAGACATGGGGAAAATGTGCAAACTTGACAGTGACCCTAGCAGGGAATCCATTTTTTTTCCCCTTAATGTTATAACCAAATGACATTGAATTAAATGACAGTATTGGAGGACCTGCTGTATGTTAGCTCATTCAACAGGGAAATGGCATGTTGAATTCTGTTAGAGGAATATGATTCTAGTGGTAACTTTATGCAGAGTAAACTGTGACCCAAGGCCCTGGAAATAAGAGGTCCAGGACTTAGCAAGCCAGTGGTAAGTACCTTACTGACATCAGCCTTAGAATGCATATTTGAGAGGATATCCAAGTGTGGTTCTTTTACACTCTCAGTCTCACATCACAGTTTGCAGATTCTGATCTCGTCTGGCATGCCTCATCTGTGAAGTGAATTCCACCTGGATGTCAAGCAAAGTGATGACATGACACGACAAACAAAATGGGAATTCAGTAGAACAGCTCTTTTTGCTGCCAATAATATTTTAATTTGTATCCTTATCACCACTAATTGTTTTCTATCACACTGTTCAAGGCCTTCAGCAGCATTTTCATATTCTATTCTAGGTGTATTTCAAGTCTTTATTGCACCAAAACAAATACTCATTAGTGTCTTGCTCTGCCTCCTTCTAAATCCAGTCTTTTCATATTGTTCCTTTGCCCACAATAGACCCTGAAATGTCTCCCTGTTTATCACCATCTGCAGAATTAATTAATGTGCTGTTTTGCTCATCTTCTGGATGATTAATAAAGATGCTGAATAAAATCAAGCTTAATATCACAACTTGTGGCATCCAGTAGTCACCTTTCTCCAAGTAAACACAAATAGTTTGCTTTTGCATCTGTTCGTAGTCTCTTATGCTATTCTCAATCCATGTGAAGTGTGTTCTTGAGTCACTCCTGAGTTTGCAGTCTGAACCAGAAGTCACCCTCAGAATAACTCCTTCATGGATTATACTCCCTGTCATTACTCCAATGTTATGTACAAGGAAAGATGAAACGGATTTCTAAAATGATATATTCTATATTTTAATAACACTTTGGAGATTCTCAAAATGTCATTACAGTTACTATATAATTTGGCCTTTTCACAAGTAACTTTATAAAGCAGATTATATATTTCTCATGAGGAACCTGAGACTCTAATTTACAGAATGTTAATGATAGTTTCAGTCTAGGATTCTGAAATTCGTACTTGCTGATGCCTAATTTGGCGTTCTAATTAGTTAAAATATGAGACCTCGAGTTTAGATATTAGAAGTTTTGGGGAAAAAACTTTAACCATACCTTCAATTCAATGTTTGAGAGTGAAAGGTAGGGTTTATTTATTTATTTATTTAGAGACTGAGTCTCGCTGTCACCAGGGTAGAATGCAGTAGCACAATCTCAGCTCACTGCAACCTCTGCTTCCAGGGTTCAAGTGATTTTCCTGCCTCAGACTTCCAAGTAGCTGGGACTACAGGCATGCGCCACCACGCCTGGCTAATTTTTCGTGTTTTTAGTAGAGATGGGACTTCACCGTGTTGGCCAGGATGGTCTCGATCTCTTGACCTCATGATCTGCCTGCCTTGGACTCCCAAAGTGCTTGGATTACAGGCACGAGCCACTGCGCCCAGCCTTGAAAGTTAGGTTTTATAAATGCCTAGCAGTATGAATTTTAATTTTTCTCAATGCTTTTGTTTGTGGTGGTTCTTACTGAAACCAAACTAGGTATTAAAGGCAAATAAATCAGAAAATAAAAGGTAAGCCTTGTAAATATCCTCTTATAGGCAGTATATACTTGTATATATGCCCATAGATAAGGCTCATCTGTCTGTTGGTTTAACAGAACACTCACAATAATTCTGAGTCAGCTAGGCTTTTGTTAATCCCAGTTTATTATAAGTGGGTTATTCCAGCCGATTTTCTGCTTCATAGGAGAGGTTTTACTACTCCCCCCACTTAGGCCTGGTCTTCTCCCTTCTAGTGCTCAGTGATTGAACCCTGAATTCATCCAAAGGCCACAGAGACCTCTGGCCTCTATTAACCAGCACTCAGTTTCTTCTAAAGGGAAAAATGCCAGGAGCTGACAGCATATTCTTCACTTGCTCTTGCCTCTGGGATGATCTGCAGTGGAGGGTTTCTTAGCTTAGCAGTACCACTGATTCCCAACTCACTGCAGAGTTCCTTTATGCATGAGGGCCGTCAGGAGCTCCTGGTCATGTATGTGTGCAGGAGCTCTCTCTGCCCAATCCAACCATGATGATAAAGAGCCGGATGCAGGACAAGGACTAAAAATGGCAAAGGTGAGTATTCATTCATTAAGTTTCTGTCACTGGCCAGTTCTTAGACATTATTACAATTAGCTGTGTGACCCCCTTAAGGAAGTTACATATATTCAGTTTTTCTCATTTATAAAAGTACAAACTTCCACTGGCACAATATGTAATGTGCCAGAAAAGTAAAAGTCCTATCTTGCATGCTATACCTCATCTCTTCTATCTCTTAAGTAATTTAAATTCTCTACAAAAACTTATTAACCAAATTATTAAATTATAAAGGCATATGCCTTCTTTAAAGGGTATATACATATCTTAAGGAAACTAGTTTGGGTGAAGTTTTATCTATCTCGGAATAATAAGCAGAAAGTAAAGCATGCTTTGTTAGCTTCATGTTAAGAAACTTCTAAATAAAATTATTTACCAAAGATAAATAAAAATAAAATGTCTCAAACCCATTTTTTAAGGTATAGAGTAGGATTTGGTGCATAAATCCCATCATTTATTTCTCCCCAACAACCCTCCGAGTCCTGATTACAGGATCTAAACAAAAGGGCTGAAGCAAATGGAAAATCAGACTTCAGTATTATTGATGGTAAAGCTTGATCAGAGAATGTGTCAGGAACCTGAAGATAAAACGAGATATATTTTTCCCCCTCTCAGAGATGGCTAGGTCCACAGAACTGTATATTCATGCTAACCTGGTTCTGTGGTTCTATTTATCACTTCACATGATGTGGTTAATTTTATGTATCAACTTGACTGGGCTACAGAATGCCCAGGTATCTGGTAAACACTATTTCTGGGTGTGTCTGCAAGGGCATTTCCAGAAGAGGTTAGCATTTGAATTGGTACACTGAGTAAATCAGATGGCCCTCCCCCAATGGGGTCAGCATCATCCAACAGGTTGAGAGTCTGAATAGACTGAAAAATTGAATGAAAGTTGAATTCTCTTTCTGCCTTATTGCTTGAACTGATATATTGGTCTCTGCCCCCAGACTAGATATTACATCACCTACTTTCCAGTTATCAAGCCTTCAGACTCAAACTGGTATTGACATCACTGGCTTTCCAGGGTCTTCTTGCAAATTACAGAACATGGGACTTCTCAGCCTCCATAATCATAAAATAATTATAATTTATTATAAGGAATTCGGTAATCTCATTTTTTACACACACACACACACACACACACACTTTCTATTGGCTCAGTTTCTCTGGAAGACCCTGACTAATATACATGGATATCAGGAGAAATAAGTGAGCCACAGTACCTGAGGAGAGATGATTTCCTTCATGGGGTGGGATGAATAAGAGCAAGAAAGGGAAGTCAGATGCAAGGGGAGTCAGCGGAGGGAAGAGAAAAAAGGTTGAAGTTTTGTCCACCAGAACTTATAAGTTTTAGTGGTCATTCACCTTCTACAACTAAAGATACTTCCCCTTCTATAGCTAGAGATACAGGAGTAAGTAATAAATGGTTGCTTCTTATATCGTTGCCACAGTCATAAACCTTATATATTTGCTCGATAAAGTTGGTGTTGGAAGTTTTCCCAGTAAGAACACCTAATGAACAACCAGTTCTTTACTTAAAATTATCTAAGATATTTGGTCTCAGGAGGTGATGAAGGGTAAACAGTGTTTATTTAGCATTAACTTTGTACCAGGCACTTTACATATATTATCTCATTCCCCTCCTATCTAAACCATATGTTAGATACTGTCACAAATATTTTAGTGTTTAAAAGCCTGAGACAACAAAGGCAGAGAAAGTTAAGACAATTTGTCCAAGGTCACATAGATGGAAAGAGGGTATAGGCAGGGTAGGGATCCAGCTAGGACTTAACTCAGAGCCTGAGTAGCAGGCTACATATGTCCAGCAGTAAAAACAAGACGCAGACAAACAAAAGCAGACACATTCATACACTAGTAATTTATAATCAGCCACACTGGAACTGGGAAATATTCTCTGACAGAAAGAACCCCATCCATGTTTCAACACATATTTCTCTTGTCTATCTGCCATATTGAAAGGTGACAACGTGCTAGCAACCCTCCCTGGGGATAACCAAGGCAGAGCCAGCTCCCTCTGCTAGTAGGGAGGTGTGGAGGGAGAGGCACAGGCGGGAGCTGGGACTGCACGGGACGGCGCTTACGGGCCGGCACAGGTTCCCGGTGGGTGCGGGCTCTGAGGGCCCTGCACTCGATGCAGCAGGCAGACGCCTGCTGGGCTTGATCGGGTGTCAAGCTCCCTCTGGGCTGCCAGAGTGCCCGGGCTAGGTGCCGCAAAGTCCCGCAGAAAGTGCCACTGAGAGGTGAAGGCAGCTGGGCTTCTGGGTCGGGTGGGGACTTGGAGAACTTTTCTGTCTAGCTAAAGGATTGTAAACACACCAATCAGCACTGTGTCTAGCTAGAGGTTTGTAAATGTACCAATCAGCCCTCTGTGTCTAAAGGTTTGTAAACACACCAATCAGCGCTCTGTGTCCAGCTAATCTGGTGGGGACTCAAAGAACTTTTGTGTCTAGCTAAAGGATTGTAAATGCACCAATCAGCACTCTGTGTCTAGCTAAAGAATTGTAAACGCACCAATCAGCACTCTGTGTCTAGCTAAAGGTTTGTAAACATACCAGTCAGCACTTTGTCTAGCTAATCTGGTGGGGACTTGGAGAACTTTTGTGTCTAAAGGATTGTAAACGCACCAATCAGCACTCTGTCTAGCTAAAGGATTGTAAGTGTACCAATCAGCACTCTGTCAAAATGAACCAATCAGCGGTCTGTAAACAGACCAATCAGCTCTCTGTAAAATGGACCAATCCATAGGATGTGGGTGGGGCCAGATAAGGGAATAAAAGCAGGCCACCCTAGCCAGCCACGGTAACCCGCTGGGGTCCCCTTCCAGATCGTGGAAGCTTTCTTCTTTAGCTCTTCGCAATAAATCTTGATGCTCACTCTTTCGGTCCACGCCGCCTTTATGAGCTGTAACACTCACCGGGAAGGTTTGCAGCTTCACTCCTGAGGCCAGCAAGACCACTAACTCACTAGAAGGAACAAACAACTCCAGACGCATCGCCTTTAAGAGCTGTAGCACTCACTGCAAAGGTCTGCAGCTTCACTCCTGAAGTCAGCAAGACCACAAACCCCCCAGAAGGAAGAAACTCCAGACACATCTGAACATCTGAAGGAACAAACTCCGGACACACCATCTTTAAGAACTGTAACACTCACTGCGAGGGTCTCCAGCTTCATTCTTGAAGTCAGCAAGACCAAGAACCCACCAATTCCGGATACAATATCATGGCATCGCTCACTGAAAACTACACAAACCCTTCTGAACTCTTCCATAAAGGAGCTAAACCCTTGGAAATTATGTTCCTTAGGCTCCCTTACCAAAAGGCCTTTGGTTATGTTCCATCATAAGAAGCTCTTATGTGGGATTTGGGAGGCAAATGGAAAGAATAGACCACTGTTTTTAGCATTAGCTGAGGGTAGGTGCATAAGTAAAGGCAGGGCTTCTGGGATTCCTCTCTTCTGTTGCCTAGGCTGGAGTACAGTGGTGTGATCTTGGCTCACTACAACCTCCGCCTCCTGGGTTCAAGCTGTTCTCCTGCCTCAGCCTCCCAAGTAGCTGGGATTACAGGCATCCGCCACCATGCCCAGCTAATTTTTGTATTTTTGGTAGAGACGAGGTTTCGCCACATGGGCCAGGCTGGTCTCAAACTCCTGACCTCAAGTGCTCCACCTGCCTCGACCTCCCAAAGTGCTGGGATTACAGGGGTGAGACACCACTCCTGGTGCCTCTACTTCTCTGTATTACAATTTTCTACTCAAAGTATCTACAATGTCTTAAAAAAAAAAAAATCAATCTACCCCTACCCCAAGCGTGGGAAAACTGTGGCCCAAGGGATAAATTTGGCTTATGCTGTTTTTGTAAATATGGATTTATTGGATTACAGCTACTGTCATTGATTTACATATTGTCTGTGGCTGTTGTTCCTTTATAAAGAGAATTGAGTAGTTGCAACAAGAGACCAAAGGGCTCATGTGGTAGCCTCCAAAGATTTCCATGTCCTAATTCCCAGAACTTGTGAATCTATTAAATGGTAAAGATACTTTGCAGAGGTGACTAAGGATTGAGATGGGAAGATTATCTGAGTGGGCCTAATGTCAAGGTCAGAGAAGGAGAGCGATTTGAAGATACTCTAGCTGTTTTCAAACACCAGAAGAAGGGGTCACATTCCAAGGAATGCAGGTGGGGAGTTGGAAGAGGGAAGAAAATAGACTTTCTCTTAAGATCTCCAGAAAAAGCACCGCCCTGCCAACATTTTCATTTTAGGACTTCTGACCTCCAGAAATGTAAGATAATAAACTTGTATTGTTTTAAGCCATTAATTATATGGTAATGTTATCACGGCAGCAAAAGAAAACTAATCCAACCTGGAAAGCCTAAAATATTCACTGTCTGATCCTTGCAGAGTATGTTTGCTATCTCGTGGTCTACCAAACATGCTTTCTTAGGGGTGATTCTGGTTAGGGATAGCGTATTTTCTCTGAGACAATGAATAAAGAGGTTCTACTTGGCTAAGTTTTGCTGTTTTTTTTTTTTTTTTTTTTTTTGAATGAAGGAAGGGTAAAAGAAAAAAAGCTTAGTATACACCTTTTATGCTAAACTCCAGTTTAAAGTCATCTTTCGGCAAATCTAACCTGGGACAGATATACTCATCAAAAATTCTGGGGCCACAACTCACATCTTCACAACCAGAGATAAAAAAATCTTTACTGCTGCACTAATTTCTAGGGAAGAGTTTTTGTTTGTTTGCTTTCTATTTTCTCTTCTTCTAGAAATTAGTCCCAGTCCTGGACCACTTGATATAGTAATAGGAATAAGGTAGATTGTGGAATGTGTCGATTGCTTACACCAATGGAGCAGGCAATATGTTAGTAGGCTTCCCAAAATCAGATGGTTGACCAGGATACAAATTACCCAAGTATTCACCTGAGAAAGAGAGAAATGAATGCTGATAAAGCAAAATAAATGTCCTTTGACATATCTTTTCCTCAAAACAAATTCCTATATCAGATTATAAACCTTAAATTCGGGCCGGGCGCGGTGGCTCACGCCTGTAATCCCAGCACTTTGGGAGGCCGAGGCGAGCGGATCACGAGGTCAGGAGATCGAGACCATCCCGGCTAAAACGGTGAAACCCCGTCTCTACTAAAAATACAAAAAATTAGCTGGGCGTAGTGGCGGGCGCCTGTAGTCCCAGCTACTCGGGAGGCTGAGGCAGGAGAATGGCGTGAACCCGGGAGGCGGAGCTTGCAGTGAGCCGAGATCCCGCCACTGCACTCCAGCCTGGGCGACAGAGCGAGACTCCGTCTCAAAAAAAAAAAAAAATAAAATAAATTAAAAAAAAAAATAAAAAATAAAAAAAATAAATAAATAAACCTTAAATTCATAGACATGATTTAATAGTAATGTTTCAATATGATGACATCTATTTAATACTAGAAGAATTTCAGTCTAATTTTGCATGATTTCACTAATACGCATTTTAGTTAAAATGATATAACCAGAGTCATGGTTAAGGCTCAGTTGTGTTCCCCCAAAATTTATATGTTGACATCCTTGCTGTGTCTTTAATATAAAGACCTGAATATTGTCAGTAGTATAATGTAATTATCCAAATCCCACCGGGAAAACATTTGGGAAAAAATAATTGTTTTTTTCCATTGATTTCTCAATATGCATATTCCTAATCTCTTACATCTATGCATTACCACTGATTTTAAAAACTACCATTTTTATCACAGGCTGCCTCCACATCACCATTTTTCTTCCATTCTAATGAGTTCAGATCATCTTTCTTGCTCATGATTTTGGTCATTTCCCTTCTCTGGCTTTCTCCTCTTTTCTCTTTATATAAAACTCAGACACTTCATTGGCCACACAGTATTAAATTATTTCCTTCCCCCTCATCTCCTTCCTGCATCCTTTGTTATCCTGTTGCTTCCTGTGTAACTTTTCTACTCACTCTTTCTCATTCTTCCAATTGCTTCATAATCTCCAGAAAGCCTGTAGCGTACAATTTCAATTAGCATAAGCTTGCTCCTCTGTGATCATGCCTTTCCTGCTAACATTCTCTACCGGCCACAGAAAAGGAAATATTTGGGTGACATATTTTTGAATTATACAGGACAGCTTGGCAGGTACCAAAAATTTTCCGCTTACAGATTGATTGTCTCAGACAATTCTAAAAACACGTCTGTCCCCAGTGATTTAATTTGCTTGATAGTAAATCCATTGTAATCTACTCAGATAACAACTTGCTATTTATATCAAACTAGTATCCAATTCTGAGATGTTAAATATAGGATTCTCTACATTTCCTGACAGTCATTTCTAATAAACCATGGCATACGCAAGAATGAACATTTAACTTTATAGAGAATCGGCTGCAAGGCAAAAAGGTTTAAAGCACCAGGTCAGATATAAACCACAAGAAAGACCTCTATTTCTATACTAAATAGAGCATTAACAAAATTTTAGAGCCAGAAAAGACCTAACAGATCATCCGTTGCAATTCTTTTAGAAGTAAGGAAACCAAAACAATTTGAGAGCTCAGACAGCTCATTCGAGGTCATACAGCCAGCTGCGGGGAGAGTCAAGCTTGAACACAGGGCCCTGGCTTCAGCACACAGGCTTGCGGCTTTTCCTGTCATAGCCTGAAGCAGTACCAAAGAGTCTGCTCTGCACACCAAGAGTTCTTTCCATTTTCACAGAACAGATGTATTCTATTTGGAAGCTCAGAAAAACACATTGTATTATATCAACAAAATGGGCAGTCCTGAGTGCTAAACAGCACTTTCCTGTAGAAAGCAGGTCTGCAAGATGGGGAGCAGGATGGCTGCTGTCTTTAACCTGAGACCTGGACTTTGAAACAGGCAGAGAAAAAATGTCTTGTCTCAAGAGGAAAATCATAAATTTCTAAATCTAATGTTACAGATAATTAGCCCAGGTTGGGACTTTAAACTGGAGTTTAGCATAAAAGGTGTATACTAAGCTTATACAAAGAAGGATAAATTTGCCCAGGGTGGCGGTGGTGTTCTGTTTATCTTAAGAGTCCACGCAAAGAAAACATGTTTCATTCTGAACAAGCGTCAGTGACATTAATTAAGAAAAACTAGGGAAATTGAAAGAAAACTGCAGTGGTGTGTTCAGTGGAAAGTGGTTCCAAAATTCTTTGAGAACCTCATCTGGCAAGGTCCCTTTTACTTCTAGAAAACGTAGAGGAAAGTTTGCAATCCAAGAAAAGCCAGGAAATACCAATATAAGGAAAAACAATGATACTTTAGAGTCTATCTGTAAAAACCCACATTAGGTTATTGCATTTTACATTTGATTAAATTTGTGATCATATATATCAAAGTACCATTCAGATGCCTCCATAACCTACTATTCCATTTAATTCATTTAACCATTAAGCAGACACACACATGTAACAACCAGGATTGAAATTAGAGTGTCATAATAATTTCACATAAATAAAATGCCAACACTATGAGGAATTTTATATCAGTTACCTTTATGTCTAGGAATTATGGTTAATTAACTGTTATCAACTGTAAATTGAAAGATTAATCACATTTAAGGAAAAAAAACACTGAGTACAAAAACAATGTTATATAAGATACATTTCATTAAAATAGAACGCAAAAAATCATACATTTTAACCCTCTAGTTATTGTACTGTGCCAGCCTAATAAGATTGGTGTTGAAACCTTCCATGGTATCTTTAAATTCCAGCATCTGACATTATTCACGTTGTTTGGCCATTTATTAAAAAATATTAAGTCAAGGCTTGTTCTGTGCCTACCAATGTGCCTGGCTCTGAAGGACAAACAGTGCAATTTGATGTGGTCTCTGCATTCAGGGGCAGATAATGACTTTATTTCTGCATATTATAGTCATAATTTTATTTAGGACTGATTCTTCCTGGCCAAAGCCTCCATTGAATAAGGCGCGATGGTCAAGATGTATGCAGAGTCCATCTACTACTCGTAGTAAATATACTTCACCTTACAGAACAAGTTCATTCCATACAAATTAGCCCAAAGTTCTAAAGCGTATCTTATTTTCATAATTTTACATTGTATATTTAGAAATGGTAGAAATGGATTCCTTCTTTTAAAATAAATCTCCCAACAGACTGAAATTTTGGTGCCAAACAGATTAAGATGCACTATACAGTGCAGCAGAAAAATCACTAGCCAGGGAAAGGGGACACTTGGGTGCTAGACAGGGCAAACATACGATTTATAGTCCATACTAGGACACCACTGAGAGTGAAAGGGGGTGCTTTTACTAATTACACCAGGACAATATGTGTAAATGGGGACTGCGCCTGGAAAATCTGGGCATACACACATCCTAGCTCTAGTACAAGGTCTGCCTTCAGTAAGCTGTGTTCACAGATGACAAGTCAGAACAAGACATACCACTTCTTAAAATGCTCCACTGGCTCTCTTCATCCTTAGAATAAAATCTAAAGTTCTTACCAAGGAATATATGGCCCTAAAAGATCTGACCCTGGCCACCTGTCCAAACTTGATCTACCACTCTCTTCCTCTCACTCCCTGTTGCCCCTGCTCTTCAACCTGCCAAGGACAATTAGGCTCAGAATAGCTGAAGATGCCATGTCTTTGAACAATCTCCTGAGATAGTTTTATGGCTCCATCCTTCTCTTCATTCAGATTTTCCTTCAAATAGGACCTCTCAAGACACCTTCCCTGACATTCTGTCTAACACAATCGCCTTTCTCACACGTTACTTTATTACTTCTATTATCCAGTTTTTTTCTCTTCATAACAATTTCACTCCTTGCCTTATGCTTTGTATATGTTTGCTTCTTTGTTTACTGTTTGTCTCTACCCTACAATGTTAGATATGTAAGGTCACAGACTGCTTGTTGTTCATTATATCTCCAGGACCTAGATTAGTATTGGCACATTTGCAGCACTTGAAAAGTATTTGTTAAATAAATGTCGAATGTATGAAAAGTATTTTTAACTGCTCTGACCCTAAGTCCTTATGCTATGTAAAAAAAAATTTGACAGCGCTACCTGGTTTCTGATTCTTCTCTCAGCTTCTCCATGCAGTCAGTCGTCTCCCTTCTCTGTATACTCATAGGCTGATATGTACCTCAATTACTGCTCTTATCACGCTGGCCATCACCAGCCAGGGAAGCAAGCATCAAGACATGAATGAGCAGGGTGTATCTTGGGAGCTAATTGGGAAGCCTGATATGGGCAAAAAGGGGTAAGGTGACAGTGAAAATGCAGTCAGACCTTGGAGGCCATTTTTTTTAAAGATGAATTAAAGAATTTGTATTTAATTCTAAGGCAATGGGTGGTCATTAAAGTATTTTAAACTGAGGGGTAAGATCAGAGTTGCATTTCTGAGGATAAATCTGGCTGGTTTATGAAGAATAAAGTATAGTGTTAACAGAACTAACTGCAAGGAAGTCCTAAGGTGTTCTTGGCAGTGGTTCCATCCAGAAATGGCTGGTCTGATTAGGGAGAACCCTGGCTAGACCCACCTCTCTGTATCCCTTAGATTTCTCATTTAATAATCTTATTGTCTCTCTAGGTTAGGATTCATCTATATTGCTATGAGGGGGAACACAAAATATCTTGCAGGTCTCTGGAGTGGATATGCTATAGGAATGGCGGTGTACCTGTAGTTCCAGGTTGTTCGAAGACTGAGGCAGGAGGATTGCTTCAGGCCAGAATTTAAGACCAGTCTGGGCAACATAGTAAAACCCCAATTATACAAAAAATTTTTTAAAAGTTAGCCAGGCATGATGACACACTCCTGTAGTCCCTACCAACTCCAGAGATGGCTTGAGCCCAGGAGTTCAAGGCTGCAGTGAGCTATGATGGCACTGCTGCACTCCAAACTGGGTGACAGAGACCCTGTCTCTTAAAAAAGGAAAAAAAAAAAAAAAAAAGAACTCACTGTATGGATTACTTAATCTAGATTCCTTTTCTAGATTGTCACAGATTGCCTTTTATTAGATAAAATTCTTAGTGAATAAGTTTATATATATATATATATATGGTAGAAGATAAAACGTGTTGTTATAGCACAAAGTTGTTACTTAACCTGTAATTTCAGTGGTTTGTGGACATCCTGACCCCTCATGGACCTATTAAGGAGATCCAAAAAGTCCGGTTTAAGAATCTGTGTTCCAAGATAAAGAAGTAATAACCAGCAAATGACGGATTCCTGGGTTAGGTGTGTTTAATTTAAAAGATTGTCATAAGAATCACAGGACATGTGCTTCAATGTTTATCCAAGCAGTACTGCTTTCTGACACTCTGCTGCCTAGTTAAAAGCCGGAGAATCTCGGGGTCTCTCTCCCTCCCTCCCTCGTTCTCTCTCTCATTTCATTCTGTTTGTAGGGTGTGCGTGTAGACACATATTTGAGAAAGAGAGAAAGATCTCTCCAGAATAGAACAAACTTTGGTAGATGGTGCATATAGTGTGGAATATTTCAGGGACATGAGAGTTATCCTATTTCTTGACAGCTCCTGTTATGTCTAGCATTTTTAGAATTTCTTCTTTTGTCAGGACAATAAGGTTTCAGTTACAATAAAAGAGTTGCTGGGAGGGTTAATCTACTAGCCCTTTAGCTCAAGTATATTAGTTCTATTGCCTGAGGGTTGGAGGGCTCTAAGAGAAAGTGATATACAGGAGGCAATTTGTTTAAACAATGTAATAATGCATATTTATTAGAGAATATTTAGAAAACTCAAGTAAAATGAGAAAAGTTAAAATCATTCATAATTGTAGCACCCCTCTACAAACTGTTAAATTTTAAAATATCCTATTTTACATTTTATATGTGATCTTTGAAAATTCTTGTAAATGGCTTTACCCCCTACCCAGAGCACTCCCGGGGCTCAGGGGCAAGCCAGGGTCCCTGCCTGGGGAAGGAAAGCAATGAAAGAAAGAAAATTATGCCGGGCTTTTGACAATCTGACCCAGCCTATCATATTGTTTCAAAATAGCTTCCCCATTAGTAACATGAAGACAGATTATATTATATACAGGCTTACTCTGCTTGGCCACTGCTAGTAAAATTTTATTTGCCCCCCAAGGAAACGGTTATTGATCATCCAAGTCACAGTTTGCCTTGGGGGTTATAATGCTGTGGATGAAGTTTCTTACTTTTCCATACTGACTTCTCAAGCTTTTCATTTTTAAAAATATATCTTAGCTATTTGATAAATGAAAAATGATTCCTCATGGTGGCTTTAAATTCAGCATTCAAATTTAGTTTCATCCAACAAAATACTCTGTAAAACAACTTTGTGATGTCCTCAAAGCCAGCTCATATTTAAAAAGCACAAATAATATAATTAGTTGGGGAGCTCTAACACATCTCCTCTCACCTATGCTGTGACAAACCAATGGGTACCGAAATATGCTTCATGGGTCGTGATGAGGGTGCTGCACATCTTTCCCACGCTTCTTGTGACTGGAGGGTACTAACTCACTCCCAGAACTGACCTGAGCTTGCCTAGCAACAGGATGTAGTTGCTAATGGTAACCGTTCCATGGGGAAATATTTGCTCTGGGTGTTTGGGGTCTTTGTCTTTACAGAAGTATGACAGTTTGATAGACTTTATTATTGTTAGTGACATCTGAAAACCTATACCTGTTCCATTCTTTTGCCTCTTATATAAGTACAAGTTAAAAAATTTCCTTGATAGAAGCACAGTCTACTTTTGAGGACTGGCCTCACCCTGATTCCAGAATCTATATATTTTTTGACTTCAACCAAAAAGTAGATGTAAACCCTACCATGTCTTACTGGGTCTAGCTGTAGATTTCTACTCTTCCACATGGGTCCCACCTGTGAGTTCTGAGCTTTGGCCAACAGAAGTTACACGAACCTGAACGCTAAGCAATTTAAAAAAAAAAAAAAAAGATTTAGAAACCAGTAAAATTCACTTGAAAATGCACTAAATTGGGAGGCCGAGGCGGGTGGATCGCGAGGTCAGGAGATCAAGACCATCCTGGCTAACGGTGAAACCCCGTCTCTACTAAAAATACAAAAAATTAGCCAGACATGGTGGCGGGCGCCTGTAGTCCCAGCTACTCAGGAGGCTGAGACAGGAGAATGGCGTGAACCTGGGAGGCGGAACTTGGAGTGAGCTGAAATCACGCCACTGCACTCCAGCCTGGGCGACAGAGCGAGACTCCATCTCAAAAAAAAAAAAAAAAAGAAAAAAAAAAGAAAAAAGAAAAAAAGAAAATGCACTAAAAAGTTGTACCTCAGAGGTATTTATCAATATGTTTCATTGAGGTTGAAAAATCTTCAGTTTGAACCAATTTGCTTTAGAGCAAGATTTTTGAACCTCAGCATTACTGACATTGTGGACTGGATAATTCTCTGTTGCAGGAGACTGTTCTGTGTACTGGAAGATGTTCCATAACATCTCTGGTCTCTACATCCAAATGCTGTAACATCCAAAAACATCTTCACACATTGCAAAATCTCTAGGCAACCCGGGGGATGGGTCAAAATTACCCTGGGTTGAGATCTACTAGCATAAAGCAATCTATTTAAAGAAAAGACAAAATTTTGAAACTCAGAATAATTAGCCAAAATAGACATAATTGAAATAACAGAATCTTAAACAATTTGAAGTCTGAGAGAAAAATGGACAAAAATACTAAAACTCAAAGCTTCTATAGTATCTACTATAGCATCTACAAATTACTAAAAATGTTTAAAATATGTAAAGTGAGGGCCTAGTTGATAGTTTTTTATATTTAGATCAGTTTATTTTTTACTAGTTCTTGTGGAATTAGTTTTCATCCTTTTCCTAAGCTTTACTATGACTCCAGTTATAATGAGTTCTTATGATCCTTATTATTGATTGGTCAGAAGCTTTCTATATTCTGCTATAATTTATGTTTTCCAAACAGAAGTTATATTTAATTGACCATATGAGGAAACAGTGATACCCACAGAGGCTACAATATGATGCTATCACAATTTATTGATATTGATGGCCATATTGTGGTTATGTAGGAGAATGCCTTGGTTTGTATGAAACAAAGCACGAGGATAATGAAGTATCATGTGAACAATTTACTCTGTCATTCAGAAAAAAAATACTATAATTGCAACTTCTCTGTAAGTTTGAAACCAATCCAATTATCAAACAAAAATTCCATGTACATAGTCAAGAAAAAGGAAGAAAACAGTAGGGAGGGACAATAATGTAAATAGTGATATGATTCTACTAAGTAGACTTGGTCTCAATGGGGCATGAGAGAGACATGAATATGTTATTCCCTCAGTAGGTTTCAATTCCTCTAAGCTTCTTATAGTGTGAACATCTTGACACATTTGTATTTCATTGACAATTTTAGTATTTATCAAGATTAATTTTTTTACAATATGCAAATTTTTCTTTATACATTATATTTAGAAGTTATCCTGATAAAGAGATGCAACCAAGGAAGAATGAAGCAAAACAAAACTAAAGATATCAATGAAAGCTAAAAAGGGAGAAAATTGAGATAGATGAAGGTATATTAAATGCTATTGGCCAGACATGGTGGCTCACTCCTGTAATCCCAACATTTTGGGAGGCTGAAGTGAGTGTATTGCTTGAGCTCAGGAGTTCGAGACCAGCCTGGGCAATGTGGCAAAACCCGGTCTCCAAAAATTATAAAAATAAGCTGGGCATGATGGTACACACCTGTAGTCCAAGCTACTCAGGAGGCTGATGGGGTAGGATTGCTTAAGCCCAAGAGGCAGAGGTTGCAGTGAGCCAAGTTTGTACCACCACACTCCAGCCTGGGTGACAGAGTGAGTCCCTGTCTAAAAAGTTAATAATAAAAAATAAAATGCCATGATGGTTAAAATGAAGGTTGTGACCTATGCAGAGCCAGCAGAGCAGTAGAGAGGAGCTGGTCTGAAGGCTGGGCAGGTGAACAGAATGTGGTGTCCAGGGAGGGTCACCTGTCCAGGAGAGAGCCAGGAGAGCCTTCCAGAGGCCCTAGTGTTTGCAGTTAGTTCTCCTTTTAATAGGGCTGCTTACTACTTCCACAGACACTGATGATGCCGATATGCAGACCACATCAAATAGAACAGCAGAGCTATCAGCATAAGGTAGAAAACTTTCAGATGAATGCCTCTTAGTCTCTAAAAAATGTCAATGACTTTGGCCAGAGAACAATTCCAGTGGAGCATGGAAATGGTTGAAAGAGGGAGGAAGGTAGATATATTACATGTAGGTGACTCTTTCAAGATACTAGTTTGGGAAGGATGGGAAATGTAACACCTGGGGATGTGCATAATATTGAGAGGATTTTTTTGTCTATGAGATAAGCAAGCTTAGGCATGTTTAAGGTGCTGAGGGAAAATCCGCAGGGAATGAGTAGTTTTGCAGACAGGTAGAAATGAGAAAGGAAGCCCAAGCAAGAGTCAAGGAAAAGAGGTCTTGAGGCTGAGGCACACTCCCAAAAGGAATAAAGGGGAGAGCAAGTTGAAGGAGAGAAATGTGAACATATGTTTTTAAGGATGAGGCAGTTATTGGTAAAGAAATGGCACTGTGGAATTCTATTTCAAGTCAGAAAAAAAAATGCTACAGAATGGTCAAGGAAGCAAGTGACTTAAGAGGGTCATGGAACTGAAAATATAAGGGGTGGAAAGGGTCACCTCCATGGCCCTTGATTATAACTCTTACATGTGACATATGCCTGAGGTGCAGTAAAGAAAAACCTGTGATCATAATTTAACATTCCTGTAAGAACCCCGTGCACAAGGACAGGGAGTCCCTACCATCTTCTGCTCCCTTTTTCCAGTGTTGGCTACTTTTTGGTTTCTTTGTTTCAGATGTAATGTTTTCTGTGTTAATTTTTCATGCCCCAAAAGAGGTCTAATTTGATGTATTAGACATTAAGCTAATTCAGCATAACTTGCTAGTTCCCATACCTACCACCGTAACCACTACCAGGGATTTACAGACAAGCCTTGGAAAGCCCATTAATTATACAGGTAACAGTTTTGAAAGCTGTGTTTCAAGATGTAACCAAGTTCCCTCATTCCTGGAAAGTATTAAATATTCATATCCAAACAACCACCCCTAGTTTAGGTCTTACCTTTTCATTTGCTTATGGAATTCCCTTTCAATTTGGTAGAACTTCAGTCAAGTGACCTGTAAAGCCTAGGGCATAACTTTCCAAACTGGTGATCTTTGAGAGGGGGCTATTTTGAGGGAATTGGTTTTGAAATAGGATTTTTGTAATGCTGCTGACTCCAGTGTTTCAAGATTTGTACTTGTGCCCTTTGGCAAAAAGTATATAGGGTGTCCTTTTATTGATCTAAATAATAAATATGACGAGTCAGTTTGCTTTGCATTAAATAAATGTGCCAGTTCTGCTTGAACAAACATCTCAAATTCAAACAAACAAACACGAAGGGAGATTTAACTAAAAACAACAACACAAATTTTCAAAATGACTAATGATAAGCAATAAGTATAGTGCCTTTAAATCTTTCCAGTATTATTAAACACCTATACTGTCATAATTAGGCTCCATCTGCACACTCTTTGGTGATGTTAGGTGCTGTGCCACTGTCTGGGAAAGTCAAATTTGGACTTGCCTGAAATTAAATTTGTTCTTTGGGGTTTGACATTTATCAATACAAAATGTGTTCCCTAGAAAGCTGATGTCAGCACTTCAAGACCCAGCAGGCTTGAATAGTGCCACTTTCTTCTGAAGCACTTGTTCGCTATGCAATATACAAGGAGTGAGGTTGGAGTGCACACACATACCATGGAGGTGACTGATGGAGGGTGGGGAAAAAACAGTCTGAAAAGTGTAAGGACTCATGGTGAAAAGAGGAATCAGTTAATACGACCTTCTATCCATGTGAGCTATTCCCCTTGCAATTTACTTACTGTTTTGTTTGCCTTATTTAAGTTGCCAACCCACCGGGCAGAGACTGTCACTTCTTCTTAATATTCCATTCAGAGCCTACTTTACAGTTGGCATTTAATTAGTGTTATATAACTATAAAAACATTATATAGAGCCTCTAGTTTCAAAAAAATGAGGTGAAATTCATGATTTGAATCTCCATACAGATGGCATTGGCTTTTGATGCCTTTTTCTCTTATCATCTGACTCCTGCCGGCTGCTACACATTGTATACTCTATAAAACAGCCGCTACTAGCTAACCATACCAATCAGCTGCTGCATGTGTCAGAGGGCAATGGGCTCGTGGAGATTGAGAACTGCATGCATGCACAAACACATACAAACACAAGGAGAAACAAAAAGCCACTGCCCTCAAAAGAGAAGCTCTGATGCACGCCACAGCCCTGGAATATCACCTCTGGCAAGTGTGCCACCCATTTCAGCAGAAATGTGCACTGGAGACTATTAGTAAGGAAAGATCATGGATTATTTTAGAGCCCTTTCTGGTCACAAACCATGACCAGCAAACTAGCCACAAGTTCAGCCTAGTGGTCAGCATTTACTTGAAATGGTTGGGTTGAAATGGATTTTTAATGCCTTTTCATTTTTTAAAGTTGGTTATTTTATAAGAAAGTTCTCTTTCATATGAGGATTTCTTCACAATAAAAGTATCACTTGGCAACAGAGAGTTTAGCTTCAAGTTAAAATAGTTGCTATCAATTAGAAACTGACTATAGGACCAGTGGGCATCTTTTTTTTAATTTGAAGATATTAATAGATTTTAACTAGGTCTAAGAAAGGAAATACACATGAGAAAGGGGTGGAAGGAGTCTTGGCAGTGGGGCAGAGAAACAGGAGAAAGGGATAGGAGGTGACTTGGATTGAGGAAGAAGTATTAAGAGGGCAGGTAAGGGAAAGAAAAACAAGACTTTTTTGGCTACTTCTTTGTCTATTTCACCAGCTGTGCTTAAATTGAGTTGGTGTTTGGAAAAATATAATTCATCCCAGAAGGTTTACTAAAGGGCAAAACAGCATCTTTGTTTATGTTAAATGTGGTAGAGATAGATAAATGTTCTAATTTGTATTTATAATTGACTCTTTACAATGGTAATTTTAATCCCAGAAGCATGGGGTGACCATTTCAGTGGTATAGGTCCTCCAGCAGACTTTGCCTTAACTTCAAGGAGTGGGTAAGGAGGTCGGTGCAGCACAGTCTCACAAAAGGAAACTACCAGTGTAGTAAGAAGAGCACTAAGTGTTTACTGCAAGCCAAGTGCTGGTCTATCTAAACACTTTACATACAATGATTTCCTTAAATTCTTACAATAAATCGACAAGAAAAGGGACTATTATTGTTCCTGTCCTACAGAGGAGGAAATTGAGACACAGAAATTAAGTGACTTGTCCAAGGTCACACCAAGAAAGTCATGGTGCCAGGATTCTAACTCAAATATTTTGGTTCCAGGGGCGGTGGTTGCAGCTGAGAACTCAACATAAAAATAGAAGAAAATCAGACATTTTAAATTCTTAGTTATAATTATATTTGCTGTATTGATTCCAATGACAAAATAAAACTAGAATTTGAAACTCCTATGGCTCTTCATTAACCTGCAGGATAAAATCCTAAATCTTTAGCAGGCACATTACACTTTACATGTTGAGGTTCCTTTATGATCTAGCCACAGCCTCCATTTCAGCCTCAGCTGCAGACACTCTTCATAACTGAGCCTCTAAACAAGCCATTTTAGTTTACACGCAGTTTCCATTTTCCCCTGTGCCTCATCTCTGCAAATACTCATCCCTTCCCAAAATTGACCTTTCTCTTTATCTTCTCTATCTGATAAATTTACCTTTCAAAATATAACTCAGAATTTACCTCCTCTAAGAAGCCATCTCTGACTTCTCCAAGCAGATTTAAAAATTCCTTTCTCTATAATCTCATACCTTTATACTTAACACTTTGGCACACTTACTACATTGCCTTATCATTACTCTTTTACATGTGTATGTTTTACTTTGTCATTTGAATATAAGCATGCCAGGAGAAATACAAAACTGTATTTACACGTGTATACCTGATGTGTTTAAAAGTGCCTTGTGAGTGAGAGGGATTCAATAGTTATTACTGAATGTTTAATGAGTTTTATCCTCAAGCTTCATTTTCCTCCTCAGATCTCAGCTGAAATGTCAACTTCTCAAAGAATTCTCTTCTGACCACTTCCTTCAGTTGCTGTCTGTAATAAACTAAAGATTAACTTAAATCATTTGCCATTCTTTCCATCAAGAGGTGGGTCTAACCCCTTCCGTTGAATCAGGGCAGACTCCCGAGTGCTTAGCCAGTTGAAACTGCTATTCAATGCCTTTCTAGGTTACAGCCTCTGGCTATCAGAGACTCATGGATTCCCCATCTTACCTCTTGGAACACGTGCTCCTAGACCCAGCTGCCATGCAATGAGGAAGCCAAAGTAATGCTGTAAAGAGGCTCACATGGAGAGGAACTACCAACAGCCAGTATCAAACTGCAATCCATGCAAGTAAAGGCACCTCAACTGACATCATTTAGAGTGGGAATGTGATGTGCCAGTCAAGTCTTGACCACATTGCAATTAGTGAGTAAAATAAATGACTGTGGCTGTTTTAACCCACTAAGTGTGGGTTGATTGGCTGGGCAGCAATCGAAGACGAACATCTTTTTACTCTAACACACTATCTTGTTTTAGTTTATATAATATCTCAACCTACAAGGGTCATGTTTATCATCTCGTTCCACCTAGTCACCATCTTCAATTAAATGTGAACTCCATCTGTCTTATCCACTTCTATGAATGGTCCCTAGTTTAGAATAAATGCTTAGTAAATACCTAATGAGTAATTAATGCTCTTCTTAGAACTATATTAAAGAATTGCCTCAGAGATGGAACCAAGGACCTCTGGACACTTTGCTGGAATAATCTGTTTTATGTGGAAAGTTACAGTATATTTTCTAAGATAACTGTATTTCAGGTTTTGTGTCATAGTCAGTGACAGTTAATGTGTTAGACTTGCACATTAAAAGTACACGTTTCTTACATTAATAGATATTTCTAAGTCTATTCTAAAAATGGATATTTCTAAATCTATACTGGATATGATCTAGTAAGGAGAAGATGAGAAAATGAGGTGGCCACGTCATGGCAAAAGAATGGCTATGTTTATAAGCAAAATAATTTTTAAGAAAATCCAGATAATTTAGACCTTTTTTCTTAGGCAACCTATTCTAGAGAATTCAGTGTGAATGTCTAAGTTCTCTGAAATGCTATTTTTAATACATGACCTTAATAAGCTATGTTCTTTTAAAAATTGTCATGTTTTAATTTACTCTTAATTACACATGGTCTTTCAAAGTACAGAGCATAAAACTTAAGAAAAACTCAATTTCATAGAGGTCATTTTATAAAAAGAACACAAAGAAGTAAAGGTTTTAGTGGTATTTTTCCAAGTAACTGAGTCATTTCTTATAATAAGAGGGATTTGGGTCTCAGTATAGTCATTCTCAGCCCCGCAAGCAAGTGGGACACTTTATGTGGGAAATAGAGTATCAAATGATCAGCAAGAAGCTGAACTTTAAATTTACAAGTGCACTTTCAATTTCTATGGAAATTGCGCATTTTGTGAAAATGTGCTTAGATTGTCATTGTCTAGTCAAATACAGTGAAAATGCAAGTTGAAGGAGCATAATTAAGGTTAAAGGAAAGATTCAAGGAGAACGGCTGTCTTTCATGAAGCCTAATCAGCACCTTGGATCTATCTACAGGCAGAGAATGGCCAGACACATTCTCCTGAACCACTGGTCCTCAATTATCATCATCTGTGGTTTGTTATGTAAGTGTATGCACTATTTCAGTATCTTTACTTAGGTAATCTGGGTGCTTGTTTGAATAGAAATTTTCTTTGAGTGGGCTTCTTCAAATACCATTGCATAGTTCTATTTCTTTGATTTCATGCAGCCTGTCAAGTTATCAATAAAGTAGAAATACTATATTTTTTTAAAGGAAGAACTTTTTTGGCAACACAATGAATTCTAATTTTGACTTTAAGGGGAAATTGTAAAGATACCAAATATGTTGTCATATTTTCTGTGCATCCACAGGGATAAGAATAATAGCACTGCATGAATAGAAGGATCAGCTTTGCAGCGGATCCAAATGTCAAAAATCTCCTACAGAACATTGTGAAATATAATTAAACTTGAATCTATACGAATTTATTATTTATTGAACATCTACTATGCTCAAGGCAATGTAATATTGTCTGTGAAGGATATTGTGAAACGAACCTCCAGTCTCCCATCAAGTAGCTTTCAGTGTATGTTAATATCCCACCACTTAAGAAAATAACTAGAATTTTTAAAAAATGCATTCAAAGATTGTAAAAATGTGCCCAGAATTGAATAAAGAATACATTTCGATGTTCAGATTCTCCTGTCCTATGGCCCAACCATTTTTGGAGAAGCAGAAGTGGTCAGATAGCAATTCATTGAGGAATATTTATGTATAGATCCATGAAAATAAACTCAAAGACTCAAATGATTTTCTCTAAGATTCTGTACTGAAATATTGCTAATGTTATCTAATAAGATTTTTAATGTAAATTTTAGTAATGAAAAATGATTACAAACTTCCAATATTCTGCAGCCTATCCGGCCTGTACATGTGATAGACTTACTTTTTTACATTATTTCATGCATTTAAGAGGCAGAGCACATCCCACAAGAGGAAATAATATTCAAAAGGAGATATTTTGAATTTCAAAATTCATCTAGGCCCTAAAGAGGACTGGAAAGATGCTTCAAACATATCTTCCTACTCCTCCCCACTGTCTATTTTTTTTTTTTTTACTGCAGAAGTAAGTAAAGTCTATTTTCTTTTATAAAAATGATTTGAAAGGTTTTTGCTTTCTTGTCTATAAAATCAAGTTCACAAAATTAAATTCCAAGAGATCGGTAGGTTTGCAGTCATTGTACTATGTTTCATCTCTTGCTCCTAGAATACAATTCTGATTATTTCAGAAACTCATTGACTGTAGGATACAAATGTTCTGTGCACTTTTCACGTTTGTTTCAAGGGCGAATTTTCTTGCAGACGAAGACAATTAATTATCTTTAAAAACTCCTGGCAGAACTCAGACATACTTCAGTACAAACCTGTTTCAAGTCATCACGTTCAAATCCAATGTGTAGAGTGTTATTGGAGCTGAGTGGAAAATTGTTAGGGAAAGGCAGTCGGGGTGAGATGATAAAGGCAGTCAGGGGTGAGATGATAAAGAGTCCTGTATGCAATGCCAGGAAGTTTGGATGTTTTGTTTAGGTAATGGGAACCTGCCAAATAATTTTAAGCAAGGAGAATGGCATATTTTTAGTTGGAAAAAAAATCACTAGAAGAAGAATGGAAAATGAATTGGAGGAAAGAAGATTGGGAACAAAAAAACATTTGAAATAATCTCAGTAAGAAATGAAGAGTCTGCACTGATGTGGAGACAAGAGTTGGGGAAGAGAGCTTAGGTTTAAGAAAGATGTACAAAGTAGAATCAGCAGCAATTGTTAAGTGACTGTGTGAGAGGAAGCTAGAAAGCATAGTCATGATTTGCATGGCTTTGGGTTTTGGGGGTTAGATAGGAACTGGTGTTATGTAACAGAATAAAAGGGCAAAAACAATGAAGCGGCAATTGAAGGGTGACAGAGAAGAGTTGGAAAATCTTGAAAGCATCCTACCGACTAGATGTTTGACATAGTTGTTTGGAATATTTTGGTCTGGAAACCATTAGAGAAAAGCCTGTTCTGTAGGCTTTTTGATTTAATTATAGATTTTTGTTCTAGGATTTTCAAGTCCACTCAACTTGAAAGTCTAGCACATTATACCCTTTCCTCTCCCTAATTCCTCAAGCCCAGTGTCTGAACTGTATTATTTATAATTCCCAAGTTATACCCCAAATATACCCCCTTTTCATTTACACTACTACTGACTTAATTAGATGCTGAGGTTCACAACTTACCTCTATATTCAGGATCAAAGAACTCATTCCTCTTAGCTGCTAAGACTTAGCCTCCCGATGGCTCACAGTTGAAAACCCCCGCGACCAAAAGCTTTCCTCAAAGAGAACTGCCTAACCTAAGGTTATATCCCTTATATCCCCTCCCTCACTGACTACTGAATGGTGCAAGGGTACAAAGGTTTGACTCTCTTTCCACAATCTGAGAAAACTAAGAACAGCTGTTCCAGTGCCAGAATTTCCCCATGGAATCAGCTAAGAATTTGTTATTATTCTATTGCTGTTCAACTTCTCCCAAACCTGAATCTTTCACTCCCTCACAGGTATTGTTGCCAAAAGCATGACCAATCTGTTTACTGCATACAATCCTTCATCTCACAATTTTTTAGCTGGGAAACCTGACTGGAGACATGAGAACAGTGATGCCAAGAGTACACCAATGAAACATTTTGAAGCTGGATCACCTACCTGGTGAGTCTGACAAGAATGATTTTTATCTTTGATAGTAGGTCAAGTCTGATGTTCTCTGACATGCTGTAATGACTCAGTTAAAATTTTCACCAGTGCTAAACTCAGATTGTATAGCTGTGTAAGGAAATGCATTAGCAGCTGCAATGGCTCAAGTACTAGAGAGGTTCAGGGGAGGTAATCATAAGGACACTAGAATTTAAACAGCTGTTGCTGATGCCATATCATTGAAAAACAAAGAAAACCTGAGGGTGATTAAGCACCAATTTAAGACAAAGTGTTAAAATCAGAGGGTCTTCTGGGAATTCTATAAATTAACTTTTATCTCTTGCAGCCAAAGGGCAGATAACCCTTGGCTAAGTTTAGGATCAACTATAAAGGTAACAGTGCTCAAAGAAGGCTGAATTTTCAGCCCTAGCAAGTCTGCTATGGCAAAATTAAGGCACTGATTGGAAACAGTGAGGCGCTGAGGCTTGATGTAGGACTAGCTAATCAATGTACTCAAATATCTTGAACCCCCAGAATCCCTTGAATCCTCTGAGACTGCAGAAGTGGCCCAATCTTCTCCCTTAAAGTCTAGCATTCTTCCCCCTCTTCCTTAAAAAAGATGCTGAGATCTCTGTCTTTAATGAAAATGTGACACACCTCTCCCAACCTCAGGATCTATCTCCACCTTATCTCCTTGCCACCAAACCAATAACTATGGTTAAGTCACAACAATAGCCAGGGAATCACTGGGCTGGCTAAGGTAGGAATGGGACTGTAATCTGAAGAAGTTGCAGGATCCAAGCAGCGTGTATCAACAAGAGCTAAGAAAGCATAAAATGGGATTGAATCTTGAGATTGCTAGATCAACAAAGGCAGAACGTAAAGTTAGATAAGGGAGAGTTTATCAAAAGTGAAGCACTCTCCTCTGATGTAAGATTTAACATGCCCATGGAAGAGGCAATAAACAGCCAGGTAGACAGAAGACTGGCTTGCCCAACAATATTAGCCAGCTTCTGCCATCAGCCACTCCAGTGCTGACATGTTGTTTGCATAAATGAAGTTCTAATGGGCCAAACAGCATGGCCTCCCAGTCATCAAGGATGAGTTAGCAGCTGCCAAATGTCCAACCTGACCACAACAAAATCTGACACTGATCTCTAGATATGACACTATCCCTCAACGAGGCCAACCAGCTACTTGTTAGAAAGTTGATTACATTATATCCCTTCTACTCTGGAAGAAACAGTGTTATCTTTTGAATGGAACTGACACATATCCCAGATGAATCACTTTTTTTAGTAAATAAAAACTCTGGTTTTTACAGAGCTCACAGTGTAGCAGGATAGGAAAGAATTATTAGCTGATCTTCAATCCACCCTGACCCTGGGACCACATGGGGAGGAAGAAAATTAAGAGGGAATGGCAAAGGAGGAGGGTCAGAGAAGGGAGAGAAAAAAGTGATGTGTCAAATATTTTTGCAAATATGCTAATCAAATTTCCTGGTAGTATTTACTAATGGTGAATCCTTACTTATGGTGTGTTTTAGGCAGCACGTACCTGGCATATCTAAGCTTGCTCATGGTAAGCAAGTCAGAAATTTATGGATTTATGAGGCATGTTCCTCTATAAAATATTGGTGCCAGCTGTGTATTCACTGGAGCATAAAATGGAAAAGTTTAATGAACAAAACAGCCCTGTTGTGTGCATTAGAGGTCAACAAACTATAGGCCATGAGCCAAATTCTGCCATGCCTAATCTCTTCCTTATTGTCAATGGCTACGTTCACTCTTCTACTGTAAAGTTGCTATAGAGATTACTCAGCCTGCAAAGCTGAAATACTTACTCTCTGGTCTTTTAAAGGAAAAGTTTGCTGATCCCTGATATAGGCGATGTCTCACAAGCATCACTTAGAACCCTCATATCTTATATTTATGCCATGGCTTATTCTTATTGTAGCAGGAAAGGATAAAAGCCAAGTTGGTGTAGTTCCTATAAGTTACAAGAAGAAAATATTTCTAGGTAAAGTTTTGTTCTCTAAGGTTTCTTTGTATTGACAGAGCTAAAAATCAAACCCCTTTTATGATTTAATCTAAGTAGAAGACCCCCTTGATTCCTCAATCAGAAAGTAGTGGGGACTTGGTAAACCAAGAGATCTTTCTTGCTTCTCTATTGTTCTCTTACTTCAGTTGACAAGCGGTTCTCCCCTTACTGAAGCAGAATCATTTCCTTTGAGATGTTGAACTATGTGTGCCATGTGCTGCAAAGTCCCTCAAGGTTTTCTACAGCTCCTTGCACAGTGATTTGTTTTCTAATTTTCTTGGTAGTTAAGCTTGTCACTCTTTAATGAAGGTCTTCCAGATTCTTTTTAAAGGATACCTCAATGTTTAGATCTTAAAGTTCAACTTTGAACAACTCTGACTGAAACAGAGGGCTGGGAATCTAGAACCCCGTTAGCTACTCCTGGGTGCCCCCTCCTCCAGAGGTCCCAGAAGGAGGGTCCTGGAATCCCTAAAGCTTAGTGGAGCCAATTGAAAAAAAAAAAAAGTCACTGAATCAGATAATATTAAGGCCTCTTTCAGGACTAATTTTATTTTAAGGCTCATATCTTGGGGTCAAAGGATTATTTTCTGTTTTAGCAATGCCTCTACATTCTTTGATAGAAATATCTATTACATGTCCAAGTGTGCTGGATGTTTTATTATGTTTCAAAATGAATACCCTGGCTTTCCCTTATAGCTAGATGCTTTTTCTTTTACCTACATTTTCATCTTAGCCCCTAGAAGAGGAAGCTTTCTGCTAATATCCAATGTTAAATAAACACTTAGATTCAAAATAATAAGAAAGATCTCATAATCTTAGGAGTAAGCTTCTTAGTCCAACAAAATGTATCAGCAGCTTAGCATTTAGAGAGTTATTAGGCATTCACCTGGCTATTAAATAAAAACTTTGACACCCTAATGGCTAGGACTGAAAGGAAAGAGGGATGAAAAGCATTCCCAATTCATGTATCCTTACTAACATTTATGAACTAAGTGATTCAGAGGAAACAAGGTTCCTAAGACCATTGTGCTAGTAGGTGTCTGTAGATACTGAGATGAATTTAGTAGGCATGGATTGTGATAGCATCTATGATTGAGTCTACAGGAACTGTCTAAAGATGAGCATAGCAGGAAAGAAAAAATCATTTTAAGAGGAGGAGTCAAAGTGTTAGCGATGGCAATTCCGTATTTGTACGGGTCTACAGCATCCTCAATTCTTGCCCCCCACACTCCACAGAAGAAAGAATTTGAGGGACATAAGGCAGAAGGAGAGACTGAGGCAAGTTTTAGAGCAGGAGAGGTAGTTTACAAAAAAGCTTTAGAGCAAGAATGAAAGGAAGGAAAGTACACTTGGAAGAAGGCCAAGCAAGCAACTTGAAAGACAAGTGCCTAGTTTGACCTCTAGACTTGGGGTTTTCATACATTGGCATACTTCTGGAGTCTTGCATTACTTCTCCAAACTCCTGAGATCTTATTGAGAAGCGGCTTATCAACAGTTTCAGGTGTTTTCTATCTAGTAGGAGACTGCAGTTCGCTGGTACCAGCTGTGACCAATCATTACTTTACAGAGAGTGTTAACAGCCTGATCATCACCTTCTGGTGTGTGTAGAGGGTAGCCCTCCCCTGCCCGGCTCACACCCAACTAGCTACCTACTGTAACAAAAGCTTGCTTTTCAAGATGACAAACAAAGATCAAGAGTTGGGTCTCAGACAAAGATAGAGATTTTTTTCCCTCTGAACGGGAGAGAGCCTCTTGGGTCAATCAGAATGAAATGAAGGTTCTCTTCTCTGCAAGCTCCTCAAACAGATAATTTTCATAAGCATGGCTGTAATATACAAGACCCAGGGCACTTTTCTTAATTCTGGTGCACAACAGAATTACACAGGGAGTTTCAAAAATACATGTTTAACTCCCAGGCCCTACAACAGACTGGTTAATAACAAGATCACTAGTGGAAGGGATCCAAGCATCCCTAGTTTTAGAAGTTCCCCAGGTGACTCTAATGTATAGCCAAGTTTGAGAATCACTAGGTGGTCTAAGTACTTGCAGAAATGCAGAGAAAGATTTTTGTTGTGCTGGATGTTTTAAGGCAGAAATCTAACAGGTTTTGCTATTTGATTCTCCTGTGTTATAGATGGCCATCCAGGGCTGAGGGACTGATAGGAAGAACTGATAGGTTTGGTTGCAACAAGAAAACTGGTAGAGGAGATAGAGAAATGGAGTTTTATGCCAACAGTGGAGAGGTGAAGGTTTCAGTTAAAAAGCTGAGGAAATCAAAATTTTGAAGAGAGTGGCTCAGAGTGGAGAACTCATTTGGGTTTTAAAAAATTGGAAGTTGTTTTGAAAGTTAAAATGACACAAGAAAGACTAACAAGAATTTTGGTAACCTTCATATTTACTTAGATTACTTTCTCAACTAACATTTATTGTAGGTTGGCTAATGAGATCAAGAATATTCTCAAACCCATTTCTCCCCTTTGTTCACCTCACATACTGTTAAGAATACCACCAGGAAAACTCAATTTTTAAATTTCAGGTCCAGCCAAATCATTAAAACAGCTACAGTGGCTAGTGGCTTCATAAAAATCAAATCAGGCACATATTTCAAGCAAGTACATTACGAAAATAAGAATCCATAGGGTCATTTTAAGGCTGATGCCCAATCCAAAATCTTTCTATTATCTTCCATATGTGTATATATGTGCTGAAATGTCCAGGATGTAGTTATGTAAAAATGCCTGATGGCAGCCCCTATTTTCCCCAATGGATATTTTGATTTATAGGGCTTCCAGCTTTATTCTACTTCCACTGATTAGTTTGCATTTACATTTTCATAGCATCCAGCTGCTCGGCATTCATGATTTACATTCATCCAATGTAATTAAAGTATTTGTTGTGGGTTTATAAGCTTTTTAATGGTCTATATTTCTGCATTTTGTGTCTCTCCTTTTCCAAATTTATTTTATTCATCAAGCTGTGTCCTAAAAAGCAGTAGAAACAATTACCTCTAAAGTATGTTAGTATACAGCATGAATAACGCTCACACTGGATTTAAAACTACCCTCACTCGAATTACCAATTCAGTGCTGAAAATAAATGTCTCTCTCTCCAGAAATTAGAATCTAATTATGTACAATAAACCATGTTTAAATAATATCAAGGGTCTAGCCTAAACCAACAAAGACTCAAACATCCCCATAGAAAGTTGAAATGTTCCTTTTCAAACTTGCTCTTCAGGGACAGGGTTATTTTCGGAGGTCTCTGGCACTGTTGAGAGCCTGCTATGGTCTGAACGCATCCCCTGAAGTTGGTATGCTGGCAACTTTTTTTGAGATGGAGTCTCGCTCTGTCGCCCAGGCTGGAGTGCAGTGGCGCGATCCCGGCTCACTGCAAGCTCTGCCTCCCGGGTTCACGCCATTCTCCTGCCTCAGCCTCCCAAGTAGCTGGGACTACAGGCGCCTGCCACCATGCCTGGCTAATTTTTTTTTTTTTTTGTATTTTTTGTTTATATTTTTAATAGAGACAGTGTTTCACCATGTTAGCCAGGATGGTCTTGATCTCCTGACTTCGTGATCTGCCCATCTCGGCCTCCCAAAGTGCTGGGATTACAGGCATGAGCCACTGTGCCCGGCCGGTATGCTGGAAACTTAATACCCAATGCAACAGTGTTGGGAGGTGAGGCCTAATAAATAGGTGATTGGGTCATCAAGGCAGAGCCCCCATGAATGGATTCGTGTCGTTATTGAGGCAGTGGGTTAGTTTCTGCAAGAGTGGGCTTGTTATAAAAGCAACTCAGTGCCATCTCGCTCTCTCCTGCTTTCTCTTCCTTCTGCCATGAGATGACACAGCAAGAAGGCTCTCACCAGAGGTGGAGACCTCAACCTTCAACTTCCCAGCCTCCAGAGCTGGAAGAAATAAGAAAGAAATTTATCTTCTTTATATATTACCCAGTCTGTGATATTCTTTTATAGCAGCACAAATGAACTCACAGAGCCTGTCCAGGTTTTAACATAATAGAGTTTAAGTATTAATTAAAGAAAGAAATTGTAGCCTGTTTCTCTTGCCGACAATTCAGCACAAACCCAATTTGGTAAATACTTTTATTTCAGTCCCCTGTAATTAATAGGTAATTAGCTGTGGCATTGGGAAGTAACAGCAAAATGACAAATAAGCCATTTAGACCTTTACTATAAATTAAAGAGCATAATGCAGTCAATACTTCAACATGATTTCAGAAGCTAAAATATTCTCTAGGATTTTAATTCCCATTGAACTCTAACTCAATCCTAACTTTGAGCTTTTAAGTCTTTTTTTTTTTTTTTTGGCATCAATCACACCTCATATTTATTTTTATCTTTTGGTATGTGCCTATAAAAACCCTAAAAGATCTTGTCTTCTCCTACACTCAGTTCTTTCAGCTACCTCTCAAACTTTTTCCTGACCTATATAAATTTTACCAATTTACTAGCTTATTAAATGCTAAACCATACTCTTCATCTACTTCAAGTCATAGATCAAAACTGACATTTTAAAGAAGTCTTGCTCAGTTAATACCAACAATTTACCCGCAACTTCTGAGTCATTACACTTTTTAACACAGTGAAACAATTATATTTCAGCCTTGTGTCCGTGTCCATTGATCCCTTTAGTATTTACCTGTGCAGTTTTGATTACCTTATCTCCCCTATTTGGTTGAATATAAAAGGTTAAATATTACTCTTTGTTTTAATTGGGGCTGAAGAATAAAGTTTTGAATGATTGTCCAAAATATAATGGCGTTTTGGTTGGGAGGAAGGATCAGATAATAACAAAAGAGAACTTTATTCCAATTAATTTCTCTTTTGAAAGAAATAATATATAATAAGATAGTTATAAATACTTCTGTTATGCTAATTAGAATGCTAATATTCATTGTCCATAATCTTTGGCATGCTGGCTTTTATTAAAATTAGTTAAAAATAGTTACTAAACATTCTCAGTGGTACATGTTAATGTAGACTTTTAGTGAATAGAGCCTGGTTATACCTACTTAGAGTCTGGTGTAATTACCTTTAGTTTTTATGGCTATTTCACAATTTTAACTAAAATTCCATCTCTGAACATTTAGAACAAAACCCCTGAAAGAAGACTTTTAAAAAAAAAAATCCCCCAGGAACTTTTTTAAAACTTGCTTTGAAATAATTTCAGACTTATAGAAACCCTGCAAGAATAGTGTATTACTTTTCTATTGCTGTTGTATCAACCACAAATGTGTGGCTTGAAACATCGCAAATTTAGTTTTAATGGGTTAAAATCAAGGTGTCAGCAGGGCTGCCTTCCTTCTGGAGGCTCTTGAGAAAAATCCCTTCACTTGCCTTTAGCATCTTCTAGAAGCACTTGCACTTCCTGGTTCGTGGCACCTTTATGGCATCTTCACATCTCTCTGTGACTCTGACTCTCCTGCATCATCTTTCACTTGTAAGAATGTTTGTGATTACACTGGGCCTATCTGGATAACTCAGGACAATCTCGCCACCTCAAAATCCTTAACTTATTTACATCTGCAAAGTCTGTTTTGCCAGGCAGATTAAGATATTTGTGGGTTCTGAGGATTAACACATTTTTTGGGAGGAGGAATTATTCTGTTACCACAAATTGTATAAAAAACCCTTATGTATCCTTCACCCATAGCCCCCAAATGTTATATTTTCTCTACAATTTACTCTTCCTCTCTTTCTACATATGCATATTATTCCTTTCTGAACCTTTTGAGAATGTGTTGTAGACAGGAAGCCTCTTTACTCCTGAATACTCAGTGTATACTTCCTAAAAGTAAGCTTATTCTCTTAATTGCCATATAATTTATCCAAATCAGACAATTTAGCCTGGCAAAGTACTACTATTTTAGCCAATCTGCTGATCTTTTTCAGATTTTGCCAATTGTCACAGTAATATCCTTTATAGCAAAAGAAAATATCAGATCATATGTTGTATCCGAGATCATATCATGTCTCTTTAGGCTACTTTAATTTGTAAGAGAGTTTCTCCTTTTTCTAATGACATGGATAACTTCTGAGAGTAAAAGTCAGTTATTGTGTAAAATGCCCCTCAATCTGGGTTTGTGGGATATTTTCTCATAATCAGAATCAGGTTATGCATTTATTGTGGAAATGCTGCAAAGGGAAAATTGTGTTCTTTCCAGTGCATCATATCAGAAGACCCCAGAAACGTTATCTGAATTTAATTTTCAGGGTCTCTTTCATAATAGCAAACCGTAACATTTATTGAATTCTTACTTTGTTTCTGGAACTGTGCCAAACACTCTACGTATATTATTTAATTTAGCACATTTGTGTTCATGACTACTATATGGGAATTCACACGACTGGTGAAATAAGATCCAGAATTTGAATTCCTCATCATTTTGACTCAAAATGCCATGCTTTTTCTATTTTATTTATAATAAAGAGAATTATTACGTCTCTACATGTAAGTTTCACTAAAATGGCCTTCACATTCACCTCAGCTTGACTACACTACAGATTGGTTTCTTCCTGACTATAGGCCCCTGACCTCCTCTTTCTTAAAGCATTTACTTTAGAAAACTTGTAATTATAAAGTCTTTCTTTGAACCTTTTAGATGTAAATCTTGTCCCAGTCTCTTGCCAGTTTTACCATCCAGAAATGTTGTGGACCTGGGAGCCATCCCTTTGAAATGCAATCATAAAGAAAGAGTCCCTATGTCTCAGTCTCTGTGGGAGGATAAGAGCCTAACTTCAATAAGTGTCAATTAGCGAACTCAGATGGTTTTATCACATTGTCTTGCCTCCCCACTAACACCCTCCAGCACTTAAAAATGCTCCTGCCTTTTGTTTCAGTGGAGTTGAGTTCCACCTCTCTTCCCAATTACAATAGTCCCTTTTCCCTATTGGAATAGTCTTCCAATAATGTCTTCTCTACCTGTTTAACTTCTCTGGTGCAATATTTCCTTTACAATTTATATGAAAAAAAATTGATTAAAGTCAATGTTCCTCAACAAGAATAAAGTAAGCAATGTCAAATACATCAGTTTTAGCTATTGTTATTTTAATGACACCTGAATTACTCACGTTACTTGAAAGCTCTCACTTCGGCAAAGCTATGATCTTGTTTTAAACAGAAAATTGTACCTCCCTGTTTTGCCGTATCAATGAACATCTAACATTTCCTGCCACTCATTTTCTAGGAATTGCTATGCACATGGGTTATTGGGAGCCCCACGTTAGTCCCTCACTTAATCCCTAAAGCATTCCCGTCTTTGCTTCATGACTTAGGTTTCTGTCATTTGCAAAAAGAAATTCTACTAAAGTTCTCATCATTTTAAAATGTCTTTCTACTACTGCCTTAGGATGTAAGTTATTCGTTTGGAGGTACATGTAAGAGTGTCTTTGACTCTCCAGAAACTTTAGGGCAGATGTCTGTCTTCAGATTTCTACATTCTCACTTTTTTGGCCATATGCATGGAGGGTGAGGGGAAAGAAAGGGTGTGTGTTTTCCAGCAGAAAACAATGATTTTTGGTATCCCAGGAAGAGAGATGCCAGATGAATATATTTACTACTAATCCTCAGATTCCAACTCCATAATTGCCTTGTTTTCTGTTTAATTTATTGTTTTGTCTTCTTGGTATCCAAATTTCACAATTAACTCTTTTATAAATGAATTTTTTATTATTCTCAGAATATTTATACTTTTTTCAACTTCTTATGTCTATTTTATCCAAGTTTTCTTGATGCTTGTCTGTGTTCTTTTCTCTTGTATGTCATAGAGGCTTTATTCTACAATGAAAGCCTGGCTCCCCCTTCATATTTAAAAGTAAGGCACTAAAGGCAGATGGAAATTTCCGTGTGTTCCTTTAGAGGTTTCCACCAACTGAATGTGGTCATTTAATTAGTGGACTTCCGAACAGTATTATCTTCAATTGCACTTTATCAATGAGAAATCCTACAGCTTCCTACCTATGGGTGTAAGCCAGGGAGCAGGACTCTGGGTGCTGAGGGTATGATTCAGTGTCGGGGGCTAGGAAGCTAGGAAGCTAATGATTTGATATAGAGACTGATTTGACCCCTGTTTTCAGTTTCTATTTCTGTGTGCTTGATACTGGTAAGTCCAGGGTTTCTTTGGTTCAATTTTCCAGCCAAAACTCTTGTTGTGTGTGTGTGTGTGTGTGTGTGCGTATCTTATGTATCTGTCATGGGGGAGATAGAGGGAAGTGCTAGTCACCTGTTTGCAAGAGTTGGGGAGGAAAAAGGGGAGCTCCAAGGCTCTTTATACATACTGTCAGAGGTGTTTGAACAAGAGCAGCTCCATCTTGAATAAGGGCTGGGTAAAATAAGGCTGAGACCTGCTGGGATGCATTCCCAGGAGGTTAAGGCATTCTAAGTCACAGGATGAGATAGGAGCTTGGCACAAGATACAGGTCATAAAGATCTTGCTGCAGTAAAGAAGCCAGCTAAAACTCACCAAAACCAAGAGGGCAATGAGAGTGACATCTGTGCATCCCCACTGTTACACTCCCTCCAGTGCCATGACAGTTTACAAATATCAGGATGTTACACTATATGGTCTAAAAAGGGGAGGAATGAATAATCCACCCTATTTAGAATATAATCACGAAATAACCATAAAATGCTGGGCACATGGCTCATGCCTATAATCCCAGTGCTTTGTGAGGCAGAGGCAGGAGGATCACTTTAGGCCAGAAGTTGAAGACCAGCCGGGTAAACATAGCAAGATCTTATCTCTAAAAAGACATAACCATAAAAATGGGCAATCAGCAACCCTAAGGGCTGCTATACCTTTGCTTCCTTAATTAACTTCCTTTCACTTTACTATATGGATTTGCCTCAAATGATTTATTGTGTGAGATCTGAGAACCCTCTCTTGGGATCTGTATTAGGACCCCTTTCTGGTAACATCTTTCTGGTGAACCCTGAAGGGATGATACTGAAGAGATTCCCCGACCCAAAGGAAAATCGTCTGCCTGCACCAATAGGCTGACTTTGGGTAAGTGGGGTGCATATACCCGGGTAAAGGATGGGATTGGATTAGAGGCCCAACTTAGGGGAGTTAGAGTCTTTCCTAATACAGAGAGGGTTAAAGAGTCCTCTCAATAAAAGGCAAGGACACTTGATCAAACTTGGGTTTGAGGCCCATCCTAGGAAGGTTAGAGGTCTCTCTCAGTAAAGTCCCTCTCAGCTAAGAACAGGTTTGGCACTACAGGATGTTAACTGCTCTGCTCTTTGGAATAATCTCCCTTTGCACTCTTTTTTGACAGCTGTGAGTGACAGGATTAAGCATATACAGGACCATGGGACATGGGGAGTTTTTCCTCCTCAGAGGGGGAAACTTGAAGCTGATGGCTGCCTGAACTTTTCAGTGTCACTACCTAAAAGTGGCTACCTAAAAGTGGCTGCCCGAACTTTTCAGTGTCACTGCAATGGGTGGGTCTTTCTCTGGCCTCCCTGAGCTCTTCGCCTTCCCCACCCAGCAACAGGCATTGCCTTTCTCTTGATCATTTCCCTTTCTTATCTTTTCTATTACTCAGGGTGACCATCTTGCCCAGAGAACACAAGCTGAGACTCCTGGTCAGAGGTTGGATTACCAATGACTGAGCCCAACTGGGGACAAGTTTGAGCCTTGCCAATGTGATATTGAGGGCTAAGCAGAGTGGCTAATGTCTATGTTTTGTCACACATATTTTGCTCTGGCCAAAAAGAAAAACATAATTTTCCTTTGTGTTGTGGCTTGGCACCCAGGGCTGTGATACAGCTTGCTGGGTTACCAGGTTTGCTCAGGGAAGGGGAACCCAGAAGCCTGGCATAGTAAAAATTTCTTACCAAACTTCTGGTGTCTCTCTCTCTCTCTGTCTGTCTCTCTCTCTCTCTCTGCAAACTGGTTGAATGAATGGCAAAAATCATTGTTTATCACCTCTGTAAAGTTTTGATTAATGGGAAGAAGGATTCATGAGACTCATCTTGAGCTGTAGTGAATCTAGTGTACTTTGTGTGTCTTTCTGTATTGCTCTGTCATAAAGAGGGATACCTTAAGATAAAATGTGAGCCTAGGACCTCGTAAGCTTGTTGTTCAGAATGGCCCAGCGAACTGGTCAGTTCCAGCTGTGCCTGCTTATTAGACCCTAGGAAGTGCATGCTTTAAAGAGAAACATAAAAATTTGCAAGTGATAAGCCTTACAACTACAGGGTCTTCTTTCTGTCGGTGTATTTATATGTGTTGTGTGTAATATGAAAGAGTTTTGATTAATTGGCTTAATAATAAGAGCTTAAACAAAATATTTTGTCAGAAGAGTAGAAAGTGTAATCCCTTTTAGTTCATGTGACTTTTAGTAATCTTTGGGAAATAAAAACAGTTTTAAAGATTATTAGTAAAATAAAAATTTCTTCAAAAATGTAAACATTTGGTCTAAATTGTGCAGGTCAGATATAACGTAGGCTAAATGCTTTATCATGATAAACTGCTTCTTTGACTTTTGAAAATTGTTCATTTTACTTATCTTGAAGCCATTAGATTCTAGATAAGGCCTAGGGACATGTGGAATTAGCCATATCTCCTAGCTATGCAAAGAAGGTTATAAAGATCCTTATATAAGAAAGGATCATGTATGGTAAATTCTATTTCTAAAGTAAAATGACTGGTTGCTTAAAAAGATATTTAGGTCAAGTCAGAAAGTCCAAGCACATTGTATACTGTCTGTGTAAGTCATGAAAGAATTTGTGAAAGGAATTTATGCAAGAAATGCTGTACAATTTGAGGGTTGTCAGGCTTCCTACATGCTTCATAATATGCCACTATGACTCTTAACCATACAGCTTGCCTGCTTTGCAGCTAGGTAAGGCCTGGGACATGTGGAGTTAGCCATGCCTCCTAGCTATGCTGGAAACAGTGAGATGTTATCTGCACTTCCATCTGGGTCCTAGGCTCCACACCTGGTTCATAATTAAAATCGCTGACTTACCAAGGTTTTCACCAAAAGTAAAAGTCACTAAGAGTTAACATTATAATATGTAATTGAGACTACTTAAAAAACAGTTTTACATGCAAGGTGTGTAAGAAAAGTGAAATGTGTTTTTGGTAAAAGATTATAAGAAGGCACAGGAATGTGGATTTCTTGCCTAAGTTTCAAGGGTTAAAGGATTGTTTTAAGTTAGATAAGCTGAAGCTTTGAGAAAATTGTGTAAGGTTTGTGAAAAAATAAGCTTGTAAAAGAAATTCTGTGTGTGCACATATTGGCTAAAGTAAAAGAGGTGTTATTCAGTTTTTCCATAAATTGAACATTGGAATAAAAGCACAACAGGTTTTTCTTAGAGCATTTATCTGTTCTTTAACAAAAATTGTAAAGTGTTATAAAAGGTTTATAAGAATCTTACCTTATGTTCAAAGTGAGTAAGGTTAAATAGATTGGTTTATAAGGTTTTATTAAGAATTAGGATTAACATTAATAGTACTAATGTAAAGGTAAAATTTGGCTTATTTGGTATAAAAATCATACAGGAAGCATTGTCAAATAAGAAATGGTATTTGGCTTTCTTTGGGCTGTATTTATATAAATATATTATTGGTATGTGTTCCAAAATTATGGGTAACTACTATAATTCTGATATGACTTAGTGTACATTATCAGTAATAATTATAATTATAATAAATTATGTGTGCCACAAAAGTAACGAAAATTTCCATATCAATTGTGGCTTTAAGAGAGGCTATCCTAAGACTTCTTATCATCTAGAAACAATTGTTGTCTTGTTTCAATCCTCTTTAAAAGATGGTTTTATAATCAACTATAGAACTCTAACAGGTATTCTTAAATGCAGATTTCTGATAACTTTGGAAATTGTAACATCAAAATGGGGAAAAAACTTTCAGGACTCTCATGGAGAGCTGAAATGTTCATGAATGTCAAGCAGAAAAGGAGTTAACTATATTGACTAAACAGATAGAAGACTGAAGTAATATTTTTTTGCTTTGGTTAAAATGTTGCTGATCCATTGTTTTGTTTTTCAGAGTCAAGGAAACTTTTCTTTTGAGCTGTTTACAGCTTTTAACAATTGAGTAAAGTATATTCCTATAAACAAAATTTGGAGAATATTTGTTTCTGTCTACTTAATTTCTCCAGAATTTGGAAACTTTTTGTGAGTATTCTTAATTTATGGCAATATTTGCATAAATGCAATAAGAATCTGTTTTCTTTTGCAACAGGGCACAATTGAAATGGTTATTTTACCAAGGCTTTGGCTGGAATGATATGCTTTCCTTTAAGGAATAAAACTTGACTTGTAGAGCCAATAAAAGCCCCTTGGGAAAACTGGCCTCATCCCTTGTCTATACAGCACAGTCCCTGTGCAGGGTTCCTAATCTGTGGTAAGTAAAGAATGTCACTTTCTCACAGGCCCAGGAGCCCCAAGTTATCTTGGGACCTTAAGAAGAGAGAAATTTACTCAATTCATAGGTATTTGATGGTACGAACTTATGGCTGGTCTCAGCTTTAAAAAAAGCTTTATCTGAAACTCCTTCTGTGGAACAAAGTTCCATCAAAGCCAATTTAAAATGCCTATGTGAAAAACAATTATTCTTGCTGCACTTTATACAAATAATCAGACCAAGGGTAATAAAGTAAATCAGTATTAGCATGATTTGTCTTTAGTAAAAATTGGAGACCAGAGAGAGAAAAATTGTTTCAAGAACTATGGTATACCTATTATTAGATTCTAGTATCATCAGTTGTTTTAAAGTTTGTTTCTGCAATTTAGACTGACTGCCTATTCCTGTGAAACAACCAGTGATCTCTGATCTCTGGCTGCAGCTCAGAAGAAACAAGAGGAATGGGTAATGTAAAAATCTGGATCAGCATTCTAATTCTATTGGAATCAGCTGGCAACCCCATATCAACTTGGTTCCAACAGTTGCCCAGTTCATGAGAAGCCTTCTAATTTAGTTTACTTGGCATAATATTACTTATTTTGCTTTACTGTTGTGGAATACATTGCTGTTTTACTCTTTGTGTAGGAATGCAGAATAAGCTTACTGAATGTTCTCTTAAATACTTATTAATCTTCCAGATATCACCTTCTGCTGGAACTCAGAGTTATGAATGGCCCCTCAGCATACTGATGCTTTCTGACTAAGCTACTCTTTACCCTGAATAGAAGAGATGCTAATAGTTAGGCAGGAATGTCATCACCCCTATTCAGCATGAAGAAGTTACAGAAGATGGATCTTCGTCCCTCTGCAACTGTTAGGATTAAGGGTTCTCTTATAAAAGGAAGGGGGGATATGTCAGAGGCTCTTGAGCCAGAGCAACTCCATCTTGAATAGGGGCTGGGTAAAATAAGGCTGAGACCTGCTGAGCTGCATTCCCAGGAGGTTAAGTCATTCTAAGTCACAGGATGAGACAGGAGGTCAGCACAAGATACAGGTCATAAAGACCTTGCTCCAGTAAAGAAGGCAGCTAAAACTCACCAAACCAAAATGGCAATGAGAGTGACCTCTGGTCATCCTCACTGCTATACTCCCACCAGCACCATGACAGTTTACAAATACCATGGCAATGTCAGGAAGTTACCCTATATGGTCTAAAAAGAGGATACATGAAAATCCACCTCTTGTTTAGCATATATTCAAGAAATAACCATTAAAATGACCAACCAACAGCTTGGGGCTGTTGGGGAATGGAGTAGCCATTCTTTATCCCCTTACCCCTTACTTTCTCAATAAATTTATTTTCACTTTACCGACTTGTCCTGAATTCTTTCTTGTGCAAGGTCCAAGAATCCCTCTTGGGATCTGGATTGGGACACCTTTCGGGTAACAATATTTTTGGCCAGTTTTACTCTTTTCCTATGTCCATAGTGCTCCTAGTTCTGGAGTTTTCCTGAGGTTCTACAGCACAAGCAAGAATGCTGTTGCTGGTTCACTTATAGAGACACCTTCCATTTCTCTGTTTTCATTGGTTAACAATTTTTTAAAAATAGTTTATACTCATTTTAATGGGGTTTTGGAAAGATGCAAAGATAAATGCAAGAGTTCAGTCCACCATGTTTAACTGTTAGTAGTATTTCATTTTTAAATTTAGATTTCTCCACTTTAATGCCAATAACTTTATAGCATCTCTTTTCTAATTAGATTTAACTAACTGGAAAACAGGTATATTATCATAAGTGTTCTTGTAAATAGTATATATATATATATATATATATATATATATATATATGTTATCTATGTGTATATATTTAATATTTGTTGTGACTTTTATAATAATCATATTGGCAGATACTTGGAGCATTTACATTTCCCAGGCACTGCAATAAGCACTTCACATGGATTAACTTATTTATGCATCATAACACTCTTGTTTCATCATCTGTATATCAGACACAATACAGATGATGAAACTGAGATGCTCAAAGGTTAAATAACTTGCCTAAGGGTCACATAAGAAAGTCTTTGAGCTAATATCCACACATAGGTAGTACGGTTCAAATCTGTATGCTTAACCACTATACCACACTGCCTCTCAGTTACATAGCTTTTATGTATATATGTATAGGTGCTTCTATCCATTTATTTGCTATCTCATGTGTATGTGTATATATATGTGTGTGTGTATATATATATATATATACACACACACATATATATATTTGTATGGTTACTGCAATTGGGAATAGTATTTTCCTTACAACAGATATTTGCATTATTAGAAGGCTGATGTCATTGAATCTACGCTGAATCTTCTTATCTTACCCTAGCAAAATGCCTTGTCCATAGAAAAATTTAAATAAACACTTTTCATTTCATTTCAATATCAATACACAGTAATTGTATTGATCATTTGAATTTTATAAAAGTTATTCAATCTGCAAATATTCTTGGTTCTAAACCTTAAGCTGTTTTATTCAAGGGTGGGGAGACTGGTTCCCATGGAGCAGTTATTTACACAAGAGTTGTTTACTTCTGGATTGAAATAAAGAGTCTATTATAAAACCCAATTGTTTTATTCCTGTAACCACTTTACATTTAGATGTACTCTATTTAGAGTCCACTGTACATGATTTAAGCCATTTAGATTTAGATGGAGCCTGGACTATGTCTGATAGAGAAAAACAGGCAAACCACTTTTTAAAAGGAGGATAAGTTAAACTTCTGGATGTGTTATGTGAATAAATGTTGCTGTGGCTTTCTCTCCCCAAAAGAGAGAGCACTGAGTGCTTGGTTCAAAAAGGTATACAGGTATCAATATCCACCACCACTGCCCCAGCCCAATACATATATACCTTGTTTTCAGGTCAGAGTCAAAGCTATTTCTTCAGCTTGAAAAATGGAGAATAAATTTCTTTTCATTATTGGGTCATGTCATGTTTCCCTGATAGTTTCCCTTCTTTACTTGGCTAGGAAAGAGCCACTGTTTTTAAATGAGAAAGCAGGGAGATTCTTAGCTGAGCATTATGACAAGAGGCTCAATTAGTACTAGATTTTTCAATGACTGATGATTTACATTTACTTGAAAATAGCCTCCAGCCACGAACCTCTGTCATAAAATGCACCCAAGGGCTTGCAGCAGGCAGCAACTTTGCCATCATTACTGATCTTTCTATAATTCTAAATAAAAAGTATACTCCATATCCTATTTCCCAACTCCACTGCTCAAAAAAAAAGTTTTCACATAAATGAGTTGGAAATTATATATGTATACACACACACACACACACACACACACACGAAGAGAAAAATTAGAACCAGTGACTTTCCAGGGTAAAACAGACAAATGCAGATGTATTTACTTTTTAATCTAGATTTTGAGGATATGTTTGTGTAAATGTGTTCCATGTGTGTTTTTCTTGACAGGTAATTTCTTAGATGGCATAAGGCAAACATGTGTTTCAATGATTTTCAATGTTTTAGTAAAATGAAAGGAAAATGTATAGAACACATTTTCTTAAATTCATTTGGTCTTCCCAGTGCTTCCCAGTAATATTCAAAGCAACTGGTCATGGGTATATTTAAGCTTAGCTTCTGTTTTATCCTCTTTCTTTCTGTCTCCCAGAAAATGTTCTTTTGCTTATTTTCTCAATACATTGGTATTATCTCTTTTATGTCCCTCTTGGTTCTTTTTTCTTCTAGTATATAATTAAATTTCATGAAATAAATATGGATTCATTCCTCTGAATGTTAATATGCTGAACTCTGCTATTAGCTCTGGCCATTTGGGGAATGTTATAAAAGTCTTTTGGAATTTTCCCAGAACTAATAGGATTCTAAAAAGAAAAATCCATCAATTTACTTCCCTAGTTTGTTCATTGTTCATTTCTCGATAAAAGAATGTGACCTTTTCTTGATGAACTCGTCATTGATCAAACTCAGAGTTGAGGGGATCTGCTCAGAAACTCAGGGGTCACATGACAAGTGGATGGGAAGCAAGGGTCTAGGTTTCATTCTCAGAATTATTTGCATTATTCTTATTCTACAAGGTTCAACTTCACCTTCTTGCCCTCTCCTGTCATTTGGAGGGGAACTACCTCAACACCTGGGAGATTTGTGGCACTAGAAATTACTGTACTTTGAAGACAGCAATGTCATTTTCATAATTTCCTTTCCTACTTAGGAAGTTTTCTCTTCCCTCTCAGTAAAATTTGCATCTTAATCTTGCTTCATCAGAAGAGTCTCCAAAAACCCTTAAATCACAGTATTTCTGAAAACATGAAAGTTATGATTTGACTTTTCCATTGCCTGTTTATCCATTGGATTAGTGATTTTCATTAACCTCGGGAATTTAAAGAGGCAAAGCTCCTGACTGAGAATAGATCTTTATCATGAAATCAAATTATCAGATGAAACCTTAATTAGGATTTGCACTGCTGATCAAAGGAACAGCCAAGGGATTATATGGCAAAAAAGGAAACACAGAATCTACCCCGTGTGCCAATGGGTGGATTTTCTCCATGATGCTTTTATCCTTACTAAACCAGGGTTTGGGATATGTGGCCCACAAATAAACTAGAAATATGAATCTGTTATTTTTCTGTGAATCTACTAATTCACTATTTGGTATCAATATAAACAGATATGAAATAAATAGAATAAAATAAATACTGCAAGAGCGATAAACTTATTTTATCTGTTTGCATTATCTTTTCCTTTATTTCAGCCCATGAAATTATGTATTATAAATGAAGCTTACGAAGATGAAACAGCCAAGTGAAGTCCAAGTTTGTAAAGTTCACATAGACCAGGACTCAAAGAAGAGGGAAAGTCTCTGTTTTAGTTTTTCTGGGAATAAGAACAAAGGAATAAAAGTCTAAAGTTTACTGTAAGATCTGTAAACTTATTTCATTTTATCTGATAGTATCATCTTTTCCTTTATTTCAGCCCATGAAATTACTCATTACAAATGAGGCTTATGAAGATGAAACAGCCAAGGGAAGTCCAAGCTTGTAAGATTCACATAGACCAGGACCCAAAGAAGAAGTCAAGTCTCTGCTTTAGTTTTTCTAGGGATAAGATCAAAGAAATTAAAGTCTAAAGTTAGGAGAGAGATATCAGCTTTTGGTGGAAAATGAGCTGTGCCTGAATATTTTAGAGCACTAAAATGGCTTTCTGCTATAGCTTTGGCCAACTGCTGGTACTGAGCATCTCCAAGTTACAGATTCAATCTCTCTAAGGCCCTGAGCCAGTGAGAACCGTGTCTATCATCAGACTCATTATCCCCCTACAGACAGTGAGTTTGGAATTGGCCCATGACCCTCAAGCTAGTGTGAGTCCCCCGGGACTCATTTCATTTACTCAACTAATATTGGTTGATCACGTTAATGTGCCAACTGCCTTGAGAGGTGCTTGGGAAACAACAGTCAAAAGCACATCGTTCCTTCTCTTAATGAGTTTACAGTTCATTGAGTAGAAAAACTTTAAACAATTTCAATAAGTGCTATGTTCAGGTAAATATCACAAGAGGTGCAAAGGATACATATCAAATCCTGGGGGAGACAGGGGTCAGAGAAGACTTTTTGGGACTTTAAAATATTTTACTGGAGCATAAAGGGCATGGATTAATGCTGTGGTCTGGAAGTAAGTTGTGAGGTTAGAAAGGCTGACAGAGGCCAAATTAGAAAGATCCTTCTATTCCACAGCAAAGAGGTCAGCCTTTATTCTTAGGGCAACATGAAACCAATGGAAGGTTTCAAGCACAAAAATGACATGACCAGATGGACATATTACAAATACCTCTCTAAGTTCATTGTGGATCATGGTATAGAGATAAGCATGCCTGAAGGCAATCATCTAGAAGTATTAAAGGAGAAGGAGCGGGAATGAGACAGTTTCAGGCGCTAATAAGGAGGCAGAATCATAAGATTTTGAAATTGATTGGGTAAGGACAGAGAGATGTTAATGAAATGTGAAAGTAAAGGATAACACTCAAGTTTCTTGCCTAGGCAAATGAGTAAGTGCAATGCATTTTACTGAACTAGAGATTACATGAAAATTAGGCTTTCTGGAAGGTGGTATATAAGTTTAACTTTGTGAATATTTACTGTGAAGGCATCTTCAGAACATCCAAGTGGAGCTGTCTAGAATGCAGTGGTGATAAGAGTCTGGGACTCAAGAGATAACTTAGAACTAGAGACATTTGGGAGTCATCAACATAGAGATGGTGAAGGAAATCCTAGAGTTGATAATTTCACCATGAAGAATGATGATAATAGAAAGCTTAAGAGATGTTCAGAGAAGGAGGTTCCCATCACAGGAAATTGACCTGCATCTTCTTCCATTCTCTCTGTGTATGATTTGTCTTCCGTTCCAGCACCTGTTTCTAATTTCAGTTTCCTGCTAGGACGGCAGCCTTGTTTCAAACCCTAAGACCATTTCATTAGTGCACAGAAAATCTGTAAGACCTTGCTTAACAAGTCCCTTTTTAGAGAAGACTAGACACTGTTCCTTTTCCACTAGCTAGTAACAGGAGTTCTGCTTCAATCCACCCATCTTCTGGGATGAAGCTTATTTCAACCTCTTCCCAGAAAACTCCTAGTGTTCAGTCCCTTCCATATACCAGATCAGACTCATTGGATATAATGCCATTCTCAATTAGTCTAAAGACTGTCATGCTTCCTTAGCCTTCTTGGCACTTTCTTTCCATATTAAGCATATTTGGACTTGGGAATCAGACAAATCTCAGTGCAAAATTTGACTCTACCACTTAATAATTTTGCAACCCTTAACAAGTTACTCTTTCTGAACCTCATTTTTTTTTGTATCTGTAAAATGGATTAATAATTCCAACCTTCCATGGCTATTTTGAAGACAGAATGAGAACATGCACATAAAGTTCCTGGTAGTTCTCAATAAATTAATGCATTTTACTTCTTTCTATATTTTCCCCAGCTTGATTGTAAATAATGTGAGAGGAGTATGATACAGTGGAAATAACAACTGCATGTAGTAAATGCTTAAATGTTTATATTTTTAGAGTCCTAAAATGGTTTTCAAATTACCTTACTTCTGTGTGAGTGATTTTATGTATGCCAGCTCTCTTTTTGGGCTTCAGTTTTCTCATTTGTAAAATGAGGATAATAATACCTGTGTTACTTACTTCACAGTTATGAACCTCAATAACGCATGTAACAGCACTTTGAAAACTAGAAAGTTTTTTTAAAAATACAAAATATTCTCTCAAGCATTATACTTTACTCATAGGAGATAGTCACAAACTTTCCTTTTTGATATTGGTATGTTGACATATTAGACATTCCAAACTTGAAACCAGAAAAATATTTATTCCAATTTAATTATTTGACTTGCCTAGAAAACAGTTGTTCCACTTACAAAGAGACTCAAGAAGATTAAATTCGTTATTACTATGGGTTTTAATTAGTATACAGATATTTACTGAGCCCTTTTTCATTGAAAGATGTTCTTGGCTCGAGGATGTAGAGAAAAAATATCTAATTCTTGACTTTCAGAAGTTTGCAGCCTCGAGTGAAGATAGTCAAATAAATAACCATGGTATAGAGTGATAAAGATTTGTGAGTTTGTAGGAGATGTGTAGGCAGTTAAGGCTGAGAACATCAGGGAAATCTTAGAAAATGTGATGGTATGTTGGGTTTTGAAGGATGATTGGAAGGGGTTATCCAGGTGATCATATATGAGTGGAAGGGGAGGTTCTGAGGATAATTCCAGGCAGAAGGAGCAGCAATGACAGAGGCAAAGGTATTGACACATTTGAGAAATTATCAGGACTTCAATACAATTGATTTGCATTTGCTTGAGGATGGGAAATGGTGGGAGAGAGGGAAGAAGAAGCAAGGGTAGGTCCAGAGATGGAAAAGTAGGTAGGAAGAGCCATGTATGGAAGTCTTGCTATTGAAATATTTTGAGTACTGGGTTTCACATAATAAGAATAAAATTTACCTTGGATATCTTTTGGAACAGAGCAACACTGGGGTCAAAAAGAATGCTGGGGGAGGAATGATTATTGCAATGACCCAGGTGAGAAGTAATGAGACCCTAATATAAAGTAATGACAGTGGGAATGGAGAAGCTGCAGAAAGTCAAGCTTTATTAGAGGAGAAGACTTGATCACTGATTGGATGTGGCAGGTGAGGGGGAGAAAAAAATTAGGATTATATTCCAATTTTCTGACTTAAACAAGGAAAGGAGGATGTTAGACTATTTAAAAAGCTAGAAAATTACACACACACACACACACACAAAAGCAAAACTACTAGGCAAAAGAAGAGGTAAAGAGAAAAGCATGGAATATGTTTTGTTTCATTGGTCTAGAGTTTATAGGTAGCCAAGTCCAGAGAACAATCTTTAGGCAACTCCAAATATAGAATGTATAGGTTTCCCTTAGATACGTTAACATTCCTCAACTCTCAACTAATAATCACCTCTTTGGTTAGCTATAGAAAATCTTGAAATTTCTCTCAAATATACTAGATAAAAATCTAATATATATATTGTTTCAAGTCAGTTGTTTGATATTTTAAATGATGATAAAGGGAGGAGATACTCAAGACTTTTAAAATAAATGACAATTCTTAACTATGAAAGAATGTATGTTATTCTTACCCTATCAGAATTAAGTCTTCTCCAGCTGAGCATGGTAGTTCATGCCTAAAATCCCAACACTTTGGGAAGTCCAGGCAGGCAAATCATTTGAGGCCAGGAGTTTGAGCCCAGCCTGGCAAACATGGTGAAACCCTGTCTCTACTAGAAATACCAAAATTAGCCATGCACACACGCCTGTAGTCCCAGCTACTTGGGAGGCTGAGACATAAGAATCGCTTCAGCCTGGGAGATGAAGGTTCCAGTGAACCAAGATTGCACTACTGCCTTTCAGCCTGGGTGACAGAGCAAGACTCTGTCTCTGAAAACAAACAAACAAAAACGAATTAAGTCTTCCCCATTCTTTTATAATCTTTCAGATACTACCCATGGGAACATTCTTTCATTCTTCTTTCATTCATGTCATTGTTTTAGCGGTCTTAGTATAGTCAACCAAGCCTTCTTAAACCATTAATCTGAAATCATTGAGTAGTAATAATAATAAGCACTTCATACTATTTAATATATACCAATTCAAGTGCTTTAAATACATAAACTCAACAATCACATTCTAAGACAAAGGTTATTGGTACTATTTCTGTTTTGTAAATAAATAAGCTAACGCATGGAGAAGTTAAATGAGTTTCCCAATATCATAGTAAGTTGAAGAGCTGGGATACAGATCCAGGCAATCTGGGACCAGAGAGTGTACATTTAACTGGCACACTATGAAAGGTTTGGATTAGAGGACAAGGAACTCTGTGACATTGGGTAAGGCTGGAAGCTCTGAGGCATGACTCGTACCTGTCATAGGGTCAGGATACAAGTCTCCTGATATTTCTTTTATATATATGTGTAATAATAATATATGTATGTGTGTGGATATGTATATAATATATACGCTATATTAAAAATATAAATGAAAAATTATTCTCAGCTGGAAATATAAAGAATAAAATCATATATCACACAAGCCTGGGTTCATATCTCAACTAGGCTTAGGATCAAATTGGCTAGGACTCCAACCGCCCACATTTAAATACTTTTGAGTTAAATGACTATGGATGAGTTAATCTCTCTCAGACTCATTTACTAACCTATAAAATAAACACACACACACACACACACACACACATATATATATATATATATATATGACATTTTACACAGGGATATGGTGCAGATTCAATGAGATAATGGACCTGAAATACTCATCTATATTTATGTGCGATTTACTATGTGTCCTCACTGTTCTCAGCATTTTAAGTATATGAAATACTCATTTAATCCTCCATATATGTATATGAGAAAGGCACTATTTTTAATCGTCATCTCCATTTTACAGGTGAGGAAACTGAGGCTCATGGAGGTTAAATAACTTGTCTAAAGTCATGCATGTAGTCAGGGCAACTCAGCCTGCTCTAGATCTCCAGTCCCTACTCTCCACTGCCCTGCTGCACTGCCATGCTGAGCATAGCACACAAGCACATTAAGACTATTACCTTCTCACCTAGGAGAGTACTGCACTTTTTCATGTACAAAGCAATTTCTTTTGCCTCTTCTGATATGATAGGAATAGCCCCTGAAACTCTATAGATAACTCTTAACTTAATAAGAAAAAAAATCAGTGAAATAGAGAATAAAAAATTGTAAAGGCCAGCTATGAAAGAAAGAGCCAAAGACCTTCTTTTCCCAAACCATTGACTGGAGTTCACACGGTGTTAATCTGCTTTGCATTGCTATAAAGGAATGTCTGAGACTGGGTAATTTATAAAGAAAAAAGGTTTATTTGGCTCATGGTTCTGCAGGCTATACAAGCACGGCACCAGCATCTGGTTAGTTTCTGGTGAGGCCTCAGGAAAGTTTTACACATGGCAAAAGGTGAAGAGGGAGCAGACATGTCACATGATGAGAGAGGGAGCAAGAGAGAGAGGAGGAGGTGCCAAGCTCTTTTAAACAACCTACTCTGTATGAACCAATAGAGCGAGAATTTACTCATCACCAAGGGGATGGCACCAAGCCATTCGTGAGGGATCTGTCCCCATGACCTAAACACCTCCCATCAGACTCCACCTCCAATATTGGGGATCATATTTCAACATGAGATTTGGAGGGGACAAACATCCAAACTATGTCACACCCCTCACCAAACAAGTGCACTGTGTGTCTTTCTGATTGAGCTAGATGTGGTGACTCAGTCTACTAATGATCTACTGACCATAGACAGCAAAGAGTCATTATGCACAAGTAAGCCTGTTACTTCATGTCTATACATTAGTATTTAGCTCATGTAACAAAACCCTATAAGAGAAAGAGTCAGTCCTGGTTTTCTTTCAGTGCCAAGCTGGATAGCATAATGATATGAAACAGCTTGGGTGTGAGGTCTGACCACCAGTTTCTGACCATGTGATCTTGGATGAATCAGTCACTTTACCCCCACCCCCCTCTCTCTCTTCCCCTTCAGTTTATCCACTTTCTGGGGCCACTGTAGGAAGTGCAGATAGTATTCTTAAATCCCTAAAATCAAGTCCAACCCAGAATTAGCACTCAATATGTAGTGGCTATTGTCATTATTTCAAAAAAGCCACTAAACTTTCTTAGAAAAATTCAATTTTTAAGACTTCGTTCCCATCCATATTTATCATTGATCTTTCCATTTGAAAGCCAATGATCATATTCCATTTCTAAGTCAAAAAAATTGTAATCTCTCAGAAGGTTCAAACAATATTCTTATTCACTATGAGTTGGAGCAATCCTTCTTTCTACTTTGCTGGCATTTTGGTTTGAATTTATTTCATTGCAGGTACACATCTTCCCTCTCACAGCAGTTATCTATGCAATTGAGAATTATGGACCACACGAATCAGGTCAATGATAAGTTCTAATTGTGCTCTGCTATCTTCCTTATACACCTTCCTTTAAAATTCAGTAACTCCAGATGTAATCTGAAATCACTATCTCAGAACTGCCGGGTGGCTCCAGCCCATCAACATCCCTAGCATCTCTTTTCTATTTAAATGGTTTAAAAGGTGAGCCTTTCTAGAACATTCTTTGTCTTTAAAACTAAGTTGTTTAAAAACTTTCCTAAATAAAAGCCCACAGTGCATTATTTAGAATGTATTTCAGGCAAATAGAATGTTTAAATCTACAGACTGAAAATGATCTTCACACATAAAATGAAATCTGATCAGTTTTTAGCCTAACACGAGCAGAACTCCCAAATTAGGCACTTCCAAATTCAGCACAGCAAACACTGCCAGCCACCAAAGGAATTGGAGAAATCAAAGCCCCTCTAAAACTTCCTTGTATGACATATAAAAGATTCAGCAGAGTAGAGGTCAAAGAATATGAGGGGGGTAAAGGTATAAAAGAAAAGTAAGATAGCTGATTTTTTTTAGTATGAAGGGATAGAACCTAATTATTCTTTTATGCAGAAAATCCCTTTGGCTGTACACATGAATGAGAGCACTCAAGGCAGCAACATTTTTCTTATAATTAGAAGAAATTATGATGTCTCTCTTGAAAGGCAGAATTTTCCTTATCATGAAAAACAGTGTTCTTTATCATCTTTACTTTTCATTACAGCCTTCAAAATGAGGTTTTTTTGAGCCTCTTGAAATAAATCCATTCCACTTTGATCTACCGGAACTAACTATTAAAATATGGCCTGATTCATCCTGACACATGTCCACATGCTCACTTGCCTGGGATAATAATGACTATTGGTGAATTATAAAGGACACTGAATTCCTTTATCCTATAACCTAAACTGTCCTGAGGTGAAAAATATTAAAACCTTTTTAATAGGCTGACACGTCTCATCTTCACATTCATTCATTTATTTTTTCAGCAAGTATTTATTAAGTGACACTATTTGTGAACGTTGGGCAAGGGACTGAATTTGCTGTGGCTGCTATAGAAATTAAGCTAAACAAACCGCCACATGTAATTAGGATGAAAATTGAAGAAATGAAGGGATTTTCTTTTTCCAGATAGAATTTGAAAGCTCCATGTCAACACTTAACAGAGCACAGATTGTACAACTCTGAGTTGTTACTGGCAACTAATGAAAATATTGACACCAGGGATGCAAAATCACAGTGTGGTAGCTGCCCTGCTTGCAATGCCTTGCTGAGTTCTGGGGGAAGAGTTTCCTTCTAGGATGCTTCTGTAGAAGTTTGCCTTTCAGTACTCCAGGCTTGCTCCTCCCCCATATATGTACTTAACGTGCACAAGCCTCTCTGGGTTATACTTCTCTCACTCATCCTCTTTGTTATTTCTCTTATTAGTTTTATTGTACTTTTTTCATAATTACCTAGTATTTCTGTTTTTTTCTTTTTTACAAGCCTGAAGCACCTTTAGAAGGTTTGGAAGAGAGGAACAAATTACAAACCTTTCCCATAGTTGTTCTTCTATGAGCTCCCATAAGACTGTGATTATCCGGGGTGGGGGAAGGGGGGAGGGATAGCATTAGGAGATATACCTAATGTTAAATGACAGGTTAATGGGTGCAGCACATCAACATGGCACATGTATACATATGTAACTAACCTGCACATTGTGCACATGTATCCTAGAACTTACAGTATAATAATAAAAAAAAAGACTGTGATTATCCCTACCACTGTAATATTTACATTGAATTGTAACTGCCTATAATTATCAGTCTGCTTTCTTCTATGAGACAGTAAGTTTCTGGAGAGAAAAGGCTATATTCCATGTATTTCTGTATCTTTAACCACTATAGTGGGTGCTTGGTAAATAATGTGTAAATAAAACACTAATGTCTTCTCTGTTCCACCTTATGCTTTCTACATAAATTATATTCAATTTATTTAAACTTAAATCTTTATAGAATCTCAGATCTATATAAGACTCTGTGCTACCTGCTCCAGAAAAAATAAATAAATAAATAAATAAATCAAGATGAACTAAACAGATTTTCTGTCTTGAGAAAGGTCAGAAGAGAAAAATAAAACTATTGTAAGATCATTTTAATAAAAGCAAAAGTTTAGGTTTTGTGGGTATCAGTAAACACATAGAAAATGTGCATCAACAGGCATAAGAATTACATCATAAGCCACCTTTCACTTCCCTGTCTGTGTAGATATAGACAAATATGTAAAAGATAACATTGACAATTAATGTTGAAAAGATCAAACACCTACCATGACTGTACCACAGGCCCATGCATGTGAGCTGTAAGTGTGTAATGAAACATTTTTGGAGCTTCAAGCAAGGGATGGAGAACATTTAGCTGAGGGGACAGGAACAGCTTTCTTGGGGGCGATATTATTTAAGATGGGCCTATAAGGATGGTTAGAATGTTATCAAGAAAAGATAGGAGCATAACATGGCATGGTGGAGAGGCGGAACAACTACTGCCACCAAAGTACAGAGAGGAAAGAGGGGGAAAGTCTTAGCATTTTGAATTGTCAGTTTCATCAAGAATTGGAGTAGAAGATTAATTGATGGGACACAATTAAAGCCAGGGTCTCAGAGGGTAAGCCAAGCAAGAAATGTTCTACCTACATTTGCATTGGAAGCACCTATAGAAGACCAACCGAAATGATTAAAGACACAGATGTATCTGTATCAAAAAAAAAAAAAAAGAGTTTAAGTCAATTGTGTCATGGCTCTGACATTCTTTATAAATTGGGAAATTTAGGTTATACACTAAGTGTTCAATAATTATTCACTGACAGACCATTGAGACTTACATAATGTCCTACTCTTTAGCTACAGACTAAAAAATAATAAGTACATACCCATCTCCAATATTTGATATTAGCTCACAGGAGTGGAGCTTTTTAACTTCCAACAACCCTATAAGGCAAGAACCTGATCCAAGTATATGCAAATCATTTTGGAAAAGATTAATTTTTTTTTCAAATGGCCGTTAGTATAAAGATATCTAGAAATATATTATTGTATAATTAAGAAAATCAGCATATTTTAAGAATACATAGTATATTACCCAGGCTGTTAATCACCTGTTCTATATTATTTATGTGTATGCTTATTCAAAACTTGCATATTGATCACCAAATATGAGTCAAGTTTTAAGAAAGGTTGAGGTGATTGTGCAGATGACTGAAACAGTATTCCTTCTCATAAAGATTCACAACCTAGGATGCAAGAAAGAAAATGAACAGTAGAAGGGGTTATGCCACTAAGGACCCATTAATTCCTTCCCCAAATACTGCCACTAATAGCGCTGAAACTAGTTAATCACTTATTTTTGACAATCATAGGGTCTGACAGAGCAAATTTTTCAGACAAATTCTATATTTAGCCATTTAGTATTTTATTTAAAAATGTATTGATTTTTATAATAAGAAATAGCAGCAATATTTAAAGATTATAATCTTTGGGACTTAAAAATATTTGGTTTAAAATATCTAAAGAAATATTTCAATAAAACAAGGAAAATATGTGAAGAGACAAATGATTTTAAAAAATTCCTGTCTCTCAATAAATGTCATAGTCAACATTTACAATTAACAATAACACAAACATATTGCTGAATCATAAGAATAATAAAAAAGGATAATTTCTGTTTAGTTTATTTTATAACAATTTGAAATAAATCCAGCCTATTATTAATCTGATCTAGGCCAGAGGATTTAAGAAAGTCTTTCTGATTGACTGTGTTCTCATAACTGCCAAGAATGGAGAGAGCTTTAGAATCACCAAATGATCATTTCACATTTTCCCTTCCCGCTTTTTAATGGCCTGAATTCTTTATGTAGCCATACATATAAACTACATATGTGCCTGATTTTTTTTTTTTTTAATGCCTGTCAGGTCTGATGTAGAACGCATGCTATTTAACTCACTGGGTAAGTTTTTTCTGTCATAATTTCAGTGCAGGTAAGAAAGTTGCTTGAGGATGCCGTGGTTTCTTGCTATCAATTCACATCCAGGACTTGGAAGTTTCAACAAAGGGTCTTTAGAGTTCACTTTTTTGGACGAATAGCTGGATCATAAGGAGTTAACCTAGTTTAAGACTTGAAAGAGAAAAATGTTCCTAGCAAAAAAGGCTTACAGCTAAATAATGAGTGCCAAGGTTGAGGCTGCTCTTTCTTGCTTTAGTGCTGGAGCTGCATTATTCACAACTGCCAATCAGCTAATCTGAAAAGAATTTGTTCTTTACTGCATTTCTTCTTTATTGCTCCCATCCCACTGGTCTGGTGTACATTGCCTCCAGCTAGGAGGGTTTAGAAATAGTTCCTAAACAGACAACAAATGCTGGGCTGTGAATCGAAGGGCAGTGGACACTATGGAGAGAAAGGAATTTTGCTCACCCCCATTTCCTTTTCACATGTAGTCTTTGCTACTGCAATACTGAAAAGCCCAGGCTATCGCAAAAGGAGAAATTCCCTGTCAATTTCTGAAAATTCAACACTGAGCTGTTACTGCAGATTCAGGGTACAGGACTGGTAGAAGCTCCCTGAGATATTGGTGATGAAAAAACTTTCTAACTACAGGAAATGAATTCTAACAAATGAGACTGTGGCTACTGCTGCCGAGACTGAGCACCTTTGCATGTGAGCGAGGGAGTTAGACATCATGATCTACAGTTGCAAACAAAGAGCCCTACAGATGAAGCCAAGATCCGTGCTCTGCAATTATCCTTACATTGGCCTTTTGAGTATCCTCACAAATGCTTGCTATATTATTACACCAAATGAGTGTGTGTACACACACACACAAGCAATGTTAGTAGACAAAAAAATAAATATATGTATAAATAATTGGACATGTATCTTTTAACTGAGCAAGGAGTAGTATCTTGGAAAGTTTGATTAATGCCCCAGGGTACTTTTTTCCCTTGGTATATTCATGAAGCACCGGTTAAGAATGTTGGAATTTATGTAGGTCTACCATGAAATATCAGAAATTGTTACCAGCTTTTCTCACTTCCAAAGCCAAACTAAACATTCTCCAATATTGAGTCAAATGATCTTTGTTAATTTCTTGCACTAATTTACCAAACAGCAATGCAGGAGTGACCCTGTCTTCTGTTGCAGGTACTTCTATTCTATACAGAACATGGATGCAAGGTATTTATTCTAAATATAAGTTGCTGCATGCTCCAGGCAGGGCATCCACCTAGGGGATGTCTAGCTGGCAGGGTCACAGGTAGGTAAACGTGGTATGGATTGGGCCTGAGCTGCTTTGCATTTTCTGTTGTTAGCTCTTGAGCTGATGTGCATGGATCTGTTTAGATTGTTGGGGCAGGCTGGGGTGGATGATCAATATGGTTAACTCAGATACATGTGCTGATTCCACCCCTAGTCCTACACCAGTACAATTAGACACCAGGGCTTCCTCACAAGCCCCAGCATTGCTGTCCCCAGTGACAGGCTCAGCACCTCATCTCAACAGTCTCTGCTAAGCTGTCAACCCCACTGCTCTCATCACTGCTTCCCTGACACATTTACCCAGTCTTCACTCCTCCCCTCACCTCAAAGCCATCCATCTGCTTCCTGCCACTCCACTAAATCCCTTTCCATACTATATTGCTTCATTCTCCAAGGGAGTAGAGTGGGAGTGCAAGACCATCAGGTGGTCTGTGGCGCTGCAGATCATAGGCCAGAGTCAGATTCAACTCAGCCTGAAGTCAACCAAGCCACAGTGTAGCTCTGAGGAATAGGGAAAGGGCCAATATGTATGCAGCATGCAATTGTCCTAACAAGGAAAAATAATTGAATCATTTGACAGACTCAACGGTGCCTAAAACAGTTATATCATTTTAGTTTTTGGTCAGAGACAGTTCATTTGTTACGACAAACCACTGAGACTCTAACAAATGCATCATTTTATCCTCCTGAAAGAATGTGACACCCCTGCCACCGTGAGGGAGCATGTATAATGCCATTTTAGTGTGGTTTTGTTAAAATGAACTGTATCCATGTGACGTAGGTGAACATGCATACATATGTGCCTAGAGAGATGGTGAGAAGAGAAGAGAGGGAAGGAGAGAGAGAGAGTGTGCATGAGAAGGAGAGTAAGAGCACAGCCAGAGAGAAAAAGAAAAAAAACTCAAAGGATTCACTGCAATGCAGTTTTACATACAGGCCTGTAGGAGCAACCTGAATGTTATTAGACCATAAAAGCACATCAGGCTGATTTATGGTTTCTGATCAAGGTTTCTGTGAAAATTACTCTGCATCACCAGCTCAAGGTGACTGCTACCATTAATGTGTGGAAAATAAATGAGATGGGGAGGCCGATAGCAGAGGAAGGAAAGGAAGCGCTGAGGCAGTTTATACAGCACAGAATCCCCATTTTGTTTTACAGTGCAGAGAAGCCTGTCATCAAAATGATTGCTGTGGGGCATGAAAGGCAATTCTTGGTAATTAGATCTTATGGCATGTAGCTGGTGCTTTCTTATATCGAATGCACCAGGATATTAGGACAAACGCCTGCCTTCTGCATACCATCTTTTCTGTTTTCTGTTCATATTCAGCTATGGTAGTCTAAATTTAGGAAGAAGAACACGGTAATATTGTTTTCCTGATTCTATTTCTTTTTAATGGTATTGCTTCCCCCTCCACTGTTTTCCTGAATGTTTTCTTATAACACATAGTATTCACCTCCTCCAAATAATCTTCCATATTTGAGACTTTCTAATAGAGCCAATATATGCAAATATTTTACATATTATCTGATGGCCACAATAGAACTCCACTGGCCTTTCTATTCCTTCCTTGTTTATAATTCACTAAAGCATTTCATAGATGGAATGCCATACTGCTTGTTTAGATGTAAACAAATAGCACATATCACAAGACTTTCGTATGAGATAGTTGCTGTGAAAAGTATAAAAGATGATTGCTGGAAAGATTCCCTTCTCCTCCTCCTTTTGCTTGTATAGTAATTCTCCCTGATCCTCGGGGCATATGTTCCAAGACCCCTGGTGAGTGCCTAAAACCACAGACAGTACTGAACCCTATATACAGTATGCATTTTCCTTTACATGCATACAAATGATAAAATTTAATTTATAAATTAGGCACAGCTGGGAGGTGGAGGTTGTAGTGAGCCGAGATCACACCACTGCACTCTAGCCTGGGTGACAGAGTGAGACCCTGTCTCAAAAAAAAAATAATTAATTATTAAATTAGGCACAGTAAGTGATTAACAACAAAAATAATAAAACAGAACAATTATAACAATGTGCTGTAATAAAAGTTATGTGAACGTGGTCTCCTTCTCTCTCTTAAAATATCTTATTTTACTGTACTCCCCTATCTTTGGACCACAATTGACAGTGGTAGCTGAAAGAAACTGCAAAAAGTACACCCAGGGATGTGGGGAAGCTATTGTATTGCGTATCGCCATATTGATTTAGAATTTGAGGGTTATAGTCTGTTGCTGGATTTTGACTCTATATGCAAGTAGAGAACCCTGCATTTTGGAATGCTCAAGGTAAAGGTGAATAAATTAAAATGTTTTCAAATCATTTTACTGCATCCCTTTCCCTGGTGCGTAAAACTTGCCCTCTGGTGCTTCTGCATAGCATTCCACATCTGGAACATGTCGGTGTCTGCTGTCACAGCTGGCTGCTGCTGCAGGGATAGCCATTAAAAAACATGGCTTTAAGAAAACTCACAGGCAGGAGAACACTCACCTCATCTAGCCAAGAAAAATGGAGACCTGTGTTTTCCTCACTCTATATTTTTAGATAAAATTTTATTTTTAGTGACACACCCCATTGTAATTGCCCATCTTCACACTGTAGCAAGGCTGGATTGAGACTTTTACCCCTACACAAACACTCTGGAGTATGAATTAGAACCAACATACAACTTTGGTGTTTCTTACACAATATTGTCAGAGTCTGTTTCAAAAGCTTAAGCACAGACACCACCCTACTTCCAAAATACAGAAAACAAGAAGGTTTCATTGAAGCAAGAGATTCTAATATCTGCAAAGCATTATAAATTCTTCAAAAAAGCATCACTCACGTCATCTCATTCCATCTTCACAGAATATGAAGATAGAATGCCAAGAAATCATTAAGATAGTTGCTATGATTTCCATCTTATGGATGCAAATGTAAGCTCAGAGAAGCTAAGTGTTTTGCCTGAGATCATTTAATCCACAGTAGTGCAGCCAGCTCTCATTTTTCTTACCATTATTCAGGTAGCATACTAGAGTTAAAAAAAAATCGTTGAGATTTCTGGGAGAAAACAGGCTGCTGTTTCATAGTGGCTCAGCAATGAACAATAGGCAAGATACTAGGCAAGAATCCTAACCTCTGGTTTCCTTGGTTTGTTCAGCTTTATGCAGACTAGGAATTTTCTATAGCATCTTCAAGTGCTATTTTTTTTTTCTTATTTTAAAAATCTTCCTCATGAACCACAGTATTCAGAGATAAATAACCAGTGACTACCAACATCCTGAAACAAAGAAAGGGACTACTTTCCCCAGCTATTGCCTCTCCCTTCTCCAACACACACATACACACACAGAAATACCACATTCTGTTTAAAAGAGAAAATTTCAAGACAGGAGAGAAGCCATAAATATTAGGATTATATGAGCAACCTGAAATGTCCACTTCATTTTAAGATTAAAGTTTAGCTCTGACATTAATAATGTCCATATAGAGAAGAGAGGACCTCTAGGGGTTCCAGAAGGATGTATGCCAAAGTAAGGCACCAGCAGAGATGTTGCCAGGTTGCTATTGCTTGATGGCTGTGACACAAGCTGAATGAATCTAATATATCTCCCCTAAGTAGGGTCATACCTCCAGTTGTGCAGATTCATTTAATTTGGCAGAAGCTACTTTTTACAACAAAAAGTTACATTTTGCTACCCTCTCCTTTTTTTGGCTTCTAAAGGATTATTTAGTTGATTTTCAGGAAGGTCCATTTGTAAACTCAGAAGATAATTGTTAAATACTTGGAATTCAGCTTCCCATGAGAATATGTGAATGTTAGAAAAAAAAAAAAAAAGCCACTTGCTTGTATTAAAAAGAAAAAAAAACTGCTGGGTACAGGAGTTCATGCTTGTAATCCCAGACAGATCGCTTGAGTTCAGGAGTTTGAGACCAGCCTGGGCAAAATGGTGAAACCCTATCTCTACAAAAAATACAAAATATGGTGGCATGTACCTGCTTTCCCAGCTACTCCAGAGGCTGAGTTGGGAGAATTACCTGAGCCCGTGTGTGCACCACTGCATTTCAGCCTAAGTGGCAGAGTGAGACCCTATCTCAAAAAAAAAATAAAGTTTTCTTATGAGAAATGGGTTATTGATTGATCACAGATCTCCCCTACCTCCAGAAAAAATCTATTTCGGAAATCTGTCCCCTTGTTGGCTGATATGGCTAGACTTTGTGTCCCTACCCAAATCTCATTTTGAATTGCAATTCCCATAATCCCCACGTCAAGGAAGAGACCAGTTGGAGGTAACCGAATCATGGGAGCAGTCTCCCCTATGCTGTTCTGATGATAGTGAGTGAGTTCTCATGAGACCTGGTGGTTTTATAAGGGGCTCTTCCCCCTTCTCTTGGCACTTCTCCTTCCTGCTGCCTTGTGAAGAAGGTGCCTTGGTTCCCCTTTGCCTTCTGCCATGGCTCTAAGTTTCCAGAGGCCTCCCCAGCCATGCCGAACTGTGAGTCAATTAAACCTCTTTCCTTTATACATTACTCAGTCTTAGGCAGTTCTTTATAGTGGTATGAAAGCAGACTAATACAATGGCCTTAATATATATGGTTTATTGGATTCCTATGGCCTGTTTCAGCTATGAAACTTAATTGATGTTTTAGTAATGACACTAAGCTTGGTTAAGTTTCAGGTGTGGACATGTCTTCTTCAATTGTCTTCCCTCGGTGTCTCCAACTCCATCTTTTCCTCCCTTCCTCCTGAGGGAAGAAATATTTGAGGACTACGAAGAAACCAGAAATGTTATTTTAAAAAGGGTGCATAACTTTCAGTCACACAGAGAATATCTGGGAAAAACCTCAGAGTGTGAATACCATGACTAACAAGGGCAGATAGAAAGACAGCAAGCATCATGCAAGCATCTGAGTGGTTTCAGATGGTCACCTTTGCCCAACGACCAGTTGCTCTGAAGTCAGCCAGCTACCATCAGGATCACTCTGGGTGGATTAGAATCCATTTCTTGTGCTAATAGTAATGAACACTGCATATCTGACTTCCCACAAAAGGCTCTAGGTCAATTCAAGTTGCTATAGCAAATTACCATAGATTGGATGGTTTATAAGCAACAGAAATTTATTTCTAAGAGTTCTGGAGGCCGAACATCTGAGTTTAGAGTTCCAGCACGGTAGGGTTCTTGGTAAAAGTTGTCTTCTGTGTTGCAGACTAACCAGCTTCTAATCATATCCTCACATAATAGGAAAAGTGCAAGTTAGCTCTCTGGCCTCTTATAAGAGCATTAATCCCATTTGTGAGGTCTCCACCCTGATAGCTTAATTACCTCTCAAAGGTCTCTCCTCACAATACTATCAAATTGGGGATGTTGAAATCTACATCCCCATATGAAATTTCAACATATGAAATTTAGGGAAGACACAAATATTTACTCCATAACAGGCACTGAATCCTCCCACCTGGCTGAGAGAAACATACAAGTGGCCTGGTAGCATGTATGTGTGCATTTTAGAGGAATGAGTGAGTCAGAGAAGGAATAGAAAAATATAAGGGCCACCTTCCTTTCCAACAAAACTTTAGCTATCTACTTTCCTTTGCCCCAAGACAACAAGCAGTATAGCTAAACTGCTTAAATCTCCATTCTTCGTAATGTACAAAGCAGACATTATTTTCCTCTGTAGAAATCCTGCCTTTTCTTTCAGATAATTGGCCAGAAATAAAATGCCACTTTTTCTCTCCTCCATCTAAGGAAACACATCATGGTAGGTATATTTAAATTCAGGGTGGTAGATGGAAAAAAATTGTCTGTCAGCCCTTGTAGTCCAAATCCCCAGGCCCATACATTTCTTTAGAGAATGAGTACTTACAAAATGGCTTGTATTTTGTCAGTTTTGCAGTAAAAAATACCCAGCAATTTTTTTAAGTACTGTAATTTTGAAAATTTCCATTTATTTCAGAAGACATCAACTAATGGTCAATCAGACAAAAGAAGCAACAACAAAAAAATGACAAATCCCTTCAATAAGCAGATCAGAATCTTTCCAAACTTTACATGATAAACATAGCTTACCACAAGCAAGGAACCTTTTGTTCCTTGCTTAGTAAGACTTTATAAAAAAAACTTTTCTAGCTATGCAGCTGTCATGCGTGCAAGACAACTCATCTCAAACCACTCTTTTTCACAGAGTTATGAAGACATGATACCACCATTTAGAGACAACCTATTATGACAGGTTATAAATGGTTCAGAATTGGAAATTTAACTTTTCCTTCCTCCCTTTGCTGCAGAAGTTTAAATTTAAAGTTAAGTGATGCTTTCCTTCAAGGAGAAAGAAATTTATTTTTTGGTTAACTTTGGTTATAAAGGTTCAACAAGATCTGTTGCAAAAGAACCTGAGGAATGGTGAAGTGTTATGGAGAAGACAAACAAGAAGGTATCTGGGTACTTACTAAATATCTTACAAAATTAGAAAGAAGATAAGCTATCCTGTCAATCTAGAAAGAGGTGCTATCTGGCTCAGAAAAGGAAAAGAGAGAGAGGGGAACTGCTCTTATGGTACATCTTGGAAGATGGGCAGGCTGTTACATTCTGTTTCACAGAATGATCTATAGGAAGCATTGCAGCTCCCTGAATGTCATTGTCTGAGCATTCAGAAGTTGTCTGGGATCTAAGCCAACTAAGTCAACAGAGCAGATCACCCAGCCCCCACATGCACTTAGGTGTTAGGCTGGTAGTTCTTTCTATTATATCTGGAGAAGATTTCCCTTTCTTTCCAAACAATAATTTTCCCAGAGATGGTCCAGCTGGAGTGATGGTCGTCCAGGTCCAGTCTACACTACACTCAACCTGTATGGATCCCTCATTTGCCACACATACCACTAGAACCCTGACCACCTGAGAGCTCAAGACAAGAAGCATGATGTCTTGAAATATAGGACAGTGTGTAATGGACAGCAAAAAATGGAGCCAGTTAAAGACACACTTAAGCTAGGGCAGTGCTTTGTTCTCTCATGAAAAACAAGTTCTTAGAATCTACAAGTAGTTCAGCTCAGTTTTTCAGCATAGACGACCCAAGTGAGGTTTGATAACCAAAAACGTTTACTTGCCTGAAGGATCTCCTGTGCGTGTCTTCATTGGAAAACCACTGTAGTATTAGGTTGAACCATACAAAATTTCAAATGTTCAATAATTTTTGGCCTACTGAAATTGCAATTTTGTGTCATCTAAAATATAATTGACTATTTGGGGATTGTGGAAGCCAGAGAGTGATGGCTACAGAATTTCTGTATAAGAAGGTATTAGAAGATTCTGGCCAAGGCAGGGGAGAAGACACACCGAGAAACCAGTAACGAATTGAAACTACTCTGCTTAGCAAACACACTGCCTTTACTTAGATTAAGTGTTTATTGGGAATGCTTCCCTCTTCCTGTTCTCACTCAACCAGTGAGTCCTTGCCACTCATCCTGACCACTTTTCTAGCTCTTTCTGTAATATACATGACTAAAAGCAGGCATGCCCCAGCTTTTTGCCCCCAGACCTTTTATTATCTTTCTTTTTTAAATTTTTATTTTTATTTTAGCTTCAGGCAGTACATGTGCAGTCTGTTATAAGGGCATACTGTGTGATGCTGAGTTGGGCTTCTATAATGATCCCATCACCCAGATAGTGAACATGGTACCCAATAGGATCACATTGGCTTTAGCTATAACATAAAAATCTGAGATTCCCAAATTATTATATATGCTACCTGTCATCTTCACAGATGTAGTCCCATATTCCTTCAGGCTTTTCTTTTGCTTAAACAATTTTATTATCAAGCCCAATATGTTCCATTGTACACCCTTTAGTTTCTCACTTATTTGAGCCGAGAGTGGTTCAAGCCAAGCCCCATTACATGACTCTCAAAATTCATTTCTTTTCTGAGCTACATATCTCTGAATGAGTAGAACTTGGTCTGATTGATCACATCACTCCTCTTCTAGTTGCCCAAGTATAGAACTCCAAGTCACTTGTAACTTCTCCCTCACCATCCCCTACACTTTGTTACCAAACCCTGAATCACCCTCCCTCCACATACTTCTCATTTCTTTTTATTAACTCAGCAACAGCGTCTTCTATGTGCCACTCTCATTACTTGCTATTTCTTCCCATCTTTTTCTTCTTTTGGATGGTGCCATAGTTCAGACCCTTATTACCTTTATTTATTTATTTATTGAGTCTAACACAGTCACCTAGGCTGGAGTGCAATGGTGCAATCTCAGCTCACTGCAACTTCTGCCTCCCAGACTCAAGCTATTCTCCTGCCTCGGCCTCCTGAGCAGCTGGGATTGCAGGTGTGTGCCACCAGCCCTGGCTAATTTTTGTATTTTTAGTAGAAATGGGGTTTCACCACATTGGCCAGGTTAGTCACACCGCCTTGGCATCCCAAAGTGCTGGGATTACAGGCATCAGCCACCATGCCTGGCCCAGACTCTTTTTACCTTCTGCTTGTATTTCCATATTACTTTCCCAGCTATCACTCTTCATATCAAACCAACCCTTACACTGATGCCAAATTAATATTCTTTATTTTTACATTTTATGAATCTGACCCAAAGATGAATGATTCTTTACCAAACACAATAGGAAAAAGAGGAAGAAAAATATAAATTGGCATGACACGGATGACCAAAAACATAGACAGGACACCACAGTTATTGGGAAAAATCACAATGTCCATAGTGTTTCAAGGGCATGGTGAGCTAGTCAGGATTCAGACCATATACAACACCAGAGACTCCAAGAGGAATAATCAGTTTCCCAATGTGATGCATTAGAAATAAAAATGGGAATGACAGGTAACTCCAGAGGTCATAGAGGGTGATCAATGCCTCATTCCAGTGGTTTAAAGATAAAAATGCTGAGTCTGTTTAAATACTGCCTGCTTTTTACTTAGGCTGTTGAGAACTTGGGCAGGGTTTGTTGTCAAGGAGGAAGTTCAGTAGGTACAATCTTGTGGAACTAGGGAAATAATGCAGAGGCTGATAATCCTATTATTTCTCTGCTCCAAAATACTCAATGGCTTTATTGCCTTTAATTGTCAATGAAATCCTTACTGTGTCCCTCAACCTACCTTTTTAGCCTTGCCTTTGACAACTCCCCTATGTATAACCCAGTAATCTATTCAACCTGCAAAATGTCTACACTTTTCCACTTCATGCTCTCATGACTTCCTCTCCCTGAAATGCTCTCATTTCCTCATCTGTGCTATTCAAAATACTATCTACCATTCAAGTCCTGGCTCAGATCCTACCTCCTCCCCAAAGCAATTTTGAATCAAGAAATAGATTAAACAGCTTCCTCCTCAAGACTTTGAACTTCCCGCATCACCTGCCTTGTTGAAACCAAATCCTAAGGATGTAATTAAATGCCTGCACATAGTTAGTCCTTGGAAAACAAATACATTGATTTCATTTTGTATTCTACCTTATACTATGGATATTTTACACTCATCTACTCCCTTCTACAAAATTATGAACACTTGTTTCAGATGGGACCATGAATTAACTCATTAATTATTTATGAGATCTATCACAATGACTTGTACAAAACCGGCCTCAATCAAGATTTATCTAACTTATTAAAGCATCTCATTATATAATTAAACTATATAGCTCAATACTTGAGCATTGCCATTAGGCTTGCTGGGGGACTTTACAGTGAATATAGATGTACTGCCATTAATGTCTGAATTCAAATTTCAGTGCCCCTAGCTGCTGAAGGAGGTTTGGATCTTTTACAAAGCTTCCTTACCCCAATACTTCTGAGAATCTCCAACAGTTCTGACATGTATCCATAAATCTGTGTTGATGGTCATTGAATTTAACTACTTCCTAGTAGTGATCCTGCAGCCCAGGCATCACAGTCCTATTATGGAGCCATTCAAGGCTGGAATTTTACCCCTAAATCTATTCCTGCAGAAATCTTCATCATTGCCTTTAGAACTGAGAAGAAGAAACCTTGTTCTGCATTACACTTAACAGATTAGAGTATAGGTGGGGGTGGGAGTGAGCTCTTTAATTAGGCCACAGAACTACAAAGCCTTGTAGCGGCCATCAATAACTTTTATTCACTATTACAGCTAGTAAAACTTTGCATCCTAGGCTCTGTTAGTCCCACAGCCACTCACATCTAGCTGTCTGGTCTTGCTGCTGCTTTCAGCTGATAGACTGCCTTAAACTTTAGCACCACTGCTGCTGTCACCACTGCTCCCCACTACTGTACCAAGATGGTGGCCAAAGGCATCACCAGCATTGTCACTAGTCTTGTTGGGTCACTTTGCAGTTCTTAGGCCCATTTGACATGAAAAAGTGCTACTTGATCAAGCTGCTTACTGAGCTATTGTAATACAGCTGTCCACTCATTCACCTGAGCAAAGATGATATGGTGAGGGACCGTCTGGAAGCTCTCTTTTATATTTCTTTACAATGTGTTTCCAACAAAGATATCTGAGTGTTCTGAGTTCAATTCAGTTTTTTCAACTTGTACATATGTATAACTATTTTCTCCCAGGTATGCCCCACCACCGCCTCATTTCTCATCCCATGTATGGCTGAATTTAAATGATTTCTGGTACCTGCCATCTAGCTATATCAGAATCACTACTGCCTTTCTCCCTTCAACCCACTTTTTCTGGCTCACTATTTGACTCCTCTTTATAATGAAATCTATCTCAAGGGTCCTATTTTCTCTCCTGAAAAGGCCTTCATTAGAGTTATAGCAGTCTATTTGATATGTGAGCATACACTTGAAATTCATTAGTGATCAGGTTTAAGACATTTATTTTATTCAAAGAGATCTTTCCACCCAATATAAATAAGTGAATGTAAGTGACACAAGGGGTAGGAAGTGACATCAGAGCCTTTTTCCTGATCATCTAAAGTATCAGTAATCATTCCATATCAGAAAATAGTTTTAAAGTCCTCTAAATCCCCTGGAAAGGACCAAGGAATTTGAAAATTTGACCATTACCATGCTTAGCTATTCAGTAGAGTTCTAGTTAGTACATATGTATGAGTAAACTACCTGAGGCTAGGAAAGAAAACACCCCAAAATTAGAGGCAACAATGCAAGGCACCCAGAGAGGGCTAAAAATAGTGCCTATTCATGTCAGGCAGACTGAAAGCTCTCATTATTCAACAACTAATAATGTATAATTCACAATGACCAACTTCCAGTCAAAATGAGGCATGCAAAAAAAAAAAAAAAAAGAAAAACATAACCCATAATGAAGAGAATACTCAATAGAAACCAACAGAGATGTGACACAAATTAGCAGATGATATTAAAATGGTTATTTTAACAATTATATATGTCCAAAAAGTCAAGTGGTAGTATGAAAGCCATAAAAAAGATCAGAATTAAACTTTTGTAGATAAAAATGATAATATATGAGATAAAATTACACTCCATGAGATTAATGGAAGATTAGCCATTGCAAAAAAAAAGGCTGATGAACTTGAACACATAGTAATAGAACATATTCAAAATAAAACACAGATTAAACAAAGTATAAATGAACAATGAGCTGTAAGAGAGCATCAAGTGCCATAATATATGTGTTATTGAAATTTCTAAAAGGGAGGAAGAGAAAAAATATTGGAAGAAAGAATGGCTGAAATATTTCCAAATTTGAGAAAAACTATCAACCCATAGATCCAAACAGCTCAATGAATCTCAAGTACAAGAAATATGATAAAAACTGTATTAAGACGCATCAGAACCAAATTGCTCAAGACTCAGATGTAATGGAATATTTTTAAAGTGCCAGTGTAGGGGAAGAAGGTAGGTATATTACACAAAGAAAGATAGAGTCATGAATGACCATGACAGCAGATTTCCTGTTGGAAACAATACAAGTAAAGAGACAGTGGAGGAAATGTCAGTACTTTAAATTTTTAAGGTACTGAAATTAAAGAAAAAAATTCTACCAATCTATAATTTTATATCCAGCAAAAATATCCTAAAATAAAAATAAAGTAAAAAGTTTTCCAGAAATATAAAATCTGAAAGAATTTATCACCATCAGATTTGCACTATAAGAAATTTTAAAGGAAGTGTTCATGCAAAAGGTACATAATAACCTATAGAAATATAAACCTACACAAAGAAATGAAGGGACTGGAAATGATAGTTCCATGTGATTTTCTTCTATAAATCTACAAGATTTTTCTCTTTAAATATCTTTAAAAGCATCAGGATGAGTGCACACATATAGATGCCACTGCCTTGCTCCTGCAGGCCTACGTGCAGTATCCCACCACCGGTCCACACACACATGCACAAACACATGCACACATGCACAAACACACACACACACACACTTTGCCACATTACTGCCACTGGCATGCATGTACATGTTCAGTCCTTGCTGTCCTAATGCACACTCATGTGTGTGGACCCAGCTGACACTGCCCCAAATAAGTGCTTTTTACAGCATCCTCCATCAGATTGGGATTGCCAGAAGGTTGGGAAGACCTCAGCAGGTTGAAAAGACCTCCAGCACAGCAGGCACTTAACCCCAAGTGGCCAGAGAACAAAGCCGTGGGCCTGGTATCAGTCACCCAGGGTTAGAACATGCAGCTTGGAAGTGGTGAACTGAGCATTGGCCCCCTGAAATTATCCAGAAACAAAGCCAGTTGACAGAACCCAACTATACCACCATCAAACTGTTATCAGTGGAGGGCCTTGGACTACAAGTCATCCAGGTTCTTGGTGTTTTGAACAAAGAATTGGACAAAACACACAAAGCAAGGAATAAATGAAGTAATGACAGCAGAGATTTATTGAAATGCAAGTACACTCCACAGAGTGGGAGTGGGCTCCAGTAAGCGGCTCAAGAGTCCTGGTTACAGAATTTTATGGGGTTTAAATACCCTCTAAAGATTTCCCATTGGGTACTTAGTTTATACCCTATGTCAATGAAGGAGTGGCCCACAACCAGTCGGATTGGTTATGGAAAGTGATCAATCATAGGCTGAAGTGACGTTACAAAGTTCCACCCTATGCAAACATCTGATTTGCAAGAGGGGGCCAAACAGAGGCTGAAGTGAAGTTACAAATTTACATTCCTGTGCAAATAAAGACTAGGCCTATGACCAATCTGATTGGTTGTGGGAGGGAATACTTTCAATTTTTCATCTGCCATGCAGAAAAATCAGGGAGGGGATTGAAAAGGAATAGCCTCTGGTCCTTTTGTTACTTGAGCATGGAAAGTTGGGGTTTTCCTTTTGATTTAGTTCTAGAAAGGCAGTGTGAATTGCCCTGCCTCTAGACTCTATTCTCCTATCTCAAGGCATCAAAGAATATAAAAGCAAAAAACCCCATCCAAAGGACAGCACCTTCAAAGATTAAAGGAACATCAGCCCACACATATGAAAAAATAAATAAATACATACATACATACATACATACATACATACATACATACATACATAATAAAACAGTGCGAGAATTTGGCAACTCAAAAAGCCAGAGTCTTCTTACCTCCAAACAACTATTCTACTCCCAGCAATGGTTCTTAATCACACTGAAATCGCTAAAATGACAGACATAGAATTCAGAATCTGGATAACAACAAGAGATCATTGAGATTCAGAGGGTCAAAACCCAATCCAAGGAATGTAAGGAATCCAGTCAAATAATACAAGATCTGAAAGATAAAATAACCATTTTAAGAAAGAAGGCTGTGCACAGTGGCTCATGACTGTAATCCCAGCACTTTGGGAGGCTGAGGCAGGCAGATCACTTGAGGTCAGGAGTTTGAAACCAGCCTGGCCAACATGGCGAAAACCTGTCTCCACTAAAACTACAAAAAGTAACTGGGCATGGTGGCACATGCTTGTAGTCCCAGCTAATCAGGAGGCTGAGGCAGGAGAATTTCTTGAACCCAGGAGGTGGATGTTGCAGTGAGCTGAGATTGTGTCACTGCACTTCAGCCTGGCTGACAGAGAGAGACTCTGTCTCAAAAAAAAAAAAAAAGAAGGCAGGAAAGAAGGAAGAAAGGAAGGAGAAAAAAAGAAAAGACAAGAAAAAAGAAAATAAAGAGAAAGGAAGGAAGGAAGGAAAGAAAGAAGAAAAGAAAGAAAAAGAAAGAAGAAAAAGACATGAAAGAAGAAAAAAGAAAAGAAAAGAAAGAAAGGAAAAAGAGAGAAAGAAAGAAGGAAGAAAAAGAAAGGAAGGAAGGAGAGGGAAGTAAAGAAGGAGGAAGAGAGGGAGGGAGAGAAGTAGAGAAGGAGGGAGAGAGAGAGGGAGAGAGGAAAAAAGGAAGAAGGAAGGAAGGAACAAAGGAAGGAAGGAAGGAAGTAATTTGATAGAGCTGAAAAACTCACTACAAGAATTTTACATTACAATCAGAAGTACTAATAGCAGAATAAACCAAGCTGAGGAAAGAATCTCAGAGCTTGAAGACCAGTCCTTCAAAACAATTGAGTCAGACAAAAATAAAGAAAAAATAATGAACAAAATCTCCAAGAAATATGAGATTATGTAAAGAGAACAAACCCATGACTCATTGGCATCCTGAAAGAAGCAGAAAGCAAGCAAGCAACTTGGGAAATATATTTGACAATATTGATTATGAAAATGTCTCCAACCTTACTAGAAAGGTCAACATTCAAATTCAGGAAACTGAGAAAACCCCTGTGAGGTATTATATAAGACAACTATCCTCAAAATACATTGTAATCAGATTCACCAAGGACGACATATAAGAAAAAATAGTAAAGGCAGCTAGAGAGAAAGGTTAGGTCACTTACAAAACAAATCCTATTAGGTTAACAGTGGACATTTCAGCAGAAATTCTACAGGCCAGAAGATACTGGGGGCCTATATTTTGCCTTCTTAAAAGGAAGAAGTTTCAATTATGAATTTTATATCCAGCCAAACTGAGCTTCATAAGTGAAGGAGAAAGAAAATCCTCTTCAGAGAAGCAAATGCTAAGAGAATTTATTACCACCAGACCTGCTTTGTAAGAGGTCCTTCAGAGAGTGCTAAACATGGAAGCAAAAGACCATTACCAGCCACCACAAAAACTCTTAAGTACATAGACCATTGACACTATGAAGCAACTACACAATCATGCCTGCATAGCAACCTGGTAAAACATGATAACAGGATCAAATCCACAAATATCAATATTAACCTTGGACATACACCCCACTTAAAATACAGGGTGGCAAGCTGAATAAAGAAGCAAAACCCAACTGTATGCTATACAAACATGCCTCCTATGGGTGGCATGCATGTGAGATGGGTCATATGCTCAAAGTAAAGGGTTAGAGAAAAATCTACCCACAAAATGGAAAACAAAAAAGAGCAGGGATTGCTAATCTAATTTCAGACAAAACAGACTTTAAAGCAATAATGATCAAAAAAGACAAAGAAGGGCATTACATAATGGTAAAGTGTTCAACTAGGAAACACCATTCTGAACATAGGACCCAGCAAAGATTTTATAACAAAGTCTCCAAAAGCAATCACAACAAAAACAAAAGCTGACAAATGGGACCTAATTAAACTAAAGAGCTTCTGCACAGCAAAACAAACTATCAACAGAGTAAACAGACAACCTACAGAATGGGAAAAAAATATTCCCAAATTATGTAACCAACAAAGGCCAAGTATCCAGAATCTATAAGGAACCTAAATAATTCATCAATCAAAAAACAAATAACCCCATTCAAAAGTGGGCAAAGGACATGAACCGGGACTTTGCAAAATAAGACATACAAGTGGCCAACAAACATATGAAAAAACGCTCAACATCACTAATCAGGGAAATGAAGATGAAAATCAAAATAAGACACCATCTCACACCAGTCAGAATGGCTATTGTTTTTCAAACTTTTATTTTAGGTTTGGGGGTACCTGTGAAGGTTTGTTACATAGGTAAACTTGTGTCATGGGGGTTTGTTGTACAGATTATTTCATCACCCAGGTATTAAGCCCGGTACCCAACAGTTATCTTTTCTGCTTCTCTCCCTCCTCCATTCCTTCACTCTCAGGTAGACCCCAATGGCTGTTGTTTCCTTCTTTGTGTTCGTAAGTTCTTATTTAGCTCCCACTTAAGTGAGAACATGCGGCAGTTAGTGTTGTGTTCCTGCATTAGTTTGCTAAAGATAATAGCCTCCAGTTCTATCCATGTTCCTGCAAAAGACAAGATCTCGTTCTTTTTTATGGCTTCATAGTATTCCACAGTGTATATGTACCACATTTTCTTTATCCAATCTGTCATTGATAGGCATTCAGGTTGATTTCATGTTTTTGCTATTGTGGATAGTGCTGCGATGAACATTTTGTGTGTATGTATCTTTATAGTAAAATGATTCATGTTCCTCTGGAATATAGGTAATGGGATTGCTTATTTGAATGGTAGTTCTGCTTTTAGCTCTTTGAGGAATTGCCACACTGCTTTCCATGACGGTTGAACTAATTTACATTCCCACCAATCGTGTATAAGAGTTTCTTTTTCTTTGCAACCTCATCAGCATCTGTTGTTTCTTGTCTTTTACTAATAGCCATTCTGACTGGTGTGATATGGTAGCATTTCTCTAATAATCAGTGATATTTTGCTTTTTTCATATGCTTGTCGGCCATATGTATCTTTTTGAGAAATGTCTGTTCATGTCCTTTGCCCACTTTTTCATAGAGTTGTTTGTTTTTCTCTTGTAAATTTGTTTAAGTTCTTTATAGATGTGCTGGATACTAGACCTTTGTCAGATGCATAGTTTGCAAATATTTTCACCCACAGAATGGCTATTATTAAAATGTCAAAAAATATAACAGATACTGGCAAGATTGTGGAGAAAACGGAATGTTTATGCACTGCTGGTGAGAATGTGAATTAGTTCAGCTACTGTGCAAAGCAGTTTGAAGATTTCTCAAATAACTTAAAACAGAAATCCCATTCAACCTAGCAATCTCATTACTGGGTATATATCCAAAGGAATATAAATCGCTCTACCATAAAGACACACGCACAGTTCATTGCAGCACTATCTATGATAGCACAGACATGGGATCAACCCAGATGCCCATCAATTTTGGATTGGATAATGAAAATGTGGTACATATGCACTGTGTGATACTACACAGCCATAAGAAAAGAATGAAATTATGCCTTTGCAGCAATGTGGATGGAGCTGGAGGCCATTTTCCTAAGCAAATTAACACAAGAACAGAAAACCAAATACTGCATGTTCTCACGTATAAGGGGGAGCTAAACATTAAATACACACAGACACAAAAATGGCAACAATAGCCACTGGGGCCTATTTGAGGGTGGAGGGTGGGAGAAGGGTGAGGATTAAAAAACTACCTATTGGCTATTACGCTTGTTACCTGAGTGATAAAATAATCTGTATACCAAACCCCCACAACATGTAATTTACCCAGGTAAGAAACTTGCACATATACCCCCTGAACCTAAAATAAAAGTTGGGAAGAATAAATAAATAAATAAATAAATATAGACAGATAGATGATAGATGATAGATAGATAGATAGATAGATCTTTAAAAGATAATTCCCTGTTTAGATAATAGTCACAATGTAGTATTGTATGTATAACCTACATAAAAGTAAAATAAATGAGAACAGTAGCACAGTGGCTGGGAGAAGGAAAATGAAAGTGTGCTAGTGTAAAGATCGTATACTGTACATGAAATTGTATAACACCACTTGAAGGTAAGCTGTGTTAAGTTAAAGATGTATACCAGGAACCCTAAAGCAATCACTACGATAACAAAATAAAAAATATTGTCATAGTTAATAACTCAACAAAGCAGATAAAATTATATTTTAAAATACTCAATTATTCCAAAAGAAAACAGAAATGAAGGACAAAGAGCAGATGGAACAAATTTAAAATAAATAGCAAAATGGTAGATGTAAACCTAGCCATATCAATAATCATATGATTGACTGTTATTGTCTACATATCCCAGTTCAAAGGCAGAGAGTATCAGATTCGATTTAAAAAAATGAAACATGCAACTCTATACTGCTGTGATGCTTAGTACTGAGTGGCAACTTGATTGCATTGAGGGATACAAAGTATTAATCCTGGGTGTGTCTGTGTGGGTGTTGCAAAAAGAGATTAACATTTGAGTCAAAGGTCTGGGGAAGGCAAATCCACCCTTAATCTGGTGGGCAAAATCTAATCAGCTTCCAGCGAATATAAAGTAGGCAGAAAAACATGAAAGGGAGAGAGACTGGCCTAGCCTCCCAGCTTACATCTTTCTCTCATGCTGGTTGTTTCCTGCCCTTGAACACTGGATTTCAAATTCTTCAGTTTGGGGATTTAGACTGGCTCTCCTTGCTCCTCAGCTTGCAGACAGCCTATTGTGGGACCTTGTGATCATGTAAGTTAATACTTAATAAACTCCCATATATATGGGAGTTTATACTAATATATATATATATATACTAGTAGTGTATATACATATACACACATGCTAATAGTATATATATATACTATATATACACACACTAATAGTGTATACATATACACACTATATAGATACATACACATACTACATATATATATACACACACACACACACACACACACACGCTGTTAGTTCAGTCCCTCTAAGAGAACCCTAATTCAACTGTCTAAAAGAATTACATGGAACTATAAAGAAACAAAATATGTTAAATATAAAGGAATATAAAAAGATATACCATCCAAACATTAATCATAAGGTAGATGTAGCTATGTTATTAGCAGACTAATTAGAATTCAGGAAAAGAAATACTATAAAAGAAGAACATTTCTTAACAGAAATATTGATTCATCAAACATAACAATTCTAAATGTGTATATAACTAATAACAGAGTTGAAAAGACAAGCAAACTTACAATTATATTTATATTATATACAAAGACATTTATTTTTTAAGGAATTGGCTCATGTGGTTGTGGGTTAAGTCTAAAACCTGTAGGACAAACTCCCAGGAAATTCAGCCAGGAGCCCTTATTTCAATGAATCACAAGTGAACTTTTTAGGATGACAGAATAGTTTATGTTTTGATTAGAGTGAGATTACATGGGTGAAAAAAATTGTCAAAGAGCATCAAATTATTCACTTGAAAGGATACATTTTATGTAAGTTATACTCTGATAAAGTTAGAGCATATCTTTTTAGTACGTACTTATTATAGCAAGTCAGAGTATAGAAATATATTAAAAATTTAATAATCTCTCCCACCCAAAATTCACTTCCCTGGCATAAGCAAAGGTTAAAAGATTCATCTCTTTTTATTTCCTTGCTACCACTTAATATGGTTAGGCTTTGTGTCACCACCTAAATCTCATCTTGAATTTTAACCCCCAAGTGTTGAGGGAGAGACCTAGTGGGAGGTGATTGGATTATGGGGGCAGTTTCCCCCACGCTGTTCTCAGGATACTGAATTCTCATGAGATCTGGTGGTTTTATAAGCACCTGGCATTTCACCTGCTTGGGCACTCCCTCCTGCCACCTTATGAAGAAGGTGCCTGCTTCCCCTTCACCTTCCATCAGGTTTATAAGTTTCTTGAAAACTCCTCAGCCATGCAGAACTGTGAGTCAATTAAACCTCTTTCCTTTATAATTACCCAGTATCAGGTAGTATTCTTTACACAGCGTGAGAACGGACTAATATACCACTCTTTTCTTTCTTTACCACCTTTCTCCATGTTCTTCAATGGCAGTTCTGATTCTTCTGGCCCCAAAATAGCCACTATTCAGTAGTCTATCTTAAATTAGTTTCTTATATTGCCATATATATTTTTCTTGCTTGATCTTGCATTCATTTATTACCTCTTAGATTGTGGTTTCCAAATCTAATATCACTGACACAGTCTCTCTCTGTGTGCCCAACAGTATCTCTCCCTAAATGTCCCACAGAAACGTTTCCAGTGAACACACCGTCTTCCCCCACAACTGCCCCTTGTCTGCATTCACTTCCTTTCTCATTGAATGACACCATCATTCACTCAACCCCCTTGCCAAAAGCTGGGAAGTCAATTCAGAATATGATGAACAAAGAGCCATAATAAACTTTTGGATTCACAGTTCTAGTTTAAAGAGAAATAGTACAATCAGCTGAACAAGAGCAAACTGTCCCTTCACTGCATGCTTTACAGCCTCCTTCTAGTAACTATTTCTTTGACCCAAAAGAAAATGATCTAGTTAATTTCTAGATTAGTCTGTGGAGGAGAGGGTTTCAAAGAAAATTTCCATGCCCTTGGATGTTCATCATGTTCATCCATTAGCTGACAGTTCAGCACAGGTTCTCTCCAGCCCCATCATTTCTTACCGGGCTATTGAAATAACTTCTTAATTGGATTCCTGGCTCCAATCTCCAAATATTCAATTTAGACCCCCTCCCCCACATTGCTGCAAAGTATTCTTTCTTGAAAAGGTAGCAATGACTTAAAATTGTATATGATGTCCTCCCATGACAGGATTTCCCATAGCCGCTCATGCCATGCCTTCTCCCTACATTGTTCTCAAAATTTGATTTGCTCACCTGCCTTCCAGCGTTTGCTTCATTCACTTCTTTGGCCTACAATGCACTCTTTATTCCATTCCTGCTCACCAAGGAAAATTTCCGGTCATTCTTCTAGTCTCAGACAAAGCATTCTCTTCAGTGAAAATTTTCTGACATCTTTTCCCACTCCAGTCTTAGTATAATGTATTTTATGTCCTCTGTATCTTTGTCAGTATTGTCTTATATGCTCTATCACCTATAAAATCTGTTTTTGTGCTTTATTTGATGAAATGTCTATGCTTCATATAATTTTTATATTCAGTGCTCAGCACAGAATTTCTTAACCTTGGCACTACTGACATTTTGGACCAGATAATTCTTGTGAGGGGCTCTCCTGTGTCTTGTTGCATGTAGCATCCTTGGCTTCTATCTCTAAGTATTACCTCCTTTACCTCAGCGTGACAATCAAAAATTGCCAATGTCTCCTTGTGAGCAAAAATCAACCTGGTTGAAAACCACTGGCCTAGTACAAACATATCTGTGCACAAAAAAGTACTTGAAATTAATAAGAATATATATTGGTTTTTAGGTGTGACAAGCAATGGCAGGAAAGAGTAGAACTTACCATATCATCCCATCATTACCCTCTAGCAGAGAGGGAGTCAATGTGTAGACAGTGGTCCCAGGTAGAAAGACTGCAATGCGGGAGCCTGCAGTAAAAGAAGAAAGGGCTCCATGTGAAGTCAAAGCAATGCAGAAACATGAACGTTTTCTCTCTACAACAGAAGTCCAAGTTAGTAAGTAGTGGAGCTGAGCTTTGAACCCTGATCTTTATGCTTAATAAAGACATTGGTCTTTTGCTTTAGGCAGAGGAGTATATGTATTCCCCAACGTACACATGATCACAGCTGGACAATCTGAAGACATACACAAAATGGGGCAGGAATGTACTCCAGTGATTTCACCTAATATGCAAATAGATTTCAGTGGTTCATAAAAGTGAAAAATGGTTTAGTATTTCCCCAAAATTGATTGCTGCCCTTTTGGAGACCTGAGAAGGCATGCTGAACACTCCGCTTTAATAGACTAAAATGAGGTGGAAACTCTTCCCTTCCTGGGTCTGGATTTGGTCACCAAGATTTGGAAGACACATGCAAAAACAGCCACAGAAAGATTTGGATTTAAATGAGCAGGGTTTTTAGAACAGGTCAAATATATATTTTTTTGCAGTGAAATACAGAACATGTAAGCATCATAATGGAAATGCAGAAATCATAAATAGCAAAGCTAATGCCAACACAGCAGCAGTACAAAAGATCAGCAAAGAGCCATAACTGAATGTTAAAAATAAAATAGGTTCTGAAGAGACACACTGAATATAGGAATTTTTTGTTTTGTTTTTTAAAGCCAGTGTAACAAATGATGGTAATAGTAACTGTGGCAGGCTGTGCAAAAGCTGGGTATCTCAAAAAATGATTCTCTCTTCCCTAGCAAAAATAATATTAAAATGAAACTGGGATATTTATTTGCCTTTTTAACACAGCAGGGATCACTTACAGCAAATAAGCCTAACAATGGTCCAATGCAAGAACCACTGATGCTGCTAACAACTGACCATTGTCATTATCCACACAATGCATTAAATGCCCAAGCCATGCCTAACAACAGTCTCTACCTCTGCCTTCTGCTTTCTGCCTTCAAAGTGCTGTTTATTTTTTCCTATAAAACCTTAAAAGACGTCGTTCAACAGAAAGGGAGCTCCTCAAAAATTCTTTCTCTCTGTTTTACCTCACCCTACGCTGACCCCCAATGGCAGAAAGAGAGTAAGTAGACTCAAAATGCAGCATGAAGATTAAGCTCCAGGCATGAATTAATTTACCAAATGAGACCATTATTTTTTTTAGTACTTCCATTGTGTCAAGAATTTGTATCAGGTTCTGTGAAAGAAAAAATATTAATAAAATAAATAGAGAATCCAAATTAAGCATTTTTTCCTTGAGAAATGTGAAAGAGGGCGACAGGCCCATGTTTACAAAGGAGACTGCTTAAATCAGAGAGCAGAGGCAAAGCAAGTCCCTGAATCTTCAAGGGGCTCAATCAATGAAGGCTTTCAAGAAGAATGTTTTATTGTGAAAGGGCGTGTGACAGACACTTAAAAGTGGAACAAACCCTTATCAGTCTGAGAGAAAATTAGATTTAACAGCACTTGAAATCAGAGGGGTGAATTACAGGGCATTAATATCACTGTACCTGCAGCCTTGAGCAAGTGGCTCAATGTCTCTGAACCTCATTTTTCTTATTTATGAAACACTGCAACACTAATTCCTTCTTCATAGATTGGTTGTGAAGTTTAAGTAAGATAACGCACCTTGTATGTGCAAAAGCAATATCACTATTTTTGCAATGACTTCCAGAACAATGAAGTTAAAATTATTGGGTGAAAGAAGATGCACCAAATTGATTGAAAATGATTTTCTCTTAACAATAAGATTAGCGTGGCCGGGCGCGGTGGCTCACGCCTGTAATCCCAGCGCTTTGGGAGGCCGAGGCGGGCAGATCACAAGGTCAGGAGATGGAGACCATCCTGGCTAACACGGTGAAACCCCGTCTCTACTAAAAATACAAAAAAAAATTTAGCCGGGCGTGGTGGTGGGTGCCTGTGGTCCCAGCTACTCCGGAGGCTGAGGCAGGAGAATGGCGTGAACCCGGGAGGCGGAGCTTGCAGTGAGCCGAGATCGCGCCACTGCACTCCAGCCTGGGCGATTGAGCGAGACTCTGTCTCAAAAAAAAAAAAAAAAAAAAAAGATTACAGCTAAACTGCTTTACTACTTTTCTACATTTTCTATAATGAACATTATTATTTATAATCACTAAAACATCAGCATTTTAAAAATATTTTAAATTTAAATTTATTGAATGAAAATAAATGTAAATACATCTCACACAATCAAGTGGCTTTGAAATGTACAAATCCTTGATCTATATTGAATACTTAAATTGTGCTAGACATTGTATTAGGCTACATCCAGACATGAATAAGCATGTTCCTGGTCCTCAGGGGATTAGTCTTGTGAATAAATGTGCCCTCTCCTCCATCTCTTGACAAAAGAAATGCAGATAAACTGCTGCTACATAGATAGACATTTATGAAAAGAGTACCAATGTCCAACAGTTAAAGGTTCAGGATTGGGAATTAAATTATGTGAGTTCAAATCTTAGTTCATATCACCAAATATTAATTGACTGCCTACTATGTGCTGGGCATTTTCTAGGCACAGGGAATACAGCAGTGTACAAACAAGTGTGTAGCCTTGGATATGGTTTTAATCTTTCTGCTCTTTTTTTCTTACCTTTCCAAGTAGCAGTTGAGATAAGATATAAAGTATCCAGTACAGAGGACCCTCAACTAATGATGGTTTGACTTAGGTTTTTCAGCTTTACAGTGGTGCAAAAGTGATGTACATTTAGTTGTAATTGTACCTCAAATTTTGAATTCAGATCTTTTCCTGGGCTAATGACATGTGGTACAATACTCTCTCATGAGTCTGACGAGCAGAATGAACCACAGTTCCATCAGTGACAACAGTAAACAACTGATATTCTACAGTATACATTGTTGACAGCAGTTTTTGGATATTGTCTTTTGTGTTTTCCCATCCCATGATGTCTACAAAATGTCCATCTGTGTACAGTATTCAGTGCTTTATTAAAATAGACTTCGTGTTAGATGATTTGCCTAACCGTAGGCCAATGCAAGTGTACTGAGCACATTTAAATTAGGCCAGGCTAAGCTATCATGTTTGGCAGGTGAGGTGTATTGCATACATTTTTGACTTAAGATATTTTCAATTTACATTGTGTTTATCAAGATGTAACCCCATCATAAGTCAAGAAACATCTGTAGGAAGCAAGTACACAGCACCCTTCTGCACTGAATCTTTCCCACCAGTATTCAAATATATTATTAAATTTCCTATTTTCACAATGATAATAATAAAATGTCCTTTATTCCACATCCTTTTCATTTACCAACTCATTTTTCGCGTACTGTTTATTGGCTACGATTCTTTATTGATTAGAATTGTCCCTACTTAGTGTCTTCAATTCCTCCCCTGCCCTTTTTTGAACTTACTCCAAACAAGATTTGGTCTGGAAACTTGGATCAAAGATTGTCCATAGGGCCTCAGACAGCAGATACTATGCCTCTGTATAAATTAGAAAATTGTCCTCCTCTGGATGGATGAATTACAAATAGCTGTGCTCTCTGAATAGCTGTAGCAGGACGCAGGGAGCACATGACCACCACTTACCCATTTAGCTGGTTATCTTCATACAAGGTATAACCTGCACAACCACTGTGGTCCTGCTTCTCATCATCATGAATGGCCTCCAGGTAGTTAAAGCTAATGGTCAACTTTCAGTCCCTATTTAACCTGCATATCAGCAACATGTGCCAAAGTTTATCACTGTATCCTCTTTGAAGCACCTTCTTTTCAACACAGTCCCTTTCTTTTCCTTTTTCTCCTGGCTGGTTCCTCTTTATCTCCTAGACCTCTTAACACTACTAAAGACTACTAAAGTGGCTTCAAAACCTAGGTCTTGGGTAAGTATAGTATATTTTCTATCTAAAATAATCCCCTTATAGAATGATCTAATATCATGACTTTTAAATCAATCATATGCTGACAGTGTCCAAATACGTATCTCCAGTTAGGACCTCTCCTACGAATTCCAACTCCTGTATTCAACTGCCTCTCAGTGGTTGTGTAATAGGCATCGCAAAGTTAACAAGCTCAAGACTGAATTTCTAATCCCTTCCCTACCCTCAACATGGTCTTTCCATTGTTCTTATTATTCAGGCCAATTCCTCCAAATTCCTTCTGTTTCTCATGCTCCACATCCATAGATCAATATATTCACCAGCCCTACTTTCAAATATTGAAGAATTCAATAGTTACCAGCTCCAGTACTCATAGTTGATCTAAACCACCACCATATCCAACTATTATTTCAATTGCTTTCTAACTGTTGAATCAGCTTCTGTCCTGGATTCTGTTCTATTTTCCACACAAGTCAGAATGATCCTGTTAAAATTTAAGTCACATTATGTCACTTCAAAACCTTCCAGAGTTTCTATCTAACCCTTAGAAAAAGCCAATGATCATGATTTCACACAAGCCTCTTACTGTATCTGCCCTGTGTTTCTGAAGCTGCTCCTATGAACTTTATAAAATTAATCAGGGGGAAGAGGAGGGTAAAAAATAAAAACAAACCAAGCTTGCAGCACACTGAGCATTAATCACAAGGTCAGCCTGGTCTCTGGCCTGCTTCCTCATAGTTGTCTGGTGCCTAGAGTCAGGTAGACCTTAAATTACAATTACCCTTAACTACTCTATAGATAACAACTTAAACATTATGAAACATTAAGCTTCCCTTTTGAGATATTCCTTCAGGTCCTGAATATTGATGAAAGTACTGACTCAGCTGGTCTGAAGGACCCCACGAATGCCAGCTGGTCTCAGAAACCCCACAAGAAACTGACTCACCAAAGAACACAGTTTCCATATCCTGATGATTTCACTCCCCTTACCCCAACCAATCAACAACCATAATTTTCCAAACCCTCACCCACCATGATCCTCTTAAAAATCCCAGCCCAGAATTCCTCAAGGAGATGGATTTGAGAGTCTCCTTCCATCTGCTTGCTCGGCAGCCTGTCATCTTTAAAGGTTCTCTGTTGCAAACACTGCTGTCTCAGTGTAATGTGCTGTTACTGTGGAGCAGGTATACTAATCCATTGGTCCTGTAACTTTGCCTTTGGCCTCACTCTCCACATCCTACACCTAACACACACATAGTGTTCATTCTGCTCCTGTCACATTTGCTCATTTATTGTTCCTTGAGAAGATCAAGCACACACAATCTACCTCAGGGACTTTCTACTTGCTGTTCCTGCCTCCTGAAATGTTTCTTCCCCACAAGAAAGCCCTCTTGTTTACTCCTTTACTTTCTTCAGATGTCACTTCTCAGGGATGGCTTCCATGACTACCATATTTAAAACTGTAACCTTCCATTTTCCTTCCCAGTCTTCTCAATAATATAAAATATATTGTACTTATAACTAGAACATGACACTCAGTAGGTGCCCCATACATATTTGTTGCAGATATATGTATCTTCATATATATACATAATATATTTATTATATTTATTGTATATTTGTATAAAAATTTATATACATATATAGAAATACTTCAGTGAACACATAGGAATGATCAATAGTGGCACAGCCTTTTGCTTGAGCACCATCTAAAAACAGAAGACTCAGAAAAGGGAGAAGGTGAGTCCGATAATACTGGAGATGACTGTCCATTTTCTATAGTAAGTCAAATGCCTTCAGTGGAAGAACACAAGATACAAGAGCTGGGAAAATAAAGGTGGTAGTAAGTCCCATTTGTGAAACTTACCAAATTCATATTTTCATATTTTTTTCAAACAAACAAGCCAATCTGAGATTATTGTAAAAAGTCCTAAAGAATGAAGTGAATTATATGTCAGAGTGATTTAACGAGATTAAGTTTAAAAGCACAATAATGAGATATGCATATGTAGACATGCTGAGAATCATTGTTGTCACCACTATGCATTCTCCTTTCCTTTCATCTCAACACCTTGCAGTTATATATGGTCATTTGATTAGTTCTGGCCAATGAAATGTGAGCTGAGGCAGTGAAAAGCCCTGAGCGATTCACTCTGCTAAAGCAGTCATGCAGGAAGCCTCATTTTGAGAAGACAAAGCCACACAATTACAGCAGCAAGGATTGCTGAGTCACTATATAGGGGGCACAAGCCCTAGGAGTAACTTAGATCTGATACAGATTTTCTATAACTGAGAAACAGACTTGATTTTCAAAGTAACTGACATGTGGAGGCTATTTGCAATGGAACTTAGACTATCTAGTCTTTTGTAGCTAACACATTCATACAGATAAATATTTATGTAAACCAGTATGTAAAATGAATAACATAGATTGAGATAGAAGGGAAAGACTGTGTATCATAAATATTGAAGGAGCATTATGAGCTATTTGAAGAAAAAGATTAAAAGATGTAAAATGGTCCACCATGATAAAATGTACATGAGAGGAAATAGAATGATGTATACAAAGAGAAAGGTGTCATGGGTTGCAACAAAAAGAGGGCTTCATTGGTGTAATATACCAAAGGGAGGTTTTGACGTGCACACTAATCTTCAGTGTTCTTTTCGTTATGTGTGGTGTGATGTGGTGTGTTCATCAATGATTTATTGTTCCTTCCTCAGGTGTGTGTTATTGTGGAGATTTCTGTGGCAACCCTATTTGTACCTTACTATAGCTTAACCCTAGGTTTCTCTGGTCCACTGCATAAATCTCCATGCCCCTCATTCTGAAGAAACACCAGAACTTCTGGATGTCCACCCTCCTAAACACAAGCTGTAGGAAAAAATGAGTGCTATCCCAGGCAATCTCTCTGCCTGATGACAACACTACTGCATTTCTACTGCACTTCGGCTACCACAGTATGTTTTCATGTTCTATACCTAACAGGAAGCCTTCTCCAGAATTTCAAGTGGTAGGCAAGTCCTAAATGCCCTCTGCTTTTCTAGATCATCAACCATCTACCATGTTTCTAAACATTTTTGAATGTTTTTTTCTGTTGTGGATACCTAGTTTAATTCCTTTTCATCACCATAAAGATGTTATTCTGTCATTTTTTGGCTTTCATACTGTGTGGGGGAAAAATGTAAGTTTTATTACTGCTTTGTGAAGATAATGTGACTTTTTTCTCTGTTTTTGAGAATTTCTATTTATTTTTGGTTTGCAGCAGTTTGATTATGAAGTTTTCAGCAGTTTTCTTTCCATGTATCCTGCTGGCATGTTTACTGTGATTCTTGGATCTGTGGGTTGATGTCTTGTACCTATTTTGGAAAGTTCTTAACTATTATCTTTTCACATATTGCCTCTCTGCCATTCTCTTTCTTATCTCTTATGATACTCTAGCTACATATGTGTGAAAACATTGTCTATCTGTCTGTATCCTTTATGACTTTTATGCTTTGTATTTTGTGATTTTTAGTTGTTTTGTCCCTGTGCTTCAGTTTGAACACTGTATTGACTGGTTCTTAAGTTCCATACTCATGTCTTTTGCCTTACCCAAGCTGATGCTAAAATTTAAAGTATTAAATATTTTAATTATAGAAGACTCTTTTTATAGCTTTCAATTATTTAATAAAACTCTCTTTTTGTCAGTTTTGTCTTCTATTTCTTTAACCTATTTATACCAGTCATTTTATAGTCTTTGTCAGCTGAATATTTACATATGTGTATATCTACTTCTATTTAGGACATTTTTCCTTAATTATTGGACATATTTTGTGCTTCTTTGCATATCTTTTAATTTTTTATTATATACTAGATATCATAAATAAAAAAATCAAATAGGGATATAATTTTCTCCAAAAGAGGGTTTACTTTTGCTTGCATTGGGCAGATGAGTTGAGGGGCTGACCACAATAATTCTATCAGGAATTGAGTTTAGTCAAAGCTGTTTTATTTCATTTTGTTTTTAGTTAAAATCTTTCCACGTCTAGTTTCAAGTGTTACAGAAAAAGATTTGACTTCTGTTTGTGGCGTGCTTCTCCCTCTATTGGGAATTTTCTTCCTAAGCATCATGAAGCTCTCGGAAATTTTATTCTACTCTATCTCTCTTCTCTCGTCCCCCATGATCCTTATAATACCCTATCACTCAACAAATATCCTGTAGAGAAAACATGTCATGAATTTGGCATCCCCCTACTTTTCAGTCTCTCATACTGTGTTGGGCATTTATTCCTTCCTGTGGGTTCTTGGTCTCAGTGACTTGAAGAATTAAGCCACGGACCCTTGTGGTGAGTGCTACAGTTCTTAAAGATGGTGCCAGAGTTTCTACCTTCTGGTGGGTTTTTGATCTCGCTGACTTCAGGAGTGAAGCTGCGGACCTTCACAGTGAGTGTTACAGCTCTTAAAGGTGGTACATCCAGAGTTGTTTATTCCTCCAGGTGGGTTCATGGTCTCGCTGACTTCAGTAGTGAAGCCACAGACCTCTGCAGTGAATGTTACAGCTCATAAAGGTAGTGTGGACCCAAAGAGTGAACAGCAGCAAGATTTATTGTGAAGAGCAAAACAACAAAGCCACCACAACGTGGAAGCAGACAGGAGCAAGTTGTCCCTGCAAGCTCAGGTGGGCAGCTTTTATTCCCTTATTTGGCCCCGCCCACATCCTGCTGATTGGTCGATTTTACAAAGCGCTGATTGGTCCATTTTACAGAGTGCTGATTGCTCCGTTTTACAGAGTGCTGATTGGTCCATTTTACAGAGTGCTGATTGATGTGTTTACAATCCTTTAGCTGGACACAGAGCGCTGATTGGTGAATTTTTACAGAATGCTGATTGGTGCGTTTACAATCCTTTAGGTAGACACAGAGTGCTGATTGGTGCATTTACAATCCTCTAGCTAGACAGAAAAGTTCTCCAAGTCCCCACCTGACCCAGAAGGCCAGCCAGCTTCACCTCTCAATACCAGCTAATGTGGCCATCAGAAACTGCTGGTTTCTATCTCCTCTAGTTGAATCCTCTCCCTACGGCAAGCACATCCACCGTCCATATCCAAGCATGACAAATAATATATCTTGACATAAGCTCATGAAAGAAAGCTTTTCCATCTCCATATTTTTAGCCCTTTTATCTTTTCTTCTTAAGCTCTCCTATGTCTGCAAAAATATAAATTTTATGAATACTCTGCTTTTTCTCTTTTCAGTTATAACAGGAGTTGTAGCCTGCCATTATCTATTATATTGTAACTAGCCACCAATAAGTTCTGTATTTAGGCTTTTAATTGGTTAAACCTAAATGTAGGACTTTATATTCATAATTTTTAAGCTTTAAGTCCACTTATCAGATTTTAATATTAATCATGTTATGAAAAACATGATAAATTATTGCCAGTTCTGTCCCAGCTAATACTTTAATTAGCATATTATCTATATCTTCAATCAATAAATTTACTAGCACTAAGTTATTCTGACTAGTACTAACTAAAAATATTTCTGGTAAAACATTAGAAACCTTGCTTGAATTAACTCCATCAATGAGCACTTGTAAACAAATATTCAGCCAGATGTTAGATCATTCTCCATTATTTTGTTTGTCATTTATTTACCTACAAAAGAGATTGTTAATGTGAGTTAAGGGAAGTAAGATTCTCTATGATGGAATTGAAGTAGGTTTACTACATTTCCCTAAAACATCTAAAGCAGTAACAGTTGTTTTGAAGTTGATAATTTATAAGTTAAAATTACAACTCTTAATAGTTGTAATAGTGGCTTAGAAGTGTTAACATATGATTCAGAAAATATAAAATCATTGATAACTGAGTAGATAAAATATACATCTTAAATTTGAAAGTATAAGTCACCAAAGAAAATACAGGTTTCAGATCTGAGCCATAAAAGAAATTCTAAAAAAGAAATCAACACTTAAAAGAAAGATGCTCTGGAAATGGTATTTGTCAATAAATAGTAAGAAAAGAGGAAGTTTCATCTGCACAAATATGTCTCCTTTACTTCTAATAAGTCATACACCGATGTTTTTTAACCTAAAGATCTTTTCCCACTAGTCAATACTGAAGTCATTTATCAAATCACAATCAGATTTTATAAAAAGAAAAAAATGCTCATTAAGTAAATATATCAATAATTTCTTATATAAATGGCAATATTTTGATAAACTTGTTTTTGTTATATAGATACATAGATATAGATATACACATCACACACACACATACACAATGCACAGAGAGATATGGTGGAGGAACAGAAAATATATTTCTTGCTATGGGTTACAGTCAAAAAATTGAAATCATATCTCAGAATTTAGGAGTGAAACATAGCAATTTACCCACAACCAGACATAATACAGTTTCTGACACTGGATCCACTCTCAAAAGCAGATCAGGTGTTGGTAGGTGTTGGTAGCACCTACATTGGCAAGCTTGGCATTTCCTAATACACTTTTTGGCTACTGTGCATATACATTCATCCATGACCACTGAACATATTGAAGCACTGCCATACCTGTCCACTATCTGGGCTCTATAAGAATCTTAACCATTTCCAGTTGGGTGTAGTAGCTCACACTTTTGATCCCAGCATTTTGAGAGGCCAGAGTGGGCAGATCATTTGAGAACAGGAGTTCAAGAACAGCATGAGCAACATGGCAAAGCCCCATCTCTATTAAAAATACAAAAATTAGCTGGGCATGGTGGCACTCGTAACCCCAGCTACTCTGGAGGTTGGGGCAAGAGTATCACTTAAACCCAGGAAGCAGAGTTTGCAGTGAACGGAGATCGTGCCACTGCACTCCAGCCTGGGCAGCAGAGCGAGACTCTGTCTCAAAAAATTAAATAAAATAAAATGAATCTTAACAATTTCCCACATCAGCTCATTTACTCATGACCCCCATTAATATACTATCTTAGCTTTTAGATGCTGACTTTATACCTAAATTCCATTTTTTATCTGATTGCCTTGAATCTGACAACCTGGATTTTTATGGCTTGTTCATACTTGGATTTATTTTTTTGGCCCCACCTTGGATTTATTGATTGAGTCTTCATAAATTCCCCATCTTAGATACAAGTCTTTTAAGAACCTACTGTTCTTCAATCTCTTTTCATTGACCCATATAGGCTATGTTGGAAAAATCCTACTCTTACCTACTATTGACAATTGCTGCTTTGCAGAGAGGCCCCCTCATATTGAGATATTAGGTATGATTTTCCAAGACTATAACCAACAATTTTCCAGGATTGTGACAACTTCCAGAGCATTTTTCTTTTGTGTGTTGATTTATTTTATTAGAATTTCTTCATTCATCATTTGGGTAAATGGAATGGAAGTCTAAGATAAAATGGCAGCAGCACAAGTTTCCTGACAAGCAGATATAGCTTAGAAACTTATTTCCCAGCAGCTGGAGAAGAGACTGGCAAACACAAAGCAAGGCAGGTCAGCTGTGTGTGTATGAATATGAGACTGAATAGTGAGAGAAGGGAAAATAGATTGGCTTCTGGAACCTAATCAGAATGGGGACAAAAGCAGACTCCTAGTATTGTGAGTTGGCTTACACAGCCAAATGACAGTGGAGGTGGTGGAACTTGGGTTTAGAAGCCCTGATATGAGGTCTTCTTACACGCACGGGTTCCTAAAGGAAAACTGTATGACTCAAAAGAAAAGTCTGAAAATAATAGAAAGTCCATTGAACAAGAGTCCAAAAGGGATCAATTGGGCTAGAATTACAGAACAAACTGGAGGCATGATTCCATACCAAAGTTTAACCAACACTAGGTTAGAACTCCCTTGCTACTTCCTGCCTTTGTCTAAAGCCCAGATTATACAAAGAACAGACACCTATATAATTAGGATTGAGCTGGTAGAGATGGTGGTAAATAAATAGGATGGACCAGGGAAATAAGTCAGGGCCTAAAGGCACAGAGAGATAACACTTTTCTGAAATAAATTGCTAAGAAGTTGGCTAAGTGGAAGATAGTAGTTTGAGTGTTGCCTCAAAGTTGGGAGGTGAGGGAAGAAAAAAAAACAAAACTGTAAGAGCAACTGTGCTCAATGGTTTCTCCAGGACCAATAAGTGCTCACGAACACAGATAGTTGGATCCAATATCACCTGTTTTATTGTCTTGAGCAGACTACTTAGCTGCTGTAACCATACAATGAATGCAAAAGGAGAATGAGAACTGAACAAATTAATAAGTCAAATATTAATAAAGATTAAAGTGAGAGTCAGCCTTTGCAAACTGGAGGTTGAAAACTTAGGAGAACAGATGTTAACATCTTACAGAACAGTAATTTCCAGTTGAGATTGTGGATTATCAGGGAGACCCCAAACTATCTTTAGGAATTTTCAGATCCATATGCATTCTAGGCATTTTCAAATGATAAGAAAATATGCTTGCATTTATCACTACAGTTTTCAAATACCTGTAGCTTCCATAAGAATAATCAAATATGAATTAATTTAAAATTAATTTATGATTTATTGAATTCATGAACGTATTTTAATTACATATTTTATCAGTAATTATGAAGACAAAAATATAACTACTATCTGATGCTGGTCTGAAAATATTGTTTGATGTTAGAAAATATTTCTTATAGTCACATAGCCTGAGAACAACTTCTCTAGAAGAAAAGACAGAGACAATATCGAAAACAAGTAGAATTAGGGGAAGGCAGTGTGGTGAAGTAAAGAGAACTGAGAGTCTGTCATCAGTTCAGATCTCCAGCTATGAGATCTTGGGCAAATTACTTATCTTTCTATGGATGTTTTATCAAATTTAAAATGGTGATAGCATTATTCAAATTTAGAGAGTTGTTGCAGATTAATGACAGTGTATACAAAGATGTTGGGCCTGAGCATGTAACTTTTTGGCCAAGAGAACATTGGCAGAAGTACTAGTTTCAAGGCAAAATCTTTGTCCTTCTGTGAACCACCATGAGAAGAACGTGACCTGATTGCTGCTGATCCAAGAATGTAAAGACTTGAAGTAGATCTGACAACAGACTGAAACCCAGATCCAAGCTCAGATAATATGAAACATGAAACAAAGAGATTCTAGCAACCTACAAATACATGCCTAGAAGAAGAAGTGCTTGCTGCTATAAGTCCCTGAGTTTTAGGGTGTCTCATGCATCATTATGGCAACAAACTGTGATTGGTACAGTATAATGATAGTATAATTTAATATCTAATAGGAAAACCCATACTTATTCTTTTTCATGTATTTTAGTTATACTCAGTTGTATATTATTTCATATGAAGTTAAATATCACCTATAATTCAAAGGTTAAAAATAGAAAAGCCATAACATTTACTATTTATAATTGTATTATGTCTTTGCACTTTATTTAGATCTTGTTTTATATGTTATAATATAATTTTGAAGTTTTCTTTAAATAAGTCCTTTATCACATGGTTTGCCACTATTGAAAATGGACTATTTTCACATTTCTATTTCTAGCTTGCTCTTGCCAGTAAGGATAAAGCTAATAATTCCTGCCTGTTAACTTTATATTCAGCTACCTTATCAAATTCCTATATTAAACCTACTAGTTTTCTTAACTTATTGCTTTTTGAGCTATCTAATTATACCACTAGAATAAAATATAATTGTAACTTTTTCATAGTAGTTATTGAAATTATTTCCATTTTGTTGTCTTATTGTAATCACTGTAGTGCAGTCTTGGTGGGCAACACTATGGAGAGCAGCAAAATTGCAACTTGGATGAGGAGGTAAAGGTATAAACAAATATTATGGGGAAAATAAATACATTATTATATTAGAAGTACTATAAAAGGATTTAGCAATGCTACAGTTAAACCATATAAACTTTATATATCATCATAGACTAAAAAAGGACCTTAACAAAGAAAGACAGTTCATGGCCAATCACTAGCAGAGGAGTCACATCACCAACCAAAATATCGATGTGGAACAAGTTGCTTTGTTCCTCTAGGACTTAGATTTTGATCCTTGATAATATTTTTCATTAGAACCAATCCTGTTCTAAAAAAAAAAAACAAGAAAAAGCAAGATGTGCCTAGAAAATGTTACTGCTGGAAAACAAGGATGTTTTAAAAATGCCTGAGGTAGTGCTGAAAACACAAAGGAATGTCTAAAGGAGTTTGCACTGGCCAGTTAGAACAACATGGGCATAAGAAGGAAAGCAGAAATTCAGGTTGACTGGAACAAGTTATATTTGAAGGGGAAAAAAATCCATCTATCAATGCAATAAGAGCTAATTATCTTAAATATATATACACCTAATACAGGAGCACCCAGATTCATAAAGCAAGTTCTTAGATACCTACAAAGAGACTTAGACTCCTACACAATAATAGTGGGAGATATTTACACCCCACTGTCAATATTAGACAGATCCATGAGACAGAAAATTAACAAGGATATTCAGGACTCAAGCTCAGCTCTGGACCAAGTGGACCTAATAAACATCGACAGAACTCTCCACCCAAAATCAACAGAATATACATTCTTCTCAGCACCACATTGCACTTACTCTAAAATTGACCACATAATTGGAAGGAAAACACTCCTCAGCAAATGCAAAAAATGGAAATAATAATAAACACTCTCTCAGACCACAGTGCAATCAAATTAGAAATCAAGATTAAGAAACTCACTCAAAACCGCACAACCAATGGAACTGAACAAGCTGCTCCTGAATAACTACCGGGTAAATAACAAAATTAAGGCAGAAATAAATAAGTTCTTTGAAACCAATGAGAAAAAAGACAAAATGTACCAGAATCTCTGGGACACAGCCAAAGCAGTGTTTAGAGGGAAATTTATAGCACTAAATGCCCACAGGAGAAAGCGGGAAAGTTCTAAAATTGACAATCTAGCATCACAACTAAAAGAACTGGAGAAGCAAGGTTAAATGAATTCAAAAGGTAGAAGACAATAAATAATTAAGATCAGAGCAGATCTGAAGGAGATAGAGACATGAAAAATCCTTCAAAAAGTCAATGAATCCAGGAGCTGGGTTTTGAAAAGATTAACAAAATAGATAGATGCTAGCCATACTAATAAAGAAAACAAGAAGAATCAAATAGACACAATAAAAAATGATAGAGGGGATATCACTACTGATCCCACAGAAATACAAATTGCCATCAGAGGATACTATAAATACCTCTATGCAAATAAACTAGAAAATCTAGAAGAAAAAACATCCTGCATACATACACCCTCCCATGACTAAACCAGGAAGAATTCGAATCTCTGAATAGACCAATAACAAGTTCTGAAATTGAGGCAGTAATTAATAGCATACCAATTTAAAAAAGCTCAGGACCAGATGGATTCACAGTCCAATTCTACCAGAGGTACAAAGAGGAGCTTGTAACATGCTTTCTGAAACTATTCCAAACAACAGAAAAAGAGGGACTCCTACCTAACTCTCTTTTATGAGGCCAGCATCATCCTGATACCAAAGCCTGGCAGAGACACAACAAAAAAAGAAAATTTCAGGCTGATATCCCTGATGAACATCAATGCAAAAATCCTCAATAAAACACTGGCAAACCGAATCCAGCAGCACATCAAAAAGTTTATCCACCACGATCAAGTCGGTTTCATCCCTGGAATGCAAGGCTCATTCAACATATGCAAATCTATAAACATAATCCATCACATAAACACAACCAATGACAAAAACCACCTGATTGTCTCAATAGATGCAGAGAAGGCCTTTGACAAAATTCAACACCACTTCATGCTAAAAACTCTCAATAAACTAGGTATTGATAGAACATATCTCAAAATAATAAGTGCTATTTATGACAAACCCACAGCCAATATCATACCAAATGTGCAAAAGCTGGAAGCATTCCCTTTAAAAACCAGCACAAGACAAGGATGCCCTCTCTCACCACTCCTATTCAACATAGCATTGGAAGTTCTGGCCAGTGCAATCAGGCAAGAGAAACAAATAAAGGTATTTAAATAGGAAGCAAGGAAGTCAGATTATCTCTGTTTGCAGATGACATGATTGTATATTTAGAAAACCCCATTGTCTGAGCCCAAAAACTCCTTAAGCTGATAAGCAACTTCAGCAAAGTTTCAGGATACAAAATCAATGTGCAAAAATCACAAACATTCCTATACACCAATAACAGACAAACAGAGAACCAAATCATGAGTGAACTCCCATTCACAATTGCTACAAAGAGAATAAAATACCTAGGAATACAACTTACAAGGGATATGAAAGACGTCTTCCAGGAGAACTACAAACTACTGCTGCAGGAAATAAGAGGAGACACAAATAAATGGAAAAACATTCCATGCTCATGGATAGGACGAATCAATATCATGAAAATGACCATACTGCCCAAAGTAATTTATAGATTTAATGCTATTCCCATCAAGCTACCATTGACTTTCTTCACAGAATTAGAAAAAACTACTTTAAATTTCATATGGAAGTGAAAAAGAGCCCGTATAGCCAAGACAATCCTAAGCAAAAAGAACAAAGCTGGAGGCATCATACTACCTGACTTCAAACTACACTACGAGGCTGCAGTAACCAAAATAGCATGGTACCAGTACCAAAACAGATATATAGACCAATGGAACAGAACAGAGGCCTCAGAAATAACACCAAACATCTACAACCATCTGACATTTGACAAACCTGACAAAAAGAAGCAATGGGGAAAGGATTCCCTATTTAACAAATGGTGTTGGGAAAACTGGCTAGCCATATGCAGAAAACTGAAACTGGACCCCTTCCTTACACCTTAAACAAAAATTAACTCAAGATGGATTAAAGATTTAAATGTAAGACTTAAAGCATAAAAACCCTAGAAGAAATCCCAGGCAATACCATTCAGGACATAGGCATGGGTAAAGACTTCATGAATAAAAGACTAAAAGCAATGGCAACAAAAGCCAAAATTGACAAATAGGATCGAATTAAACTAAAGAGCTTCTGCACAGCAAAAGATACTATCATCAGAGTGAACAGGCAACCTACAGAATAAGAGAAAGTTTTTGCAATCTATCCATCTGACAAAGGGCTAATATCCAGAATCTACAAGGAACTTAAACAAATTTACAAGAAAAAAACTCGCCTACTTCAAAAGTAGGTGAAGGATATGAACAGACAGTTCCCAAAAGAAGACATTTATGCAGACAAAAAAATGTATGAAAAAAAGTTCATCATCACTGGTCATTAGAGAAATGCAAATCAAAACCACAATGAGATACCATCTCATGCCAGTTAGAATGGCAATTATTAAAAAGTCAGGAAAGAACAGATGCTGGAGAGGATGTGGAGAAATAGGAATTCTTTTACACTGTTGGTGGGAGTGTAAATCAGTTCAACCTTTGTGGAAAACAGTGTGGTGATTCCTCAAGGATCTAGAACTAGAAATACCATTTGACCCAGCAATCACATTACTGGGTATATACCCAAAGGATTATAAATCATTCTACTATAAATACACATGCACACATATGTTTATTGTGGCACTGTTCACAATAGCAAAGAGTTGGAACCAACCCAAATGCCCATCCATGATAGACTGGATAAAGAAAATGTGGCACATATACACCATGGAATACTATGCAGCTATAAAAAGGAATGAGTTCATGTCCTTTGCAGGGACATAGATGAAGATGGAAACCATCATTCTCAGCAAACTAACACAGGAACAGAAAACCAAACACCGCATGTTCTCACTCATGAGTGGGAGTTGAACAATGAGAACATATGGACACAGAATGGGGAACATCACACACCAGGGCTTGTCGAGGGGTGGGGGGCAAGGGGAGAAATAGCATTAGGAGAAATACCTAATGTAGACGATGGGTTGATGTGTGCAGCAAACCACCATGGCACGTGTATACCTATGTAACAAACCTGCACATTCTGCACATGTATCCCAGAACTTAAGGTATATAAAAAATAAAAAAGATCCATCTGTAATGATACTCAAAAGGAAAAATGTAAAGGTAAATATAATAAAAATTGATTGATTTATATTGTAATGAGAGAGTATTGATTGATTGGTGCAACAAAAAGAAATGTTGATTTCTGCTTATTCTACTTAGCGTATATTTGCAGAGAATACATACACATTTTCTCTGCCAGGCTAAGTAGAGTGGATAGAGAAAACTGGAAGTAGACTGAATAATAACAGAGAATTTGGCAAGAAAGGGGACATGGAAAAACTCTACATAGCTTATGAAGAATATTTTAAAATAAACAAAAAAGGATGGCATATTCTTTTATATGAAGACTCAATATCATAAAAGTATCATTTTACTCAGTTTAGTCAGTATAGTTATTGTGATCCTAATAAAAATAAAGATTGTTTTGTTTTGTTGGGTCAGGCAGTCTAATTCTAAAGTTCATAAGGAAATTTCTATAAAAAAATTAAAAGGAATGTTGGAAGTATATTCCTGACACATATTAAAACAAGCGGTTAACCAAAAAAAGTTTAGAGAGTGCCAGAAAAATATGCAAATCATAGAAACTTCATAAATTATATTAAAAAAACTATTCATGAATAGTATTGGACAATAGGGTAATGTTTTGGAAAATTGGAAAAACTATACAGTCTGATCCCAAATGAACCAATTATATTTAAATAAATAAAACTTATTTGATACCTTCGATACAGTTTATCAAGTTAAGGAAATCCTTCTCTGCTTGGTGTTCTGGAGTGATTTTTTGTTTTGTTTTAAATGGATGTTGAGTAATTTTCAGCATTTTTTGTTTTGTATTGTTTTTGTTTTTTTCGCTTCAGATCAAGCAAGGTGACTTTCCACCTTAATTAATTTTGTATGTAATTAATTTATTAATTTGATGACTATTTCTAAATTTTCCTTTCTAAACAATTTTTTTGTTTCTGAGATAAAAAAAAACATGGTCATGATTTACTAGCACTTTAATACACTTTGTTGGTTTGCAAATATTTCCTTTAGAACTATTATATATATGACTATGAGTGATATTGGTCTATGATTTTTTTCATACTACATTTGGTTAATAATCAAATAATACCTGCCTAATAAAATAAGCAGCAACATATCTCCCCTTTTTCTATTCTTCAGAGGAGTTTGTATAAAATTGAAGTGGTCTGTCTACTATTTGGTAAAAGGCAAAGGCATCTGTATAACTACCTCAATTTTCATTTGTTCTTTATGAAAGATTTTAACTTCTGGTGTGATTTATTTAATAGCATTAGAGACTATTTTGGCTTTCTACTGTATCTTGAGTACATTTTGGAAAATTATATTTTTCTATGGAATTATCAATTTCATCAAGTTCTTTACTCTTCCATAACTGCTATGTAACAAACCACCCCAAAACCTAGTGGATTAAAATCACATAATAATTTATTGTGCTCACTAATCTGCAATTTGGGTAGGGTTTAGTTGAAAGGCTTTTTTCTGCTCTACATGGCATTAGCAGGGGAGGCTACTGAAGCCGAGTGGCTCACTTCCAAGATGGCTCACTCACATGGCTGGTAAGCTCCCTGCTGGGACCTGAGCCTTACTGTTGGACTGAGGCTTCAGTTATTCTCCATGTGGGCATCTCCATGGAACTGCTTGGATTCAATAAAGCAAGATGGATAGGTTCCAAGCATAAGTGTTCCAACGGACAGGAAATGGAAGCTGCCAGTCTCCTAAAGTCTGAGTCCAGCAACAAGCGTCCCATTATCTCTCCATATTCTATTGATAAAATCATCACAGATCCCTACCAGGATTAAAAGTAATAGACATAGATATTTTGATACAAACATCAAGGAAGCTTTAGTCTATCACATCAACTTATTTGTATAAAATTATTTATATAGCGTTATTACCATTTAAATATGTATACAGTAACACTTCAGATTCATCTTAACATATTTTGATATATACTCTATTCACAGTGATTACTGCTTTCTAATTTCCATTATGTTTTTCTTGGAGCCATTATTTATTTAGAAAGATAGGGGTTTTTTTGTTTGTTTTGTTGGTTGTTTTTTTTCGAGACAGTCTCACTCCATTGACCAAGCTGTAGTACAGTGGTGCGGTCTCGGCTCACTGCAGCCTCCACCTCCTGGGCTGAAGTGATTCTTCTTCCTCAGCCACCCAGGTAGCTGGGATTACAGGCATATGCCACCACACCCAGCTAATTTTCGTATTTTTAGTAGAGATGGCATTTCATCATGTTGGTCAGGCTGGTCTTGAACTCCCGACCTCAAGTGACCCACCTGCCTCAGCCTCCCAAAGTGCTAGAATTACAGGCTTGCACCATTGTGCTTGGCCTTAGAAAGATGTTTTAAATATGTAGTTATATTGTCAAATATTTTATCATGAATTTCTAATCTAGTTGTATTGTGGTCAGAGAACTGATGTATATGATATTTTTTATACTTTTGAAACTTGCTTCCTGAACTAATACATGTTCAGTTTTCATAAATGATTCATGTGTTCTTGGAAAAAATGTACATTATCAAATCATTAGTTGTAGTTATATGTACATACATGCAAATTATAAAATGTGGACTTTAGTGAAGACAAATTACTAAGGCAGACACTCTTGTTGATTCCATTAGAAAAAAATTATTGCTCCTTTTAGTAGTTTTTAGGTATTTAGAGCAAGAGGAAATGTAATATAGGGAATTACACACCACCAAAACAGTTAGAAGGCCTGACAGATTAAAGGTCAAATAAAATTATTGCTAATGTTTAGGAAATTAAAATACTGTAGAAATGAATGAAAATGTCGCGATTATTTTAGCTTCCTGCAACCCTGAGGTGGGTGATTCACAGAAAGCTCAGATGCCTCTCTTGTCTGCCAAAGCCCACTCACCATCACTATATCCAGAGCAGTAAACTCCTGTGCTACTCCTCTTTTCAAAATGTCAGAGGGCTACTTCTCATGGCAGAATCTAATCTGGAAATCTTAGAGCAAGGAATTTTAGGAAATATGCTTGCCACACTAACTTTCTCTGAAAACCAACAGAAGCACAAAGAGAAGTGGGGATAAATGCCAGTTACAAAAACAAGAAAAGAAAACAACAAAACCCCAGCATATATAGCACAGTAGATCAATAAAAGAGAGGTAGTCCTTCCAACAATAGCATGTATGGCTTAGAGAGCTGGGTTGTCATTCCCACTTGAGCCTTGTCATTAAGGTTGCATGAGACACAATTCCCCTGTTCAACCCTCTTGATTTTATAATTAAAATAATTTCCACTCTTACTGATTTGGGGCTGCTCTATTCATAAATAAATGAGAGAATTATAATCTTTCAATGTAATATGGACTTATTGTTTTCTTATAATTTAATCAAATTTATATATTTTAAAGACACCCATTATATACAATTTTAGACTTGCTGAATCGTCCTGGTGAATGAATAGCTTATCAATATGTAATGATTCTATTTATTTCCAATAATACATTTTTTGGTCCTAAAGTCTATTTTATCTGAGATTAAAATGAACAAACAGCTTTTTGTGAATAGTATTTGTCTGGCATATCTGTCTTGTAAATTTGCAATCTTTATTTGTTCTTAAAGGGCATAAACCTAGATTTTGTAAGACTTTTACTCAGTCTGAAAATTTTGTCTTTTACCTGAAAAAATTTTACATTTACCTTGATGACCTATTTGCTTGGATTAACTCCTATCAGATTATTTGTTTCACTTTTTTTATGCTTCTTTTTTTTCTTATTTCCTACATTCTTTTAGAAAGATTGAGTTTCCTTTTTGTTCTTGTCTTCTTAAAATATCTACATTAGTTTGGAAGTTAAACATTCTGCTTCTATTCTTTATGTATTTACCTTGACATGTTAACATACCAATTTAATGATCTCTAGTTTTAAGCAGTAAATTATCCCCTCCCAAATAATACACTTAGATTGTACAATTTTAACATTTTAAGTCCAACGACTTAAAGTCCTTCATAAACTACATACTTTTTTAAGTATTTTAATTCTATCTTTTCTAATCCTCAAAATTAGATATTACTATTGCTGTTGTTATTTACATTTCACGTTGGTTTGGATTTGCCTATATGCTTTCTGTCTCTAATAAAGGATCCAATAAATATGACATCTACAACATCTCAGGTTGTGAACTAATTAAAAGATGGTCAGACAGCTTCCAAGATGGCCGAATAGGAACAGCTCCAGTCTTCAGCTCCCAGTGAGTTTGGTGCAGAAGATGGGTGATTTCTGCATTGCCAACTGAGGTACCTGGTTCATCTCACTGAGACTGGCTGGACAGTGGGTGCAGCCCATGGAGGGTGAGCCAAAGCGGGGCAGGGCATCGTCTCAACTGGGAAGTGCAAGGGGTCAGGGGATTTCCCTTTCCCAGCCAAGGGAAGACTTGAGAGACTGTACTGGGAGGAAAGGTACACTCCTGCCCTAATACTGCACTTTTCCCATGATCTTCACAATCAGCAGACCAGGAGATTCCCTCCGGTGCCTGGCTCAGTGGGTCCCATGCCCACGGAGCCCAGCAAGCTAAGATCCATTGTCTTGGAATTCTCACTGCAAGTGCAGCAGTCTGAGATCATCGTGGGATGCTGGAGCATGGTGGAGGGGAGGGGCGTCTGCCATTGCTGAGGCTTGAGTAGGTGGTTTTATGCTCACAGTGTAAACAAAACTGCAGGGAAGCTTGAACTGGGCGGAGCCCACTGCAGCTCAGCAAGGCTGACTGCCTCTCTAGATTCCACCTCTGTGGGCATATCTGAACAAAATGCAGCAGCCCCAGTCGGGGACTCATAGATAAAACCCTCATCTCCCTTGGATGGAGCACCTGGGAGAAGGGACACCTGTGGGCACAGCTTCTGCAGAATTAAACGTCCCTGCCTGACAGCTCTGAAGAGAGCAGTGGTTCTCCCAGCATGGCGTTCGAGCTCTGATAACAGACAGACAGCCTCCTCAAGTGGGTCCCTTACCCCCATGTAGCCTGACTGGGAAACACTTCCCAGTAGGGGCTGAAAGACACCTCACACAGGAGAGCTCTGGCTGGCATCTGGCAGGTGCCCCTCTGGTACGAAGCTTCCAGAGGAAGGATCGGGCAGCAATATTTGCTGTTCTGCAGCCTCTATTGGTGATACACAGGCAAACAGGGTCTGGAGTGGATCTTCAGCAAACTCCAACAGACCTGCAACTGAGGGGCCTCACTGTTGGAAGGAAAACTAACAAACAAAAAGGAATAGCATTAACATCAACAGAAAGGACATCCACACCAAAACTCCATCCGTACGTCACCAACATCAAAGACCAAAGGTAGATAAAACCATAAAGATGGAGAAAAACCAGAACAGAAAAGCTGAAAATTCCAAAAACCAGAACGCCTCTTTGCTTCCAAAGGATCGCAGCTCCTCGCCAGCAAGGGAACAAAACTGGACGGAGAATGAGTGTGATGAGTTGACAGAAGTAGGCTTCAGAAGATCGGTAATAACAAACATCTCTGAGCTAAAGGAGCATGTTCTAACCCATTGCAAGGCAGCTAAAAACCTTGAAAAAAGGTTAGAAGAACGGCTAACATGAATAAACAGTGTACAAAATAACATAAATGACCTGATAGAGCTGCAAAACACAGCATGAGAACTTCGGGACACACGCACAAGCTTCAGTAGCTGATTTGATCAAGCAGAAGAAAAGATATCAGTGATTAAAGATCAAATTAATGAAATAAAGAGAAAAGACAAGATTAGAGAAAAAAGAGGGAAAAGAAACCAACAAAGCCTCCAAGAAATATGGGACTATGTGAAAAGACCAAATCTACGTTTGATTGGTGTACCTGAAAGCGATGGGGAGAATGGAACCAAGTAGGAAAACACTCTTCAGGATATTTTCCGGGAGAACTTCCCCAAACTAGCAAGGCAGGCCAACATTCAAATTCAGGAAATACAGAGAACACCACAAAGATATTCCTTGAGAAGAGCAACCCCAAGACACATAATTGACAGATTCACCAAGGTTGAAATGAAGGGAAAAATGTTAAGGGCAGCCACTAAGAAAGGTCAGGTTACCCACAAAGAGAAGCCCATCAGACTAACAGTGGATCTCTCAGCAGAAACTGTACAAGCCAGAAGAGAGTGGGGGCCAATATTCAACATTCTTAAAGAAAAGAATTTTCAACCCAGAATTTCATATCCAGCCAAACTAAGCTTCATAAGTGAAGGAGAAATAAAATCCTTTACAGACAAGTAAATGCTGAGAGATTTTGTCACCACCAGGCCTGCCTTACATGAGCTCCTGAAGGAAGCACTAAACATGGAAAGGAAAACTGATACCAGCCACTGCAAAAACATGCCAAATTGTAAAGACCATTGATGCTATGAAGAAACTGTATCAACTAATGGGCAAAATAACCAGCTAGCATTATAATGACAGGATCAAATTCACACATAACAATATTAACCTTAAATGTAAATGGGATAAATGTCCCAATTAAAAGACACAGACTGGCAAATTGGATAAAGAGTCAAGACCCATCAGTGTGCTATATTCAGGAGACCCACCTCACGTGCAAAGACACACATAGGCTCAAAATAAAAAGATGGAGGAAGATTTACCAAGCAAATGGAAAGAAAAAAAAAGCAGAGGTTGCAATCCTAGTCTCTGATAAAACAGACTTTAAACAAACAAAGATCAAAAGAGACAAAGAAGGCCATTACATAATGGTAAAGGGATCAATTCAACAACAAGAGCTAACTACCCTAAATATGTATGCACCCAATACAGGAGCACCTAGATTCATAAAGCAAGTTCTTAGAGACCTACAAATAGACTTAGACTCCCACACAATAATAATGGGAGACTTTAACACCCCACTGTCAATATTAGATCAATGAGACAGAAAATTAACAAGAATATCCAGGACTTAAACTCAGCTCTGGACCAAGTGGACCTAATAGACATCTACAGAACTCTCCACCCCAAATCAACAGAATATACATTAATCTCAGCAACATATTGCACTTACTCTAAAACTGACCACATAATTGGAAGTAAAACACTCCTCAGCAAATGTAAAAGAAGAGAAATCACAACAAACTGTGTCTCAGACCACAGTGCAATCAAATTAGAAATCAGGGTTAAGAAACTCACTCAAAACCATACAACTACATGGAAACTGTACAATCTGCTCCTGAATGATGACTGGGTAAAGGCAGAAATAAATAAGTTCTTTGAAACCAATGAGAACAAAGACACAATGTACCAGAATCTCTGGGACACAGCTAAAGCAATGTTTAGAGGGAAATTTATAGCACTAAAGGCCCACAGGAGAAAGCAGAAAAGATCTAAAATCGACAACCTAACATCACAATTAAAAGAACTAGAGAAGCAATAGCAAATAAATTCAAAAGCCAGCAGAAGACAAGAAATAACTAAGATCAGAGCAGAACTGAAGAGATAGATACACAAGAAATCCTTCAAAAAGTCAATGAATCCAGGAGCTGATTTTTTGAAAAGATCAACAAAATAGACCAACAAATAGCAAGACTAATAAAGAAGAAAAGAGAGAAGAATCAAATAGATGCAATAAAAAATGATAAAGGGGATATCACCACCTATCTCACAGAAATACCAACTACCATCATAGGATACTATAAACACCTCTAGGCAAATAAACTAGAAAATCTAGAAGAAATGGATAAATTCCTGGACACATACAGCCTCCTATGACTCAACCAGGAAGAAGTCGAGTCTCCGAATAGACCAATAATATGTTCTAAAATTGAGACAATAATTAATAGCCTACCAACCAAAAACAGTCCAGGACCACATGGATTCACAGCCAAATTCTACCAGAGGTACAAAGTGGAGCTGGTACCATACCTTCTGAAACTATTCCAAGCAACAGAAAAAAAGAGGGAATCCTCCCTAACTCATCTTATGAGGCCAGCCTCATCCTGATACCAAAGCCTGGCAGAGACACAACAAAGAAAAGAGAATTTTAGGCAAATATCCCTGATGAACATCGATGCAAAAATCCTCAATAAACTACTCACAAACTGAATCCAGCAGCACATCAAAAAGCTTATCCACCATGACCACATCGGCTTCATCTCTGGGATGCAAGTCTGGTTCAACATACACAAATCAATAAACATAATCCATCACATAAACAGAACCAACGACAAAAACAACATGATTATCTCAATATGCAGGAAAGGCCTTCGACAAAATTCAACACCCCTTCATGCTAAACACTCTCAATAAACTAGGTATTGATGGAACATATCTCAAAATAATTAGAGCTGTTTATGACAAAACCACACCCAATATCATACTGAATGGGAAAAAAAATGGAAGCATTTCCTTTGAAAACCAGCACAAGAAAAGGATGTCCTCTCTCACCACTCCTATCCAACATAGTATTGGAAGTTCTGGCCAGAGCAATCAGGCAAGAGAAAGAAATAAAGCATATTCAATTAGGATAAAGAGGAAGTCAAATTGTCTCTGTTTGTAGGTGACATGTTTGTATATTTAGAAAACCCCATTGTCTCATTCCCAAATCTCCTTAAGCTGATAAGCAACTTCAGCAAAGTGTCAGAATACAAAAATCAATGTGCAAAAATCACAAGCATTGCTATACAACAATAACAAACAGAGAGCCAAATCATGAGTGAACTCCCATTCATAATTGCTACATAGAGAATAAAATACCTAAGAATACAACTTACAAGGGATGTGAAGGACCTCTTCAAGGAGAACTACAAACCACTGCTGAAGGACATAAGAGAGGGCACAAACAAATGGAAAAACATTCCATGCTTATGGGTAGGAAGAATCAATATCATGAAAATGGCCATGCTGCCCAAAGTAATTTATAGATTCAATGCTATTCTCATCAAGCTACCACTGACTTTCTTCACAGAACTGGTAAAAACTACCTTATATTTCATATGGAACCAAAAAAGAGCCCGTATAGCCAAGACAATCCTAAGAAAAAGAACAAAGCTGGAGACATCTCGCTACCTGACTTCAAACTATACTACAAGGCTACAGTAACCAAAACAGCCTGGTACTGGTACTAAAATAGATATATAGACCAATGGAACAGAATAGAGGCCTCAGAAATAACACCAAACATCTGAAACCATCTGATCTTTGACGAATCTGACAAAAACAAACAATGGGGAAAGGATTCCCTATTTAATAAATGGTGCTGGGAAAACTGGCTAGTCATATCTAGAAAGCTGAAACTGGACTCCTTCCTTAGACCTTATACAAAAGTTAACTCGAGATGGATTAAAGACTGAAATGTAAGACCTAAAATCATAAAAACCCTAGACGAAAACCTAGGCAATACCATTCAGGACATAGGCATGGGCAAAGACTTCATGACTAAAACACCAAAGCAATGGCAACAAAAGCCAAAATAGACAAATGGGATCTAATTAAACTAAAGAGCTTCTGCCCAGGAAAACAAACTATCATCAGAGTGAGCAGGCAACCTACAGAATGGGAGAAAATTGTTGCCATCTATCCATCTGACAAAGGGCTCATCTCCAGAATCTACAAAGAAACAAATTTCCAAGAAACGAACAAACAACCCCAACAATAAGTGGGATAAGGATATGAACAGACACTTCTCAAAAAAGACATTTATGCAGCCAACAGACATATGAAAAAATGCTCATCATCACTGGTCATTAGAGAAATGAAAATCAAAACCACAGTGAGATACCATCTCACTCCAGTTAGAATGGCGACCATTGAAAAGTCGGGGGTTGGGGGAGTGATAGCATTAGGAGAAATACCTAATGTAAATAACGAGTTGAAGGGTGCAGCAAACCAACATGGCACATGTATACCTATGTAACAAACCTGCAAGTTGTGCACATGTACCCCAGAACTTAAAGTATAATAATAAAAAAATTAAAAAAAAAATGGTCAAGAAAGGTTCAAGCACATGGAAAACAAAATATGACTAATATTTGAAAATATGGCTTAAATCTATTGGCAAGTGGGCTTCATGATACTGAGCCACAGAATGAGACAAATTCACCCACAGGCAGCCATAAATAATGTGAACATCTCTATGTGGGAGTAGCCCCCTGTAAAACATGGATGAAGCAGCAGAGTGGAACGTGTGCTTCCTGCAAGTAATTAGGCATCTGATCACAAACACTATAAAACTAATAAAGAAGACAGTCAGTAAATAGCATCAATACTTTGGTTGTATGTTAAGTACCTTATAATAGTAAGTTTTATAATTGATATCGAAATACTCTGTTCTGTCTGTACTTAAGAATTGAAGCATTTAAATAGAGTTGGAAATTTAACTCTGTCTTCTAACTTAAAAATATTTAGGAAAAGTTGGTGGACAAGCTTATATAATTTTTAATTACTACATTATATTATAAAAGTATTGTTTAAAGTTTTAGATGGATTTTATTACCTAAATTCATAAGTATAATACATTTAGCATTAAATTAAATGATAATAGTAGTAAATTATTTTCACATACAGAAGCCCTTAGAACATTTGAAGATGCTGGCAGCAATTGTATTTGTCAAACATGCCAAACGGTATTGAGCAACATTTACAAGAATGAGCATTGTGTATTCTGCATGTTTTTAATAGGATGGCATTAGAGTTTCACTTTAGGATTTTGCTGTTTGTTAATTTGTTTCATAAATTATTATGTTTAAGATAATGTAAAATAAGCTTCCTTTCAAGGTAATTTTACTTAGAATTTATTTTAGATCTTTCTGCAGAATCTTAACAATGCTCTTTTACCTATTTACATGATTTTTTCTCCTTTAATGTGTGGAAAAGGTGAATTTCCTTGGAAGATTTTCTGATATTGAACTATCTTTGCATTACTCAAATTACCACACTTTTTTATATTGTGTTTTTGTATTGATATTCTGATGAATTTTTCTTGATCATACTGTATTACATAGAGAAATTTTCCTCTGTATTAATAGGTTCAGTCTGAATACAGAGTTTCTGTGCTATCATTACAATATTTTGAATTAAGATTCTTCTCCTTTCATAAAATCAATTTGGGGAAGTTTCTGATTTAGTTAACATCAGAAGTATTTAATTTTTAAAGGGCTGGTAGACCTTAGCTGTGAAACAATCTTGGTGTCTGTCTTGTGTTTATTTTATTTTTAAATTTTAGATAATTACCTTTCCAATTTCTTCTATGATAATTGCTCTTTCACATTTTCTACTTCTTGGAACAATTGAAAGTATATTTCTTGTAGGTTTTCAAATTCCATGCTATTAAGGATTCACATAATTCATATCATTTCTTTCACAGCTATAATTATATCCTTTCCTTTTCAGTTTTTAGACATTTTATATACATGCTTCATAGTTTTTGCTAATTAAAATCACAAGCATTTTTTTCTCAATGTTTTTATTTTCAGCCATTGTTCTTAAGTTATGAAGGCATTTAATACTATACGTTTTCCTCTGATTGAGCTTTTCTGTGTCTTGTAAGTTTTCTCATGGCATGTTTTCATTTCATTGCTGTGTAAATGATTTAGAATTTTAGTTTTGGTACCCTCTTGGATAAAAGGCTATATAAAAGGCTTAATTTTTCAACGAGTAAATTCTTTAGTCATATTTTTACTTTGTGAAATTTTACTAGACTATTATCAAAAAAATCCCCTGCCATGTCTCTTCTCTTTTATAATGTGTTAAGGCTTTCTTTGTGCCAAATACATTGTAGATTTTTGTATAATGTCTAAGGACACATAACACAATTATATTTTCCATTTTAAAGGATTTCAAGATAAATATAAAATAGCCTTAGTGACTGTATTATTTAATTCTGTTTTTACTTTTTGTTAATAAATTTCTCCTATTTAGTATAAAAGACTTCAATTAAAGTGTCCTACTAAAAAAGTGTATTAATCAAATTTTTGTGTTGCTGATGATTTTCACTTTATAAGTTTAGATGTACTGTTTTTGGTCCTAAAAGATTTACGACTGACATACCTTTCTTATAAATTACAGCTCTTGGGATCACATAATCTCTCTTTATTCAGTTTAGTCTTTTTTATTCTTAGATTTCACCCTGTGTAATATTCATAGTAAATCCTTAGGTTTTTTTGTTGTTGTTTTGTTTGTTTGTTTTTGTTTTGCATTTCTTAGTATCTCTTAGGCCATTCCATTATTTTTCAACCGTCTGTGTAGTTCTTATAAACCATACATAACTGTATTTTGACGAGCAACACAATATTATGGTATCCATCTTATATTAGTTGAAATTAGCAGCCTCACATTTAGTACACCCAGTGATGTGCTTTATTTTATTCCTTCTACCTTGATACTTACTGTTTAACATTTTGTTTTTCTTTCTTTTTTGTCTAGGTTTTTAAAATTATAACTATTCCTCTCTCACCTTTACAATATGTAAGTGCTATACATTTTCTTTTCTCTAGCATTTAACTTATTTTCAAATTCTCACATTCAAATACATGATTTTCTATTAATAATAATATACTATTAACTATTTCTTCTCACAAAGTTGCTAAATTTTCTCCCATTTTCCTCTCTCATGCCAAAAGGATGAGAACTTTAAAGCATTTTTTTAAACCCACTTTATCTCATATCCTAGGTTATGCTAAGATAGTTTTGTACTTTTAGTTCAACTTTATTCCCCTGTACTATGTCTTTATATTTTAAGAATCATTTTTTGACTTAACTATATCCCATTACTTATTGTTATCCATTTACAGAGAGGGCTAAAGAGTGAGAGAGAGGGAAAGAAAGGGAGAGACTGATTCTATATGTCTTTGTTTTTTGTATTTCATCTTTTCCAATTTTGAGGAGTCAGATTTGAGTCATGTGTTACTTATTTAGAATTTTTTTTGAGTATGTTCATCATATTGTATGTGTGTGTAAGTGATATATTCTCTATTCACAAATACTTTTCTTTCACTCTAACATGTGAATATCTTGGCTGGGTCTATGACTCTTAACTTATAATCTATTGATCCCTCTTCTTAGTATAATTTTACCTTTTTTCTAACATTCAGTGTAGAATATAAGAGTCCAAGCCAGTTGAATGGTTTTTTTTCTCTTAAATTAACCCATGCTTAATTTCTCTTAAATTAACTCATGTGTTCTGTCTTCTTCTAGAATAAAATTGTTCTCTAAAAACTACAAACTAATGTATTTGGGGTTTGGAGGGCAGATGAGCAAGTGTAGCTTCTTATTTAAATAGACCAGGCATGTTGGTTGTTGGCAAGTGAGAAGATAGGATGTCATCCATGATAATAGGAGGAATAGCCCTTGTCCAACAATTTTGCAGTTTTCTCTGAACATTCTAGTAGCAGGAAGTACAGAGACTGAAATAGTCAAACTGTCCCATATCTATGGATGTCTGGAATAAGTTAAGGGGTCAAGATTGGACAAAAAAAGCAAAAAGACCATGGGAAAAATACAGTTCACAAAACTTTAAATTCTGCAGCTGCTATTCCTGCTATTCGATGTAATGAAAGGAAATATCCCACTCTATAGCAGAAACAAAGAGAAACCTGACCAGAGCAAGAGAGCAAAGGCCTGTTTGGAAGAGTTGGTAGAAGCATTTGATAAGTGTCCTCAGAATTAACATAAAGGTCAAGGAGAATGAGGATAGAGAGAAAAACCTGAGAAACAATTTGAAAAACAATCAATACCTCAGACACACAGAGGAATTTTGAACTCATGAATACCAAGCTGGCAAGCAGGTTTTTGCTGAGAGAATCCTGGAGAGAAAACAGAAGGCCAATACCCTGATGGAGTAAGGGTGGATTTTCTCTTCCATCTGACAAGTAAATATGTTTCATGTATTGTGATATGTGGCTGTCTCTGGAGCTTTGATCAGTTATGAATGTTATTTCATCATATGCATAACCTGTGGGAAAAAAAATCCCATATAAATGATTGGGATTACTGCACTGTGCACTTCACAGCTGTATCCAGTTTATAAATAATTGAGAAAGATTCACCTCCCAGGGGGACTCAATATAGGACACATAAAATAAAATTAAAAGTTAGATCAATGCAGTTCCATCTAGGCTTGTTATAATGTGAAGGCCATTTCATAATGAAGAATACTCAAGAATGACATCTGAAACAATAGTTTCTCAGGTTGATGAGCTCAGTAATGAATCGCTCTGTTATTTCCTTCCAAGACTGATTAAAATAGCACTTGAGTTCCTGAATATACTGAAGTGCTTTTAAATGAAGCAAACAGCTGTCTGGTGAAAAACAAGGCAGGGCACGCATATACAGGGGTTAATGTCTTTACGGTGAAACCAAATCCCCTCAACAAACTCATGAATGAAGGTATTTCTTTCATATGGAAGAATTCTGATTTTGGAAGGAAGGCTTCTCTTGAAGTAGGGGGACCGTTGCAACTTTATTCAAACTGGATCAATCTTAGGAATCCATTTACTAATTTTATTTGCATTCTCATGAATAAGGTCTGCTAGGGTCTATGTCCTACCAATTACTCAAGAATTACTTACTAAGAACCTACTGTGTGAAAGTTTTAGACCTGGTTGGTGAATAAAACTGAATCAGATCTAACTCTCACTAGAAAGAGCACCCAGTTAGATGATACTTAATATTCATTACCCAGAAAAACATGTTATATTGTGATGTATTTCATTGTACCTATGTAATATGTATGTAATGTGTAAGAAATGTGTAAAATATTGTAAAAGTTTATTTTTGTTGTCTTTTGCTTTTTAAGTTGGAGTCAGATTAAAATACAGTATTTGAGAATGGGATATTTAACCAGATTTTTTTTTAAGTAAGATCTACTTATGCAAGAATAGATAGTACAGGGAAAAAATCCAGGGATCAGAGGAATAAAGAAATGAATAATAGTGGAATTATAAAACTTGAAAAGAACACAAGGGAACATCTGTTTCTAGTGATGTGTAAAATATGTTGACCCAAAATAATCTCTCTTCTCTGAAATTTTGTACTATTTTATTAACATTTATAATACATTGCCTTATTTTGTATATACTTGCATGTATCCGTGAGCCCTTGATGGGAATCATGTGAGTCTTTATATTCCCACAGAAAGTGCTTAGTATGTAGTTGGACAGAAAAAAATGTTTGTCCAGGTCAGAATAAGTTTGTGGAAGAGAATGGTCCTAGAAATGATGGGTATGAGACATCTTCTCTCATTACTTTTTGTTCTTCTTTCACATTATAATAACAAGATTTGATCTCTGTATCTCTTCATTCTCCTTAGTTTCTTTTATGCATTTTATTACAGTACTTAAAAATGCACATCTCATTACTTTCTTCAATTTTCATGTGACATGACATCATTTCCTTCATGCCCCTCATTAGATTATTTAACGTGCTCATCTCATTACACCTTCCCATCTTGCATCTCATTACAAAACCCTTAAACATGCACATCTCATTACATAGTCCTTACATATCTCATTACACAATTCCGTTTTTGTATCTCATTGTCATTTCATTTCTGTATCTTATTACATTAAAACCTAGTTCCCATTATATCTTACATATTTTGAAAATTTATATACTCTCCCGTCCTTCCTTTATGCATCTAATTATCCTGCTTCTCCTTTATGTGACCAGCTCATTACACTTTTTCTTTCACCCATCTCATTTCAGCCCTGAAGGATGCCCATCTTACAGGACACTTCCTGAGTCATGGCTCATTAAACCAGCTCACGAAGTCACCTCATTACAGCGTTTTAACACATACATCTTATTACATAGAACTCTTCATGAATCTCATTACAATCCTGGAACATACACATATTACTATCCTGTTCTATCTTATGCATCTTGTCACAGCATCACAACTACACATCTCATTAAAATATTTATTATTTTAACATATCCCTTTATTATATGTTCCTCACAGTTTCTTTTCACTAATATTTCAGTATTTCATTACATTTTCACATTTCTGTGTTTAAAAAGAATGACTATATATTTTAAAAGGGAGTTTTCTTAAATTGTGTTTCATACATCTTTAAATTGTTTTGTTATTATACTGATGCTTCTCAAACTGGTGCCCTGGGATGTTATTAGATATGAAGTAAAAAAACAAGTTCAAATAAGTCTGGGTTAGTAAAAAATTTTGTAAGTTTACATGGTTACTAAAAATTAATCAAATAAAAAACTTGCATTCTTAGCTTAGGAATTCTCAAAGCCTTTTTTACTCTATTGACAATTATAAATATTCATGAAGGAGGCCCAGCCTGTAGTATTTCTCAAATCAATCTGCCACACATTTTATTTACAGCCTACACATTAAATACACCCAGAACTTGTGTCCCATGGGGCACAGGTTAAGAAAGGCTTGATTGTAATATTTTATATATATAGAGAGAGACACATATATTCACATCTGTATACAGTTATATATTTACCACCACGTATTTTACCTGCAGCTCTGCATCACTTCCTAGAACTAATGATACTTCCATGAGTGATTCATTGACCTCATATAGTTGTTCTCAGACTTTGGTGGGTAGCAGAGTCACCTGAAGAACTTGGTAAAAATACAAAGACCCTGGCCTCACCCTATTTCAGCAAGCCTGGGCTTTTGTGTGCTGAATCAGCTCTCCAAGTGATCCTGATATACATCAAAGTTTGGGAACACTGCCTTACTGAGTACTTACTGTATCATACTCTACATAAGAATACATGAAGACAAACAGATATATAAGAAGACATGGGCCCTGACTATGAAATCATAACAATTCAATTATAGTGGCTACTTTCTCCTTAGCCACTAGACAAAGACATGCAGGTAATTTCTCCCAGTGAGTCGAGCTTCTTATCTAAGTGCTAGCAATATATGGAAGTTGTTTACATGATGGTTGGAAGACAAGCTTGGCATTGAACAGACCTGGATTTGAATCCCTTTCCCACCAATATCTAATGATCTTGAAGAAGGACATAATACCTCTCTGAGCATCAATTTCTTCCACTGTAAAATGGTGTGATAATACTTCCTCATAATATTATATTTAGGAATGAATAATCATGGAAAACAGAAAAGTTTTACCACAATCTCTTGCACAGAAGAAGTAGCCATTATCAATAAGTTTATTTTGACCCTTATATGTCACGCTAAGACCAATGATTGTGAAGCTACTACTGTGTATCAACTGATTCCCAGTGCACAGAAATACAGGATTAAATAAAGACACATAAATTGAGTGCCATGGTGCATTCCTGTAATCCCAGCTACTCTAGAGGCTGATGTAGAAGGAATGCTTGAGCTCAGCCATTCAACACCAGTTTAGGCAACAACATAGAGAGACCTATCTAAAAATAAATAAATACATAAATAAATAAGACACATAATCTCCCTGTATGATCAAAAAGAGAGATTGTACCTAAGCGCCACAAGTTTGTCCATGTTCTAGGAACCTTGTCAAATCTTAGCATATATGGTAGATTATGATCCTGTCATATGATAGAAAACCAGAAGTTACACAATCATACATGCATTAATGTGGTAGTGACCTAGAGGATAGAAAACCTTAGTGCATGTCTTCAATGATCTTATACAACTAATAAGAATGATCTTATACAACTAATGGTCTTGATTTCTTACCACCTGTGCAAATGATACTACTAATCCTTGTGTTGACTACCTCAGCAAACAATTGTAGTCATCACGTGAGATCATCCATATGGAAATATATTATACAAAAGAATTAATAATACCTTAAAAGGGAATTCATTATTATTTCCAAGCACTTACCAGAAAAGTTGGCTCCTGTGAGAATCTCAGTTAATTATAAGTGTATTTACAATGTGGTCTCTAGATAGCAAACCTGCTCTTTTAACTATTCAAACTGATTCTTTGAGGGACTCAGACATAGATCTAGGGATTCTGATTCACACAATCTTAGATGATGCCAAGGCAAGGGTAATTTGTAAAAGCAACCTTTCTCCACCCCCAATATGATGTGGTATAGTTGATAAGTAATCCTAACACAGTGTTTTTCAAACTTGCCTCCACTTTGGAATCAGCTGGGAAGCTTTAAAACTACTGATGCCTGGGTCCCACCAACAGAGATTCTAAATGAATTGATTTGTGATGAGGTCTTGGAATCAGAATTTTACAAGTCCCTCAGCTAATTCTAATGTGCAATAAAGCTGAAGAACAACTGCCCTGTTAATTCAAAGATCCTATAGCTCTACTATTTGTTCTTTATTTGAAATAGGGAGGCGGCTTAAAATCTGTTTTTATATGATCGGTCTTCCTAAGGATTCCCAGTGGTCTTTGAAACCTGTCTTTCTTCCTAATTACTCTAGAGCTCTTGTCAAAGTACTGACATTAGTCCCTGTTCTTTCTCAGAAGTATCTGCTATTAGATGATTTCTTGATTTGGGATGAGGAAGAACTTCCTTTCACTGGCCTCTCGGTTTCCTATCTACCACCTAGCATACTGCTGGCAAAGAGAGCTTACGGAATACCTGGTAATTGACTAATTTCTGGTCATGAATATTACCAAGATGAGATTTTAAATTAAATACGCTAATTAGCATATCTGTTAGAAGAAAATTAAAACTGTGGCTTACTTTCTTTATAGACCAATTCCAAACTTAAACTGAGAAAACAGTTCCTACTAGGAGGTCTACATACTTTTGGAAGGTATCTTCATACTCTGAGCACCAAGGATCATTTTGGAATAATTCTAAAGTTAAAGATGCATTTTCTCTTAAGGATTATATTATTTCCAAATAGAAAGGATATTGGCAGAAACTAGTGTCCACCTGGCTGTAGAGAACTACTTTCAAGTTTGTTTGTCTCTCTCTATATTTTATTTATAATAGAAACTGCATTAATAAACTGGCCTTACATAATATATTGTTTCTCACAAGTTTTCAAGTATGGCTCCCCAATATTACGATCTTACCAAGATTGCAGAAAATAAGGTATAAATAAATATCCTGAATAAAATATGAGTAAGTGAAATTCTGAAACATTCAACAGCACAATCCCAATTGAAAGTAAAAACAAAAATAAAATGAGAGTTAATAAGAAACAAAAGGAAGGCAAAAACAAAAAGATGTGATAAAGACTTAAAAAATTAAAAGTCTATCAATTCCATGGCAAAAATAAGACAAACCAAATGCCTTATTAAACATTTAATAGAATGAAGTATACATTACTGATACTTTAAAGCATTCAAAAATGAAGGAAAATAGGAAAAAAGACTACAATACTCCTCTTGAGAAAATGCTAGCAACATTTCCATTATTTCCATTAAAATCAAAAGTAGGGGGAACAAGATGGTGGACTAGAGGCCTACATTGTTTGCCACTCCGCTAGAAACACCAAATTTTAGCAACTGTCACAAGAACCAAAAATCAGGTAAGCAATAATAATAGTACCTGGTTTTAACTTTTTATAACAAAAGAGTCATTGAAGAGGGGAAGAGAGACGGTCTCAAATCACTAGTGCCATTCTTTCCCTATCCCCTTGAAGCAGCTGTGTGGCATGGACAGAGAATCTGTGCACTTTGGGAGAGCACAGTTACTGGGGAACTTTTTACATTGCATTTCAGTGCTGCCCTGTCAGAGTAAAGAATAAAGCCACGCTGGGTGCAGCCAGTGCCAACCGTGGAGAAAGTATTTGGACCAGCCCTAGCCAGAGGAGAGTCACCCACCCCAGCAGTTAGAACTTGAGTTTCTTGCAAGCTTCATGACTACAAGCTGAAGTGCTCTGGGGTTCTAAGTAAACACGAAAGGCAATCTAGGACACAAGGACCGAAATTTCCAGGCAACTCCTAATGCAAGGCTGGGCTTAGAGCCAGTGTCTAGGGAGGCATGTAACCTAGGGAGACACCTGCCAGGGTAGCTAATGAAGCGCTGATGCCATCCCTCCCCATGCCTAGGCAGTGAAGCTCACAGAAATGAAAGTGACTCCTTCCTTCAGCTTAAGGAGAGGAGAGTGAAGAGTAAAAGGATTTTGTCTTACATTTTGGGTAACAGTTTAGCCACAGTAAAATAGGGCACCAGGAAGAGTTGTCAGGTCCCCATTCAAGGTCCTAGCTCCTGGCAACAGTTCTAGACATAACTTTGGCCAAAAGGGAACTTGCTATCTTGAAGAGAAAGACCCCGGTCCTGGAAGAATTCATCAACTGGTGACTAAAGAGCTCTTGGGCCCTGAATAACCAGAAGAAATACCCAGGGAGTACGCTCTGGGCCTTAGGCTCTGAAACATGCTGGCTTCAGGTGTGACCCAGCACATTCCCAGCTGTGGTGGCAATGGTGAAAGATTCCTGTTTGAGAAAAGCAGAGGGAAAACTAAAGGGGACTTTTTCTTGCACCCTAGGTACCAGCTCAACCACAGTGGGGCAGAGCAACAAGTAGGCTCTTGGGATCCTCAAGCCTAGGACTAGGTTATTGGATAGCATTTCTGGACCTGCCCTGGGACAGAGGGGAGCCCACTGCCCTGAAGGGTAAGTACCAGGCCTGGCGGCATTAACCCACAACCTGAGGCAAGATTCCTTGGGCTCTAAGAGACCATTGGTATGGCCTGGCAGAACCCTCATGGTCTGGTGGTGATGGTGGTAGCCATAGGTAGAGGCTTCTCTGCCTGTGGAAAGGGGAAGAGTGGGAAAGACTTTGTATTGTGGTTTGAGTATTACCTTAGATGTAATAGAATAGAACATCAGGTAAATGGCCAAGGCTTTTGACTCCAATCTCTGGCTCCTGGACAGAGATTGTGGACATACCTTGAGCTTTGGAGAGCTCACCACCAGTTAGGGAAGGGCCTTGGGCAAGGCCCAGTGCCGTTCTGGCTTCAGGTGTGACTCAGTGCAGTCCCACTAGTGGTGACCACAAGGGTGCTTGCATCACCACACTCCCAAGTTCCAGGTGGCTCAGCACAAAGAAAGAGAGACTAGGTTTGTTTGCAAAAATGGGAAAATACAAGCATCTCTGCCTGGTAGTCCAGATAATTCTACCAGATCTTATCCAAGACCACTAAGGCAGTACCTCTATGAGACTTCAAAAACCACAGCCTTATTGGGCTTGTGGTCCAAGTCTCTTCAAATACCTGGAAAGCTTTCCAAAGAAGGACAGGCACAAACAAGCCCAGAAGGTGGAGGCTAAAATAAAGACTTAACTCTTCAATGCCCATATACCAATGAACATCTACAAGCATCAACACCATCCAGGAAAACAAGACCTTACCAAATGAACCAAATAAGGCACCAGGCACAAACCCTGGAGAAACAGAGACTTCAAAATACTTTGAGGAAAATTATTTGAGGAAACTCAAAAATATTCAAGGTAATACAGATAAGGAATTCAGAATTCTAGCACATAAATTTAACAAAGAGACTGAAACAATGAAAAAGAATCAAGCAGAAATTCTAGAGTTGAAAAATGCAATTAGCCATGCTGAAAAATGCATCAGAGTCTCACATAGCAAAATAGATTAAGCAGAAGAAAGAATTAGTGAGCTTGAAGATAGGCTATTTGGAAATACCCAGTCAAAGGAGGAAAAGAAAAAAGAATAAAAAACAATAAAGTACACCTACAATATCTAGAAAATACCCCCAAAATGACAAATCTAAGAGTTATTGGCCCTTTAAAGAGGAGGTAGAGAAAGAGATAGGGGTAGAAAGTTTATTCAACAGGATAATATCAGAGAATTTCCCAAACCTAGAGAAAGATATCAACATTCAAGTATGAGAAGGTTATAGAACCAAGCAGATTTAACCCAAAGAAGATTACCTCAAGGCATTTAATAATCAAACTCCCAAAAGTTAAGGATAAAGAAGGATCCTAAAAGCAGCAAGAGAAAAGAAACAATTACAATACAATGGAGCTCCAATATATCTGGCAGCAGACTTTTCAGCAGAAACCCTACAGGCCAGGAGAGAGTGGCATGACGTATTTAAAGTGCTGAAGGAAAAACATTTTTACCCTAAAATAGTATATCAGGTGAAAATATCCTTTAAGCATGAAGAAGAAATAAAGACCTTCCCAGACAACAAAAGCTGAGGATTTTATCAATACCAGAGCTGTCCTACAAAAAAAAAAAAAAATGCTAAAGGAGGTTTTTCAATCTGAAAGAAAAGGAGATTAATAATCAAGAAGAAATCATCTGAAGTTAAAAAACTCACTAGTAATGGTGGTAAGCACACAGAAAAACACAAAATAATATAACACTGTAATTGTGGTGTGTATTCTTGACTTGAGTAGAAAGACTAAATAATGAACCAATTGAGAATAATAACTACAGCAACTTTTCTATACATAGAGAGTACACTCAGACAGAGAAACAACAAAAAAATTAAAAAGCAGAGGGACAAAGTTAAGGTGTAGAGTTTTTATTAGTTTCCTTTTTGTGTGTTTGTTTACTCAATAAGTGTTAAATTGTTATCAGTTTAAAATAATGAGTTATAAGATAGTACTTGCCAGCCTCATGGTAACCTCAAATTGAAAAGCATACAACAGATACACACGCACACAAATGAAAAGCAAGGGAAATTAACAAATACCACCAAAGAAAATCACCTTCACTAAAAAGAAGACAGGAAGAAAGGAAAATAGAGAAGACAGCAAAACAAGAAGAAAGCAAATAATGAAAAGGAGGAAGGATCTCTATTTATCATAATAGCATTGGTTATAAATGGACTAAACTCTCTAATCAAAAGACATAGAGTGGTTGAATAGATTTAAAAAAAAGACCAAATGATCTGTTGCTTACAAGAAACAGACTTCACCTATAAAGATACACACAGACTGAAAATAAAGGGGTAGAAAAAGATTTCATGCCAATGGAAACAAGAAAAGAGTAGGAGTAACAGTACTTATATCAGACAAAATAGATTGCAAGACAAAAACTAAGAAGAGACAAAGAAGGTTTTTATATAATGATAAAGGAGTCAATTCACCAAGAAGATATACTGGTTGTAAATATTTATACATTGAACACTGGAACACCTAGATTTATAAAGCAAATATTCTTAGAGCTAAAGAGAGAGATAGACGCCAATAAAATAATAGCTGGAGACTTGAACATCCCATTTTAAGCAATGGATAGATCTCCCAAACAGAAAATCAACAAAGAAACATCAAACTTAATCTACACTATGAAACAAATACACCTAATAGATATTTACAGAACATTTCATTCAACAGGTGAATAATATACATTATTTTCCTCAGCACATGTCATTTTCAAAGATAGACCATATGTCAGGTCACAAAACAAATCTTAAACATTCAAAAAATTGAAATACTATCAAGCATCTTCTCTGATCGCCATGGAATAAAACTAGAAATCAATAAGAACAGGAATTTTGGAAACTATATAAATTCATGAAAATTAGACAATATGCTCCTAAATAACAAGTGGGTCAATGAAGAAATTAATAAGAAAATTAAAACATTTCTTGAAACAAATTATAATGTAAACATAACATACCAAAATCTATGGAATATATCAAAAGCAGCACTAAGAGGGAAAATTATAGCTTTAAGTACCTAGGTCAAAAAAGGAAAAACTTCTAACAAATAACCTAAAGAAGCATCTTACAGAACTAGAAAAGCATGAGCAGACTGAACCCAAAATTAACAGAAGAAAAATAATAGAGACCAGAGCTGAAATAAATAAATTTGAAATTGAGATCTCAATTAGTGGCTACCTATAAGCAACTCTATGCCAATAAATTGGAAAATCTAGAAGAAATGCATAAGTTCCTAGACATATACAACCTGCCAAAATTAAACCATGAAGAAATCCAAAACCTGAACAGACCAATAACAAGTAGCAAGACTGACGCCATCAGAAAATGTCTCCCAGTAAAGAAAAGCCCAGGACCCAATGGCTTCACTGCTAAATTCTACCAAATATTTAAGGAAGAACTAATACTAATTCTACTCAAACTATTCTGAAACATAGTGGAGGAGAGAAAAGTTCTAAATTCATTCTATGAGGCCAGTCTTACTATGATACCAAAACCAGACAAAGATACATCAAAAAAGAAAACAACATGCCAATATCTCAACTAGCTACTAGCAAACCAAATTCAACAATACATTGAAAAGATCATTCATCCTAACTAGGTGGGATTTATCCCAGGAATGCAAGTATGTTTCAACATGTGCAGATCATCAATGTGATATATCATATCAACAGAATGAAGGACAAAAACCATATGATCATTTCAATTGATGCTGAAGAAAGAATTTGATAAAATTGAACATCCCTTCATGATAAAAGCCTTCAAAAAACTGGTTATAGAAGGAATATACCTCAACACAATTAAAGCTATACATGACAGTCTCACGTCTAGTATCATAGTGAATGACAAAAAACTGAAATCCTTTCCTCTAAGATCTGGAACACAAGGATGCTCACTGTTACCACTATTATTCAACATAGTACTGGCAGTCCTAGCTAGAGCAATCAGACAGGAGAAATAAATAAGGGGTATCCAAATTGGAAAAGAAGAAGCCAAATTATCCTTGTTTATAAATGATACAATCTTATATTTGCTAAAATCTAAAGATTCCACCAAAAAAAAACTGCTAGAACTGATAAACAAATTTAGTAAAGTTACAGGATAAAAAATCAACATACAAAAATCAGTAGCATTTCTGTATGTCAAAGTGAACAATCTGAACAAGAAATTTAAACAGTAATCCCATTTACAATAGCCTTCAATAAAACTTAATACCTGGGAATTAACCAAAGAAATGAAAGATATCTACAATGAAAACTATAAAACACTGATGAAAGAAATTAAGGAGAACACCAAAAAATGGAGAGAGATTCTATGTTCATGGATTGGAAGAATTAATATTAAAATATCCATACTATTCAAAACAACTTACAGATTCAAAATGCAATCTCTATCAAAATACTAATGATGTTCCTCACAGAAATAGAAAAAAACAATTCTAAAATTCATATGGAATTACAAAAGACCCAGAATAACCAAACCCATCCTGAGCAAACAGAACAAAACTGGGGGAATCACATTACCTGACCAAAATGGCATGGTACTGGCATAAAAACAGACATGTAGACCAAAGGAACAGAACAGACGACCCAGAAATAAATCTATACATCTAAAGTGAATTCATTTTCAACAAACATGTGAAGAACATACTTTGGGCAAATGGCAGTCTGTTTAATGAATGGTTCAGGTAAAACTGGATATCCATATGCAGAAGAATGAAACCAGACCTCTATCTCTCACCTTATCCAAAAATAAAATCAAAATTGATTAAAGACTTTAAGACATCAAACTATGAAACTACTACATGAAAACATTGAGGAAACTTTACAGGACATTGGTCTGGGAAAATATTTCTTGAGCAATACCCCACAAGCACAAGCAACCAATGCAAAAATGGACAAGTGGGATCACATCAAGTTAAAAAGCTTCTGCCCTGCAAAAGAAACAGTCAACAAAGTGAACACACAATCCACAGAAAGTGAGAAAATATTTGCAAACTACCCATCTGACAAAGGATCAACAACCAGAATATATAAGGAGCTCAAACAACTCTATAGAAAAATATCTAATAATTCAATTAAAATGGGCAAAGGATTTGAATAGACATTTCTCTGAAGAAGACATACAAATGGCAAGCAGGCATATGAAAAGATGCTTAACATCACTGATTATCAGAGGAACGCAAATCAAAACTACAATGAGATACCATCTCACACCAGTTAAAAATGGCTTTTAACTAAAAGTCAGAAAATAACAATTGCTGGAGAGGATGTGGATCCAGCAATTCTACAGCTGGGTATATACCTCAAAGAAAGAAAATGAGTATATTGAAGAGATAGCTGCACTGCTATGTTTGTTGCAGCACTGTTCACAATAGCCAAGATTTAAAAGCAACCTGTGTCCATCAACAGATGAATGGATGAAGAAAATGTGGTACTTATACATAATGGAGTACTATTCAGCCATAAAAAAGGATAACAGCCTGTCATTTGCAACAACAGGAGTGGAACTGGAGGCCGTTATGTTAAGTAAAATAAGCCAGGCACAGAAAGACAAATATCCCACGTTCCCATTTATTTGTGGGATGTAAAAATGAAAACAGTTGAACTCACTGAAATAGAGAATAGAAGGATGGTTACAGAGGCTTGGAAGGGTAGTGGGGTGTGGCAAGAGGATGTGAGGATTGTTAATGGATACAAAAAAAATAGTTAGAAAGAAGGTATAAGACCTAGTATTTGATAGCACAATGGGGCAGCTATAGTCCATAATAATTTATTTTTTAAATTACTAAAATTGTAATTGGATTGTTTATAACACAGGGATAAAATGGGGATGGATTCTCAATTCTCCATGATGTGATTATTATGGACTGCATGACTGTACCAAAATATCTCATGTACCTCATAAACACCTACTATGTACCAACAAAAAATAAAAATAAATTTAAAAAATCAAGACCAAGTAAATATGTTTAATAGTTCATATTTATGTCAATGATTTTGGAAGTTCTGTCCAATATAATGAGATGAAACAAAAACAATAAGTATACATATCAGAAAGATTTTAAGGCTGGACACAGTGGCACACACCTACAATGCCAGCACTTTGGGAGGCCTAGGTGAGCGGATCACTTGAGGCCAGGGGTTCAAGATCAGCCTGGGCAACATGGTGAAACCCCCCACCTCCACAGAAAATACAAAGATTATCTGGGTGTGGTGGCACATGCTTGTAATCCCAGCTACTTGGGAGGCTGAGGTTGGAGAATTTCTTGAACTCAGGAGGCGGAGGTTGCATTGAGCCAAGACTGCACCACTGCGCTCTAGCCTGGGCAATAGAGCAAGACTCTGTCTCAAAAAAAAAAAAAAAGTAGATTTTAAAAATAATGACATTTCACAAATGATATAAATTTTTGTGTTTAAAAACCTGAGATAAAATTTTTTGTCTCATGATTTGATTGCTACAATATATAAATTTACAAAAATAATATGCTCACTGGCTGTCAGTGCTATCCAAATGAATAAAAGAAAAAATCAATTTTCTATAATAGTTTATAAAGTACTGAAAGCAATTTTACCAAGAAATGTGAAGTACCATTTTATCTGATGGTTTTATAGCTTAGAGATTGGGTTTCTATTTTACCTATTTCTTTCCCTTGAACCGTATGAATTTGTTATGTTTTTCATGAGATTGCCAAAAACAAAAGAAATAACCTAAGAATTAAACAAGGTGAGTTAGAATAATTTGATCCAAACACAAAGGTTCAGCTTAAAAGCAAAAATGAGTCCCAGCTTATGGTGACTTCATAGACTGACAGTGTCTCACTTTGAACCATCCCTAGCTGCTCTCTTCCAGCCACTACAACGTAATGACATATAATTCAGCATCCATAACCCAAGGCGAAGCTAAGTAAAAGAACTGGTCTTCTGATGGTATGGTTACATTTAAACCCATAATCCACAATTCTAGTGACTCTATGAGTATGTTAGAGTCCCATGTAGTGAATGGGGCCATGCATAAATGTTTCTGTTCTCAGCTCTTTTCAGACTCACGATAGGACTGCACTTTTTTAATCCATTTGAAGTTAGGTGAGGGTGTATGACTCTCTGGCCAATGAAATATGAACAGAAGTAATAATGTGTCGCCCTGGGTGAAAGATACAAGAGCCAGTGCACTATGTACCACATGCCACAGAGTTACATAAGCACATGCCAAGGAACCTCCATTGGCTTGGGTCCCTGAGTAACTGTAGTGGATAAAAACCTTCAGCCAACCCATGGTGCAAAAGAAATCAGTATCCATTATGCTAATAAAAAATAGGTTATAATTATGCCACTGAAATCAAGGGATTTTTTTTTTTGTTACCATAGCCTTTGTACCTTAAGTAGACTGCATAAAGTCAATTTGGGGGATTTTACAGGACTAGAAGTAGCCATTGGCCACAAATTCATTAGCCAGTATACACAAATCATAAGATTTCTACTCAATTGCTATTAAGGAAGAACTTTGTAGGTGAGCTACTTAGTTTGATTTTAAGCAGCAGGGAAAAATCTAATTCTGGTTGTTGTGTTGACACATTGTCATCAAAGTCAAATGGCATGTGAAATATTAAGATTAAAATGTTAATGAGCTGAGGGTTGCAGAATAATAATTGGTTTCTCCCTTTATTTATTTATTTATTTATTTTTTTGCTAAGATATTGCCCCATATGTCTTTGTCTGTGAGGCGGGCTACTCTTGAAAAGGTGTGGTCATTTTGCCTTCCCTGGAGTAACTGGGTAAGATGCTTGTCTGACATTGAAAATGGGAAGAAGTTGGGAGGCAGGAGAAAAGGGAAGAGGAAAAGCAAAGGCAAAAGAAAACTGTGCTTATGCTGTAGCCTCTTGAGTTTTTTCTAGAAGAAAAAAAGAATGATTTTAATTTAATGAAGAGAGAAAAAGTAGAGAGGGACAATATGAGAGGCAACAAAATTGAATACATTAAAAAGGGAGAAGATACAAGTGTTTAAAAAAGCATCAAGAAAGAAAGTAAAAGATAAATGAGAGCAAAAATTAAAGATATTGTTGAATGCCTGCATGATTTTCAAAGATTCTTTTTCTAATTAGATGAACATGGGTGATATTACTATTCATAAATAACCAGATCGCCTTCAGCAGTGCAAATTGCATTTTCAGCTGACTAGTTTATAATAAATAAATATTCACAAAAGTGCATGCTTCTTGAGATTGGGTCATTTAGAAACTTCCATTCCATTAAAAGTAAGTTTTATTTCCTTGACAAAGGCCACTAGCCAAAACGTCAATTGCCTGTCCTAATGGATGACACCTGTAAGTAAAATAAACATATTTTTAATGGAATAGATGGTCAAAGTGACCTTATCTCAAGATAGCATGCACTTTGGTGAATATTTATTGCTGAATTAAAGAGATCTTAATATGAAAAGACAGTAGTTCCTCTTCATTACCTTTCTTTGCTATATTAAGGAAAAAATTTTTAAATACCCAAATTACCTTTAGAATTTACCAATTATTGAGTAAAAACATAGCACACATAATAAACACTATGAATAAATTGAAATAAATCTGCCAGTTGATTATAAATATTAATACCATAATGATGCCAGAATTAATTACACATCTTTTCAACAAAAAATCCTTATACAATTTCATGACTGATACTTTTATCTGTATCTACATTTAGTTGACACATATTTTCTACCACATTTTGTTGGTTTGAAATATATTTTCAAACAATAAAAAGCAAAATGCAAGGCTATTGCTAATGTGAAACTGAAATGTCAAGCTGTCTTTTTCAAGTTAAAAATAAATTCAGTGACATGGTATATTTTTAACTCTTAACTGGAAGAAAAAAACTCTACACTTACATATAATGAAGTTGGGTAGAAGGTTTCAACTAATGATAGATGAAGAAATGACATAAGAAATGGTAGTTCATTTAAATTGGTAGAAATTATACCAAATCTGCCAAGGGGGGAAAAATGCTAGAAGTTTTCTAACAAGATTTTTTTTTTTGATGTGTTGAAGTAGATTTACAAAATCTGGTATTTTCAAATTTTAAGGGATCCTTTGAAATCATAGTCGATATCTTTTATTTTTAAGATTAATAAATTAAGTCCCAGTTTTTAAAAGTTCAAAAGGCTTGGAAAGATTAATACTCCTGGATATTCATAGGACTAGAAAAGAGCCTTGATTCTTCGTGGAGAAAAATACAAGGTATTCCCTTCAAGTTCTATGCTACTGTGTGTGAATCACAACCATTGTCCTCAAAATTCCTGCTTCATGTTCTATAATACATTACAGAAAGACCCTTCCTGTCTGACCTATATATAAATCACCTATTACTACATTAAAAGATCATGCTGAAATTTAATGTCCTAAAATAACAATAATTATTTATTATCTTTCAGGAATTTAAGAGCAGCTCAGCTGAGGAATCCCAGCTCAGGGTATCTCATCAGGTTCAGTCAGCTATTGGGTTGAGCCACAATCAACTGAAGGCTTGAGCTGAATGATCTACTTCCCAAGTCTACTTTGCTCACAAGACTGGCAGGTTGCTGCTAGCTATCACCCAGAACCTCAGTTCCTCTCCACATAGGCCTGTCAACAGGGCAGTTAGCTTCACACAGAGTGAGAAAGAGACCAAGCCTAAGGCTTCAGTGCCTTTCATAACCTAGCCTCAGAAGACATACAATCACTTCCACCATATTCTATTGGTCACACAGGACCAGTCCTAATTAAATGTGAGAGGAGGCTGCATAAGGGCATGAAGACCAAGTGGCAGTTATCATTGAAAGAAAACTTGCAGGCTGACTATCACATTCTTCCCCATAGTCTCCAATGATTCATAAGGTCCAGATATAGATGAGGCTTTTAGCTGTGGTTCCTCTACTCTTTGAGCAGATTGCCTTTCAATGTCAAGACTTGTGAATGAAAGAAACAAGATACCTGCTTGCAGGCACGTGTGCACAAACACACACACCATACAACAAAGGGAGAAACATAAGATAACTGCTGTAGATACAATTTTAAAAAAAGAAAACAGAAGGCACATAGGAATCACTGGTTTATAGAAATTCTAAAATCCAGCCAGATGTGTTGGCAGTTTCTTAATTAGGACGGGGCCCTATTCTCTGGAAATGATTCTTCAAAGCTCTTGGTTCTGTCCTCTGGCCTCTTTATTCCATCCTCTGAGTCATCCTTCCTTTTCCATGATAAATGGTCAGTGTTTGCAGCTGAATAATTTTCTCAGCCTCTTTCCTGCCTACAGCAATTTAGAGATCCAAGGGCCTTTTTTTTTATTTTGTATTCTCTGTAACTTTTAATTCGAAGTGACAGTGTTTACCCCAATATAATTCTTTTAAAAACCTATGGGCTTCCTATAAAGCTTCATATTGGCTGCACTTCACTAGACAAAATCTACACCCACAAACAAGCCCTTCTCTAGCTTAAGATTCTTGGAAAGCTGCTATGGGCCAACACTTAATAATCAGTGAAGCCCTATTGTTTAATGAGATCTGTGAAGCACACCCTTCAGATTCTTAAAGGAACTTTTCTTTTTCCATTTGAGGAACCACTTTACATCTTCCTTATTTAATAAAGAATTGTTCAGCCATACTCTCGCTTTCATCTTTAAACTAGCAGTTCTCAACGTATGGTGTAAGGACCTTTGAGGGACCTTAAGACATTTTCAGAGAGTCCACAAACTCAAAACTATTTTTGTAATAATATTTTGTGACATAAAGTTGTCTTTTTTGATCTCACTGTCCTATGCAGTGGAATTTTCGAGAGGCTACGTGAGCTATAATATCTTCATTCGTCTTCCAACAAGTTAGGTATTTAGGAAATTTGCAAAATGTAAACACCAATGATACTCTTCTCACTATTTGTTTGTTTCAAAAATATGGTTATTTTTAATAAAATACATTATTTTGTTAACATGTGATATGCTGTTTTTGTTTCTAATTACTAGATATATTTTTAAATTTTTCAATTTTAATTTCTGAGATCAGTAAACATAACAGACATACAAAACATCTCAGGGTCCTTAGTCATTATTACAGTGTAAATGAGATCAAAAAGTTTGAGAAGTACCACTTTAGATCATGTTTTGTTTTGTTTAGAAAAGAGTATGTTTATTCAACATATAGATTGTGTTAGCTATTATTATAGACTCTGCAAACAATAAAATAACAGCAATAAAAATAATCAAAACAAAACAGACAAAATAACACCTGTACTGCAAAGAATCTCATCAGGACAAACAGTGTCTGACTTACAAATGAGTAGTACTCTAAAAGGTTTTTTATAAGCCAGATGCAGTAGCTCATGCCTGTAATCCCAGCACTTTGGGAGGCTGAGGCAGGTGGATCACTTGAGGTCAGGAGCTCAATACCAGACTGGCCAATATAGGGAAACCCTGCCTCTACTAAAAATACAAAAATTAACTGGGTGGGAAAAGTGCCTGTAATCCCAGCTACTCAGGATGCTGAGGCAGGAGAATCACTTGAACCTGGGAGGTCAAGGTTACAGTGAGCTGAGATCATGCTACTGCACTCGAGCCTGGGCAAAAAAGTGAGACTCTGTCTCAAAAACAGAAACAAAACAAAGAAAAAAAATTTAAAAAAAGCTTTATGTAAGATAATGCCCAGCATTCAAAGTTAATTTTTTCTACAGAAAAAAATGTATAGATCACAAAGACCCAATGGTGAATCTTTCACACTGGACTTCGTACACAATCAACAGGAACCAGCTAATTTTCTCTTCTTTTGACTGAGGAAACTAGGTACAAGATCTCACTTGCTTACATTAAATATGTGTAGATCCCCATGCACACGCCTAAGCCCAGTGAACAAATCAGATTTAAAGGAAAGAGCAGGTGCAATACCAACATATTTATCCTATCTATGCTGTAGAAAACATTTTCCTAGGATAGTTAAACTCACAGTTAGAGCCATCTTAATGTCTGGATCAGAAGAATTCTGAGTTTAGTCATTTCCAACCAATTCAAAAGCCATCAACAATTAAAAAAAAGATTGCTGCTATTAATATGGTATCATATGCTATCAAATTATTTCCAAAGAAATACTTCTTTTTGTCAGAGTTTAAGGTTTAAAATCAGATACTAAATGAAGTTGATTCTTAGTAAGATTTCAATATTGTTATGTGAAACATTGAGTATCTTAGCTTTCAGATCATTTTGTGCATTCAAGAAATGTCTGTCATTTCACTTTAGTTCCATGCTCAATCATTTAGAACAAAACACAACACAACAAAAATCTCAATCCATTCTGCCAGCTCAACAAAAGGCTTTGTGTGGGTGTGTGTTAGAAAGTAATTATGAGGTTTTTATTTCACTAATTATTCTGCAGCCTTTGAAATGTCAGTGTAGGTCAAAGTGGCAGCCAATGTTTTGAACCAGATCTGAATTAAAATAAGGAGGCTACTGCAGGAATAACAAGAAAAGGAATCAACAGTAAAGTAATTTGACGTTATGAGTGATGGAAAATGAGACTCAAGGTCACAGGAATTAAAGTTTCCATCCAGGAAACCTCAAAAACCCCAGTCATGCAGAATTTATTTATTAGATTTGACATGATTGACTATGCCTCATATCCACACTGCAAAAATGTTCTAAAGAAGTATAAATCGAGACATAAGTAATGAGATTATTCTAAAATATTTTTAAAATTATAAAATCACGTAGGGCTTTTTCTTCAAAGTAACCATTTTGGGAGATTATAAACTTATTCAAAACATTGTATAACTGTTCCAAACATTTTTTATTAAATCTTAGTAATTCTTTCCTTGAGTTGATTTCACAAATTAATTTGGCGATATATTTTATTATCTAATAATAAAATTTAACTTTTATAAACATTAAAATGTGACTTTTCTAACTTCAACAGAAAGTAAGCATACCTTTGAGAAGAGAACATCAGTAAGGCAGGCAAATTGATTGATTGTCCCTTATAATAACTAATATGCATGAATAAACTTTATAAATTTATAATTTAATAAATTTTCCCAAGAAGGTTAGTAGACTTAGGTGTAGCACTGATTTCCCTGACCCCAAACCTCAAGATCAGCTAAGTTTACACAATGAAAGCAAACCAGATTGGAGTAAAGTGATTCCATTCATTTCAGTCATGCTCATGACTGATACCCAGTGTCATGACCAAATTGATCACTCAACAGTATCCATCAATCTTTGCAACACTGGAATTGAGCAGATTAGTTGTGCTATGGCCTGTTCATTTCACCTTCTATAGATACAGCTCAATCTGAGAGGAGAAAGAAGAGTAAGTTAATTAAAGATAGAGGGTTCCTTCTGATGGTTTATGAAAATCACCTCATTTCCCTTCTTCCCAAATTTGTATGTCTGATGGACCTAATGTGTTCTAGGCCTTGCTTCTTCATGTGTATTTTCCAGATCTGTAGCCTTGGCATCATCTCAAGCCCCTTCCCAGACTAACTCACTCAGATTCTATATTAAACAAGGCCTCCTTCTGCCCCCATGACTTCTATGCATGCCAAATTTGAGAAGCACTGGTCTAGTCTATAGCTACTTTGGGGAGTGATAGAGTTCTCAAAATTAAGCAACAGCATTGTTTAGAAAAAAATCTGAGATACTGGGTACAGCTTGAGATCAGAAGACCAAATGAGATTTTCAGAAAAATTCTCTCCAAAATGTACTTAAAAGATTAGCTTCACCAGAATCTGAGCTGTATCTGGAACAAAAATAATCTCTGAAGATTACATTGGCTTGCCTGATTCCTGACATCTAGCCCAGTACTTTCTAACAGAAATATAATATAAACCACAAAACTGAGCCCACTTGTAATTTTAAAGTTTCTATTAGCCACATTAAATGTAAAAATAAACAAGTAAATTAATTTTAATAATACATTTCAACTCAACATACTCAACATACCATTCAACATTGACATAAAGATAATTAGTTTACATTTTCTGTACTAAGTCTTCAAAATCTAATGTGTAGTTTACACTTACAGTCAAAACTTGAAATCAAGAGAAAATTACATTCATCTTCATTTAATAATATCTGATATCTATTTAGCCTAGTACAGTTTTAAAAGTCATAATGTGCTTTCAAATTTCTATATATTATCATATTCTGTCTTCACAGAGTCTGGAGACATAGGTGGTACTTTTTATATTTTACAGATGACTAAGCTGAGTATTGGCAGGTTTAATGACTGCCGACCAAGGTGTTAATGTTAAGGGCAGGACTATGCCCAGGTGCCACAGGGCCCTAAAACCCTGACTCTCAGAGCCTAATCCAGCATTGCTCCCATTATAAGGGCAGGTGTTCACTCAGACTCTGAGTAAATGTCGGAGAAACAAATTTACTGTGTTACAAGGCTTCTCTTCCACTTTTAACAGTGTGAGCTACCTAGCTTAACTTTCATAGAGTGTTCCTTATTCTACTTCAAAGACCGCAGGACAGGCTAATCCTTTTATATCATAATCTTTTTAATAATTGAAGACAATTATACCTGTTCCCCAATCTTAATTCTTTTTAAACATCTTTCCAGATTTTTTCGATGACATTGGTAGCAGATTTTTCTTTTCCCCATATAGTGTTAAAACTAGAGCACATACAAGCCAGAGATATCATTTTCACCTCCTGAACTTCTTTGATTTGGTTCTTCCCATTCACTACGTAGCCCAACATACACACCCAGACACTTGTGGGGAAAAGCCCTCTGTATTAGTCCATTTTCACACCGCTGATAAACACTTACCGGAGACTGGGCAATTTACAAAAGAAAGAGGTTTATTGGACTTACAACTCCACATGACTGGGGAGACCTCACAATCATGGCAGAAGGTGAAAGGCATGGAGGAGCAAGTCATGTCTTATATGGATGGCAGCAGGCAAAGAGAGAGCTTGTACAGAGAAATTCCCATTTTTAAAACCATCTTCTGAGACCCATTCACTAAGATGAGAATAGCATGGGAAAGGCCTGCCCCTGTGATTCAGTCAACTCCCACCAGGTCCCTTCCACAACATGTGGGAATTATGGGAACTACAAGATGAGATTTCGATGGGGACACAGAGCCAAACCATATCACCCTCTTTAAAATATTGTATTCTGTGCTCCAAATGCAAACTAGAACATTGTATGGGGAACTAGTCAACATTCCTTTTAAAGCTTAATGCCCACAGTTAAACACAGCACTGCACATGTGATCTTAGATTGCCATCTCTATTGAACAGAAGCCATGCACAGCATGCTGTATCCCATCTTCCACCCTTTCTAATCCAAAGACTCTCCCTTTACCCTGCTCCTCAAACATGACCAACCTTCCTAAGGAAAACTCCTAAATATGTCTTGGGAGCTCTGACTTAGATTCTTTGGCTTCTCTTTCATTTTAAATCCTGGAAAAGTTCAAATTGGATCACTTAGGTAACCATAATGAGATCTCTACATTTTCAAGAATCTATTCTCATGTAATAATACCTTAAAAAGAAAAAAAGAAACGTCCTTCATTTAAAACTAGACCGATGATGTGTCAATATAGGGTCATAGGTTGCAACAAATGTGCCACTCTGGTGCAGTATTTTGATGGCGGGGGTAGGGGTGTGCATATGTGGGGCAGGAGGTATCTCCTGCATTTTCCATACATTCTGCTTTGCTGTGTATGAAATCTCCATACATTCTGCTTTGCTGTGAACCTAAAACTGCTCTAAAAAATAAGGACTGTCTTTTTTCTTAAAAGAGAAAAATTAAACTCAAAAAATTAAAAATGGGTTGATTTTATTTTCTGGATTCTTCCAAATAATCACCCGAAGTTTTAAAAGAATTAACAAGATGCCAATTTTTAAAAAAGAAATAGTAAAACCTTAAAGTTTACATGGAACTGCAAAAGGCCCCCAAACGGCAAAGCAATCTTGAGAAAGAAGAACAAACCCAGAGGCATCACACTTCCTGATTCTATGGTGATACAGTTAATCAAAACAGTATGGTACAGGCATAAAAACAGACATATTGACCAATGGAAAAGCATAGAGAACTCTGAAATAAATAAATCTACATACTTACAATTAACTGATCTTTGACAAGGAGGACAAAAATATACATAAGGATGAGGAAAAGATAGGCTCTTCAATAATTGGTGTTTGGAAAACTGGATATCTACATGCAAAAGAATGAAATTGTCCCTTATCTTACAGGATGAACAAGAAGCAACTCAAAATGGATTAAAGACTTAAACAGAAGACTTGATGCTGTAAAACTCCTAGAAGAAAACACAAGGAAAAATCTTCTTGATATTAACTTTGACAATGATGTTTTGGATATGATACCAAAAGCACAGGCAACAAAAACAAAAATAAATAAGTGAGACTACATCAAACTAAAAAATCTCTGTACCACAAGGGAAACAACTCACAGAGTGAAAAGGCAGCCTTGAAATGGGAAAAAATACTTACAAATCTAATAAAAGATAATATCCAAAACACGTGAGGAACTCAAACAACCCAATAGAGAAAAACGACCTGATTTAAAAGTGGACAAAAGACCTGGATAGACATTTCTCCCAAGAATACATACAAATGGCCACAGACATATGAAAAGGTGCTCAAAATCAATAACCACTGGGGAAATACAAATTAAAATCACGATGAGATATCACCTCACACACATCAAAAAGACAAAAGATAAGTGCTGGCAAGGATGCGTAGAAAAGGGAACCCATGTACACTGTTGGTGGGAATGTAAATTAGGACAGCCATTCTGGAAAACAATATAGAGGTTCCAGCACAAACATAATAATAAACATAAAATAAGGGGCATAACAATCCAAATATACCCAGCAACCCAACAGAGATTGATTTTAAAAGAACTTCACATTCTAAGAAAACAGGAAGGTGCAAAGGACTAGAAAGAAGAAGGAACATAAATTGGAAAATAATTTGGAAGGCTTCCCCACAACCTACGTCATTATTAAGATATTGAAGAAAGCAAAGGCAAGGTTTGAGGAAACAAAGGATAGATGATGTTCCAAATGGAGTGATGTCATGTGCAAAGCCTCAGAGGAAGGAGAGAGAAAGGATTATATGTCCTGACCCTCATTCCCATAAGGAATTCCATACACCTTAAAACAGGGTCTATCTGCTCATGAGACACTAACTCACCTTCATTACGAGAAATCATGGGTAATGACTTGTGAACACCAACTACAATGTGTACTCCAGCTTACATATATGGGTTCTTCTTTGTTTTCCAAATCAGATCTTTTATGTCACATTAGATTTGTCTGGGCAAAGCAAGGCTCAGGAATGAGACTATTGCCAATTAAAGAAACAAGGGAAATAATTTTCCAATGTGCTATAATGTTTTCAAGTGAAATTGAATTTATGCATTGCAAGAAATACATTCATTGGTTTGCTGCTTCTGACAGGTCTTCACTTGATTTAATTTAGGGCTTGAAGCATGTTAACATTACTTTAGAATGATAAACATAGACTGCTCTAATGAAAGTTTATGCTGAATCTCTCTCACCCTGTAACAATTTTTTACAGAGCAAAACAATACATTTCAAATCTGTTATTATTTAGCCATTCTTGATTTTCCAAGAACAGTGTTAATAGAAAAGTGCCATAAATGGAACTGACAACAACATATAAGTTTGTTAAAGGATGGTAGAAACCTCAGAAAAGTCCCCAGTAGAGTTGGGCTATAAAATTAGGTTTCTAAAAAACAGATGATTTCCCATCCTAAAATTGCAGCCATCCTCCATATTATTTTTCAAAGTGAACAATCCAAGGGCAATTCAACTTTATATGGCATTTTCAATGGGATTTTAAAATGCACTTCTTGAATAGAAAGATTTCTGTATTATAAAGCCATTATTTAGCATTTCTTTTTCTCCCCCTCAGTATCTGGATTTATTCCTCTTTTCCCCAGTGCCATGATTAGGCAGAATTTCTATATTTTCTATCAAGGAGACTTAAATAGGATATAGATTTCAGGCTTGTTTTGTCTATGGCTCTAAAAATGCAAAGAGCTTTGTTTTAATGTATTTGATTTTCTTTAGAGTCAACATTCCTTCTTGCATTTAAATGTGATAATGTAAATCAGAGCTGACACTATGAGTGCTGTCTGCAGTCTTTTCTTGGTCTCACGATTTATGCACCTCCTCCGTGGATTCCAGCACATTCTACATTGTTTATACTAATCATTATTATGCCAAATGAATAAAAATTGTTATAGTTTGCATGTAAAATAGTTCCTGCATAGAAGAGATTAAGGATGATTTATGATAACACAGAAAAATCACAGAACCCGAGAATTTCAGACATGTCATATAGTGGAGTTGTATGTTATATTCAGTTCTAAGTGGAAAATTGAACACCCCTTACATTGCACATAAAACACAGATACAGCATCATTTTAAAGAACGGCAGTGTATTTTGAAGTCCAACACAGTTTGTCCTCCAGCTCTGGAACTGAAGCCTCTTTTCTTTAATTAAACACCAAATTAAGTTGGCTTACATTTTGGGCCTGTGTTGCATGAAAAATGTGTACCTTTGAATATTAGACTTCAACTGAGCACTGTTAGATGCTCACTCTTGGAAGACTTCTGGAAACAGCAGATTCCAGGCTCTTAGCTCACCTGCACTCTGAGGTGCATGCTCTCTCCATGGTTTCTGATTGTGGAATAGAGCAGTGGACTCCTCTGCCTGTAGTTAATTCACCTTTGCATTTTCTTTGCCCTCCTTTCCACTGGCCTCCTAGTTCCTCTTTTCCTCTTCTTTGCTCCCCTCTCTATCCCCATTCCCTCTCTCTTCTCTGCAGAAAGTGCAAAATTGAATGTTTATACAAAGATTATGTAATGCATTTCCATTGTGCTGCTGGGAGATATGCTTTGTCAGGCCAATATTACTATGCAGCTCACAGATCCACAGACATTTTTTCAGTCAGAAGAGAATTAGAGATAACCCTGTGAAGTGGTTTCCAAATTATATTTTAGCAGTGGAATCTATGGTTTAAAGAAAATTCTACATGAGATCACAATATATAAAACTGATGAAAGTGAAGCTCCTCTTTGAAACAAAGAAGTAAGGAAGGCACAGAGTCCCTCATCCTCATCCTCCCTCTTGCCTTCAAGAAATCCTGGTCTCCTCAGAGCACAATTTTAAATCCTTGATCTTATATTAGCCCCTATCTTAGGACCATAAAGATCCGAGGTAACACATCTTTTAAGTTACAAGGACACAACTACAATCCAGCTTTCTGAATCTAGAACTGTAGGTGTTCTTGTTCTTATTTTAATAAAATGCGAATTCAGTGCTGAAGAAAACAGAATAGCCTTGAGTGAGGGATGGAACAGTTATGTCACATCAACAAACATTTATTTAGCATTGACTCTGTTCTAGGCAGTGAGCAGGTGGTATACATATTAAAAAGATTTATTCCTACAAGATGCTTAAGAGTCCAGTTGGTGGAAAGAAGTGCAAAGCAAAACAAAACAAAAAACAATAACCATCAAGTTTGAGAAAAAAAATGCAGAAAGAACAGGCAATTTTTCCTATGGGGCCACAGAGTGCTTAAAAATGCATGACTCTGGCCACAAAGAGGAGCTAGCATTTTAGTCGCAATGTGGAAGAACAGGAGCTAGCCAGAAAAGGGATGCTTCAGGGAAAGGATCCAGCATGTACGAAAGCATGGAGGCAGGAAAGGGTATGGCAGAGTCCCGGAGCTGCATGTAGCTTGGTGGAGCATGCAATGAGGATGGAATAGGGGTCGGCAATGGAGTTGGAGAGGTGCGAAGAACCAAAAAGCTATTTATCTTGTGAGAAACTAGGAAGAATTTTAGAATTTGAGGAGGAGGCAAATAATTAAAACTGTGACAGTGAGGGTTATGATGAAACACAGAGTCAACAGAAGTTACTTATACACTGGGCCTGATGAATGAGGGCAAGAGATAAGATAGGGCCAGCTTTCTAGCTTGGGCAACCAGGTAGATGTTTGTCAATCCCTGGGCGGAGAATACAGAAGAAAGATTAGATTTGGGGCTCTGAGAAAAAGGTGTTTGTTTTGGTTTTGAGTATACTTACAGAAGATTTGGGGGCTCCAGAGAAAACTCTCATGCTTTTAGAATAAAATGCTAAGAAACACTGAGCCAAAAATTTTAAAAAGGAGAGTGGAAAAGGAGGACAATGTCATCTTGTATGTGGGACCTAAAGCTGTGAATAATATCTTCTTGAAAGGGCCACGTGGGTTAAAAAGACAAGAGAGCAGGGGAGGAAGCCCTCAAGGACTCCAACATCTAAGTGATAAAGTATACAACAAACTTTCCAAAAACAAGACTAAGAAGGGGCCACCAGAGATGCAAGCGAATAACCCAAGAGAGAGAGAATTGTCATGGAAACCAAATGAAGAAAGAATCTCAAGAGATGGGGAGTGGCTAACTGAGTCAAATTCTACAGAGAAGCCATGTAAGGTGAGAACCAAACATCACTGGCTCTGGTCACAAAGAGGTTGTTTGTGGTATTTGCTGAGCAGTTTAGTGGAGCTACAGAGACAGAGATGAAGCCTATTTCTAATTGTTTGAGGAATTAATGCAAAGTGAGAAGTGGAGTTATTTATTGTAGATCGTTATTTCAAAAAATGTTTCTAGGAAGGTAAGGGGAAATATAGGTTTCTAGCTCAAGAAAAATGCAAGGTAAAATTAAGGTTTTTCTTTTATAATAGGAGAAACTTAAGAGCCACATATCAGTAAAGCTGGGAAGATTGAAGACCAAGGAGAGGAAGACATGGCAAAAGGGGCACAGCCCAGAGGAAGTAAGAGAGGATTCTCTAACTCTAAGGATTCTCAAATACTGGAGGCAATAATAGTCTTGAACAAATGGAAGATGGGTACAAACTGAGATGTTTCTAAACAGTTGGGTAGAACCTGAGAATATTCTTCCGATACAACTAAGTTGCTGGACATGGGAAAGAAGGAGACAGGACAAAGATGGAGGACAGAGAGAAGTTTGGAAGGATCCTTGAATGAAAAGGCTGAGGAAAGGAAATGGACTGATAGGGACATGCATAAAAATTGCCCATTACTGTTGAAGTGGTACTGTGCTTAGAAACATAAACTTCTGGTTCCAATCTAGTTGTAAGCAGATGTCCATTCTTAATCCTGGACCTAGGGGTTGGGAAATGTGGCAGTATTACTGTGAGATTCAGCAACAGTATACTCAAGCATCAAGGGGACACTGAAGCAGACAAAATGGCAAGTGTGCATTCTGAAAACTTGTGAAGTTATTAAGAGGCTCAACATCCCTCATAAAGATTTCAGCATCTACCTCTAAATTCCATCCTGCTTTCCTATACCCTTTGGGCAAAAACAAGCCAAATGTCTCTTCTTCCTACCAGCTGCATACTCCCACCACTTTGTACTTTCAACTCTTCTTTCCATTTTTCAGGGTCATTAGGACCGGCAACAGCCATAGATGACACCTCTTGTTTGCAGGATGATTGTGTCCATAGAGGCCATTAGCAATACATCAGAGGGCAGGTATGCTATCCCCATTCTGGAAAGATTATACTGTATACATAATCACCAACACTCCCTATCTTGATACGGTCAGTTAATAATCTATCTTTCCGAAGACTGCAAAGAATTTGGGAGCTGTTGCTTCTGCAGAGTGTTTTCACAACTGAAATTGCTCTTAGAGATAGTAGAGGGAAAAATCAAATTAAGTCATTTCCCTCCTACTCTTTTGCTACCTACTTGGAAATCGTTAGTACAAATGATAGTTAGCCTAGCAATAGCAATGCAATCAAAACAACCACATCCATCTCAGTGAACCATGTCACTAGCTTGGGTATTCCATTGGCTGCTAATTAACAGTGACACACATTAACGGCCCCAGCAGCAGGGTCAACACAGCATTAGTAGTGCCTTAATGCAGACAGAAATGATAGATATTAAAGTCTCTTCTCCAGCCTCAAGGAAGGATGGGGGGATGATGGAACTTGAAGTCACTTGACAGCAGATGTCACATAAAAACAGCCTCTCTAAAGCAGCAGGTTTCTTAAACCTGAGAAAAAGAGAAAGTGCTGTATGAAAAAGAGTTCCTGCTTCTAAGCCTCTGAGTAATTTTATGTTTAATTGAAGAGAACGTGAGTTTAGCCCCAAACAAAGGAGATCACCACCACGTGGAGTCAGGATGGGCCAAGCTTTTATTCTGAAGCCTTTCCTCTATTTCCTAACTTGTTGGGGCTTTTTCCCTGAAAAAATTAAAAATCAAAAAACCCATCCATGACTTTTCACCATATCACGACTGTGGTCCAAACTATGCAGGCAGAATCGGCAGCTATCCAGTTGGAGGCACAAAGATCTTCCTTCCTTTAAAGAAATCCCCCTCTAACCTGCCAGAGGACCCCAAATGGACTCCTCAGAAGCCCCTGTAAAGGAGCAATCATGTTATTTGGCCAATACTCCCCAATAACTAATCCATCTTTGTGGCCTCAGGCTTTGCACCATTCCAGGCAAACAGCAGGTGCTCATTAAATATTTGTTGGCTAAATGAATATACCCACCCCCAGTTGTTATCCACTTCGTCCTGACTAGCTGATCAGATTATAGTCTGCGTCTATCCCTAAGCAATGTCCAGAGAGGCTAAAAGATTAGTTTGGGATGGGATGGGAGTGAGATGGGGCATTCAGGGAACATCTGGAGAGCAACTCGAGCAGGGTGCAGGGTAATGAAGGGCAGCTTGAGGGCCTCGGGCACCTGTCAGGAGAAAAGATGAAATGATAAAGGGTGATAGCAAAGACAAAAGGTGCCTGCCTCTGACCCTTAGAAAGCAAGCAAAGAGGGCTTTTCCTTTTGAAGAGAAATGTGAATCCCAGTTCAGCACTCTGGGGCTTCCCTTCTCTGTTCCCCTTTCCCCAGTCTCCAAGAGAAGCAGACTGTGTTTGTTTGTTAAGCACAGCACTGCGATACACAAACAGATTGGCATAAATTTATGCCAGGCTTTCTTGTTTAAAAACATGAATTATTCAAGAAATATTACAATATTAATTAGAAATCATTAAAATACGAGTGTTGGGGGAGGGAAGAATGAGATGGTGCATTAGTAAAATCACATTTAGCCCAAATATAAAGTGTGCCAAAGCTGCTTAATCATTGTTTTGATAGTCAAAATACCATCACACCAGTTTCACAGTACAGGGAGAAGGAAGACTCTTGGACGCCTCTGCTTCCCATTATTATTGGTGAAATTAATTATTTATGGAGCTCGGGCAGTGTACTAGGTGCTCCAAAAGATGCAAACAAGGTGAGGTTTCTGCCCAAAAGGCACAGGAGAAAAATCAGAGTAGTAAAGAGTTCTGACACATACACCCAGCCAGTGAGTGATGATCAAGTGTATGAGGGTCTTTTGCTTTGATTTTTCAGTTTGCTCAATGTTTTCAGTTTTCAGCCTTTGGAAGAATCACAAAGTGAATATTGTTACTAAAGAATGCCATGGAAGGTGTAAGCTATCAGGAACCTCATCCATGAGAAATATTAATATATATGAATCTGGACAGTCAATGTTAGCTTTACAAACTATGGAGGGCAGCAAGAAAGAACCCAGATCCTGGAAGGTGTTCCCTGAATTGAGTGATTTGGACCTGGAGGATTCACTAGTGGTGATTATTTTATATTTATTATAGAGTCCACAACTACAGCTTTTCACAAAATGCATACATAACTTCTGCAAATGTTAAATGTTACAACACTGGTAAATGTGTATATTCTATATATAAACATGACACTGGCGTACACATATGGTGATCATTTTAAAATGGTTGATACCCTAGTACCTTTTGAAATAAAAGACCAAGAGGCAAAATAAGCCAGTTTATCTCAGGTTTAGGTGGGGCCGATTTGACAGCTGAATTAACTATTTCATGATGGTAGGGTATCATCCTGAGGCTGCTGCCATGGAACACAAATAGAATCCTCATGACCTTAATTGATTACAATAGCTTCCAACCTGGCACCAGTCGATGAGCAAGTGATTATCACACCCTGCAGGATATGGGCAAGAAAGTAAAAGCAGAGTTGCAGAGAGCCAGTATTGAAAGCTAGTTCATCTTTTTGTTCCATTTAACTTAGTTTATGCCCAGCAATGGGCCGTGGCCAAGCCCAAGCACTATCAGCACTGACTGTAAGATGTGTACATAGGCGATGACAGAAGGAGCTACTGAATCTTATCACTTGTTTCAAATTGAGATGACCTCAGAACTACTGAAGGCACTCAGGCCATGCTGTTTCTGCCTCATTTAAAATATTAGCCTATTCTGTTGCATGATGAAAGCACCAGTCTATTGCTCCTTGAGATGAGGGCCTTGGTTGTATTCCCACTGAATCTCAGGACACATATCCACATATTAAGATGAAGAGATGGCCAGGTACGGTGGCTCACGCCTGTAATCCTTGCACTTTGGGAGGCCGAGGCCAGTGGATCACCTGAGGTTAGGAGTTCGAGATTAGCCTGGCTGACATGGCGAAACCCTTTTTCTACTAAAAATACAAAAATTAGCCAGGTGTGGTGGTGGGCACCTGTAATCCCAGCTACTTGGAAGGCTGAGGCAGGAGAATCGCTTGAACCCGGGAGGCAGAGATTGCAGTGAGCCGAGATTGCACCATTGAACTCCAGCCTGGGCAACAGAGCGAGACTCCATCTCAAAAAATAAAAAGATGAAGAGAAAAAAGGTGAGGTTTGAAGCTGGTGTGATTGGAGTATAAAGTCAGGAAACCAAGTGGGTCTAGATAGAAACATGTAGTAACTGAAGAAAAAGAAATTAATCCAGAAGCAAAAGGAGGAAAGTCAAAAGAAAGACAAACCCAAAAACGGCCAGTCACAAGTAAGAATCTAGACTCCATAGCAGACCAAAGTCTTGGGCACAATAATGATCACAAAGGAAAAAAAGCATGCATTCTCTAGGCCCCACTCCACTGGGGGCTTTTTATTCTTTGTCACAATGTTTATTTCCTCTAACAGAGCACCTTAAGTTTGCTGAGGGAATCTTCTGACATCCAGCATCAGGCCTCAACATGCTCTATATATGTTTGTGGAATGAATGGCTTAATGATTTTAATATTGGTCCTACTCCATCTAGAGACCAGCGAATGTTTAGGGAATCTAAATTAATGTACTTCCCACTGGACACATATGAATTGACCAATATTACTAACAGGAGACAGGGCTTAGAACAACTGTGACTATTTATAAAAATCAAGGCTAACTGAGGCACTTACAGAACCTTATAAGTTAGGTAGGTTTTCAAACTCATTTGGCAACCCCCAAACAGCAACTGACTTTTAACATTTGCATTGACTCTTTGCATATTGCTTAATATTGCCATATTTTCTTCTTGGTGTTGACACTTTTCTTTCTTGTGAAACCTGAACCCTCATTCTCTTCACTTTGCTAAGACAACATAAAGACCTGCCTTCAATCACTATGAGCTTTTTAGATATATATATGTATTAACTTTCTTCACATATACACACATACACACACACACACACACATACACACGTTCACATAAAAGGGAAATAAAGTCTATTAACTTTTTTATTGGAACCACCTTTTTTAATGATTTTTTTTAACTTATGGGAGTGAGAATACATTATTTTTTAAGACTGCAATAATAAGCTGCAATAGTAGCCCAGAAAAACAAGCAGCAGAATAAAATAAAGGTACAAATCCATTTGGAAGAAAATACAAGTGTAATGAGATACTTGACCCCACAAGCATGACCTCAATAGCTGATCAAAAGCATTGTGCTTTCCAAATAATCAGGATGCAATTTAATGCAGTAGAAACTGCCCAGGTTACAAGATCAACTGTCACAGTTTAGATTCTCTTGAGTTCATGTTTATAGCCTCTGAACATCTCTGCAGAATAAGATACTCAAAAGAAGAAAAAAAAGCATAACTCCATTTGAAGAAAGTAACGTAACAAATGGTTCTGGATTAATTCACTAACTGATTAGGCTGTCAGGCTGCGTTCAAGTTTACTCTTCTGACATTCTGTTTCGGCTACCAAAGCCTTTGCTTTGTAACAATGATGGTAACAATGACGATGAAACTTACCTCAAATGGTTATTCTCCAGTTGCCATCATGGACTAAACCACGTATCTCAAACCTCTATCCTCTGGGGTGTAATATAGGACTGAAAAAAAGTATGGCTTCCCTCAAAGGGGGAAATTTTAAGATGAGTAGAAATATGCATGAATGCAACACACACATCACATGTACACGTACTCAGTACCAAGTTATTCACAAATATAAAATACTCTTAAAACTTAAGTACTACTTGAAACTCTCTAGTATGTGTACTCCAAGATCATTAGTGACCTCCTAGATCCAGTGGGATCTTCCAGGAAAAGAAAACACATTCCAAAGCACCACAATCATTAGAGGCTGTTGAACTAGGGGTCAGCCTACCTGGACTTGAGAGCCACCATAGAGGTGTGCCTCTGAGAACACTGATAGTGCTACCAGGCTCCTGCAGATCCCGGAACAAAAGCAAGAGGGAGAGCCACCTGTCTACTTGCCAAAAGACCCTGTCCTGGACTGTATACCTCTTAGTACTTTTTACTAAAAATAAAACTCCAGAAATCTGCATTTTGCATGTTGAAAGGCTATCACTTGTAGTACTCAGTTTCTGTCAACCCCGGCCTCAGTGAAAACTCACGGTGTCCTATATACGTCTAGGGAATGACACCATCGGGACTTTCCATGACTTCCCCTAGGCATTCTTCTACCTCCTCATGACACTCTCAGTGCATAGCTTCCAGATGTTAGAGTCTGGATAACGCTAATTAGAATTAGCTGATACCATAACATGAACTGATGCAATCAAAAGTAGATACGATGCCTATGTGTAAGTGTGGTAAAATTGCAGCAAGAGGTGAACCTTTCTATTCCACAATCATATAAAAATATGCTCTGTAGTGACCCACTGTCGGACATCTTGTCATCATTAATTCTTCCCTTTGGAAACCTGGCAACATAGCAACCTTTTTGATAGAGATTGAAATACCCTATATGGTGCACTATTGTCTCAACATAATGTAGAATTTACTGCAGCAAGAAGAAAATAACCAGGGGTCTCAAAATGAAAGCTTCATTCAGTGTCTCTTACTACTTCTTTTTTTTTAAAAAAAAGGAAATAAATAAAACCCTCAAGGAATCTGCATCTTGCTCCTTGCAAAGACTCACACAGAATATGCTTGAGCTGACTTCAGTGTTCAGTTCGGGAGTCCTCTGCGAGTCAAGGTGCAAAGGTGGCATAGAACGCTAACACTTTCATACTGGAAAGCTACACCTCCCTAAAATTAAAGCCAAGAAACCAGAGCAGAGGAGACAAGTAAATATCCCCTTTCCCTGTGGCACCTCCCGCCTAATGGGAATTGTAGTTAATGATCTGAATCAAAAGCGAAGTCTTGTTTTATGGAATGCTCACTCTTTGTTAAGCAAAGCTGTTTGGGTGAAGGACCATTCTATTGATTTAAAAATTGATTTCTTTTTTCCCCCTTCATATAACTAAAGCATGGCTCACAAATCACAGCTCTTTTATTTTTCTGGCTGCAACCTAGGCTAAATCTCTCCCAACCTACTCACTGAGGGATGTCTGATGGAGGTGCTGGAGGAGGAAGTGGGAACATTTGGACAGAGATTGTTCAAGATTCTATTAAAGGTTTCAAGTGGCTTCCTTTGAACATTTGGTAATTTATGTTTTGAGTCCCTTGGTGTAATTATTGTAATTATCATTAATCATCAACTTCCAGACCCAATCGAAATGCAGAACGTTGGAAAGGTCAAAGCAGTGGAGAATTCTACTATTCTTCACTGAAGATATGAGGCATTAACATTCTGATGCTCTACTTGTGTGACAAAGATTGTAATGAAAACAGAAAATGCCACAAGATTAATGTGTTCTCATGATAAGAATTATCATAAGGAAAGGAAAGTGTAGAACAAATTTAACCCACTCCTGTCACTGAAGCAGGTGGAGAGATAGGTTTAGGCTAAGGGCTGTGGTAGTTCAGCCTGGTCCTTCTGAAGATGAGCATGTCCTCCTTCTTTAGTGGAGTAACCAAAGCCAAGGAACTAACTCAGGAGCAAGTCAGGTCCCATTTTGGATACTTCATTGGAGTCCTGGTTGTCTATTTGTCTCATTTTCTAGATATCTGTCTCTCAATCAGATTACTCACTAGACCTTCAAACCCATCTCACAAGTGCCTCCTGGAAATCCACTGAATGCCCACAACAGAATTCACCATCTTTGCCCCAAATCAAATCCAACTCCTGTGGACAGAAGAGAATAGTGTTTCAATATCAAAGTTCTGGAGGTTCACACACCAGCATCCAAATCCCACTTTGGCCACTTATTGCTCAATCCTGGGGAAAATGTTTGTCTTTTCCATTCCTCCATTATCCTATTGGTAAAATGCACTTAATAGTAGATACTGCTATAGTGAAGTGAGATAATATACCTAATATAGCTAATAATATATGTATTACTATACCTTAGCACATAGAAAGTACTCAATAAATGTCAGCTACTTTTAAAAATTACGATTCCTTCATTATTATGAAATCCATCCAGTTACTTAAGCAGGAAAATATAAAACTGGGAATTATTCTATATTTCTCAATTTCTATTAACCTCACACAGGCAGAATGAAGCCAAGACCTGTCAATTTATTGCCTTAATCTCCCGAATATCTTTTCTTCCAACTTCCTTTGCTGCTGCCTTAGTTTGGACTTCATAACTCTTCCCAAAATTAATGTAGTCATCATCTTCCTACCTATACTTTTGCCCTGTTCTAAACCATCAGCCAAATTGGAGCAAAAATTATCTTCAAATGCATGAACATCATAATGGCCTTCTCCTGCTGAAATGCCCTCAGTGGCTTTCCAGCACATTCTGCTACAGTTCAGATTCCTTAGGAAGATATGTGAGACCCTCCACAATTGAGCCTCAGCTTTCCTTCCCATCCTCACTCCTTTTCAGCATCTTCACATTCCCTATGCTTCAGCCATGCCAAATTTCCAGCAAACCCAGCGCAGTCTTCCATTTCTCTTGCCTCCATGCTCCCATCAATTTTGTCAATTTATATTTGGTAAATCTCTTCTAATTCTTAAATCACTTAGCTCAGGCATCATCACCTCTCTTGGAAGCGTTCTCTACCTTTCTTCTCTCCCAAGAAGTTTTTAAGTGTTCCTTATCTATCCTTGATGCACTTAAAATAGTCTTCTCTCAGTATGTATGTTAAATTACAATGTGTGTAAGTTCCCTTCCCCGACTAGGCCATGAACTCCTGGAAAATAGATACTGTTCTTCCATCTCTATGAAGCCATTACTTAGCACTGTGCCTAGTATGTAGGAGATACCTAATAAATTTTCTTGGATAAATTCACATATTCATCTTCTCTCTCTTGCTATCGACTATTATGAATGAGAAAGGAAGTAAAATAAAATTCAAGTAATTCTTTTTGGTTTCTTATTAACCATTAAGGCAGGAAATGAGTTGGAAAAAATTCCTAAAGTTAAAGGGAAACTAAAGACTGTGAATTATCTATACTTTTCCAAGATTATTCAGGTTCTTTTCATTGTCTGCTGAAGAAAGACAATGTAAGGCCTGCTGAAATGCAACAGCAGGCTAAAGATAATTGTGGTGACTTTCTGAAATGTGTCCCCCTAAATTGCCCCTGCATAATAGAAAAAGGAACGGAGTGACATTATGAAAAAGAATTTTTTAAAGCTAACTTTTCATGAGAGTAGGGATATAGGGAAATTCTACTACACAGCCAGTTTTCTGCAAGTACAGTAAGGGAGCCAGCAGGAAAGGCCATAAAGAACAATAATTCCATTTGACAATCTGAAGATATAGAAGTCCAAGGAGTCAATTCTAGTATGCTGCAGAAGGTGTGCTATGTTTGTCATCTTGCCAGAGGCGAACAACATGAGAGTGGTAAATCCTATCGCTGATGCCTCTATCTGAAGAGTCCCTTTTCTATACTCCTACTAATGTGAGAGAATGAGAAGTTTCTCCATAGAACAGAGGTTGCTGAGACCCACTTGGAGAGCTCGAGAGAGTTTAAGAGCACGGGACCACAAAAGCTATGCTAGTGGACAGTCTCTGGGGATGAACCAACCAGGTAGACTGTTTACTGCTGGAGGCAGTGATGCTGGAGGAAAACAAAAACATAGTCAAGAAGAGAAGCAAAGTTTGTAGCTGCAAAAGTAGTACTGAGACCTGAGGGGAACGATCAGACGGGAAATGAAAAATTGGAAACAAACAATGTCAGAAGATGGGTGTGAGTGGGAAATGGGTCAGGGCAAGTGATTCAGGATGAAGGCGGTGGATGAAGCAAGGGAGCCAGAGGGTGAACCTTTATAAGCTGCATCCTGTGGGGAGTACAGGTGGTTGGAGTTCTCAAAGAAGCTGTTAGGGATTACACAGCAAGTACTCTTTTAAAGAAGAAGAAAAATACAAAAGTTTGTTTCAAGTGCTCGTACTACATGCCACCACGATGAGAAAATGGAGGGAAATCACTCATGAGACTGAAGAGTAGAGCAATGCGACCACAGAAAGGAAAGCGAGGACATCACCACAGAAGTGACATGTGCCCAGACGGGGTCAGCAGCTCTAACAGCAGCCATCCTGTCTTTATCTGAGGGGCCCGTTAGCTCCTGACAAAAATCCCCACTGGCTCAGACAATCACTCCCACCCTCTGCTCTGAACCTTCTCACTCCCAACTCAGCTGTGATCTGCCTTCTCCCACTCTGCCTACCCTTCTCAGGCTGACAAATCGGTCTGATGGTCTCTCTTGATTTTAATTCACTTTCTCCATAAGACATTGTCTGCCAGCTCATTTTCCCTGGGCGATGTGTTCCATAGCCTGTGATTAAGGACCCCACATGGTACACCCTGACCAGGCATAGGGTAAAGAGAAGTATCTCCCCCAGCATGTGCTCATGTATTGAAGAAGGTACTCAGAATAATAAGAATTCTAAAAACTGCTAATAGCCTTGGTAGAAAAACATAGTAGTTGTTAAAGAAAACCAAGTTTTGAAGAATTAAATGGTTTGTTTTGTGCCAGCCCATAAATCTGGTATGTAGCAATGAGATTTCTGACCTACTTCCAATTGTGTATTTGGTACCCAATCCTACATGGAAGTCAATTGACACTTCCAGAGAAGACTTAGGACAAACTCCTAAGAACTCATAAGTCTGAGGCATGACAATGAAAGTCTGAGAGGAATCAGAGTTTCATTCATTCCTAATTCCAAATAATGACTGGAGTTTTGACTCCAGTCGAAAGGAAAATATACACATTAAAAACAATAGGTTTGGGGCTAAAGAGATTGTAGCTCTAATGAGCTATGTGTAGCATGTGGGGTCCCTGATTTCACCCCAGGAAAATGAGCTGAGAAACAGTGTCTTATGGAGAAACTGAAGTGTACACATTGCCCAGGGAAAATGAGCTGAGAGACAGTGTCTTATGAAGAAACGGGGGGATTCCCAGTTAAACTCATCAAAATAACTTTAAAATAAACATAGGGGAACACTCCCAGATGTAACTATGCAGCCAGCTACTGTGGAAGGAATCATGTATGACCCTGAAGAAAAGAACACTAGAGTTAAGAATATCTAATTATTTTAGATGAAAAAATACTTGAGAAAGAGTTGCAACCAATCTTGAAGCCCTAAGTAATGGTAAGTAGATTTTAAGAAAGATAAAGGAGTAAAGAATATGGTGTCACTAAGATTTGATGATCTGATACTCTGGTTAAAATAACAGTTGAAATGTATTCCCTTTTGGTTATAAAGCTCATTAGAAGGAAGGGTTAGTAAGCCCCACTCAATATGGCCCTAAAGAGGATATCCACACACATATCCCACTTCCTGCAGTGGCCTCTAGAGGGCAGAAAAGCCTCTGGGTTGACAGGGTAAGTACTGGCTGTTACTGCAAAGAATTCTGCCATCCCAGAAAACCCAGAGCTACCCTGAGTTTTATCCAAACCAGAGGTTAAGTACTGAATGCAGATGAGAGATCATAATCCTGGAACCATATGAAATTAATGTCCAGCATCAGTACTAATGTCGAAAAAAATCATATTCAAAAGATAGTGTGTGAATAGAAAGAGTAATAGATAAACAAGCCAAGCTAATAACAATGTGTTACCAGGTGAGAAATTTGGGCTGAAGGGGAAAATCAAAACCAAAGTTACTCACACAGTTGTTAAGAACATGGACTCCTGGGCTACATTGGCTGGGTTCAAATCCCATCCCCACCAATCGCTAGCTATATATGGTACTGGGCAACTTATGGAGCCTCTTCGTGCCTTACAAATTTATTTATAAAATAGGGATAATAATATGACATATCTCATAAGCCTTTGTGCATATTAAATAAGTTAATTTATGGAAAGCATTTAGGAGAATCCGAAGCACATAGCAAACTATATATTTGCTATGATTATTATCCAAGTATAAATCATACAGTTTAGAAACTTCAACATGAAGCAGAGGTTAACATGAAACTCCAGGGCTAGTTAACAGGCCATGGCAACATTAATTGAATTAATACTATTTTTCAATGCCTATCATACGTTGGGCACTTTGCTAGTTATGTGCAATGTTACAGTAAATAGCAAGACTATATAAAGGTATTCAAATTAAATGCCTGTATGAATGGATACTAATGCTCCTGAGGACAGAAGTGAACTAGAGAGCATTAAAAATTAAGAAAATTAAAGTTCTTCTTTGTTTCCTCCTTTTCTGGAAAATTTAATATGAAAGCCGTTCAGTTGGACCATCTGGGATAGTAATGAGGGAAGCCACGATGGCCCAAAGCTATGCATTAGAGGCCTTGGAAATAAGAAAGGGGAAGGTGGGGGAGAGCGATCATCATGGGCATCAGAGCCTGAGTGGGGTGAGGAGGGTGTCCAGGTGCAGGATCTGGAACATAGCAAAATGTCACATACTGAGCAAGGTAAGCAGTGCATTACACACAGAGGGATTGATCAAAAGATTGACTATGTAAGGGTGAATGGGAACCAGGTTCCTCACTAATGAGGAAAGGAGTTACAAAGAAAGAACACTAGAAAAAGCCCTGTGGGGAGATCGAGACCATCCCGGCTAAAACGGTGAAACCCCGTCTCTACTAAAAATACAAAAAATTAGCCGGGCGTAGTGGTGGGCGTCTGTAGTCCCAGCTACTTGTGAGGCTGAGGCAGGAGAATGGCGTGAACCCGGGAGGCGGAGCTTGCAGTGAGCCGAGATCCCGCCACTGCACTCCAGCCTGGGCGACAGAGCGAGACTCCGTCTCAAAAAAAAAAAAAAAAAGAAAAGAAAGAAAAAGCCCTGTGGTATTGGATTGGATGCATCCATGTGAAATCAGATTTTTTCTTATACAGATAAATAGATGTAGTAATAAATACAGATTGAGTCAATTGCCAACATGATGTCCCCATCACCCTAGGATAATTTAGTGTGCATTCCTTTCCTACAAAGAAGGATATTCTCCTACCTAAGCCAATCCAGAAATGCAGGTTTTTCCTTTTTTAGGTGTCTGCCTGGCTGCCACTGCCACCTCAGCAGTACATGTCTGTCACTGGAGCTGGTTTTAGGGCAGGCCAGGAGAGAGAAAAGAGGGGGAGAAACAACAACAAAGATCTTCCCCATTCTCTCAGGCTCATAGGAATCCCCATTCCTAGTCCTCTGGTCAGAAAGACAGGATTCCCCCAAAAATTTTGTTGCTTGCACCCAAGCACAGTTCCCTGATTTGTCCTGCCCTTGGGCCAAAGCTGGGAGAGAACGGAATAAGGGGCGAGGGGCAGCTCAGACTCCCACCACCTTAATAGTTTTCCATGTTCTGTTTTCTGCTCCAATTCACCTGCTATTGTTTACATTTCTGTCATTAGGTAGTTGTCTTTCGTGTGTCTTCTAACAGGTCTTCAGTTGTTATTACTGGGATAGACTTTACAGGGCCTATTCCTTCTTGGTAGATACTAGAAGTCCCAGCTTCCTTTCTATGTCTTTCCATGGAGAAGGCCAGCTTTATGAGGGCACAACCTGCACAGTCCTACGTGGTCCTGTGCTCAGAAGGGCCCTGTGCTCAGTTTAATGCTCTATTGTTGCTGTCTTGACATTCTTAATGATTTTATCTTTGAACATGGGTGAGTGAAGTTCCATGAACTAATGGTGCACATGCAGGAGCAAAAGATAACACAGAATATCCATGCGCACTACCAATCCTTTCCATCCCCATTAGCATGTAGCATTCTTGGTGTCCCGTGAGTATAAAATTTCAGTAGATCCATAATGCATGAGAGTTCAGTGAGACTCAAAGTAAGCACAAGGTCAGGGCAATACATCTATAACTGAGTAAAAAGGGGTGCTGATAGCCATAATCTCTGTCAGAGAGAACTTGCTTTGAACACAGAAAGAAGACAGTGGTGTTTTAAAAAACATAAATGCACCGGGGAAACTTATATCCTTTTTTACTCATGTTTCTTCCCTATATTAGCTAATAACTTACACTAAAAAATAATGATTTAGAAGGAAAGATAATTATTCCCTTATAAAATAGTCCCTTTTCTTTTCTGCTCTCTTACTCATCAGTAGTGCAAAGTAGGAAGTATTGGTAGAATGTGAGCAAAGCAAGAAGTGAAATAAAAACAGTTGAGCTAGTTCTGTGCAGCATTTTCACTGTTCTGGCAAGAACAAAATACATATGAACATATGATTTGTATAATTTCAGTGATTCTCTATATGAATTGAAAGCTCTCATATTTCCATTTAAAACTGGCATTACACAATATAAAGATGAATGGTAAAATTCATGCTAATAATTTAACATTTTAATTTTTATTTTTTACTTAGAACAACATTAAGTGGCAACTTAAAAAACACCATGATAAGATGAGACATAGACCACAGAAAAAAGGAAAAAGCTTTGCATTTCTACTTTTAGTGGCATTTTTTTTCCTGCAATTTGAACAAGGAGTTTCATATTTTCATTTTGTACTGGGCCCTGAGAGCTATGTAGCCATTTCTCTCTATCAGTTTTGGCCTAAATCCAAATCCAATTTCCTCCTAAGAAGCTCTTAGTTCATTTGCTCTATTTTCCTTCCCAGTCCAATCTAGCCAATAACCCCATTCACCCGTTCCACCCTCAATTCAAGAATAGTATTGTTAGCCCACAGGCTAGACCCGAATCCGGAATACTCTTGAGGTAAGACTAAGCAGTAGGCTCTCTAAATACTCTTGAGGGACAGTCAGTTTGACTTGTTGGCCATATTTTTTGTTTCATTATCTTTGCAGGAACATGGCCAGCCCTGTTTGCCTATGTCTCAGGAGCAGTAAAATGCTCAAGTAATCAGATTAGTTGCAAAATTAAATTGACTCTCAATCTATGCCATAATTTGCCATCATGAACCTTGGGGAATGACAGATTTAGAATCTGAATGAGGCTTGACATGCTATTTAAGATTATTGGTTTTCATGTGTAAAACTACAGTAGCAATATCAACTTCAAAGAATTGGTATGGATTATATGAAACTGCATATAGTAGCATATAGAAGTTGCTCAATGCATATATATTTGCCCTTGGCCATTGGCCAATTATAAAGCATTGTCAAAATAGCTTGGTGTGTTCTATACTGCAGTTCTATTCCCTCCTTCAACTTTGATATGGTTTGACTCTGTGCCCCCACCCATATCTCACCCTGAATTGTAGTAATCCCCACGTGTCAAAGGCGGAACCAGGTGGAGATAATTGAATCAGGGGGGCGGTTTCCCCCATGCTGTTCTCATGATAGTGAGTGAGTTCTCACCAGATCTGATGGTTTTATAAAGGGCTTCCCCCTTTGCACAGCATTTCTCCTTTCTGCCACCATGTAAAAAAGGACATGTTTGCTTCCCCTTCCACCATGATTGTGTTTCCTGAGGCCTCTGCAGCCATGCAGAACTGTGAGTCAATTAAACCTCTTTCCTTTATAAATTACTCAGTCTCGGGTATTTCTTCAAAGCAACATGAGAATGGACTAATATAGTAAATTGGTACTACAGAGAGTGATGTGCTGCTGTAAAGATACCTAAAAACGTGGAAGTGACTTTGGAACTGGGTAACAGGCAGAGGCTGGAACCATTTGGAGGGCTCAGAAGAAGACAGGAAAATGTGGGAAACTTTGGAACTTCCTAGAGACTTGGAGGGCTCAGGAGACTGGAAGATGTGGGAAAGTTTGGAACTTCCTAGAGACTTGTTGAATGGCTTTGACCAAAATGCTGGTAGTGATATAGACAGTGAAGTCCAGGTTGAGATGGTCTCAGATGGAGATGAAGAACTTGTTGGCAACTGGAGTAAAGGTCACCTTTGTTATGCTCTAGCAAAGATACTGGCAGCATTTTGCCCCTGCCCTAGAGTTCTGTGGAACTTTGAACTTGAGAGAGAAGATTTAGGGTATAGTGGTAAAGTGTTCAAGAGGAAGCAGAGAATAAAAGTTTGAAAAATTTGCAGGCTGACCATGTGATAGAAAAGAAAAACCCATTTTCTGAAGAGAAATTCAAGCAAGCTGCAGAAACTTGCATAAGTAACCAGGAGCTGAATATTAATCATCAAGACAATGGGGAAAATGTCTCCAGGGCATGTCAGAGACCTTCATGGCAGCCCTTCCTGTCACAGGCCTGGAGGCCTAGCAGAAAAAATAATGGTTTTGTGGGCCAGGCCCAGGGCCCCCTTGCTATATACAGCCTGGGGACATGGTGCCCTGTGTGCCAGCTGATTCAGCTCCAGCCATGGCTAAAAGGGGCCAAGGTACAGCTCAAGCTGTGGCTTCAGAGGATACAAGCCCCAAGCCTTGGCAGCTTCCCTGTGGTGTTGAGCCTGTGGGTGCACAGAAGTCACGATTTGATGTTTGGGAACCTCTGCCTAGATTTCAGAGGATGTATGAAAACACTTGCATGTCCAGGCAGAACTTTGCTGCAGAGGAAGAGCCCTCATGGAGAACCTCTGCTAGGGCAGTGTGGAAAGGAAATGTGGGGTTGGAACCCTCACACAAAGTCCCCATTGAGGCACTACCTAGTGGAACTGTGAAAAGAGGGCCACTGTCCTCCAGACCCCAGAATGGTAGATCCACTGACAGCTTGCACCAAGTGCCTGGAAAAGCCACAAACACTCAATGCCAGCCCATGACAACATCCACAATGGGGGCTGTACCCTGCAAAGCCACCAGGACAGAGCTACCCAAGGCTGTGGGAGCCCACCTCTTGCAGCATTGTGCCCTGGGTGTGAGATATGGAGTCAAAGGTGATCATTTTGGAACTTTAAGGTTTAATGAGTGTTTTATTGGATTTTGGACTTGCATGGGGTCTGTAGCCCCTTTGTTTTGGCCAATATCTCCCATTTTGAATGAGTGTATTTACCTAATACCTGTAATCCCATTGTATCCAGTAAGGAACTAACTTGCTTTTGATTTTACAGCCTCATAAATGGAAGGAACTTACCTTGTCTCAGGTGAGACTTTGGACTTGGACTTTTGGGTTAATGCTGAAATGAGTTAACAAGTTTAGGAGACTGTTGGAAGGGCATAATTGTGTTTTGAAATGTTATGACATGAGATTTGGGAGGGGCCAGAGGCAAAATGATATGTTTTGGATCTGTGTCCCTACCCAAATCTCACCTTGAATTGTAATAATCCCCACATGTCAAGACCAGGACAATGTGGAGATAATTGAATGGGGGTGGTTCCCCCATGCTGTTCTTGTGAGAGTGAGTGAGCTCTCAGAAGATCTGATGGTTTTCTTAGGGGCTTCCCCATTCACTTGGCACTTCTCTCTCCTGCCACCATGTGAAGAAGGATGTGTTTGCTTCCCTTTCCACCAAGATTATACATTTCCTGAGGCCTCCCCAGCCACACAGAACTGTGAGTCTACTAAACCTCTTTCCTTTATAAATTACCCAGTCTTGGGTATTTCTTCATAACAGCATGAGAATGGACTAATTCATTTAGTGACCATTTCAAAAGTAATACATCCATTTCAAAATGCCTTGTGAAATAAAGCATACTAGGATCTGAAATTACTATGGAATATGGGAATAATCATATTCAGAAGAGTTCAAGATGTACTTTGACTTAATCAGTTTCCTGCCCTTCTCTTCTTGCCTTTACCATTTTTCTCAAAACTTCAAATCTGAGCATTTCTTTGTTCTTCAGAAACCATGGAAACTGATCAAATCCTGCCACACTCTTTCCAAAGCCCTTCTTCTGTTATGCTTTTTTCCCACCTGATCAAATCAACTTACAGAAATGTCTTTGCTTGTAAAATTTATAAGAGAAATAGACTCACCCTCTGCCAAAATGATGAGAACACGAAAAATGGCCATGATCAGAAAATGAGCACTGTTGGGTTTAATTTGAGCAAAGTGATTTTTCAGGGGCATAGCATTAAAAGCTAAAATTATACTAGTCCTTAACTTACTGTCACATGGCCTATTCTCAAAAATAAGATGTTTTCCAAACACATTATGTTTATCCTTTATCTATATAGTTTTATGTGGATCTATTTGATGCAATCAGGGTACCAAAAATGAAGCAAAAAATAAACACATACAGACATTCATAAGTTTGACCCCACCCCTATTCACAGCTCTGATAGGTGTTCCTGTTTTGGCTTATGCTTTCTGTAATTTTCTCTAAGACAGAAGAAAGACACACTAAGTGATGTGAGATTAAAATAGGAAGGACAAGTCTTACCTAAGCAAGTGGATGATTTACATGTGCCATGTGCATGCAGTTTGTTGCAGTATCTCTCAATTATTTATGGTACAGGGATAGCACAGATAAAAGAATCATAGCATCTCAAGGTTGGAAGTGCTTAAAGGTCATGCAGTTCAGTCACATATATGATGGTTAATTTAACTCCGTAGCCTTCTTCCTGTACCAGGTATACTTCTAGCATGTGCTTAAATATCTTTAGCTGTGGCAAAAGGCTAGCTCATTTCATCCTTGAGTAATTCCATTAGATTTTGGCTCAATCTAAAGGACAACTCTTTCTATTCCCTCTGTAACTTCCATACCTATTCTATGATAATGAAAGGCAAGGACCGTGCTTTTCAATCTTTGTATGTTGGTACTTATTACAGTGTTCAACCGACACATAGTAGGGTTTCATTAAGTGTTTATTGAATAAAATTGAAATACAGAGATAAAAATTGTGTCACCCAGGCCATCTTCTCTTCAGGCCAAATATTCCCCAGTTCCTTTAAGACTTCTTTAGTTGTGACTTTAACTTCCTAATCATCCTGGCACCTTCTCATTGAATGACTCTTGTCATCTCTTTCTAAATATGTTGTCTCCAGAATAAAATAGAATATTGGAAGTTTGTTTTTATAAGTATAGAGCATAGTATACTGAAAACTCCATAGAACTAGGGACTACTTTTCAACCAACACAGCCCAGAATTAGAGTATCTCATGTCAGCAGCGACCTCCCACAGAATGACATTGAGATTAAACCACTCTACCAAGGGTTGCTACTGCAAAATCACACTTTCTTTATATATATATATATAAAGAACTTTGCTGCAGAGGAAGAGCCCTCATGGACAACCTCTGCTAGGGCAGTGTGGAAAGGAAATATGGGGTTGGAACACTCACACAAAGTCCCCACTAAGGCACTACCTAGTGGAACTGTGAAAAGAGGGCCACTGTCCTCCAGACACCAGAATGGTAGATCCATATAATTTTTTATATATATATAATTTATTTTGCCAATAGAAGCACAGAGTTTAAATATAACCTAATTTGGGACTAGAAACATCTGGTGGGCATCAAACCAGCCCAGATTTGATCCTGATGCTGCTTATTACTGGTTGTGTGATGCTGACAAACTACTCTCACTACTCTCACTTTGCTTTGTTAATAGGAGACAAAATGTCAATTATTTAGGAGTTATCTTTTGAGAGACAATTGGAAGAACAGAAGTGCCACTTAGTGAATTAGGAAATACTACAGGAGGAGAAATTTGATAATAAGTGGAGACTTGGCATTAAAAATTCTGTTTTACATGTATTAAGTTAGAATGCCTGTTAAACAATTAAATGGTAATATCAAGTAGGAAGTAGAAAATACAGGCCAGGAATACAGGAGGAAAAATAGTCTAGGCTGGAAATATAAATCTGGAAACTCAAAGACATATATATATATATATATATGAAGTCATGAGAATTGGTAAGTTTCCTTGAGAGTGAGAATAGAGAAGAGTATACTTGAGCCCTCCAATATTGGAAAGGAACAGTGATGGATACCACGAGAGAGAGAGAGAGACAAGTGGGATAGGAGGGGAAAGCATAGATGGTGAAACCTTGGAAGGTACAGAGTCTCAAGACAAAGAACTTACTTACCACTACCTTCTGTCAAATTATCCTGAAATGTGGAGAAATCTGAAGATTTGTACATTATCTCCAATCAATCTCCAGCCCCTGGAACACTGCCTCATAAACTGTAGGCCCTCATTAAATGGTAAATGTTATTATTTTAGATCTTGACTCAGTCATCCAAAATATTCATTTTATATCTTTCAGCTTTCATAGTTTCACCCAATCACAAATTTAGAATAGAAGACATGACAAGTGCATAATAAATGGTTCTTCAGGGCTGAAATAGATTGGCTAACCAGTATCCCTTTGATATGTTACCAATACATTTATGATACTTTTAATTGTGCTAGTATTTTCTCCATTTTTTCTTTATTGCACCAAGGAATAGTGTGGAAGACCTAACCCATTGTTCTGCTACTGAAGAATATGTTACTTATAATCAGTTATCCAATATTACAGCCTAATAAGTCTGAAAGTGTATATTGTTTGGCCATGTCCCCGCCCAAATCTTATCTTGAATTCCCACATGTTGTGGGAGGGGCCTGGTGTGAGGTAATTGAATCATGGGCACAGGTCTTTCTCATGCTGTTCTCATGATAGTGAATAAGTCTCCCGAGATCTGATGGTTATTATAAGGGGGAGTTTTCCTGCACAAGCTGGATGCCTGCCGCCACCCATGTAAGATACGACTTGCTCCTCCTTGTCTTCTGCTATGATTGTGAGGCCACCCCAGTCACCTGGAACTGTAAGTCCAATTAAACCTCTTTCTCTTGTAAATTGCCCAGTCTCAGTATGTCTTCATCAGCAGTGTGAAAACAGACTAATACAAAGAGAAATTGGTTTATCTGACATAACTTTCCGTAGTGAATTTATGCTGGTCTTGATGATCCTTTAACTCTGTACCTAACATCTTCACAACTATAAATTTTTTAAACTTGCATAAGACTAAAGACAAATTCTGTGAATTTTTTATGTATTTTTCTCTTCTCTTCTTTATTTTTTAAAACTTGAAAAGTATACTTCCTCATCTTCAGGTCTCTGACACTTTTTCCATTATCAATGATTACGTATAAAATTGCTAGCTTGAATTCACTTTGAACACCTTTGTAGATACAACACTTTTATGCATTTTTTATGCACCAGTGTTGATGTTATTGATTAATTAACTTAAATTTTCACTTGCTCTGAGATATTGGGCAAGTTACTTAAGCCTCCATTTCCTCATTTGTGAAATGCGGGCGTAATAATTTTTAACTTTTAGGCCTTGTACATGTACATGAGAGTTTAAACAGAATAACTAAACAGAAAAGCATAGCATACAGTACAATGTCTGGCATTTTTATTAAGTATCCAAATATAAAATATAATTTCTTTACTTCCTTGGGGTTCCCAATTGCTCTTTTTCAGAGATAATTCTCCTTGTCAGAGAAAGCAAAACTAACAAAATAAGTGGGAATCCTTTCATTTAATCATTAATTTTCTGCCTTGGTACCCTGAGGTAAACCCAGCCTTCCATGTTGTGCTTCAATTTTTCCTTCAAAGTTTTGTAAATCTCTGCTTATTTTAATCTTTTTTTTTTTTTTTTTTTTTTGGAGACATTTTTCGCTCCGTCCCCAAGCTGGAGTGCAGTGGGCGCGATCTCTGCTCACTGCAACCTCCGCCTCCCCTGGGGTTCAAACGATTCTCCTGCCTCACCCTCCAGATTACCTAGGACTACAGGCGCGCACCACAATGCCCAGCTAATTTTTGTATTTTTAGTAGAGACCATGTTGGCCAGGATTGTCTCCATCTCTTGGACCTCATGATCCGCCCACCTCGGCCTCTTAAAGTGCTGGGATTACAGGCATGCGCCACCTCGCCCAGCCTTGAAACTTTATCTCCTTTGTTCTGACTACTTGTGTCTTTGCCACCTTTTAGTCTTTAACATTCTTTGTTCCTTTTCAAATCAGAACTAATTAGATGGTGACTTTTTAAGATAGTTCTCTTGACCCTCCTTAAAAATATAAACATTATAGTCAAATTAAGTTTTTAAAAATGTTTTATTTTCTTGATTCAGTGTCCATTTGAGAACTTATGAATCCATTCTAATATTTTCTCTGAATGTTTTGAAACCTCTCTTGAAAGAATCTAGTGTATACAATTTTCTATATCTAGCTTTCTGTCTTGAGATTATAAACTCTAAGTTGAACTGGTTTACTTCTCCCAAGATTTCTGTAACTTCCATTCAATCAACCAATTTAGATTCAGAAAAGAAGTTTTTTCCACATCATTTTATGGGAGATGATATTTGTCAGCAATTAAGTATGTCTCATAATTTGTTGTGCTTTTACTCTATGGAGATATCCAGTAAAGGACATTCCAGTAATTAAAGTCCCCAACAAGTATATCTTTTATCTCTGCCAATTTTTAAAATTAAATGTCAGGACTATAGTATTAATTTCTTATCCTGATGAGGAAGTCCACAGTAGCTGTAAAGGTACTATTACCTAGTGATTAAAGGCATATATTCTGGAAGCAGACTCAGGTTCTTATCTGTCCCTACCACCTTGTAGGTGGACTGTGATAGGTAAATTACATTCCTTGCCCCAGTGTCCTCATTTTTTTTAAAGGTGAACAATAGCAATACATGTCTCATGCAATTGTTAGAAGAACTGGATAAAACCATCTGTGTAATGCTTCTGGCCTACAGCCTGGAACATAGTAAAAGCTCAATTAATGGCATCTGTTTTTTAATTATCCACCTTGTTCCCTCTAGAGTTTTCCTCTTTGTAATAATTTCATTGGTATTCCATGAATTATGATGGATTCAAAACTCTCAGTTGGTTAATTTATATTCTATATCACAAAAGTCAGTGGAAAATACAAGACACTTACCCCACTCAGAGATTCTTAAGCATACAACCTCAGTTAACCCTTGTATGTATTCCTTAAACTAGTTCACATAATCTCATTTTTTGTCAGTTGCATAATTCCTTCCCATATTATCTCCAGACTTTTATAAGGTAGAATATCTAAACCATGTATGATGCCAACTATAACTATTATTTATTTCATTTGCATTTTCCTTCACATTATGATGTCATAATGTGTATGCGACTGGTATACCTTGTCGTATACCAGTAATCAAGAGTGATGCATTTGCACTTTGGACTCAGCTGTATCCTTTGGTCAATCTCCAACTGAGTTCTTGTCTGATCTCACATTTATGGTACTAAGAACATAAGGACTCAGTAGTCTCATCCTTATTTATACTGTTACCTCACAAAATCTTATCAACTTGTTCAGTTTTTCATAAATTTTATGACATAACTCAAGTTATTTTTCTTACTTATGTATCACTGTTTTCTTTGATTTAATGGAATTCCCTTCTCAACAGTATTGTGTGCTCAACGGCTACCATCTGCCTATAATAATATCCATTCTATTGCATGCTTATTTATAATTTTTTTATTCTTATGTAACTACAAACTTAGAGAGAAATTTGCAAGCACCATAAAAAACACTTTTCCGAATTATATGAAAGTAAAATGCTGGTACAAACCTACAGATTCGAGAAGCTCAATGAATCCCAAATAGGATAAACTCAAAGAAAATTATGCCCAGTCACTTCACAATCAAACAGAGGAAAACCAAAGATAAGAAACATTTTTAAAAGTAGCCAGAGGAAGGCCGAGCATGGAGGATCATGCCTGCAATCCCACACTTTGGGAGGCTGAGGTGGGCAGATCACTTGAGGCCAGGAGTTCAAGAGCAGCCTGGGCAACATGGCGAGACCCCCATCTCTACTAAAAATACCAAGCTGGGTGTGGTGGTACATGCCTGTAGTCTCAGCTACTTGGGGGCTGAGGAAGGAGACTCACTTGAACTCGGGAGGTGAAGGCTGCAGTGAGCCGAGATCGCACCACTGCACTCCCGCCTGCGTGACAGAGCAAGACCCTGCCACAAAAAGAAAAAAGTAGAAGAAAACACGTTACGTACAGAGAATAAATGGTAGAATAACTGCAGATTTCTCATCCGAAATCATGACTGCTAGAAATCAGTGGTGAAAATATCCTTCTGGAATGAAAGTGAAATAAAAACATTCTGAGGTTAAGGAAAACCAAGAGAATTTGTTACCAGCAAACCTGCTATGAATGTTAAGAGAAGTTTGTCAACTGAAGAGACATGGTATCAGAGGGAAAACTTGGAACTATAGGAATGAAGGAAAAATAACAGAAATGGTAAATATTTGGGTAAATACACTCTTTTTCTCCTATTATGTTCTTTATTGTGTGACTTCTGAAACAAAAAAGTATAACATTGAGGGAGAATGGTTTAATGTCTGCAGATGTAACATGCATGATAACTATAACCTAAAGGAGGTTAAATGGGACATATATGGCTGTAAGCCTTCCATATTTTACTTGAAGTAGTAAAATATTAACTATAAGTACACTAGAAAATTAGATACACACATTAATCCCTGGAGCAATAGCTAAAACTTAATACAAAAAGATTTAGTCAAAAAGCTAACGGATGAATTAAAAAGGAATACTTAAAAAAATATTCAGGTAACCCGAAAGAGAATATTAAAGAGATAAAAAAACAAACAAAATTCAAAACGAACAAACTGAAAAAAATTTTTAAAGGATAAACTTATATCTAAATATATCAATAATGACTTTGAATGTAAATTATCTAAATGCAACAATTATGAAACAGAGATTGCCAGACTGAATTTGAAAAAAAAAATATGCCTTCTACTACAAAATGTCACTTTAATTACGGTTAAATAGTGAAAGTAACAGTACAGAAAAAGATACCATGTAAACACTCACCAAAACAAAGCTGCTCTGACTATAATGTGAGAAAATGTAGATTTCAGGGTAAGGAATATTGCCAGGTATAAAGATATGCATTACATAACAATAAGAAGATTGATTCACTAAGAAGACACAACAAATCTAAATGTGTATGCACCTAACAACAGAGGACTTGAAATATATGAAGCAAAAACCAATAGAACTAAAAGGAAAAATAGACAAGTCCACAATTATACTTAGAGACATAAACACTCCTCTTGCATCCCACATGTAAATGATAGTACAGAGATCCATAATCACCAAGGATATGGAAGGCCTGAGAAACATTATCAGACCACTTTATTTAATTTGTCTCATGGAATACCCTATCTATAAACAGCAGAATACACATTCTTTTCAAGTGTACTCAGCAAATTCACTAAGATAGGCCATATTCTGGGCCATGTTTTGAAATTAAACAACACACTTCTAATTTTTTTGACCACATCTTTGATATGTTTAACACACATGATGTGGGGCAGGGTGAACACGGCTGCTTGAAGAGACTATGCAGGGTTAAGTGACTAATTTGTAACTTGTACAATTTCAACGTCAAATTTGCTTCTGAACTATCAAAATATAACATTTTCTAGTGTATCAATCTTACAGGTACAAATTAATATTAAAATAGATGAGCTAGGCTGGGCACAGTGGCTCACACCTATAATCCCAGCACTTTGGGAGGCCAAGGCAGGAGGATCACCTGAGATCAGGAGTTTGATACCAGCCTGACCAACATAGAGAAACCCTGTCTCTACTAAAAATACAAAATTAGCCAGGCGTGGTGGTGCATGCCTGTAGTCCCAGCTACTCGGGAGGCTGAGGCAGGGGAATCACTTGAACCCAGGAGGCAGAGTTTGCAGTGAGCCGAGATTGTGCCACTGCACTCCAGCCTGGTGACAGAGCAAGAATCCGTCTCAAAAAAAAAAAAAAAAAGATGAGCTAAAGTCAGAGTAAAAAAGCAAAAACCCTTGAAATTTATACATCTCTTTTAAGCAAAGATTTATACATCTCTTTTAAGCAAAGCAAGATGAGTATTACCCATTCATTAAAGATGCCCCTTCTATTTTAAAATACTGTTGGTTATAATGCAAGTTACTTCGGGTAATTGAAAGTAATTACAATCCTGGTATTTAGAAACTATCTCTTAATCCATGTGGCTAGAAATGAGAGGGTTTCATCACAGTCATCCGGACAACAGATTACTCTTTCTGGCCATCATCATCCTCTATTACATACCCTCTTGTACTGACTCCCATTCAGCATCTTGGGCAGTCATTAACACAATACCCTTTCTTGATTAATAACAAAAGGAGCTTAGAATGTGTTTTATCATCTTCAGCTTCCTGGTGTTTGTCAAATACTCTTGTTTTACAAGAAGTAGTTTTCTTGTAGGACCGTGAGTGTGTCTGCATAATTTTTCATCAAGGCAATAATGTAGGATCCTAAATCACAAGCATTCTTTGCAAGTCCCTTAAGTGTGGTATAATTTGGAACCAGCAATCCATTTCAAATTCGAAAAATTAAAGGGGAAATAGCCAAGCACGAGTTGGAGGAGGAGGACTGACTCCCACACCTGCAATTTCAACCAAATGACATAAAATGCCAAGCCATTATTCTTCCAATTTAGCTTCCTCAGCTTTCATGTCCTAAACTGAATTCATTCTAAAAGTAATCAAATCAGATAAGGACTGAGGAGGGAGGGGGAATGCTAATGATGCAGCCAGAGGAAACAGTTGGAGGGTTCTGGTGTTTTAACATTCAGGTTATTTTATGGAGCATATTTTAAAATGATTTTTCCAGGTTAGTTTAATTGGAGTATCAGAAATCCTTTCATCTGTTTTGACAATTGAAATGATGATGTGCAGCCTGCACTGTGTTTATACTGTTCGAGATAGGAACATCCATATTGATGCTCCAGCTACTGAAAATTTAAAAGGACAGGAGCAGCTAAAGGCCGATTAGCCATGGAGAACATTAGCTTCCATACTTCTTAGACAGAGCCAGACATTACGTCAAGCATGACAACCCACTGTAGCATAAAAGTATTAGTGGCCTCCAAGTCTCAGGCTTACCCTCAAGTTATTTCATTAAAATATAAAATTATGTTGACCTAATTTTTTGACAGGCTTTGAAGAGAGCAAAGATTTCCTTTCTCACCATACCTCCCTTTACTCCCTCTCCATCTCGCCATAACTCTGGGGAATTTGCCAGCTCCAAGTCACTGGAGAGTGCCAATCCCTTTTATTTTAATCAAGGTAGAAGCCCCAGCTTTAAATACTTTCTTTCCTCATCTCCAAACATGTATGCTGAGGCTCTTCATTGGCATGAGAACTTTCAATAGCAGTAACTCTTAGTGTCCTTGGGGAGAAGAGAGCTACTCAGCATTCGGTGGAGAAGCCGGAACCGCCTGGATCGGTCTCATTATGTAGGCCATATGCAATAAGCCACAGTACCTAACAGCTGCTGGTGGTAGGATTAAGGGGAAAATATTTAATTTGATGCAGGAGCACGTGTGTGTGATTTCAGCTGTAGCTCTTACCTGCTCCCTAGGGTGTGTGTTAGATATATGGTGTAACGCAGAAATCATTTAATTGTGTCAACACAATGTTAGGGTGTTTGTTTAAAGTAAAAATTAGTTTTTGCAGCATAAATTGATTAGTTGACAGGCTATTTGACTGTCACAGAGGCTACTGGATACAAAGAAAAAATTGGCTTGGTTCATCTGAGCAAAGGGGAACAACTCCTTTGAGATCAGGGGAAATACAAGCAATGTAAATTTGGATTAGTCTTTGTGTTCTGTAAATCAATAAAACAACAGGGATGTGTGGAGAATAGGCTAGATCATCTATCAAACTGGTTTTTATTGTGTTTCTATTTCTATCCCTAGTAAACATGTTCCTTCAGTTTCCCGTGAATAAAAGCATTTGACAAAGGAATAAAACTGGACCGGAGTTCACTGTAGATGCAGTGCCAATGACAAAAAGGAGGGGGTGGGGCAGGTGGCAAGTAAAGATGAGAATCAGAAAGGCTGCTTCCTGCAATCTCAAAGCTAGATCATTCTAAAATTCTCAGGTGACAGGTGGTGAAAGTGAAGATAGATTTTGTGTATCTACTGCAATGAAGGCTGCACCTTATGCAGAATACTAATCAAGGTTTTTTTTTTTTTTAAGGAAACCGCATTGTCTTAACAGGTTTCAAAAGAAATAGAGGTGCACACAGGCACACACACAAAAGAAATTGGTTAAGAAAGCTTATGTAGCAACCAAGATTTCTCCCTACCAATCACTTTCCATCACAGAAGAAATAACTAATGTGCTGAAATAAGAAAACACTAATTTTGTGGCCCAGTGGAGGACCCTGCTCTTTTTAAATAGCCTTCTTGTTCTTTAAGACCTTTTTATAGGCAAATATTTCACCTGATTGCTTTAATTGAGGGAAATCCTTTTATCTGTGTAGACAGTTTGCATTGTCATTGTGTTTTACCTTTTGGTGCATACAGAATCCCATTTTAAGACTGCCCACCCCAAGCTACACAGCACACTGAGACACTGCAGAGAATAAGAGAGAAAATGCAGGTTTCAGAACCGAGGAGCAGCACGTTATACTGCAGCAGTAGAGGCGAGCGAGGCAGAGCGGTACAAATCTTCCCTTCTGAGCGTTTGAAAGATGGGGGCGTCTTTGTGGCATTATCTTCCCAGGTGCCCCAGATGGCACAGTGTACTTCTAATGGAAAACCATTCATCTGGCCCTGGGTCTGTACGTGTTGTATATCACGATGGTTCTTGGAGGAAACGAGCTCAGACAGCTTAAGCAGAAGGCGCAGAGCATGTGGTTGCGAAGGCATAATGGAAGAGAGGCACAAAAGGGCAGGCGAATGAGTCAGAAACAGGGGAAGGGGAGAAGAAGGCTGTTATTTCTGTGTAATTCCCCAGGATCCACTCCTGCTTGGGTTGGCGTTGAGAAAATACCAATTCAATTTGAAGGTGGCTCAGGGTAAATGAACCAGGGAATTGAGCTGCTGGAATCTAATTATGGGCCCCCCAAATTACTACTACCTGCCCAGCAGAAAAGTCAAATGGCTACACCAGCCAAAAGAGTTAAGGGAAGTTGGCAGAATAAGCAGTCCAGAAGGAGAAGGTTTGCAAACCTTCCAGATTCTATCTCTACAACTCTTAGAAGTGATTTTTTTTTTTTTTAATGCTAATGCCCTAGGCACAGAAGATTGCAAAGCAGAAGGTATGGCCAAGGGAAGGGCAGGTATAGGACTTCAAGATCTGAAAGTCCGGCAGCATTTCCACATAATCTGGGGAAAGGTGGTACCCCTAGAATCCCCATCTTCTCCCTCAAGACAGTGTTTCCTAAAGGGAAGCTTCATAGGAACAAGGACCTATTGCGGTGGCTCACGCCTGTGGTCCCAGCACTTTGGGAGGGCAGGCGGATCACGAGGTCAAGAGATCGAGACCATCCTGGCTAACACGGAGAAACCCCATCTCTACTAAAAATACAAAAAAGTAGCCGGGAGTGGTCGTGGGCGCCTGTAGTCCCAGCTACTCGGGAGACTGAGGCAGGAGAATGGCGTGAACCTGGGAGGTGCAACCTGCAGGGAGCCGAGATCACGCCACTGCCCTTCAGCCTGGGCAACAGAGTGAGACTCTGTCTCAAAAAAAAAAAAAAAAAAAAAAAAAAAAAAAAAAAAAAGCAAACTACCCAGCTCGCTAGGGGTAGACAGTCAGTGCGCTCAGATACTATCACAGGAGTGAAAGCGGGGTGGGAATAGAACTGCTGGATTGGTCCTCTGACCTAATGTCTGCTTATTCAAGGGCAACTTACCTTTAGACTTGGACCTTATATATTTCTTTTTGAGGAGAAATATAGCAGGATCTCTTAACATAGTCTGGAGAAAATGAAACTGGACTTGGAGTCAAGACATCCAGTGCAGTCCTGATATTCTCTAATACATGTAACTTTGAGAAACTATTTTCAGTGTCATTTTAAGCTCATTTGAAAATAAGGAGTTGAGTTAGAAAATCTTCAAGATCTATCCCAGCTTCTAAATCTGAGGACCTCCAATAAAAGAATATTTTATAGTGTTTTCTCAATTAAATGTAGTCCCACTTTGGTACAAAAGACATGGAATTAACCCCTAGAACAATAAAAGTCCCAGCAGCTGCTGTCACCTTTGAAACTGATTTCCTGGCTCTTACTTCAAACCTTTATTCACATACAACAAATCAAAATTTACATAAAAGGCAAATTCTGCTTTTATTTACTGTGTGATTATCACCATTGCAACTGCTGATTTCTCCCCAAAGCCTTGTAACTACAGTTGCCTAGATTTCATATAGATCCCTGAGGGCAGAAGAGAGCCAATAAATCCAAAGGAAATAAGTGAAATGGAATACGTTACCCTTGTCTGTTTTAGCCAGGAATGTAAAATTATGTTTCAAGATGTCAATTAAAGGAGCAGCTACAATTTTCCCCACTAGAGAATGTTACCTTGATGAAAATTGTACAGAAATAGTAATAAAACACATTTAAAAACTTAGCTAACCATGGCATACTTGAATGAAAAGAACACAATCAACTGTCTATGCCTTAATATGGGATTGCCACACTGTGTTAATCCCAGGCTGGTTTCCCTGTTACCTAACACATGTTCAGATGGCAGATGAGCTCAGAGAATTTGAATTTATTTTATTACCAATCTAAGCCTATCATACTTAAGTAGAAAAACTTTTAATAGAAAAGGTATGATGCATCCCCCAAACAAATAAAAATATTTGCAGTTTATCCATTCATTGGATAAAAAATTGAGAGTTTGTCACGCAGAATATTATGTGCTGACACTTTGGAAGATGACAATGTGACTTCACATTTCTAAGGGTTTTTTTTTTTTTTCCTTGCTTAATTTAAAGCAACCAAAGTGGTGTTGGGAGTCATCAGTGGTTCAATAAAACTTGAATGATTTGGGTGATGGTAACTGACACATACCATTGTTCTCCATCCTATTAACTAATAAGTCAGTCTTTCTCTTAGTGTAACTCTTGCAGTTAATAAGGTGGCTCATTTACTTGTCACCAGAACAATGTAAGTGAAAAGACTAGATTTAGAGAGCAAAGCTGCAGCAAGTGCAGACTCAGGAGCATAACCCACACCATCCCCACCCCATCATAGAGCAGAGAGCAGATCAAAGCTGCCCCCTGGGGGCATTCCCTCTGATTTGTAGGTTTACCTTGCAATCAATGCAGACAGATTTTTTTTCTTTTATTTCAGAAACCTCTTACATACTCATTCCAGCACCAGGCTAGCAGACATTTAGGACCAGGGCAAAGTTTCTCTGTCAATACACCCTTCTTTTCTATGCCTATGCCATTCCCCAAGTCCTCCTTAAACAATAGAAAATAGTGAGTAAATCTAGAACCATATCTATGCAAGTCCCAAAATATAGTTTGTCTAATTTTGCAGTCACTTTATGTAGCAATTATCTGTACCTTCACATAATTGATTGCATCAGCTATTTGAAGGTTGTTGGTGAGAAAGGGATTGCTCAATTAAGAGGTGGTCATCCAATCCAATTAGCTTAATCATTTGACCTTAACCAGTATGATTCAGTTATTTGAATCACGAGCAGACAGATTGAATTGAGCATTTTAAAATTGATTTTTTTCTCTGTGATTAACTTTAATGATGACATAAATAACAAATGTGATGCAAAAATGGATAAACTGGTAACTTTCCGAAGAACTCTTGTTTTTTCAGGATAACCAAAGATTACTGAGTAATAAATCTAATTGAAAAATTTATTAAGCATTTCCAAGTTCAAGATTCTGTATTAAACACCGAAGAAACACAAGATGACTCACACCTAGTTCCTCACTTGAAATGTTTGATCTTAAGCAGAAGACAAGTACATAAACAGGTATTCACATTGCAAAGAACAATACAACCTGCTAAATAAAGTTGTAATAATAAGTAATGAGAGCAATTAATTCTGAGAGAGAGAAGGCAGAAAAGGCTTGGGGCTGGGACTTGGAGGGAGAGAAAAATAATTAAAGGTAGAAAAATGAAATGCCTTCAGGGCCAGCCAGGCGATATAAATATGAGAAATTCAAGAGAGTTAGAGCCTGAGGAAAATTATACCATCCATGTCCATCAAAAGGATCTGAAAGTCAATTTTAAAATCTATTTCTTGGCAAGCAAAATTATAATGGTGGGTCTTATTGGACCTACTTTTGTCATATGAACTTCATTTAGTTAGAAATAGAATGATCAAGAAAGCATTGTATGATGAAGAAGCAGAATGCACTAAGTGCCAGGTACTGTCTACTCCCTAACTGTCATCCTTTTTCTCCCAGCCCGCTTTTATTCTTTATCCTGTAACCTCTGGGATTTAGACCAAACAATTGAGTCCCACACACTAGGACTCAACATTCAAACTTCTTTCCTATTGGTTTTGGCCTTGCTCCCTTAGGAATGATAACAGAACTTTACCCTGAACTCATGACCCCTCAAAGCATCACAGGCTTTAGAACAGAGTTCCTAATGCATTCCTAATGCTTATTTAGATCCCTAGGTTTGTAACCAGCCAGTCATCTGGTTCAGCCCAGCCAGTTACATAGACCCTTTGGAATTAGCATTCAGCCTTGTACTGCTCTCTTTACCCAGAGCCCATGGTGCCCCAAGTCTCAACCCAGTGGAGTGAATGCTGCCATCTGCTGACAGATTTCCCTGGTGCCAACTGCCTGTGAATCCTGCCTTTCTGAATACCACCTGCTGGTCCTGGGTTCCCTGCTGCTACACTTCACCAGACATCAGGAAGCACATATCCCTAGACCTTCCTGCCAGACCACCCCCATTGTTGGTTGGCATACACTGGGGTAGCAGAATTCTGCCCATCTGACTCATCCTCAGCATCTACAGCATGCCCATCCCATCAGAGCTGGGGACATCTAGGGGTCTAGGACTCAGCCCTTTCCTCTTTAGATATACTCTTCTATTATGCACAGAGTTTTGCTGAGGAATTCTCAGAGTTACAATGAAACTTGCTCTATTAAAAACATCAAGTAGATGATTCATCCAACAAATATTCATTGCCCCTTGCCATGCGCCAGGCCATGTTCTAGGCTTTGGGGACATAACCATGAACAAAACACACACAAACTCCTGCCTTTATGGAGCTGACATTTTTGAGGGGTAGACAGAAAACAGATAGTAAGTAAAATATACAGTATGTTAGATAGTGGTAAGTGCCGACAAAAAAGTAAGCAGAAAAGGAGGATATAAATTGCCATGGGGATGGGATGTTGAAATTTTAGATAGAAAGGCCAGAGAAACCTCTCTGAGAGGGTGAATTTTGAGTAAAGATACAAAAGACATGAGTAAGTGGCTAGGGGAATCACATGGTTTGTCTGTGTCCTCACCCAACTATCATCTTGAACTGTAGTTCTCATAATCCCCATGTGTCATGGGAGGGACCCAGTAGGAGGTAATTGAATCATGTGGGCAGTTACTTTCATGCTGTTCTCATGATAGTGAATGAGTTCTCACAAGATCTGATGGTTATAAGGGGTTTTCCCTGCTTTCACTCTGCACTTCTCCTTGCTGCTGCCACATGAAGAAGGACGTGTTTGCTTCCCTTTCCACCATAATTGTAAGTTTCCTGAGGCTGCCCCAACCCTGCAGAACTGTGAGTCAATTAAACCTCTTTCCTTTATAAATTACCCTGTCTAAGGTATGTCCTTATAGCAATATGAGAACAGACTAATACAATAAATTGGTACTGGTAGAGTGGGGTGCTGCTGTAAAGATACCAGAAAATGTAGAAGCGACTTTGGAACTGGGTAACTGGCAGAAGTTGGAACAGTTTGGAGGGCTCAGAAGAAGATAGGAAAATGTGGGAAAGTTTGGAACTTCCTAGAGATCCGGAGAGCTCAGAAGACAAGAACATGTGGGAAAGTTTGGAACTTCCTGGACTTATTGAATGGCTTTGACCAAAATGCTGATAGTGAATGGACAATAAAGTCAAGGCTGAGGTGGTCTCAGATGGAGATGAGGAACTTGTTGGGAACTGGAGTAAAGGTCACTCTTGCTATGCAAAGGGACTGGTGGCATTTTGCTCCTCCCTTAGAGATCTGTGGAACTTTGAACTTGAGAGATAATTTATTAGAGTATCTGGCAGAAGAAATTTCTAAGCAGCAAAGTGTTCAAGAGGAAGCAGAATATGAAAGTTTGAAAAATTTGGGCCGGGCGCGGTGGCTCACGCCTGTAATCCCAGCATTTTGGGAGGCCGAGGCGGGCGGATCACGAGGTCAGGAGATCGAGACCATCCCGGCTAAAACGGTGAAACCCCGTCTCTACTAAAAATACAAAAAATTAGCCGGGCATAGTGGCGGGCGCCTGTAGTCCCAGCTACTTGGGAGGCTGAGGCAGGAGAATGGCGTGAACCCAGGAGGCGGAGCTTGCAGTGAGCCGAGATCCCGCCACTGCACTCCAGCCTGGGCGACAGAGCGAGACTCCGTCTCAAAAAAAAAAAAAAAAAAAGAAAAAAGAAAAATTTGCAGCCTGACAATGCAATAGAAAACAAAAACCCACTTTCTGGGGAGAAATTCAAGCCTGCAAAGGAAATTTGCATAAGTAATGAGGGGCCAAATGCTAATCACCGAGACAATGGGGATAATGTCTCCAGAGCATGTCAGAGAACTTCATGGCAGCCCCTGCTATCATAGGCCCCAGCCTAGGAAGAAGACATGGTTTTCCAGGTCCAGGTCCCCCTGCTGTGTGCTGTCTCAGGTCTTAGTGCCCTCCATGCCAGCTGCACCAGCCATGGCTAAAAGGCGCCGACATACAGCTTGAGCTGTGACTTTAGAGGGTGCAAGCCCCAAGCCTTGACAGCTTCCATGTGGTGTTGAGCCTGCAGGTACACAGAAGTCAAGATTTGATGTTTGAGAACCTCCACCTAGATTTTAGAGGATGTATGGAAATGTCGGCATGTTCAGGCAGAAGTTTGCGCAGGGGCAGAGCCCTCATGGAGAACCTCTGCTAGGGCAGTGCAGAAGGGAAATGTGGGATTAGAACCCCCACACAAAGTCCCCACTGGGGCACTGCCTAGTGGTGCAGTGAAAAGAGGGCCATTATCCTCCAGACCCTGGAATGATAGATCAACTGACAGCATCCACCGTGTGCCTGCAAAAGCCACTGACACTCAACACCAGCTGATGAAAGCAGCCAGAAGAGGGGGCTGTACCCTGCAAAGCCACAGGGGCGGAGCTGCCCAAGGCAGTGGGAGGCCACCTCTTGCATCAGCATGACCTGGATGTAAGACATGGGGTCAAAGGTGACCATTTTGGAACTTTAAGGTTTAATAACTGCCTTACTGGATTTTGCACTTACATGGGGCCTGTAGCCCCTTTGTTTTGGCCAATTTCTCCCATTTGGAATGGGTGTATTTACCAAATGCCTCTTCCCCCATTGTATCTACTAAGTAACTACCTTGCTTTTGATTTTACAGGCTCAATGGTGGAAGGGACTTGCCTTGTCTCAGATAAGACTTTGGACTTGGACTTTTGAGTTAATGCTGGAATGAACTGGGGGACTGTTGGAAGGGCATGATTGTGTTTTGAAATGTGAGGACATGAGATTTAGGAGGGGCCAGGGGCAGAATAATATAGTTTGACTGTGTCCCCATCCAAATCTCTTCTTGAACTGTAGTTCCCATTATCCCCATGTGTCATGGTAGGGACACAGTGGGAGGTAATTGAATCATGGGTGCAGTTACCTCCATGTTATTCTCCTGATAGGGACTGAGTTCTCATGAGATCTGATGGTTTTATAAGGGGCTTTTCCCCCACTTTGCTCTGCACTTCTTCTTGCTGCCACCATGTGAAGAAGGATGTGTTTGCTTCCCTTTCTGCCATGATTGTAAGTTTCCTGAGGCTTCCCCAGCCCTGCAGAACTCTGATTCAATTAAAACTTTCCTTTATACATTACCCATTTTCAGTTATGTCCTTATAGCAGCATGAGATGAACTAATACAGGGAATTTCTCTGAAACTTATAGGCAAAGAAACAGCAGTGAAAAGTCTCCGAGTGTGACTGTCTCAGGACATCCTGGAAGGCTAGAGTATTAGAGCAGAGAGAACTAAGGGTTATTTAGGAGGAGGAGCTTGTAGGTCCTAAAAAAGGACTAGGACTTTACTCTGAGTGAGATGGAACCTACTAGAAGATTTCAGGTAGAGGAAACGTGGCATGAATTAATGTCTGCACATACAAGGTAGGAGGCCAGTTAGAAGGCAATTGTGGCGATCAAAGTCCAAGCTGAGGGTGGCTTATACAGGTGGGCACTAGATTTATGTAGTAATTGTCAAGGATGCCTGCAGACAGGTAGGAAGAGGTGTCATGGAAATACCAGATTAAAGGGGCCTTGAATTATATGCTAACAATTTCAGACCTTCTTATTTTAAATATAGGAAAGAATTTTTAGAAAAATAACTCTAGCAGAAATATTGAAGGTAATTTGCAGAGAAGAAAAGAAAGACAAAGAGAGGCATTAGCAGGCTCTTGTATTGGACGAGGCAAAAGATAACAGAAAGCTCAACCAGGAAAGTAGTAGCCTAAGAGAATGACTCAGAAGATAGTGGACAGTAAGATCATTGAGGGAAAAAGTGAGTGAGTTTTTATAATCTTTCTATTTTTGATGTCTGCCATAGTGCCTGGAACATGAGACAGTCAAAAATTGCTTTCATTCACCATTCATTCATTCATTCATTCATTCAAAAATATTTATTGAATGGCTTTAAAAAGCAAAATAAATTGGCATATTAGTCTCCTCAGGCTACCATAACAAATTACCACAAACTTGGTGGCCTCTAACAAGAGAAATTTATTTTCTTGCAGTTATGGAGACCAGAAGTTCAAAATCAACATGTCAGCAGGGCCAGGGTCCCCAAAGCTCTTTATTTGGATATTAGTTACAATGGCTGTCTTAGCTTGAAAAGCATACCTCCACATCTCATAAAGATACATGGAGCCAAGGCAGAAGCTCCCTGATATGGTTTGGCTCTGTGTCCCCACCCAAATCTCATCTTGAATTGTAATCCCCATGTGTTGAGGGAGGAACATGGTGGAGGTGATTAAATCATGGGGGCAGTTTCCCCCATTCTGTTCTTGTAATAGTGAGTGAGTTCTCATGAGATCTGATGGTTTAAAAGTGCTTGACATTTCCCCCCTTGCTCACTCTCTCTCTCCTGCCGCCATGTTGGACCCCAATGTGTCTTGCTTCTTCTTCACCTTCCCCCATGATTGTAAGTTTCTTAAAGCCTCTCCAGCCATGCAGAATTGTCAGTCAATTAAACCTTTTTCCTTTATAAATTATCTAGTCTCACGTAGTTCTTTATGGCAGTGTGAAAATGGACTAATACACCCCTTTCGACTGTGCTTACTGAATCCCGACACCCATTTTTCAATCCTAAAAGATCCTCCCCGCAAAGCTCTTGTGGAGAAGAACTCTTCCATGCTTTTTCCAGCTTCTGGTGGCTCCTGGCACTCCTTGGCTTGTGGCAGCATCACTCCAATCTTTGCCTCCATCTCCACACAGCCTTCTTTGAATCTCTCTATATCTTCTTCTCTTTCTCATATGAAAGCACTCTTCATTGGGTCTATGGCCCACCCTGATTTCAGGATGATCTCATCTCAAGAACCTTACATTAATTATATCTGCAAAGACCCTATTTCCAAATAAGTTCACATTCACAGGTACCAGGGCATAGGCTTGAATATATCTTTTGGGGGCCACTATTCAGCCTGTTATGGTTAGACTTACTAAGGACATGCCCCTGGAGCTAAAATGCCCAGTTTAAACTCCACTTCTGCCACTTAATATCAGTGTTTCCTCAGCTAAGTTATTTATCCTCTCTGTGCCTCAGTTTCAGCACCTGTAAAATGGAGTTAATAAAAATGTGTTTCCTAGAGCAATTGTGAGGCTTACCTAATCCAACCTAAAGTACAACCACTTAACAGTGCCTGACCCATAGTAAATAATCAACAAATGTTTATTATTACAAAATATTAATATATGCAGTCAAGGTTCCAGAGATACAAAGGCTCAACACATATATTGCTTCTACAGGGACTTGCAATCTAGTGAGAAAGGAACACGAGCAAAAGGTTTTATGTATGTAGGGTGATAGGTGCCATATTAGAATTGGGAAAAGTGAGCACACGTTGAGGAATGTATAAACATTAATCTGTTACAGGAAGACCCTGGGAGTATGAGGGAGGCAGGGGTGTTAAGATACAGGTGTGAGTTTCAGGTTGAGACAGGAACATTTGCAAAAACATGGAGACAGGAGGGATATGAGAGAGTATTGTCAGTTTAGAGAACTACAAATTGTTCAGTATGTTGAGAAGGAAGGATCTAGGGAGAACGAGGCCAGAGACAATGGTAGAAAAAATAAGCAGAAGTCGGGGCATGAAAAACCATGTGTGTCATGCTAAGGAGTTTGCATCTATCCTGGAAGCAGTGGGGAGCCACAGAGAATTACATGGAGAGTTACATGAGCTTACATTTCAGAGCAGTCTCTCCAGCTAATGAAGACCAGGGCTCTTCAAATGTTTTCTTATTATGTGCCACATCATGAAAATTGGGCACATACACCAATGCTTGCATATACATTCATTTATTTATATGTTTCCTTTATCCACAAATGACTGTACTAATATTATACCAATGTATAACATATAAAAAAGCTTTGAAACAGTGATATACAGTTAATCATGATTTTAAGTAAGTTATTTCATTATCAGTTCAAAAACCTTCTGCAGCCACTTAAAATTATCATTAACATTTTTAGTGAAAGAAACATGAATTCAATATTTTATTAATTCAAAAATGTTAGTTTAACATTTTGGGAGACAGCGATTCAAAAGTCTGATTCAAAACTCATCTTATTTGGATATTAGCTACAATGGCTGTCTCAGCTTGGAAAACACACCTCCACACCTTACAAAGATACACAGAGGCAAGACAGAAGCCCCCTTTGGATATGCTTACTGAATCCTGACACATTTTTAAATCCTAACCACCAATTTCATATTTGAGAAATTCATCTTGTAAATTTTTATCTTCTTTGATATCAGTCAGTTCTACTGAAAAACTAATTGGAAGATACAGCATTTGCATATTTTTAACAAAGTGTTCAGATTAAAAAGAAATGGATTTCTTTGGAAGATTTGCAGAACCAGTTGGAAGGTTTCATTTCTAAAATATTTAAGTGAACAGATGTGAAGATTGTTATATGTGGCACAGGTTGCTTCTAATCAAATATTTTATAACATGAATGTAAAATATGAATGAAAATATAAATTAAAAACTTCATATTCAGAGTATTCTCCCCACAGCAATTTCTTTCAAAAGTAATTTCTTACTAATGATTAACATGTCACATTTTACATGAAACACACATTAAGTTTGATGACTTTTTAAAAATATCCCCAAGGTAATAAGTTAATGACAAACACTTTTCACAGATGATCAATAATATGGTACATTTGTCTCTTTGTAATAGAAAACTGTCTAATATATTTACATTAGACAGGAATTAAGTATTTATTATAACATAACAAATATAATGAACTTTGGTACAAAATATTTCCATGGTCATGTTCCATCTCATTAGGAAGGAATTATAAAGATTTAACTTATAAAGGTAGTAGCCATCAACCTGAGAGAAAATGTAAACTGTGTAGAAGAATGCTAAACGCAATGTATTTTGTTGTTGTTCTGGCCCAAAGAGCAAGAACAATAAAGCACATGCCAGGTACTCCCGGATCCTAAATTGAGCCACAAGCCCTTCTATAAAACACATGCTAAGAGATTCAAAACTAACCCTGTAACCATTAGTTCCTTATCTACAATTAGACTATTTAATAATCCAATCCTTTTAAAAAAGGCAGGTAGAAAATAGGTCTATGGGAAGAACTGTCAGTGTTTCATGAGGTCCTGCCCCCTGTCAGAGGGCAAGGTGAGCCAAGTGAGGAATATTTCAAGAGAACTGCTCAGCACTGTATGTGGGTCTCCTCGCCTTTGAGAAATCCAGGAACTAGTAATGCTACATTAAAGATGCTCTGATGTTAGAACAAGGAGAGGTGGCTAATTTATGGTGGTCTACTCATCCTGAATCATCAAGGTAAAGGACGCATGAATTTTCCATGGAACAGATCAGACCATCTTGAGAGAATAGTGGCCCTTCGGATGCACCCAACTCAGGGGGCCAACAGGAGGTAGAAGAACATCTCAGGGGAGCAGCAGGTGGGGTGAGAAAGACAGTGAAGGGAGCTGAGAGATGGAAGACATTTAATATTGGATGATGGCTTGAAGTTTTGATATTAGACAGAACTGGACACTTCATTACCTGAGAGTACACAGAGAAGCTAAAGGATCTGCCCAAGATTTCCTCCTGCAGTAAGGAGAAACAAGCAACAGCATGTTTCCAGGGACAGTCATAAAAAAGAAGTTGTTCACCCCAACATGCTAAGGAAAGTCAGAAAGCAATACACTATGTCAATCATATTCTATGATAAAATATGTGTTTCCAGAAATTAAAACAGTCCTAGGCAAACAGTAACTACCCAATAAATGCTTATTATTTGACTGAGAACTGTAAAACCTTTAATGATCTTTCCTTATCCATTTAGTGCATCGCTGGCAGAATCTACATCTCCAACTTTTATTGAATACACTGGATCACATAGCTTCTGTCCTTTGTGGCTTATTTTCCATTGGAGACAACTAGTTTCCTCAGCACAGACCAAATAATGAGGACCATAAAGCTTGCTCCTTTTAAAGCATTTATAGTAAAATAATTTAGTTCTCTGAGTTTGTACATTTCCCCGTACAGAACCAAGTTTTCTTTGGTAGGTTGTTCAACTAAATAATGTTGTAATGAATAATGAATAACAGCAATCTACTGCATACAAGTAGATTTTTCTCAGACAGTTGCATATGGTAGGAAAGTGTTTTCAGAAAGAGTAGGCCTGGGGAATATTCAAAGTATTCAATAATGCAAGAGCAGAAAGATTGAAACTTTCTTTTGATTCAATATTGTTTGGAAGCTGGTATGGCTGGACAAAGAATGCATATGAACATTTAAAGGACTGGAAATTGTATTTAGACGGACTCATCTACAAGCATAAATCATAACTTAATCTTTTGCCTAAATTAAATGAAAATAATTCTCATGCAAATCTCACTCTTCCTTCACAATCTAGACTAAGCCCTTATTCCTCTGAGAGGCTGCCCCTGGCCTTGCAGTCCCCAAGTCATAATGCAGTGACCTTCTGAGCAGCTTGAACCTGTACTTCATTTATGTCACACAGCTGGCATAGTAGCTTCATCTTGCATTGCTGCCTCCAGTTCATTTGTTAAGAGTTCTATTATCTAACTACTTTTATTTTTTTGGATACATTACAGCAGTAAAAGATTACGCATATATTTCACTCAAGTTCCTATAGAACCTAACATGCTACCATTTGAATAAGAACAAGGTTGGTTTGCAACATGGCACATGTATACCTATGTAACAAACCTGCACGTTGTGCACATGTACCCTATAACTTAAAGTATAATAATAATAATAAGCACATCCAAAAAAAGAATAAGGTTGGTTTGTTCATTAGATTTTATCCTAGATCTTTTTGTTAGTTGTTCTTTGAATGAGCACTTGGGATTGGTGTAGGGACAAAGATAAAGATACTGAAAAGGAGAAGGAGGAGGACTCTATTCGTTCATGTATAAACAATGTGTTTGCAAGCTAAAGGAGTGAATAGATGGCTCTGCTAGTCAATAGCCAAATGGTATCTTCCAGCAATTTTCTACATGTGCAACATGGTTAAAACAAGTTGGAAAAGCTGATTAATGATTACTTAAATATCACAACAAGGTTTCAGATGACAAAGGATAACTGATAGAAAACATTCTGACAGATGAAAATGAAATATATAAGAAATTCAGTATTTAAGTTCATCTTCAGTATATCTGAACTACTGACAAATATTACCTAACTTACACTCTATATATCAGCCAAAATTCAAAGAAAACAACAATTTTGCAACTATTGGAATAATCTAGTTTAAAAATTTTAACATAGTGATGCAATTGTTATTATATTGTTCCCAAATTAATTTGTCCTTTATCCACAGTTGATGTTATGACTGTATAATACCCTATGCAATTCAGCAATAAATAACAACATGCATACATACAGACATGCATATATATGCATTATGCATACCTGCCATTCTTAAATCAGCCAATTTAATTTCATGTCTAGATGGTTATTTGTTTTGCAAAGAAAAATCATAGGATATATTCTGAGTGTTTTACATTTTAGTTAAGTATAATTCGAACAGCTTTAGACTGTAAGCCTCCTAGGACAGAGTCCATATTTCTTTTGTACATCTACAAAGGCCAAGTGGAGTGCTCATCACACAAAAGCCTCTTTCTAATTGTTGCAGGCTGAATAGAGAGTAGGACAATAATGGAGAAAGATGAAACGTGTCATCATTTTGAATTACTTTATGAAGACTCTGTATTCCTTCATTGCCTTATCTTGTGAAATCAACAAGAAAAAAAAGGATACTATTCTTAAAGCAAACAAAGAAACAGATGTGTTCAGCCTTCATACTTCTTTTAAAAAAAAAATCTTTGACATCCTGCACTGAGTAAAATTCTTTCTTCAGTGTAGAAAGAAACAGGTTGTTTTAGTAATTAACCATTTTCTGATTCTTGTTTTCCTTTACCGATATTCTCTGAGTCACGTGTGAACAAATCACTAGAAACTACACCAACAAAGAATAAAAGACTGAAGTGAAATTATGCTAATATTCCTTGACCTCACCTGGTGAGGCATATTGCCTTTTTAAATGATTGCTGTAGAAACAGAAAATCAGTACTGGTTGAAAGCCTGAGAACATGCTTTAGAGATAAAGGTTATGGACATTTGGGGATCATAAAGTATGAGTATACTGTCTCATACCTCAAGTGGCCGCATCCCTATCATTTGTATATGCAACTCTTTCTGAAAGGTGAAGCTGCTCTTTAACAAAAACAGTTCCTAAACACTACTTGAAATTATGATCTTACTATTCTGAGATTACTTCTTGTTCTCTAAAAATACACACATTTCTATGTTGTGACTTTCTAAGTGTTTATCATTCTCTTTTGATACAAAAAGAGTGGTTTCATTCCAGTCAAGGCTATGAACCAAATCTCTTACCAGTGACAATCTAGTTATGGGTGGATGCAAACTGCCTGGCCCATGGATTCATTCACATTTGCTCACCATCACAGGACAAAAAGAAAGCACAGTGGATGAGGGAGTGCACCCCAGGCCAATTGCTGAGAAACACTAAGCTCTACTTCATACTAGCCTTGTGCCCTTGGGCAAAATACTTAGTCTCCCTGACCTCAGATTTCTCATCTGATATGGCTGAAATAATACAGCCCACCTCATACAGCTATTGTCAGGGTCAACTTAGTAAATGCCCAAAGTTCTTAGAAAGGTGTCAGGCAAATAGTAAGCACTTAGCAACTCTTAGTTATTATTATCATCACTGACTATTCTCTGCCAGCCTAGTTTTCTCAACTGCATACCAAGTGACACTTGCCACAGCTACTCCTAACCCAAACAGACCTTTCTTGGGATTTCTAGAATCCTACTCATTCTCCTGTTCACTTGTTTAATTTAAAGTGCAATTTTGAGGCTAACGGCAGAGTTATTCATATAGTCCTAAGTTATCATAAGTATCAAAACAACAGAGCAGAAGAATAAAGTATTGGTTGGCAGTAGAGTCCTAGAGTCAGATTGCCTAAATTCAAATTCCAGCTTTGCCATTTATTAGCCATACGGCTTTGGGAAAATTATATAAATGTTTCTGCATCCCAGTTTCCTTATTTATAAAATGAGTATAGTCATAGCTACCTCTCGGAAGATTGCTGTGAAGAGAACAATAGTTATTTATGGAAAGGATTTAGCACGGTAGTCTGGTGCCTAAAACAATGTAAATGATCAAAAATTGTAGATGGAGATAAAAAGTAAATGAAAAATGCAAATTCTGCTGTGAAACCCAGTGAATTCCCAGACTAGCAAACGTCCTGGGAGTTCCTCTTTTTCAAAACTGAATAAACTACTAAGAGAGAATATTTATTGTCACTTCCAGGTCATGAACTTCTGTTCTGTAGTGGTGGTGGAACTTTGTGAAGCTATACAAGGACAAGGCTGCCAATACCAGAAGTATAGAAAGAACTCAATGCAAAGGGTCAGGGTGCCCAGACTCTCCAGTGGCCCCTTAGAATCACATGCTGCAGATCTGAATTTGGAGGAAGTGCATGACCTCAGTCAGAAATTCTCATGGAAGATCCTTCACTCAACCACCCATTTATTTTACACTATGCTTGATGCTGTAAGGAATGCCAAAAAATTAAAACTAAAATCCAAGTCCTTAAAAGAAAATCCACAGAAAAACAAACGAAGACCAATTCCAGTGTGGCACCGTGGAAGCGTCATCTAGAATCTCCTACTGTTTATCCTGGAAATCCAAAGATAGTGAGGAAAACCACAAATTATCAGTAAAGCTGGGGTTCAGGAAATACCCACAAACTCCAAGTTGTGCATTGGCATTGCTCCAGTTTTATTTGACAAGCAAACCTTTGCTGCACATCATGAGCATGCTCCAGGGAGTCTGGAGAAGATCTAGTGAGAGCAGAGTTCAGAAAGCTCCAGCAAATGGCATCTCCTAAAGGAGAAGATCCCTCCACCAGAGGGACTGCTGGGAGCAGAAATGAGGTCTCTCAGGGTATTATCAGTGAGGCAAACAGGGAGAAAAGGTTCAGAAAATGACTAGGGGGCCCAATGTGGGCAAATCTCTACAAGAATTTTCAAAAATGCCTTGTAAAACTGCATTCTTCCCTTGATGGGCAAGGGCTGTATCTTGTGACAGTACGAAGCAAGGGAGCCCAGGGTTCTCACGAACCAGGAACAGGTATTGTAGCTGGTGAAAGCAAACGTTGGGCAGGTGAAAATTACTGGGCTCATCAGCATTTTCTCACCATTGCAGAACAAGGGCAAACATTTACAATGTGCTGGGCACTGTACTAAGCACATGTACATATAGCAGCTCATTTAATCCCAACTATCCCGAGATACAGGTCCTCTTTTTATGCCCATTTACTGATGAGGAAACTGAGGTACACACCTGCCCAAGATCATCAGCTAATAACGGATTCACCAATATTCAACCCAAGCAGTCTGGCTTCAAAGTCTGTGCTCTGATCCCCAACGCTGTGCAGCCTCCAAAAAGCAGCAGGGAGACGAATGCTTGTGCATATATTAAAGAGAGCCCTTCCCTTTTTCTGTAGCAACAGAGGTGGGAGTCCTCGAAGTATAAACTCTCAAAGCTACCTGGGCAGTCTTACACCACAGAATCCTTCTCCTGGTAACCCAGAAACACAATATGTGCTTTAAGGAATTTGAAGTCACGAAAATTTGAAACTTATGCTTGGCAAAACAACAGTAACAACAATAAAACAGTGTAAGCAAAGACATATGTCAAATGATTGGAAAAATGCTAACAATTCATATCACAGCCAAGGATGTAATATTCATTATATTTCAAGAGATTCTAGAAATCAATAAGAACCAGCAACCCAATAGAAATATAGGCAGAAGTCATGAACAGTTAGTTTTAAAAACAATATGAACATATATATAAAATGTGTCTAACCTCATTCATAATAAAAGAATGCAAATTAAAACTGTCCTGGCATACATTTTTACGTATTGATTTTGCAAAACCAACATTTTGACAAGTTACTCCATTGGCAAGGCTGTAGGAAAAGGGCACTTTCTTGCATTGCTGGTGGGAGTGCCCTAGAAAGGGCAATTTTTTTGACATATTTCACAAAATGACAAATGCATTTAGCATTTGACCCAGTGGAAGGCAATTTTTTGGGCATATTTAACAGAGTGACAAATAAATTTAGCATTTGATACAGCAATCCTAATTCTGGAAATTTATCCTACAGATAAAACAGTACACATGACAATGTCTATACAAGCCAATTCATTGTAATATTGGTTGTAATCACAAATGTATGGAAATAGCCCAATTGTTCTTTAGCACATAGCTAGTTAAATTAACCACTGGATATACAGATAAACAAATATAAGCTACTGATTATATCCAGAGTGTGTGGAGCTGGAAAACGAGATAGAAGAGGAAAAGGTGAGATTAATGGTTCTCAGTGAATCTCTTGTTATATTGTTTTAATAATTTTTATTGTGGACTACTGTTCTGGTTTTTTTGTTTGAGTTTTGAGATTTTTGCATTTTTCCATAACATTAAATTTTGAAGAGTTTGGACCATTTTTTTAAACTATGAAAGTATATGACTTTTAAAAACTAAAATTATAAGTTAAAAATAAAGTGTGTAACATGAAATATCTAAAGATTAGAACAATTCTTTCTTGTTAAAAAAAAGAAGAAATAGCTAAAGACCAATTCAAAAGCATAAAAAAGTATTAATCTAGTGCACTTCAGACTATATTTAAAAATTAAAAGATTCAGAAAATAAAATCCCATTATATAGAGAGTGAAAGAAAGATAGGTTTTTAAAAACCTGTCTCTTTGGAAACTGGATAAAATTTTGGATAGTTAGTACAACACTACTGGTTAAAATGGCAGCAGATTGACAGGGAAATTTGGATTTTTTAGCAAAGACAGAGTCTGTGGACTGAAATTGGCACTTATTTCTCCCTGTGGTCACCAACATTCTCACTTCAGGCCTCTCTAACAGGTTTTTATCATGGCCATTGCAGAGGCTGCATGGAACTAAGATACAAAACCTATCCCATCCCTTCCAGCAACTCCCTCCTGGTTTTATTCACTCTCATGCCTTCAGGAATGATTCTTCTCCTTTACTCTGATAACTAGACATGAGAGACTCATCCCTTATAGTGCAGATTTGCAAACTCCAAGTGTCCTCCTTCCATGTTGAAAGGAGTCCTGGGCTGAGCCTTAACACTTTCAGCCTAAAAAATTTAACCTTTCCCCTGTGAACACTATCCTAAGAATGCAACAGGAAAGACAATTAGTATGAACATAAATGTTTTATATACTTAGAAAGGAGAGATTTTGGAATATGAGCCTCATTAAATTCTCATTATTTACAGATGAAGCAGTTTGAATTACCTTGTAGTTTTGAAGGGTTTTTTTTTTTCAGATTTTTGTTTGTTTCTTCCATTATTCTACATGCAATGGCTTTGTCATTTTAAGTGCCCAAATTTATAACAAGCATTTAATTATTTTGACAGTATATAGCAAAATGTGCATCTCACATAAGGAAGATGCTTTGGTTTTACAAAACCTTTTCAGAACCGTCCAAGAGAAAAAGCTTAAATCTGAAAGTCTAGTTGGTAAATAATGCCAAGGCTGTTAGAAAATCAAAAGGATATGTAGAATTCAGTCATTCTTTTATAGTTCCCATTAACAGTCAATGTGGTAACAAAATATAATGCTGTAAATCCTTCTGAGTTAAGCGAATAAAAAGGCCATAATAAAGGTCAATTTTACTGCCATCAATTTGCAGTGATGGGACATTTGGTTGCCAAAGGAAGCAACAAATACAACCCAGAATTATAGTATCTCTGAAAAAAAAAATGTGCTTCTATGGCAAGAAGTGCTTTGAGAAGATTTACACTGAAACCCACAGTCAGCTCTGCTCCAAAATAATAGTGTGGATTATTACAAATTGTTCTAACCCTGTGCAGGGCAGCGCAAAAGACAAACGCATTGTCGTACTGCAATGAAACAGATTCACTATATAAGAGACGGAGGAGGTATAATGGGTATTTGAAATATATGCAAAAGTAAAAAGGAGAAATGGTAGTTTTGTGAGCAATTAATGCTATCCATAATTACAACGTGCAAACAAAAAAACCACTAGGGGACAACTGCACAATAATGAGGTTTGAAGGTATTAATTCTCCTCTGAAATGGCGAGAATACAATTTTTATCAAAGCAGCAACGGTAAAACAATAGCACAAAATAGAAAGATGGAGATTGCTACTATTTATTCTAGGATTTTTACACTGGAAAATTGAAAATTAAAACATCAAAGAAGTGTTAAATACCTGCGTGATGCCATGACCTCATCTGCCTCTCTTCTTTGCCCTCTCGTGTTTCATCTCTCAGTTTAAACTGCACTCATAGACTGAATATCTTTATATTTGACTGTAATTTATATTTACATGCAGACCCATTTGTAAACTAGAGAAAATTCAAAGTGGATATTTATTTGTACAACTAGCTCCTAGGCCAGTAGTGACAGTCACCATACCTAAATACTAGCCCATCAAGAAAAGAAAAATGCTACATGGAATTAAAAATGTCAACCAAGTAAGAACACTGAGGGACTTTCTGTCAAAAAGGACAGGTGATGCTATTAAATGACCTGCTTTTCTAATTATAATTAATTTTTTTGTAGCATATAAAATGCATGCTTAGCGAAAATATTTGGAAAATAAGGAAATCGTTTTGATATTATTACCAAGAAATAAAGACTGCAATATTTTAGTGTAATTATAGCTTTCTGGAATCCCTTTCTGTGCACATATACACATATAAAAACATATTTGGGATCATATTCCAAATATTGTTTTATAACCTGTGGTCATCACTTAATATTAGAAATATTTCTCACACAATCTCTAATAGCTACAAAGTTTTCTGTTAAATAGCCAAACCATAATTTATGTAATAAATCCGTTTGTTCATTTAACAAATACGTACTGAGCATTTGCCATGTGACACATGTTGTAGGCGCTAATGTGGCAAAGACAAATAAGAAATATTTTCTGACCTCAGGGAGTAAAGTGATCACTATGATCCTTAATAATTTGAACCACACTGTGTGTAATTGATTGCCAATCTCAGAGGAGAGGGACTATCATTTTAGACAGTTCAGGAAAGGCTTCAGAGGGGAAGTAGCCATTGATATGGATTTTGTAGGTGAATAAAGGTTAAAAGAGCAACTGAGTTGGATGAGAATTTTAGACAGAGAGAAGAACATATATAAAGTTATGGAGACAGGAACTGGATTATGAGGTTGCCACACAAGGAAAATTAAGTCCTGCTCAACTTTTAACAATTGTTAATTGTAATATTTGCAGATGCCTGTAAAAGTGATTTGACTAGGCTTTATCTAATCAGTGGAGCTCTCCCTTTCTTTCTCACATCTAACTTTAAAAATCATCGTTTTATTTATGCTTCTGGTTCCTCCCAAGTATGGTCAAAACCATCTGTTTGATGTCAAAAAGGAGAAGAAAAAAATTTCTAGAAACAGGTGGATTCTGAACAATACTTGAAATACTTCATATCAATTGGGAAGGCAGATATAATTTAGCAAACTGGCTTTTATTCTAAAATATGTTGGTGGTAATTATTACAAAGAGGGAAAGACAAACACTAAAAACGTAACATTTGGTAGAAATGAAACAGATCCCAAATACCCAGTATGTTCAAAGTTATCCAAAGAGCATTATTGGCTCTTGAAATCCAGACTGTAGCACAACAGATAATAATGATGGCACCAAAAGGGCTCTTTGGGATTATGTGCAAAAAACTCTTTTGAGACTCTTGAATCTGTACATCAAATTTTTATATAATATTTTTGTTCTCCATGTCTCTTTGGAGCTATTTGGATTTATCCTTTGATTACCTACTCCAAAGTTCACTTGACTTTGGTGTGATTACCAACAGTCAGTTATTTCAGTCTATTTCAAGATGTGACACCTTGACTTTCAGAGTTTCCTCTAAGCCACAGCAATATTGTTTCGTTCCCTGTAGAGGTGATGGCCTGCTTGCTCTTCTGTAAACATTTGGTCCTTTAACTGGATGCCTCTGAAAATTTTTGACAATATGTTTATTACAAAGCAGGCCCGTAGACCAGAGCAGAGCATTTTCAACAATGACATGATGAACAAGAGTTTCATCAAGCAAGGAGTAAACATGGAGTTCCCACAAAAGGCACATCATGGTGCCAAAAGTACAGTCTCTACTCACACTATTGTTCTGAGATCCACACGGATCCATCTCTAGCTGTTAAAGGAAACCGTACTTGCAACATTCTACTAGATAAAGAGCCATGCAAATGCTTCCCATACTCTTTGCCATGAAGTGTCGTGTGCCACTCCCAACTGACAAAGAACTCTATCCCTTGTATCTGAGGGAATGCACCCTTAATGCAAAGCACAGAGATTGCAATAATGGAACAACAAGCTAGATGATGCTCTCCTCTGATAAGAGGCATCCACTACTGCATTTGTCAATTTAACACAAATCAAGTTAAGCTTTTAGTGCATGATAAGGGAATTACATTTTACTTAGTTATTTCCATAGAAACTAAAGAGTTTGCAGAGATATTCCACATTTGATTTCACAATCACATCTTCCAAATATTACTTTCAAAAAATAGCATTGGTTTTCAAGGACTGGGACTGGAAGCAGAAAGAGCCTGATGGAAATAAATGAGTTATTTCAAATTGCTACAGTCTATTAATCAGCCAATATTTTAAAAATTAAATCAATATGTTTATTATAATCCAGGTTCAAAAAGAAATGTGTCAATATGTATGTATATATAAACTGCCTCCAGATTCCCGCATGTGGTAAACATGCCTAAATATTTTTCAAGCTATAAAAGGAAACTGAAATAAATACCAGCTGTGCAGGTTTATCTAGGAACGGAAAAAAAAAATATGGAAAGAAGAAAAAGAATTCACTGCTACATCATTAATATAAAATGAATAGAAAAGATTGTAAAGTGGAGACAATGGGTTGTGGTGTTAAGAGAGTATGGAAATAAACTCCTTGGCGCCATATTAGAATCTTGTACTCTTCACTGTACAGATAGTTGACAGTAGAGTCACATAGGGTACACAGGGTCTGTATCAGTGAAAAGGTCACTTCTCCCCCTCTCCCTCTCTCCTTCTCCCCTACACCCCCCATCCCCCCTCCCCCACCCCAGCCCCTGCCCTGGCTACTCCCTCTCCTTTTCCTCCTCCTGTGTTTTTTCTTTTGTCTCTCTGTGTCTGTATTAATCTCTCTGTGCCTTGCTTGAGAGACTCTATGTATCTCTCTTGTGTCTCTTTCTATGCTTTTCTCTCTGGGTGTGCATCTGTTTGTCTATCTGTCCCTTGCTCTTTCTCTCTTTCTTTCTGTCAAAACAAGGTTCTATTTTCCCCCCTTTTCTCTGTCTCTATCCCAGACTGGCTTTTCTGCTTCCAAATGCACAAAAGCAAACAAGGAAGCCCTAGGCCTTGTTTATATTACTTCCCAGACAACACAGGCTAATTAAATTGAGTCCAGATTTCGGGTAACCAAGAGAAACAACCTAATGGAACCAGGTTGAATTCGGCACATATATTTAGTTCAAATAACTGAGGTCATGGAAGGGTACGTAGAGTCTCCTGCTACAAGCATGGTCTTAGGGCCACATGGGAAGAGCAGAAGCAGCTCTCAGATGAAGGGGACTGGGTAGGGAAATATCCTTCGGGGAACTATCCTGGCACATCATTCATGAGTACTTTCCCAATGAAGCCAGCTCAAAAAGATGTTCCACCTAGCACTTAAGTATATGCCACTTACTTTGACACTTACTAGTTGTGTGACCTTGAGAAAGTTTTTTTTTTTTTTTTTTTTTTCAGACGAAGTCTTGCTCTGTCGCCCAGGCTGGAGTGCAGTGGCACGATCTCGGCTCACTGCAAGCTCCGCCCCCTGGGTTCACGCCATTCTCCTGCCTCAGCCTCCCGAGTAGTTGGAGCTACAGGCGCCCGCCACCACGCCCGGCCAATCTTTCTGTATTTTTAGTAGAGACGGGGTTTCACCGTGTTAGCCAGGACAGTCTCGATCTCCTGACCTCGTGATCTGCCCTCATCGGCCTCCCAAAGTTCTGGGATTACAGGCATGAGCCACCACACCCGCCAAAGTTATTTTTCTCTCTAATCTTTAGTAACAAGTACTACCTCACTGAAATGAAGATTGAATATGTGACTAGAAGGTGACAGTATTTATGACTGAGCTTATTACAGGGTCAGTGCCCAATAAGGGCATTACTGCATCTAAATGTTGCCCCTTTGGGGGTTCTGTCTTGCCTCTTAAAAGACTTTACACTAGCTGAGTGGTCCCCACAGTAGCTAGCCACGTGCCAGACACAGAGCAAGTACTCAGAAAATCTCTGTTGGTTAATCAACTAAGTAAATACTCTTAAGAACCTGAAAACTAAAACCAAATGAATGTGTTACCTTTCTTATTCTAAGATGTAGAAGGGATTTTGATAGAAAAAGGAATCTATGATCAGATATCTAAAGGGTAAGTAAAGGTATATGGTCTCAAAAAAGTGAAGCCTGGTTTGGAATTTTTCTTTTGTTCTTAGGATGACAGATCTTAGGATGAATGTAGAGAAATAATTGCTGAAACAGACAGTATTGTTCACATCCATAATAAAGCCATATGTATTAGACCCTGTGTTGACTGTAGTAGTCTTAAGACTTCTGCAACATGACTCCCAATCACAGAAACAAAATATAAATTTCATAACAGCAGAGCACTTCTCTGTTTTGTGCCCTGCTATATCTCTGGCACTGATCACAATGCCTTAACATAACAGATGCTCAATATATGCTTCTAAAATGAGTGGATTAATGAAATGAATGAACAAATCGTAACTTCATCCTCATTAGGGACAGCTTCATGGGCATGTAACCCATGCAGTTGCATAGGGCTCCACACTTAGAAGGACTCCATGCTTGGATTAATGCTTTGTGGTCATTGTCTTGATATTCTTAATCATTTTTGAACAAGGAGCCCCACATTTTCATGTTGCCCTGTGCCCAGCAGTTATTTAACCAGTCTTCCTACCCAGGATATGTAACTAATACTAGTGAACTGGAGAATGCAGTTTCTCACACTGTCTAGCTGTAAACACAAGGAAATGACCTGAGAAATGGGGATGCTTATACTGAAACAGCTGTGAGGCCCCCATAGAGATGCAGTCTCACTAAGTTACAAATGTTCCAGTCCTGCCACCCAGTGCCTTTTGAAGTTCCCTAGAAGCTTCTGCTTCACTCTCCTATCTGGTCCTGGCTTTGACTGTCAAGGAGGTTATCAACATTATGGATGAATGCCTTCTCAGTTTCAGCTACACTGCTTCTGATTTGCTTACTCAATTCCAGAGCCCATTGATGTCTCTTACCAACCTGATATGGTTTGGATCTGTGGCCCCATCTAAATCTCATGATGTAATGCAATCCCCAATGCTGGAGATGGGGCCTGGTGGGAAGTGACTGGATCATGGGGGTGGTTTCTAATGGTTTAATACCATCACCCTAGTGCTGTTTTCATGATAGAGTTCTCATAAGACCTGGTTGTTTAAAAGTGTGTAGCCCCTCCCCCCACCTTTCGTCTGCTGTGGCCAGGTAAGATGTGCCTGCTTCCCTTTTACCTTCTGCCATGATTGAAAATTTTCCTGAAGGCTTTCCTGAAGCTGAGCAGATGCAAGCATCATGCTCCCTGTACAGCCTGCAGAACCATGAGCCAATTAATCCTCCTTTCTTTATAAATTACCCAGTCAGTTATTTCTTTAGCAGTGTAAAAATGGACTAATACACCACCACTCCTCATACTGTAGCTTAATATTGTGGTTGCTTCATTAGCTGCTTTTTAATTAGGGCTTATGGATTTTGCTATCCATTTGTTTACAGGACATTATAGGATTCAAATCAAAGCAAGCCAAATTACTTGTGATTTCAAGATATGTCATGTAACCAGCTCTGGCACATATTTCAGGGCTAAATGTTGGTGCATTAACTCCCCAGTAGCATGAAGAGTTAATAGAAAAATTTAAAAAGTTAATCTATACTTTGTAGGATGCCTCTACTTGACGTGTTTTTCTTTTCAAATATCATTTTCATTATTTTTTATTCTAATAGAGTGGTGATCTTCAATTCAAGCAACCTGTCTCTGATTATATGTTCTCGCTTTCAATGAAAATTTGCTCTTGTCACATAGGAATCCACTGTTATTAGATTCTATTGCAATAATTTATTAATATCAAGTCTATTAAATGATGACACATTGTGTATAGAAAAATATTCTATACTGAAAAAATCACTTTGCTTCAGAATTTTTTAGTTCTTTTAAAGTTATTTGGAAGCATTAATAATTATTTCAGAAGATTTGTCACAGAAGAGAATAGGGCAAACTTTTGAGACTAATAAAGACCATCAGTATCTCTGTGTTAATAATTCTGAATTTACTTACTAGTTTCAATCTTTCTCTAGCCCATCACATTTTAAATGTCCCTGTTAAAATTATACAAAGTCCTCAAGGTATTTAAAAAAATCAAGTTAATGAGTGAGAATGGGATTTACCCCTATCCACTGAATTATGTAGAACAGATCTCCTTTGAATTCCCCTCAATTCTTAACTCTTAAGGCTTTTTTAGTCTTTCTTGGCCCAGTATAACATTTCTGGAGAAGACAAGAGAAAGTACAAATGTTTTTGGACACTCACTAACCATACATCTCCGTTCTGCTGCACTCTCCTGCCATGGCTTGCTCACCTCTCCTTCCCTTTGTTCTTATAATTCATCTGTCTGGTATAGAAAAAGCACAGCCTAACCTGAGCTTTGAGCTCCCTGCATAGAGAATGTTAAGTTCAATTTTCTAAAATACGGCTAAACTAAAAATAGCTTCAATTTACAAACAGAAGAACAAGTGCTGAATTGGGAAGAAACATTGTGCATATATGTCAGTGAATCAGCACCGGATCTCTCTCTTCAGTAAAAACAAATTTAATACTGTAGTCACTAATAGCTCCAAAACATATGAGTAAGCCATTGTTACGCCAAGCTTTGGCATTACTTATTATTGGTAACTGTTTGAGGACATACAAAACACTTGTTACTATTATCAAATCATTTTGAAGACACTAGGCAAGCTTGTGCCAGTGCTGAGAATACACTGTGCTATAAAACCAGGATGAAGCTGTATATTAATTCTCCCATCCACTGCAGTGGGGCTTCCATTGCCGACAGGACAAAGTCCAGACCCTTCACCTGGCATCAAACTACATAACCTGCCTAATTTTCTAATATATACTGAAGGTGCCAGTTATTAAGCCTTTGACTCTCCATTCCAAACCCACCCTTCTGCATACTCAGTTTTGTGATGCTGAGGCTGGGATTCTGCAAATAGCATTTCTGTATTACCAGCATCTCCCTGTTAAGTTCAGCCAATAGGTGGCAATGTATGGGGACTTCAAAACTAGAGAAGGAAGAAAGGAATTACTTTTTCCTTTTTTTCCTGTGTGCTTCCTGTTTACTTCCTATTTGCTTCCTGTCCCTATAAGCATCACCCTAGCAATGCTTCTTTGCCCCAGAAGTCCAATTTTTTTTCATAAAATTAGCTGAATTTTGATTGCAATTTTTCCACCACTTACAGAACCAGCCTCACAGTGGGCCTCTCAGAGATACCAGCATCAACCACCTTGCTCATCCCCTCCTCAGATATCTGAGTCTCAGCCCCACAGGCGTCTTCTCCAGACTTCTAGGTTTTAATAATTCCAGTCTCTTTCCATTGTTTATCTAATCCTAATTCCTACAATTACTGTCTCTGTAATATGCTATTGCTCTTTTTTTTTCTTTTTAGTTATCTAGTTAACAACCTTATGCCTAGTTAAAAACCTTTAATACACTGAAGGAGTAGCCATGTTTAATCTGCTCTGACACTTGATGTTTTTATACACTCTCCTGGAATACTGTCACTGTTCTTTGGAGACAAGCTCAAATATTCTCCAATACCCACCTTAAATATTATCCCTTCTGTAATGCTTTTCTTGACCTCCTTAAACGGAATCACTCCCTTATGATTAGTACATTTTCAGTTGGTACATCCTGCTCTATGCCACTTAATATTATAATTATTTATTTACATTTTATTATGTTCTCCTAGACTATGAGCTCCTCAGAAGCATGACCTATGCCTTATTCACTTCTGTATCCATTGTATCTAGTACATTCTCTAGCACATAATAAGATTATCATAAATGCTCACTTTATTTATTTTGTGCTAATGAACTACAAGATTCTTGGAGCAGATTTAGAGATGGCCTTTAGTTCCAGTGTATAAGCCTTTCGCTCACGTTGCATGATGTAACGAGGGGTAGTTAGAAAGAAGCCAACTCAAGGGGAATCCCCCCACTAGTCAGCCAACTTTATCTCAAATTCCATTTTTAGCAAGTACATGCAACAGTACCTGATATATAATAAGCAGGAAATAAATGTTAGCTATGATATTTTTTTTTTTTTTTTTGAGACGGAGTCTTGCTCTGTCACCAGGCTGGAGTGCAGTGGCACAATCTCAGCTCACTGTAACCTCCACTTCCCGGGTTCAAGAGATTCTCCTGCCTCAGCCTCCCGAGTAGCTGGGAATATAGGTGCACACCACCATGCCTGGCTAATTTTTGTATTTTTAGTAGAGATGGGGTTTCACCATGTTGGCCAGGATGGTCTCGATCTCTTGACCTCATTGACCGCCCGCCTCAGTCTCCCAAAGGGATTACAGGCTTGAGCCACCGTGCCCAGCCAGCTATGATATTTTTTTAATTTCTGTTGCTCAGTAACTAACAATAGCTCTCTGTTTACCCCTGACTGAAACATAAAGTCCTCAATGGGATATTCAAGATTCTTAAAAATATAGCCCAAATTATTTTCTCTCCCACTTTGAGCCTCCAACCAGGAGTTGGGCAACTAAAGCCCACTCCACAGGGTAGGCTACATTGCCCTTATTTTTATAAATAAAGTTTCATTAGAATACAGACATACTCACTCATTTATGTGAGTTAGCTTCAAACGTACCCTTCTATACAATTGTCTGTGTTTACTACTAATATGTATACTGTTATTTATATACACAGTCTATGACTGTTCTCATGCTACACAAGCAGAGCTTACTAGTTATGACAGAGATCATATGCTTCACAAATTCCAAAATATTTGCTATCTGGACCTTTATAAAAAATGTTTGTTGACCCCTGTTCTAGACTATTGCCAAACCAAAATTACAACCTAATTGACCACATATGATTCACAACACTTTTGCCATTCCTAATGTTGCCCCATTTTTGCCTATCATATCCTATTAGTCCTTGAAATATCTCTGACCTGTCCAACTAAAAGGCATGATTCTCTCCTTTCAACTCTAGTTTGATTTTTTATTGCTCTTATAGCATTTATACTTTACTTTGAATTGTTATTTTACATATGGACTCATCATATCCCCCCTAACTGATTATAGATTATTCGAGGTTATGCTGTAGAATTTATATATTTTTCTATCTCTTACAGGCCTGGAAACCAAATAAATATTTGGTGAATAAAATATTTTATATAAATATTGTATTACAAATAAAATAACAAATTTAAATATTTGACAAGTTGAGTCAAATAGAACTAAATTGTATACCAGCAGTTTGCCTGTGCTCATCTCTCAACAGCCTGAGATCCTCACATACCACATCACAGGCTAGATCAACACAGTGGCTAGTTTCTTCCTTTGAACTTAATAACACTGCTCAATCAAAAAAAGATCATTCTTGAAATGATGGTGGCTAAAAAGTCGTCAAGTTACATAAAATAATAAACCAAATCATATTTAAAACTGTATTTGGGGTTTGTGAGAGACTGACTGCTTTTGAGATTAATGGGTAAGATACTATAAGCCTTATGATCTGAATGTGGCTTTAGCCAGCGATTTGAGCTAATGAAGCTATTAGGTGATTCACCTTAAATTTCCTACAAAGTCATTAGCCACAGAATTATTTTCCAAAAATTGTTCTGATGGTTATTATCAAACAAATAGAAGGAGATTGAAATTAGAGCAAATTCAGCCTTTTATAATTAGACACTATTTTGGTCTTTGTTATTATACTCTAATTGTTTTTATATATAAGATAAATTATGAAACTATAAAGGTATGTAATGTGATATGCTTGATTACATAAATACAGTGGAATTATATATGCTGGAAACAGGAGTACAGAAGTGATGCATTATTTTGTCTTAACAAAAGGATAATTAATCGATGATATTCACTCTGCTTAACTTACCTTCATCACTTAAGAACCTTTTTAAAAAATATCCTAAAACAGTAGACTCCTCTAGAAATGCTTCTTAATTAACCAAAGACCTCTATTTAAGAAAACAAAACTTCTCTTCATATTAATTTCACTGGCTCCAGTAACATTTCTTCCCAAGTTATGTATTAATGAATCATGGTCAAGACATCTGGTATATGACTCCCATCTAATCAAAGAAGCCCAAGGTTCAAAGCATAGTCTTCCAAAGGGAATACATGTGAAAAGACTGGCTTAACTCAGGATGCTTTTTTTCTCTTTATTTTATGATGTCCTAATACCTTGAGTCATATTAATCATATCATAGGCCCATCAATATTACTTGCACTGTTATTTTAACTTGGCAGATTATCTCACCCAACAGCAATGATTGAGCATCTACATGAAAAATGACAAGGTTTCAAAAACCCTGGTTTTCATTCTATTCCTCATATGTGCACTGCCAGTTATCTATAAAAATAAGTTAATAGTCAAAAGGGAACACACCTAGCTATCAAATTCACAAGATATAGAATACAGCAACCTGATCATCTAAACATGGACTATGACCCTTCAAGCAAAACAGTGTTATATATGATAATTAAAGATAGTTAATTTATATGAAAAAATGGAAAACAAAACCTTGGAATAGCAACAATACTTTGCTCTGACCTCTACAGTAGCTCTACGTGAGTAAATACACAGATTTATATCTGAAAAGATGCAAGAAAGGCCCTTCAAATAACAACTTACTTTATCAGAATGTCAGTGTTATTGACTCAGTATAATTTTGATATTTTAATGTTTTATAGAAGTATGCCATATACTCATAGAGTGATAACATTGTAAAAGGCTTTAGATATCAAATAAACTAGGGCTCTCCAGTTTGAGGAAATGGATCAGGAAAATGAAGCCCAAAGAGCTGCAGTGCCTTGTTCAAAAATTTCACAGCTAATTATCAATAGTGGAGTATATGTCTTATCATGCACATCTCCTTAGAATCTATTACCTAGTCCTCTAAATTGGGTTATTTGAGGACACAAATATCACATATCCACTGTGCATGTACTGTGTAATGCTAAAGTAAATCCATCATCCTCAAAGAAGATAATATAATCAAATAGCATTAGTAGAAGAAGAAGAAAATAAAGACAAAATTGGCCAGAGGTATGGAACAAGCAACAGCAATCCTACAATCAACAGCCTCTAGGCTTCTCTGCCCATGAGCAGAAGCTCAAGTCCCCCTTCCAGTTGACGGACCCCTGAAGCTATTATATGTTTGTCCATTCAAAACAAGTGAATTATTGATCTTTTCCCCCAAGAATAAATAAATATTTATGTGTGTTTACATGCCTGTGCAATGTATCTACTATGAGATGAGACATAAGTTCTCAGGATCTCATCCTTAATTATTTGAAGATTTTCATCAAAATTGCACAGCTCTCATTGATGGTGGCCAAGAGAAAGACAAAAAGGAGGAGGAATACAAGAAAATATTTGACCTAAATAAGAGGTGTTAGGAGCCATTTGGGCAAATTTCACAATGTATTTTTATGTTTTGTTTTTATCTTGCTAAATATTGATCTTAATAATAATATCATTTACTCAGCTACTTCATTTAATTTTTTGCTTCTTCCTAATATATTCCACATTACTGCACATATTTTTAAAAATATACATATAAGTGATAATGTCATTGTGCTAGAACATTGTCATAGTAGTTCCCTGTTGCTAGATAAATGGCAAGGTAAAGCTAGACATTTACTGAAATTAAATATCGAGATAAATTAAGAAACATTGATTGTAAGAAAATATTCTAATACAGTGGCTTAATTTCTGTTGCACCAAATGATGCATGTTGATATAATAATTTTTCTTTAATAGATCTTTGTGTAGTAGAGTTAAAGTAGCTTACAGTATAATAGAGGAACTATATTCTGATCATTGAAGAGAATCGAACTTGGTATAATATGCAGCCAATCCAACAGCTGTTTGTAGATAATAAGCCTATTTCCTGCTCCACCAAATTATGTATACCAAATAATTTCTCACTAGCAGAGGCTAGTTGTATTCCAACTGTAAATAAAGGTTGACTATTGAACAATTTGATTTGATATTTTTCCATCTAAAGGTTTCTGTACTGCATTTTAGAAATATCTTGGCATATGTACGTACACATACACACACACATACATATATAATTTAACAAAGGAGATGACTAAACTATTTTGCTTATCCTTACGAACAACTAAATGTGCCAGAACAAGTGTGTAGAAACAACAGTGTAGTCCAGATTTTGAAAATGCAATGTATTGACCTTTCAAAACTTGGCTCCAAAAATACACATTTGTTATTTTGCAAACACATCCAAATTTCAGTTATTACAGCTTAGTGAGGAAATTCTGTTCTAGGAGGTTCAATTTAGTATGGTGGGCCATTTGAGTTGGCCAAAGTGAAATCACGAAGGATATCTAAAAACAAGAGCCTTTCTTAGAACTGAGAAAAAGTATGATTCACTGAAAGGAATTCCTTAGTGTATTGGAACTATGAGGAAGACAGAGAAAGGTCATTTTACTGGGGACCAGTTTTGTTTAAGGAGAAAAAGAAGAAACTAAACCAAACTAATTACCCAAGCTTCTACAGTATTCATAAGTCTAGAAATACACTTTGAAGTCTTATATTATATATTTAAAGCAACTTCTCTCAAACTTCCAAGTTCTGAAAGTCGAAGACAGTAAAAGGAACAGAGTTCACCTGAAGAAATACATCATGTTACTGAAGAGTACAAAGATAATGGAGAGTTTGAAAATGTACATAAAAGCAGTTTCACTTAACTTTCCTAGTCATAGGGAGGAAAGTAATAAACTGAAAGGCAGAGGTGGTATAATTGTGTTTGTGTGTGCACGCACACATGCATGCACAGTATAAAAGACAGAGAAAGAGATATATTTTTTCATGAAAATTTTAAGTTGTGTAGATTTTACATACCTAAACTTTAGTCCATAATAATGAGTGCTGGGAAGAATATATCTTTCTTCAGTGACTTTTAGACGGATGTATGTGTGTGTGCATGTACATGTGTGTGTATTTGTGTGTGTGTTATAAATCTGTACCATATTCACTGCCAAAAGAACATATTTAAGAAGTCATACCACATCAGCTAACATTTTCTCTGATTTTAAATGGAGTTAGATTTCCAATTGCAACCAGGTATCTTGTATAATACTTTAAAGCAATACAGGTGAAGGCAGCTAATGTATTAACTAGCTGAAAGAGTTGTTAAATCACTTGGGAAAGTTATTTGATCTTTTTAATTATTCATTTTTATAGCTGGATAATAAGGGGTGGATAATAACAGTAACTATTTTGTAGGACTCCTATAAAAATGAATAAAATTATTTATGAAAAGTATCTGGCACAATTTCGGTTTCAGCCTACAATAATCACTTAGTTAATGTCTACTTCCATTAATATGCAGCAATATGTTGAAGAACTCAGAAATGGCCAGTAATTGGGAAGAAACAGCAACCTTGGGATAGTACCTGAAGTGTTTGAAGAAGAAATCTGTTAGACAATGAGGCTGCAAGAAGGTGTCGTCTAGTTCACTCAATACCATACCAGAAGGGTAGATGTTAGTCTCTTCCAATTTGCTTGGGAGGTAAAAGGCTGTGTGTCTTGCCAGCCTGGCTGTTGGTCCCAGACTCTGGGACCTGCCGTGTGGTTAAGCATGGTTGTCAATCTCATAATTTTGTATAGTGGACCGGTTGCAGTGGCTCATGTCTGTAATCCCAGTACTTTTGGGGGCCCTCAATGAGAGGATTGCTTGACCCCAGGAGTTCAGGACCAGCCTGGGCAACATGGCAAGACCCCATCTCTACAAGAAATAAAAAATTAGCCAGGCATGGTGGTGTGACCTGTAGTCCCAGCAACTTGGGAGGTTAAGGTGGGAGGATCACTTAAGCCTGGGAGGTCAAGGCTGCAGTGAGCTGTGATCACACCACTGCACTCCAGCCTGGGTGACAGAGTGAGTCCTCGTCTCAAAAATAAATAAATAAATTCAATAAAATAACTTTGTACAGTGACAATAAAGCTCTAACGTGCTTACTTATTTTTCTGTCTTTCCTTCCCATTTAGATTGAAACAGAAAAGAGAATATTTTAAAAATAAGCTTTTCCAGGCCAGGCACAATGGCTCATGCCTATAATCCCATCACTTTGGGAGTCCAAGGCAGGCGGATCATTTCTAAATAAACCAAAACAATGAAAAGCAAACTTTTCCTCTAGGTTTCTAGTCTTTTTCATCTTTTGTCATAGGCTGCTGAGAAGAAAAGTTTTGCTGTTGTCTTTGGGTTGTTTTTTCCTATTCATGTTTTTGTAGGAATATTGAGTAATAATAAGGGAAAAGTTGCATCACCTTCATGCCTGCCACGCTAGATCTACACAGCCTACAAATCATAATGTATTATTTTAATTACACTTTTGAAAGGGGGCTGTCAGAGAGCAAATCTTTCTAAATTCTTCCCACATAAGAATTCATAAGTTACGCTAGGTACTGAATATACTCACATATCTGAATCCAAGGACCTAAGCATCTAGATGAAAAGTAAAAGGGTTAATTATCTATACATAAAGACAATTGACTGTATTTTTAGCTTGTGTTCTAGATATTCAAGAAACATTGTGGTTACAAACAAAAAATAAAAATAAGACAACAGGTACATGAGTATGCTTGAACCCTGAATCAAATTAATATGGTACCCTTTGAACATTTACCTAAAGTGTGGCTCCCAGCCTTAGTTAATATTAGAAACACTTTTCTTCCACATTTGAAAACCAGTGTCCAATGGGATGTTCGTAGAGTTGTCTTCATTTTAGACAGCCAGAAATTACAACAAATAGGTGGAAGCTCACATTGATACCAACCAGTCTCCAGTAGCTTGTGTGTGAAGAATTGTGATCTGATAACAACAAAAAGGGCTTGATTAAAGCCATAGCTGTCTGTTTTGGTTTTGCTTCTGTGTTGCAATTCTGATAACTGTATGTTGAAAACAGAAGGGCAATGAATATTATCATAAAAGCCACCCATTGGCAAATAGGTCTAACACCTGCCACAAAGATTAACCCTGTTCTGTATTAAGATCACTCCATTTATCATAGTTGGTACATAAAGGTTATGATGTGACTTTCATACTGTGTTACATAAAGTTTGATGCAGCGGGATTCTTAAAATTTCTCCAGGAGTATTATCATTGTAAATATTCTTGCTTAATGGTTTTCTGTTTCTGGTTTGCCCTTACCACAATAAATAGTCATTATTACAACTGTATGGTTTTAATTGATCACAGAGATTTTTGTCTTCAATGGATAATACTTTGGCTTTACTGGTTTCGAGCTAGCCTGTGGATATTATGAAATACAGTGCAGATATGAATAAATTGCTCTAGTTTAGTAATCAAGGTGAGCAATATAATTAATAAGTCAAGTTTTATTGTTAATAAATTGCTCTAGTTTAGTAATCAAGGTGAGCAATATAATGAATAAGTCAAGTTTTATTGTTTTCCTTTAAATTACTCATTATTTTTTCTCAAGTGTTCCAAATGCTGTGGTAGCAATGGGCAGAATTTAAATCTCATACTAAGTTAGACCTCTCACAAGCTTGGTATCAATTTAATTTTAGAGCCCAGTTCTCTCTATTGCCTTTGTGAGGGCACACATGTTATGGTAGATTCATTGCCAAAATGGCTCTGATTCTCCCTCCATCAGGAGGTGAAGTCTGTTTTTCCATCCCTTGAGTCTGGGCTGGACTATGACTTGCTCTAGTGAACACAATGTGACAGAAGAGTGGTGCAAGTTCTGAGCCTGCACTTTTAAGAGGCCTTGCATGCATCTGTTCTCTTCCTCTCTAGGAAGCCAGCTGCTGCCAGAAACAAAGCCTGGACAAGTCGGCTGGAGGATGTAAGACCATGTGGAAGAAAAATCAGCTGTCCTATCCTAGAGTAGCCTTCAGCCAGCTGACTTGCATCTAACTACAGATGCACAGAAGAGCCCAGCAAGATTTGATTCATGAAATCTAGCTAAGACCAAAGAGTCACCCAGCATACATGCATATTCACAACATAAATAAATGCTTATTTTTAAAGCCACTTGATTGTTGTTAATTGCTACACAGTAATGTGGCAATAAACTGCTGATACATAGACCATCTGATCTGGAAATACACAGAATATGAAACAAAGGCTTTTCCAAGGCACAAAGTACAACGTTTACTGGTGTACAGTTTCCATACATTTCCTGACTCTCCAGAAAGGGGTGTGTTTACTGTGGTCATTCTCAATCATACACTTCCAAAATTATAAACAAAACTAAATTACATGTGAATTATAGTGCCCCACAGGGATATAGTCATAATAGCTAAGGCCAGTCATGAAAAACAAAAGACAGTTGGCTTGACATATAAGGTAATCTCCACAATTCAGGCCAGCTGAAAAAGCAGCTGCACTTTTACATACTGCACTTTTACATGTAGGCTATGTTACAAATTTCACTGTGTATATTTCCTTCATATAATTGGTAAAACCCAAGCACCTTCAAAGAATAAAGTAGATTGCCTAGTTCCTGATACCACATTTTGTTACTAGAACATTCTGACCCTGATATTCTGAACTGTTTCATAGGCCACCAAATACAAGTGTCAGCTAAAATGGTTTGAGGATGGGACAAAAGGGTTGATTATCTAAGAAACCTGAAATAGATACTATTGAATTCATTTTGTCATTTGTCCAGAGCATGTGATTCCTAAACCTAACCACTGAGCTGTGGCATGAACTTAATTAAAACCCTATAAAATGCTAGTTATGGAAGGAAAAAGAAATGATTATTTCAGATTTTTGGATGGTGTAGGGCTTCCCCAAATGACTTTCTCCTTTGGAGCTATTTGCTCAACTCATCATGTTTGAGTATATACAAAGGATCTGTCTTGCAAAATGATGAATGCTAGAAGACATTTTTAAGAGAAATTTATCAGTAGTTCATTTCAGAAAGAATTCTAACTGCAATCAGCCTCACTGGATTTTCATCTAACAACTGCGAAGCTCTTATGTGTGATTACAGCAGGTTTAGAGCACCACTATGTGGTCTGTTGGTGAGTATGTGAAACTGTGTGTGTATTTTTTATGTGTGTGTGTGTGTCTCTATATATATATATGCCACACACATGAAAAAAACAACAGAAAATGTGATGCTTCTCCTGTTTTTTTTAAAAAAGATTATTTGTTCACAAGACTATGAAATGCAAATAACTCTTAAAAAGAGTAAATGAAATCTTTGCATTTAATTGTGCAAAAACAAAAATAATTTGGTAGCTAATTTTAACAAATGGAAAAACACCCAGGCCATTTTTTCCAAGGGATTCGATCTTAATGCATTTTGCTATTGTGTTTCATCTGCATGTGGTACATTACATTTAATGGAAATCACACAGTCCAATTATCTCTCCTAGGGGAAGAGGAGAAAGGAAAAAGGAGATAGGGGAATCTATCGTAAGCTAGGGAGATGCCTTTGGCAACTTAACAGGGGAAGAACAGACAGACTCTGCTTTACAGCCATTCAGATAAATCCCTCACACTTGGGGACTCTCCAAATAGGAACCTCCAGAAGGGGCATAGTGTGTTCTCACTAGAAGTGGGACCAAGAACCTGCTTGTTCCTAAACGGGGTTCTGTAGAGAGTGCAACTTTGCTGTTAGTCAAACTGCAAATGTGGCTTCCTTTCTAGCAGCTGCATATACTGGGGGACACAATTGAGCCCATTTGTTCTTAGCACTCAATCCAGAAGACCAATTATAGAGCTCATTTCTGCAGAAAGATGCTTCTAGTTGCCTAAAAGTATAATTCAGCTCCCACAAGTTTCATCATAAATGGTAAATGATGTTACAGTGGCTTCAATTAGGATTAGGAGAATAGTCTGGACTCCTCGTGTGACAAAAGCTTAAGCTGTACTGGCCAATGTAGTAGCCACTAGCCACATGCAGCTGTTGAAATTTTAATTAATTAAAATAAATTTAAATTAAAATGTAGTTCTTTAGTCACACAGGCCATATTTGAAATGCTCAACAGACACCTATGAATAGTGGCTACTGTATTGTGCAGCCCAGATAGAGAACACTTTTATTATGGCAGAGACTTCTGTTGTACAGTACTGATATACAGCAATATGTGAGCTCCTGCCTGCATTTCTTATGTATTAGATCAAGATACTGAATGACAGTCTGGGTTTCAGCATTTCTCTTGTGCTTTTTCCTTTCCTTCCTCCTGCTGGTTATGCAAGATTGGAATAATTCTGGTTATTTGTACCTACTGACCCTAAATCATGGAGGGATCCCAGTTCCAGTATAGACGATCAAGATAGATCTCTTCTGTGCTTGTGAAAATGGCAGGAGATCACGTGGAAAAGATGGAGATGGCTTCCAGGACAAAGGGCAAAGATTGAAGTAATGAGCTTCCTAGCTCTACCCTCTTCTCCCTTTTAGCCATAAAAATGGGTATTTATGCTATGTTTAGAGAGGGCTGAAATTGCAAAAAAAAAAAATTGTAACTGTATGGGCTGAGGATAAAGATTTCCTGATGTCTACAAAAGGTTTGGTTAAAAATGCATCTTTGAGAAGACAAATGTTATCTTTTCAAAGGGACTTACCTTATTTAAAATTGCAAATTTTCCTTGACTCCTTCCCTAATACTTTCAAGTCTATGTTGTTTATCTCTCCTCCAGTTATAATGTAAGATCAAGGACATACAGATTTTTGTCTTCTTAGTTTTCTAATTTATCCAAACAGGAAAGTATCTGCATGTGGTAGGCTCTTAATAAATATTTGTTAAATGAATAAATGCATTACTCATCTCCAGTGTGGTTCTCTGTCTACACAAGGATTAATAAAATCTCTCAAGTTACTTACAGCTAGGCTAGAGTTTGCTGGCTACTACATTACCACAAGTTCCCAAAGGAACACAGCTATTAACATTGACTACCTGATTCATGTATCACTCCAGTTACTTCGAGACTCTTACTCAATGTCTTCTCCTGTCCTCCAATTTATCTTGTTGATCTTACCTATAAGACTCCATTTCTTTCTCCCTGAACTTCTGCATATCCAGCCTATTACTTCACAAATCTAGCCTTTGTAATGCTTCAGGAATAATCAAATCTCTATGAATGGACTCCATAAATCCTCTGTCTATGATAGGTGTGCAAAGCCCTCAGTGGTTTGCACCAACAACTACCTCCTGAGCCCTCTAAGCTTCCTGATAATAGCTGCAATATCAATTATGACCCTCTTGGTTGCAATGGACAGGATACTTTTTGCTAGCAGTCCAAAGGGACTTCATTGGCACAGAATGTCTCAGAATAGGTTGAACAGTCCAGCTGTCTGAGGATCAAGAGTTCAGTCTAGCCTCATAAACAACTGAAGCCAGGGGTTTAGAAACCTCTAAGATTCTGTTTCTCATCTTTGCTCCTCTCTGCATATCAACTTTAGTCTCTGTCACTGCAGATGATCTCTCTCCACATAATGTAAACCTTAACACCATTAATTCCCAAAGATTCACTCTCAAACCTTCATTCCCAGAAATGGGAGACCAGAGACTCTCTCATATCCTGATTCAAATTCTCAGGTTGCAGAATCATTGCTCTAGCCTGGGACAGGTTTTCCCAAGAGGCAGGGTCACACTATAGTAACATGCAGGCTCTGGTTAAAGATGAAGATTGAAGGAAAAGGAGTGATTTTCAGACAGGTACTGGGTAAACTCTCCCAAGTATCTACTATAGAAACAAGACTTTTTCATTTTTTAAAAAAATCTTTTCTAGCAGTGTCTATACTTTTAGATGCTCAATAAGTGTTTGTGATAAATGACATTATTTTGACAGCTGAATTAAATAGAAAACTTGAGGGGCTCTGATGTATCCATATCATTATTTATTAGTAAAGTGTTTTAGCTGAGCCCCTTACTACCAAGACACAGGGAATGAGAGTTACTCTCTGTTTTCCAGAACTCAACTACTGCCTTATCAATATCGCAAGATTAAAATAAGAAACTATCTTGGAAATAGTAATAAATAATTATTATTGTTTGCTCTGCCAAGAGCTCACACACATTTTCATACAGTAGATTATGTCAGACTGTATAAATCTGAATCCTGACTCTACCATTTTTAACTATATGACCTTGGCAAATTACCTAACTCTTCTCTACCTCAATTACTGCATCTATAAAATAGAAATTAAAATAATGCCCATCAAATGGATAACATTTGCCAAGAACTTAGAATACTACCTGGTATACATTAAGGCAATGTTTTCAACTTTGCCTCTACAAGGGACATTTGACAATGTCTAGTGATGTCTTTGGTTGTTTCAACTTAATGGAGTGGGGAGTGCTTATGGCTAATGATAGAGGTCAGAAATACTACTATATTAGTCCATTTTCATACTGTTATAAATAATTGCCCAAGGCTGGGTAACTTATAAAGGAAAGAGGTTTAATTGACTCACAGTTCAGCGTGGCTGGGGAGGCCTCAGGAAACTTACAATCATGGCAGAAGGCAAAGGGGAAGCAAGGCACTTTCTTCACAAAGCGGCAGGAAGAAGAAATGCCGAGTGAAGGAGTGAGAGCTCCTTATAAAACCATCAGATCTCATGAGAACTCACTTGCTATCATGAGAACAACATGGGAGAAACTGCACCCATGATTCAATTACCTCCACCTGGTCTCTCCCTTTACAGGTGGGGATTATGGGGATTACAGTTCAAGATGAGATTTGGGTGGGGACACAAAGCCTAACCATATCAACTACTAAATGAAATAGTGCCATGCACATGACAGCTCCTCCATCCCCACCAAAAACAAGCAAAAAAATTAAATTGTTTAATTAATTAAATTATTAAATAATTATTAATGATTAAATTATTAAATCCTGAATATCAATAGTGCTGAGGCTGAGAAATCCTCTGTTAAGGGGTCATTAAATGTTAGTTACTATTACAATGAGAAATAACAATTACAACAACAAACTTGCACAACACTGACAAGGTACCAGGTTCTATTCTAATCACTACATATATTAACCAAGTTTAATCTTCACAAAAAGCAAAAATCAAACAAAAACTATGAGGTCAGTACTATTTTGTATCTCTATCTTGCAAACATGAGGGGTATAGGTATAATGACAAGGATTCAGTCTCTAGTTCTCCTGGGAGGGTAATTGAAACCCACCCGTTAAATTACAGTAAGCCTTGTGGAGAATTATTCTTGCTGGGAGATATGTTTTTATTATAAGAAGCTTATATAGATTTTGAATGCTCTTTCCTTCTTTCCTCTACCTACTTTTACTCTCCAATTCATATTTTAAGAATGTTGGAATTTTCTTATTTGTTTTAAATCAGCCATTCAAATCCAATAGTTTCCCTTCCTCTTCATTTTCCCAGCCCCTCCCCTGATTATTAGAGGTTACTTTGCAAGGATTACAGCAAATAACGGATATGAAAAGAGATTTGAGTATTTATTCTAAAGCTTAAGTTGGCTTTCCCGCACTTTGATGTATAAGCCTCTTTCTGAATTTTCTCCAAATGGATTGAGTAACACTGCAAAAGTACCTTCCAAAGCAAAGGTTTGCAAGATGGTGACAGAATGTTGAACATCTGCCCTTTGGGGACATTAGAAATAAAATGGCTTCTTTCTTGGATTAATGCAGTTGTTTGAAAACTGATTACTTATTGAGGCTTTCGCTCATTTTTTAAAGATCTCATTTTGCTTAGAAACAATGCTCGCAGGCACCATATTTTTAAGTAGGGGTGTGTGTGTATGTGTGTGTGTGTGTGTGTGTGTGTGTGTGTGTGTGTGTTTTAACCAAGACTGAGAGAAGCTGAATTAAATGTAATCAAATAGCTGTTCTTGGGACCTAGTGCAATGAAAAATTGAGGCATTCAGCCAAATCCTTAATCTTCCTTACAAAAATACCTCTTACTTCTCAGGCAATACAGGTAACCTTAAGAAAATAAAAAGATGTCCATTTATCACCAACACTCCAAAGGCCACTCTCTTTTTGTATCTACTCACTTTTCTTCTCTCTCAATGACCTAGCATTTCTATTGATGAAATGTGACACTTTGCAGAAGCCATCTGAACATGGCGTATCAAGATTGCAGGAGACTCAAAATTTTATCCAATCAAATTCTGCAGGTTGTCTAGATTTAGGAAGAGACTGATCTAGACCTTCCTAAGACAACATCTTTCAAGTGCCCATAGGTAGCACATTTTCTGAAACACTTGTATATAATTTGCCTGTCTCATAGTATCTCCTCTCTTAGTCACAATACACTGCAACTGAAAAGTCAGAAACCACAAAATATGGAGTAATCAAGACTCCTCAACTGTGAGGAAAATAAAAAGCAGGATTCACCACAAACAGTTTGGGCAAACAAGCCCTCAATAAGACCTCCTGCCATGTACCAGGGACCCAGCACTCACAAGCTGTCCTCTAGCTACAACTTTCCCCATCACAGCATCACTTCTCCTGGACCCCCAGGTTTAATCTCTATTGTATCTACTATGAAACTCTCTCTTGTACTGCAAAATCTGTTTGCTGAAAACCTTTCACAAAAGACCTTGTTTTGCCAAGGAGGTAATTTTTGGTGTGTGAATACTGCTTACTACTTTTTACTTTTAATCCTAAGAATTCAGGTGGTGGGATTTTTGTTGTTGCTGCTGTTGTTCTTTGTCTTACTTAAAGCAATTTACATGTGTATGTGTTTGTATGTATTATATATGGAGTTCTGCAAGAAAATGAAAGGCTTTATAAGTTGTCTTAAGAAAACGTTCTTCTCACAGTGTTCTGACAAATGTGCACTGCTTTGTGTACAAATGACTGATGGTGGGCCCCTCAAGGAGGTCATTCACTGTACTGGCTTTTGTGTTCAGTTTGGTGGGTGACTGAAGATAGTTACGATGTTGGCACACCCAGGAGGGAGTGAGCAGAATTGCAGGAGGAGAAATAAATTTTCTGTACTTTGGACAAACTACTCCTGAAAATGGCATTGTTTCACAGAACATTTTTAATAAGGTTTTTATGAGTGGTCTAGTTATTAGATATGTAACAATTTTGAAATATTTAAATCAACAATGAATTCATCAGGTAAATTCCGGCATGTGTCTGAGCAGAGAGTTAATGTAGGATAAATATTCTATCTTTAGAGATGCCCCTAAAAGTTCTATTTCCACTCAGAACTATGGAATGAGGTGAAACCTTTGGATGGAATACTTACAAGCATTCTCTCTAAGCAGCAGTAGATTTTTTTTCTGTCATATTCTTAATTTTAGATTAGAATTACTCTATTTAATCACCAACCAGAAGAAAGAATATTTAATTAGGCAAACACAACTTACTCAAAGGTGGACAGACTGAATCCTGCTCATACTAGGTCATGAAATAATAAAGCTAGAAATTCCCCCATAGACCCTCTGTCCCATTCCTTCTTTTACAGTGGCTCAAGGTCATAGAGGCAGAAATTCAGAGACAGAGATGAGGTCTCCACTCCCAGAACAGTATTCCCGCTACTACATTGCATCATCATTTCTCATTTTACCCACTCAGAGCATCCCCACTCAGAAGAGCCAAGCAAATAAGCACAGAACCAACATGCCAGGGTCTAAAACAAGGTGAGACACTGAGAAATAATCAGGCAGCCAACCTTAGGGTAATCTGGAAACTACTTTAGCCTCTTTTTCTTTTGTTTTCTCTAACTCCTGTCATTGTATGGCTATTAGGTATATTTGCCACTACAAAATCTTATGTTTCTCATCCCATGTTGAGAAGATTAAAGGAAGAGGATGCAGTAAAAAGGTTGGATGGAATAAGGCAGATTTGAGAGTCTAAAGAGAAGATTTTAGGCCTAATGGGCTTTGGAAAGTATTTGCAAAACTGAACTAGATATTGGCCTGGTTGTCATGGAAACTAGCAGTGCCGAGAGGTAAAGATAAGAGCTCTGGTGAGAAAGGTTCTCCCTGAAGTTCTGGGGGATCATATAAACTCCCAACCCACCTTTGGGCTTGAAATCAGTCTGTTCTGCTACATAGCAAATGTGCAACATGCTGCTGAATATATTTCTCAAGTTAAAAGTATTCTGTAGCTTCCTTTATTGTGCTAGTTTTTTAAAAATCCATATATTGTGTTCTGGGCTCCTCCTATCTCTTATCTACTACAGAACAGGAGCGAAGGAGAGAAAGACAGGGGCACTGGCAAAGAATGCATTTGGCAATGTCCTATTGATTTCCACTTTCTGCTTCATCAAATTACAGCCCCAAAAAAGTGTTTTTTCACAAATGGTGCTCATGGAGTGTCAATTGTCAAAATCTGTTTGCTGAAAGCCTCCTTTCACAAAATACCTTATTTTGCCAAGGAGGTAATTTTTGGTGTGTTAATACTGCTCACTACTTTTTAAGTCCTGAGAATTCAGGTGGTGAAATTTTTGTTGTCATCGTTATTTGTCTTAAAACAATTTACCTGTGTATATGTTTATAGGTTTATGTGAATGTGTGTGCATGCACATACATATGTGTACAAATATATGCACATGTGTATATGTGTGTGTCTGCCTATATGAATTTATTTTTCATTATCTCCTGCATTTTCATGTTAATGTTTACTCTTGTTTTGCGGTTGGTATAAATTATCTGGAAATTTTTACATAACAATCATTTGTCAAAGTGCTTAGTGTTTTTGTTTCTATTACTAAGTAATTAATGCATGTTATCAATGAGTTGGGTAAACATACAACCCAGTCTTAAGTTAATACCTTCTCTCAATACATTCAAATATAGTTACATGATTTTTAGTAAGTACACAAAGCTCAGAATAGTATATTTAAGTGTTTACATATGAAGCAAGTCTGCAGAAAGTAGGAGAGATAAATATGGTTACAGGTACCAACTCATTTTGGCAAGGAGGAGGCCAGAGAGGCACTGATAATCATGTGGAATCTGGTACTTGGTATCCACACTGCTTTGCTCTCTGCCTTTCCTTTTCCCTGTTCCAGCTGAATGTGCCTGTATCCCTCCACTTGCATGCTCAGGCCTACCAATACTTTAGGTAAGTTGAGACTCTGAACAGGGAGGATACCAGAAACCTACAGCTCCTAAAGCACTGGATTTTAATCAGATTCCATTACTGTTGCTGGACTTACACATGCTTGGATTGTGAAAACTTTTGACCACGCTCTTTGCCTATACTCACAACCTTCTGCCACCCAATTTCCCAAAGCTAGTTTTTCATCTTTGTTGGCTGAGTTCCTAACCTCTGGATCCCTGGTAACCATTCTACTCTACCTCTTTAGCTGATAAACAACCTGAACCTAAACTTTGGCCCACCCAAGTCTTTCAACTTCCTTTGTTGGTACTAGCTAATTACCTTTTGGAACTCCTTCAGTGTGCCTTCCTATATTAAAGAGGCAGGAAAGCTAAAAAATACGTTTCTAAGTCTTCTGTGCATCCAAGGGCATGCTACAGGTGAATGAGAATTCACCTATTAGATCCCTTCAATGAGATTTCAAAGGCAGAATAGAGTCCTCTGGGGCTATTCTTACTGGCACACAAGCCATGGAAATGTCAAGCTTTTCTACAACATTGTTTCAATGTCCACTCTCCAGGTTTCTGGATGTGAAGAGGCAATTGTAGCATAAGCAGTAGGCAGACCCCATCACCAGGGTGTTGGGGGGCATTTATCACCGGCAGTGGTGGCAGTAGTGGCTGCCCCATCCCTGGGTGGCAATCTCATCAATGTGTTCTGGAACCATTTATTCTTGTGAAAGCCTCAGAGGCAATGCAAGTGTTCTGGAAGCCATCCCTGGAGATGAAGCTTAGAACCTGTTCTCCAGGCCTCCCAGTAGGTCAGGGAGCATCTCATTCCCTGTTTTAAATAACTTGTGGCTTAAAATACATACAGTAGTTTCTGCTTTCCAAGCAAACCCAGATACGTCAACCGGGAGGTCAGGCTCTGTGGGCAAAGGGGGACCAAGAGATGACACAGCCAGAGAACTTAGCAGATGAGAAGTTGACCCACACAGGACTGACGAATCAGGAAGAACAAAAAGCTCTACCAATCTAGGTATGCAAGGCTCAGAGTCTGAGCTATCAGAGCCACAAAACAGAGGATGAGCTCTGATATTGGAGAAGAACTCTTTTCTACAAGCCTTGTTTTATTGGCAAGTTCAAGCTACTGTGACCCCATAAGTAATGTTAATCATCCAAATGAAGAAATTACTCTCAGGCCTTTTTGAATGAATAGAGCCAGATAAATTTGCCTGGGTTTATTTACTTTGCCCGTGAAAACATGCCCCTAAAATACCTTTCTGACATGAAGTTACTTAAAAGGTTACTATGCCGAAAAGAGAGGATGAGTTGGGAAGCAATGGTTCCATGCCTTGGTTATAGAAAGTAAAGAGGAAGATTAATATTAATGAGCACTACAACATGTCAGGTGCTTTTGTACATTATTTATTTATTTATTTTTTAATTTTATTATTATTACACTTTAAGTTTTAGGGTACATGTGCACAACGTGCAGGTTTGTTACATATGTATACATGTGCCATGTTGGTGTGCTGCACCCATTAACTCGTCATTTACCATTAGGTATATCTCCTAATGCCATCCCTCCCCCCTCCCCCCACCCCACAACAGTCCCCGGTGTGTGACGTTCCCCTTCCTGTGTCCATGTGTTCTCATTGTTCAATTCCCACCTATGAGTGAGAACATACAGTGTTTGGTGGTTTTTTGTCCTTGCGATAGTTTGCTGAGAATGATGGTTTCCAGCTTCATCCATGTCCCTACAAAGGACATGAACTCATCATTTTTTATGGCTGCATAGTATTCCATGGTGTACATGTGCCACATTTTCTTAATCCAGTCTATCATTGTTGGACATTTGGGTTGGTTCCAAGTCTTTGCTATTGTGACTAGTGCCTCAATAAACATACGTGTGCATGTGTCTTTATAGCAGCATGATTTATAATCCTTTGGGTATATACCCAGTAATGGGATGGCTGGGTCAAATGGTATTTCCAGTTCTAGATCCCTGAGGAATCGCCACACTGACTTCCACAATGGTTGAACTAGTTTACAGTCCCACCAACAGTGTAAAAGTGTTCCTATTTCTCCACATCCTCTCCAGCACCTGTTGTTTCTTGACTTTTTAATGATCGCCATTCTAACAGGTATGAGATGGTATCTCATTGCGGTTTTGATTTGTATTTCTCTGATGGCCAGTGATGATGAGCATTTTTTCATGTGTCTTTTGGCTGCATAAATGTCTTCTTTTGAGAAGTGTCTGTTCATATCCTTAGTCTCGCTCTGTCGCCCAGGCTGGAGGGCAGTGGCACCATTTTGGCTCACTGCAAGCTCCGCCTCCCGGGTTCATGCCATTCTCCTGCCTCAGCCTCCCACGTAGCTGGGACTACAGGCACCCACCACCATGCCCGGCTAATTTTTTGCATTTTTAGTAGAGATGGGGTTTCACCATGTTCTTCAGAATGGTCTCAATCTCCTGGCCTCGTGATCTGCCTGCCTCGGCCTCCCAAAGTGCTGGGATTACAGGCATGAGCCACCGCACCCAGCCCTTTTGTACATTATTTTATTTAATTCATAGATACTTATATGGTAAATATTATTAATATCACCCTTTTAAAGACTACAGTCTAGAGACATTAACTAATGTGCCCAAGATCACACATCCACTAAGAGGCATAGCTGGGATTTGAACCCAGGCAAGCCAAAATCTCTGCCTTAACCACTATGGAATCTACCTCTCCATAGGCTTTCCTTTCCTGTAGGCTTGACTGTATAGAACAACTCTCAATGGGTCATAATTATTTTATTATCTTATTTCCATGGTAGTCCCCAAGCTTGGCACAAAGTAATTTTCCAAATGAAGTCTGATCTGGCCTTTCCTGGAGCTGGGTAATGGTGAAAGGATTCCTAAAAATCCTCACAGTGTCTGCTCCACCAAAGGGACCTGCCTTTCCTCTTCTTTAGACCCTCTGAGAGTCCGAGTTGGTTCTGGAGCCTGGAGCCGGGGCTGCTCACTGATCTCCTGGAGTTGCCCTCTCCCCTCTGGCATGCCAGGGAGGTCCCCTTCTTTATTCACCAATGCTCATCCTCTGGTTCTGCATTAGTGCTGGAGAGGCACGGGCTATCCTGCCAGGAAAGGAGCTGCCCAGATGGAATTTTAAGAGAGTGAAGCACAAAATAACTCTTAATTGTATGTGGGTGAAAACATTGGAAGGTAATAAGGAAAATCACAGAATAATGAGAAAAAGTTTTAGATGTAATAAAATGTCCTCATTGTTGCTATTTACGTATATTTCTCATGGGTGCTAGGCTTGTTTTGCTGTATTCTGTTACTTTCCTGCTGAGGCCAGCCATTTATATCCCATGTCGCACAGTACTTCTCTCAGAAACCAAGTCAGTTCTAGTTCCCATTATCTTGACAGAGACAGTTTCTCAGTGAGGAAAACAAAACTGGGAAGAGAAGAAAGGCTTTCATGCTCTGGTCCCACCCCTTGGGTCCAGGCCCAGGTTCTTAGGCTCTGTGTGCCAGGATATTGATCCCCTCTCTGAAATATACTAGGAGTTAGAGTGAGTTCAATCCTGTAATCCCAGAAAGTCCATTTTTTTCTTAAAATCCAATTATCTGGATCCATGTTCCTTTTTGTGTTTATCTCTTCTTTACCACTTCCTGGTATATTTGACCCTTGAACAATGTGAGGGTTGCAGGCACTGACTCCCTCAACCAGTTGAAAATCTGTGTATAACTACTGACTTCTCAAAACCTTGACTACTAATAGCCTACTGTTGACCTGAAGCTTCATGGGTAACATAAAGTTAATTAACACATATTTTGCATGTTATATGTATTATATATTATATTCTTATAATACAATAAGCTAGAGTAAAGAAAATGTTGAGAAAAATATAAGGAGGATAAGATAGATTTACTATTCATTAAGGGGAAGTGAATCGGGATAAAGGTCTTCATCCTTGCTGTCTTCATATTGAGTAGGCTGAGGAGGAGGAGAAAAAAGAAGGGTTGGACTTGCTGTCTCAGGGGTGGCAGAGGCAGAAGAATATCCATGTGTGAGTTGACCTGCATAGTTCAAACCCATGTTGTTCAAGGGTTGACTGTATTTTGTAATAAAAATAATAGCTAACATTTACTGAGCACTTACTATGTAGAAGGGACTATGCTAAATTTCCCTGGTAACTCTATGCTCTCAATAGTCCCAGGAAATGGGTATTATATGAATCCCTGTTCCAGAGAGGAAGAAAGTGAGACTCAGGAGTAAAATGACCTGCCTAAAAGCAGACAACCAAAAATGGGCAGAACAGTAACTTAAGTCTTTCTGACAACAGAAACACTCTTAACTACTTGATTTATTGGACTAAAGAAAATCGACCCTTCCCTGTTGGCCTTGTCTCTGTTCTGTTATGGAATAATAAGGAATCAAGCATTGACATTAGGCCAGAAAGTTACTTAGAAATATATAGAATGCCAACATGGAGGTAGCAGGAAAATGAACTTGAGATCTCCAGGAGTCAGGGGAAATTTAAGACAGAAGAATTAGGACCTAGAAGACCTTTTGCATTGTCTTCCATTATCAACCATTAAGAGTCCAGGATTTATTAATAACAAGATGTTATTTTCCTCATATGAGGTATTATGGCCAATTATGTGGCTTGGAGGTAGAGAAGAGACCCCTATGAAAAATCAATATTTCATATGGAGTTAACAGCACACCTGCACTTTGTAATCTTGTTTAGTGCTTTTTGTTTTCTGTTGCAAAATAAATAACTGAGGTTATATGCAAATCTTCTCCACAGTCCAAATGGCACCTATATGTCAGAGAGCTTCAAGCGAAGGAGAATTTGAATGAACTATAGATATTATTCATAATACTCAGTTGTTATGTTACAAAGAAAGAAAGCTAGCTGCTGATTGGGTTATATTTTCTAAAAGACCCATAAAAAGGGACAGCCAAGCAAGCAAGGGTGACCTCTCATACTAACCATTTAAAAGTTTTACAAGTAGCCCAAAGATGATTTGTTAATTTATTTAATCACACTGAAAATATTAGTTGAATGTATTTGAGCACTGTGCTAGACACTGGGATAGAGCAATGATGGTATGTGACCTCACATTACCTACAGATCCTTGGAGCTCTCGGACTCAAACATGCTATTTCCTTCATCATGAGCTGGAAGGTACCTATGAATAGTGCCAACAGAATCAAACTAGCAAATCAAAAAGGCCAAGTATGATTACAAAAGCCAGGCCAGCTGTTCATCCAAATGGAGCCCTAACTGTATGTGGAAGTTGTGTTTGAAAATTCTTCAAGCACCTATCGCTAACCTTAAAATGAATTTCCACTTACCCAATTGTGACTACAATTACCATGAGGGTGAAAAAGTGACAATAGGCTCATTTTAGAATTTAGAATAAGTAGCACAGGCAGAATTTCTTCAAAATTTGTACAGCCTAACTTTGATAAGTAACAAGAGAGTATACACACACACACACACACACACACACACACACAGAGGCATGCATGCAGTCCTTATTAGCACTGATCCTCCATCCAGACTTCCAGACTTTGCTCACATTTTCCTCCAGATATGTTCAATTCATTCTCATAAATACGTTTTTGAATGATTTGCTTTTTGCTATTATCTTTTCAGATTCATATTTAGAGCCCTTTTTAATGTTAACTTTGTATTCCTCCATTAGCTTGCTTTCAAATAGCTTATTTAAAGAGTTCTTTGAAGTTGAAAAGTTTTATGTTAAGTGTGAAGCATTAACTCTACTTACTCTGCAAACAAATAATGTGAAGGTCATGAAAAGCTAACATATTAAAACAGAAGCAAACAAGGAAAGGGCAATTTTCAAAAGAAGATAAAATTTAATAACAATACTAATAACAGTTGATGGCTCAAGATCTTTTTATTTTCAGTCTTGGAAATATTGACTCATTTGTCATTAGAAAGTCCCACAAAGCTGACTGTAAAGAAATAGTTACAATCTTGTCTAATTTGAATGCTTGCCCCAGACTCTCAGAACAGGAGGAAGAGAAACCCAGCACTTTTTAATTGATTTTCATATTTCCTAGGTTGCCTTCCCTGAGAGTGAGGCAAAACAGTGGCAAAATACCATTTGACTAGCAAACAGAAGAATTGAAGTTGAGTTCAGTTTGAACGGCCTTGAGTGCCTCTCTCTATTCTTTTCTTTTCTCTGCTTATGCTAGTGAGAGGAAATGTGGAAGTACTTTAGAGACAGTGCCCAGACCATCTTATCTACATTCCAGAAAGTAGCCTCTATGCAGCAGGCACGTATTTCACCATGTGATTTCAAGAATGGAAGGAGTAATGGGCAACAATTCATATGACCTTTCTAGGTTATCTGCTAAATCTCCTCTTCTAATTAGGAGGCACCTCTGAGGTGATGGCTCATTTCAGGAGCTGAAGAACGTAACTGTCTTAGTTCGTTCTCTGTTACTGCAACTGAACGCCTGAGACTGGATAACTTATAGAGAAGATATATTTATTTCTCTCATTTCTGCAGGCTGTTAAGTCCAAGAGCATGGTGCTGGCATCTGGCGGGGGCTTCTTACTGCATCATAACATGGTGAAGTGCATCACATGGTGAGAGAGCAAGAGCATGTCAGCTCAGGTCTCTCTTCCTCTTCTCACAAAACCACTAGTCCCACCATGGGTCCCCACCCTGATGACCGTATCCAATCCCAGTGACCTTCCAAAGGCCCCATCTCTGAATGTCATCCACATTTGAATTTGGGGATTAAGTTTCCAACACATGGAATTTAGAGGACACATTCAAACCACAGTAGTGATCATCCAGGTGGCAGGCCAGAGCAGGAGCTCTCAATACATAATTCACCAAGGGTTTGCTTAGGAGGGACAAACAACTCACAGAGCCTGGCACAGAGGAGCTGCTTCCATCTTTGTGGTTCTAAAAGTAGGAGCTGCACTCATTTAATATTCAGATAAGTAGAGAAGAATAATGAATTCAAAAGAGGTAAGTGAGTTTTATAAACAAAAGCTTGAAATATCCTCAACAAATTTCCCAGTCCATCACTTTTCTGCCTTGGGATATTTCTCTTGATTGCCCAAACAGTACTTGAAGGCATGCAGCGGCATTAGGGGAGTCTCAAGGAAAGAGATTCTAAACCCCTTCAGTTATTCATTCCTCTAAAAATCTCTGCTCACAAGAAATTCATATCAAACTAAACAAAATAATTATTTTGTTCAGGTTAGAAATGTCAAGTATTTTGAAGTTCCTAAATTTGCTCCATATTAGTAAAATGAATATATTTGCATCATTAATTCTAACTAGTTTTGCTCTCAGTACCTTCATCTGTAAATAGGAGATAAGTTAGAATAATTTTTCTTCAACTTGAATATGTATCAGAAGCACCTGGTGGGTTTGTTGAAATGCAGATTCTGGGCCCCACTCTTAAGAGTGTCTAATACAGTAGGTCTGGGTAGGGCCATAGAATTTGCCTTTCTGACAAGGTCCTGTGTAATGCTGTTATTGCTGGTCTGGGGCCTCACTTCAAGCACCACTGCACTAGAAGATATTTGTTATATTTTGACTTTAAATATCTGTTTCTAACAGTTACTCTTTGGTAGAGGAAAGGAGAGACTTGGGTTCAATGTTGAAAACCTTTATAAACTCACACATTTAGAATGACCTGGTTGTTTCGTTTTGTTTTGTTTGTTTTTGTATAGACAGGATCTTGCTTTGTTGCCCAGGCTGGTCTTGAACTTCTGGCATCAACTGATCCCCCCACCTCAGCCTCCCAAAGTGCTGGGATTACAGGTGTAAGCCACCATGCCTGGCCCCTAGAGTCACCTAACTTTTGACAAAAGCAACATTCTACTTCAGTGGGATGTGAATGCACACTTAAAAGTGCTCAAATTAATCAGTCATCAGATAAATGCAAATTAAAACTATAATGAGATACCACCTAGGTACCCATCAAAGTGGTTAAAATCAACATTTTGGTTAAAATGGTTAAAAAGATCAACAATATCAAGTGTTAGTGATGCTCTGAGACACTTTAATTCTCATACACTGCTAATGCAAGGAAAAATTGCTGCAACCAACTTGGAGAATATTCGACAATATCTACTAAAGCTGAACACAGGTATACACTACAAATGAATAATTCCACTCCTAGCTATATACCCAGCAGAAATATGCACACATGCTCACCAAAAGATGCACTAGAATGTTCATAAGAGTATTATTCATAGTGATCAGAAAATAGAAACTCCCTAAATTCCCATCAACAGTAGATAGGTAAGAGACAATAGGATATTATTCATCGATGAGAATGAACATGGAACAATATGAATAAATCTCACAAACCTGATGTTGAGTAAGTAGAAAGACACTAAATAGTATGTACTATTCTATTCATATAAAATTTAAAAAGACAAAATTAATCTATGCTATTAGAAGTCACTTTTTTAATAGTGAGGAACGTAAGTTACTTCTATGATGCTGGTAAATGTATCTGATCTGAGTGTTGATCAATGATAAAAGAAAAACTTCAGCATATTTAAATTTTAAAGAATTTATGTGAGTACTCATTGTATCATCAGACCTCAAGTGGCTAGCACTTTAACAGAAGAGGCAAGATAGGGAACTTTTATTAAGTGGTTGTAGAAGCCAAACAAAGAGAACAATTATGATTGTTTACAATGAAAATTTCCTAGTTAGAGGTTATTTGGTGGTTTCTGATTTCAATTTCAGTTTTCATTTTCAATTTACCGTTTACATTGGGCTTTGGTATAGTCACACTATACCAAATTTTCAATGCTAGGAATTTAAAGTGTCAGAGCCACCCTAGTCTAGTGGCCTCCAAATCAGAATTTTTTTTGGTACGACAAATATTTTCATATTGTGGAAATCCAGTAAGCTACACACATGATATGTGCACTCAGCTTTTTATTTACATGTAATTTTAAAAGATCTTTATAAGGTTTGTTTTAGTTTTCACTCAGGTGTCCAGTTTGGTTCATGTGTCTGTGTAGTTCCAATAATCCCTTCTGCTTCAGGTGAAGTCCATTTCTTTCTTGCTCTTCCACTTCTCAGACTCCTCTTTTTTTAAGTTAAGAAATCATTTCCTTACCTGTCTCTTGGCCTTTTCCTTCTAACACTTCAATTGCAGAACCATTTGCATATAATCTCATGGATTTAAATACCATATATAATGGCAAACTTCCAAATGTGGTCTTTCCTCTAGACTCTAAATGCCAGTATTTGCTTTCTCCAAATTTGCTTCTCCTCCAGCCTCACCCATCTCTGTAAATGGCACCACCTTGTTCAATTGTTCAAACTGAAAACCTAGAAGCCATCCTTGATCCTGCTTTTTCTCTTACCATTCACCATCCAAATCCATCAAGTCCCATCCATTCTTTAACCACTCCTTTCTAATGAAGATACTATACTCTCATGAATTTCACCATTATCTCTTACCCAAAAAAACTCTTGTAGGTTTTTAGCTGGCTTCTGTGCTTCCAGTCTTGGCCCCAACATAAATTCACACTGTACCATTTACCCACTTAAAAACCTCCAATGGCTTAGCATAACCATTAAGGATACACGTTGAAATTCTTGCCCTAGCCTACAAGGCCTTAAAAGATCTTCCTGCAAACTCTCTACCTTGTTTCACTTCACCTCTGGCCATTTGCACTTGTTAGGATCCTTCTCTCCTTAGGACCTTTACACACCCCATCTACCTGGAATTTTCTTTCCCCCACATCTCTGCCTGGCTAATCTTTCTTGCTATTCAGGTCTCTACTCTCTTAGAAAACTCCTTCCTGGCCACAGAATTTATAATGTTTTCTCAACCCCTGGCCACGTAAATTCTGTGGCCCCAATCACTCTCTGTCACGTTGTCTTGCATAAATATTCTTCATGGCACTTTTCATGACGTGAAATTTTCTTGCTATGTCCCAGCACCTTGCACACACTAAGTACTCAATAAATACATGTGTTGAACTAATTAATGAACTGTAGACCTCAACAGGATATAAAGTACAATCTTACCCCCAACCCCTGGCTTCTGTGGAGAAATATGCTGGACTCTGCTATTCATTACTTTGGTAGAAAAATATTCCTGAATGTTGCTATGCTAAGAAAAAAAATCCTCTTTCAGCCAAACAGTGTTCAATGGCTGCATCTCTGGGTGTCACAGTGAGACTTAAGAGGCAGTAAGTCATAAATTCAAGGAAAGAAGGGCAAAGGCAGGAGGATTTAGGCATGCTTCAAGTGCCAGTGCAGGATCAACAGCAAAACTAAGAGGTAGTTCGGGTAACTGTGACTCAGAACGTTGTGAGAGGTCCTCAGGAGGACCTTAATGTCAGACCATTATTGGCTAATGCCAGAGAGCTTTAATATCTTTTCTGTTTTGGGCAAGAACCAGTCTCCTTGCCTGGGAAGCATGGGAGCCCCAGTATGATAGTGCATGAAAACAAATGGCTAGATTAGGAAGCAAAGAGTAAATACAAGGATTTGGGCTTACAAAGGCAAATTCTGATCCCTAGATGATGACCACATATCATAGAGCAAAAGAAAAAAAAAAGGCAAACATATGTTTTATTTGAAAGAAATGGACCTTTAAAATGGAATATTAAACCTACAGTGTATGTATCATAGCTAGAGTTTTCTACCCAATCCATTAACTCTTTTTTTTAACTTGAACAGCAGGAAGGCCTTTAAAGCAGGTCAAAAAAGGGAGATTTAACTCACTGTATGGATCTAGTTTTCACTGTCTCATTAGACCAAATCCCATGGTCTTGGCTGCCACCCCCTTAGAGGCTGCAGCACAGAGCAGCACTGCACCTGTGTTACACAACTTCACTCCTTCCCCTTTCCACTGCTGTGGGTCCCTGACAAGCTAAACTGAGCAAGGTAACAATCAAAAAGTCATCCGCTCCCCAGAGCAGTTGATGCAAATAAACCCTAGGCCATTGTGATGTTATTGGGACACAAACCAACAAATAGATGCTGCATTCATACCCTTCTGGAACTGGAAACGTGTCCTAATTAAAGCAGACACACAGCTCTGCAGATGCAGCCAGACAGCAAATGAAGGGGCTGCCTGCCTGATTCCTCAGCTCCCAGGTTATGGCAATGCTTATGTGAGTTACATAAACTCATCCACAAGTCAGTGTTCTCCACTTTAAATAAGCGTACTATCTAAGCTCTAAAAGGTATGCATACAAGGGATATCAAATCTTAGAAGGCATTTAGTTAATTCTCCCATCTAAGAAAGGAATCTCTTATAGCATTCCTTATAGAGCCTGCCCACCAGGGATGTTGAACAAAGGGAGCTGAACCAAGCCTGTGGTCACAGATGGTCAATCCCAGAAATCCATAAAGGGGCAGTAGATTCAGCAGGTCATTCCAGAGAGTTATAGGCCAGCAACCAGGGTCAACTTCAGAACCCTGGCATAGAGAAGGTAAATAGACCCTGATGCAATGTGAAGTATTTGCTCTCTCTCTTCCTAGAAAAATTAGCTTTTGTCTGGAAATAAATGAATATATAATGAATTTAGGATGCAATTATGTTTTTGATGTCTAACAAATCTATCCAAAAAAGACAGTAACTCAATGCAAAATTATGATAAAAAATTCTTTAAATGGTTTGCTTGAAATGCCCTGTAGACAAAAATTATATGTTTGCTTTTGGCTAATTCCCACCCCCCAACTGTATTTCTGCATTGGAACAAAGCTGGTAGAGTCACACAGATGAGGAGCCACAAAACAAGAACCATGGTTGAAGAAGAGGCAGGGTAAAAATGTGTATAAATATTTGTGGCAGTTTTTAAAAAATGTTCTCACATTTGTTTTACATTCTTCCCAATAAGAGATGGAGTGTATGTTCTCTCTTCTTGAATCTGGGCAGGTTTGTGACTTTTTTGACAAGCAGAGTATGATAGAAGTTATCCTATGTGACTTCCAAGGCTAAATCAGACAAGACCATTTAGCTTCCACCTGATTCTCTTGGAATACCTGCTCTGGGGGAGGCCAGGTGCCAAGTAGAAGTATAGCTACTCTGAGATCAATATGCTTGAGAGACCACATGCAGGAGCTCAGGTCAACAGCCTTTGCTCTGCTCCCAGCCAACAGCCAGCATGCACTGCCAGTCATGAGTGAACCTTTTGAAACATCCAGCCCACTTGAGCCTTCAGATGACTGCATAACCACTAACTACTAACTGCAACAGCCAACAACTAGCTGCAATTTCACAAAAGCTCCCAAGCCAAAATTACCCTCACTTCCTGACTCACAAAATTGTGAGCAAAGTAAAATGTTTGTTTTAAGTATCTGCTATTGGGATAATAAGTAGCAACCATAACAGGAAGATTTAAAATACTTAACTAAAAGACATTGTTCCCACCCCAGATTCTTGATGGTAGAATACCTATCCATTAACTCACATCACAAAGCATCCTTAATAAAGGCATTTCTCTGAATGCCAGACCAAGCCTCTGAGTGAAGACCTGCACTGGAGAAGGTAAAAAGAACAATGACTTCTAGGCAGCATTGTCTTCCCTACTTTGAGCTGAACTCTGTCTCTGTATAACTTTCACCCATCTGTCCTAGTTCTGCCTTCTGATGCCGGAACAAGTCTTCTCTCTTCTTCTCTGTGACATCAGAAAAGATTATGCAAATATAATAGGTCAATAGAAAAAGAAAAGCCTTCTTTGTTCACAGATCCTTTGAAGCATTAAGACATTAAAGAAGTGTTCTCTCCTGAGATCTCCCTGGGGGCCATAACATTTACACATTCTTTGCATATGTACTTCTGTGCAGGAATGGAGAAAATGACTGTATGTGAAAAAACTATTTTTATTACAGACTTTTTTTTTCTTTAATTGCATTTAAAATGCTCACATCAGAAAAATCAAGAAGAAAACTGCACACCAAAATAAATTTGGTCTGGGTTAGAGAGTTAAGTGCAAACACTTCAATTTGTTTATTTAAAAAATGAAGAAAAATACTGATGAGTATATTTTGCAAATGAAGGAGGGTGTAACTTTCCCAGCATGACTTTTTTCAGTATAACTTCAAAGAAAAATTGATAGACTTGATTACATACAAACTCAGAATTTCTGCATAATAAAAATATTCACAAATAAAATTAAGAGATTATTGATGAGCTAGAGGAAAATATTTCTGGCATATGATAAAACAAATTATTAATAACCTTAATATATATTTTTTAAATTCCAGTTAGTAAGAAAATTGACTTTCTAACAGAAAAAAAAAAAAAAAAAATATATATATATATATATATATACCCACAAACACACACACATACATACACACAACAAAAAAGAAAAGTAAGCAATTCACTATAGAAAAAGTACAAATGGTCTAAAAATGTATGAAAAAATTCTACCTGTCTTTTGGAAACAAAATGAAAAATTAAATAATCTATGTAATCATTTTAATTTTCTCATGAACATGTTTTTTTAATTGCCAATAAACATGCTTAACAAAGGTACAGAAAAGAGGCCAACTCTACATTGCTTGTCAGCTGTTTACTGGCCCAAACTTTCTGTAAAATATTTTGATAATATAAATCAATAGCTTTTAAAACAAGCTCCCTCTATAACTCAGAAATTTATGTCTACCCTTTAAATGTGGAAATTATCAGTAAAGTGTACAAAGTTTTATCTATAATAATGTTCATCAAAGCATCAATCACCATCAGGGGAAATAAAAGAAACTCAATGTATTTATGTATTTCGTAGAAAAGTAGTTGAATAAAACATGGTATAATCATGTAATAGAGGCCCTATCTAGCCATTAATTGCCTTGTGTGGTAGAAAATATTTGATAACAAAGAAAAAACACATATAGATGTTAATTTATAAGAACAGGTTATAAGATATATAGATATGTTTTTTATATATTAGAAATATGTAAATATGTATTTTATAAATATGTATATGATTATTATACATAATATAATATGAAGTCAAAAGTATCTGAAACAGGTCCCAATCAATTTAGAAAGTTTATTTATCCAAGGTTATGGACACACCAGTGACACAGCCTCAGGAGGTCCTGATGATATACGCCCAAGTTGGTCAGTGTACAGCTTGTTTTTATACATTTTAGGGGGACATAATACATCAATCAATACTGTAAGTTTGGCAGAGAGAAAGGATGAGAGAGAGAGAGACCCAAGGTCAAGCGAGTAAGTTTATTAACCTGCCGGGCTGCTCTACCACAGTCAGAGGAGGCAGGCTTGAGCGTCCAAAATGAGGGGTTTATATGGGGGAGAGAGACCCTCGGGTTGTCAGTTAACTTTACCACATATCATCTCGTGACTGGCTTACAATACAGGAATGTACAAGAGGGTGTAACTTAGGTTTATCCACATTTCTCATGACCTCCCCTGTGCCACTTGGGGGAGCTGTAATCAGGGTTTTGCTCTGCAATTCTGGTGACCTTGCTGTGGTGCCTAGATAAGGGTTCAGGAATGCAGCTGCAGAGTATTTAGGGTAAGGGTCAGCAGCATTGAGGGCAGGGGGGCCCTGGGGCAGCTTGTCCCTAGCATTCCAGCCTTTTGATAGGTAATAGAAGAGGAGCATCGTTGTCATCTGGCTGCTTCTTGCTGGATAGGGGTGACAGTTTGTGGGAGAGGCTGGGTCATAGGGACTTCCATTCCTGGAGCCGCCAGTATTCTTGGAGCAGCTCATATCTTGTACTGTTCCATGGCTGAACGCTCTAATACAGTCCTGTAAAAACTGGGTAAGGAGACGTAAGAGACAAGATCCAAATGCTAAAAGGAGGAAGAAGATTATGGCAGGACCTAGGAGAGGCAGTAGCCAGGGTGCCCAGGAGTCATGGAACCACTGGGGCCAGGTGGGATGATTATCTTTAAGTTTTTGTGCTCAATCTTCGAGCTTTTTGACAGCATTCGTACTAACCTGGATTGGTTGGGTAGAAACAACACTGTTCATCCAGAAAGAGGCATAGGCCTCCTTTTTCGGCGGTAAGGAAGTCAAGGACTCTGTGGTTTTGTAGGGTGACTGCCGCTAAGGAGTCTAGTTGGTTTTGGAGGTGAGTGATGGAGTCTGTGATTTCATCTAGTGATGATTGGAAGGTTACTAAATTAACCTGTCACCCCCGTTATGAAGGACTCCCTCTTTTCTCCTCACTCTGGGTTGCCAAGGCTGAACTGAGACTCTCCAGTGAGGAACCTACACACTCCAACACCTATTCTCAATCCATTTGTCTGTTTGCATTAACACCTCAGGCATCTTCTTCCTCTGTGGATCCACAACCTATTTCTGTCTCCCTACCAACCGGACAGGCACTTGCACCCTGGTCTACCTTACCCCCAAAGTTAACCTTGTCCCTCCAAACCAAGAACTCCCTGTCCCTGCTAGGTTACATAACAGCCCAAAAAGAGCAATACAGTTCATTTCCTTATTAGCAGCCCTGGGAGTCACAACTAGTATCAGGTTAGGAGCAGGAAGCCTAGGAACCTCATTATCATATTTCCAGTCACTCCCAAGATTTATATTGGTTCAATCTTAAAGGGCGGGACAATTTTGAGGTGAAAACAGTGGGCAGCAAGCTTCCAGGTCATAAGTAGATTTAAAAATTTCCCGATTGGCAATTGGTTAAAAGAGTTATTATCAGTAGAAAGGAAAGATAAGGGGGTGTGGAGACCAAGGTTTTGTTATGCAGATGAAGCCTCCAAGTAGCAGGCTTCAGAGAGAATAGATTGTAAATATTTATCATCAGACTTAAGGTTTGTGTAGATGTCAATGGTGGAGGGTATAATGAGCCATGTAGGAGATCCCCTCTTCTATCAAGGCCTGAACTAGTTTTTCAGGTTAACTCTGTAATGCCCTTGGCCAAGAGAAGCGTCCATTTAGAAGGTTTTGGGGCTTAGAATTTTATTTTTGGTTTACATAAAATATATTAAAATAAATATAACATTAAATATATAAAATATGTAATGCATATTTTATATAATTATATGTGTCTATAGAGGTTATATTTATTTAGAGCAAATGTTATGTCAATATTCTTTTTAATACAAAATTAAAAAATCCCACCAAAATGTTTGTATTAGCTATCTGCAAACATAGAACTTATAAGTAGTTTGTATTTTCTTCTTTGTACTGTTTTATATTTTCTGAACTTTTTACAACAACCTTTGTAATGTTGAAAATAGAAATGTAGATGTACAGATCCAAGCAGACAGGTATAATATTTTGTGAAATGTACTAACTATTCATATTCTATGTGTAAACAAAAACAAAAAAGCCAGCTCATGATAAAGACCTATTTGATAAGAAAGAGGATAGAAATAAAAGGGAACAAATGAAGCTCAAAAGAATCACAGGTGCCCGAAATGTGTCCTTTTGGAAGGGGACTGATAATGGAGTAGAAAGAACTCTGAACCGGAAGTTAGAGTGTCAGAGGCATTCAAACTGGAGTGACTCCATCTTGAATAAGGGCTGCGGAAAATGAGGCTGATACCTACTGGGCTTCATTCCCAGAAGGTTAGGCATTCTTAGTCACAAGATATTTATTTTAAAGGTAACAGATTAATAATGTTTATTAAACAGACTCAAGACTTCACAGATCCAGGAAATGTCCTGATGTTCCAATATCTTAAGGACAAAGTACTTGTAGTTTAAGTTTTGCTTTAAAGACAACAATAGAGATTCTTGTGAAAGTCAGTAGTTACACAAAGTTTAAGAATCCTTTGTCACTAGCCCTTGTAATAGAGCACATTTCCCCCATGACTTTTTTTTTTTTGGCTTTGTTATCTTATGTATAAACAAGCATTGTGCCTAAGGTGGGGTGTTCGGGAACGCCCTGCTCTATGGAGAAGCCATTCTTTTGTTTCTTTACTTCTCTAATAAACTTGCTTTCACTTTACTCTGTGGACTTGCCCCAAATTCTTTCTTGTGCAAGATCCAAGAACCCTCTCTTGCGGTCTGGATCAGGACCCCTTTCCGGTAACAAGAGCACACTGGATTTAAACACGGTTCTGAAGTTAACTTGCTCTATTACGCATAACAAGACACCTACTCCAGGCCTGAGTTCCCTCATTTAAAATAAATATGATAGACAAAAGAATATCAAATTCCCATTCAACTTTAAAAGACTAGTTTTTCTGATGAATTAAGATATGATTCATGTTTTAATGATTTTAATAGTATTAAGCAGATAACACTACAGCTAGAGTTGCCAGACAAAATGTAGGACATATGTAGTTGGATTTAAATGTCATGGAAATAGTGAATAATTTTTCAGTATAAGAATGTCTCATGCAATATTTGGGACACACTTATACAAATATATTTTTTAATTAGTACAGAACTCCTTTTACACGCCATATACACTCAGCACTCCCCTTTCAGAAATTATGCTAAGAAATGTACATATACTAAAAGATTTGTTTATCTGAAATTCAAATTTAACTGGGTTTCCCATATTTTTATTTTCCAAATCTGACAAGCCTGGCTTAGTTTATGCAACTGACTGTCATACAATGTTCAAGCAAAATTATACAGTTGACCCTTAAACAAAATGGATTTGAACTGTGTGGGTTCACTTATATGTACATTTTTCTCAACCAAATGCATATTGAAAAATATAGTATTCATAAGATAGGCAGCTCCATACTTTTCACATAGACAGGTTCCTCAGGGCTGACTGAGGGACTTGAGGATGCATGGATTTGAGTATGGGAGAAGTCCTGAAACCAAACCCTTAGTATACCACTGAGAAACAACTGTACTTCACTCTCCCCAAATTATCTTAATATCTTATTTCTTTTCTTGCTCACCTCTTATGTCTAGTCTCATGTTAAATTGTGAGTAAAGCCGTTTATCCTAGGATAACCCATTTGACACTGTCATGTCAGACATTGAGGCTGCCCAGGAAGAGCAAGGCCTCAGCCTAAAAGCCAGGGCAGATATTGGAAGAGTCCCAGGCAGAGACTACACTCCATGTAAGGGCAAGTTCTCTTCTGGAGGGAGAGCTGAGTGGCGCACCTGTCTGGTTCCCACTGCTCCTCAGTGTAAGGTTCTTGTATCGGTTCGAACCCCGAGAGGGAGCCAACAGACAACACGAGGTGGTGTGGAGCTACATGCTGTTTTAATGAGCGCCTGGGTGTGGGCGGGCTGAGGCCTAAAATGGCATCAACACCAAGTGAGGATGGGACAAAGGTTTTATAGTCTCCTGTAAATAGGAAGTGTCTTAGTCTGACATAACTGCTATGTTGTAACCGGATGGCCTCTTTCTGGATCTTCAGGGGTACGTGTCTTCCGGCCGGCTCTTTTCCTGCTCCTGCTATGTTGCTGGTGCACACTGCTGACGTATGCTGCTGACACAGGTGGCCTTGTGCCTTGGGACTGGGCCTGAGAAGGGAGGAGTTATTCATCTCCTTAAGCTTTCGGGCCCCGGGGAGAACCTTACACTCAGTGGGTGAGAAATATATATACCCAGGGCCCAAAAGCCTTTCTCTCTTCTGCTTGAAAACTTGCCCTTCCCTGAGAAAATAACTACTTATTATAACTTAAAGCAAGGTCAACAAACTTCGTAAAGGGACATAGAGTAAATATTTTAGGTTTGATGGGTTACGTATTGTCTCTGTTATGTTTTCCCTTTAAAAAAAAATCTTTTAAACATATAAAAACACCCCTTAGCTCTAGCAGGCCATACAAAAATAAGTCACAGTCCAGATTTCACCCATGAGTCATTGTTTGCCAATTCCTGATTTAAAAGCTTATTATTTTCAAAGTGCATTTATGACAATAAAGTGTAAAGATATCAGGTAAAGCAATGAAGTTCTCACTTCTCACTGCGGAGTTTTGGGAATATGTAATTATCGGGAGACTAAGGAAACATCTCTGATTTACCCAAGTCTCAAAACTGTCAGTAAAGAATATTGTAAATGCAAGAAATACACAAATGACAGTGCTAGCCTGAACTGGTCTTTGTTAATTTTATGGTCAGAATAGAATATATAATAGGCGCCTACTCATTCAGTGAATGCTTGATTAGTTTGGTTTACCAAATGTACGGTTTTCATGAAAAAAGTCATTTTATTTTTTATTTTAAACATCTGAGATTTTGTTTATGAAAATTTTAGAGTTACCTATATCTGCTTGTGTCTTAGAAATATCAAGATGATGATACAGCTTTTTTGATCAATATTTAGTTTGTTTTCCAAAATCAAGATGTAATACCACTGCATCTATTAAAGAAAATCTGTCCCAACCCTCAGCACTAGACAAGTGCATTGTTCAATTTAAACTTCAGTGCAGTTCTTTAGTTGCTTTTCTGGTCCTCCTTGGGGGATTTCCTCTGTTTCCTTGTAGCATCTATAAGTCAGGAGGCCAAATTGTATCCTGCCAAAACCAATTAGCTGTGAGATCTTGACCAAGTTACTCAACATTTCTGAGGTTTCAAAGGCCTCATTTGAAAATGAATGTAAAATTACCTATCTCATTATTTTATTGGAATGTATAAAAATAATAACTTATGAAAAGTTCTAGCACTATGCCTAGCATGTAATGTTTGTTTACTAAAGGAGAGATGCTTTAATTATATCCCCCCATTGCTTAGAACACATTTTCTTAATTGTCTTTTCTTACCAGGCAGTTAGCTCCTTCAGGTTTTGGATATGCTTTATCCATCTCTGTATCCCCAGCATCTGTCACATAACAGGCCTTAGTAAAGATTTGTTGAACTAAACAAAACCATCACACAGACCTAAACCCAGTAATAAGGCTCCTAATAGCTTTATTGGTACATTTTTTGAATGCATACTTAAAGATGCAATACTGCAGACTAGTTGATATTGGATTTGTCCTCAAAAATTTTAAGCTACTATACTTATACCAAAAATAAGAAGAAAAAGTTGCAAATAACCATAGGGCACTTGAAATTGGGTCATTGCTTGGAGAATGCTTTATTATTGGTGGATTAAAGATGAAGCAGACCCCTAACTGCAGCTTTAACTTCCATATGTCAGTGTCAGCACTACTCAGGGATAAACTTCTAAAATGATAATACTTGATTTAGTATTAGACTCTTACCATTCAGTGCACTTTGGCACCTATTATTTTCTTTTATCCTCACAATAAGCCCAAGAGGGAGAGCAATTTTACAGATGAGCAAATAGCAGCACAGCAGGTTAAGTGACCGACAGAGGGTCACAAAGTGATTTTAATAGCAGACCTGGGCCCCCAGACATGCTTCAGTCTCCTAGTCCTGAACTTATTTCCTAGGACAAGGGTGTTCCCTTTCCAAACTCACAGGACAAGTCACTTGGAGGAAGTGATGTCAACATGGTGCTGTTCAAGTCTTTCTGAGTATTCAGTAAATGCCTGGGGAGGAAAGGAAGGAAGGACAGAAGGAAGGGAGGGAGGGAGGGAGGAAGGAAGGGGAAGGAGAGAAGGAGGGAGCGAGGAAGTGTGTTAGTCTGTTATCGCATGGCTATAAAGAAATACCTGAGACTGGGTAATTTATAAAGCAAAGAGGTTTAATTAGCTCACAGTTCCACAGGCTGTATAGCAAACATGGAGGCATCTGCTCAGCTTCTGGGGAGGCCTCAGGAAACTTACAATTATGGCAGAAGGTGAAGGGGGAGCCAGCATTTCACATGGCTGGAGCAGGAGGAAGAAACAGGGAAGGTGCTATACACACTTTTAAACAACCAGATCATGTGAGAATTCTATCATGAGACTAGCACCAAAGGGGAAAATCTACCCCCATGATCCAGTCAACTTCCACAAACCCCATCTCCAACACTGGATTACAATTCGAGATTTGGGCAGGGACAGAAACCCAAACCACATCAGGGGGAAGGAAGGAAGAAATGGAGGGAGGGTGTATATTGGAAGGAAATTTTCAATGTAGTAACCTATTGTGTCTGGAGAATTGCAGTGAGAGCTATTCAGATATTTTAGTGGTAGCTACGTCATCCTCCATCAAAATTTCATAGTCAGGTCTCGATTACGGCAGTATCAAGATTGCTGAACTCTATATGCTAGACAATTGTATGGAAAGCCATGTTTACCAATCTTGCTAAGGAGCTATAGACACATAAAGCTTGTTGATTCATCACTGATTTCTAAAGGCCAAGGTCACCATTTTTTACTAAAAAATTCCTGTCTTTACATATAATTAAGTCTTTTAGGACATTTGAGGGTAAGAATTAGTCCAATAGATGGTCTTTTTATTGAATAGTACTTTACAGTTTACAAAGCACCTCTGCCAAAATACTTTGATCTTTCTTAGGTCATGATCCCTTTGGGAAGGTGATGAAAGCTATAGACCTTATTTTCAGAAAAAAGAAACAATGTATTATATACATACACACACACAATTTTACATACAATTCGGGGTAGATGAGAGATGAGAATTCACATACATCTTTTAACAGGATTTCACGGGAAATGTTAAAAACCTATCATTGATAAATTATATTATTTTAAACTGATATAAAATGATATATAGCCTTGTGAGGCAGGTAAGCAAGTATTATCTATCCCATTTTATACACGAGGGGATTTTACCTCAAAAAACATAAGTGACTTATCTAAGGGAAAAAGCTAATTAGGCAGAACTAATACCAGCTCTCCTGACTACTGGCCTGAAGCTCTTTCCCTGTATTAAGGTACCCAAGTTACAGGTGAAGACATAAAAATTGTCCCAAGAAATGACTTGACCTCTCCAGCTATGAGTTAATTCAAGAAAGTAACAGCACCCCCCTTTTCCTGTCGCAGATGTTATTTAAAATATTGCTCTGTAAGCCTCCAGAGCGTTTTAACAATCACCAAAAACTACATTGCCCCAAAGGCCTAATCGAAATGCTGATCATGGATATTCATAGCCAACAGCCTTGAATTTATAACCACCTAGTTCTCTGTGAGTAATGGAAGCATTTTCCAAAGGTGAAAAAAAAAAGTGTTAAAGCAGGTAAGTGTTAAATTAGGAGTAGGGGAGAGGGAGGTCATGGGAGTGCAGAAAAGCCAGGTGTAAGAATCCAGGCTTAAGGTGTGCTGGCCTGAATGCCTGGAGGCAGTAAAGTACAGGCATGGTCAGATTCTGCCAACACTTTAAAGGCAGAGCCAATCATTTGTGAATGAACAACAGGAGGTGTGAGCAAAAGGGCAAAGTAAAGGATGTCTCTGAAGTTTCTGCCTGAGCTACTGGAAGGTAGGAATTAGCATTAACTGAGATGAGATAAAAGGAGATCCAGAGTTCACTTTTAGACGTGTTAAATTTTACACACCTATTAGATATGCAAGTGGAAGCATCTAAGAGGTAATTGATAAACAGTCATGAGCTGCATAATGTTTTGGTCAATGATGGACAAAATATATGAAAGTGGTCCCATAAGATTACAATACCCTATTTTTATAGTACTTTTTCTATGTTTAGATATGCAAATACTTACTATTGTGTTACAATGGCCTACAGTGTCAGTACAGTAACATGCAAGACTTGGAGCAATAGGCTATACCGTATAGCCTAGGTGTGTAGTAGGCTATACCGTATAGCCTAGGTGTGTAGTAGGCTATACCATCTAGGTTTGTGTAAGTACCTCTGTGATGTTCATACAATGACAAAATTACCTAATGATGCATTTCTCACAATGTATCCCCATTGCTATGTGATGAATAACTATACTTTTAAGTATAGAGTTCCAAGAAGAGGTCTGCACTGGATATAAACCTTTGGAGACTGTGATATATAAATGGTATTTAAAGACATGAGACTGCATGAGGTCACCAAGTGAATGAGTATAGATACAGAAGAGATCCAAGGACCGACCTCTGAGAACTCCAGTGTTAAGCAGTTAACCACCTCTAATGGAAACATCTTGAGTCATATGCTCCTACATGAACCAATCACTGTGGCCTGGGAAATGTAGTGCTCTAAATGGGGAGATGCCTGACATGTCTAACACAATCACTAAACATTAATCAGGTTTAGACCAACCAAAGGTCACTTCTGAAGTTGTGGGGGAAGGAAGGCAAGGCCAACTCCCACATGGCTATACACAGAGAAATGGAAGAGATGTTGGAGCACGCAATGGCCACCACACCAACCATACACCTTTAAGCTTTGTGTGGTTGCTGGGAGAGTTTGGACCTTAATGTTAAACAAACCTACACTTAAATTTTGGCACTGTCACCAACAATATGACCTTGGACAGGTTACTGAAGTTTTTTTAACTGTTCGTTTGTAAAATGAGAAAAGTAATACCTCTTTCTACTTTAATAAATATCTGGGAAGAATCAATTGAGATATTACATATAGAGTGCTCAATGTAATGTTTGATGCATTGTAAATACTCAAAAATACTAATTACTATTATTTTTATTGGTCTGGGTTCACCTGAAAGGACAGCCTGAAGCAAAGGCCCACCCATGTGCAGGTACATTATTTGGGAGGTAATCCTAGGAAGCAGGAATACAGGGAGGATGGAAAGGTAATACTAGGATTCTTTGCCACTGCAATTGACTGGGGATGCTTTGCAGGGGACCTTCAGGAAAACATTATGAGATCTGCCTTAGAATGGTGTTCCAGGTGATGACAAGAGGAAACATTTATCCATTAGCTCGTATTCTTGAATGATCAGAGATATACAATGCCTTCTACTGCATCAACTAAATTCCCCCACATTTCCAGGTTGCTAAAGCATGAGTTGAGCAGCTTCCTGCAGGTGTTTTACACAATTGCTTCAGATAAGACTCTGGACATGAAGCAAGAAGCAGAGGCCAAAGTGAGGCACCATCAGATTGGCCCTGTGCAAAGCAGACTAAAACCAGTACAGAACGAGTCCCTGCAAAAGTGGCTGGGAAGAGGTGGGGCCAAGAAAATATAAGATGAGCTCAAAACATGTGATAATTACTTTCTTATCATAGTTATTATTATGATAAATGCTAAATCTTTGTATCTGAGATTCTTATCTATGGCTCTTTCTCCTATTAGATGCTGATGTTTTGAAATGTAAGCCTAATTTCTTTTCTTTTCACACCTACAACTCAACTTAGTGTTTTGCACATAGAAGATGCTCAATATTTGTTAAATTAAAATGAATTAATCTGACATGATGGAAAACAAAATGAAAAGGTATGCAAATCTGTAATTTGAAATATATGTGTCTGGGGTATGTGTGTGTGCATGCTCTTTTATCTGTGTTTTATTTTCTCCTCTGGCAATTTGAAAGCAACAATTTGACATAAAAGTCTTGAACTGCTTTATTTCCTTTGGTCTGTGCCAGAAAAAAACAACAGAAACAACAAAACCCTGATTTTGTACAAAAAGCAACAAGACTGAATTTTTTTTTTCTTCTCTAATTGCTTCCCCAGCTACCTTTCCAACATTCTTAGGAATTAGCGGTGGGAGAGGCACAGCTCAATTGGTTGTGCAGAGCTGAGCAGCTCTGAGCTTCATTAAGGCCTCAGTGAGAAGAGGGCTGCGGGCAGAAGCCCCTGCTCTATCCCCCTGGCTGCTCAGGAGGCTCTCATATATGCCAAGGTCAGCCAACTTCTGTCCCCGTTGTGTTGACAGAGTCATCCACATGCTCTCCCTTTTCACCCTAGTTAAGTAGAATCCCATTAGCCTGGATGTATAAGACTGGATTACATTTTACTTTAGCTTGTTCCATTCAGTATTTTTCCACATGCAAACATGTTTTTTATTATTTTCAGTACTCATGTGAACTATACACCAAGACAATGTAAAGATAATGGGCGAGGTCAGCCTTATACACAGACAACATAAGCCACTACCCACATGGCATAATGGAAGGGCAAATTCTTCATCCAATTAATGCTTGAAAGCCCGTTATGAGTACTTTATACCTCTCTGCTCACAGTTTTCTTCCCAATGCATCTGGTTTGAGAAAGATTAACTGATTTGAGGGGAATGAGATTTAGCACACTGGATCTCTAATATCTTAATTGATTAGCTTGGTCAAGTGCAGGTAGAGCTAGACCTTCTAACCTTGGGGAAAGAGAGAACAATGAAGGTGGGAGCTTAAAGACTAAGAGGGTGGGCTAGAAAGCCTGAAGGGGATTAAAGACACTACAACCTTTAACCCACAATTTCATCAGCCAGCCCCTGAAAGTGGGAGGTGGTGAGGCTTTTTCAAATCCTAAGACTACAGGTCAGGCTCTTTGCTTTCTGTGGTCCCACAGAAGGCAACATGGGCCAAGCAGGAGCCACTGACCAAACCCAGAGAAGACTTCTGCAAACAGAAGTCTCTCCTATCTGCCTTCAATAACCCTCCCTGGGTTTTGTATTCACTGATGAAACAAGAGATTGGAGTTATCTATTCTTATCACCTTTCTCTAAAATGGCATTAATTCTTTGCCAGGTCTATCATCTTTTGCAAAAACAAAACATTTAACAGTTTGAAGCACAATTTATGAATGAAATGCTTCCCCTTCAATTCTAAAGGTTCTATCAGATTGCCCTTCAGGGAAGAAGGAAATCTAATGTGAACCAAGAGGTCTTTCTCATACTTTGCTTGTCTTCAGCCTCCCTTTTCTGTAGAATTTCCCCACTCTGCTGCCATTCTTTCTCCCAGGTATGCTTGCTTCTCTCTTTCTTCTTGAAGTTTTCAGAAGAAGGCTATTTGGCCTTTGCTTTCAATTTAATCTGACAACCACCACTACCACCTGAGTTATTCTATATCATGGAGATTAACATTCCAAGCTTCATTTCCATTTGTGGAATGGTAAACTTCCATGACTGTTAAAGGTATTTCAGAGATCTCACCAGCTAATCTTACCATCAGTCAATATTTCCCAATCACCAATAAAATATCCTTCTTAGGGCTATAGCGATGAAAATACGAGACTCTATCCAGAAGGAGCCCACAACCCAGGGACAACTGTAAACATGTAATAAATACATTATGTAATAAATACCTCCATAAATTTGTGAATAGACTGTTCTTGTTAAGATAAGACTGAGGTAGAGGAACTCTTCCTGAGCAGCCTGGAGATAATTTTCAAGGGAAGAAATACTGGATCAATATCTATGGGATGAGCAGAACCTCCATAAATAGAGAAGTTCAAGAGGAGCATATCTCTCCAGGCTGGAGGAAGAGCATGTACAGAATACAGAACAATTGAAAAGTGCTCAGTATGTGGAAAAGAGTAGAAGGCATGGTGACTATAGCTTGGAGGTTATAGGCCGATGCAGTGAGGGTGGTCGAGGAGGCTGGAGAAATGTGTTGGGTCAGAGAATTGAAGATCCATACATGCCATGCTTGAGTGTAGATTGTGAGCAACCAGGGCCAACAAAGGCTTGTAAACTTGGGGATGACATGACTATATCTTTTTTTTTTTTTTTTTTTTTTTTTTTTTTTTTTTTTTTTTAGGTGAAGTCTTTCTCCGTCTCCCAGGCTGGAGTGCAGTGGTTTCAGTCTTGGCTAACTGCAACCTCCACCTCTCAGATTCAAGTGATTCTCCTACCTCAGCCTCCCATGTAGCTGGGATTACAGGTGCTCTATCTACCACGCCCAGCTAATTTTTGTATTTTTAGTAGAGACAGGGTTTTGCCATGTTGGCCAGGTTGGTCTCGAACTCCTGAACTCAAGTAATCCGCCGACCTCGGCCTCCCACAGTACTGGGATTATAGGAGTGAGCCACCATGTCCAGCTCACCATATATATTTTTAAGAGAATTATTGTGGAGGAAATATGGAGGGTTATGCACAGTTGGAAAAGACGTGCTTCTGGTATACCAGTTAGGAGGAAGCAAAAATCAGGGAGAGGGTGAAAGCTTGAACTATACTGATGAACAAAGGTGACAAGATGAAAGTATTCCTCACATGGTTTTGTCAAGACCTAAAGCAGCACCAAATATGTCTCAAAATGCCCTGCTTACAAAAGATAATATGTATGTGTGTATCTGTGTGCGTGTATTACCCTTTGCTTTCAGATCTAAACCAGTATTTAAATGAGTCTTCAACTTCGTTCTAATTTGCCTCTCACTTGAGTTCTATAGTTTCCTTCTGCTTTAATTCATCTACTTCACAAATACCTGTCCCCAGTATCTCAAAGGCCAGCTGGCTATATTTTAACCAAAAAGTGTTTTTCTTACCTAACAGAAACTGACTTTTAGGGCTGCCATTACTGATAACAGATGTTGAAGCATTTCAACTTACTTTTTATTCCTTTCCCCCACAAGATTTTAAAATGGGTTTTAAAAACATTTTATTTAGTTTTTTAGCCTCAATATGTTTTTCCAAGCATTATTACTCTTTCTCCCAATGTATAATAAAAAAAATTAACAACTCCTGTTACTGTTTATTTCCCATCTGTTGGAGATGATATAAAATTTCAGATACGCTTTTAAAATACAGAGCAAACATGCCAAATATAATCTATAGTATAGTAAACATTATGTTTATTATGTTTATTGTATATATTTTATGTATCCCTTCTGGCTAAACTATGCATTATTATAGCATGAGTCATCCTGTTTAACCTATTGCGATTTTACCACATTCTATAGTGCCACTGAAATTGAATTAGGATATCATGTATATACATATTTATAGTACAGAGTATTTGAACTTTTTCCGTCCATATATAGAAAACCGTATTCTATCTTTTTTTTTCTTTTTGACACAGAGTCTCGCTCTTTTGTCCAAGTTGGAGTACAGTGTGATCTCAACTCACTGCAACCTTCGCCTCCCAGGTTCAAGAGATTCTCCTGCCTCACTCAGCCTCCTGAGTAGCTGAGATTACAGGTGTGTGCCACCACGCCCAGCTAATTTTTGTATTTTTGGTAGAGACAGGGTTTTACCATGTTGACCAGGCTGGTCTTGAACTCCTGACCTCAGATGATTCACCTGCCTCGGCCTCCCAAAGTGCTGGCATGAGCCACTATACCCAGTGTATTCTATCTTTCTTAAGAACATCAAAACTGAGGTTGATAAGCATGTCACATTCATATGTAAAGCATGAAGTTTAAGGAACTCAGCAAATAAAAGAACAGAGATCCTATAGTGCATTTATTTAAAGTTTTTTCTTAGCAGTGCAATTCCTGGTTATTTGAAGCAATAAGTAAAAGAATAATTGTTGTGAACTGCTTTGATATAAAATAAATGTTACTAAATGTTTCTTTCACTTTAATCACGTCATCCTTATTCCACACTATCCCTGTTGACTAGAAATAAACTCCCCAGAAACTTAAGGGATGCTGCCTATTTATCAAAAGATTGACACTGAAATAATTACTCTTTGTAGTAGATCTATTTTACTATTAGCAAACTTCAGATATTCCTTAAATTCAATTTCAAGCACACATTGTTAAATAAGAGAGAGGATTGCTAAACTTTTACATATCTCCTAACACAAGTAGATGCTGCAGACACAGTGTATTTTTCAGGCATTCTAAACCACTTGTGAGCAATAAAAACACACAAATAGAGTTCTATTTCTTGTCATGGAAGCTCACCTATCCACTTTCCCACTATCTTATTTCTGCTCTATTTCTATTGGTGCTAAAAATGGTTTTGCTCAGCTGTCAAAGTTAATAATAAGTTAATCAAAATAAAGTTTATTTTACAATTGTTGTGCTACATACATTATCATATATCTTACTCTTGGGGCTTCTGGCATAGTTCCATATAAATGAATTCACTTTGATTAATTCTTGGTCGATAAATCAGTAACCAAAAAATTGTTATTAAGAGGAAAGAGAAAGCCTTAGAGCATGAGATTTCTGGATTAACTGTGTACCTCTATTCGACTATCAGCTAGCCCAGAGAGTTCTCAGAATATGACCCAATGACCCCTGGTCCCTTCAGAGGGTCTGTGAGGTCAAAACTATTTTTGTAATAATACTAGGAAATCATTTTCCATTCACTAACATTTTCCTGTGAGTATACAGAGGAGTTTTCCAGAGGCTACCTGGCATGATAATGCAACAGATAGAATGCAGAAGTGTGAGAATCCAGTTGTCTTCTATTAGCCACTCTTTCAACATATTTTTAATAATTAGAAAAATACCACACTTCTCGATAATGGTTTCGTTTTGGAAATATGATTTTTTTCATAAAAATATGTTATTTATGTTAGCATGTAATTTAGTTTTAAATAAATTAAGCATTTTAACAATTTCCATTTTAATTTCTAATACTGTAAATATTGATTGACACAACCCATATAAACAAAATTCTTTGGATTTTCAATAATTTGTACGAGTGTAAAGGGGACCTTGAGCCAAGAAGTTTGACAACCAGTGACTTAGCTTGCTAATTTTTCTACGTTAAACTCATGTAGGAGAAAGAGGGAAAGAGAAAGAAATGGTCAAGATTGCAAGAATAAGACTAAGACTAATACTGGTTTCTCAAATGTCCAGGAATTACCCATATTGTAAGCCTTAATTTGAATCTCCACTGATTTGATTTTCAATTTGTACTAAATTAAAGTTAATTTTTCCTATTAGTATAACCAGACTGAATCAGTAAGTAATAATTTTCCATAGATCATATCATGACATCCCAAGAGAATAAAGTAGGAAAGAGAATTAACATTTCCTACTATGCGTCAGGCACCTTATAAATGGCAGGTGGTCATGAGCAAAGGTTCTAATTCTAATTTGTTCACATCTGGCTCTGACACTCACTTGCTGTGTGAGCTTGGGCAAGTTATTTAACCTCTCTGTCTCCATTTCCTCAGCTGTAAAATGTACTGTCTCATCAGGTTGTTTTGAAGAATAAAAGTCATTCCTCATAAAATCTTTTCAACAATGTTTGGTATACAAGAAGCACTAAATAACATGGTATCTTTCCCTGGCTCTATAATCATCACAACAACTCTAAAAAGGAGGTGTTATTATCCCCTTTCATTGATAACAAAACTGAGGATCCAGAGGTCTTGTTATCTACTCAAGCTTGTGTACACTGCAAGTGATGAGATGTTATTGAAATCTACATGATGCAAAAACTCTTTCTTGCACCAGACCAGTGGTTCTCAAACTTAAGCTCACATCAGAATTACCTTACCCTCAGAGTTACTGGGACAGTATTTTTAGGACAGGAAAAGGGATTTGTATTTTGAATAATCTCCCTGGAGTTGCTAATGCTGCTGACCCAAGCACCATGCTTTGAGAACCCCAGCCCCAGAGACTACACTTGGTCACCAATAACATTTGCACCCATAGTACCATCTGTAAATAGCCTCACTTTGGTCTACCATGCCCTCACTTTGCTATATCATGGTTCTTTCGATAGCAGTACTTTTCTGGACCTTTCCCATATTTCCACTGTAATGTAGGGACAATAAAAAGTTATGATTACTTCTATAAATTTTGAACTAAAAGAAGGATCTTACCAAAGAGGCTTGTCAGACACCTACTTAAACTCATACCTTCCAGAAGGGATGAAAAAAGAAAATGCAGCTAACTGGTACTAAGAAAGAAGTCTCTCCTGGCACAAAGCTCAAATTTTCTCTATTATTTGCCTTACTCGATTTCTACTTACTTACCTCAAAATGAAACCTGAGAATAGCCAATAAAATATCTCATCCATAGTCTTTACTTTCATTACTCTTTCATAAGTAACCTAGGAATAGATATTAAGCCCAGCAAAGAAAGAACAAGTTGGCTTTCTCTTGAGAACTCATTATTGGAGCAAGCAAGTGCTATTTCTAAATTTTGTCAAATTCTTAGATCACCATGGCAAAAACGTGAAAGAGAGTTAAAATTTAATCCTTAAAAATGAATCAAATTGAAGAATAGTCACTTTTGTCTACTGAGTTCTACTCAGTAATAGAAAATCAGTAAGCGATTGGAAATTGGCAAGATAACAACTGGAGATAAGCCAGTGGTCAAGATGTATATGTTGTAGTAATGTGGAAGCACACTTCTAGTGTTCTCTGTCCTATTTTAGACTATTTATGTATGAGTGGAAAAAACAAACTGTTTCTCCTACTACACTCTTTCAACACAGAATGCTTCTGTGACTACATGTGTGGGGATTTTTTCCCCAAACACCAAGCAAACAATTGTGCAGTGCACACCAGCTAGGATCCTGTAATTTAATTCCATCCTGACACTATTTACCTGGAGATAGCGTCAGATCCTACAGGTTGAGAGCTCAGTCCCACAACACTGCCCCCAACTTCTGATGCCAATTGCAAGCACAGGTCGTGGCCTGTGCTTCCGACTGACTGGCTAGAAATTGGGGTTCCCATAACTCCCTCCTTGGGTTCAATTAATTTGTAAGAACAGCTCACAGAACTCGGGGAAACACTTACTTATGTTACTCCATTTATTATAAAGCATATTACAAAGGATACAGATGAATTGCCAGATGAAGGAGGTGCCTAGGGTAAGGTATGGGAGAAAGGGTGCAGTTTCCACGTCCTCTCCTGGTGCACTACCCTTCAGGAACCTCCATTGTAAAGCTATATGGAAGCTCTCTGAGCTCTCTTCTTTTGAGTTTTTAAGGAGGTTTCATTATGTAGACATGATTGATCAAATTATTTGCCATTGGTGATCAATGTGACCTATAGCCTCCCTCCTCTCCCTGGAAATTGGAGGGTGGGGTTGAAAGCCCCAACTCTCTCTAATCAACCCTTGGTCTTTCTGGTGACCAGCTCCCATCCTGAAGCTATCTAGGGGTCTCCAGCCACCAGTCATATCATTAGCATAAAAAAGACGCTCTTATAACTTAGGAGATTTTAAGGTTTTAGTAGTCATATATCAGGAAATTAGGAAGAAGACCAAATACAGTCATGTGTATTGATGGGGGCACTTCTGATAAATGCACTGTTAGGTGACATCATCATTGAGGCAACATCAAAGAGTACATTTACACAAAACTAGACGGCATAGCCTACAATTCACCTAGGCTATATAGTGTAGCCTATTGCTCCTAGGCTACAAACTTGCATGGCATGCTACTGTCCTGAATACTATAGGCAACTGTAACATAATGGTAAGTATTTGTATATCTAAACAAAACTAAACATAGAAAAGGTATAGTAAAAATACAGTATTGTAATCTTATAGGACCACTATCCTATATGACTGTGGATTATGACCATAAATATTTTACAAAATGAGAAGACTCAGCATTGGTGCAGAACTCAGCTTTGGTCAAGAAGAAAGCAATGCCAGTAATGGGACTTGAGGAAGAAATTAATTCTGTTACCTCATAAATAGAGGAAGCTGGACATATAGGACAATCACTATTCTTAATAAGAATCACAGGGCCCAAGGTAAGAAAGCAGAGACAAAAGTACCACATGCTGAGTATTTTAGGTGTTCCTTTTCATTTTGTTCTAAGGGAGAGAAAGTCCTCTGAAAGTCATTATTTCTTCTCTCTTCCTCTTTCCCATCCTCAATTTCTAATTATCTTCCCTTCTGCCTTTGGATTGTTGTTGATCTCCAAGAAGCTGGGGAGAGAAGTGACAAGGCTTTTAGACAATAGTCTAATTTCTAGCAAAAAATATTTGCAGGTGTTCTATATGAAGAGAAAGATTTTCTACTGAGGGAAGAAGAAACAAAAAAAGAATGGCTTTGATGCATATTTAAAGATTTGAATTAGATATTTGGAATAATTGTACAACTATTAAAAATATTTACTGCTACTGTGGGTATCAATGCAAGGAAGTTTTCAACGCTACAATAGAAAACTTCATCTATGAGTATCACGTAGGAACACTCATACCCAAATAGAGAGGGTCATGAAATCTTCTAATCCTATGATGCTATGAAAATAGAAATTGAACATTAAATTTATGCAACTTAATATTTGCATAGTGTTCATCAACGTGTTGAACAATCATCTGGTTGTTAAAATAGACACCAGGACAAAGTCAGAAGGGAAATATTCTTGTTGGCCTTAGCTCTAGATTTCTTAAGGACCAAGATTCTGTTTCAGTGTGATTTATCCCAGGCCATGTTCAGGTCAATCATTGCTTATTGAGAACCTTCTAAATGCCAATCTCCATGCTAGGTATCAGTTATACAAAAATGAATGGGACAAAGTTTCTACATCATGCGGCTTTTTGTCAGTCAGATGCTCTATTTCCCATTACAGGGGCACCTGTTTTCAGCCTATCTAAGCAGATTCATCTCACATAAAACCTCTTCAGGTCTCTGCCTTACCCAGATATAAGAAAAGTACAACTAGAGTACATCTCCATAGAAATACGCTTCCCCTTTCCTTCCTCATTCATCTCAGCTGTACCCAGTATGTTCTGAAAAGGGTACTATGAACCATAAATTCATAAACCCATCTACAGGGGCATAGCTAGGCAGGAGAGTTGCCATTCAATTGATAGATAAACCTCCAGGAATAAGCTTCAGTGCTCAACTGTTAGAGTAGTCAGCAAAATCCACAGATTTAATTACACCCGAGTAATTGCAGAAAAGATCATCCATTATTCTAACTACTCTGAAAAAGAAGAGCCCATACCCTGAAACGACTTTGTGGCAGCATAAATGGAGATCTATTCATTAGGACCATAAAATAAAATGGAAATCTGTTTTCTTTTCGGAGCAATGTGATTACCATCACAAGTAATGATATTATGGGAGGAAAAATATATTGTCTGCTAGGACACACACTTTTCCTTTTTGCCTTGGCCTTTGTTTCTTCCTTTGAAGTGACTATAGTAAGTAAGACCTGGATAACTTGGGGTCATCCCAAATGTTACACCCAAGTGCCCAAATTTGGCATTTCTTAAACAAAAAGATTCAGAATCCCCAACATACAGTCCCTTCTCTCCACCAATTCTAAAAGCATTTTGGTTTTTATTTTTTAAACCCCTTTGGTTGTATTCATAGTATGCAGATTAAAAGATGAGTGCAGAATTATTCTTATAGAAAGACTGATTTAAATTGGAAATGGAGCTAGGTATTGAGGAGTTACAGAGGCTAAAAAACTAGAAATAAGGTCTTAGCAGGAGGAGGCCTAGGTATTTGATTTTTTTTTTTTTTTTTTGGTAATATAAAAGGAGGATTTGGAGCAAGGATTATAAAGCAGGAGTAAGCGGTTTGAAGAGAAGAAAGAATAAGGTGATATATGGCAAACCCAAAAGAAGCTTGTATTTTATTTCATTTTAATTAGGGATTTAATGTATTTGTGAACACTGAAATTATAAGGAAGCAGAATAGAACTAGACAGAATAGTAGTTAGGATTTGAAATTTTAAAAATTATTTTCCTAATAAAAATGTGACAGTTGATTAGGGATAAGGGGATGAAGAGCAGAGCAATTAAAAGAAGGGCTTTCAGGATCTGGGCCAACAGTCAAAGAAAAACTGAATGAAGGATACTCGTCGATGAAAAGAATAAGGGAGGACTCATAGTTAGGAAAGAGGGAGTCAGAGAAAACAAATCCTTTGTACCAGGCATTGAGAAAGCAAAAAAAAAAAAAAAAGTGGGGACAGAGAATGCTGATGACTGACCAGAGGTGCAGATATAACTTCTTCTGTTGCTTATTTTTTTCCTCTAAAGTCTTAAGTGTTTATATTTACAACTCTCTTTACAGAGATCTTTAACATTTATTCTCTCATTACATCTCAATAGCATTCTTCTATATTTAGGAAAATAGCATGGGTCTCATTTTACAGATGGTGAAGCTGAGGCATAGATACGAGAGACTCTCAAATCATATTTAAAGTAAGAACTTAGAGTAGATTGCAAGTCCTTTGTTTTCTAATTTAACCACCTTACGACTATGCCTTCCCATGGGAGTTTCATGTCACTGCTTCTCCCTTTTCCTTGGCCTAGGCAGAGGGAAAAGATCTACAGTTCATACTCGAATATCAAACAATTTTTTAAATTAGATAGTCACCTTTAAAATCTGAAGAGCTGCCAGGTAGAGGAAAGACTACACTTATTCTATTTTCACACAAAAGACAAGACCCAGAGTAAAAGCTGAAAGCCATGGGAAGGTATATTTTCTAAATATTATTTTAAAACATTTTAATACTTAAAACTTTTAAACTTTTTCATGTTTAGAGTAGTTTCTTTATTGATAATGAGTTCCCTGTTACATGAATGTATCAGGCTGTTCTTGCATTGCAATAAAGAAATACCTGAGAAGGGGGAATTTATAAGTGAAAGAGGTTTAATTGGCTCACAGTTCTGCAGTGTGTACAGGAAGCATGATGCTGGCATCTGCTCAGCTTCTGGGGAGGCCTCAGAAAACATACAATCATGGCAGAAGGAGAAGACACATTACACGACCAGAGCAGGGATAAGAGCATGAGAAGGAGGTGCTACACACTTTTAAACAACTAGATCTGAAGAGAACTTACTATTGCGAGGATAGTACCAAGGGGGATTGTGCTAAGCCATTCATGAGAAATCTGCCCCCATGATCCAATCATCTTCCACCAGGCCCCACCTCCAACATTGGGGATTACATTTCAATATGAGATGTGGGTGGGGACACACATACAAACTATATCAATCAGGCATTCAGGTAAAGACTGACTGGCCATCTGTCAAGAATATCATAGAGAAAGATGCCACCTAGATGAAAATTGAACTTCATGACATCTAAGAATTGTTCCAAAATTCGTATGCTCTTTGTTTTTCTTTGATAGTTCAAGACGTACATGTTTGCTAGAACAGAGCAATCATCTGCCGAGTCAGAGGAAAATAAGCAAAGAAAATCTAAATAAATAAAGACAATAATCCCCCCATACCTTTGGAAATGTAAAAGCTGATGATAATAGTGAGAGGTGAAGCCAGCTGGACTTCTGGGTCAGGTGGGGACTTGGAGAACTTTTCTGTCTTACAAGAGGATTGTAAAATGCACCAATCAGCACTTTGTAGCTAGGATTGTAAAACGTACCAATCAGTGCTCTGTGGCTTGCTAGAGGTTTGTAAAATGGACCAATCAGCACCCTGTAAAATGGACCAATCAGTGCTCTGTAAAATGGAAGAAGCAGCATTCTGTAAAATGGACCAATCAGTAGGATGTGGGTGGGGACAAAAAAGGGAATAAAAGCTGACCACCCCAGCCAGCAGCGGCAACCCGCTCAGGTCCCTTTGCACACTGTGGAAGCTTTGTTCTTTTGCTCTCTACAATAAATCTTGCTGCTGCTCACTCTTTGGGTCCATGCCATCTTTAAGGGCTGTAACACTCACTGCGAAGGTCTGCAACTCCATTCTTGAAGTCAGCAAGAGGACGAACTCACTGGAAGGAACCAACTCCAGACACAATAGGAATCCTTCTCTGGCTAATTAATATATTTCCTCTTATTCTTTTCAAAAAATTATTTGACAAACTTCTTGTGGGTGAGATAGATTTCCTAGACTTAATCAGTGTGTTCTTTCTTAATGGATGTGTGACTCTTCAGTATGAAGAAATTCTGATCTAGATCTTGATATTATATTTGTGGATAATTGGAATACAGCATTTCAATACCCAGAAAATTTGTGAGCTCCTCCCTGAAATTATTTTAAAATACTTGTATTATTAGCTTAATTTTCTCCTGATTCAAAGCATATAAAATAAAATATTTTAGTAGTTAGTTGAATAATCCATGAAAGCTCAAAGCTTCAGGTCATATTTGAGCCACGACTAATGCATTTCACTGAGTCTTTACTGCATTTCACTCGCCATAAAGTTTCACTAGAGTTAGGACTACCAGACTCAATTTAGGTTCATTATCAACAAGTTATGGCTGATGCATCTAATTTCTTTCTTAAAAAGAATTATTAGATTGAATAATCTTCCATAGCAAACATAAGCATAATATGCCTGGACTTTAGCAAGGGATTTAATGAGGTCACTAACAATGACCTTAACAAAAGATTAAGAGATTTGGACTCGGAAATAAGGGCATTTTAGATGGAGAATTACGATTTTTAAATATCCAGACTAAAATGGTACTAAGCAAAGGATACACATTAGGAAGGAGAGCATTTTCCCTTAGTTGTGTAGCATGCAAAATGATTTCCAAAGTCTTGGATGGTGACATAGAGGGCATGGTCATCACATTTGCAGATAAGACAAGGCTCAAAATGGATAAAGTGCATGCTAGATATTACAACCAAACTGCAAAATTTAGCTGGCTGTGATGGCACAGGCCTGTGGTCCGAACTGCCCAGAAGGCTAAGATGGGAGTGTTTTAGCCTGTTTGTATGGTTATAAGAGAATACCTGAGGTTGGGTGATTTAAAAAGAAAAGAGGTTTATTTGGCTCATGGTTCTGCTGACTGTACAAGAAGCATGAAACCAGCATTTGATTCTGGTGAGAGCCTAAGGCTGCTTCCACTTGTAGCAGAAGGAGAAGGAGAGCTGGTGTATACAGATCACATGGCAAGACAGAAAGGAAGAGGGTCAGGCTCTTTTCAACAACCAATTCTCAGGGGAAATCTAGTGGGAACTAATAGATCCACTCACTCCCCCTTCCCCAGGGAGGGCATTAATCTATCCATGTGGGATCTCCCCCTATGACCCAAACACCCCCCATTCAGTCCCACCTTCAACAGTGCAGATCAAATTACAGCATGATATTTAGAGGGGCCAAATATCCGAACCATAGCAGGAGGATCCCTTGAGCCCAGGAGTTCAAGGCTGCAATGCTCTATGGCTGCACATCTGCATAGCCACTGCCCTCCAGCCTAAGCAACACAGTGTGTCCCTGCCTCTAAAATATAAAAACAAAATAGCCTCCAAAATGTCTGTTAGACTGAACTGAAACATTGGTTTTAATAAGATTAAATTGAACAGAGATAAGTGTATGTGCATTTTAGACTGGAAAAGCAACCCTACCTGAAAAGATGAGGTAATATATCACACAGCAACATCATACATAAGGTCTTAAGGATTTTAATTTACAATAAGCTGAGTTTAAGTAATGTGATGCTTCAAAAAAAAAAAAAAAAGTGAGCCTAGGCTAAATTCATAGAAGCACACAATCTAGAATGAAGGAATTTATGTCAACTCTTTCATGATCAGATCATAGCTAAATTGTTGCATTTTTGTTCTAGGCTTTGCATTATTTTAACGGATTTTAGTTAGAAGAAAAAAACTAAACCTACAAGATAGATCAGAGTAAGGATGGGCCTTAAAACCACACTTGTTGAAGAAACATCAAAGGACATAAGACATTTTAATCCAAAGAGAGTATGATTACTATCTTCAAATATTTGAATGGCTTGGATGTAACACAGATGTTAGATTTGTTCCATATGACTCCAAAAAGTAGAATTATTAGAACAAGTGAATGGAAGATAAAAGAGGGAAATCATAGTTAATCTGAAGAGGAATCTTCTTATAGTCAAAAGCATACCAAAATTAAGTGGGTTGCCCCACTACAGGTTTTTAACCACTGACTAGATGTCCACGTGAGGATGTTGTAAAATGTATGTATTCTGTAGCATCTGGACTGTGTAAACAAAAACAAAACAACATCTTCAAACAATTGAAAGTTTACTATTCTAGGGCAGATAAAAGAATGCCAGAAAACTGAAGCTTGATTTCCTTCCTTTCCAATTTGCCCAAACCATTTATTCTCTCCTTACTTCTATTTTCTTGCCTGTGAAATGTAGGTAATTCTATTTGTCATTTCAGGCCAGATGGGAAAGTCTGTAAGGAGTTTGGAGCCTAGAGTATTCCTCACCATAAATTCTCCAGGTGTTTCTGTTACTATTTTCTAGAAAGATGTTCAAAGTTTTCTGCTTGAATGAGAATCAAGTTCAAAGTTTGGGAGAATGCCCTCAAATTATTTCTTTTCCTCTTTCAAAAATAAAAATTGGACGTGGTTTGGTTCAATCAGTCTCCTTGATAAGGCAAATAGCAATACAGCTGCTGGATGTTCCCAAGGCTTTACATGAATTGTGTTTCGCTAACCCAGGAACTCCCAGGTTTTACTTAAACACATTGTCCTAGCACCAGCTCATCCATCATGCCAGTCTCTAAACAAACGAAGGCCAGCCTGCCCAGGCAGAGCTGAACAGGAGGCAACAACTGGAGGATTAAGACCAATTCCAAATTGTACTTGCAATACATTTCAAATATTAACTCAGTTTTTGACAGTATTTTTCTTGAATCTAATATTTCTTTTCTTAGATCCTTTCATTTCTAGACCTATTTACCCAAAAGAAGAGCAAATCAATTAAAAAAAAAACAAAGCCTCAGAAAGAAATGCCTGATAGCTCATATAGTTCTTCTATGACTCAAACACAAGAGGGAAGGAGATAAATGGAAAATCACAAGGCAAGTATGAATTTCCACAAAATGCTAAGATTTTTCATTTCAAAATATCTGACTTCTAAATTAAACACACCTCAGCATTTCTGTAATGATTATGAATAAAGCTTTTATTTTTGACATCCTAATTACTTTTGTTGACAGGTTTTTTTTTGTTTTTTTTCTGTTTTGTTTGTTTAAATCAAAAGAAAAAAATAAAGCACTCAATTCTGCCATGATTTAAAAAATGTCAAAGAATATAAGGCTATTTGTTTGGCTAGATCCATTGATTGAAAATACTCCATTTTTAGAAAATGGTGATGAAGGATACACCACATTAATTTTGTAAAGTGTGAGAAGGCTCCAAAAAGGAGAATAATCATAATGCATAATCATATGAGTAGGCTGTCAGAATACAATGAAAATAAATATCACACTTTTTCAAAGATAGACAAATTATGCATCTGAGTGAAGCTCTTAAATAGCTCTATAATGCTTCTGCCAAAGGAGATAACTCATAGCAGACATTTGTTGTGTGACTGTGGATTTATAATTTTAGTTGAATGATGTCATTGATTGGGGGTATAAATATCAACCATTTTCTCAGCATTCAATTTTTTTAATTGTTTCCTCTGTATTCTTCATGCTTATTTTAATTTGGAGAAGAGGCACAATTGATATGTTCTGTATCTAATTTATAATCCAACATGCAAAAGGATCTCTCGGTTTTGTTAGTTTACCTATGAGATCATCCATGCATTTAGGGCTAAAGCAACTGAGAATACAACAGGAATCAAAAATATAGTAAAGTAATGGCTATCATGCGTAAGAGGAGAGACTATGTTCATTATTAATGATAAGGAACATTGTTATTGGATCTTCAAATTTCACATCAAGTCACATGGCATCCCAGAGCTATTGGTGCACAAGTGTTCAGATAGAAATAAAAATAAAATCATCTAAAAATTTTCTCTTATTCAATATTATACAGATCAAACATTTTGTTTTTAAAATTAATTTTATTTTGCTTTATTATATTTAGTTTCCATTGTGGACCAGAGGAAAACCTTATAAAACTCCAAGCAAATATTTGACACCTATTCTTTGTATTTGATCACTATACATGAAAATGGAATGTGATCAGAGGCCAGAAAATAAATATTTTAGGCTTCGTGAGCCATACTGTCTTTGCATCTCTGTTGCAACTACTCGACTCTGCTATTGAAAGCAGCCATTCAGTCATAAATAGCCTACCAAACAAAAAAAACTCCAGGACCTGACAGATTTGCAGCTAAATTCTACCAGAGGTACAAATTGCTGATACCATTTCTACTTAAAACTATTCCAAAAAATTAAAAAGGAGGGACGCCTCCCTAACTCATTCAATGAAACCAGCATCATCCTGACCAAACCTTGGCAAAGATACAACAAAAAAAGGAAACTTCAGGCCAATACCCTGATGAACATCGATGCAAACATCCCCAGTAAAATACTGGCAAACCAAATCCACCAGACATCAAAAAGCTTAACCACTATGATCAAGTGGGCTTCATCCCCAAGGCTGGTTCAACATATGCAAATCAATAAATGATTCATAACTTAAACAGTACTAAAGATAAAAACCACATGACTATCTCAATAGATGCAGAAAATACCTTCAATAAAATTCAACATCCCTTCATGTTAAAAACTCTAAATAAGCTAGGTATTGAAGGAACATACTTCAAACTAATAAGAGCTATATATGACAAACCCACAGCCAATATTATACTGAAAAGGCAAAAGTTGGAAGCATGGCCCTTGAAAACTGGCACGAGACAAGGATGCCCTCTTTCACTACTCCTATTGAACACAGTATTGGAAGTTCTTGCCAGGGCAATCAGGCAAGAAAAAGAAATAAATAATATTGAAATAAGAAGAGAGGAAGTCAAACTGTCTTTATTTGCAGATGACATGATCCTACATCTAGAAAAACCCATCCTTTCAGCCCAAAACTTTCTTAAGCTGATAAGCACCTTCAGCAAAGTCTCAGGATACAAAATCTACAGCATTCATATACACCAACAACATGCAAGCAGAAAGCCAAATTGTGAATGAAGTTCCATTTACAATTGCCACAAAAAGAATAAAATACCTAGGAATACAGCTAACAGGGCAAGTGAAGGACGTCTTCAAAGAGAACTACAAACCACTGCTCAAAGAAATCTGAGAGGACACAAACTAATGGAAAAACATTCCATGCTCAGGAGGTTCAACATCATGGAAGAATCAACATCATGAAAATGGCCATACTGCCCAAAGCAATTTATAGATTTGATGCTATTCCCATTAAATTACCATTATCATTCTTCACAGAATTAGAAAAAAAAATTTTTAATTCATATGGAACCAAAAATGAGCCCAAATAGCCAAGACAATCCTAAGCGAAAAGAACAAAGCTGGAGGCATCAAGCTACCAGACTTCAGACTATACTACAAGGCAATAATAACCAAAACAGCATGGTCCTGGCACGAAAACAGACACACAGACCAGTGGAAAAGAATAGAGAACCCAGAAATAAGACCACACACCTACAATCATCTAATCTTTGACAAATCTGATAAAACCAAGCTATGTGGAAAGGATTCTCTATTTAATAAACAGTGCTGGGAAAGCTGGCTAGGCAGATGCACAAAATTGAAACTGGACCCTTTTCTTACACCATGTACAACTCAAGATGGATTAAAGATTTAAATGTAAAACCCAAAACTATGAAAACCCTAGAAGAGAATCAAGGCTTTTTAAAATATGTTTGTTGGCCACATAAATGTCTTCTTTTCAGAAGTGTCTCTTCATATCCTTCAACCACTTTTTGATGGGTTTTTTTTTTTTACTGTCAATTTGGTTAAGTTCTTTGTAGATTCTGGATATTAGCCCTTTGTCAGATGGATAGTTTGCAAAAATTTTCTCCCATTCTATAGGTTGCCTGTTCACTCAGATGATAGTTTCTTTTGCTGTGCAGAAGCTCTTTAGTTTAATTAGATCCCATTTGTCAATTTTGACTTTTGTTGCCGTTGCTTTTGGTGTTTTAGTCATGAAGGCTTTGCCCATGCCTATGTCTTGAATGATATTGCCTAGGTTTTCTTGTGGGGTTTTTATGGTTTTAGGTCTTACATTTTAGTCTTTAATCTATGTTCAGTTAATTTTTGTGTAAGGCGGAAGGAAGGGGTCCAGTTTCAGTTTTCTGCTTATGGCTAGCCAGTTTTCCCAACACCATTTATTAAATAGGGAATCCTTCTCCATTGTTTGTTTTCATCAGGTTTGTCAAAGATCAGATGGTTGTAGATGTGTGGCATTATTTCTAAGGCCTCTGTTCTGTTCCATTGGTCTCTATATCTGTTTTGGTACCAGTACCATGCTGTTTTGGTTACTGTAGCCTTGTAGTATAGTTTGAAGTCAGGTAGTGTGATGCTTCCAGCTTTGTTCTTTCTGCTTATGATTGTCTTGGCAATGCAGGCTCTTTTTTGTTCCATATGAAATTCAAAGTAGTTGTTTTCTAATTCTGTGAAGAAAGTCAATGGTAGCTTGATGGGGATAGAATTGAATCTATCAATTACTTTGGGCAGTATGGCCATTTTCACAATATTGATTCTTCCTAGCCATAAGCATGGAATGTTTTTCCATTTGTTTGTGTTCTCTCTTATTTCCTTGAGCAGTGGTTTGTAGTTCTCCTTGAAGAGGTCCTTCACATCCCTTGTAAATTGTATTCCTAGGTATTTTACTCTCTTTGTAGAAATTGTAAATGGGAGTTCACTCATGATTTGGCTCTCTGTATGTCTGTTATTGGTGTTTAGGAATGCTTGTGATTTTTGCCATTGATTTTGTATCCTGAGACTTTGCTGAAGTTGTTTATCAGCTTAAGGGCTTTTGGGCTGAGATGATGCGGTTTTTTAAATATGCAATCCTGTCATCTGCAAACAGAGACAATTTGACTTCCTCTCTTCCTATTTGAATACGCTTTATTTCTTTCTTTTGCTGATTATCCTGGTCAGAACTTCCAATAGTATGTTAAATATGAGTGGTGAGAGAGGACATCCTTGTCTTGTTCTGGTTTTAAAAGGGAATGCTTCCAGCTTTTGCCCACTCAGAATGATATTGGCTGTAGGTTTGTCATAAATAGCTCTTATTTTGACATACATTCCGTCAATACCTAGTTTATTGAGAGTTTTTAGCAAGAGGGTGTTGAATTTTATCGAAGGCCTTTTCTGCATCTATTGAGATAATCATGTGGTTTTTGCCATTGATTCTTTTTATGTAATGGATTACATTTATTGATTTGCATATGTTGAATCAGCCTTGCATCCCAGGGATGAAGCCAACTTGATTGTTGTGGATAAGCTTTTTAATGTGCTGCTGGATTCTCTTTGCCAGTATTTTATTGAGGATTTTCGCATCTATGTTCATCAGGGATATTGGCCTAAAATTTTCTTTTTTTGTTGTGTCTTTGCCAGGTTTTGGTATCAGGATGATGCTGGCCTCATAAAATGAGTTATGGAGGATTCCCTCTTTTTCTATTGCTTGGAATAGTTTCAGAAGGAATGGTACCAGCTCTTCTTTGTACCTCTGGTAGAATTCAGCTGTGAATCTGTCTGGTCATGGGCTTGTTTTGGTTGGTAGGCTATTAATTACTGCCTCAATTTCAGAACTTTTTATTGGTCTATTCAAGGATTCAATTTCTTCCTGGTCTAGTCTTGGGAGGGTGTATGTGTCAGAAATATATCCATTTCTTCTAGATTTTCTAGTTTATTTATGTAGAGGTGTTTATAATATTCTCTGATGGTAGTTTGTATTTGTGGGATCAGTGGTGTCTCCCCTTTATCATTTTTTTATTGTATCTATTTGATTCTTCTCTCTTTTCTTTTTTATTGGTCTGGCTAGTGGTCTATCTATTTTGTTAATCTTTTCAAAAAACCAGCTACTGGCAAAGAGCCAAGAAGAAGCAGCACCAGCTTTACAAGCCCTACACCAACAGAAATATTGCAAAGGATCCCACTTCACTAGAAGAAGAGATCAAAGAGATTCGTTGAAGTGGCAGTAGTAAGGCTCTGGACAACACTCCAGAGTTCCAGCTCTCTGACATTTTCTACTTTTGCCGGAAAGGAATGGAGACCATTATGGATGATGAGGTGACAAAGAGATTCTCAGCAGAAGAACTGGAGACCTGGAACCTGCTGAGCAGAACCAATTATAACTTCAGGTACATCACCCTTCAGGTCACGGTCCTGTGCGGGTTAGCAGGGCTGATTTGGTACTGCTTCCTGCTGCTGCGCAGGATAGCGCTGGCCTTGACAGGGATTAGCCTTCTAGTGGTGGGCACGACTGTGGCGGGATACTTGCTTCATACCTCGCCAATCGATGTGATCATCTTGGCCAGCGATGGCTATTATGCCACAGTGGGTCAAATGCATGGGGGACTCATAGGTTTGATTCAGAGAGCCATGGTGAAGACTTGCCCACACATCTGGTTTGAGCGCTTGGAAGTGAAGGATCGCCACCTGCTGGCTAAGAGACTGACTGAACAAGTGCAAGATATAAGCAAGCTGCCTATCCCTCATCTTCCCAGAAGGAATTTGCATCAATAATACATCGGTGATGATGTTCAAAAAGGGAAGTTTTGAAATTGGAGCCACAGTTTACCCTGATGCTATCAAGTATGACCATCAATTCGGCAATGCCTTCTGGAACAGCAGCAAATAAGGGATGATGACTTACCTGCTGCGAATGATGACCAGCTGGGCCATTATCTGCAGCATGTGGTACCTGCCTTCCATGACCAGAGGGGCAGATGAAGATGCCGTCCAGTTTATGAATACGATAAAATCCGCCATCGCCAGGCAGGGAGAACTTGTCGACCTGCTGTGGGATGGGGGCCTGAAGAGGGAGAAGGTAAAGGACATGTTCAAGGAGGAGCAGCAGAAGCTATACAAAAAGATGATTGTGAGGAACCACGAGGACAGGAGTCGCTCATGAGCTTGCTTCGAGCTGGCTGGGGCCACCGTGTGGAGTGATCCCGGGCTAGGAGCTGGAGTTGCCGCCGCTGCCTCCACTGCTGCATCCTTTCCAGAATCCAGGGCTCCCTGGGCTGCTCTGGATCCCAGGACTCTGGATTTCACCAAGCACAGTGGGATCCCTGTGCACCGGAGCTACCTGCCCTTGGCGGTATGAACGGATGCTGCTGGGTGTCGCGACCCAGGATAAAATGCCTTGTTTCTTTTACAATAAGTTGTTGGAGGTGTCAGGCCTCTGAGTCCAAGCCTGCACGTGTACATCCAGATGGCCTGAGGCAACTGAAGAACCACAAAAGTTGAAAATGGCCAGTTCCTGCCTTAACTGATGACATTACCTTGTGACATTCCTTCTCCTGGACAACAAGTCTCCGGAGCTCCCCGCCGAGCACCGTGTGACCAACCCCCCACCCCCACCCCGCCTCACTGCCCGAAAGAGAACAACCGTCTTTAACTGTAATTTTCAACTACCTACCTGAACCTTATAAGACTGCCCCACCCCTATCTCCCTTTGCTGATTCTCTTTTTGGACTCAGTCCACCTGCACCAGGTGATTAAAAAGCTTTATTGCTCACACAAAGCCTGTTTGGTGGTCTCTTCATACAGACGCGCGTGACATTTGGTGACGAAGACCCAGGATAGGGGACTCTTCTGGGACACCGGTCCCCTGTCCTTGCCCTCACTCTGTGAAGAGATCCACCTACAACCTCTGGTCCTCAGACCAACCAGCCCAAGGAACATCTCACCAATTTCAAATCAGGTAAGTGGTCTTTTCACTCTCTTCTCCAGCCTCTCTCGCTACCCTTCAGTCTCCCTGTCCTTCCAATTCCAGTTCTTTTTCCTCTCTAGTAGAGACAAAGGAGACACATTTTATCTGTGGACCCCAAACTCCCACGCTGGTCATGGACTCAGGAAGACAGTCTTCCCTTGGTGTTTGATCATCACGGGGATGCCTGCCTTGATCATTCACCCACATTCCATTGGTGTCTGATCACCACAAGGACACCTGCCTTGATCATTCATCTACATTTCCTCGGTGGCAAGTCAATTGCGGGAATGCCTGCTTTGGCTGCTCACCCACATTACAGCCCAGGGCTGCTCACCACCCCCTTCTCCGTGTCTCTACTTTTCTCTTTAAACTTACCTCCTTCATTATGGACAACCTTCCATCCTCCAGTCCCCCTTCTTCTCCCTTAGCCTGTGTTTTCAAGAACTTCAAATCGGTCCCTCCCTAATCTCCGCTCCCAATGTGACTCATCCCAAATCTTTCTTTCTCTCCTGTCTGTTCCTTCAATCTCCACCCCAAGCTCTGAGTCCTTTGAATCCTCCTTTTCTGTGGACCCATCTGACCTCTCCCCTCCTCCCCAGGCTGCTCCTCACCAAGACGCGCCGGGTCCCAATTCTTACTCAGCCTCCACTCCCCCACCCTATAATCCTTCTATCACCTCCCCTCCTCACACACACCTCCCCTCCTCACACTCTGGCTTACAGTTTCTTTCTGCAACTAGCCCTCCCCCCACCTGCCCAACAATTTCCTCTTACAGAGGTGGCTGGAGATGAAGGCATAGTCAAGATTAATGCTCCTTTTTCTTTATCCGACCTCTCCCAAATCAATTAGCATTTAGGCTGTTTTTTATCAAATATAAAAACCCAGCCCAGTTCATGGCCCTTTTGGCAACAACCCTTAGATGCTTTACCGCCCTAGACCCAGAGAGGCCAGAAGGCCGTCTTATTCTCAATATGCATTTTATTATCCGATCTGCTCCCGACATTAGAAAAAGCTCCAAACATTAGATTCTGGCCCTCAAACCCTACAACAGGACTTAGTTAACCTCGCCTTCAAGGTGTACAATAATAGAGAAGAGGCAGCCAAGTGGCAACGTATTTCTGAGTTGCAATTACTTGCTTTCATTGTGAGAGAAACTCCAGCCACATCTCTAGCACACAAGAACTTCAAAACACCTAAACCGCAGTGGCCAGGCATTTCTCCAGGACCTCTTCCCCAAGGATTTTGTTTCAAGTGCTGGAAATCTGGCCACTGGGCCAAGGAATGCCCACAGCCCGGGATTCCTCCTAAGCTGTGTCCTATCTGTGCAAGACCCCACTGGAAATCAGACTGTCCAACTCACCCGGCAGCCACTCCCAGAGCCCCTGGAACTCTGGCCCAAGGCTCTCTGACTGACTCCTTCCCACTTAGTGGCTGAAGACTGACACTGCCTGATCAGCTCAGAAGCCTCCTGGACTATCACAGATGCTTTGGGTAACTCTTACAGTGGTGGGTAAGTCTGTCCCCTTCTTAATCAATAGGGAGGCTACCCACTCCACATTACCTTATTTTCAAGGGCCTTTTTCCCTTGCCTCCACAACTACTGTGGGTATTGACAGTCAGGCTTCTAAACCTCTTAAAATTCCCCAGCTCTGGTGCCAACTTGGACAACATTCTTTTATGCACTCCTTTTTAGTTATCCCCACCTGCCCAGCTCCCTTATTAGGTTGAGGCATTTTAACTAAATTGTCTGCTTCCCTGACTATTCCTGGGCTACAGTCACACCTCATTGCCACCCTTTTCCCCAGTTCAAAGCCTCCTTCGCATCTTCCCCTTGTATCTCCCTACCTTAATCCACAAGTATGGGATACCTCTACTCCCTCCTTGGCGATCATGCACCCTTTATCATCCCATTAAAACCTAATCACCCTTGCCCCACTCAATGCCAATATCCCATCCCACAGCAGGCTTTAAAAAGGTTAAAGCCTGTTATCACCTGCCTGTTACAACATGGCCTCTTAAGGCCTACAAACTCTCCTTACAACCTTTCTATCCTACCTTTCCAAAACCAGACAAGTCTTACAGGCTGGTCCAGGATATTCGACTTATCAACCAAATTATCTTGCCTATCCACCCCATGGTGCCAAATCCATATATTCTCCCATCTTCAATACTTCCCTCCACAACCCATTATTCTATTCTGGATTTCAAAGATGCTTTCTTTACTATTCCTTTATACCCTTCATCCCAGCCTCTCGTTCCTTTCACTTGGATTGACCCTGACACCCATCAGTCTCAGCAATTTAACCCGGGCTGTACCGCTGCAAAGCTTCAGGGACAGTCCCCATTACTTCAGTCAAGCCCTTTCTCATAACTTACTTTCTTTCCATCCATCTGCTTCTCACCTTATTCAATATTTTAATGACCTTCTACTTTGTAGACCCCTGTGAAACTTCCCAAAAGGACACCCTCCTGCTCTTCCAACATCTATTCTCAAAAAGATATTACATATCCCCCTCCAAAGCCCAGATTTCTTCCTCATCCATTACCTATCTCAGCATAATTCTTCATAAAGACACACGTGCTCTCCCTGCTGATCATGTCCAGCTAATCTCTCAAACCCCAACCCCTTCTACAAAGCAACAACTCCTTTCCTTCCTAGGCATGGTTGGGTACTTTCGCCTTTGGATACCTGGTTTTGCTATCCTAAAAAAAAACCCATTATATAAACTCAGAAAGGGAAACCTAGCTGACCCTATAGATCCTAAATCCTTTCCCAACTCAATATTTACACTGACTCTAAACATGCTTTCCATATCCTGCACCACCATGCTGTTATATGGGCTGAAAGAGGTTTCCTCACTACACCAGGGTCCTCCATCATTAATGCCTCTTTAATAAAAACTCATCTCAAGGCCGCATTACTTCCAAAGGAAGCTGGAGTCCTTCATTGCAAAGCCATCAAAAGGCCTCAGATCCCATTGCTCAAGGCAACAATTATGCTGATAAGACAGCTAAAGAAGCAGCCAGTATTTTTCTTTCTCCTCTATCACTCCCACCTACTCTCCCACTGAAACTTCCGCGTATCAGTCTCTTCCCACAGAAGCCAAATGGTTCTTGGACCAAGAAAAATTCCTCTTTCCAGCCTCACAGGCTCATCCCATTCTATCATCCTTTCATAACCTCTACCTTGTAGGTTACAAGCCTTACTAACCCACATCTTAGAACCTCTCATTTCCTTTAAGACATTTGCCCTTCATATCACTCCATCCTTGGCTACCTTCCCCTTCTTCTTTGAACTCTTCTCCTAGCCTCTCCTCTTGCTTGCTTATACCCAGCCCCATGAATAGCAGTGAAAGGTTACTCATACACACTATGCGCTTTCTCATACACCATAAAAATAGAACCTCCCCCCTACCCAGTTGCCCCATCAATCCCCATTACAACCTCTAAGGGTTGCTGCCCTCACTAAATCCCTAAGAGTCTGGGTGCAGGGTTTCAAAGATGCTTTCTTTACTATTCCTTTAGACCCTTCATCCCAGCCTCTCTTCACTTTCACTTGGACTAACCCTGAGACCCATCAGTCTCAGCAACTTAACCTGGGCTGTGCTGCCTCAAGGCTTCAGGGACAGCCCCCATTACTTCAGTCAAGCCCTTTTGGTGCTCCCTCTCATCTTTTCACTTTACATTTCCAGTTTTGCCTTACAAAGGTCTCTTCCTCCTCTGTGATTCCTCCACCTACATGTGTCTATCCATCAATTGGACAGGCACATGTACACTAGTTTTCTTTACCCCCCAAAATCAATTTTCAAATAGGGCTGAACAACTTCCTATTCCCCTTATGACACCAACACTTCACTACTATTTTGTTTTTTATTATTATTAATATAAAAAGACAGGAATAGTCCTCAACTTACTCACTACTGAAAAAGAAAGACTCTGTACATTTTTAAATGAAGAGTGTTGTTTTTACCTAAATCAATCTGGCCTGCTACACGACAACATAAAAAAACTCAAGGATAGAGCCCAAAAACTCACCAACCAAACAAATAATTACACTGAACCCCCTTGGACATTCTCTAATTGGATGTCCTAGGTCCTCTCAATTCTTAGTCCTTCAATACCTGTTTTTCTCCTTCTCTTAATCAGACCTTGTGTCTTCTGTTTAGTTTCTCAATTCAAACAAAACAGTATCCAGGCCATCACCAATCATTCTATATGACAAATGCTCCTTCTAACAACCCCACAATATCACCCTTTACCCCAAAATATTTCTTCAGTTTAATCTCTCCCACACTAGGTTTCCAAGCCACCCCTAATCCCTCTCGAAGCAGCCCTAAGAAACATCACCCATTATCACTCCATACCACCCCCCAAAATTTTTGCTGCTCCAACACTTGACCACTATTTTGTTTTGTTTTTCTTATTAATATAAGAAGACAGGAATGTCAAGCCTCTGAGCCCAAGCCTGCACGTATACATCCAGATGGCCTGAGGCAACTGAACAACCTCAAAAGAAGTGAAAATGGCTGGTTCTTGCCTTAACTGATGACATTACCCTGTGACATTCCTTCTCCTGGACAATAAGTCTCCAGAGCTCCCCACTGAGCACCTTGTGACCCCTGCCACTGCCCGCAAGAGAACAACCTCCTTTAACTGTAATTTTCCACTACCTACCCAAATACTATAAAACTGCACCATCCCATCTCCCTTTGCTGACTCTCTTTTCAGACTCAGCCCGCCTGCACCCAGGTGATTAAAAAGCTTTATTGCTCACACAAAGCCTGTTTGGTGGTCTCTTCACATGGATGCGTGTGACAGGAGGAATGCCACTAAAGTCAACTCCCCCACCTGTGCACGCTGTGTGGGCTCAGTGGTTGGGGAGATGTGGCCACGTTCAAGTGCTAGGGGTGTGGGACAGGAGTCTGTTATGCATACCCATGTGCCAGGGACATGCTGGGGCGGCCACTCACTCTGGAGGAGAGGCACAGCTGAGACATTGTGGCTGAATTTGGCCTCAATGTCACCCCCAGCCTTGGAGCTCTGCAGACATGATAGGAAGGAAACTGTCATCTGCAGGGGCTTTCAGCAAAACGAAGGGTTAGATTCTTATGCTGCTGCTGATGGGGCCACCAAAGGGAGGGGAAGAGGCCAAGTGGGCCACTGACTGGGCCATGGTGAGAACCAAGAGTCACATGTGTTCATACTCCAGGCTAACCCTGAACTCCCCATGTGATGTGCACTCTGTTGAATGTGTGCCTCGGTTTCCCCATCTGTAACATGAGTCGGGGGGAAGGGTGGTGATTCCTACTTCGCAGGGCTGTTGTGGGGATTAAAGTGCTGTGGTGAATGAAGGACACGTCATGTTCAGTGTTTCAAGTACAGGCCTACAAAACAGGGCAGGGCAGGTCTGAGCTCAGAGCTGCTGCACCAGGCTTTGGATTTGTTTTTGTGAGTAAATAAAACTGACTGGTGAATGAAAAACAAACAAACAACAACAAAATAACTCATTTCATTGATTCACTGATTTTTTTTGAAGGGTTTTCTGTACCTCTGTCTCCTTCAGTTCTGCTCTGATCTTAGTTATTTCTTGCCTTCTGCTAGCTTTTGAATTTATTTGCTCTTGCTTCTCTAGTTCTTTTAATTGTGAGGTTAGGATGTCGATTTTAGATCTTTCCTGCTTTCTTCTGTGGACATTTAGTGCTATAAATTTCCCTCTCAAAACTGCTTTATTTATGTCCGAGAGATTCTGGTACATTGTGTCTTTGTTCTCATTGCTTTCAAAGAACTTATTTATTTCTGCCTTAATTTCATTATCTACCCAGTAGTCATTCAGGAGCAAGTTGTTCAGGTTCCATGTAGTTGTGCGGTTTTGAGTGAGTTTCTTAACCCTGAGTTCTAGTTTGATTGCACTGTGATCTAACAGACTGTTATGATATCTGTTCTTTTGCATTTGCTGAGGAGTGTTTTACTTAAAATCATGTGGTTGATTTTAGAATAAGTGTGATGTGGGGTTCAGAAGAATGCATATTTTGTTGATTTGGGGTGGAGAGTTCTGTAGATGTTTATTTGGTCATTAGAGAAATGGAAATCAAAACCACAGTGAGATACCATCTCATGCCAGTTAGAATGGAGATCATTAAAAAGTCAGGAAACAACAGATGCTGGAGAGGATGTGGAGAAATAGGAACACTTTTACACTGTTGGTGGGAGTGTAAATTAGTTCAACCACTGTGGAGAACAGTGTGGTGATTCCTTAAGGATCTAGAAGCAGAAATACCATTTGACCCAGCAATCCCATTACTGGGTATATACCCAAGGATTATAAATCATGCTGCTGTAAAGGCACATGCACACATATGTTTATTGTGGCACTATTCACAATAGCAAAGACTTGGAACCAACCCAAATGTCCATCAATAATAGGATGAAGAAAATGTGGCACATATACACCATGGAATACTATGCAGTCATAAAAAAGGATGAGTTCATGTCCTTTGCAGGGACATGGATGAAATCGGAAACCATAATTCTCAGCAAACTAACACAGAAACAGAAAACCAAAGACTGCATGTTCTCACTCATAAGTGGGAGTTGAACAATGAGAACACACGGACACAGGGAGGAGAACATCACACACTGGGGCCTGTCAGGGTATGGGGGCTAGGGAAGGGATAGTATTAGGAGAAATACCTAATGTAGATGATGGGTTGATGGGTGCCACAAACCACCATGGCACATGTATAGCTGTGTAACAAACCTGCACATTCTACACATGTATCCCAGAACCTAAAGTATACTAATATAATTGCAAAAGCAATTGCAGCAAAAGCAAAAATTAACAAATGGGATCTAAATAAACTAAAGCGTTTTGGCACAGCAAAAGAAACTATCATCAGAGTGAAGAGGCAACCTACAGAATGAAAGAAAATTTTTGCAATCTATTTATTTGACAAAGATCTAATATTCAGCATCTACAAGGAACTTAAACAAATACACAAGAAAATAAAAACAACCCCATTAAAAAGTGGGCAAAGAATGTGAACCGACACTTCTCAAAAGAAGACATACATGTGGCCAACAAAAATATGAAAAAAGCTCAACATCACTGATCATTAGAAAAATGCAAATCAAAACCACAATGAGATACCATCTCATGCCAGTTCAGAATGGTTTTTATTAAAAAGTTTAAAAAAAAAAGATGCTGGTGAGGTTGCAGAGAAAAAAATGATTTTATACTGTTTGTAGAAGTGTAAATTAGTTCAACCATATGGAAAACAGTGTAGCGATTCCTCAAAGACCTAGAGGCAGGAATACTGTTTGACCCAGCAATCCCATTACTAGATATACACCCAAAGGAATATAAATCATTCTATTATAAAGACACAGATATGTGTATGTTCACTGTAGCACTATGCACAATGGAAAAGACACGGAATCAACATAAATGTCTATCAATGATAGACTGGACAAAGAAAATGTGGTAAATAGATACCATGGAACACTATGCAGCCATAAAAAGGAACAAGATTATGTCCTTTGCAGGGACATGGATGGAGGTGGAAGCCATTGTTCTCAGCAAACTAATGTAGGAACAGAAAACCAAACATCACAGGTTCTCACTTATAAACGGGAGCTGAATGATGAAAACACATTGACACATAATAGGGAACAACACACACTGGGGCCTGTTGGAAAGTGAAAGGTGGAAGGAAGGAGAGCATCAGGAAGAATAGCTAATGGATGCTTGGCTTAATACTTAGGTGATAGGATGATCTGTGCAGCAAACCACCGTGGCACATGTTTACCTAGATAACAAATCTGCACATCCTGCACATGTAACCCTGAGCTTAAAATAAGTTGGAAAAAAGAAAAAGAAAGCAGCCACAGACAATATGTAAAGAATGAGGTTGGCAGTGTTCATAAAACTCTATTTGAAAAAACAGGTGGTAGCCCAAAATATCTCACTGGATGTAGTTTACCAACCCATAATGTAGATAATCATGGTGTCTGTATCAAATTAAATGGAGCCTAAGTGAGTCATATGGTTCATGTAGTTATAGTTGTACATTCTCCATTTTTATACATAATACAACAGAGTTTCAAAGTGACTAAAGGATTTCACTACAGCCAAACAGAATAAACAGCTTTCCTATTGGTTTAAAAATGAAAAATTTAGCCAGGCATGGTGGTACATGCCTGTAGTCCCAGCTACTTCGAAGGCTGAGGCCAGAGGGTCATATGAGCCCAGGAGGTTGAGGCTGCAGTGAGCTATGATCATGCCACTGCACTCCAGCCTGAGTGACAGAGCAAGACACTGTCTCAAAGAAATAATAAAATAGAAATAAGAATAAATAAAAAATTTCTTTCTAATTGCACCAAATTGTATATCACGATCTCTGCCAGATCTCCAAATAATCATCCCAAAATACATCAAGATGAAGTTAATTTAGTCTGACTAACAGTTTTGAGTTGGTCAGACTAAGGACAAACATTGTCATTAACAAGCTACACATTTTAAATTGACCCATCACAGTTAAATTTCTTGTGAACTATTCCAATAAGTTTTGCATTATGGAAACTCAATTCACAGATTTATCTCTGTAAGTATGGTTTGTAATTTTTGGTAGCAAAACAATGAGAAATTGTAAAATTAATTTGTCGAATAATGAACTGTGGTCAGTACAGCATATGCTAAAAGACATGCAAACTATGCTCTCTGAAAAAGCCTACATTCTACTTGGGATAGAATATAGTTCATTTCAACACACTTATTAATCAGTTATTATATGTCAGGCAAAAACCCATAATTTACTGTCCACCTTTGAGAAGCTCATAGACTAACAGGAGTATGAAAGAGAGCACATCCATATTTGAACCTCCTTTTTCAGCGAATCTCCTTTTTCATTTATGGCACACAACATACTCTTTGTCATGCTGATTTCTTGCTCATGTGCTTCTCCTTTTCTGTAGAACAGTTTCTCCCACTAGTGCACAGAGAAGGAGGACTTGCAACATTTTAAGTAAGGATTCTTAGAGAATTTGAGGAGTGAATTGAGATAATCCAGGTAAAGATGTGAAACACTGCACTACTGAAAAAGCAAAGTGCATGAGTGAGGAAATTCTGTCATGAAGTGTCCTGTTATGTACCATAAACTACAAACAGAATAGGCAAGGAAGGGAATTGCAAAAGATGTGGCCGGAAAGTTGGAGAAATTAGGTCATAGAGGGTCTCACATTCCTGTGCATAATTACCAGACTGGATATTTACCCTGTACACTTTTTAAATCTGCATCCATTTGACATACAACTTGCATGCACCAGCCCCCAACACTAACACCATTATACACACTTAAAGATTCTGATGTGCCCCTTGCATTGGAGGATGCAGAAGAGAAACCTGACAGAAAGAAATAGGGAGAAAAAAGCTAAAGGTTTTTAATCAAGTTGTTAGTGATTTGGTGTTTGATACAAAGCCTTAATCCTCTTTTCTCCCCAAAATCGTTTATAAAATGTATATTACTGCTAATGCTTTCTGAAGTTAAATATGTTTTCTGAAGATTTCATGAATGCAGAGTTTGGCTTCAAGAGCAAAGATTCTCCATGGAGACCTGGTCATATGTTGGTTGTATTAGTATTTCCTATTTTTCAGAAACTGTACTCAGTGCTACAAATGGAAAGATGAATTCTACGTGAGGAGACAAACACTAACAAATAGTAATCACAGCACTGCCATAAGTGTTAATAAAAAAAAGCAGGCTTATACTATTTTACATGGAAAGAGGAAAAAATGATTAATTTTACTAAGAGAGGTCCTGAGAAGGCTTTCCAAAGGAGATGATATTTGAGCTGACCTTTGAAGCATAATTAAGAGCTTACCAGAAAGAGAGGAGTTAGGAAAGTCATTAAAACCAGGAAAAAAAAATCTTAGAGAAAACATTGTGTTTTAGAAAACTGTACATAGATTCATGTGGTTGAAATGCAAGTTGTGTGAGGATGATAAGGCAGAAGTCAAATCACAGAGTCATGGAGAGGAGGTAAGAATTGCTGGTTTGAAGTCTTAGAAGAACAAAATAGGATTAATGGGATCAATACATATGACTAAGCTAAGCCCTGAAGAATGGGTAACATTGATTATCATAAACAGATCACCCAAGGCGGTCCTCATCATGTCTTTTATCTTCTATATCCTCTTCAGTACTTAATCAGTGCTGAGAATAAGATGGTATGCACATGCAACCTGCTTTACTGATTACCTAATTGCCACAAAGACCACAAGAAATCTATTTTGGATCTTCAGATAGTCCTCAAAGTACCTAACCACCAGATCTGTAGAAGAGAATATATTCCAAAATAGTCATTAGTATGAAAGAATGCTGAAGGATGCTACAAAGATTTGGAAGGATTTTATATGAATTATATAAATCATTTTATGTGATTCATAAATTTATTATTTTATATGCATCATATAAATCATTTTATGTGATTTATAAATATATTATCATTTTATATGAATCATATAAGTCAAAAATCATAAAATATATACATGATAATTATATCATATATATCAGATTTTTAAAAATCTAAATATATCATTGATATTAATAAAAACTTTATATATATTTATATATATTATATATAATTACACATGATCCTTCTACATTTTTGAAGCATCCTTCAGCATTCTTCCATACTAATGACTATTTCAGAAGGTAAGTAGGTAGGTAGATAGATAGATACCAGTTTTTATTTATATCAGTGATTATATATATACACACACACATATTATATATTTAACACACATATGTCCATTTTTAACACCTGTATTCTAGAATATTGGAGGCCACATATTCTACACACACTCCTATTTTTCTTTTAAGATATAACAATGTCAAATCATGCAGGCCACTGAATATATATTCTACCACTATAAATTTCTTTAAAACATACTTATTGGATATTTAATATGTAAAAGACAAAAATGGTGTGGTATTCTTTTTATTGGCATGTGAAGAATCTATAAAATAATGATACAAATCAAGTTAAAAACAACATATAAAATATCATTCTATTTGTATTAAACTATTTATATAGGTATATTTTATATGTGTGCATGTGTTCACACACACACATATTGACTCAAACTGGTTCCATTCAGAGCTTTTCTTGCATCTGCCTTGTTTTTCATGCTATGCAGTTTAAGATCTTTTTTAAAAATAAAATCAACAAGAAAATAAAAATTATTGAGCATTAATTACCTTTTTAAATATGCACTTCAAGTTCATTAAGTCTCAAAACCTTAGCAACATAAGAAACAAGATTTTAATGTGAAATCTCATCACAGAGCACACAGGAGATGTTATTTTCTTAAAGGGATACATATGTCAATAACCCTCCATGCAATGAAATTGGCCCATTTTTTAAAAAATAGTCTAGGGCCAAATTTCTAGACTCCATAATGAAATGGTGGAAGCTTGTCTTTTAGAGGAGCTAAATCACTAGCCTACTCACTGTTGTTATCCCAGCTTCAAATTTCATTTCAGATTATCCATTTTAATAAAAGAGTCTGTATTATTTACCTTTGCCAAAAAGGTTTTTAATCCCCTCATTAAGATTTTTAATAGATATTGCAAGTCTAGGACAAGAGCCACTAAGAAGTAATTTTAAATAACTACCTTGTCAGCCTCATAGGTTATACTGGACTGAAGAAGAGTGATTCGAACATAATAAACCAGAGAATGTCAACACCTGTTTTGCCATTATTTTAACTTGTGTTTAATGTCTTTTTGCATTAAAACTGTATTAAAGACCTTCAATATAGTATGACAGGGCTATACTGTATGGAATAGTAATATTTTAAAAAATCAAATGCAGTTTAAATGTTTAGAGTATTTATGTTCTTTGTGGTTCAGATGAACACAATAGCTAAATCATTACTGATAAGATTAGTGTCAGGCTTGTCATTTTTGTCTACAACAGCCTGAGGAAAACTTTGTGAAATTAGAGGATCAGAAGCAGTAAACATGATGGAGAACAATAATCTGAAGGAAAAAACCACAAGGAACATCACATGTAGGTAAATTCCCCCTTAAAGGGGAAAAAGAGAACTCCGTCTGAAAGTTGAACATCTCTTGGAGGATTCTGTAAGAATCTGAAGAATCTTTTAATTAACCTGAAATTAACCTGAAAAAAGTTAATGCTACCTGAAATGGTGCTGATGGTTTGAGAATATATGGCCAAAATGAGTAGTAATATGTTCAGTTTTACTCTTTAAGCTTATACTGTTTTACCTTTTATTTATATAGGTAGATATATTTCAATCCCCAACAGCCTTGCCATTATTTTAACCCAAGCTATATCTATCTACCTTTCTATCTGCCTCTCTATAAATAAGGATATATAGTATGGATATATATACATACATATATATATAGAGAGAGAGAGATAGAGAGAGCTAGTATAGGTCCATATAGATATATCTATCTAAATATATAGATCTACTCCACATAGAGATATCTAGACATATAAATAGCTACAGATATTAATATATGAATCTAGATGTCTATATATATAAATATCTATAGGTATAGAGACAGAGAGAGAGACATAAAGTGAGCTTTTGTTTAAGTATGGCCCTAAAAACGTGAGGCTCTTATCTCAGCTGTTTTTTGGTTAAGAAAGTTGGTATGAGATTAATCACATATCACATAAGACTTGATGTAAATATTCCTTTTGTCACATTTCTACCTACTTTTACCACCAGGCTCTATCCACAAACTTGTCATTTATTTGTGGAATATTTTATCCACAATTAGCTTTTCTGTTTTATAAATGTACAAACATAAGTCAGTACCTTTTTTCTTTTCTTTTCTTCTTTTTTTTTTTTTGAGACAGAATCTGAGAACCTGAGTCTAGCTCTGGCTCTGTCACCCAGGCTGGAGAGCAGTGGTGCGAACTCGGCTCAATGCCACCTCCACCTCCTAGGCTCAAGCACTTCTCATGTCTCAGGTGGAATTATAGGTGCCCACCGCCACGCCTGGCTAATTTTTGTATTTCTAGTACAGATGGGTTTCCACCATGTTGATCAGACTGGTCTCAAACTCCTGGCCTCAAGTGATCCACCCACTTTAGCCTCCCAGAGTGCTGAGATTACAGGCGTGAGCCACCGTGCCTGGCCAGTAAGTCAATATCTTCAAAAGAGATCAGATGTCTTGCTAGTTTAAAAAGGTGGAGCATCAGGACATTGGCATCGTACAGAGTCAGTGAAAGGAGCAAGTGTTAGAGAATGTGTCAGTGCCACCTGAGGAAGGAAGGAGCTTGTACCTTAATGAAAGCATTATTTCCTTTAATGTGACCGTGTCACCAGCAGACCCAGAGTAGTCAGGGCATGCTAATCCACACACACCTTCTCACTCAAGTAGTGGCCCACGATTAGTAAAACAGACCTAAATAAAGGCCTGGGATGTTTTCTACCATTCTGCTTATTTAGATTTGCAAAACAAGCCAGCTTTCCAAGATCTGACATTTTCTTTCAAGTTCTATGACTGCTCTTCAGATGTGCTGCCACCAGTGTGGGTGATGTCTGTGCTGTAGTATTAACAACAATGGCAAAAATGATAATAGAAATACAACTGTGGACTTGTGAAATGAAATAATAGATTATCTAATCCAATGGTTCCTAAATATTATTTTTCTGCTTAGCTGGAGAAGAATTTCAGTAAAGAAAAGTTTATTTAGAAGACCAATTAAATCAGATAAAGGTGGAACTATTCTAGTGAACACAGGGTACCAACGTCTTTCTCCAGGTAGTGCTGAACTAGGGTGCAATGGAGCACAGTGTAAACATCACAGCTAGCAAGTCTCCTGCCTCACGGCCAGAGCTCACCAAATGGCCGCCATGTCCTGTCTTTTTATTTAATGGATGGAAGAACTAAGCTCCTTTGAATGGAAGCAGCTTCTCTAAGATCACAGAGGTGATAACAGAGCTATGAATTCACTAACAAAAAAAACAAAACAAAACAAAAATTCAAGATACAAAAACTAAATTTTTATGGTAATTCCTAACTTCCCTAGCACTTCTAAATTGATTTAACTGTATTTGATAATTAAAATCACCTTATGGCTCAGATAAGGTGGGGTCTTTTCCTTATACTAGTCTTACTCATGATAAACTGAGGCTCAAGGAGGAAGAAGATTTGTCCCAAGTAAACTTTCTTGTAAGGGGTAGAGGTGGTTTTGGAATGCAGGCTCTTGGAACATGGTTCAATGTTTTATCCATTGCGTGAAGTCCTTCTGTTTCATGTAAAAAATTTTCCCATAAGTATCAAATTACTAATGTCAAAGAGATATCCACATGTTTTTCAACTAAATTATTCCTTCAAAACAAAAACTGGAGTATATTAACAACTAAGCATTAATATAAAGAAGTAGTATGGTTAAATGATACATCACAATGTAAAGAGGTAAATTGGGTGCCTCAATTCTCAATTAATGATAGCTTAGCTCAAAATAAACAGCTTTCCAATTTATTTTAAATCTCTTTTAGCTCTTATGGAATTTATTCAAACATTTACAGCCTTAAACAACTTTGTCAAGTGTCAAACTCCCATTTGTTCATTGCTCTTGGTTTTTATATGCCTTTATTAAAGAGAGAGACAAAATTTCTGAGTTAGAATTAATCTCAGCTATCATCAATCCAGACTCCAAGAAAGGGCCTTGCCAGTGGTTTTGGTGATAGGAAAGCCCTAATTTGCCTGCAGCCTGTTCCATGCTTTCTCTTCCCTACGTCTGCATCTCTGTTCTTACCTAATTTGACGTGGAACCGTGAATGTGGCTCCCTGTGCTACTGGAGTTGACATCCAATAAGTCTCTTCACAATGGTGAATATAAGCCAGCATGATTGCTCCATCCCTCAGGAAATCATTCTCCTGGGAGTGCAGTGCATCTTTTAAAGAATTAAACTTTTTCTTTCATACAGTGTGACAGAAACCACGAAGGAGAAAAGATTATGGTCACACCATATGTCCGTTTCTCCATAAATGTGTGTGTGCACACACTTGTGTGCTTGTGTGTGTTTTCTCAATGAGAAGGGAGTATATTTTCTCTTTTCAAGGAGAAAGATTTCCCCTCCCCTTAGGTTACTAGCTGCTAGATGCTTGCTGATTAATTTAAATCTACACACAACTGGTTTCCTTATTAATGATTCTGCCAGGTTTCTGGAACATAGCAGTATTAAACTGCTCTGAATACAGCCTGTTCTTTTTTAAAGGAGTCATTATCTTTTAATAAGAACATGAGAAAGGAAACAGCATAGCATAACAGTCCTATTGTTTGTACGTGGTATATACTACAAGTTGTCTCCTAAGAATTTAAAAATATAGTTTTCCAATGATAGTTTAAAAATAATAGCAAAATCCCCACATGAGAATTATGGTCAGTCATCCAGGGAACAGATACAAAGATTGCCTAAATGTGTGACAATGAATCAGGGAACATCCAAAAATTCAACTTAAATGATTGGAGAGAATCAGAAGGAGGTGAGGTGAGGTTAAAATGAGATTCTAATTTAGTTAAGCACAAAACTAAGCAATTCCATTAAACCACAATTGAAGAAAGATCATGTGAACAGCAGGAGGCTTGTAAGTATGACAGAAATTAAAAGAAGAGTAGCAGGAACAAACATTTGTAGTTCTCATTCGAGCACTGTCTGAGAGAGACAGAGTTGGTAAGACTCACTTCCTGCTGGATGAAGGGACCCAAAGTGTCCTTAACATTTCTACATCATCAAACTCCCTCCAGATCTAATCTCAGACTCACTGCACCACCGCTTCCCATAGAGTTCGTTTCAAGGAAGGTGACAGGTGAGCCAAAGTGAAACAGATAATCATTACTTGACATTCATTGTGTGCAGATGTACATAAAACTGTACCCAAATATGGCAAATGTGAGTCACCTTCAGATCTACTCTCAGGTATTCCTTGTTCAAAATGTCGAAGCCTACAGATGGGAGGGCCACAGTCTGGCACCCCATGGGCATCTAACCGAGAGGTTCATTGTCGTTTTTCCTTGTGCAAGATAGTCTTGATTTTCTGTATTATATGTCTTCCATGAACCACAATAAAGGTAAAACTTCTTTCAACATCCTCGCCTCAAAGGATGGTGGTGAGAACTAAGTGAGAACAGTGTCTGGCTCATAGCAAGTGCTCAATAATTCTTGTTAATTATCTTATACAAGGTCTCTTCTATTACACCTTACATGGCACAAGAACCTCAACAAGCATTCTATTTAATTGGTATCAAAGTTTCTGAACCTTCAAATACGTTTGAACGATACCCATTACGATACAAAATGTTGTGGCTTTTCTAATGTTATCTGACAGAATCAGGTTTGGCCTTCCTTCTAGTGCATTAACAAAACTCTAGTAAGAGCTACAGCCTGTCAGCATGGCAAACTCAAAGAAAGACCAGCAGGAGCATATTACCTTCCAGTAAAGCAAATATGCCCAGGAAAGAGTATTTTGGACTGTGTAAGAAAGCTAAAAATTTAATAAAATATGAGAAGAGTAAGGGGGAAAAGCAAAGGTCAGAAACACAACATAATTTAAAAGCCCCTGCATATTCACTAATCTAGAAATGTCTACAGAGACGCAATCCAAGTGACCACATCTAGACGTTACACGAGGTAAGCTAGTACCCTCGCAAAGATGGAAATGAGACTGTGTTCAGCTTCAGGGAGCTTAAAATAAGACACAGCAGGAAATAGACACACAACCAATGACGCTTTATCCTCTAGGAAATCTATAGGATGGTTTGTATTGTGATTTGATTGTGTTGGGTATTGCAAAGGGGTCGTTGATTATATTTTTAAGGGGATAGCAAATAAGATTAGTTTTTATAGCATGCATGTGTATGCAGTCTAATGCAATAAGTAAAATTCCCAGCAATAGAAAGAGAGAGGAAAGGTAAGGCAAGAAAATTTAATATTTTTTTAAGGAAGAGAAAAGGTGAGGGATTAAATATTTCCCCTTGGTTGCTAGGTGCTCTCTCTGTTGCTATTCTGGAATTGAAAACATCAACTAAAGAAACTGCAGACTATAAAATGTTGCATGGACAGCAGACCTGGGAGCTGTCCAGCTCTCTGTACCCACCAATATATGGAGCAGTCCTGAGAGCTGAGATTTCCTCTGAATCCAGAATGTAGCCAAGTATCTCCATGGCAAGACTGAGGTTCAATTCCAAGAATCAGGTTTGGCCTTCCTTCTAGTACATTAACAAAACTCTAATAAGAATTACAGCCTGTCAGCATGACAAACTCAAAGAAAGACCAGCAGGAGCATAGTATCTTCCAGTAAAGCAAAGCTGCCCAGGAAAGAGTATTTTGGACTTTGTAAGAAAGCTAAACATTCAATAAAATATGAAAACAGTAAGGGGGAAAAGCAAAGGTCAGAAATACAACATAACTTAAAAGCCCCTGCATATTCACTAAGCACATATTTAAATGAAATGAAAAAGCCTGGACAGCATGAATACATGTTTCTAAAAAGCACATTTCAATGTCCAATCTTTCTATGGTCAAGCTTTTTTGTGACCTATGATCATATAAATGGTGTAAAAAATGTAAACTAAATGATAGATTCTGCTTAATGTTTGTCTGAGAAAAGCAATTGACCTGGTCTCAAAATATCTTTTTAATGAGAAACTCATTTAACTTCCCAGAACTCTGTGTCTTAGAGACATCCCTACTGGAGTCGGCCGTACTCTATCTTGAAAATCTTAAGTAAATTAAATTTCTAATGTGTTTCCACTAGAGGGCAGTAAATAAAAAACAAATAAATATCCTTATTCACAGAACACAATTGCTTCTAAAATCAGATATAAACAAATTTTATTTTCCTATAGGAGACAGGATTTGAACATTATAGGTTCAGAGATTTTCATTGCTGAAAATCTTTATTTGATCACCTCTCCTGGACTTCTCTTTTGCATTGTCATCCTCCATCACTAAAAGCATAATCTATAAACATATTCCAGAATGAGATAGGGGGAGGCTATTTTTGTAAATGAAAAACCTCCCTTCACGTTAAAAAGTTCCTGTTCTGTACATTCACACAGGGCCTACCTGGGTCTGAAATCACACCCCTGCTGGTCAAGGGGCTTGGTGGGATCCACTGATTGTATTTCATTGTTGTAAGAACAGACACTGGCAAGAGGCCATGGGAGCACTCTAACAAGAGCTGTGAATTCTAAGCAGGAATCTTGCAAGAAAAGGAAGGCCAGGGATGCCATCCAGTGGTCAGCCAGTGGCCCTGCTGCCTGTGAGATCCTCAGGCACCACTGCACTGCCTCCACGGAAAGCACTAGAATGCAGTCTGTAGGCTCTAAATCTGGAAACTAACCAGCGCTAAAATAAATTATTATTTCAATCTCAGCAAATCTCAAGCTCATAGCCTGCTTTTCTAAATTACAAACTGGGAATAAAGGAGGTGACCTGGACACTAGCTTGGAAACTATGTGGCTCAGGGGCTCCCGAGTGCAGCTGCTTTTCAGAATCACCTTGGCAGCCTTCTAAAAGCTGACTTCTGAAACCACCAAAACCTTTTGGGTTACAACCTCCAGGGATAAGGCTTGAGAACTGGTGTTTCTAAAAAGACTTCTGGATGATTCTGATGCAGCAAGTCTGGCCTAGTCCAAAGAAGCTGTAAACATCTATTCTAGTCTTTTCTTCTAGTGTCCAAAATTCAAAAGCGTCAGAGCTTTCTTGCTGTTCTGAATCCCAGCTGTGTTACTTATTAGCTGCAAAACCCAACCTTCCAATAGCTCAGTGTCACATCTATAAATGGGGATATGACAGTATTACCCTGTAGATTTACTGGAGAAAGTAAAGTGCTTAGAGCACTACCTGTCCCTTAGTAAGCACTAAAATGCTTGTTACTAGTGTTATCATGTATTATTACTGTCTTCTGGCTGCCCTTTTAGCTCACTTATTTTCATTTGCTTGGTTTCAATAGATATAGTGATCATGCTGGGCCCAGCTAGCCATATTACTTCCCTACCCTACCTTCCCCAGGCCTATATAGCCCTTGTTATTTACTGATATATTTTAACCACAGGCTCAGTTCACCCATTTTCTGACTAATACTGATCAAAATAGGAATTTTGGTACTCCAGTGGGTAGATATACAGAATGAACAGAAACATTTTTTTTATTTTATATTGTAGAGATGGAGTCTCCCTATGTTGCCCAGGCTGGTCTTGAAATCCTAGGCTCAAGCAATCCTCCTACCTCACTTCCCAAACTGCTAGAATTACAGGCATGAGCCACTGCACCCAGCAATAGAGACATTTAAGGATGTACTATGTGCCCAGCACAAGGCACATTATTTACATTATATCATTCAGTTTATACAACAACCCTCCAAGGTAGGCATTAAGTTCCCTAGTTTAATGAAAGGAGAGAACTGAGTCTTAGGGAAAGTTGCAAGTGGTACACTTCCTTTGGTGACTCCAAAGGCTAGAAAATGAATTACTCCCTCTGATAAGCTCTGAGCCTTGTCAGTCGCCCACTTACCCACCGCTGATGGTTCCGTTTGTGCATCCGGAAGTTCTGCTGAGCATCCAGGTCCTCATTAGCACAGTAGACTGGCCTGCTTCTCTGAGATGCCATGTCTAACACCTGCAAGTCCCTCCGTAGGAAGCTGAATTCTGTTTCCTACATCCCTTGGTCTTGGCGTATACACTGCTCTGAACAGATGGATCCCCCAGCTGTGAGAGGGCAGCTCATCTGCTCCCCAGGAGCACTCTGCTGCAGGTTCTCCTGGGATACACCTCCCTCAAGCACACCATAGGTGGGGGAGAAAAGCCCACAGGTGCCAAGCCTCATAGACACCATATATACTGACTGCTCTTCCCTTAAAGATAAGGCTTACAACTGACTCAATTTTCCCAGCAATCTGTTCTTTCCTGGTTTCAATTTTTCTTATTTCCCACTGTCTTAAGTTGCTAAGGCCCCAAGTTCTTCACACTCGAGTCTACTCTGGTCATGACGTTACCAGCATGCTATGAGAATAAATGTATCACAGAAATCCATGCAAGCCCACCAGGATACGGAATAGAATAGCATGAGTCACAATGAGGGCAAATATGTAGCATAATGGCATAATAAAACTGGAAAATGGCAAATCCTGTTACTATACTCCGGTAGCTTGCTTCAAAATTACTAAAATCAATCAGCAAATATATATAAACTTTTTTTTTTTTTTTTTTTAGATGGAGTCTCACTCTTGTTGGCCCAGGCTGGAGTGCAATGGCATGATTTCTGCTCACTGCAACCTCTGCCTCCCAGGTGCCAGCAATTCTCCTGCCTCAGCTTCTTAAGTAGCTGGGATTACAGGCATATGCCACCACACCCAGCTAATTTTTGTATTTTTAGTAGAGACAGGGTTTCACCATGTTGCCCAGGCTGGTCTCGAACTCCGGCCCTCAGGTGATCTGCCTGCCTCGGCCTCCCAAAGTGCTGGGATTAAAGGCATGAGCCACCGTGCCCGGCCTAAACATGTATTTTATATAAGTTGCTGTGTTAGGTTTCATAGGTGATACAAAGAAGAACAAGAGATAATTGTTGCTTTCAAAGGAATATATTTTGAAGCAAAGGTACACAATTTAAGTGTTAACATTAGCACACAGTAATATATGTTAAGAAGCACATGAATAACATGATCACTGTATGCTGCAGGATTTGAAAAGAGACTGTGCCACAGCCTGCAGTGGTCACGGGAAGTTGCCTAGAAGAAACAGCCCTTGCACTGGGCAATGCTAATGAGTAGAAATTATTTAAGTGGAGAAGTTGTGAGAGTACATGTCTAGAGGCTTTGGAGGCCATTGAGAGCACCAGAGCACTAGGATCGCACGTGGAAGGCATCAGGACTGAACTATGAACAATGCTGAGTGAATGTGGAGTTAGACGGTCTAGAGTTCACCCTATAGACAAGGGGACAGCCATGTGACTTTCGAGGATAAAATGATATGGCAAAAGTGTATTTTAGAGAAATTAATGTGGTAACAGTTAACAGGAGGCTTAGAGGATGTCCTGGAGGTGGGGTTGTTTTATTTCAACATTTCCCAACATGTATCTTAAATTTTTCGGGGATATAAATAGAAGGTAAGTGAATCAAAGATATTTCAAGTCAAAGAAAGAAAGGATATACTAAATTGAATGAAGTAAAACAGATGTGTTTTGTTGCATTTTTTCTCAGAGCCTTTATGCCAAACCTACAAAAGAGACAGAAATACAGCATTTTCCAACTGAGTTGAATACTGAACCACTTTTCCGTTATGTAGCTGGTGGAACTAGCACTCTGAGATACAGACTTTTGATGACTGAGAAAAAGGCCTGAACTAGGGAAGAAAACAAGTGACACGTGATGACACTTTAGAGAAGACATCTACAGATCTTCACTCTAATTAGTTGTCCAGATTAAGGGAAAACGTAGAAATGGAGAGACAACTTTATCCTACTATTCGCTCACTCCGGATGTCCTGGTGCCATCCTTGACTCCTCTCTTTCTCTCAAAGCACACATCCAACCCATCAGCAACATCTATTGAATCTACCTTTAGAGACAGATCCAATATCTGACCACTTCCCACCATGATCTTGGCTACTTTTCTGAAGAAAACCACCATCATCCTTCTAATTGGTCTCTTCCTTCCACCCTGTGCCCTAATGGTTTGTTCTTAACAAAGAAGCCAAGGGTAATCGTTTTAAAAATTAATCAGATCATGGTGGTCCCTTGCTTAAAACTCTGCAGTGGCGGGCCGGGCACGGTGGCTCACGCCTGTAATCCCAGCACTTTGGGAGGCCGAGGAGGGCGGATCACGAGGTCGGGAGATCAAGACCATCCTGGCTAACAAGGTGAAACTTGTCTCTACTAAAAATATAAAAAATTAGCCAGGCGTGGTGGCGGGCGCCTATAGTCCCAGCTACTGCAGGATTTGAAAGGAGACTGTGCCACAGCCTACAGTGGTGGGAGGCTGAGGCATGAGAATGCCGTGAACCCAGGAGGCGGAGCTTGCAGTGAGCCGAGATCGCGCCACTGCACTCCAGCCTGGGCGACAGAACGAGACTCCGTCTCAAAAAAAAAAAAAAAAAAAAAAAAAAAAAAAAAAAAATTCTGCAGTGGCTTCCATCTCAGAGTAAAAGCCAACATCCTGCAGTGGCCCCAAGACCAGACATGTCTTCTCCTCCTGCCCTTGTCACCTCTTTGACCTAACTTCCTGCCACTCTTCCCCCTCTCACTCCATACCAGACTCTCTGGCCCCTACTCTGTTCCTTGGACACCACAGGCACGCCCTCAACAAGGGCTTATTCTTCCCTCCATGTGGAATTTTCTTCTCCCAGATATCATCACAGCTACTCCCTTATGTCCTTCAGATCATTGCTCAAATGTCACGTCCTCAGTGGGATTTCCATGACTGACTCTTTAGAAAGTATATTCATCTCCTCCCTGAACCATTCTCTATCCCCATGGTCAGACATTTTTTCTCCCTAATACTTACCACTAGGTGATATACTTTCTAGTTTTTGCTTGTCTTTTATTGTCCATCCACTGTACGTTATGTCCTAATAGGACAGGGTTCCCCCACCCCAATTTTGTTTTATCCCTACTGCCTAGCACACAGGGGGTGCTGTATATGTTAAACTAATTGATCAAGTAATTTCCAACAGCAATGCTATGAGTAGGTTTGAGGATGTATCACCCCTACGTTATAGATAAAGAAAGTGAGAATCAGAATGATTTGTAATTTGTTCAAGAGTGCAAGTTAATAGATAGCTAATTTATCATTTTCTGATATTTAGATTAGCATCTAGATCTGCTGACTTTGTTAACTGTGTGATAATGTCATAGGGCAGGGACAACAGTTAGAAATACAGCTGTAAACAAATCAAAATGGCTAAATTCACAGATACAGCAGTCTTCTTTTTGAAAAAGAAAAAGGACTGTGGGCTAAATATCATCCTTTTCCTTTTTCTCTTTAGGATTGTTCAATATAAAAATTTCACTTATATTCTACATAATGTTTCAATAAAAAAAGTGAAATGGAGACAAACACACAGAGGATTATCAAGTACCTTATTGAAACTTCCCTCTTCTGCAATCCATCACGAGTGTGCACTAGTCTGGAGGACCCTTCTTACGTAGGAGATAGCTAAGATATCTAACTAGATATCTCAAGAGGGCTTTTTCTGACCCAGGGAATGGGTAATACCTATGCTGGAAAAACCTGACATGGCAAAAATATTAAAAACGTAATAAAAACAAAAAAGCAACAATCCTTGTATTATATATCTATGAAAATCAACAACAACCAAGCAGCCCAGCATTTTGACGCCTCCATCAGCACATAAAATGTGAGTTTATGCTGGAAGAGAAGAGAAACTGCGGTCTTTTCCACTAGAGGGCGCAGAAACTCTTCTTTAAATTGGACTCATTCCCTTCTCAAGACCATTGGGTATCTCTGTAGGAAGAGGAACTCTGTGCACAATGGGCCAGGAAAGGCTGGAGTTACTTTTACTTTATCTGAAGTGCCTCACTGCACTGTCTTAGCACCCAGAGATAGTGTAGGAACTGTTTTCTCAAGGAATATTGGGGGCTAGGGGATGAGGTATAGAAGCAGAGACGCTAAAATCAGAAGACTAGAGATGTAGGGAATCTATTTCCGAGGAGATTGTTCTAGACCAGTCATGCTCAAGCTTTTGCATATGTCAGAATTAATGCGAGGGCTTATAAAAACCACAAGTTGTTGGGTCCCACCCCAGAGTTTCCAGTTCTGGGGTTGAGCCTCAGAGTTGACATTTCTAAGACGTTCCCAAGTAATGCTGATGCTGTTGGCACGGAATCACATTTTGGGGCGTCACTGTTCTAGATGCACCAGCTACTCACATAGGACTTCATCTGGGAAACAATGTAACAAGAACCCACAATGCTCTAGAATACAATTTTATAGAATCTTAAACTGTTAGAACTTGAAAGGCCCTTTATGGGGTTTTCATGTTATGGAGGGGAGCTAGAGGGCCAGATAGATTACTTAATGCACCCAGGGCTAAGTTTTAAACTGCAGGTTGAAATCTATTCATGGGTTATAGAATCAGTTTAGCATAGACTAACCAAGAGAAAAGAAGCAAAGGCTGAAAGTATGGCTCAAAAATGAGGAATGAAAGAGTGAGCCATCATTACTGACTTTTTAAAAATAAAAATAATTACAAGAAAACATTATTAAAAATCGTATGCCAAAAAATGAAATAACTTGATGAAACAAACAAATTCCTAGAAAGACACAAATGATCAAACCTTACTCAAGAAGAAGGAGTAACTTAAAAATTTTTTTTTATTTCAATAGCTTTAAGGGTAAGAGTGGTTTTGAGCTACATGGTTGAATTGTATAGTGGTGAAGTCTAAGATTTCAGTGCACCTATCACCTGAGCAGTGTACATTGTGCCCAACAGGTAGTTTTTCATACTTCGTTGTCCTCCCAACGTCCCTTCTTCGAAGTCTCCAATGTCCCTTATACCACTCTGTATGCTTTTGCATACCAGTAGATAGCTTAGCTCCCACTTGTAAGTGAGAATATGTAGTATTTGGTTTTTAATTCTTGAATCACTTCACTTAGAATAACGGCCTCCAGTTCATTCCAAGAATTGCAAAGGATGTTATTTCATTTTTTTAAGGCTGAGTGGTAGCCCATGGTATATATACACATTTTTAAATCCACTCATTGGTTGATGGGCACCTAGGTTGATTCTATATCTTTGCAATTGTGAATTGTACTGCAACAAACATACACATCCAGGTGTCTTTTTGATATAATTACTTATTTTCCTTTGGGAAGGTACCCAGTAGAGGGATTGCTAGATCAAATGATAGATCTACTTTTAGTTCTTTGAGGAATCTTCCTACTATAGAAAGAGTAAATTTAGCCATCAGAGAAATGCAAATCAAAACCACAATGAGATACCATCTCACACCAGTTAGAATGGCAATCATTAAAAAGTCAGGAAACAACAGGTGCTGGAGAGGTTGTGGAGAAATAGGAACACTTTTACACTGCTGGTGGGACTGTAAACTAGTTCAACCATTGTGGAAGTCAGTGTGGCGATTCCTCAGGGATCTAGAACTAGAAATACCATTTGACCCAGCCATCCCATTACTGGGTATATACCCAAAGGACTATAAATCATGCTGCTACAAAGACACATGCACACGTATGTTTATTGCGGCATTATTCACAATAGCAAAGACTTGGAACCAACCCAAATGTCCAACAATGATAGACTGGATTAAGAAAATGTGGCACATATACACCATGGAATACTATGCAGCCATAAAAAAGGATGAGTTCATGTCCTTTGTAGGGACATGGATGAAATTGGAAATCATCATTCTCAGTAAACTATCGCAAGAACAAAAAACCAAACACCGCATATTCTCACTCATAGGTGGGAATTGAACAATGAGATCACATGGACACAGGAAGGGGAACATCACACTCTGGGGACTGTTGTGGGGTGGGGGGAGGGGGGAGGGATAGCATAGGGAGATATACCTAATGCTAGATGACGAGTTAGTGGGTGCAGCACACCAGCATGGTACATGTATACGTATGTAACTAACCTGCACAATGTGCACATGTACCCTAAAACTTAAAGTATAATAATAAAAAAAAAGAAAGAGTAAATTTAAATAGACAAGTAATATTACATATTTAGAGGTATTTATATTGAAAAGAAAGGAGTGAAACCATCACTACTAATAGATGACATGGTCTCATAATATAAAAACTTCTAAGGAATTCACACAAAAATCAAAATTATTGAAACTAATATATAAGTTCAACAAAATTGCAGGTTACAAGTTCAATACTCAATTGCACTGCTATACACTAGCAATGAACAATCCAAAAATGAAATAAAGGAAGCAATTTAATTTACAATATCACCTACAAGAATAAACACATAGGTATAAAATTAACAAAAGAGGTCAGCAATTTGTATATTAAAAACTGCAAAATATTGCTGAAAGAAATTAGAGAAGACCTAAATAAATGGAAAGAACTTTCGAAGTTCATGGATTGAAAGACTTATCATTAAGATGACTGCTATGGTCTGAATATGTTTCTCCAAAATTCATATGTTGATAGGCTAACCCCCAAGGTGATGGTATTAGGAGATGGGGCTTTTGGAAGGTGATTAGTTCACAAAGGCAGTGCCCTCATGATTGGAATTAGTAACCTTATAAAGGTGGCCTCAGAGAACTGGCTAGCCTTTCTACCATGTGAGGACACAGCAAGAAGGTGCCATCTATGAAGCAGGAAACAGGCCTTCCCTGGACACTGAGTCAGCTGGCATCTTGATCTTGTACTTCCCAGCTCCGGAACTGTGAGGAATAGATCTTTGTTGTTCATATACTACCCAGTCTAAGGTATTTTGTTATAGCAGCCTGAATAGTATAAGACAATAACAAAACTCTGCAAGTTGATCTACAGATTCAACACAATCCTTATCAAAATCCTAGCTTTTATTTTTTCTGAAAAAATATTCATGTTCCAAAATGTTGCTAAGACCTGGGACAAGACAAAAACCCTATTGCCAGGATTTCTTCCCACCAAGCCCATTAGTTTGTTCAATCGTGTCTACAGATCTTAGTGCATCCCTAAAATCTAAGCATCAGATTTCAGTTACATTGCCTTTGATGTTTGAAGCACAGAGTTAGGACATCATTGGGATGCTGGTACCATAAGTACAGAATACAACATGTTAAGAACATTAAGATAAAAACTATCCACAGGATTTTAGAGACTGAAGCTCTCTATTCTCATTAGAAAGTAAGAATGTGCTTTTGAAAGTGAATGCTGCCACAGACACGTGTGGCCTAAAGATCTGCTTGAAAGAGAAAAGGACGAGCATCTCTTCCCATCTATAGCTCGCTATGGCTGCTGAGCAAACCTGCATAGTGGAGATGTTCCAAGCCACCTAGCTCTACCTTGGGGGCTCCAAACAGCTCCACTTGCCATTGTCGGGCTCACATTTGTGACTCTACCAATGAAGCTCAGGCAAGGTGAAGTCTTAACTTGATTTTACCTTCCCAAGGAGAAAGGAAATGAAGCCATTCAAGGTTTGCTCACACCTGTGATCTCAGCCGTACAGCAAGAGAAAGAAAAGGCCTTGCAAGTAGACAAGGCTGATTGGACTTTTAGCTCTGCCACTCACTAATTTTTTAAAATCTCTAAAGTGGAAAAATAGTATCTGTAGATTATAGTGATTAAATTAAAAATGTAATCTTTCCAATTGCTCCATGAAATATGGGCAATTCTATCCTAGTAATCAGTTGCATTTATCACTTAAAGATGAATTTACCTTATTTTTATAAGATTGCTTTGGGATATGGTTGTGGGAATAAAAAGCAAATTCCTCTGCCATTTTGGGTTTATTCTTTATTTCTAAAGGAAGGAAAGAATAAAAAAGAAAGCATACAAATATCAGAGACTTGCAGCCCTATATCCTGGACTGACAGTGCTATTATTCTCTCCTCTGAAACTTTTTCCAGCTCCACTTCTAAACTTGAAGTAAATAGACAGGCCAATGGCCAAGCTGTGGCAGTACCCCTTTCTACTGATTGCACACACCCATTTAACACTTGCTGCACAAAGCTGACACCAAGGAATTTACTCCAGTGTTTCAATTATTTGAAACTCTAGATTCCCAAAATATCTAAGTAACTATTGTTTTGCTTCTTGCTTTTCTTTTCTCCACTCCTCCATGAATCGGGTTATATTGATCAGCAAGCAAAGAAATACATTCATGTATTTATTCAATGAATTAGAAATGCCAAGAGTTCTTCTGGGAGCACTGAAAAACTCTGCGTTTTTGCCTACGCAATGCAATAGTCAGGGTGACAAAAGAATTATAACTTAGATTTGGACACACATTCCAGTCTTCTTAAACTTTTATCCATAACATATTTTGGAGTAGAAAACATTATTTGATAGGGAAGATAGCCTTTTTAATGGGGAAAAATAAAGGGGAAATGAACCCCCATCAGACAATTCTACTCTTCTGCCTAGCTGAAAGTGGTTAAAAATAAATAAAATTTCTTTATTTTCTAATTAACAGCCATAGAGCTGGTCTCGGGAAACTATGCATTAGTAGTCAATAAAAGGGAAAAGGTCCAACATCACCATGCAAAGATGGTAATTAAAAACAGGAGGAAGAAATGCCTGTTATAAATTACACTACACTTGAGGCTATAAAAATCCTCTTTTTAATTAACTGCAAGAAGGAGGCAAACAAACTGAGCTTTTACCATTGGTGACTGAAGTTTGGAGACAAATGATACAATCATTTTTTAACGTGTCATTGGTAAGCCAAATACCAGTAATCACCATCTCGAGGGGTGTGGATCATCCTGAACAAATTTCAAAAAGATTATCATTGAAAATTGTGGAGTCTTCACTGCTTCACTCTAGCTCACCTATCACAGCAGAATCCAGAAATATCTACCGTAAGAACCAGACTTTTCCCAAAGAACAAAGGCATTTGTCCAAACTTCCTATGTGAAAGTCACAACAGAAACATCCAATACTGCAGATATTTAATTGAAACACACCTGCCTGTTTTCTCTGTTGCAGAGAAAGCCATTCATTTTAGAAGTAGTTTGTTAGTCAAGGACTCTAGACTTCAGGGTCTACTGCCAACTTCATTTGTGTTTCTTTCGCGGGGAATGGGGGTTAATTTTTACCTTGGCCACTATTTCACGTGTTGTTAACCATCATATTATCAGAATAATGGTGAAGTCATTATTGATGTATTATTTGGTTTCGTAGGAAAATCCTGCCACATATCTATAGCATGATAATGGTGACATGTGTGACTTCGAACCTCTTTCTGGTCTCTTATCCAAATCTGTGGTTTACTGTGGTCCTGAAGATTGTAAAGCAAACATCAGCACTAGGTTGGGAATTATTTTAATACTATTAAGTAGTATGATTCAGTATGGGGGAAAGAAACTAATCCTCAGGAAGATTAAGGAGCCTGGCTTAACAATTAGTCAAATTAAATGTGTCAAAGTAGAATGAGAGATGGCATTGCACCTCCCATGTTGCTCTTTATTTTCCAGTTTCTCCTCTTAGAGCTTTAAAAAAACGACGATGTAATCACCTGACCAACTTACTTTTCCTAACAAAGGAAAAATAATATGATTTCTAAGCATTTTATTTCTGTTATAGAAAAAAAAACTTTAAAATATAAAGACTAAAGGCAAACTACCGTACTATAAAAGCTGTCAAGTGACTAGATGCATCCCTGGAAAGATGGAGAAAGGGCATTATTTAGGAACGAAGTAAGGACCAAGCCCTCACTTTGTGTCAACACAATTTAGTCCTTATAATATCTGAGTCTATTGCCATATGGCAGCGCGTACTTCTCCCTTTCGCTCATTATCAATCTTCAGCGCCACAGTTATAGAGCAACACAGCTGAAGGTCACATTGAAGGATGATTCTTGAGAATAAGGTGGAGTTCTAGGCAGCGCCTCTAGATGGCACTCTTTCTTATCAGTAGTCAACGCGAAGTTTCATTTCCTATCTTCACAACAATCAAATGACTAAAATTGGTCCTCTTATAATTTGATATAATTGTCCTATGCCATCTTAATAGAAATCTGGATGCTTACATAACACATCAGTCAAAGTTCACCAACGGCAAATTGTGGTCTTGATTTAAGGAAAAAAAAAATCATATATCACCAGAATACTTCATTTTCTGCTGCTGTCCCGATTGAACCCTGCATAGCCAGCATTCTACCATGTGGAAGTGATCCTTTCAGACCTATTCAGTTCTTACAGCTCACGTCAACCCTACCTCCCATGTCACTAAAGTAATAAAAGAAGAGGGAAATCAGCATATCTAGTACCCAGACAGGTTACCTCCTTAAATTTCGTACCACTCAACAAGAGCTAAGTGAGGGTGAAAGTCACCGTATCTGTGGCTAGAAGCAGAAGAAACTGGAGTCAAGTGAAAAGTAGCTGAACTTCTCACCTACAAGACTATCTCTGTAGCTAATGGATTGGTGACCTCAACAATAACACTAGTCTCCCTGCGTCACTGATGGCACCAGGGATGCTTCTGTGAAGCTTAGAACTAACCTTAAAGTTGTTGCGGCACCCTTCACCCCCCTCCCAGACACAGTAGTTCCTGGATGAATGAGAAATGTCCCCTCATGTCCTTTAAATACTGCTGCCTCTCCCCCATAAACACACACAGTTCTCGGGAAACAAGGAATACCTTGTTCATGCTTTGAAGAGGGACACACTTAAGCACTAGTGGCATGGGCACACTTACGATGAGTATGGTAACCAGTAACGAGGAAATGTAGAAGTCTTGAGTGTTGGTTGTAGAGCAGAAAACTGAGGAAGGTTGATGAAATTTCTACCTTTTATGCTTCAAATGAATTTAGTGAACACACTTTAAAATGCCTTAGGGGTCTCCAAGAATTCATAGTTCCGTAGTAACTATAGGTATTTCAGAGAATGACAAAGTAAAAACTTGTGCTCCCCTCAAATTTATTTTATTTCACTTTATCTCATTTTACCTCCTGATCCTAAATGTAGGCATTCTATTTTTCAAATCTGGACTTAACCATGAGGTTTGCAGATAGATCTCCACATGAATAGAGGGCTTTAAAAAATTCAATACAGGTGGACTTTTAAGATTCTTAAGAAAATACACAGGTGACCTCTCAATAACCCTTTGTCCTCAAAGCAAAGACCCTTGTGCTTCTTTGCAATTAAAAATTCTTATAAACATTCACTCCTCACTGAGTTATTTTTCTAGTAGCTTATCTTGTCAAGACATTACACAGTAAAGGTCATAGGTGCCATACATAAAAATTTAGTTATATAAGGAGCATTAAATAATTTAAATGGACTGTTTAACTTACCCTGGAAGTTTTCCACAAAGCCGAAGGTTTTATTTAGTTGTTTAGTCCATCTATAATTCCATTTTTACTCAGAAAACTCATCCTTAGGACTCAGGAGTGGGGGAAAAAAAACTATAGCTGTAGATTTACTCAGAAACATTTTAAGCTTGCCATTTTCCCAAATATTGCTCAAATGTTTAGAGCTCCATAAAACTCAAGCCACATTGGATGAATTCTTTAAACACCACCAAATGTAGTTTTCTAAGAAGAAAGCTGCCAATTTTTTAAGACACAAGATTTGAGCCTCCAGATGGCCCTTTTCGGAAGGGGTGAGTACTAATTGGGTTTGCATGTCCTCGTTTGACTCTTTAGTCAGCAAGATATTGTTGGGCATCCCTTTCTAGAGAAGAGACTAGGAAACCAAAGTTCACCAAAGGCCCAGTTGAAGAGTAGAGAGATAAAGCAGTTCACTATGTGATATTGTTCTATGGGAATTTGGAACTCTCTGTTAACCCATTTATTTTCAAACAAGCTTATTCTTGTCTGACAAAATGCCTAAAAATCAACCTCTAGAAGATTTTTTTCTTTTGGCACGAAAGACTTATTTTTCTAGTTCCCCTAGGAAAGGTACAACAGTCAGGGTTTATTAGCAGTACTTGCATTCCCTTAACTGCTTTGGATGAAGTGTCAAGGAAGGAAGCAGAAATTCAGAGAGGTATTGAGGTTTGTGTATGGTTACTCAGCTTATAGGTGGCTAATCCTTGCAGTGCTGAGTGAACTTTCAGAATGAGCCAGGAAACTAGCTTTGACTATATTTCTCTTTTTTGGGGGGGGCTCTGCAAGCAGGCAGGCACATAGTATAAAAAGCTATTCATATTTGCTTCAGAACAGAATCTCCAGGAAAGAGGCAGAGAGGAAAAACATCTCTCTGTGCTTAGAGCAAAAAAAAAGTGGGCTTTTATGTCAGGAACCCTCCATTCAAACCCATGAAGAAAAGCCCAAGGTCAAGTCACTTTGGAAATCTTCTTAGTATATATCCCTCTGGAAGACTTTTGGTGGTTATTAGCATATTAGAATAGTCCTGAATGCCACTTATAAACTTTTTTAACCTCACTATTTCCCAAACTATTAAACCATAGAATGTTAGTTTTCTTAATATCTATAAACATCTCTCTGGAGCAGTTTGGGAAATTCTGCTCTAGTGGAGGTTCTGCTAATTTTTGTCTCCTCATGATGGCCTGAAGCTGCCATGTAACCCAGAACAGAACTCCAGGCCAGGCAAGGTGGCTTATGCCTGTTATCCCAGCACTTTGGGATGCTGAGGTGGGTGGATCACTTGAGGTCAGGAGTTTGAGACCAGCCCGGACAACATGTCAAAACGCTGTCTCTACAATAAATACAAAAATTAGCCAGGCATGGTGGTGCATGGCTATAATCCAGCTACTCAAGAGGCTGAGGCAGGAGGATAGCTTGAGCCCAGGAGAAGGAGGTTGCAGTGAGCTGAGAGCACATCACTGCACTCCAGCCTGGGCAACAGTGAGAGACCATCTCAATAAATAAATACATAAATACATACATACATACATGCATGCATACATACACACACATATACATATAAAACTCTTATTCCTGTCAGAAGTTATTTGTATGCCTTTTTCCCAGCACACACAATCGAGTGTGTCCACTGCTTACCCTTTAGGACGCATTTTCATAAAGGCCACTAACTTTCCAGAGAATAACTGTGGAAGGTCACATGGTAATAAAACCCAATATCCTCTTCTCAGTCTTCTACCTGCAGCTCTGTTCTTGTTTCAAGACTTCCCTCCCCTGAGTAGATTCTTTTCTAGGAAACTTCCCTCAACATCCCTAGGCATAGGTAAGTATCCATTCTCTTCTTACCCAAAGGCAAGCTTTTGTTAGTACTAGAGTACTTGATACCTTCGCATTGTATTATTGGCTCACAAGTCTGAGTCTCCCAATACCTTAAGGGCAATTCGAGGCCTGGGACTAGAAAACATTGTATCTTCTTAGCTCCAGCACCTAATGCATTCCCTGGAAAATGGTAATTGCTCATAAATGCTCATATGTGATAGGCATAAAAATTCTACAAATTCAAGAGGTCAAAATGAGATGTATATGTATACATAAACTAAATTGATTTAAAATTTAAATATGGAAAATCAAATTCTATTAAATAATAATTAATGCCTAAATACCCATGGCCATTTAACTTTGCAAATAGAAGGAAAAGAAGAGAAAGGAAAGGGGAATAAAGGAGAGAATCAGAAAGGAAATATAACAAAAAAAAAGAGCAAGATAAAAGGTAAAGAGAGAAAATAGAAAAAAAGAGAAATTCACACAAAAATGCAGTTAAAATTAGAAGTAGAAAGACAAAAGTAAAGCAAAAAAATAGCTTAGGTGAAAAAGAAAGAAGAAAGCAATAAATAGAAGAAGAAAAAACAACAGTGTTAGTACAAGCATATATAGTTCAATTTGTTAGACTTAGCATAAACTAATCATAACTAAACTAACCATCATTCACAGATCTATGACTGCTTTTTATCCTCCATCTGCTGATTTCTCATTTTTGAAGGTCCAGTGGGTTGGTCCATAACTGCTGTCATTATAATAACTACTCTTTGGGAAATAATTAAAGGGTCTACATTTTTGTTCCTATTAATCTAATGGGTAAAATTGGCCTATTCCATTTGCAAATCTGAAGATTTAGCAATTTTAAAAGCCTTCAAATAGAAATTTACTAATAAGCTATTTAAGTTGAAATAAATGGAATGGCAATAAATGTCTGAATTACAAAGAAATAAAGATATTATTTGCTTTAGTTGCTTTGACTGATTTCTAAGCATAGGCTGTATAGAATATTAGTTTCATTTTCTTACTAGATTTCCATTTCAGTAAGATTTTCCTTTCCACCTCAGTCTTATCTTTCTAAAGTGCTTGCAAGTTTCATAACAATTACCCACTTTCCTTTGTGGGCCTTATCTATTTTTATTACTTAGCAACAGTCAGTATCCCTCAAGCAGAGTTGTGGTAATTAACCAGAATAACAGAGAATGACTCAGATCTCTGCTCCAAATTTCTCTTCTAGCTTCACATTCCAAAAATAGACTTCTATTAGTCAAAAGGGCCATTTTAGTAATATTCATAGCTTAGAGGGTCTGTGAGAGTATTATTTATCCTCAGGAGCATCCAAAACGCTTTGTGTGTTGGCTTCCCAGCAGGAGATTTCCCTGGGCTAATGTAAAACATCAAGTCTTACATCCTTTTCAAGCTTTCAAGTCCAAAATGTCATCATGAATGTCTAACTAGCTCCAGGAATCGGGAAAGCAGCAAGTTCTTTGGCCCTCAGTTTCATGATTCATAAAATGAATTCCTACACAAGTGAAGCCCCCTAACTCTAAAATATATTCTATGTCTAAAGGGACTTGCTCTTCAAGGTCCACCCAAAACTCTTAGGGAATAGAATTGGAGGTAGCAATTCTGCCCAGAAGTTGAAAAGAAGGACTTTCTGCGAGAGGTTTTCAGCAGCTTTCCAAAATCAGTCAACCAACCAACATTGAGTAATGATCACTTGCAAATATATACAGCTAGAATTCACAGGAAGAGGTCCCTGGACTCTGCCCTTCAAATAGTTTGTCAACTGTCTATTGTGATAGGACATATGATAAAAATATAAGTGACAATAATACAGATACAATCCGAGCCCTGAATGGATCATAAAAAAATAAAAATTCAAATCAGGTAAACCTTGCATAGGCTAAAAAGGTCTTGAAAAGCTTCAGTGGAAAAATGGAATTTCAGTTGAGCCCACAATGAGAATAATATACACTTCAAATGAGGAGTAGGAGAAGGAGCCAGACAGATTTACCTTTGTTTACCCACGCTACTTAATTTAAAGCCTCTCATTGTTCATTTATTCATGAAAAAAGGCGAGTTCCATAGGATCCTCCCTTGCAGCAACAGGAAACCTCACTAGAAAGATTCTAAGCTTCAAGGTCAAAAAGCCCAAATTCTGGGCTGACAATTGATAATGAAACACTGATTCTCTGAGCCTCCAATTTCTATGACATGAAAAGAGTATCACGGTCTCAAAGAATCAAAAAGGTGCAAGAGGAAGGTAAGGGTAGAGAGAGGTATGTGTCCTCCATAGTCAGTTTCCTTCTTCTGTGTAGCCACTACATCAGGCTGTCTGTCACACACCCACCCCACGCTAGTGCTGACAGCCCTGACAGCTCCAAAGAAAGAACAGTGCCTTCTCCCTCCACCTGATTAGGGACATGCTAGACTGCTGAACAGAAATGAGCAATTAAAACTTATTTGCATTATATTAAAATACACTAAATAAGCAAGGCAAGAGGAGGTAAATCCCTTAATTGGTTCCATAATCAAACCACTGAAGTGTCGGAAGGAAGAAACCACAGGCAGGAGTATTTGTTCCCAGGATCAAATTAGGCCACTGTGGAAATGAGCAGGATGTTGCTCAGCAGCCTCTCTCTGGAAAAAAAAATCAGTTGATCAGAGCAGACAGACTCAACAAAGAGGGACAAGAGAGTTCTGAAAAGAAACTTGACTCCTCTCCTTCAGGATCATTTCCCCCTTGAGTCAATAAGCCACTCCCACTAATGTCTAAATGCTAAACCTAGATACAAGAAAAAATCAGAGAAAGCTCTAAAACACTCTGAGGACCTTCCAAAGCTACAACTGCTTCTGAGAGAATAATACTGCCTGGCACACAGTAATTGTTCCATAGCACTTTTTTGAATGAATGAATGAATGAAGGCATTTGTGGTTTCTTCAGCATAGTCCATGCTCTGTAACACATGGCTGCACTGCCACAGAGGACTGGACCATGGGTGAATGTCTCACCCAAAGGCAGATGCCTTTGGCAAGGTGCCCAGCATTCAGCACTGAAGAGTGAAGAAGAGATTCAGTGGAAGGAACAGAAGGAGAAAGATAAAAGGAGAGAAAGAGAAAGCACAAGCAAATGGGACCCAGGAAGCCATGAGGGAGAGAAGACATAAGCAAGCAGAAGCTGCCTGATTTAATGAGTGAAGTGAGTACATAGCAGCCTCCCCAGAGTAACTGGGAGACCATAAGGGAATTAGCAGAGGGTGTTCAGACACCTGCTTCCTGAGGTGTGGCCAGGCCACTCTAGATGCATTTTGTCCTGATGGCTTTCGTTATCCATGAGGCCCAATGGTGTAGTTATCACTGAAGTCCAAACAAGGATTTGACACTTACTTTCTCTTGATTCCTTAAAATAAACCTACATCAAATGAGATTCTCTGAAACTATGTCTGGAAACATGAAAGGTTTAGGTAAGGGAAAAATATTAACTAAAATCATAGAGATGCCACAAGATTGAACTCTCCTGGGAATTTCCAAAACCCTATTAGTTAAAGTCTACATCAGAACTTCCTGGAGAATTTGATAAAGAAGGAGTCCAGGATTCTGCATTTTTTAATCAAGATCCCAGGTTGTCTGGTATTCAGCCCAGTCGGGATTTCTCTTTCATATTATTTTTTGAAGTATGTCTCATGAGGTAAGGCATTTATCCTTCTAATAATGTGTGTATTCCTTTGTCAATGTTCTTCTTAAAATTTTGTAATTTTTCTATATAAAAATAATGCATGTTTATTATAAAGATGTTGACAGAATTCAGAGAAGCAAAAAAACAAAAAAAATTAAAAAGCATCTGGAAAGTCCTAGCCAGAGAAATCAATCAAGAGAAAAAAGTAAAAGGCATCCAAATTGGAAAAGAGGAAGTCAAATTATCTCCGTTATGAGATGACACAATCTTATACCTACAAAACTCTAAAGATCCTCTGAAACATTCTTAGACTTCATAAATGACTTCAGAAAAGTTTAAGGATACAAAACCAACATACAAAAATCAGTAGCATTTATTTTATTTTATTTTATTGAGACAGAATCTCACTCTGTCACCTAGGCTGGAGTGCAAGGGCATGATCTTGGCTCAGTGCAACCTCCGCCTCCTGGGTCCAAGCGATTCTCCTGCCTCAGCCTCCTGAATAGCTGGGACTACAGGCATGTGCCACCACACCTGGCTAATTTTTTGTATTTTTAGTAGAGACGGGGTTCACCGTGTTAGCCAGGATGGTCTTGATCTCCTGACCTCGTGATCTGCCCGCCTCAGCCTCCCAAAGTGCTGGGATTACAGGTGTGAGCCACTGTGTCCGGCCAAAAATCAGTAGCATTTCTATACACCAATGACAACCAAGGCGAGAACCAAATCAATAATTCAGTCTGATTTGTGATAGCCACAAAAAAATAAAATACCCAGGAAAAATTTAACCAAGGAGGTACAAGGAGAACTACAAAACACTGATGAAACAAATCACAGATGACACAAACAAATGGAAAAACATCTTATGCTCATAATAGGAAGAATCAACATTGTTACTGAATCAACAACCGTGCTGTCCAGAGCAATATACAAATTCAGTGCAATTCCTATCAAATTGCCAATGTCATGTTTCACAGAATTAGAAAAAACAATCCTAAAATTCCTATAGAACCAAAAGAAATCCCAAATAGCCAAATCAATCCTAAGCAAAAAGAACAAAGCTAAAGGCATAACATTTTCTGACTTCAAATTATACTACAAGGCTTTAGTAACCAAAACATCATGGTACTACTATAAAAACAGACACAGATCAATGAAACAGAATAGAGACCCCAGAGATAAAGCCAAATATCCACAATCAACTGATATTTGATTAAGTCAACAAAAATAAACAATGGGGAAAGGACACTCTATTCACTAAATGGTGCTGGAAAAATTGGCTAGCTATATGCAGAAGAATGAAACTGAACCCCTATTTTTCAACATATACAAAAATTAACTCAAGATGGATTAAAGACTTAAATGTAAGACCTGAAACTATAAAAATCCTAGAAGAAAATGTAGGAAAAACTCTAGGCAAAGAATTTATGATTAAGACCTCAAAAGCAAATGCAACAAAAACAAAAATAGACAAATTGGACTTAATTAAACTAAAAAGCTTCTGCATAGCAAAATAAGTAGTCAACACAGTAAACAGACAACCTACATAATGGGAGAAAATATTTTTGCACTTTGTCTCCAATGAATGACTAATATTCAGAATCTAGAAGGAACTCACACAACTCAATAAGAATAAAACAACCCCCCATTAAAAAGTGGGCAAAAGACATGAACAGACATTTCTCAAAAGTAGACATATAAGTAACCAACAAACTAACAATCCTGCAGTTAAAACCACATTAAAACCACAATGAGATACCATCTCATATCAGTCAGAATGGCCATTATTAAAAAGTAAGAAAACAACTGACATTGGCAAGGATGTGGAGAAAAGGGAACACTTATACAATGTTGGTGGGGATGTAAATTAGTACAACTTCTGTCGATGTGGAAAACAGTATGGAGATCTCTTAAAGAACTAAAAATAGCACAAGCATTTGACTCAGTAACTCCACTACTGGGTATCTACCCAAAGGAAAAGAAATAGTTCTATCAAAAAGACATATGTATGTTTATTTCAGCACTATTTGCAATAGCAATGTCATGAAAGCAATCTTTTTGTTTTGTTTTGTTTTGTTTTCAGCAACATGAATGGTGCTGGAGGCCATTATTCTAAGTGAAATAACTCGGGAACAGGAAATTAAACACTCCATGTTCTCTTACAAGTAGGAGCTAAACAATGGGTACACACAGACACGCAGAAGAAGATAATAAACACTGGGGATCCCAGAATGAAGGAGATTGGTGGAGCAGGGGTGAGGTTTGAAAAATTACCTATTCAGTATGATGTTCACTATTTGGGTGATGGGTATACTAGAAGCCCAAACCCCAACACTATACATATATATCCGTGTAACAAAACTGTACATTTATCCTCTGAATCTATAAAAATAAAAAAAAATTTAAAAAAACTTAATCATCTGAAATAGTAGTATTATTATTATTATTTTGAGATGAAGTCTCGCTCTGTCACCCAGGCTGGAGTGCAGGGGAAGCGATCTAGGCTCACTGTAACCTCCGCCTCCCAGGTTCAAGCAATTCTTCTGCCTCAGCCTCCCAAGCGGCTGGGATTACAGGCACCTGCCACAACACCCAGCTAATTGTTGTATTTTTAGTAGAGACAGGGTTTCACCACACTGGCCAGTATGGCCTCGAATTCCTGACCTCAGGTGATCCACCCGCCTTGGCCTCCCAAAGTGCTGGGATTACAGGCGTGAGCCACCGCCCCGGGCCTAAAATATTATTTAACAGTGATATAGTTAAATACTTTGTTGTGGCTTTTCCAATTCTTTCTTTAGTACAGGCATTATACATACTACTTTGTAATTGCTTTCCTCACTTTATACCTTGAACACTTCCACATATCACTAAGCATTTTGCTATATCATCTCTAGTAGTTGTATATCATTATAAAAAGAACTGCTAAAAAGAATTGACTAATTTAACTAATCCCCTCTTGCCAGGGTTTTAAATTGTTTTCAATCAGCCTTTGTCATAGAAACACTCTGAAGAGCAACCTTGTATAAAATCTTGGTCCATATACTAAATGGTTTCTTTAGTGTAGACTCCTTAAGCAGAATTGCTAGGGGAAAAAAATACGAAATTGTATAGTGTTTGAAATGTATTATCAAATAGTCTTCTAGAAAGTTCACAGTGATTTAAACTCTCAGCTGCAGTGTTAGAGAGTATCCGTGTCCTATGCCCTTGTCAACACTGGGTATTATAATTTGTAAATCCTGTTAATGTTTCTTTGGTGGCTTTCTAACAGTAGTTGTCAACATTGGCTTCTCACTAAAATCACTTGGGGAGTTTTTGAAAAGTGCCAATGCCTGGGCCCCATCAATGACATAATTCAGAATCTCAGGAGTAGACCTAGACGTTTACCTAAAAGAAACTATAAATTTAGAAGAAAACACAGTCACACAAAATATTCTCAATTGCAAAGTGAGATGTTACCCCAAGTAGGCAGAATCTACACAATTGTGTGCAAGACTGTCTTGTCATAGTCCTAGCCCCTAGCTCTAGTATTTATATGTGAAAGGGAAACAACCATTTTCATAATGAATATCTGAAAATTTTCTTCAACCAACCATCGCCAAATCAACTCTAGTCATCAGTTTAAAATGTGCCTTAAGCATCTACTCTTCTCTCTCTCTTCCTTGTTCCTTGCTGACCTTCCTTCAGACCTCAGCTCCAGCATCACTTCCCCAGGAAGACTTTCCTGACCCCTTAACCACATCCCATCCTCATTTCCTTTCTCTCACACACCAAATAACTTTCTCTGGGGACACTTACAACAGTTGTACTTTTTTCATTCAAGTTCTGAGATGGAAGTATGCATTGTGAGTCAGAATAGTTACGGAAAGTTCATGAACAATGAGATTTGATTTTGGAAGATGTGTGGAATTTGAATATGTACAAAGGAGTGTGTAAGGGCATGCAAACCAGACGCATTAACTGTTACAGGTTTATGGACACATTTGAAAATATACAGAAAGTTAAAAACTTTTCAGAAGAATTCAAACATGTCTATACATCAAAATACTGAATATAATTTCAAAGGGCTGAAAGTTTAAAACTTTTCAGAAAAATTCCAACATGTTCATACATTGAAATACTGCTGTAATTTCGGAGAGGTCACAGAACTCTGAGCATTCTCCTGGGTCCTTGGCCCACATTCAATCTTTTGAGTCAGCATGATCATTTTGTCTCTTCCAGCTAAACAACATGAGCACAAGAACCTCTGAAAGTTAGCCATCACTGTCCGAAGTAAATGGAAGAAATGCCAGACTTCCAACTTTTTCTGTGTCCAAATTAATGGACCCATATATGATTTGCCTTTGTCTTAGTAAGATGGGGTAGTTAAGAGTCAGAGGGAGGAAGGAAAAGGACAAGTGAATTACAGTGCCCAATTACATAGCTAACAGAGCAGCTATTCCTTGACGTATTTCATGCAGGTAATGCTGAGTACCTGTGGCAACACAAGAAAAGTTAAAAAAAATTCAGAAGGTAAAATTATCTCATTTTATTACTTTCTATCTCTATATTCCCTGTTAAGTTTTTTAAAATTTAATGAGCACACAGCAAACTGGTATTTGTTCTGTTATGCCATTAACTCCTCTCAGGGCACCAGCATCTTAGGGTAGGAAGTTTATCCTTTGCTATAATGCCCTCCATTGTATCATTCTGCAGTGTTGCATTAAAAAATTAACACACTTAGTTGACTGCATTGTGTCTAGAAAGCTTAATTACTGCTGTCAACATGATGGACAGGCAGACCCATGAGCCCCAGATCCAGCTTCCACTAAGAGCACCTCTGTCCCTGCTGTGCATACCATCCCGGCTCCTGTATTCTGTCTTTTTTTTGGCACCTGAAAAATAATTAGCATTTTACTAGAGAGTTCACCAGAATATAATTTACAAGGACAGAGCACTTTTTTGTTTAAATTATAAAGCCCCTTGACAAGGACCTTCTTAAAAAGTGCCAAATAGCATTAGTGATATTCATCAATTTCCACTAAATTGTTGTATGCCAAAGTTAGTTTTACTGTTTCATTTACACACTACATTGTACATGGCTTTACTACTCCAAACTTTAAACCAAAAATAATCTTCCTTCAAAGGACAAAGGAGACCCTGGAGGTGTTTGCTAGTCATTTAAAACAGCTATGGCTGACAGTTTACAGCTTACCCTCCAGAAAAAGTCCTAATGCGCTTTTCCAGGCTTGCTCCCAATGGGTAGATCCCTGCTCAGAGCCTGGCTAGTTATTGGCAGTAGATCAACCTTCACTTGCTGCCCTCTCCTCCACTTTCCCTCATCCTCTGTCACTCACTCATTAGAGGTTTGTAAGGCAAAGTTATCAAGACAGCCTTCTGAGAATAAGCATAAGGAGGCTCACCAGCTACACAATCATAGGAGAATATTCATGTGGCATTAATCCTTTCTGTGTGATTATACCACCTCACTGATTTTCCCACCTGTAACTGTGTAAAGCAAAGAAGACAGAACTTCACCTTTGGGACTTCTTTTTCCTTAAGAATTCTGGCAGGTTTACTGGTTTTGAAATGAAAAGCCCCTACACCTGAATTTAATGTCAGGTAACTGACTTTTGCTCAATTCTATTGCCTAACATGTCTGGCTACTTTTGTCCCTAGCTGTCCTTTCCATTAATCTTTAGTCCTTAGAAAATACCATCATCCAAAACTGTGCGGTATGGAGTAAATTTTGGAATGAAGAGGCTGATAAAAGGAAAGTTCTACCGGATAGGAGAAAAAAAAAACAAGATGCAATAGACAGAACATGAGGTCTGCATAGAAGACATATAATGGTGCCTTGTAAACATTATAAATATTCCCAGTCAGGTATATCAACTAGGAGACAGAATAATAATAATAATCATAACTGACTTTGAACAATTACTATGTCTCACATACCCTTTATGAGCATAATTTTATTGAATAGTTACCAAAAAACTAAGGATAATATCATTATTCCCAAGTTATAGAAGAAACAAAGGGCACAGAAAATTAATCAATTTTCCCAAAGTTATTCAATTAGAAAATAGCTTCACTAGGATTCAAATCAAGGTCTTTCTGGCTCCAAAGCCTGTGCTTTAAATCACTATGCCAGCCTGCTTTTTAAGCCATACAGAAATCAACATTAATTTTAAAAGTCACAGAGATATAGAGGCATTTATGTCTATATTCTGCTTGTGTTTTTATATGCTATTTAACCTTCGCAACTACAGTGAAGAATTCAGCAATGCAAGTATCAATCTACCCACTGCAAATTTGGAAAACTGTATGCATTCATTAATTAATTCAATAAATATTTATAAAGCACATACTTTTTTGCCAAGAAACATTCTAAGATCCGGTGGTACACAAGTTGGAAAAGATCCCTGCTTTCTTGTAACTCACATTCTAATAGTCAAACAAACAATAAACAACACATGAAAAAATTAATAAGATTAATGAGCAATAAAACTGGGTGAAGTGGCTGAGAGTGTGATGACTTGCCTAATTACACGGGCATTTGAGTGTTTTATAACTCAAATATATGCTGCAAAGTGAACTCCTGTCTTCCCGTCACACTTCTCTGTATCAGCTACTGGCAAAAAAGCTTGGAATCCACCTCAACATCTCTCTTTTTCTCACATTACCCAGTCAACTGGCACATCCTGTTAGTCTTATAATCAAAATATTTTCAGAATCCAGTCTCTTCTCACCATATCTGCTGCTACTTCTGGTTCAGTAGCCCTTAATTTGTCTATTGCTCTCAGTCTTGACCTCATAATCTCTTCTCAACAGCAGCCAGAGTGATCCTGTTAAAGCATAGGCTCTCTGTACTGCTTGTCCCATTGTCGCTCACTCTATCATCTCCTTCAAGCCTTTGCTCAAATGTCACCTTCTTGATGAGGCCTGATTTGGTGACATTTACCATGTTCTATTTTTTCCACAGTAATCAACACTTTCTAAAGTACTGCATAAAATACTTACTTATACTTTTTATTTATAGTCTGTGTCCCGCCACAGAATATAAGTTTTACCAGGGCAGGATTTATATGTTTTGTTCACTAATGCACCCCCAATGCCTAAAATAGTTCCTGACATATAGCAGTTTCTCCATATTTTGTGAATTAACAAATATTTGGAAAAAATTCCTTTTCCAGCAAGTTGAACACAGCCAGAGAAAAGATCAGTGAACTGGATATACATATTGAAACAGTTAAAGAAAAGGGATTAGAAATTATAGAGAAAAGGAAAGGGACTTATAGAACACAATGAAAAGGTTGTTGCATGAACATAATTGGAGTTCCAGGAGGCATAGGTAGAAAAAAAGGTAGAGGTAATATTTGAGAAGACAATATCCAATAATTTTTCAAAAATGAAGAAAAATGTCAAGTCAAAGATTCAAAAAGTATGAAACTCAAGAAAGATAAATACAAAGTAAACCATACCTAAGCACATCATAGTGAAGCAAAATCATAGAGGAAAATCATTCTAAGTATTACTGCCCTGAAAAAAGTTGCAAAGTATCATGTTACCTCCTACTCAATTTTGCCGCCCTTTGTTTTGCTACAGAAACCCACGTGCCTGAGAGACACAAGTGCAAGGGCAGAACCCTAGAATACAGATTCCCCAAATATTAGGAATTTTTGAGCATCATTTCTCATACTATTAACACAAAATTAAGGCAAATATTTTTACATGAATAGTCATTCATTTATAAAAGATTCACTGGCCTCTATTAGATTGTAATATTCCCTAAGTCCTGCTACTTCTTATTCCTTGAAATTCTATGATGGTGGTGCGGCTAACATAGTCTATATTTTATTATTAGATCACACTGAATCAGATAATAGAGGCAACTGCAATGCACCCAAATGCCAAGGTTCTTTCTCCACTGTATCAATGAAAAAAATGGAGAAAACTTGGAAAGAAAAATTACAAATATCTTGGTCTATTATACAGATACTAATCTTAAATGTATCTTTTAATACACCTGTAAAATTTAAAATTTTGCATATTTCCAGCAGCTAAAGTTGAAAGAAAACAGTAGCTTAAAGACATTTTCTCAGGTGCTTAAAAAGATGCATATCATCACATCCATTAACCATCACACATTTTTTAATGTGAAAATGAACCACCATGCCATGCCTCTGATCCAAATATAGGGTGTTCTAATTTAGTGTCAATAGATGTTTAGGCTTGATTATTTGGAAATAAGAAGCTACCCCTACCCTACCCTACCCCCCCAATCCCTACCTCACCCCCACCTCCACACACAAAGTATGTGTGAAACAAGTTGGATGACAAAAATCTTGAAAAAATATTTTAACTGATGATTTGGGGAGTTTTGATAACTTTACTAAATTAGCAATCCTCTAGTGAAAGTGGTTACATTCTTTCTTCAATGCCTGTCACCCTTTTCTCATAGATTAGAAACAACGTGGTGGCAAGAATGCCATTTTTCTTTGATAGTTGTCAGAAGTCATTTTGAAGACTTTCATCTGACTCTGGGAAAGCCATTTTGAAGTGGAACTAAAGAGAGCATACATGATTTAATGACAAAATTGCTTTGTGATTTAGAAAGAGCATTATAGAAACACGTAAAAATATTCTAAATGAAAAGGCTAGCATTTTAGTCAAATCAATGTGGTATGGTTTTAGACTATGAGGCAGAATTCAGAAAAGAAAGCAGAGAGGAAAAGTTATCCAAGGCCATTTTAGTATCAAGGCTGAGAAGAAAATCATATGGATTATAGCTGGGAGTTAGGGGGAAGTGTAGAATCACACCTAAAGTCATGTTAATGGGGAGATAATGATCTTGAGATAACCAAGCCAGGTCTCAGACTCCACCTGAACCAAGTCTCAAGTGTTCCTTGGGCTAAAAGCTCTAATAGATGGAGACTTTCTATTTCTATAGCAATGGGAACTATAGATAAATATAGTTGTCAGTGTCAGGTAAAAAGTGTGAGGAGAGGGTGGCTTTCAGAAGCAGACAGACTTTAGGATAGTACCTGAAACAACTTCAAAGTTGCAAAGCCACAAGGACATCATCATGTTATTTTGACAATATTTGCTAAATCTGTTTATGGCCTGTTATCATGCCATATGCCAGACACTGTGCTAATTCTTTACATGCATTATCCCATGCAATCCTCATAACAGACTATAGGACAGGCACTATTATTATCCTATTTTACAGATGAGAAATCTAAAGTTAATTTACTTGCCCGAAATTATAGCTAATCAGTGGAAGAGCTTACCTGAGTTCTAAAATATGTGTTTTTAACCACTAAGTTTACTACTTCCCGTCGGCTTTCCAGCACTGCTAGAGTTCTGCTCCTCCCAACGCCTTTGTCTCACTGCTGTGCTCTACCATTTCCTTAAAACAGTCATATAAAAGGATGTCAGCACCGAAATGCTCATCCGGCCACCAAGACACAATCATGCTTGCATACCAAAGTGAAGTGCCAAGGCAAAATACAGAATTTACAAGGAAATATTCAACAAATGTTTCTGTCACTTTTGGAACCCTCAGCTAGACCAAGAATCTAAAAGGTGATTAGAATGTGAAGAGGAATTTCCAAGAGGAGATTGTGGATCATGATGGTGTCTAAAAAGTAGCCAGTGAGCATGTACAGAGGGGAAACAAAAAGACAAATATAGCTCCTTCCCCAAAAGTGGGCAATTGCCAAATCAAACTTTCAGCATTAACTAAAGGAGGACACAGAGAAGCCATTCTTCTGAATGAAGAATGAAATGCTAATTTGTTTTGGATTGGACAATGAAAGTTTCTAAATTGAAAATATGTTTCTAGACTTAAACTATTCATTATCTATGAGTAAGAAGAAAAGTAATCTAGTGGCAAGAAAAAAGATGCTCTTACTGAATACATTTTTAAGAGACTATTGAAGACAACAAAAACTGTTTTTGATTCATCTCCCATGAATCGTATGTTAATCGTGTCTTTTACATTAGCAGCACCTTCCAGTGGAGCATACTGGAAATGGGTAGTGCATGTGTGTATTCAAGAATCTGGGTTCTGAAACTCCCGATGAGAAGATGAAGACTCACTTGCAAGAAATGATAACTTTCCAGGAGCAAAGAGGAGTAAGTGCTCACCCAAAAAATCATCCTGCCACTCCACTTTTGCCAAAAGACTTAAAATTATATCCATCTCTAAAACTGCCAAGATCATAAAAACAAATTATTCAGTGGTTACTATATGCAAGACATTATGCTCATTGCTTTATAAGAATTATCTCTTTTGATTCTCCTAATAATGTTAGATAGATATGGTTTTTATTGTTTAAGAGATTGACAGGATAAAATAAAATCTTATCTCTAAACAAAGTGATACAGAACAACACATATTCAGAGAGGAAAGATACTAAATTTTGCTTAGGAAAATAGAAGATGGCATTAAAAAGAAGGCATTTTATTTTTGAACATAAAAGTCACTCATGACTATTGTGCAATTGGAAAATGTAAAAAAATGTGAAAAGGAAATATACATTTAATTTATTTTCATTTTACCCAGATAGAATCATGTGATACATACTACAAGGTAAAGTGCTTTTGATTAATAATATCATGAGCATTGCTTCCATAATTATTCTTCCAACACAGAATTTTTAATGAATGTTTAGTGTTCTATCTTGTTGATGAATAATTAATTTTAAAACCTCTTGTTAATTTAATGAAACTCTTTTTACACTACTAAAAAATAAAGGTAAAAATCCCTGAACAAAAATTTTTGTATAGCATTCTCATTATTCTCAGCTTAGCCCAAGTTAATCAAACAACCTCAAAATTTAGTGGCTTACAAAAATTAAGATTGTGGGGAGTTTTGTTTGTTTCCTTCCTGCCACAGACACTCAAAAATCATAGCTGTGTCACAGATGCAAAAATAAGAAAAAAAATCCCTTAGAATCAGTGGCAGTGGCCATAATCCAAACTTTACACAAGCTGGCCATTCATATATACATATTCTGCCTGGTCAAGGAAACCTGAATCTGTAAACTTGGTTTAAACTGGTCCCTGAGTGCGCTCAGCATCTGGCAGAAACTGCTATGGTCTGAATATTTGTATCCCCCCAAAACACATATGTTGAAATTTTACTTCTGAAGGTAATGGTATTAGAAGGTGGGGTCTCTGGGAGGTGATTAGGTCGTGAGGGCTGCCCCCTTAGGAATAGAATTAGTACCCTGGTAAAAGAGACCCCAGAGGGTTAGCTAGTTCTTTCCACCAAATGAGGATACAGCAAGAAGGTGCTGTTTATGAAGAAGGGGCCCTCACAAGACCCCAGATCTAAGCCTTGACCTTAGACTTTCCAGCTTTCATAACTATGAGAAATAAATTTATGCTGTTTATAAGCTACTCAGGATAAGGTATTTTATTATAGGAGCCTCAAGACACTAAAACAAAAGGCAATCCACATTCTTTCTAGAGGAAGACACCATCTTCTATGAACTGACTCTCCAAAATGGATATGTTGACGCTCTAATCCCCAAGATTATGGAATTTAGAGCTGGGACCTTTGAAAGTTAAAAAAAAAAAAAAAAAAAGAAAGAAAGAAACGAAAGAGATGATCTCTTTCCCTTTGCCATGTGAGGATATAGTGAGAAGGTGCTAGTCTGCAAACCAAGAAGACCCTCACCACACAGTGAATCTGTTGGCACCCTGAGCTTGACTTCTCAACCTCCAGAACTGTGAGAAGTAAACATTTGTTGTTTAAGCCACACAATCTATGGTATTTTGTTATTCAGTCCAAACTAAGATGATATAATTCTAGGTTGCGGAGTACCACCGCAAATCATTTTTTAAGGACACTGAGAAAAATAGAATGAAAATGACACACAAAAGAAAACAAGGAACCAGCAAGGAAAAACAAAACAAAACAAAACAAATAGCAGCAGATGTCAGATAGGAATTATCAGAAAGATTATAAAACAATTATGTTTACTATAATAAAATAATGAAAATGCAAGCTGACATGCTTAGAAGTACGAAGTAAAAAAAGTCTATTTTGACTTCAGGCTAGACTCTAGTGACATAGCCTCCAGTGTTGGGGTGATCAGTGTTCACTCTGAGTCATTCTGCAGGAGGAAGAGCTTCTCTAGCCACGTTGGGATCTTATGATTTGCTGTTTCCACTGGAACACATCAAAAACCACCATCTCCAGCAAGTTATATCATAGAGTCTACGACCCCTACTGGGGAGGAGGGAAATACACCCTGAGCTGCATGTTGTTTCTAAATGGATACTGAAAAGTGTCTTACTGATGATGGACAGCTGCCCAACTTTAGGATAACTCAGGCCTCACCCAAAGGCAGACATAGACAGAAGAATACATATCCTCCAAATTTCTTTCAGGTTGACAGGGCTGCCTTGATTCAGGTAGCAGACACAGATCACTAAGTGTTTTTCTGCGTGCAACTTCATTGTCCTTCCAAATAATAGAAATTCTTTCATTTTCATCAGTAGAATGACTTTCAGTGTCTGTCTGACTATACTGAAGGCTATAATATAAATTCTATCTTTTTTCAATTTGGGTAGAAATCACAGACATGGCATGTGTCACACATTCAGTGAGTATGAATGAATAAGGAAATAAGTGAATAAATGAAACTTTAAAAAGAAAGTTAGAAGAGATGGCTCCAAAGATTGCCAGACAGATACCATTTAAAATCAGCTATATTTCCCTAATCATTTAATGCTAATTTTTGTCTGAACCTTTAATTGATACCATAGAAAATGTTTCACCAATAACTAGCTTTGGTAATTTCAAGAATCATGGTGGCTTACAAAGGGGAAAAAATGGGGGCAGCACTTTGGTCCTACTTATCACCCATATTCACGTTTGATGGTTCCCAGAAGTCTACTGGGAAATATGAATATTAGACATCTGCCTTTGAGAAAAATATCAACAAATAATATTGAAAAGGTGTTTTCTCTGCCTCATATGTTCCATTTAGGACCTAATAAAAGACTGACAAATCAAAACATAAAACTGGCTTGAAATGTTGTGAAAAATAAATAAGAGCTGCCTTCTCATCACTTTTTTCTTTTAATATAGATCACACAAAGTAATGTACACAGAGAGTCTATGCTGTCAGTTTTTATTCAACAATGCTAGAATACAAGGAAACTTAAAATACCTGGTAAAACAATAAACATGAACACTCTCCCCCACCTCTCCTGCCACAGAAGTTCCTAGAATATAGTCTGTGAGGGCTTTGAATAAACAGTATGTAGGAGCAGTTTCCTTAGAAAACAAACAGTTCATGTAAAGAATGAAAAAGAGCCAAAGCAGAAAATTCACTCAGAAAAGAAACTTCTAGAATGATCCCTGGAGATCCTCTCAGATAGGAGAGGATAGCTACAAAAAAATTAGAAAATCTTACTGAGGTCATACTAAAGACGAGAGGAGAGGAAGCAAGCACACCTCTCTCCCCACTCTCAGGGAGAAATCCAAAACTAATAAAAAGGAGCATTATAGTGAGAAAGCATAATGAAATGGCTAAATGGAAGTGAGCACAGAGATGCATGAAGAAAAATGTAAAATGAGATGCAATGGTTTAAAAATTGCACTGAGATGGATGTATTAACAGGAACATGAGAGGCATATTAAAGTTTTAAATAATGCATCAGTTGAAGGTATAATGAAAGCATTAAAAGATGCATATCTGGAAGAATACATAATCTTGCAGTACATGTTTAGTGATTCAGGACATAGGTACAATGAGATGTGCTTATTTACAGGACTTAATAATGACCATACATACAGTTCAGAACCCTATGGAATATTCTGATTTGAGAACTATGGAAACCTTTGACAGCCACCTAGATAATTAAATAAATACAGAATAACATCCTTGCAAAAAAGGCTGAAGAAATCATATTATTCCTTTTATTTTTTGCCCATTAAGAGCTATTAGAGCAATAGAATTCAACATCCTCTGAGACAAAAGCAAAAAATGGCTTCAGTTGCATTATGAAGGCTTTAGATTTACCCTAAACATGAATGTCTTGTGAGAGATTTACATACTGAATTGCTAAACTGGAGAAAGAATTTTTCTATGTAAATTCTCCAAACTACAATAAAAGCTCACCGGTTTATCATAATAACAATAATCAATTATCCACTTAACTAGCAATGGAAAAAATATGGGAGCATAGTATAACCTTATTGGATTAGGTTTTCAGTCCATATAATATAGACTTTGTTGCCAAAAGTCCCATGAGAAGTCCTGTAAGAATATGGAAGATGTTACCCTTTATCTCAGCTTCTCTGAATAACTATTTATGACCTTTTCATTATTTTCCCAGAATCCTGTATAGCAGTACTACTTCTTTAAATAATCAATTTTATGCTATATTAACTTCTATGTATGAAAATTATGCTCTTAATTTGCTCAAATTTAACTCCATAAGATTTCCAAAGATACCCCCCTTTTTAATTTTTGGGACTTGGTAGCATTTAGTGTTTCTTTTATCTCCTTAGTCACATTGCTCATTAATTTAAGACTCTAGTCAATCCCTTCTAAGTATTAACCTTTCTAAAACAAATTAAAATTTTAAAGTCTATCTTCAAAGACGATTTATCTATCTCCACTTCATCTCTTCCATAATTTTATTTCCCCTAGTCTGAAGCTCCTAAATGAAGATGAGTTAATATCTTTCATCTGTGGGACAAGCCACTGAGTAATCGTTCTGGAAAAAAACCATAATGAACTCTTCTGGTTATTTTTCTGTTCGGCATTTTCTAGTTATCTTCTGCATCTGGAGAGAACCTGAATTGTGTTCTCCTAGCCTAGTTTTTCCTAAAGAAATAAGACATAAAGACTGAAGGGACTCTAAAAAGTCAATGATACTTATTCATCTTTTTGTCCCCAAAACCTACGTGTATATTTCCTAATGATACTAGCTCACCTTTGTTGATGGATTCTATTTGCCAGGTACTTGGCTGAAATCTTTATACCCATCATCTATTTAATCCTTATAACAGCCTTATGGGTATATATGAGGGACTAACATTTATTGAGCCATTTATATGTGTCAGGCACTCCTTTTAAATGTTTTACAAATACAGTCTTATTTAATCATTGAAACAAATTTGAGAAGTCGGCATTTCCATTAGCACCTTCTTAAAAATGAGGAAACAGAAGCTTTCCTGAAGTTGAGTAAGGTCACACACTACTAATAATAGAGAAACCAGGATTCTAACTTAAGCCCATTCTATTAACCACTATGCTGTACTGCCTCATTCATCAAATGATGAATAAATAAATGAAAACATAAATAAATTAGTGGTTTGAATGACTGATTAAATAACTGCAGCTAAGTATAACTTCAAGTCATAGAGAATTTGTGGGCATTGTAATGTGTGAGAGTTGGATTATACCATCAAAGCTGGATTATACTATCATTCAAAATCCTTTTATTTCTAGTACTCTGTAAAATTAGTAGCCCAAATTAATCAATTCAAAAGCTTTTGCTGCTTTTAAGACTTATGAAACCTATTCAAATGTCTGACCTTTTTTAAAACACTAATAATCATGGAAACGCTCTATAAAAAATTATTAAACATTGTCAGCCTTTTTCTTTCTGAGAAAAGAAACACTGGTTCTAATCAAGCTATAAAATATTGAAATTCTCAGCAAAGCAGTACATATCAGTTAGTTTAGCTTGCATAATATTACTATGAAGAATATTAAACACATTAGAAATCAGAGGGGAAGAGCATGTGGACAGAAATAAACATTTTTAAAAGTGTTGAAGTCACTATTTGATTAATGTCTAATGAATACTTCTATTAATCATATTTGTTTATTAATTTCCTAGATATAAGTTTATTTCAAAAAATACACTCTAGAAGTTATTTTGTTACCTCTTTCTATTTGAATAACAACAAAGAAGGAATCAATATGACCCTGAGAAGATCTAAAGAAGTAACTTTAAGAAGTAAAAGTGAATGTTAGTTTAGTTTTCTAGCACTGCTAGCTTTCCTAATGCCAGTTACAAATTCAAGCCATTTCATTCTCCAGGAAGCCGTACAGATCTCTGAACTACTGATTTGGCATTAATTTACCAACCCATATTGTGTATTAAACTTCACTGAAAAGCTTTGAAGCACTTCAATCAAAAGTTAACTTGATTGTGTGGTATTTTCAGAAATGATGTATGATAATATTCTAAAAGACAATTTTCAGTTTGGGCAGCAACTTTGTTCTACTGAGATTCACTGGGATCTTCATACAGGTGCAAAGAATTTGAATGTAGGTAAGAAACTTCAGATTATCTAGTCAAAAAGTTTACATGTGAGAAAACAGTGGATTTTCTCTTTGGCTAGTTAATGGCACAGCCAGAATGAGACTTTGGAGTCTCCTTCATATTTCAGTGCACCACACTGACTCTCTGCTGTGAACTGAACTGTATCACTCCAAAATCCATATGTTGAAGACATAACCCCCAACGTGACTGCATTTGGAGATATGGCATTTATAAAAGTAATTAAGGCTAAATGAGGACATAAGGATGGGGCCCTGATATGATAGAATTAGTGTCCTTATAAGATGAGATACAAGAGAGCTCTTTCTCTCTCTACCATATGAGGAGAAACTGAGAAAGTGACCATTTGCAAGCTAGGAAGGAAAACAACTCTCACCAAAAAGCATACCCTGCCAGAACCTTGATGCTGGACTTTCCAACATCCAGAACTATGAAAGGATAAATTTCTGATGTCGGAGTCACCACGTCTATGAGATTTTGTTATGGCAGCCCTAGCAGACTAATATACCCTCCTCCTTAGTTCTTCAAGACTTCAGGCCAACCTGTACCTCCAGAGAACAGAATTGCCAGCAATAAGCCAATAACCCAGTACTCAAAGTAGCCAGAAGAGAGCAGAAAATGTACAGGGCTAGCTCAACTATATGTCCTTTTAATAAATGTTAGTTGAGCACCAACTAAGTTTGGAACACCATATAAGACCTGGAAAGGCAATAGTGGATAAGCGTCTACACTTATCCCCAAGGAACTTAAAATCTGATGAGGATGCAGACTTCAAAGAAAGAAGATTTTTGAAATAGTGTCACTAAATAAGTGACTGAACTATGCACTGTGTTAAGCACTTAGGATAAATCAATGAACGAGACATACTTCCTGATCTCAGGGAGTTTACAGTCTAGATGAAAATGATATTCATACAGGTCTTAAATTTTGATTTATTAATGAAACTGTATTTCTATTTATTTCATTTCTTTGCAATCCTGTGTATTTTATGTGTTTAAAAACATTACTCTGAGATAGGTCAGAGAGGTTTCCCAAGATCATGTCCATAGATTTACAGTCTATAGCACTCCAATGTGAAATAGATAAGGCATTCTTAAGCAACTCACTTTTGTGCACAGTAGCAGATCCATTCCCACAATTAAATGCCAGGATTTGTATACATTTGAGACGATTCTTCAGGAAACAACTATAAGACAAAGGACACCAACTTATGATTATATATATTGAAGGTCACTAGAGTCATGGTCAGATCCCGACTCTGAGAATGGTCAAGAGCATGTGGACAGTGGGGCTAATGAAAAATGGAAAGGCACTGAAAATCTTCAGGAGTGAGCACTGAGGAGCTTCAGCCTGTACCCACTTGCACCAAAGACAGCTGCATCCATTCCTCAGTCTCTGTCGCTTTTCATGCCAATTAGGCAAATACAGTGGGGATTAATCTACTGTGTCGTAACAGCAGATCATTGCTCCTCCAAATTAGTAAAAATGAGAGCTGACAGTATAATTTCAGAGATAGAAGGGACTTTCAAAATCATATGGTCCAACTTCATTTCATAGATGAGAAAATTGAAGATTAACATATAATTATGTGACTTACCCAAGGTCATCGAGCTTATTACAAATGGAACTGGACCTAGAAATTAGATCTCCTAACATCAAAGGGAATGATATCGCTCCTCCATTAGGTCTTCATAATGAACAAGTGACAGATATCAGTATAGATATTCTCATAAAATTAATAGTCATCAATATTTTAATTACCTTTGGATATGTGGATGTGAATAACACAAAGTTAGTAGAAAAATAGGGTAAACAAAAAATAATTTAGTAGAAAGCAGAAATTTAAGTCTACAAAACTTCAAATGGGATGAGTGCACCAATGTACACCACAATTTTTGACATTTTATTTAAACTTTTTAAAATTAAATACTAACAAAAATCATATTTATTCTTAAAGTGCATCTTTTTAATGGGATCACTAATTTCTGCGTAACTCTCTCATGCTGAATTATATTTCTGAAGCTCGATTTTGATTGTACAATTTCCATTTTTACCTGTAAAACAAATGTAGTGTTGTCATTCAGGTTTTCCTGGCCTTTCACCAAGGATTGTTGAACTATAACACTTGAATAATCTGAATAGATTCCAATACAGTATATAAGAGCAAATGATATTCTAGGCTTTTTAAAAGAAGAATAAGGATAAATTATATTATGTATTTCTTCCAGACAACTTTTCAAAGCCAAATGAATTTTGATTTATGATATCCTTCTGAACATCAACTTTCAGAGCCTCCTACTCATTCACATGTGAGACTTATTGAAGTAACACCAAGTTCTCTGTTTAAAGTTCTATTTATTCCTCTGCTGTCCTCTGTGGTTGTCCTTCAGGCTGGTTGTGTGAGTGGTACCTAAAGTGATGCACGTCACCATACATCTATCAAGTGTAATAAGGTAAGTAATTCTGCCCAAAGTGCTTTCCTCAAACTAGCCCAGTAACCAAGTTCTCCTTCTTTAAACAACATGCTCAAGAAAAATATTTGCAGATGCTTATACTCAATAGCCATTTGCTTTAGTTGTGGAAATAAGTAACAAAGACTAAAATATTTACCTTTTGGAGATCTTCCTCCAAATATCCTGTTATTTCTGGAGTAATATTTGTGAAGAATTGTAAACCATATATGGCCCTTTATGGCCTTAGTTGTTATTATTATTATTTTGGTAGCTTAATAGTCACTTAAAAATGGATATGCATGACAGCTTATAGTTGTTATTATTATTATTTTGGTAGTTTAATAGGCACTTAAAAATGGATATGCATGACAGCTTATGAGTTATTTGTAAATACACACATGACCCTTCCCATTCATTTCAGAATAAGCCTTTGAAAAATCTCATTTTGAATCTCATTCATCCATATATCTCTTCCTGTCCAAATGTTCTGTGACATATTATGAACACAAGTCCCTAAGCTAATTTCTCTTCTGGTGTCCTATTTGGTGCCCAGCATAATATCTTGCGCTTACATATTTTATTAAGTGAGAAAAGAAATGTTGAAAAAGAAGGGATGGCTGACCCTCCTGGGGTTGAGATGTGAAAAATGCTTATGAATTAATAGGGTGGTTTAGAGGGAAAGAACTTTCCAAGCAGAGGCTACCAGGATTACAGTGCTCAAATCTTAGGAAGTGAGTATGAAAACAGGTTAAATTACTCTATGGGCAAGGTTTTAGTAGGGTCCTCTTCATCCATTTGTGGTTATCAAATTCAAAATATTTGTAGAAAAATTCTAGCCCCTCACTACTTTGTGGAGATGCCTTGAAAAGGAATTAGAAAGGTGGATTAGTCCATTTTACACTACCATAACAGAATACCACAGACTGGACAATTTATAGAACAGGAATTTATTTGGCTTACAGTTCTGGAGGCTCAGAAGTCCAAGAACAAAACATCTAGTGATGGCCTTCTTGCTGCATGATCCCATGGAAGAAGGGCAAAGAGAGGGCAAGAGGGAGCAAGAAGGGGTTGAACTTGTTTATATAACAAGCCCACTCTCATAACTAACCAACTCCCACAATGCTAACCCACTCTGGTTTTAATAGCATGAATTCATTCATGAAGGAAGAGCCCTTATGTCCTAATTACTTCTTATTAGGCCCCACCTCACAACACTGATTCATTGGAGATTACATTTCCAACACATTAACTTTGAGGGACACATTTAAACCATAGCAAGAGGTGAGTGCATTTCATAAACCTTTAGAAAAGAATGGTCAAAAATACCATCCAGTGCTTAGATCTGTTATTTCACATAGCTCACTAACCATTCATGTGTAGTTTTGTTTTGTTTTGTTATTTTGTTTTCGCAAAAATGGAAACATAATCTATAGCTGTTTTCACCTGATTTTTCATTTAATATTGTATAGCGAACAGTTTTTCATGTCAAACAAAATACAGATTTTCAATATTAGTTTTATGTTAAAAATTATCCCATCAAATAGTTCTAATACAAATTCTTCAACTAGACCTCAATTTTTAGACATGTAAATATTAATAGTTTCAGATTTTTTTAATGTTTACTTGACGTGGTTTGGCCCTGTATCCCCCCCAAATCTCATCTCGAGTTGTAATCCCCATGTGTTGAGGGAGGGGCCCAATGGGAAATGATCAGATCATGGGAACAGTTTCCTCCCATGCTGTTCTCGTGATAGTGAAGGAGTTCTCATGAAATCTGATGGTTTTAAAAGTGCCAGTTTCCCCTGTGTTCTCTCTCTCTCTCCTGCCACCTTGTGAAGAAGGCACCTGCTTCCCCTTCACCTTCCGCCATGGCTGTAAGCTTCCTGAGGCCACCCCAGCCATGTGGAACTATGAGTCCATTAAACCTCTTTTGTTTATAAATTACCCAGTCCTAGGTAGTATCTTTATAGAAGTGTGAAAATGGACTAATGCATTATTGTTTTATTATAAAGGATATTGTAAAGGATACAGATGAAGAGATGCATAGGGCAAGATATGGGGGAAAGGGTACAAAGCTTCCATGTCCTCCCTGAGTGTGCCACCTTTAGTAACCTCCATATGTTCAGCTATCCAGAAGCTCACTGAACCCTGTCCTCTTGGGTTTTTGTGGTAGTTTCAAATTTTTTAATATAAAACACTGTAAGGACATTACTATGGATAAAATTTGTGTACCTATTCCTAATCATTTAATGTAAATGGTTCTGGAATCAAGTACAGTACCTGGAATTAAACAGACCTGGTTCAAATTCTAGCTATACCACCTACCAACTGTGTGACTTGGGCAATTCAATCAATCAATGAGACTCAGTTTCCTCATCTATAAAATGAAGATAGTAATAATATCTATATTATTAGGTTGTTGAGAGTTTTAGATAAGATCCTAGAAATAAACCACATAGTATGATATCTGCAACATATTAAACACTTGATAAATAATATGTCTTATTTTTATTAGAAAATTCTACATTTAAGACTTTTGAGATATATTGCCAAACTTTCCCCAAAAAATATTGTATGAATTTGTTTTTTTATCAGCCATGTGTGAGACAGCCCAAGGACATATATTAGGTAGTAGAGTTTTACTACACCACCACTGCTTCAGAGAATTCTGTTAATAGGAAAGATCTAGTTTAAAGCAGCCACGGAAGCAGTCAGTGCTCTGCTATATCTCTTTGGATTTCTTTACCACGTTCATGCACGCCAACTACTGATGTGCTTTTTAATCCTGACGGCCAGCTGTGAGTCTTTGTTGGGCTTCCTTCATGCTGCTGGAATCTGCTTTGTGCAAAAGGAAAGCCAGAAGTGCTTGGGGATTCACTTCCTCTCACCACAGGGATAACCTTAACCAAAGACTGACTTGTAAGTGTATATAAATACCCTAGCTTCCTTGTTTCCTCTTGGAAACAACTCCAAGGTGTGGTCTACTCTATCTTCAAGATTCCCTGTGGAGCTGGACCATCATTCCCTGTGAGTCCTGCTTGCCTGGCCTCCTTCCTTTCCCTGACCAATTTCCCATTCCAATAAAATGTTCTGGGAAGGTTTTCTAACAAGTCACACTTCACAGAAGTCCCTGTACCACAACTGGCTTGTAAGAAAGGAAGAAGATATTTTGGTTGTGAGAACTCAAATATAAATTCTTTAAAAAATTATTTCATTTTTGTCATGAACCTTTATTCTAACAGAATACAATATATATTTCTAATTTGTGAATTTGTATACTATGGCATTGTTTCAGTTTAATCAGCAGAAGGAAAAGCAGAGAGCCAAATAGAGGAAGCAATAGTTTGTGCTTTAATGGAAAGCATGCTTATGTGGTACTCAAATATCCCAGAGTCTAGTCTAGGTCTGTGAATAACTAGCTGTGTAATCCTGAGCAAGTCATTCACCGTTTCTAGGCTTCAGAATATCTGCTGATATTCTCTTGGGCTGAAGAACATCTCCAGGGTCTTTAAATACCTATGAAAATATTGCTATCTGGACAGGCATATCTCAGTGTGGAGCTCGCATATGCCCGTAATCATTAACTTTCATATTTCTTTGAAGACATCCACATTTCTATCATGTACTTTCTCATTCCAATCTCATTTTTCTTCTGTCTTGACTTCTAAGGGAGGCCTGTTTTTCAGCCTTTGATGAGCAGCAGATTCTATCCCTGCTGCTATAGAAAATCCATCATTCATGCCCCACTGCGAATTTCTGACTCTTTCACTCAACATATTACTAACCATGCAGCTTCAGATCTTAATATGCTCAGCAGAGCAGTCATGCTTGCAGTAGACCAAAAACAAGAAAAACTGGATCTGCCTCACATATGTTTGTTTGTGCAATCTGAGTAAGCAGAGTGGCAGAAGAAACAGTCTTAAGACTAAGGAGCTGTGTCTTCTTCCTGTGTTCTGGTGAAGGCACAATGTATTAATGAGGAAGCAGGAGGAAGGCATGAGAGAATTCAAGTTTTCTCTGTAGGGCAGCAGACCCTGATTTTATTTAATTGTGAAGCACAGTCCAATTTCTCTGCAAACAAATGGATTAGGAGAGGTGGCAACTGCTAGGTGAGATTAAGGACTTTAAAAGAAGCAGATCCCACCTCTATTTAAAACTGAAACTTCAAGACAAAGCACTATATACACCCACAAGAGGGAAAAGATGTACAAATATGATAATAGCAATAAAATAGTGAGAACGTTGATCAACTAGAACTCTCTTACACTATTGGTAAGAGTGTAACTTATACAACCGTTTTGGAAAGCACCATGCCATAACCTGCTGAAGTTTAGTAGATGCATATTTTATGGTCATGCTCCTGCATAAATATGTACAGAACCCTTGCATACAAGCACAAGTTCATATAAACATTGTTCCTATTCATTAAGAATGGGGAACCACAAGGGGCGGTTCCAAGATGGCTGAATAGGAACAGCTCCTGTCTACAGCTCCCAGCGTGGGTGACACAGAAGATGGGTGATTTCTGCATTTCCAACTGAGGTACCGGGTTCATCTCACTGGGGCTCATCAGACAGTGGGGGCAGGACAGTGGGTGCAGCCCACCGAGTGTGAGCTGAAGCAGGGCGAGGCATCGCCTCACCCAGGAAGTGCAAGGGGTCAGGGAATTCCCTTTCCTAGCCAAGGGAAGGGGTGACAGATGGCACCTGGAAAATTGGGTCACTCCCACCCTAATACTGCGCAAACGGTCTTAGCAAACGGCACACCAGGAGATTATATCACGTGCCTGGCTCGGAGGGTCCCACACCCACGGAGCCTCACTCATTGGTAGCACAGCAGTCTGAGATCAAACTGCAAGGTGGCAGCGAGGCTGGGGTGTGGCACCCGCCATTGCTGAGGCTTGAGTAGGTAAACAAAGTGGCTGGGAAGCTCGAACTGGGTGGATCCCACCGCAGCTCAAGGAGGCCTGCCTGGCCCTGTAGACTCCACCTCTGGGGGCAGGGCATAGCCAAACAAAAGGCAGCAGAAACCTCTGCAGACTTCAATGTCCCTGTCTGACAGCTTTGAAGAGAGTAGTGGTTCTCCCAGCACAGAGTTTAAGATCTGAGAATGGACAGACTGCCTCCTTAAGTGGGTCCCTCACCCCCCAGTAGCCTAACTGGGAGGCAACCCCCAGTAGGGGCAGACTGACACCTCATACGGCCAGGTACCCCTCTGAGACGAAGCTTCCAGAGGAACAATCAGGCAGCAACATTTGTTGTTCAGCAATATTCGCTGTTCTGCAGTCTCCGCTGCTGATACCCAGTAAAATAGGGTCTGGGATGGACCTCCAGCAAACTCCAACAGACCTGCAGCTGAAGGTCCTGACTGTTAGAAGGAAAACTAACAAACAGAAAGGACATCCACACAAAAACCCAATCTGTATGTCACCATCATCAAACACCAAAGGTAGATAAAACCACAAAGATGGGAAAAAACAGAGCAGAAAAGCTGAAAATTCTAAAAATGAGAGCACCCATCCACGTCCAAAGGAAGACAGCTCCTCACCAGCAATGGAACAAAGCTGGACGGAGAATGACTTTGAGGAGTTGAGAGAAGAAGGCTTCAGATGATCAAAATTCTCTGAGCTAAAGGAGGAAGTTCGAGCCCATTACAAAGAAGCTAGAAACCTTGAAAAAAGATTAGATGAATGGCTAACTAGAATAACCAATGCAGAGAAGTCCTTAAATGACCGGATGGAGCCAAAAACCATGGCACAAGAACTACATGACGAATGCACAAGCTTCAGTAGCCAATTCGATCAACTGGAAGAAAGGGTATCAGTGATTGAAGATGAAATGAATGAAATGAAGTGAGAAGAGAAGTTTAGAGAAAAAAGAGTAAAAAGAAATGAACAAAGCCTCCAAGAAATATGGGACTATGTGAAAAGACAAAATCTACATCTAATTGATGTACCTGAAAGTGATGGGGAGAATGGAACCAAGGTGGAAAACACTCTGCAGGATATTATCCAGGAGAACTTCCCCAATCTAGCAAGGCAGGCCAACATTCAAATTCAGGAAATACAGAGAATGCCACAAAAATACTCCTCAAGAAGAGCAACTCCAAGACACAAAATTGTCAGATTCACCAAAGTTGTAATGCAGGAAAAAATGTTAAGGGCAGCCAGAGAGAAAGGTCGGGTTACTCACAAAGGGAAGCCCATCAGACTAACAGCAGATCTCTCAGCAGAAACGCTACAAGCCAGAAGAGAGTGGGAGCCAATATTCAACATTCTTAAAGAAAAGAATTTTCAACCCAGAATTTCATATCCAGCCAAACTAAGCTTCTTAAGTGAAGGAGAAGTAAAATCCTTTAAAGACAAGCAAATGCTGAGAGATTTTGTCACCACCAGGCCTGCCCTAAAAGAGCTCCTGAAGGAAGCACTGAACATGGAAAGGAACAACTGGTACCAGCCACTGCAAAAACATGCCAAATTGTAAAGACCATCGAGGCTAGGAAGAAACTGCATCAACTAACAAGCAAAATAACCAGCTAATATCATAATGACAGGATCAAATTCACACATAACAATATTAACCTTAAATGTAAATGGGCTAAATGCTCCAATTAAAAGACACAGACTGGCAAATTGGATAAAGAGTCAAGACCCATCAGTGTGCTGTATTCAGGATACCCATCTCATGTGCAGAGACATACATAGGCTCAAAATAAAAGGATGGAGGAAGATCTACCAAGCAAATGGAAAACAATAAAAAAGGCAGAGGTTGCAATCCTAGTCTCTGATAAAACAGACTTTAAACCAACAAAGATCAAAAGAGACAAAGAAGGCCATTACATAATGGTAAACGGATCGGTTCAACAAGAAGAGCTAACTATCCTAAATATATATGCACCCAATACAGGAGCACCCAGATTCATAAAACAAGTCCTTAGAGATCAACAAAGAGACTTAGACTCACACACAATAATAATGGGAGACTTTAACGCCCCACTGTCAACATTAGACAAATCAATGAGACAGAAAGTTAACAAGGATATCCAGGAATTGAACTCAGCTCTGCAACAAGCGGACCTAATAGACATCTACAGAACTCTTCACCCCAAATCAACAGAATATACATTATTCTCAGCACCACACCACACTTATTCCAAAATTGACCACATAGTTGGAAGTAAAGCACTCCTCAGCAAATGTAAAAGAACAGAAATTATAACAAACTGTCTCTCAGACCACAGTGCAATCAAACTAGAACTCAGGATTAAGAAACTCACTAAAAACTGCTCAACTACATGGAAACTGAACAACCTGCTCCTGAATGACTACTGGGTACATAACGAAATGAAAGCAGGAATAAAGATGTTCTTTGAAACCAATGAGAACAAAGACACAACATACCAGAATTTCTGGGACGCATTCAAAGCAGTGTGTAGAGGGAAATTTATAGCACTAAATGCCCACAAGAGAAAGCAGGAAAGATCTAAAATTGACACCCTAACATCACAATTAAAAGAACTAGAGAAGCAAGAGCAAACACACTCAAAAGCTAGCAGAAGGCAAGAAATAACTAACATCAGAGTAGAACTGAACAAAATAGAGAAAGAAAAAACCCTTCAAAAAATCAACGAATCCTGGAGCTGGTTTTTTGAAAAGATCAACAAAATTGATAGACCACTAGCAAGACTAATAAAGAAGAAAAGAGAGAAGAATCAAATAGATGCAATAAAAAATGATAAAGGGGATATCACCACCGATCCCACAGAAATACAAACTACCATCAGAGAATACTATAAACACCTCTATGCAAATAAACTAGAAAATCTGGAAGAAATGGATAAATTCTTTGACACACTCTCCCAAGACTAAACCAGGAAGAAGTTGAATCTGAATAGAACAATAACAGACCAATATCCCTGATGAACACTGCTGCAGAAATCCTCAATAAAATACTGGCCAACCAAATCCAGCAGCACATCAAAAGGCTTATGCACCATGATCAAGTGCGCTTCATCCCTGGGATGCAAGGCTGTTTCAACATATGCAAATCAATAAACATAATCCAGCATATAAACAGAACCAAAGACAAAAACCACATGACTATCCCAATAGATGCAGAAAAGGCCTTTGACAAAATTCAACAGCCCTTCATGCTAAAAACTCTCAATAAATTAGGTATTGACGGGACATATCTCAAAATAGTAACAGCTATTTATGACCAACCCACAGCCAATATCATACTGAATGGACAAAAACTGAAAGCATTCCCTTTGAAAACTGGCACAAGACAGGGATGCCCTCTCTCACCACTCCTATTCAACATATTGTTGGAAGTTCTGGCCAGGGCAATCAGGCAGGAGAAAGAAATAAAAGGCATTCAATTAGGAAAAGAGGAAGCCAAATTGTTCCTGTTTACAGATGACATGATTGTATGTTTAGAAAACCCCATTATCTCAGCCCAAAATCACCGTAAGCTGATAAGCAACTTCAGCAAGGTCTCAGGATACAAAATCAATGTACAAAAATCACAAGCATTCTTATACACCAATAACAGACAAACAGAGAGCCAAATCATGAGTGAAGAGTGAACTCCCATTCATAATTGCTTCAAAGAGGATAAAATACCTAGGAATCCAATTTACAAGGGATGTGAAGGACCTCTTCAAAGAGAGCTACAAACCACTGCTCAATGAAATAAAAGAGGATACAAACAAATGGAAGAACATTCCATGCTCATGGATAGGAAGAATGAATATCATGAAAATGGCCATACTGCCCAAGGTAATTTGTAGATTCAATGCCATCCCCATCAAACTACCAATGACTTTCTTCACAGAATTGGAAAAAACTACTTTAAAGTTCGTATGGAACCACAAAAGAGCCTGCATTTCCAAGACAATCCTAAGCCAAAAGAACAAAGCTGGACGCATCATGCTACCTGACTTCAAACTATACTACAAGGCTACAGTAACCAAAACAGCATGGTACTGGTACCAAAACAGAGATATAGACCAATGGAACAGAACAGAGCCCTCAGAAATAATACCACACATCTACAACCATCTGATCTTTGACAAACCTGACAAAAACAAAAAATGGGGAAAGGAATCCCTGTTTAATAAATGGTGCTGGGAAAACTGGCTAGCCATATGTAGAAAGCTGAAACTGGATCCCTTCCTTACACCTTATACAAAAATTAATTCAAGATGGATTAAAGACTTAAATGTTAGACCTAAAACCATAAAAACCCTAGAAGAAAACCTAGGCAATACCATTCAGGACATAGGCATGGGCAAGGACTTCATGTCTAAAACACCAAAAGCAATGGCAACAAAAGCCAAAATTGACAAATGGGATCTAATTAAACTCAAGAGCTTCTGCACAGCAAAAGAAACTACCATGAGAATGAACAGGCAACCTACAGAATGGGAGAAAATTTTTGCAATCTACTCATCTGACAAAGGGCTAATATCCAGAATCTACAATGAACTCCAACAGATTTACAAGAAAAAAACAAACAACCCCATCAAAAAGTGGGAGAAGGATAGGAACAGACACTGCTCAAAAGAAGACATTTATGCAGCCAACAGACACATGAAAAAATGCTCATCATCACTGGCCATCAGAGAAATGCAAATCAAAACCATAATGAGATACCATCTCATACCAGTTAGAATGGTGATCATTAAAAAGTCAGGAAACAACAAATGCCGGAGAAGATGTGGAGAAATAGGGACACTTTTACACAGTTGGTGGGACTGTAAACTATTCAACCACTGTGGAAGACAGTGTGGCGATTCCTCAAGGATCTAGAACTAGAAATACTATTTGACCCAGCCATCCCATTACTGGGTATATACCCAAAGGATTATAAATCATGATGCTATAAAGGCACATGCACACGTATGTTTATTGAGGCACTATTCACAATAGCAAAGACTTGGAACCAACCCAAATGTCCAACAATGATAGACTGGATTAAGAAAATGTGGCACATATACACCATGGAATACTATGCAGCCATTAAAAAGGATGAGTTCATGTCCTTTGTAGGGACATGGATAAAGCTGGAAACCATCATTCTCAGCAAACTATCGCAAGGACAAAAAACCAAACACAGCATGTTCCCACTCATGGGAGGGAATTGAACAATGAGAACACTTGGACACAGGAAGGGGAACATCACACACTGGGGCCTGTTGTGGGGTGGGGGTAGGGGCAGAGGGAAAGCATTAGGAGATATACCTAATATAAATGAGGAGTTAATGGGTGCGGCACACCAACATGGCACATGTATACATATGTAACAAACCTGCACGTTGTGCACATGTACCCTAGAACTTAAAGTATTAAAAAAAATTTTTTTAAAAAAGATTGGGGAACCACTCAAATATCCAAAGGTTCATTGACAAGGATATGGATAAACAAATGAATAAACTAGTAAAGTCTATTCTTCCACAATAAAAATGAATAAACCACATCAAACAAATCTTCAGAAATGAATCTTTAAACATACTATTGAATGAAAAAAGCAAATCTCCTAAGACTATAAACTGTTGTCATTTTTTGTAAAGGTCAAAATCAAACAATGCAAAACTAATTAAACAACGAATTGTTGAGGAGAATCTACATATACGATTTTAAATACTTTTTAAGAGAAAAATGCGAAATCTAAAGTAGTCATTATTTCTAGGTGGGGAGCAATCAGGGAGGCAGAGAAGCAAGAGAGTAACACATAAATAAAAAATTCTATTAGTATTGTTCTAACTCTTATGTAGGGTGCTGGTTTCATGGGAATTCACCTTATCATTATGCTTCATAATCCTCATATGTATTTTATACTGTTGTTTTATAAGTATCAAATATTTCCTAAGAAATAAATTTAAAATATTAAATGAGAATGCAACTCAAAAAGGGATATGAAACAGAGCAAACCAGCAAAAACAGACTCCTTTCCTGAATATCCCATTGGCATTTGTGGGCATTCCTTATTGTGTCACTTTCCAAATTTATCCATGTGCACTGGGCCACGGGTTGATCCACATGGAAAACTGCCTTTCAATTCCTTCATATTTAGATAAGGAGTAATAATTCCTATTCTACCAAATCTACCAATTTTCTGAAAGAATAAATGGGACCATATGTATGAGTTGGTGAACTGAGAAATGTTTCACAAGTGTTACATACAATTGTTACCATCTTCCCAAGTCTACCTCATGAGAATGTTTGAGGACAAAAGTCAGGAAGGAGAAAGCCCTCAAGAATCTTAAAGAGGGATAAAAAGGGCAATGGTCTAAGAGAAACTAACTTAAGAAAAGAATTAATTCAGAGATGATTGGTAATTGATCCAGAGCCTTTGCTTATTTTTTTCTCTCGTTTATATTCTCTTGATACTTATAGAAATTTAGCAGATTAAAGAAAAGGACAATAAAAAAGCAAAACAGTTTATATGCAGTTTCTGTTAATCGTTAAACTAATTTGAGAGTGAATACTAGTACACACCCCAGGTGCTTTATATCTTAATGTCTCTGAAACCACATACCCACCACCTGTGTGATAGTTATAAATGTAAAATTCTGTGAGGTCAAGTTAAATAGATGTAATTTAGAAACGTGGAGTTGTATCATTGCTATTAGCATCAAGTATCAGAATCAAATATATAATTTTCATAATATTTTCATAAAATGAAAAGTTAAGAATTCAAAAGATTATAAAAATGCATTTTAACATATTTTCCAAAAAGTTTGCTTGCTGCCAAGAAAATTAGTCAAAAATTGAAAAGCCACTTAAACAAATTTTAGACATAGTTATCTCTATGACAGTAATTTGTTGACTATTTTTCTTTCTCAGTTGAGTGGATTGAATTATTTTACACAATTGCCTAATTGAGTAACTTGACATAGTCGTCTTTGTCTCCTTCCTTCTAATGACAGCCCAGCATGACCATAACACCTTGACCAGGCCACCTGAATGGCCCGTTTTGAGCTCATCCCAAGCACATTTATCATTAGTAAAATAATTGGGCTGCAAAATAATCACATCCTGATTTCTTATTTAGGAAGATGATTAGGAAACATTTACACAGTTACAGTGGAGAAGCAGAAGCACGGAGAAGTTCAATGACTTTCTCAAGGTTACACAAGGACAAAACCAAGAACAGAAAATAGGTTTCCTACCTTTCAGTCTAACGAGATGTATTTCCAAGTCTATATTGCCTTCTTTACTTATTCACAGAAAAGGAGAAACCCAATTACCGTAAGTATGACACTTTGAACTGGATTTCAGATGCATTACCCAATGACCAGAACACAGAACAATTTTCTCTCTCTTTCCTCTGGTTTGTGCATTGGGCCATTGGGAGTAAAAACTTTTTATCCAAGTCCCATCTTCCTACACAGGAGTGTGAGAGGTGGTGAGACAGGCCTGCTATTAGTGGCCTGCTGCTGTTTGGCCAAGAGTATTGGCATCTCTTCTTCAACCTAGTTTTAACAATCTGAAATTCTGGGCAATAGTCCCAGTATGTGTGTTCTAGGATTTAAATTAAATGTGAGAAAAAGAGGACTTCCATGATCTCACAGGTAAGCCATATTCTCTGACTCAGTTTACCAGAGGCCTTACATTTCCAGGAGTGTGAGCTACATGAGCAGCTATTAATAACTACAAGGGAACTAACTGTTAATCACTTTCCAATGTAAAGGCTGTCTAAGCTGCTTTAATTCAGCACCTCCCCCAGTTACAAGTATAAGGAGTCTGCCTACCTCTATACCATTAGTTATCAATTCTTTGTTTTTATTAGACACTAAGTATAGGGATATCCACAGTGGGCAATGTGATGAGCACTGAGTATATTCCTATGGAACAGACTGATACTAGCCCTGCTGGTCCACCAACAGGCAAAGTTCTAGATGCAGTTGAATAAGATCCTTACCAGACAGCATGAGGGCAAGAGCTGAAAGAGCTCTTAGATACAGATAATGGGAAGTGCTCAATCAAAGACTAGGAGGTCTGCAAGTAAAGACCTGCTTTCCATGTGGTCCTGAGAACTTGTTTGATGCCTCTTATTGTGGTCTTTTCCAGGCCCATCCACTTGACTCTTCCCAAGCAGCAGGCTCTCCCCTTCCCATAACAGATGCTATTGGTGTCTCAACATGATCCCCTTATATAAGCCTGGTCTGTGGGTATTGGATGCAAATGGCTCACTTCTGAACCCTGCCTATCTTGGAGATACTGGGAAGTCACACACCAACCCCCAGTAGCTCATAGCCAGTGGATAATACCATGCCGTAATAGGCAAGCCCAGTTGCTGCTGGCCACACAAGCTCCAAGGTCCATTTCAATCAGGATGAGACTACACTTCACCTGAACTCATATTTTTCTTAGTTTCTTCTGCCCTACCCTGCTTTCCTCATTTCTTTACAGGTTCCACTACTGGAGAGCCCTCCTTCACTAAATATTTCCATAAGAATCCTCTTCTCAGGTTCTGCTTCTAAAGGGCCCAATCTTTTTATTTTATATTATTATTATACTTTAAGTTTTAGGGTACATGTGCACAACGTGCAGGTTTGTTACATATGTATACATGTGCCATGTTGGTGTGCTGTATCCATCAACTCATCATTTAGCATTAGGTATATCTCCTAATGCTATCCCTGCCCCCTCCACCCACTCCACAACAGTCCCCAGTGTGCGATGTTCCCCTTCCTGTGTCCGTGTGTTCTCATTGTTCAATTCCCACTTATGAGTGAGAACATGCAGTGTTTGGTTTTTGTCCTTGCGATAGTTTGCTGAGAATGATGGTTTCCAGCTTCATCCATGTCCCTACAAAGGACATGAACTCATCATTTTTTATGGCTGCATAGTATTCCATGGTGTATATGTGCCACATTTTCTTAATCCAGTCTATCATTGTTGGACATTTGGGTTGGTTCCAAGTCTTTGCTATTGTGAATAGTGCCACAATAAACATATGTGTGCATGTGTCTTTATAGCAGCATGATTTATAATCCTTTGGGTATATACCCAGTAATGGGATGGCTGGGTCAAATGGTATTTCTAGTCCTAGATCCCTGAGGAATCACCACACCGACTTCCACAATGGTTGAACTAGTTTACAGTCCCACCAACAGTGTAAAAGTGTCCCTATTTCTCCACATCCTCTCCAGCACCTGTTGTTTCCTGACTTTTTAATGATCGCCATTCTAACTGGCGTGAGATGGTATCTCATTGTGGTTTTGATTTGCACTTCTCTGATGGCCAGTGATGATGAGCATTTTTTCATGTGTTTTTTGGCTGCATAAATGTCTTCTTTTGAGAAGTGTCTGTTCATATCCTTCTCCCACTTTTTGATGGGGTTGTTTGTTTTTTTCTTGTAAATTTGTTTGAGTTCATTGTAGATGCTGGATATTAGCCCTTTGTCAGATGAGTAGATTGCAAAAATTTTCTCCCATTCTGTAGGTTGCCTCTTCACTCTGATGGTGGTTTCTTTTGCTGTGCAGAAGCGCTTTAGTTTAATTAGATCCCATTAGTCAATTTTGGCTTTTGTTGCCATTGCTTTTGGTGTTTTAGACATGAAGTCCTTGCCCATGCCTATGTCCTGAATGGTATTGCCTAGGTTTTCTTCTAGGGTTTTTATGGTTTTAGGTCTAACATTTAAGTCTTTAATCCATCTTGAATTAATTTTTGTATAAGGTATAAGGAAGGGATCCTGTTTCAGCTTTCTACATATGCCTAGCCAGTTTTCCCAGCCCAATCTTAAAACATTTCTCAAACCAACCTCTCAGAATTAGCTCCAAGGTCACTAGTACTCTTCTCTGGTAATCTCCTATTTTCTTTTCCAAAGGTGAAAATGCTTTTGCCCTTCTTTGTTTTGCCCAGAGTACATCTTTTCTCTCCTTCCTCTACCTTCTTCACAGGCCCTGTTTCCTCCTATATTTTTCCTCTAATATTATTCTTCTATTATTCTATCATTTTCTTATTCTTCCAGTAGTCCCACATACCTAGAGAGCTTATCATTAGCAATTTAAAAATATAGCTCTCTTTTTCTTGAAGGCAGAAAGAAAAAGGTGTTTCATTACTTCATTGGACGGTTTAAAGATAAACCGTCCAATGAAGTAATAAAACATCTTTCAGTATTGTTATGAGACTTAAAACATACAGATAACTGGTACATAGTAGGAGTATAACAAATGGTAGCTAATAGTATTACTTTATCTGCATATGCTAATCACTCCAATTCCATCAAGTAGTGAAGACCTTTAGCTACCAGGTCAGCCTAGCAGGTCAGGTCTCTAATGATTGGAAAAAAATGCCTAAATGTACATTAGGACCTTTGAATCTCCAGATTTGTTCCCTTTTCTCAATTCCAGTAATATGGACTCTTGGGAATAGAAGACATTTGAAATGTGTTTAAGCTTCATCTATGCCCTCTCTGAAACTAGAACCAGTTCCTGTATCTTCAGTTACTAGCTGTGATCTCACCTAATCCAGAAGTGTCACAGAGCCTACACACTGTTCTCCTCACAATGATTGGTACCACCACTGCTCAGAAACCATATGAAATACTTACCCCAATCTGATCTAACTATGGAGGACTAGCCATTTTTTCCCAGAAATTTGCTTTATAAATAACTGCCTCTCTTCATCATCTGTCTTACTTTATGCCACTCCCCCTAGGGACAGACTATTAAGCTACCAGCTGGTCAAATTACTACACGCAACTGACTATATGTATTATATACTGTATGATTACAACTACATGGCTTTGGAGATGTAAAAGATCAGTGGTTACAAGGAGTTGGGGTGGGGAAAAGGGGAGGAATGGACAGGCAGGGCATAGAGGATTTTTAGAGTAGTGAAAATACTGTATGTACTAGAATGATGGATACACATCATTGTACAATTGTGCAAACCCATAGAATGTACAATACCAACAATGAACCCTTCAGCTAACTCCAGATTTTAGGTGATTATGATGTGTCAATGTGGATTCATCAGTTGTAACAAATGTACCACTCTGGTGGAGGATGTTGAAAATTTGAGAGTCTATGCATGTGTGAGAGTATATGGGAAATCTCTACATCTTCCTCTCAGTTTTGCTGTGAACCTAAAACTGCTCTGAAAATGGTATTTCTTAGAACAGAGAGTTGTACATTTATCCCATATGTCTGGATCACAAAGGAGAGATAAAGAGGGCTCTACAGCTGTAATAGGATTCAATCATGATTATAATGTAGGTAGGATTCCAGAATACTCTCTTGATCCCATTAAAGATTTACAAAAAGAAGCAATATCCAGATATGAAACAACAAGAGGATTGAAAGCCATAAGAGCTGAAAAAAATATGTAACCAAACATGCAGCGTTTCTGGCTCCAGATATTTGAGTTTGCTGTTTTTTCTAACCACACTCCATAAAGGATAGCACAGGTATTGATACCAGGCAGTTATGCTGAGGAGCCACCACCAGGTATTCTTGATGTCTCTGTTCCTCAGGCTGTGAATGCAGGGTTCAACATGAGGGTGACTGTGGTATATACCATTGAGGCCACCACACCTGTTCTTGGGGAAGGTGAGCCAGCCAAACTAAGGTATACTCCAAGGCCTGTTCCATAAAATAAGCAAACAACTGACAGGTGAGAGCGATGGGTGGAGAAGGTTTGCTTTATACTTCCCACATTTTATAGGGTTATGAGTATGGAGAACATAATTTGAGTATAACAGTAAAGGATCCCTGAGAATGGACCACAGAGATGGCACCAATAAAATGCATTAATGTGTTATTGGTGGCAGTGTCAGAACAGGAAAGGTGGAGAAACTGAGAAGGGTCACAGAAGAAATGAGGAATGTCTACATTTGCATGAGAGAACTTGTGACACCATCAAACTGTACAGCTGGGTTTCCAAAAGACTGATCAAAAAAAAAAAAGAGAGAGAGAGACCAGAAGCAGGAGGCCACAGAGGTGGGGATTCCTGATCACTGTGTAGTACAAGAGATGACAGGTCGCCACAAATGGGTCATAGGCCATCACAGTCATGAGTAGATTGTGCAAACATCCAAAAATAATTTTAAAAGACATCTATTTCAGGCAGCTCATGTATAAAATGATTCTGCTGTGAGTTTGGAGGTCTACAGTTATCTTTGAAATTGTGGCAGGGGTGAAACCAATGTCAGCTAAGGACAGGTTGAAGTCATGGGGTTGTGGAGGTGAGGGCAAAGCTGACAGTCAGAAGGATGTGAGCAAGTTCGCAAGCACTGTGACTAGGTGCATGGTTCAGGGACAGCCTGAAGAGGAAAGGCTGCAGTTCCAAGTCATCTAAGAAGTGGAGGAGGAAGAATTCCAAAACACGAGTTAGATTCTTTGGTCCCATGTGGCTGAGACTCATTTTTCACTTATTTCCTTCTGTGATACTCATCTTTCCTTTATGTAGACCCAAGTTTCTGACTTGTATCATTTTCCTTCTCTACGAAGACCTTTTTTTAAAAAACATGTTTTGCAAGGAAGATCTACTCGCAACCAATTTCTTCAATTTTTGTTTGTATGAGAAAGTGTTATGCCTTTCCTTTTGAAGGATATTTTCATAGGATACAGAATCCTAGTTTGGTGGGGGGGGGTTTGCCTCAATCTTTTAAATACTTCATTCTACTCTCTTCTTGATTTTATGTTTTATAAGGAGAAGTCAGATGTAATTATTATCTTTGATCCTCTGTAGGTAAGGTATTTTTTTCCCTATGGCTTCTTTTGGGATTCTTTTATATATTCGATTTTCTGAAGTATGAATATGATATGCTCATGTGTCATTTTTGGCATTTATCTTGCTTGGTGTTCTCTGAGATTTCCAGATCTGTGGTTTGGTGTCTGACATTAATGTGGAGAAATTCTCAGTAATTATTACATCAAATATTGCTTCTGTTTATTTCTTCTCCTCTGTTATTCTCATTGTATGTATGTTACACCTTTTGTAGTTGTTTCCCAGTTCTTAAATATCCTATTCTGGTATTTTTGGTTTGGGGTTTGGGTTTCTTTTTCAGTTTTATTTTTCCTCTGCTATTCAGTTTTGGAGTTTTTTGTTGTTATATCCTCAAGCTCAGAGACTCTTGCCTCAGCCACATCCAGTTTATGTTTTTCTATTAGAGCCCTTAACATATTAATTATAGTTGTTGAAAGTTATCAGTCTAATAATTCCAACACCTCTGCCATATCTGAGGCTGGTTTTGATGCTTGTTCAGTCTCTTCCAACTGTTTCTGCCTTTTATATGCCTTCCAACTTTTCTTTCAAATCCGAACGTGATGTATTAATACAAGTTGAATACCAATAAATAGGTATTTAATGGTATGGAGAGAGTTGAAGTTTTCTACTCTGATTGGGTATCCTTTTTTTGGTAAGCCTGTGCCTCTGTATTGTGAACTTCATCAGTGCTTCTCTGTCTCTTTTCCCCATTAGGTGGGACAAAATGGCTAGAGTCTCATCTCAGGTAGATTCCACTGTAATTAAATTCCAGCAAATTAGACTCTGGTAAAATAATTTCTCCTGAGGGTAGGCCTTATTAAGAAGAGCAGAGTGCTCTGGAACATTTTAAAAAGATTCCTTTTTCCCTCCCACCTGCTGGAAGTGTTATAGGAAAGGAGTCCATATCTAGATCCCAAGGGAGGGTTCTTGGATCTCACACAAGAAAGAATTCAAGGAGAGTTCGTAAAGCGAAAGCAAGTTTATAAAGAAAGTAAGGGAATAAAAGAATGGCTACTCCATAGACAGAGCAGCCCAGAGAGCTGCTGGTTGCCCCTTTTTATGGTTGTTTCTTGATGATATGCTAAACAAAGGGTGGATTATTCATGCCTCCCCTTTTTGGACCATATAAGGTACCTTCCTGACATTGCTATGGCATTTGTAAACTGTCATGGTGCTGGTGGGAGTATAGCAGTGAGGATGACCAGAGGTCACTCTCATCGCTGTCTTGGTTTTGGTGGGTTTTAGCCATCTTCTTTACTGCAACCTGTTTTATCAGCAAGACCTTTATGACCGGTATCTTGTGCTGTCCTTCTATCTCATCCTGTGACTTAGAATGCCTTAACCGTCTGGGAATGCAGCCCAGTAGATTTCAGCCTCATTTTACCCAGCTCCTATTCAAGATGGAGTTGTGCTGGTTCATACACCTCTGACAGAAGTACAAAGGGATATTTATGTGAGGACCTAGTAGAGCTACTGGAGGTGAAACTCACAAAAATTAGAGTCCCCCATGATTCAGCCCCCGCCCTGGGGTCTTGTCCAGACTTGTTCACACCGAGCCCCTAGTAATACATCAATTGCAGTTCAGATTGTCCTACCCCATCACTGCTTCTGAAGGAATTTCCTGGTTGTGGGTTTCTGTTCTGGTAAGTTGTAATCCTCTGTATCTGACTGTCTGTCTCTCCAACTTGGGGAGACACTGGTTTTCCCTGTGACCTCACTTCTCTGATGAAACTAAGAAGAGCTGTTGATTTCTCATTTTGTTGAGTGTTTCTCTTGTTGTCAGGAAGAAGTGGTGACTTCTAAGCTCCCTACATGCTGGGCTGGAAACCCCCAAAAGACTTTCCAGCATATAAAACCTCACAAGGATTCCATTATCTCATTACCTTGCCACACACTGGAACATCTCTTATAAAACCTCAGTAGGATATTAGAGCCAGTTATATCAAAATAAATTCATATTGGAAAAAATATGTTTTCTAGGTAGAAATTCTCATGCCAATTGACTAACTTCTTTATCAAGTTCAGCTCTTTGCATTCTGAGCTTGCTGCTTTGGAAAAAACACAATCATTTATGTAATAATTAAAAATAAACAGTGAATATTTTATAGATTTTATTACCTAATAAAAATAGATTTGCATATAATAATTATTCTGAGGACGCTGTCAAACTCAGACCTACCTGCCCCAAAAACTGCCACTTTCTAATTAATATGACTCACAATACCTATATGTACAGAGATAATTTGCCGCACTGTTTCATGGCCTTGATTTACAAAAAAGCCACCTCCTTTCCCCAAGGAATCCCTATTTTCCCTCAGTCAATTTATAGTTTCCACAATGAAAATTTTAAAGTTTAAAAACTATTCTCTATCCTAGTCAATTTCATTCTATGATGTTAAAAAAGAAATGCTTGAAGTTAAAATAAAATCCCCAATAAACTTAATATTTAGCATTTACCCTGTGCCATGCATTGAAATTCCATTTCTATTTGCAAAATAAAGTGGAAAATTGAAAGAGGTTTCCCATTAATTCAGGCATTAAGTCCACTTATGCTAGAACTTTCTAGCTAATTGAAGCACACATAGCTTTTAAAGACAAGTCAATAGAGGCCTGACCCAATATATTACCATAAAGTGCATTGGGTAGATGTCACAGCAGCAGATGTTAGGTCTATTTAATCCTGAGTCTAGTTCAGCAGTGGGTAATACTATCATTAATCCACTGAGAGCACATACCCCTCAGATGATAATTAGAAAGGAACTTTTTTTAAGTATCTACAATTACAGTGACACTCTCAATAGCCTTAATTATGGAAATAACTTTCACATTAAATTCACCTGCTTGATAATATACAGTAAAAGTCTATTTCTGCTGAACTGTGTTGTTTGTTAAAGCATCAGTGCCTGAGGTTCAGCTATTCTACATGTGAATATTAGAGCCAACATCTCTAGAGTTTCAACTCAGATTAAAAGCTGGTATTAATTTGACTAGAGTTAGTGTTGTATGCTCAGCATGAAAAAATACATCTCTAGGAAAAAAGCTAGAAGATCCCAAGTAACATTCTAATCTCGGGTTTATCTCCTATTGTTATCTAATGCCCAATATTTTACCCTATCCAGATTCTGTAAGGCAAGAGCAAGGTAGGAAGCTTCCTGCCTGTTCTTGTGCTGAAATGAAATCCAAGTGTTTGATGCTGATTGCTAATATTCCTACTCACTTTTGATCCAGAGAAAATAATACAATTTGTAATTCCCAAGATACTTGTCAAGATCCCAGAAGGAAAATATGTACACGTACATACACATAAACACATACATACACACATATAAATACATACATACACATAAACACATAAACACATATGCACACACTCATACAATGGCTAATAATAACCTAATTTCTCTGTATCAATCTAGCTCTGTTCCACATGGAAAGGACTGGGATTCACATCTCTTTGTCTTTCAGATACCCTAAGCATGACATAGTAGTGCATTATCTTCTAAATATTCAATAAATGGTAGACACTGAAAAATGTTGAAAGCAGTGTATTGCTTATAGAGATAAAACAGGGAGATCTAAGAACTGTGTGCTCCTTGCCTTCTCATTTTTCATTCTTCATCTCAGTTTGGTCCACTCAGAATTACTTATTAATTATTCAGTGAGACTAAGAATTCCAGGTTTACTCTTCTAACATTCATGAAGCTAATCACTCAAATTAGCTTTGCAAATTACTAAAAAGATATTTTCTCCTTTGCTCTCATCCCTGTCACTGTGAAATTTAAAAGCAGTCCCCAAATCTGTAAGGTAAAAAGAGAAAGAAAAGGACAGAGTGATTTATTTTCCTTTATTTTCACTCAGAATTTCAGCTAAAAATGGCAAATGAGGACAAACTCATGCTACAAGTCATTGTTATGAAGGTGACTTCATTCTGATGAAAGTTGCAAATAGACAGAATATATTAACTCTGTCTTGAACTTTAAGACAACTCTCTCTCTCAGCTGTAGACCCGGTGGTACAGAGTTGAATGCTGGGAGATATCAGCTGTTTCAGTCCTCATTAAATTTTTGGCCACAAGCCATTGAAGTAAATTCAATAAGCTGAAGTCTTGGAATTTGCATTAGTTCTTTAAACAAAGACTCTTTCCTGAACAATGGAGTTTTGAGTACAGTTTGCTCTCTTAACTGTAGAAGGTTCATAGGGAGTTCACAGGGAAGAAATTAATTGGGCTCTCTATTGTTTTTTTTTCTCTTTTCCCATCCCCAATGTATTAAACATTTCTGTATACCTCAAATGCTACTGTCCTTCTTTGGTAAAATTTAATTCAATTAAAATTTACAAAGGCACAGAATAAAAAATGATATTAGAAGAGAAGTCAATTCTAATAAGAAAAATATTCTACAACTATAAATTGCTCATTAATTTCTACCCTCTAGTGCTTGTAAGCTTAGTCATGCCAAGTTAAGAGATATCCTTCCAATTGGTCTTTGATGAGACTTAAATAGTAAACCAGCCAATCTGATTCTATACCATTTCTTAGAACAAAGAAGAGTGCTATAGATTAGATTTCTGATAAGGATGACCTCTATACAGTAGGAGAAAAGCTAATTTGTACAGGTATCAACATTCTCTATCAAGGTAACCTATCATTTCTTTCAAGCACCAAAATAAGAAAATGGTATACAAACAAAGATCCTTGGTGGTGGAAAAACCAGCCCAGAATAGGAAAACAACCAGCACTATAAAGTCTAGCTCATAAAAACAAAATAAATGCTGCACTGGTGACTATGGTACTTAAGAAATGTAACTAACAGGAATGTTCACCATGGCAATAGTATTGACACTTGTAATATCTTTTAAGAGAAACTAAAATGTAACCTTTTTCCACTCACTTGTTACCTTCTTTACAGAAGACATACACAGAGCATAGTCTATACCATTTGGATGATATTACTGCATTCTGGCTTGTATTGTTTCAGTACTATTTTATTACAGTGAGGTGGAAAGAGTGCCAAACTTCAAGTGAGAAAAAGTGGATTCTAGTCCCAGCTCATTTACTAGTGTTATGGTTTGGATGTTTGACCCCTCCAAAAATCATGTTGAAATTTGATTCCCAATGTTGGAGATAGGGTCTAATGTGAGGTGTTTTGGTCACAAGGGAAGATCCCTCATGAATAGATTAATGCCCTTTCCTTGGTGATGAGTTCTTACTCCATTAGTTCCCATGAGAGCTGGTTGTTAAAAAAGGCTTAGCACCTCCCCTTTCTCTCTCTTGCTTCCCCTCTTGACATAGGATATCTACACACACTGGCTCCCCTTATCCTTCCACCATGAGTAGAAGCAGCCTAAGGCCCTCACCAGAAGCCAAGTAGATGTCAGCGCCATACCTGTAGAGCTTACAAAACTGAGATAAATAAACTTATTTTATTTATATATTCCAAGCTCCAGGTATTCCTTTATAGTAACACAAAACAGATGAAAACAACTAGCCTCAAGGTCTTGAATAAGCACCTTAATTTTCTGAACCCCAGCTTTGCCTGCCCTAAGCAGGCCATTTGAGATAATAAATGTGAACACACTTTATAAAACTACTTATCTCTGTATAAATGTAGGAATTATCATGGTGATGAACATGTAGTTCATCACCATTTTTTGAACATATCAGGTTTTAAAGAATAGGGATGGTCCTAGATCTTTTCCTAGAACCTTCTGTGTAACAAATAAGTGAACAGCTATTGAGAATATACCAAGTAACTCAAAAAGCTCTTTTGATCCAAAGGTAATCAAGTTGGAAGGAACCTGAGACATCATTTGATCCAACCCAATCATCTAATAGATCAGAAGACTGAACTCAAAACTGACTCACCCAAGTAACTCACGAAGGTGGTGCAGAAACGGAACCAGCCAACGTGACTCCCAGTGTCCTCATATCTGAATCACCCAGACTAGACTGGAGCAGACAGGCTTTACTCAGGGCAAAGATACTGCAAGAGAAAAAGTATGCTTGTGATGAAAGGAGGCAGTCCCAGTCGCCATGAGCAGCAGACTTAAAGTAGTCTTCTGGAAATTTTGACAAAATAGCTCTTTTTTGAATAGGCTATCATCCTGAGGATTTGTCATCTATTGGAACAGGCAGGGTAAATCATAGGCAGTGCACAGTGAGTGATCTGACCACTAGCTAGACTTTTAGATAAACAGAATAGGTGTATTAGTTAGGGTTTTCCAGAGGGACAGGACTTATAGGGTATACGTATATATGAAAGGGAGTCTATTATGGAGAAACAGCTCACAAAATCACAAGGTGAAGTCCCATGATAGGCTGTCCAGAAGCTGAGGAAGAAAGCAGCCAGTAGTGGCTCGGCCCAGGTCCAAAAGCCTCAAAAGCAGGGAAGCTGACAGTGCAGCCTTCAGTCTGTGGCTTAAGGCCAAAAGCCCTTGGCAATACACTGGTGTAAGCCCAAGAGTCCAAAACAGAAGAACCTCGAGTCTGATATCCAAGGGCAGGAGGAACGAGAGGAAGCATTCAGCATGTGAGAAAGATAAAAGCCAGAAGACTCAGCAAGCCAATGTATCCCACATTCTTACACTTGTTTTATTCTAGCCACTCTGGCACCTGAATGGATGGTGCCCACCCACAATGAGGGTGGGTCTTCCTCTCCCAGTCCACTGACTCAAATGTGAATCTCCTCTGGCAACACCTTCACAGACACAACCAGAAACAATGCTTGAGCAGCTATCTAGGCATCCTGCAAACCAATCAAGTTGACACCTAATACTAACCATCACAATAGGGGTTGCCAAAACAACAAATGAAAAGTGGAACTTTAGGTCTTTCCCTAGAAGACCCTCCACTTCAAAACCCTGATTAGGAAGCTGCATTCAAGGGATTGTACTTGGCATGCAAGCATTAGGAAACACAGGACTGGAGGATGTCCCATTGTCTGTCAGGTACTGAGGCACATTTTAGCTTTCCCAACTCAATATCCCTGAAAACAAAGTCTTAATGGCCTTTCTTGTTTCCCCTAAATATTTATCTTCAAGAATGTTACAAGAGGCAGGCCTCTGGAAAGCCACAGTATCTCTGATTCAATGAATTGTTTCTGGGAGAGTTTCAAGGACAAAAATGATGACAGGCAGGGTCAGGAGGGAGTCATCTTCTGGCAAAGCAGAGCAGCAGGAGCTGGGAACAAGCATCTAGAAGTTATTGGAAGCATAATATGTTTCCCCTCTCACATCCTTCCAAAGTCTTCATACATATCAGTAATCTCTCACCGACCCTCAGCAGCCCGTTTAAAGCCAAGAGGCAGCAGGGGAGAGCAGCACATATGTTCCGCTATTAATATCTAATTAATTGACACAAGTGCAACCCAAGGAGCATAACTTCTAGATGCAGAGACGGCAGCACAAAAGTGACAGCAAAGTGTCATCTCTAACCATGCCCTTATTGGTATAGAGAATCTCCTGGCGTGTCCAACAAATATTTTTGAAAGGAGCCTGGGGCTTTGTGGGTTGCTGAGACTTCATGATTCACAGATGCAAAGACCTTCAGGTTCTCTCTTACAGAATTAAATCCCACTCTTGAGAATGCACAAAAGAAAATCAACAGTGCCAACAGAACAGAGCATCCAGTGCCATTTGTTCTATGCTTCATTATTCATCTTCTTACCCTACAGTAGGGTTTAACCTGAAAAATGGCCTGGCATTATTGATGTTGATATATCCAAGTGTTCTTGCCAATATTCCAGCTTGGATCAGAGTAGTGGAAGGAAGCAGAGTTGATAAATGGTAAATTAATGAATCCTGATTTGCTATATGTTTATATGTGTGATTGGCTTTTTAAGTTTTTTTTCAGAAGCACTCTCAGTAAGTTATTGCCTTCTGCTGGACAGAAGGGAGCCAATTGCTCATGGGTGCTGGGGGAGGATGGAAAGGAGAGATTGCACTGGGAAGGAATGAGAATGACTCAGTCCACCCACACGCCTCTGAAGTACTGGAAATAGTATCTTCTGAAACCAAGGGTCAGGCTGCTACTGATGCTTCAAAAAGTTTCCTAAGCCTTTTTCAAGTTGCCAAATTCACTCAGGTTTATGCATTTTAAGGTCATGCTTTAACAACCTAAAAAGCTCAATGGCTAACACTTGTTTCTAATTCCCGAACGATTTCTGTTGAAAGTCCATTTTATTTTAATTAATTTTACTAGCTATATTATAGAGGCAACAGACTGACAAGACCGGCAAGCAGCAACTCTCATATTGGCAGGGTTCTTGGAAATTGCGTTAAATTTTATCTTGCAGCTGCTTCTAAATGGAAACATTTCTTTTGTTTCCTACAAACCTGAGGCCTTCTCTATTACATTGGTTATCATACATACAGGAATACCTCATCAAGATTTGCCTTTTCCATTAAATAAGGCAGGATAAGGATGGGGATCTTGTTATTTAATTAATGCAATAAATATGTATTATTGTAATTATGATTATTATAAATATAACCACCATGTGCCTAGGAAACACAGTAGAAGGTAAGCATTTATCAAATATAATACTTTCCTCAGAAGCTGTCACTGGAGATGGGGAGAGGACACACTCTGGTTTCCATGTAAAGAGACAGACAAGCTCAGGCAATGGATAAAAAGAGAACATTACCAATGCTTCCCATCGATGCATCAGGAATGATGGAAGGATACTAGGTGGCATTCTAACCTGGGACACATTTTATTTACTTTTTATTGTTTTAGATGGGGTATTCATCCCTACAAGCATTTATCCTTTGAGTTACAAACAATCCAATTACATTCTGTATTTTAAAATATATTATTATTGACTATAGTCACCCTACTGTGCTATCAAATAGTAGCTCTTATTTGTTATTTCTATTTTTGTGGTACCCATTAACCACCCCCACCATCCCCCCAATCCCTACTACCCTTCCCAGACTCTGGTAGCCATCCTTCTATTATCTATGTCCATGGCACACGTTTTAAAGTAAACTTTCCTAAGGTCAAGATTTTACCTGGTGTTTGCAACAGGCTGAAAAATGTGTCCCTCCCCACCCCCAAATATGTTCATTTCCTAATCCCTGGGCCCTGTGAATGTTATCTTATATGGCAAAAATTGGGGGCAGAGTGGTCTTTGCAGAGGTGATTGAGTTAAGGATCTGGAGATGGGGATATTAACCTGGATTATCCAGGTGGGCCTTAAATGCAACCACATGTATCTTTATGGGAAGGAAACAGAGGGAGATTTTACACACACACACACACACACACACACACACACACACACACGCAAAGTGACTATGGAGGCAGAGAATGAAATGATGCTGCCATGACTCAAGGAATGCTGGCGGCCACCAGAAACTGGAAAAGGCAAGAAACAGATTTTCCCTAGAGCCTCCAGAAGAAACATGACCCTGCCAACACCTTGACTTTAGCCTACTGATACAGGTTTTGGACTTCTGGCCTCCAGAACTGTGAAAGAACAAATATATATTATTTTAAGTCACCAACTTTATTGGCAATTTGTTACAGCAATCATAGAAAACTAATAAAGTATCTTTGGCCATTATAATTATAACTGGCTGTAAATTAGTTTAAAAAGCCAATAGTCCTGGTTACTACTATTTAAATTCCTAAGAAAAGTAAAGAAAAAAATTTAACTAATAAACTCAATTTTACAGCAGTTTTAGGTTCACAGCAAAATTGAGTATAAAGTATAGAGAGTTTCCATATACTCCCTATCCCCACATACCCCCACTATCAACATCCCCCACCATAGTGGCAAATTTGTTTCAACTGATGAACTAATATTATCACATTATTATAGCTCAAAGTTTATAATTCATGTTAGGGTTTACTCTTAAGTTGTATATTCTATGGGTTTTGACAAATGTATAATGTCATGTAGAAAGTTATTCTATGTTTACACAAAATAGATGTTTCATATCATATAAATACCAAACAGAATTTTTGATGATTTCTTTAGAAAGAAGAATAAAAAGCAGGGCAGCTGTTGTTTAAATCAACATGAAGAAACAGAGCTATAGTCTTTTTAAAGTTGTTTCTAAAATGAGGGTTGTGTTTTTCTTTAATTTCTTCCATAGCTACTATGAGTAAGAAAGGGTTACCACAAATTTTAAAAAATATATCACCCAAATAAAAGTATAAAATATAAAAGTTTGTGAAATATAAGCCATCAGGGGCTTTTATTGTTCTAATAAGTCAGATTTCTTTTTAAGAACTTTCACAGAAAACAAAGATTTTGAAATGTTATGAAGATAAAATTTGATATAAAGCTGTTTATGGCTCGCATCTTTGATCTTTCAAAAGTAAGAGACCTATAAATAGCCTTCAAAGCATCATTTAATTTAGAGTTTCTTAACTCTAGATGAACATTAGACTCACCTGGGACTTTCAAATAATGTGCTCAAGTCTTGTCTCAGATTGATTAGTATTTTTTAATAGCTCCTCAAGTGATGCTAATGTTCATCCAGGGCTGAAATACACTAATTTACTTCTCACTCTTTTACTGTTATTTTATTTCTATGGCCTCAATGTTTCTCAAACCTTTCCAAAGAGTTTCTATTTCATCAGAAACAGAAAATATTCATATACTAATGATTTTATAGGTAATTATCCTATTCTATTCCCTAATATTCTGGTTGACCTTCTTTTCAATCTTTTTTTCATACAGGGTCTTACTCTGTCACCCAGGCTGGAGTACAACAGCACAATCATAGCTCACTATAACCTTGAACTCCTGGGATCAAGCAATCCTCCCACCTCAGTATCTCAAGCAGCTAGGACTACAAGTGTGCACCACCATGCCCGACTATATTTTTTTTTAAGAAATCGGGTCTTACAAAGAGGGGAACAACAGACACTGGGGCCTACTTGAGGGTGGAAGGTGGGAGGAGGGAGAGGATCAGAAAAAATAACTGTTGGGTACTAGGATTAGTACCTGAGTGATGAAATAATCTGTACAACAAACCCCATGACACAAGTTTCCCTGCATCAAAAACCTGCACATGTACCCTCTGAACCTAAAATAAAAGTAAAAATAAAGAAATGCAATCTTGCTATATTGCCCAGGCTAGTCTCAAACCCTGGTCTCAACTGATCCTCCTGCCTTGGGCTCTCATGTCTTTTCAACTTTCTATTGTAACCCTTTATCGTGAAAGTTTTCTCTCTTCATTCCAAAACTTTTCCTCTCTGATTTACTTGCATACTACATTTATGTTGACTTATGAATTATTCCTAACCAAACATTACTGCATGGTACACAGTAAACAAGTGACAATCTCTGAAGAGTAATTGGTTCCATAAATTCCTGTAGAGCATTAATATTGGGGTTGTCTTACTGAATAATGGACTATTAATAAATCAGATTGACTTATATAGAATTGCAATTTTAGAAATGTTCCTATCATAAACTCTGATCCTAGCCTGAATTTGATATAGCAAATGCTTCTAAATTTCAGACAAATGAAGAATTTTGATAAAACAGAGAAGCTTTCCTGGCAGTTACTCCATTCTAGTGATATTGTAGCTCAGAACCCTTGCAGTTTAAAGATATACTTAATTATTTAAAAAATTCTCTTCTTACATATGGATTTATGTTTTCCTAAACCTAGAAAGCCAGTAAAGTCAGTTGACATTTACCAGATGTGTATGGTGATTTGGGATTTGTCACAGTAGCTGGGTTTATCACAGCATAATGATAAGCAGATTCTATAGAAGTAATTTCCTCTGCAAAAGAAAGAAAGTCTGGCTTCATATATGTTACCATAGAAGAGTTAAAACATGGCCATATTTGAAATGCAATAATTTTCTTACTTTTAATTCCTTAACGAAAAAAAGCCATTCCAGTTCAACCTTTCACCTTAAATGACATTAGGGTCAAGTTTAAACCAAAACCATGTGAACAAATGAATGACTGGCACAAAGGTCAACCTTAACCTTTCTAAATACATGGAGCTTAATCTATATTCAAGTGGTCTAAAAAGTGTTTAGAACAACAAACATTAAAGTTCAGAAAAGCATCTAAAACTCAGAGCACAGGTATTGTAGCCACCCAGCAGATATGAAATATGTGACCCAGGCAAGCTATTTAATCAGTCTATTCTTTAATTTTATCTTTTGAATGGAGATTAGAAAGGGGTAGAGCAAGATGGTGAAATAGGACTCTCCAGCAATTGTCCATCCACAGAAACATCAATTAGAACAACTATCCATGCAGAAAAATATTTTCATAAGAGCTCAGAAAATCAGGTGAGAGATCACAGTACCTGGCATAACACAATAATAAGAGATGCATTGAAGAGGGAAGGAAGGAGTTTTACGTTACCTATATTCCCCTTCTGTCCACCTCAAAGACAGGCCATCCAATGGGAAAAAAGAGAGATAAATGAGCACAGGACATTGTATCAGACCTCAAAGCCAGGCCCACCACAGTAAAACCCAGCACCAGGCAGCCCCTCTTGGCCCCAAACTCCAGGCTGATACCAGCAGACAAAGCCTTCAGACCAATCTCAATGCCAAGTGGAACCACACAGTCCCAGGCTTCATGCTTGAAGTGCACAATCAACCTCTGGCCCACCTCAGGGTTCTGCCAGCTGCAGCAAGCCCAGGTATGCTCCAGCATCACCACAGCTTCAGAGGCTGCAGGATTCTCTTCTCCAACACCTCATCATCTCCAGTGGCCGCAGGAGTGTTGCGGGAAGTCAGGGACCCCGAACGGAGGGACCAGATGGAGCCATGGCAGAGGAACATAAATTGTGAAGATTTCATCTTAATATGGACATATATCAGTTCCCAAAATTAATACTTTTATAATTTCTTACACCTGTCTTTACTGCAATCTCTGAACATAAATTGTGAAGATTTCATTTTAATATGGACATTTATCAGTTCCCAAATAATACTCTTATAATTTCTTACGCCTGTCTTACTTTAATCTCTTAATCCTGTTACTCTTCGTAAGCTGAGGATGTATGTCACCTCAGGACCACTATTGTACAAATTGGTTATAAAACACGTGCGTTTGAACAATATGAAATCAGTGCACCTTGAAAAAGTACAGAATAACAGCGATTTTAGGGAACAAGGGAAGACAACCATAAGGTCTGACTGCCAGTGGGGTCGGGCAAAAAGAGCCATATTTTTCTTCCTGCAGAGAGCCTATAAACGGACATGCAAGTAGGAGAGATATTGCTAAATTCTTTTCCTAGCAAGGAATATTAAGACCCTAGGAAAAGAATTGCATTCCTGTGGGGAGGTCTATAAATGGCCACTCTGGGAGTGTCTGTTTTATGCAGTTGGGATAAGGACTGAGATACACCCTGGTATCCTGCAGTAACCTCAGGCTTACTAGGATTGGGAAACCCCAGCCCTGGTAAATTTGAGGTCAGCCCGGTTCTCTGCTCTCAAACCTTGTTTTCTGTTGTTTAAGATGTTTATCAAGACAATACATGCACAGCTGAACATAGACCTTTATCAGGAGTTTTTGATCTTGCCCTTTGCCTTGTGATCTTTGCTTTGCCCTTTGCTTTGTGATCTTTATGACCTACTCCCTGTTCGTACACCCCCTCCCCTTTTGAAGTCCTTAATGAAAACCTGCTGGTTTTGCAGCTCAGGTGGGCATCACAGACCTACCGATATGTGATGTCACCCCCGGCGGCCCAGCTGTAAAAATCCTCTCTTTGTACTCTTTCTCTTTATTTCTCAGACCGGCTGACACTTAGGGAAAATAGAAAGAACTTACATTGAAATATTGGGGGCGGGTTCCCCTGATACAGGAGAATTTTGATTTGCCCAGAATCTCTCAACAAACTGTTTTCTTTTTGTTTTTTTGTTTGTTTGTTTTGACAGAGTCGCATCCTGTCACCCTGGGCTGGAGTGCAGTGGCATGATCTTGTCTCACTGTAACCTCCACCTCTGTGTTCAAGTGATTCTCCTGCCTCAGCCTCCCAAGTAGCTGGGATTACAGGCGCCCACCACCATGTCCCGCTAGACAAACTACTTAAAGTCTTTTCCAGATACAGCCAGTCTGCAAGGACTGAAATAAGTACCTACTTCTTCAAATGCACAGACACTGATGCATGGTCGCAAGGATCTAGAACAATCAGGGAAATATAACATCACTGAAGGAACAAAATAAAATGCCAATGACTTACACCATAAAAATGGATATATGTACTTCCTAGACAAAAAATTCAAAATTACTTCTTTAAATAAGCTCAGCAAGTTTCAAGAAAATCCAAAGAAACAATTTAACCAAATGAGGAAAAGAGTAAGTGGCCAGAACAAAAAAATTAACCAAGATATTGGAATTGTAAAACATCAAACAAATTATGCAGCTGAAAAATACAATGACTAAAATGGAAAATGAAATAGATAGCATCAACAGCAGAACTGATCAAGCAGAAGAAAAAAATACATGAACCCCAAAACAGGTTATCTGAACATACATGGTCAGAGGAGAGAAAAGAACAAAGAATGAAAAGAAATGAAGAAAGCATACAGGATTTATGGTACAGCATCAAAAGAGCAAATTTTCAAGTCATAAGAGGAAATAAAGGAGAAAATTTTCAAGTCACAGGGAGAAAAATAAAGATAAAGGAGTAGAAATATAATTTAAAAAAATAACAGAAAAGTATCCAAACCTTCAGAAATATATAAGTATCCAGGTACAAGAAGGTCTCTAATTGGTTTTGATCCAAGTAAGACTACCACAAGACATATTACAATCTAACTGTCAAAAATCAAAGACAAAGAGAAGATTCTGAAAGCAGCAAGAGAAAAGAAGCAAATCACATGTAAAAGGGTTTTGACACAGCTAGCTGTAGACTTCTCATTAGAAACATTACAGGCCAGCAGATGATGGGATGATAAATTCAAAGTGCTGAAGAAGAAAAAAAAAAACCAACCCTGTCAACAAGAATACTATAACTGGCAAAACTGTGCATCAAAAATAAAGGAGAGGTAAGGACTTTCCCAGATAAACAAAAGCTAAGGAAGTTTATCATCATTAAACCTGTCTTACTAAAAATGCTATCCAGGCATGGTGGCTCTCACCTGTAATCCCAGCACTTTAGGAGGTCAAGGCAGGCAGATTACCTGAGGTCAGGAATTCGAGACCAGCCTGGCCAACATGGTGAAACCCTGCCTCTACTAAAAAGACAAAAATTAGCTGGGTGTGGTGGTGGGCACCTGTAATCCCAGCTACTCAGAGGCTGAGGCAGAAGAATTGCTTGAACCCAGGAGACACAGTTGCAGTGAGCCACTGGGTTACTGCACTCCAGCCTGGGTGACAGAGCAAGACTCCATCTCAACAAAAAAAAAAAAAAAAAAAAAAAAAGGAAATGCTAAAGGGAGCTAATGAGTTAATGAGTAAGATAAATAGCTGAAAGTATAAAATTCACTAGTAAAAGTAAGTACACAGTCAAATTTGGAACATTCTAATACTGTAATGATGGTGTATGAATCATTTATATCTTTAGTATAAATAGTGAAAGACAAAACTACGAAAAATAATAATAACTATAATAATTTGTTAAGAGATAAGCAATATAAAAAGATGTAGCTGTAACATCATAAATTAAAATGCTAGTGAGGATATGGAGTAAAAATATAAAGTTTTTTGTGATCAAAGTTAAGTTTGTTATAAGCTTAAAACAATCTGTTTATTAAGATGACTTTTAAGCCTCATGCTAACCACAAAGAAAAAAACCTATAGTACATACACAAAAAATAAAAATCAAGCAATGAAAACACAACACTAGAGAAAATCACTTAGCCACAAAAAAGAAAGAAACAAAAAAATCCACAAAACAAATAGAAAACAATTAACAAAGTAGAAACAATAAGTCTTTTATCTATCAATAATTATTTTGAATGTAAATGGATTAAATTCTTTAATCAAACAACGTGGAGTGACTGAATGGATAAAAAAGAAGAAGAAGAAGAAAAAAAAAAGACCCAACCATATGCTGCCTGCCTCTAAGAAACTCACTTCACCTTCAAGGATACAAATAGACTGAAATTGAAGGAATGTAAAAAGATATTTTATGCAAACTGAGCCAAAATAGGGCAGGAATGGTCATACTTACATCAGACAAAATAGATTTCAAGTCAAAATCAGCAAAAAGAGACAAGATCATATAATAACAAAGGTGTTAATTCAGCAAGAAGATATAACAATTTAAAACATATAAGCATCCAACACCAGCACACCTTAATATATAAAGCAAATATTAATAGATCTGAAGACAGAGAGTGCAATATAGTAGCAGAGGACTTTGACACCCCACTTTTAGCAACAAACAGGCCATCCAGAGAGAAAATCAATGAAGAAACTTTGAACTTAAGCACTCTTCTAGACCACATGAACCTAACAGACTATACAGAATATTCCATTCAACAGCCGCAGAGTACTTCTCAACTGTACATGGAAAATTCTACAGATAGATTATATGTTAGGTCAGAAAACAAGTCTTAACAAATTCAAGAAGATTGAAACAATATCAAATACTTTTTCTTACTATAATGGTATAACACTAGAACTCAATAACAGAAGGAACTTCAAAAAATTCACAAATACATGGAAATTAGACAACAGACTCTTGAACAACCAATGGGTCAATGAAGACATTAAAAGAAAAACTTAAAAGTGTCTGGAGGCCAAATGCAAAAGAATGGAAATCATAACAGTCTCTCAGATCACAGTGCAATCAAATTCAAGCTCAGGATTAAGAAATTCACTCAAAACCACACAACTGCATGGAAACTGAACATGCATGAACCTGCTCCTGAATGACTACTGGGTAAATAACAAAATTAAGACAGAAATAAATGAGTTCTTAGAAACCAATAAGAACAAAGACACAACATACCAGAATCTCAGACACAGGTAAAGCAGTTTTTAGAGGGAAATTTATAGCACTAAATGCCCACAAGAGAAAGCAGGAAAGATCTAAAATCAACACCCTAACATAACAATTAAAAGAAATAAAGAAGCAAGAGCAAGCAAATTCAAAAGCTAGCAGAAGACAAGAAATAACTAAGATCAGAGCAGAACTGAAGGAGATATATACATGAAAAATGCTTCAAAAAAATCAATGAATACAGGATCTGATTTTTTGAAAATATCAACAAAATAGGCCGCTAGCCAGACTAATAAAGAAGAAAAGAGAGAAGAATCAAATAGATGCAATAAAAAATGACAAAGAGGATATCACCACTGATCCCACAGAAATACAAATTACCATCAGAGAATACTGTGAACACCTCTGTGCAAATAAACTAGAAAATCTAGAAAAAAAATAAATAAATTTCTGGACACATACACCCTCCCAAGTCTAAACCAGGAAGAAGTCAAATCCCTGAATAGGCCAATAACAGTTCTGAAATGCAGGCAGTAATTAATAGTCTACCAACCAAAAATGAAGCCCAGGATTAGATGGACTCACAGCCGAATTCTACCAGAGGTACAAAGAGAAGGTGGTCCCATTCCTTCTGAAACTATTCCAAACAACAGAAAAAGAGGGAATCCTCCCTAACCCATTTTATAAGGCCAGCATAATCTGGATACAAAAACCTGAAAGAAACACAATAAAAACAGAAAATATCAGGCCAATATCCCTGATGAACATCAATGTGAAAATCCTCAATAAAACACTGGCAAACCGAATCCACCAAAACATCAGAAAGCTTATCCACCACAATTAAGTCAGCTTCATCCCTGAGATGCAACCCTGGTTCAACATACAGAAATCAATAAATGTAATCCATCAGTTAAACAGAACCAATGACAAAAACGACATGATTATCTCAATAGATGCAGAAAAGGCTTGTGATAAAATTCAACAGCCCTTCATGTGAAAAACTCCCAATAAACCAGGTATTGATGAAACATACCTCCAAGTAATAAGAGCTATTTATGACAAACTCATGGCCAATATCATACCAAATGTGCAAAAACTGGAAGCATTCCCTTTGAAAACCGGCACAAGACAAGGATGCTCTGTCTCACCACTCCTATTCAACATAGTATTGGAAGTTCTGGCCATGGAAATCAGGCAAGAGAAAGAAATAAAGGGTATTCAAATAAGGAGAGGAAGTCAAATTGTCTCTATTTGCAGATGACATGATTTTATATTTAGAAAACCCCCTCGTCGGGCCCAAAATCTTCTTAAGCTGATAAGCAACTTCAGCAAAGTCTCAGGATACACAATCCATTCGCAAAAATCACAAACATTTCTATACACCAGTAACAGAGAGCCAAATTATGAGTGAATTTCCATTCACAATTGCTACAAAGAGAATAAAATACCTAGGAATACAATTTACAAGGGATGTGAAGGACCACTTCAAGGAGAACTACAAACCACTGCTCAAGGAAATAAGAGAGGAAACAAACAAATGGAAAAACATTCCATGCTCATGGATGAGAAGAATCAATATCATGAATATGGCCATGCTGCCCAAAGTAATTTATAGACTCAGTGCTATCCCCATCAAGCTACCACTGACTTTCTTCACAGAATTAGAAAAAACTAATTTAAATTTCATATAGAACCAAAAAAATAGCCTGTATAGCCAAAACAATCCTAAGCAAAAGAATAAAGCTGGAGTCATCATGCTACCTGACTTCAAACTATATTACAAGGCTACAGCAACCAAAACAGCATAGTACTTGTGCCAAAACAGATATACACACCAATGGAACAGAATAGAGGCCTCAGAAATAACGCCACACATCTACAACCATCTGATCTTTGACGAACTTGACAAAAACAAACAATGGGGGAAGGATTCCCTATTTAATAAATGATGTTGGGAAAACTGGCTAGCCATATGCAGAAAACTGAAACTGGACCCCTTCCTTACACCTTATACAAAAATTAACTCAAGATGGATTAAAGACTTAAACATTAGACCTGAAATCATAAAAGCCCTAGAAGAAATCCTAGGCAATACCATTCAGGACATAGGCATGAGTGAAGACTTCATGACTAAAACACCAAAAGCAATGGCAACACAAGCCAAAATTGACAAATGGGATCTAATTAAACTAAAGAGCTTTTGCACAACAAAATAAACTATTATCAGAGTGAACAGGCAGAATGGGAGAAAATTTTGGCAATCTCTCCATCAGACAAAGGGCTAATATCCAGAATCTATAAGGAGCTTAACAAATTTACAAGAAAAAAACAAACAACCTCATAAAAAGGTGGGCAAATAATAAGAACAGACATTTCTCAAAAGAAGACATTTATGCAGCCAACAAACATGAAAAAAAAAAGCTAATCATCACTGGTCATTAGAGAAATGCAGATCAAAACCACAATGAGATACCATCTCATGCCAGTTAGAATGGTGATCATTAAAAAGTCAGGAAACTACAGATGCTGGAGAGGATGTGGAGAAATATGAACAATTTTACACTGTTGATGGAAGTGTAAATTAGTTCAACCATTGTGGAAAACAGTGTGGTGATTCCTCAAGGATCTACAACCAGAAGTACGATTTGACCCAGCAATCCCATTACTGGGTCTATTCTTAAAGGATTATAAATTATTCTACTATAAAGACACAGCACACATATGTATATTGCAGCATTGTTCACAATAGCAAAGAGTTGGAACCAACCCAAATGACCATCAATGATAGAATGGATAAAGAAAATGTGGCACATATACACCATGGAATACTATGCAGTCATACAAAAGGATGAGTTCATGTCCTTTGCAGGGACATGGATGAAGCTGGAAACCATCATTCTCAGCAAACAAACACAAGAACAGAAAGCCAAACACCACATGTTCTCACTTATAAGCGGGAGTCGAACAATGAGAACACACGGACACAGGGAGTGGAATAACACACACTGAGGCCTGTCGGGGTGTGGGGGGCTAGGGGAGGGATAGCATCAGGAGAAATAACTAATGAGGATGACGGATTGATGAGTGCAGCAAACCACCATGGCACGTGTATACCAATTTAACAAACCTGCATGTTCTGCACATGTATCCCAGAATTTAAAGTATTAAAAAAAAAAACTTCCAATAAATGATTTGTTAAATGTTTAAAAATTAATTAATTAAAAAAGGAAAAGAGATGATCTGATGAATTAAAATTTTAATTCATAATTAACTAATTCAAATAAATATTTTTATTATTTTTTATTTGATAAGCTTATTTTTATGGATACATATATTATAGAGATACAATATAATACTTTTTATTGATACAAATACTTTACATATTTATTGGGTACATGTGATATTTCTTGCATGCATAGAATGTGTAATGATAATGTCAGTGTATTTGGCATATCTATCATCTTGAGTAATTATCATTTTTATGTGTTGGAAACATTTCAAGATCTCTCTTGAGGCTGCCATGAAATATACCATATATTGCTCCTAACTATTGTCATCCTACTCTGTTATCAAACATTAGAACTTATACCTTCTATCTAACTGTGTATTTGTAGCCATTGACCAATCTCTCTTCACCGCCTGCACCTGGCCCAACCCACACACCCTTCCCAGCCTCTGGTATCAATCATTCTAATCTGTGCCTTGATGAAGTCAATTTTTTTCAGCTCCTACATATGAGTGAGAACATGGGGGAAATCTGTCTTTCTCTGCCTAACTTTCTATGCCTAATAACATAACATAAATATTATGTTATTTCATTTAGCAGAATAATCTCCAGTTCCATCTGTGTTGCTGCAAATGACAGAATTTCATTTTGTTATGGCCAAATATATTCCACTGTGTGTGTATACAACATTTTCTTTATCCATTCATCTGTTGACAGACACTTAGGTTGATTCCATATTTTTGCAATTGTGAATAGTGCTGGAATAAACATGGTAGTGCAGGTATCCCTCTAATATACTCATTTCTTTTTCTTTGGATAAACAATAATGTGATTGCTGAATCATATGGTACTTTTAGTTTTGGAGAAATTTACACACTGTTTTCCATAGTGGCTGTATTAATTTACTGTCCCACCAACAGTGTATGAGTTCACTTTTCTCCACATTCTCAACAGCACCTGTAATTTTCTGACTTTTTAATAACAGCCATTCCAACTGGGGTAAGGTGATAACTCATCGTAGCTTTGGTTTGCATTTCTCTGATGATTACAGATGTTGAGCATTTTTTTCATATACCTGTTTGCCTTTGTATGTCCTCTTTTCAGAAATGTCTCTTCATGTCCTTTGCCCATTTTTTAATGGAATTCTTTTTTTTTTTCTGTTGAGTTGTTCGAATTTATTTTATATTTTGGATATAAATTCCTTGTCAGATGCATAGTTTGCAAATATTTTTTCCCATTCAACAGACTGTCTCTTCACTCTGGTGACTAATTTTATTTGCATAAGCTTTTTCTTAGGTCGGTGTAAAAGAAATTGTGGTTTTTGCCATTAAAAGTAACAATATAAACTGCAATTAATTTGCACCACATTAATAGTTTAATATAGTACCATTTATCTTTTGTTTCTGTTTTCTGTACTTTTGAGGTCTTATCCATAAAATCTTTGCCTAGACCAATGTCCTAAAATGTTTTCCCTATGTTTTCATCTAGTAGCTTATAGTTTTATAAAATCTTATATTTAAGTCTTTAGTCCATCTTTTTTTTATGTTATGAGAAATGGGGTCCAGTTTCATTCTTCTGAATATGAATGTCCAATTTTCCCAGCAACATTTATTGAAGGGCATGTCCTTTTCCTGACGTATGCTCTTGATGTCTTTATCGAAAAACAGATTGCTGTAAGAGCAATCAATGGATTTATTTCCGGATTTTCTATTTTGTTCTATCGTTCTATGTGTCTGGGGGTTTTTTGTTTGTTTGTTTTTTGTGATTTTTTTTTTTTTTTGGCCAATACCATGTTGTTTTGGTTAATATAGCCTTGAAACATATTTTCAAATCAGGTAGTGTGAAGATGGCTCCAGCTTTGTTTTTTGTGCCCGATATAATTTGGCTGTGTCCTCACCCAAATCTCATCTTGAATTTCCATATGTTGTGGGAGGGACCCAGTGGGGGTTAATTGAATTATGGAGCAGGTCTTTCCCATACTGTTCTCATGGTAGTTAATAAGTCTCAGAAGATCTGATAGCTTTATAAGGGGGAGTTTCCCTGCTCAAGCTCTTTCTTTGCCTGCTGCCATCCATCCACATAAGACATGACTTGCTCCTCCTTGTTTTCTGCCATGATTGTGAGGCTTCCCCAGCCATGTAGAACTATGAGTCCATTAAACCTTTATCCTGTATAAATTACCCAATCTTGGGTATGTATTTATTAACAGTGAGAAAATGGATTAATACAGTGCCCATACTGATTTGGTTATTCAAGCTCTTTTTTGGTTCTATAAAAATTTTAGGACTGTTTTCTACTTCGTGAAAAATGACATTGCTATTTTGATAGAAATTACATTGACTGTGTAGATTTCTTTAAGCAGTATCGTCATTTTAGCAGTATTAATTATTCTAATTCATAAACAAGGGATATTTTTCCATTTGTTTGTGTCTTATTCAATTTCTTTTGTTAGGGTTTTGTAATTTTCTTTGTATTTCACTTCCTTTGTTAAATGTATTCCTAGGCATTTTATTTTATTATTTGTAGCTATTGTAAATGGGATTGCCTTCTTGATTTCTTTCTCAGACAGTATATTATTGGTATATATAAATGCTTCTGATTTTTGTATGTTGATTTTGTATCTTGCTACCTTACTAAATTTATTTATTAGACCAAAGAGGTTTTTGTTTTTTTTGGAAATGCCTTTATGTTTTTCTAGGTATAAGATGAAATCATCAGCAAAGAGTGACAATTTGACTTTCTCTTTTCCAATTTGGACACCTTTTATTTATTTGTTTTTTTCTTGCCTGATTGCTCTGGCTTGGATTTCCAGTACTTTGTTGAATAGCAGTGGTAAAAGTGGGCATTCTAGTCTTGATCCAGTTCTTAGGAGAAAGGTTTTCAACTTTTCCCCAGCAAGTATGATGTTAGCTATTGTTTGTCATATATAGTCTTTATTATGTTGAGGTACGTTCCTTCTTTGCCTAGTTTGTTGAGGCTTTTATAATGAAAGATGTTGAATTTTACCAAATGCTTTTTCTACATCTATTAGGATGATCATAGTGTTTTTTGTCCTTCATTGTGTAATGATATATCACATTTATTCATTTGCATACGTTGAGCTATCCTTGAATCCCCGGGATAAATCCCACTTGATCGTGGTGTATTACTTTATTGATGTGCTGTTGGATTCAGTATTTTGTTGAGAATTTTTGAGTCTGTGTTAGCCAGGGATATTAGTTTTCTTTGTTGTTGTTGTTGTTGTTGTATCCTTTGTCTGGTTTTGGTAGCAAAGTAATATAATTTAGATATTTGTCCCTCCACAAATATCTCATGTTGAAACTTAATCCTCAATGTTTAGGGTGGAGCCTAGTGAGAGGTGTTTGGATCATGGGGGTAGATCTCTCATGAATGGCTTTCTGCCATCCTTACCATAATGAGTGACTTCTCACTCTTTTACTTCCTGTGATAACTGATGGTATAAAAATAGCCTGGCACCTCTCTCCCTTGTCATTCTTTCTCCTCTTACCATGTGATATTCTGGCTCCCCTTCGCCGTCTATCATGTGTCAAAGCAGTCTGAGGTCCTTACCAGAAGCAGATATTGGTGTCATGCTTTTTGTACAACTTGCAAAACCATGAGCCAAATGAAGCTCTTTTCTTTATAAATTACGTAGCCTCAGGTAATCCTTTAGAGCAATACAAATAGACCAAGACACAAGATAATGCTGGCCGTATAGAATGAGTTAGGGAGAAACTCCTCATCTTCAATTTTTTGGACTAATTTAAGGAGAACTGGTGTTAGATCTTCTTTGAAAGTTTGGTAGAATTTGTCAGTAAAGCCACCTGGTCCTGGACTTTTCTTTTTTGGGAGATGATTACTGATTCAATCTCATTACTCATTATTGGTCTGTTCAGGTTTTCTGTTTCTTTCTAATTCAATCTTGGCAGGTTATATGTGTCTAGTGATTTATCTATTTCTTATAGGTTTTCTAGTTAGTGTACAGTTGTTTATAATAATCTTTGAAGGTCTTTTGTATTTTGATGGTATCAGTTGTAGTGTCTCCTTTTTCATTTCTGGTTTTATTTGGGTATCCCCTTTTTGTGGTTAGTCTAGCAAGTGGTTCATCAATTTTATTTATCTTTTCACAAAACACCTTTTATTTCATTGATTCTTTGTACTTTTTTTAGTCTCTATTTTGTTTAGTTCTACTGTGATCTTTATTATTTTTCCTTCTAGTAATTTTTGAGTTTGATTTGTTTTTGCTTCTCTAGTTCCTTGAGGTACCTCCTTAAATTGTTTAACTCTTTCTACTTTTTTGGTATGTGTTTATTACTATAAACTCCTTTAGCAGTGATTTTGTTGTATTGCATAGGTTTTTAGTGTGTTGCATCTTCATTTTTGTTTGTTTCAAGTTTTTTTATTTCCTCCTTAATTTATTTCTTGACCCTATGGTCATTCAGAAGTACAGTGTTTAATTTCCATGTGCTTATAGTTTTCAAAATTTTTCTCAGTATTGATTTATAATTTTATTTCACTATGGTCTGAGAAGACACCTGATATGATTTTAACTTAAAAAATTTGTTGAGATTTGTTTTGTGTCTTGACATATGGTCTATCCTGGAGAAATTTCTGTGTGCTGAAGAGAAGAATATATATTCTGCAGCTGTTGGATAAAACATTCTATAAATATCAGTTAGGTACATTTGATCTAAGTGCAATTTAAGTACAATGTTTCACATTAATTTTCTGTCTGGGTGAGCTGTCTAATGCTGAAAGTGAAGTGTTGAAGTCCCCAAATATTCTTGTATTGGAATCTATCTCTTGCTTTAGATCCAATAATATTTGCTTTATATATCTGGGTGCTTCAATATTGGGTACATATATATTCAGAATTATATTCTCTTGTTGAATTGATTCCTTTATCATTGTATAATGACTTTTTCTATTTTTACTGTTTTGGCTTAAAATCTGTTTTATCTGACATAAATATAGCTATTCCTGCTCACATTTGGCTTCCATTTGCATGAAATATCTATTTCCATCTCATTATTTTTCTATATGTGTTTTTATAGGTGAGATGAGTTTCTGGTAGACAGAATACAGTTAGGTCATTTTTAAAAATTTATTTAGCCATTCTGTTTCTTCTAAGGGGGAAGAGAGTAAGTTCGCTGACAGTGTTTTTTTGTTTTGTTTTGTTTTGTTTTTCCTTCAGCACTTTGAATGTATCATCTCATTCTTTCCTGGCATCTAAAGTGTCTGCTGAGAAATTTGCTGTTACTGATAAGGATTCCTTTATAGGTGACAGATACTTTTTGATTACTGTTTTCAGAATTTTCTATTTGTCATTGACTTTTGACAGTTCAACTGTAATGTGCCATGGAGAAGACCTTTCTACATTGTATCTATTTGGAAATCTTGTATATGGATGTCTAAATCTCTTGCTAGACTTGGGACTTTTTTAGCTATTATTTGTTACATAGTTTTCTAACCCTTTTGTTGTCTATTCACCTTTTGGGATGCCAAAATTTTGAATATTTCATCACTTTATAGTGTCCCATATATCCAGATGTCATGAATGCTTTGCTCATTCTTTTATTATTTTTTCTTATTTTTTATATGACTTGGTTATTTCAAAAGACCTGTCTTCAAGTTCTGAGATTCTTTGTCGGCTTAATCTAGTCTGTTGTTTAAGCTTTCAAATGTATTTTGTATTTTATTCAATGAATTATTTAGCTCCAGAATTTGTTTGGTTCATCTTTACATTTATCTCTTTGGTAAATTTCTCATTCATATCCTGAATTGTTTTTCTGGTTTCTTTGTATTGTTTTTCCACAATTCTCTTGTATCTCACTGAGTTTCTTTAGTATTAATGTTTCAAATTATTTCCCCAGGATTTTCTAAATGTCTTTTTAGTTGCAATCTCTTACTGGAGAATTATTATTTTCCTTTGGAGATGTCATATTTTCTTGCTTTATCATGTTTCTTGTTTCCTTAAATTGATATCTGTGCACCTGCTGTAACAGTAACTTCTTCCAATTTTTTAAAATTTCTGTCATAGGGGAAGAATTTTTCCTGACGATGTATCAATAATGGTAGCTGGGTAGGGCACTTTGGTTTTTATTCTGGGTGTGTTCAGTAGTGTAGTCTCTGTTTTCTTTAGCTGTAAACAGTGTCAGTGGTGTCTGTGATTTCCTGGTGGCTTAGGGTATAATTGTTAGTGGAGGCTGTGACGAATTTTTCCTGGGGACTGGGATGCTCAGTGGGCCAGTCTTCAGGCCCCAGGAATGGCAGCTGTGGACTGAGAGTGCCTTTTCATGGGACCCAGGGCAGTGTATGCTGGAATTTGCATTGGCAGGTATAGACAGGTCAATTCTTAAGCCTCCAGCTGGCTTTTTTTGATATGAAAATTGGATATGGTGGGTCAAATAGGTGAATGGTTTCTCAAGCCCCTGGGCAACAAGCATGGCATGGGCAATGACAGTAACAGTAGTGGGACAACCCTCAGGGACCCAAGCAACCCATGCTGATGTTGGCATTGGCTGCAATGTGTTGGGTGGGCCATTTCTCTAACCTATAGGTGGTGCATGTGGGTGGGTGCCAGCTACAGGGGTAGTGGCAGGTTGAGTGGGCCTGATTTCAAACCTTTGGAGGAGTTCTCAGGTGCCACTGTTAGTAAACTGGGCTGGGTGATTCCCCAAGCCCCTAGATGGTGTGTGAGGGTAATTGTAAGACCCCTGGATGGTATGTTCAGGTACTGGAGGCAGTGGAGCAAAGCTGGGCAGACCTGCCTTCAGGCTCCCCCATGGTCCATGCAGGTGCTCCTTGTGATAGGAATGGGGCAATCCCCAGGAAACCAGTGGAATGCTCAAGTAGGGGCGGCCACAGCTGCACTGCAGCCCTGCTACTAGATATAGGAGGGATGTTATCCCTGGATGCTGCCATAGGTAGGCAGCTGCTCCTCAGCCCTGCAGCAGCCTGCAGTCTTGGTATTACACAGGCAGTGGAATTTGTCCTTAGGACATGTGAAAATGCATGGCTGCCTTTCTGCTGGGGGTAGGGGGAAATGAGATTGCTGCCCATGGCTCCTTCCTTGACCCTGGCAGCAGGGCAGGATGTAGGCTGCCAGGGGCTGTGCTTTCAAAATGGTGCTGTGCTGCAGCAGCTCAGGACTTATGGGTTTGTGAGATCCAGTGTGAGCTCTCTCTCTGGAGCAAAGCTTTCTCACAATCTCCAGGCAGTTCCCTAGAGGCTCAAGAGAGTTGACAGGCTCCCCAACAGTGTATATTATAGGAGTTCATGCAGGAACATGGATTGCTGGGGGATTTTCACTTACTTTTCCCCTTTATTAGGGAGCCACTTCAGATGCCCAGCGGATCCTGGTCAAACAGGCTGCCTTGTTTCCATCTCCTTTCTTGCTGTTAGGACTTCCCATCACTTTGTTGATTTCCAGTGTTCTCTCTTAGATGATCTATATGAAGTGTGACGATCTACTTGGTATTTTGGTCCCCACTATACAAGAGGTGAGTACCAGATACATCTAGTCAGCCATCTTGAAGCCCCTCCTAAATAAACATTTCTTATTCCAAGTTGTACAGATACTAAAACAAAAGATGCAGAGAAAAGATACAAAGGTTGTATACCTAGGTATTTTATTCTCTTTTTAGCAATTGTGAACGGGAGTTCACTCATGATTTGGCTCTCTGTTTGTTATTGCTGTATAGGAATGCTTGTGATTTTTGCACATTGATTTTGTATCCTGAGACATTGCTGAAATTGCTTATCAGCTTAAGGAGATTTTGGGCTGAGACAATGGGGCTTTCTAAATGTACAATCATGTCATCTGCAAACAGGGACAATTTGACTTCCTCTTTTGCTATTTGGATATGCTTTCTTTTCTTTCTCTTGCCTGATTGCCCTGGCCAGAATTTCCAATACTATGTTGAATAGGAGTGGTGAGAGAAGGCATCCTTGTCTTGTGCTCGTTTTCAAAGGGAATGCTCCCAGTTTTTGCCCATTCATTATGATATTGGCTGTGGGTTTGTCATAAATAGCTCTTATTATTTTGAGATACCTTCCATCAATACCAAGTTTATTGAGAGTTTTCAGCATGAAGCTCTGTTGAATTTTGTTGAAGGCCTTTTCTGCATCTATTGAGATAATCATGTGGTTTTTATTATTGATTCTGTTTATGTGATGGATTACATTTATTTATTTGCATATGTTGAACCAGCCTTGCATCCCAGGGGTGATACTGACTTGATTGTGGTGAATAAGCTTTTTGATGTGCTGCTGGTTTCAGTTTGCCAGTATTTTGTTGAGGATTTTCGCATCGATGTTCATCAGGGATATCGGCCTGAGATTTTCTTTTCTTGTTGCGTCTCTGTGAGGTTTTGGTATCAGGGTAATGCTTGACCTCATAAAATGAGTTAGGGAGGATTCCCTCTTTTTATATTGTTTGGAATAGTTTCAGAAGGAATGCTACCAGCTCTTTGTACCTCTGGTAGAATTCAGCCATAAATCCATCTGGTCCTGGACATTTTTTGGTTGGTAGGCTATTAATTACTACCTCAATTTCAGAACTTGTTATTGGTCTATTCAGGGATTTGACTTCTTCCTGGCTTAGACTTGGGAGGGTATATGTGTCCAGGAACTTATCCATTTCTTCTAGATTTTCTAGTTTATTCGCATAGAGGTGTTTATAGTATTCTCTGATGGTAGTTTGTACAAGGGCTGTGAGGGACCTCTTCAAGGAGAACTACAAATGAAACAACATTCCATGCTCATGGATTGGAAGAATCAATATCATGAAAATGACCACACTGCCCAAAGTAATTTATAGATTCAATGCTATCCCCATCAAGCTACCATTGACTTTCTTCACAGAATTGAAAAAAAACTACTTTAAATTTCATATGGAAGCAAAAAAGAGCCCAAGTAGCCAAGACAATTCTAAGCAAAAAGAACAAAGCTGGAAGCATGATGCTACCTGACTTCAAACCGTACTACAAAGCTACAGTAACCAAAATATCATGGTACTGGTACCAAAACAGAGAGATAGACCAATGAAACAAAACAGAGGTCTCACAAAAGATGTCACACATTTACAACCATCTGATCTTTGACAAACTTGACATAAACAAGCAATGGGAAAAGGATTCCCTATTTAATAAGTTGCGTTGGGAAAACTGGCTAGCCATATGCAGAAAACTGAAACTGGACCCCTTCCTTACACCTTACACAAAAATTAACTCAATATGCATTAAAGACTTAAATGTAAGACCTAAAACCATAAAGACCCTAGAAGAAAACCTAGGACATTCAGGACATAGGCATGGGCAAAAACTTCATGACTAAAACACCAAAAGCAATGGCAACAAAAGCCAAAATTGACAAATGTGACTTAATTAAACTAAATTACACTAATTAAACTAAAGAGCTTCTGCACAGAAAAGGAAACTATCATCAGAGTGAACAGGCAACCTACAGAATGGGAGAAAATTTTTGCAAACTACCCATCTGACAAAGGGCTAATATTCAGAATCTACAAAGAACTTAACCAAATTTACAAGAAAAAAACAATCCCATCAAAAAGTGGGTGAAGGATATGAAGAGATACTTCTCAAAAGAAGACATTTATGCAGCCAACAAACATATGAAAAAAAGTTCATCATCACTGGTCATTAGAGAAATGCAAATCAAAACCACAATGAGATACCATTGCATGCCAATTAGAATGGCAATCATTAAAAAGTCAGGAAACAACAGATGCTGGAGAGGATGTGGAGAAATAGGAACGCTTTTATGCTGTTGATGGAAGTGTAAATTAGTTCAACCATTGTGGAAAACAGTGTGGTGATTCCTCAAGGATCTAGAAGCAAAAATACCATTTGACCCAGCAATCCCATTACTGTGTATATAGCCAAAGGATTATAAGTCATTCTACTATAAAGCCACATGCACACATATGTTTATTGCAGCACTGTTCACAATAGCAAACAGTTGGAACCAACCGAAATGACCATCAATGATAGAATGGATAAAGAAAATGTGGCATATATACACCATGGAATACTATGCAGTCATACAAAAGGATGAGTTCATGTCCTTTGCAGGGACATGCATGAAGCTGGAAACCATCATTCTCAGCAAACTAACACAAGAACAGAAAACCAAACACCACATGTTCTCACTCATAAGTGGGAGTTGAACAATAAGAACACATGGACACAGGGAAGGGAACACCACATACTGGGGCCCATTGGGGTGTGGGGGGCTAGGGGAGGAATAGCATTAGGAGAAATACCTAATGTAGATGACAGGTGGATAGGTGCAGCAAACCACCATGGCACGTGTATACCTATTTAACAAATCTGCACATTCTGCACATGTACCCCAGAACTTACACAATAATAATAACAATAAAGAAAAGATACAAAGGGACATTGTGCATTATTTGGGAAGTTGTACCCAAGTAATTTGTTTTCTACATAGGTCCATCATGTGTTCCCTATTCTATATCATTTACTTTTTTGCAAATTTTCTATAAAGTTTTATTTTTAATAAATAAGTGAACTAGATACCATGTCATGTCTAAAGTCTTTATTTCCTTTTTTCAAGAAGTTCATAAAAGTTGAGTTCAGATCCAGAGCTAGTGGAACAATACTTTCTACTTGACAAACATGAGAATCAAGCCTGAAGCAAATGGTTTAGAAACGTTTACTCAGGTAGAATGAGCCCAGTGCCACACATAGAAACAGTCTCTCAACAACAGTTCCATTTGTGAGATATTATGCTGGTGTCTATCAATCTCCTTCAACACAGCCAGAAATGGTACAAGCAAAGAAAGAATGATAATAGAAAAAGCCTGCCTAAACTCTGCCTTTCAGGAAATGTCAAAGAAAACTGGGAACAATTTAAGCAATGTTTCACTTCAAATGTGCAAACTGCTGGAGTCAGACTAAGCAAGTGAGAAAAGATCACTTTATTTTCCCACCCAGGCAAGAGACTTTAGACATTTACAACAACTTATAGCTCAGGCAAAAAGAGCAATGTGAATAAGAACATTTCCTGCAGACAGTTGATAAATCCACAGGTCTCTACAAAAAAAAAAAAAAATGGGTTCTGCTTCACTAAGCAGCCATAACCTGAAGGAGAGCAGGAAAAAAGGAGCTGGCTTACGGTGCTGGAAATTTTACTATTCATGAGAAAATTAACTAAATTTGAACGGAAGCAGGTACAATAACAAGTTGTTAGGGAGAAACTGCTCTTGTCCCATCTTAAAATGGGAAGTGAGTTTGCAAAATATCTGAAAGAATCAGTATTCAGGATGCTTGCCCTGGGGATGTGGAAATGACCAGAACCATTAAAGGCACAGAAGTACTGAAGGATTTAAAAGTTCATAAACAGAAGAAAAAAACTCTCACAGAGACTGCAGAGGTTCTGCAAAAAGCATTGAAAACTTTTCCTCTTTTGGGTCTCTGTCTCCACATCTGTAAAATTAAGACATTGGCCTACCTGATCCGTGGAGGCCTTCCAGCATTAAGATTATATGATTTCTGTGAAGTGCTAAAATGGGAATACACAAAATAAGCATGATAGTATAGGTAGCAGCAACAACAGTCAATGTGTGGAAACATGGGGACTGCCAAGAAAATAACATCTGATGCTACACAGAGGATAACCACATATAAGGAAGGCTAGTGCAACCCACCTTTAGCCCATCCTCTCCAAGATAAATTTTATATAAAATTGTTGATAAATTTACCATGTTCTCAAAACATAATGATGCATACCACGATTTCACAGCAAATGTTACCCTAAGTTCCAACTAATATGGTCTGGCTCTGGGCTTTCTCTTCAACCTCACCTCCCTCCTTACTCCCTCTGGGTCATGTCATCTGAGTTATCTGGCCTGTTTTTGTATTTTCTGTATGTAAAGTGCATCCCCACCTTGATGCTTTTCCCCAGGCTATTCCTTCTGTTTCTGCTGTCTTCTCTCTCATCATTATTGTATCAGTTCCATCACATCATTTATTTGTCAGTCCAAATTTCATTTAACTAATAAGTTATCTCTGACCTCTCCCACTATTCACTTCATCCCATTGTTCTTGAATTTCTTTCAGAGTACTTATCATTCTTTGAAATTATTGATTTGCTTATACTTTTTCTGTCTTCTCAACTGGACTGTAAGTTGAGTGAGGGCCCAAACATGATTGGTTTAATGTACTCCTGGACATAATAGATGCTCAAAATACATTTATAAAATGAATAATTAAGCCACTAGTTAAGTATTAGCATCTCCATTTTATTGTCTAGGAAATATCAGAGAAGAGGTTTAGTAACCTGCACAAATGAACAGCTTGATTAAATAGTGTAAGATTATAACTTAGGTTGAACTAGTTTACAGTCCCACCAACAGTGTAAAAGTGTTCCTATTTCTCCACATCCTCTCCAGCACCTGTTGTTTCCTGACTTTTTAATGATTGCCATTCTAACTGGTGTGAGATGGTATCTCATTGTGGTTTTGATTTGCATTTCTCTGATGGCCAGTGATGATGAGCATTTTTTCATGTGTTTTTTGGCTGCATAAATGTCTTCTTTTGAGAAGTGTCTGTTCATGTCCTTCGCCCACTTTTTGATGGGGTTGTTTGTTTTTTTCTTGTAATGGCGATTCCTCAGGGATCCAGAACTAGAAATACCATTTGACCTAGCCATCCCATTACTGGGTATATACCCAAAGGACTATAAATCATGCTGCTATAAAGACACATGCACACGTATGTTTATTGCGGCATTATTCACAATAGCAAAGACTTGGAACCAACCCAAGTGTCCAACAATGATAGACTGGATTAAGAAAATGTGGCATATATACACCATGGAATACTATGCAGCCATAAAAAAGGATGAGTTCATGTCCTTTGTAGGGACATGGATGAAATTGGAAATCATCATTCTCAGTAAACTATCGCAAGAACAAAAAACCAAACACCGCATATTCTCACTCATAGGTGGGAATTGAACAATGAGATCACATGGACACAGGAAGGGGAACATCACACTCTGGGGACTGTTGTGGGGTGGGGGGAGGGGGGAGGGATAGCACTGGGAGATATACCTAATGCTAGATGACAAGTTAGTGGGTGCAGCGCACCAGCATGGCACATGTATACATATGTAACTAACCTGCACAATGTGCATATGTACCCTAAAACTTAAAGTATAATAATAAAAGAAAAAAAAACTTAAAAAAAAAAGATTATAACTTAGGACTTTGAATAACCTACTATGATTTGTTTCTAACTTTCTGGAATACTCCATGCAATTGACCCAGAAGCCACCCTTCATCTCTTTTTTGTATTCAGAGCTAATCTTCCCAGTCTATTGGTAACCTCACTCTGCATAAAAGGGTCTAGTTCAAGCATTGTCTTGGAGTGGAGATGAGGTTCCAGGAGGTCTAAGTATAATACTAAGGATAAAATTTGATTATTAATAACTATTAAAAATTATAATTTTTCTGTGGCAGTGAGAAAAGGGAAGGGGACCAAGAGATAAATGGATGTATAATTCATTTGAGAATTGGATATACTTCAGTCTTGGTAGTCATTGGTATAATAATCAGATTTCAAATTCCATGTTTATTGACACACTGAAATGTTTGGAAGCATGGGCTGTAAAGCCTGGGTCTGAATCCCTTCTTGGCCATTCTCTGACATTGCTATGTGACCTTGTGACATGTCTGTGCATTCACTGTAAACAGGGGCTACTATCAGTATACCTGATGATGATTAAATAGGTTTATAGATATAGAACTCTTAGATCACAGTCTGGAATAAAGTGAAAATCAAACCATAAGCTATTATTATTGTTAACATCATTAGTCTATACTTATTATTGTGAGATCTCACATTGCAAAAGATATCAGCTGTTTAATTTTTAGTTGAGCCCTACTGTATAATAATATCCTTGATGGCTACTGATTTTTCACTCATATATTACTTATACCACCCAAATATCTGTATCTTGAAAAGCAGGACACAGCAAGATGCCTGAATAGAAGGCTACACCAATTATTCCCTCTGCAAAAACACCAATTTAGCAACTATCTACACACACAAACACACACACACACACACACACACACACACAAGAGCACCTTTATAAGAACCAAAAAATCAGGTAAGCACTCACAGTACCTAGTTTTAACTTCATATCGATGAAAGAGGCATTGAAGATGGTAGGAAAGAGTCTCAAATCACCACTGCCACCCTTCCCCCATCTCCTGGCAACAGCCACACAGCACAGAGAATTTGTGCTCTTGGGAGAGGAAAAGTGCAGCAACTGTGAGACATTACATTAAACTCAGTGCTGCCTTGTCACAGCAGAAAGCAAAACCTGGATGAACTCAGCTGATGCCTGTCCATGAAATATTATTTAAACCAGGCCTATCAAGAGGGAAATTGCACATCCCAGTGGTCAGAACTTGAGTTCCAGCAAGCCTTGCCACTGTGGGCTAATTTGCTCAGGGCCTATAAACTTGAAAGGTACCCTAGGCCACAAGGACTGCAATTTCTAGGTGAGTTCTGGCGCTGAATTGGGCTCAGAACTAGTGGACTTCAGGGGCATGAGACATACTCAGATACCTGCCAGGGTTCCACCCACCCCCCAACCTCAGGCTGCATAGCTCATGACTCCAAAAGAGACCCCTTTCTTTCACTTGAGGAGAGGAGAAAGAAGAATGATGAGGATATTTGTCTTGCATCTTGGATACCAGCTCAGCAACAGTAGGATAAGACAACAATCAGAGTCATGAGTCCCCCATTCCAGGCCCTGACTCCCAGATAACATTTCTAGACACATCCTAGGCCAAAAGGAAACCCACTGCCTTGAAGAGAATCACCCAGCCCTGGGATGACCCATCACCTTCTGACTAAAGACCCCTTGAACCCTGAATAACCAGCAGCAATACCTAGGTAGTACACCATGGGACTTAGGTGAGATTCTGAGACTTGCTGGCTTCAACTGAGACTCAGCACATTCCAAGGTATGGTAGCTATGGGGAGAGACTCCTTCTGCTTGAGAAAAGAGGAGGAAAAAGAAAAGGGACTTTGTCTTGCACCTTAGGTACTAGCTCAGTCACAGGGGTGTGAAGATCAAGAAGGCTACTGGGGTCCCTGATTCCAGGCCGTGACACTTGGATGGCATTTCTGGACCTTCTCTGTGCCACAGGGAAGCCCACTTCCCTGAAGAGCGAGTCCCAGACCAGGCAGCATTCACTGAAAGTTGACTGAAGAGCCCTTGGGCCTGAAGGGAACATCACTGGTAGTCTGGCAATACTCCCCACGGGCCTGTGACACTGGTGGCCATGGAGTGAAGCTCCATTGCCTGTGGAAAGGGGAGGAAGAGTGGGAAGGACTGCATCTCATGGTTTGAGTGTCAGCTCAGTTGCAGTACAGTAGAACACCAGGTTTTCTACTCCAGTCCCTGGCTCCTGGATGGCACTTCTACACCTACCCAGGGCCTGACAGAGCTCATTGCCCTGAAACAAAGGACATAAGCCTGGCTAGCTTCACCACTTGGTGATAGTAGAGCTCCAGTGCCTTAACAAACATAGGCAAAGGACAGGTAGTGGGCTTCAGGTCTGATTCATCACAGTCTTAGTGGTGGTGGCCACAGGGGAACTTGTAACACCACACCACCAGCTCCAGGCAGCTCAGAACAGGGAAAGAGACTATGCTTGTTTGGGACAAAGTAAGGAAAGAGAACTAGAGTCTTTTCCAGGTAATGCAGATATTTCTTCCAGATATTATCCAAGATGACCAAAGTAGTACCTCTATGAGTCTGCAAGAACCACAGCATTACTGAGTTTTGGTGCACCCTAATAGAGATATGGCTTAGATTACAACAGCCAAGTCATTTTGAATACCCAAAAATCCTTTCCCAAAAAGATGGGTAGAAGGAAGCCCAGACTGTGGCGACTGCAATAAATATCTAACTCTTCAATGCCAGACACAAGTAAACACCCACCTGCATCAAGAACACCCAGAAAAATACCACCTCATTAAATGAACTAATGCACGAGGGACTAATCCTGAAGAAACAGGTATGTGACCTTTCAGAGAAATAATTAAAAATAGCTCTTTTGAGGAAACTCAAAGAAATTCAAGATAACACAGAGAAGGAATTCAGAATTCTATCATATAAATTTAACAAAGAAATTGAAATAATTTAAAATAATAAAGCAGAAATTCTGGAGTTGAAAAATATAACTGGCATAAGAAAGAATGCATCAGTCTTTTAATGGCAGAATTAATCAAGCAGAAAAAAATGGTGAGCTTGAAGGCAGGCTATTTGAAAATATACAGTAGGAGAAGAAAAAAATAAAAATAAACCGAAGCATGCCTTCAGGATCTAGAAAATAACCTCAGAAGAGCAAATCTAAGACTCATAGGCCTTATAAAGGAAGTAGAGAAGAAGATAGGGATGGAAAGTTTATTCAAAGAGATAATATCAGAAAACATCCCAAACCTAGAAAAAGAGATCAATATTTAAGTACAAGAAGGTTATAGAACATCAAGCAGATTTAACCCAAAGATGACTAGCTCCAGGCATTTAATAATCAAATTCCTAAGGATCAAGGATAAAGAAAGGATTCTAAAAGCATCAAGAGAAAAGAAACAACATATGATAGAACTCCAGTACATCTAGCAGCAGATTTTCAGTGGAAACTGTAGAGGCCAGGAGACAGTGCCATGACATACTTAAAGTGCTGAAGAAAAAAATACTTATACCCTAGAATAGTATATCTGGCAAAATATATTCTTCAAACATGAAGGAGAAATAAAGACTTTCCCAGACAAACAAAAACTGAATGATTTTATCAACACAGGACCTGTCCTAAAAAAATGCTAAAGAGAGTTCTTCAATCAGAAAGAAAAGGATATTAATAAGGAAGAAGAAATCATGTGAAATTACAAAACTCACTGGCAATAGTAAGTACACAGAAAACTACAGAATATTATAACACTGTAACTATGGTGTGTAAACTACTTTTATCTTAAGAAAAACTAAATGATGAACTAATCAAAAATAATAATAACAACAGTTTTTCATGATATAATACAATAGATATAAATAGAAACAACAAAAAGTTAAAAAGCTGAAAGGGGACAAAGTTAAGGTGTAGCATTTTTATTAGTTTTCTTTTTGCTTGCTTGTTTATGAAAAGAGTGTTATCAGCTTAAAATAATGAATTATAAGGTATTATTTGCAAGTCTCACAGTAATCTCAAATTAAAATTCATACAATGCATACAAAAAAGTAAAAAGCAAGAAAGTAAATCATACCAGCAGATAAAATCACTTTCACTAAAAGGAAGACAGGAAGGAATGAAAGAAAGAAAGAAGAGAAAAGAAGACCATTAAAAAAGAGAAACTGAATAAAAAATGGCAGGAGTAAATCCTACATATCAATAATAACATTGAATGTAAATAAACTAAAGTGGCTGAATACATTTTTTTAAAAAGACCCAATGATCTGTTGCCCACAAGAAACATACTTAACTTATAAAGACACACATAGACTGAAAAAAAAAAGATATTCCATGTCAATTGAAACAAACAACAAAAAAGAGTGGGAGTAGCTATACTTACATGAGAAAAAAATAGATTTTAAAACAAAAAAATATAAAAAGAGACAAAGAAGGTAATCATATAATGATAAAGGGGTCAATTCAGCAAGAGAGAGTATAACAATTGTAAATATATATGCGCCCAACACTGGAGCACACAGATATATCAAAGCAAACACTATTAGAGCAAAAGAGAGAGATTTATCCCAATAAAATAATATCTGGAGGCTTCAGCACCCCACTCTCAGCATTGAACAGATTATCTAGACAGAAAATAAAAAAAAAGAAATATCACAATTAATCTGTACTATAGACCAAATGGACTTAATAGATATTTACAGAACATTTCATCCAACAGCTGCAGAATACACATTATTTTCATTAGCACATGGATCATTCTCAAGGATAGATCATATCCTAGATAAAAAAACAAGTCTAAAAACATTCAAAATATTAAAATACCAAATATCTTCTCTGACCACAATGGAATAATACTAGAAATCAATAACAAAAAGAATTTTTAAAAATTATACAAACACATGGAAATTACACAATGTACTCCTGAATAATCAGTGGTTCAATAAAGAAATTAAGAATGAAATTGAAAAATTTATTGAAACAAATGATAATAAAAACACAAAATCCCAAAATCTATGGGATATAATACAAGTAGTACTAAGAGAGAAGTTTATAGCCATTAATGCCTACATCAAAGGAGAAAAATGTCACATAAACAACCTAAGAATGCCTCTTAATGAACTAGAAAAGCAAAAGCAAAGCAAACCCAAAATTAGTAGAATAAAAGAAATTATAAAGGTAAGAGAAGAAATAAATTTGAAATGAGGAAAAAAGCAGATCAACAAAACAAAAAGCTGGTGTTTTGAAAAGATAAATAAAATTGACATGTAGCCAGACTAAGAAAAAAAAGGAGAGAAGTCCTAAATAAACAAGATCAGAGATGAAAAAGAAGACATTATGACTGATACCTCAGAAATTCAGAGAATCATTAGTGGCTACTATGAACAACTATATGCCAGTAAATTGGAAAATTCAGAAGAAATGAATAAATTTCTAGACACTCACAAGTTACCAATATTGAACTCACAAGGAAATTCAAAACCTAAACAGATAAATAAAAATGAGGTCGATGCTGTAATAAAAAGTCTCCCAGCAAAAAAATAAAATAAAATAAAGCCCAGACCTGATCACTTCGCTGATGGATGACACCAAACATTTAACGAAGAACTAATACCAATCCTACTCAAACTATTCTGAGAAATAGAGTAGAGGGAATAATTTCAAACTCATTATACAAGGCCAGCTTTACCCTGATAGTTAAACCAGACAAAAATACATATAAAAATTAAACAATAGGCCAATATCTCTGATAAATATTGATGCACAAATTCTCAACAAAATGCTAGCAAACCAAGTTTAAAAACACATTAAAAACATTCATCATGACCAAGTGGGTGATGCAAGGATGGCTCAACATATGTAAATCAATTTGTGTCATACATTATAACAACAGAATGAAGGATAAAAACCATATGATCATTTTAATTGATGCTGAAAAAACATCTGATAAAATTGAAAATCCCTTCATTATAAAAACCCTGAAAAATGGGTATAGAAGGAACATACCTCAACATAATAAAAGCCATATATGACAGAAGCACAGCTAGTATCATATTGAATGATGAAAAAATAAAAGCCTTTCCTCTAAGATTGGGGACAAAGAAAGAATGCACACTTTCACCACAGTTATTCAACATAGGACTGGAATTTCTAGCTAGAGCAATCAGACAAGAGAAAAAAAAAGGCATCCAAATTGGAAAGTAGAAGTCAAATTATTCTTGTTTATAGATTATATAATCTTATATTTGGAAAAACCTAGGGACTCCACCAAAAAGCTATTAGAACTAATAAACAAATTCAGTGAAGTTGCAGAATACAAAATCATCATACAAAAATCAGGAGCATTTCTATATGCCAACGGCCAACCATCTTAAGAAAAAAATTAAGAAAGTAATCATATTCACAATAGCAACAAATGAAGAAAAACATGTTAGAAATTAACCAAATAATTGAAAGATCTCTACAATGAAAACTATAAAACACTGAAGAAAGACCTTGAAGAAGACACACCAAAAGATATTCCATATTTATGGACTGGAAGAATTAATATTATTAAAATGTTCCTACTACCCAAAACAGTCTACAGATTTAATGCAACCTCTATCAAAGTACCAATGACAATCTTCACAGAAATAGAAAACACAACCCTAAAATTTATGTGAAACCACAAAAGATGCAGAATAGTCAAAGCTAGCTTAAGCAAAAAGAACAAAACTGAAAGAATCACACTACCTGACTTTAAGATATAGTACAGAGTTATAGTGACCAAGACAACTTGGAACTGGCATAAAAGCAGAAACATGGATCAGTGTAACAGAATAAAGAACCCAAAGATAAACCCAAACATCTACAGTAATTTTGTTTTTCACAAAGCTACAAAGAATATACACTAGGGAATGAACAGTCTCTTCAATAAATGGTGCTGGGAAAACTGGATATCTATATGCCAAAGAAATTAGACCCTATTCCTTACCATTTACAAAAATCAAGTCAAGATGGATTAAAGACTTAGATCTAAGATCTCGAACTATGAAACTACTTCAAGAAAATATTGGAGAAACTCTCCAGGATATTGGACTGGGCAAAGATTTCTTGACTAATACCCTACAAGCATATAGGCAACCAAAGCAAAAATGGACAAATGGGATCATATCAAGTTAAAAGTCTTCTGCACAGCAAAGGAAACAATTAACAATGTAAAGATACAACCCACAAAAAAGGAAAAATAAATCTGCAAACTACCCATCTGACAATGGTTTAATAACCAGAATATATAAGGAACTCAACTCTATAGGAAGAAATCTAATAATCCAATTTAAAAATGGGCAAAATATCTGAATAGAGCATTTCTTAAAAGAAGACATACAAATGGCAAATAGGTATATAAAAAGGTGCTGTACATCACTGATCATCAGAGAAATGTAATTCAAAACTACAGTGAAATATCATCTCACCCCAATTAGAATGGCTTTTATCCAAATGTCAGGCAATAACAAATGCTGGTGAGGATGTAAAGAAAAGGGAATCCTCATTCACTTTTTGTGGGAATGCAAATTATTACAACCACTACAGCTTGGAGGTTCCAAAAACTAAAAATAGAGCTTCCATATGATTCAGCAATCCCACTCCTAGATATATACCCAAAAGAACAGAAATCAGTATGTAAAAAAGATATTTGCATTCTCATGTTTATTGCAGCACTATTTACAATAGCCAAGATTTCGATGCAACCTAAGTTTCCATAAACACATGACTTGATAAAGAAAATACGGTACATATATGCAATGGAGTACTATTCAGCCATAAAAAAGAATGAGATCCTGTCATTTGCAACAACATGGATAAAACTGGAGGCCATAATGCGCTATTCACAATAGCAAAGACTTGGAACCAACCCAAATGTCCAACAATGGTAGACTGGATTAAGAAAATGTGGCACATATACACCGTGGAATACTATGCAGCCATAAAAAAGGATGAGTTCATGTCCTTTGTAGGGACGTGGATGGAGCTGGAAACCATCATTCTCAGCAAACTCTCGCAAGGACAAAACACCAAACACCGCATGTTCTCACTCATAGGTGGGAATTGAATAATGAGAACACATGGACACAGGAAGGGGAACATCACACACCAGGGCCTGTTGTGGGGTGGAGGGAGGGGGGAGGGATAGCATTAGGAGATATACCTAATGTTAAATGACGAGCTAATGGGTGCAGCACACCAACATGGTGGATGTATACATATGTAACAAAACTGCACGTTGTGCACATGTACCCTAAAACTTAAAGTATAAAAAAAAAAGGAAAGAAACTGGAGGTCATAATGTTAAATGAAATAAGCCAGACACAGAAGACAAACTTAGCATGTTCTCACTTATTTGTGGGAAGTAAAAATTAAAGTAACTGAACTCATCAAGATAGAGTAGAAGGACAGTTACCAGAGGCTGAGAAGGATAGTAGAGGGTGGGAGAGAGTGGGGTGGTTAATGGTTACAAAAAAAAAAATAGAAAGAATAAGACCTAGTATTTTCTAGGTCAGCAGGGCAACTGTAGTCAAAAATGATTTAATTGTACATATTAAAATAACTGAAAGAGTATAATTGGATTTTTTATAACGCAAAGGATAAATGCTTGAGGCAATGGATACCCCATTTAACCTGATGTGAGTCTATACACCTACTCTGTACCCACAAAAATTAAAACACAAAATTGAACAAATTCCTGTATTTTGAGTCCATGTCTGCTTTTAACTTATCTGTATACTTCTTCCATTAGTGCAGATTTTTTCTCCTTCTTAAGGCTTCCAGTTCTTAACCTTTTAATTTGCTGTTTCTGATCTGCATTTGGAGGAAAACTAGAAAAGAGCTGACAAGTCCTCAGCAAAGCCCTGGGAGATGAGAAGATTTTACATATTTGCACAATTTTGATGGGTTTTGTTTGTTTGCTTGTTGCTGGTGGGGTGTATTCATCTCATATCTTATTGATTCTAAATAGTTAAACTACTATATAATATGATATATATCCATTACATAGAATGTATTTAAAATGTTACCATTATTGGTTTACAAACCTAGCAGGTCTTATGCTCATTTATAAAGGCATATGTAGGGTAAGACATCAGCAATAATGGAGGGCTAGGTAGCTCTAAGTGTCTGCCCTACACAGAAATATCAAAATATAAATCAAAATCTGTCAGCATCACCTTCATAAGTACTCTGGAACATAGTAAAATGTTTATAGAGTACAACTTTTAACATAAATAAAGGAAGTTTAAAACTAAAGCCTTTTGCTATTTTAATATGTTCTTAACCCCATCAACCACCCTGTTTCACCATCAGTCATGGAAATGATAACGTATGTTCCCCCGTGTGGTCTCTAGTTATGGAGGAAGCCAAGCAGACCTTATTTTCAAATAAATGTTGTTCTCTATTTTTACCTGTCTGGATGCTATGAGAAACTACCAGAAGGACTGAAACAAGGCACTCGACTCGGTTCCACCTAACTTAAACTCATTCTGGGTAGAAAACGCAAAAGAAATTTCTTAAAGACATTGTAAACCAAACAAACAGCGAGTTATCACCTGGGGCCAAATATTACAGTTGAGGCAAAAAACAGATTGCTGAAAGGCTTATAGGAAAATCTGGGGTTTGAGAAATTAGGGTTCAATTATACCCATGTATGCTGGGGAATTTAGAAAGCCCCATGCATGACCAGAGCAAGAGGCATGCTCAGAAAATTCCTAAAAATTCCCTAAGTTTTAACCTCTGGCTGATCTCTAGACTCAGCACCATCAGCAAGTGAGGGCTAAGGCAGAGTTATAAACAGCCTGGTTAAGTATTAAAAAGGTGCCCCAAAAGAAAACCAATTACCAAGAATTAAGTATTTTTCTCATTTTACTCTTTCTGTTTTTCTTCTTTCCTTCACTGCTTCCTTTCCCAATTTTTTTTCCTTGCATTCAAGGAAAAGTCCTTCAAATTTCAAGCTGACCATAAGCTAAGGAAACAGAGACTTCAGAGACCACACATGCAAATACATATTTTACAAAAATAGTTTAGACAAGTCAATAAATGAATAGCTACAGCACACAGCAGGCAACAAGGACAAACTCAAAGGAGGGGAAAGTATTTCTTATCCAGAGTTACCACACTATAAAAACAAAACATCTAGTTTTTAGTAAAAAATAGAGGGCATCAAAGAAATAAGGAAGTATGGCCCATTTACAGGAGAAATTAACAGAACAGTTCCTAAGGAAACACAGATGTTGGAATTACTGGACAAAAACTTCAAAACTTTTGTTTGAAACATGTTCAAAGAGTTAAATGAAACCAGGAATAAACACCAAGAGAATGGTATAAGAAAAAAGAACTTCAAATTTTTTAAAAGCATTAACAAAAAACTAACAGAAAATTTGAAGCTAAAAAGTACTATAAACTGAAATGGAAAGCTGAGAACATTCTAATAGCAGATTTAAGTAGGCAAAAGAAACAACCAGTGAACTTGATAATATGTCAATTGAAATTATTCAGTCTGAGGGCAGGGAGACAAAAAGAAAAAAAACTTGAACAGAGTTGAAGAAAGCTTTAGGACATCAACAATTGTATACAATTTCTTGTTACCACTGCATATCTAACATACATATAATGGGAGTCTTGGAAGAAAAAGAGAAGAGACAAAAAAGGAGAGAATAAACATCTGAAAAAATAATAAATAAAAGCTTTCCAAACATAATAAAAGGTATAAAACTACATATTCAAGAAGCTGAATGAACTCCAAGCAGAATAAACTCTAAGAGGTCCATACTGAAACACACTACAGCTGTTGAAAGACAAAGAGAATCCTGGAAACTGCAAGAGGGAAGCAATTCATCTCATGCAAGGGATCCTTGATTAGATTAACATCTGGTTTCTCTTTGGAAACCATGGAGGCCAGAGGCATTAGGATAACATGTTGAAGGTGCTGAAACAGATAAAAAAAAAAAAACTGTTAATCACGAATTTTATATTCAGTAAAACTATCCTTCAAAAACGAAAAAGAAAGTTAAGACATTCCCAAATAAACCTTAACTGAGTTTGTTGATAGTAGACTTTCCCTTTAAGTAATGGTAAAAGGAGTCCTTCTGGCTGAAATTAAAGAAATATTAGACAGTAATTTGAAGCCACATGAATAAATAAAAAACTTACGTAAAGGTAAATACATAGATAAACATTAAAGCCACTAACATTGCATTTTTGTTATGTAACTCCTCTTTTTGTTCTCTACAAAATTTAAAAGAAAAATGAATAAAACAATAATTAGAAATTTATTTTACTTGGCTAGTAGAAGGAAGGAAATATTAAAGATTAAAATGGAGATACATGAAATAGAGAATAAAAAACAAAAGAGAGTATTAATGGCATCAAAACCTGTTCTTTGTAAAGATTGACAAGATGAACAAAACTTTAGCTAGACTAAATAAAAACAAAAAGGAGTACTCAAATAAAGTCAGAAATGAAAGTAGGGACAGATCCTGCCTAGTATTCAAGTAACTTCCTATTGACCACTGAAGCCCCACAAGAAAAAAAAATTCTCACTCTTCCAAGTTCTTAAAGAAGTAATGGGCCTAATAAATTCTTGAGGCCATGCTGGGTAAAATGGCATCCATTGTGTCTGTGCTCAAGCGATCAGTCTAACTGAAGCAACAGGTAATCTTGCACTGGAGAAAGAGCAAGGGGTTAGGTGAAAACACTTGCAACAAATACAACTTCCCCTCTATGATAAACTTATTGTTCATCAATATCCACATGCATGGGGAAGGTATCCCGTCCACTTGAACTCGTGCATGGCCTTGTGACTTGCCTGGGCCATTAAAAAAGTGAGAATAATAAAGTGGGTCTCTTCCAAGCAGAAATTTTTAAAGCCAGTGTGTATTTCCCTATGTATTGTTTATATTTTTATTTTCTGTATATTAGGTTTTGACATCTTAAAAGCCTTTCTGGCTGGAAAGTCTGCTCCTCCGAGGGCTAGTCGATCCTTAGAGATAGCAAGGGGCTTCTCTGGGAGCATGCCTTCAACATGCAACCTAACCAATCCAGACGCATACCTCCTTTATCTGTTCCATACACCTCAAGGGGCAATATTCCTCTACCTTAACCATCCCAGGGCTAGGTTCCAGGCAACTAGGGACCATTCTTACAGCTTAGAGCTCACTGGAATTCTTTTAAATTAGCCAATCCTAAGATGTTTATCCTGTCCTGCCTTGCTGTTCCCTCTAAAACTACAATAAAGACTGTGTCCGATTCCTTCCCCTCATGCGTATCCCTTCTGCCTCCAGACTGACCCAGGTATTTTCACATGTGGCCCTAGGTGGTATGCCATGCCTCTTGTTGCTAGGACCTGTGAGTATAATAAACTTTGTTCTCCTCAGCCTATCCGGCATCTTCTTTCATGGTCCCACCTGACTAACCATCACATAAAAGAACACAGAACGCACTGTATATTTTCTTTTCCCTGTCATTATTATGGAAGCATGGGTTGAGATGGAGCTTCTGTCAGCCTGCAATGCTCATTACAATGGGCAGATACCCTGTCAACCCATAATGAACCAACCGGCAGTGTGAGCAAGAAATAAACTTGGTTCTTTCAAGTCTCTGAGATTTTGGAATTTCTTGTTACCATTGCATATCCAAGCCTCCTTTTGCCTAAGACTTAAAATATGAGGAGTGAAGGCCACATACTTCTTTTAAAAATTAGTTTTGAGGACGAAAGAGTAAATACTACTGAAATAATTAACTTAATTTCAGGATGTATTGTAAATAACAGTAGACATTTTCCAAAGAGTGAGCTAAGAAAGATGAGGCAAAAGTGAACCCACTCAAGTGGGAAGAAGAAAAACTAAAAATTATCAAGCAGATAAGGGATTGAAAAAAGAAGGTATCTGGAGGAAAAATTTAACACATTTAAACATTTATCTGAGGAACTTCCTTGGGGAAAAAAAAAACATATTTCCTCCTATCAAAGTTAGAACAGTATTTTCTCCATTATTGGACTTTTATTTTTCCTCATTGAAATTTAAATTATCTCTAAGTTAATTTCTTACATTTTTCAAAAGTGAGTTGTTTTCTATTTTGAGAAAATTGCTAGCTACATGATTTGGAAGAAAACATTACTCATTTAAGTAGGATTTTAGGGTTATATGGTGTATCATTAGTTTCGACATTATTAGAGCCAATATCTGGCAAAATTGCACAGTAGGAAAAGTGTGTTCTTCTCACATAAACTTGCTCCTAGTCTCTCATTTCAGTGCCCATATGTATGGCTGTTACTTCAAAGATACAGTCATATTCATTTTGTGACCTACCTTGATATTATTTTCCTATTACTTTTAAATTATGCTATTTGCTCCTTTTATGTAGCATTATAATTTGCCTTCATTACCTGTGGAAAAAGTCATGGCATATTTAAACAGTTTATTCCTCCTATAATCTTAACTAACAGTGAATCACCATAGCCCACTGCCACAAACTTGCAGCTATCACCCTCTTTAACAGCCTCTATGTAATTAAGTCCTCATCAAAATGACCAAATATTTTCTCTCTCCTAATGAGACATTCTTACTTTACTTGCAACTCATATTTTTTCTTCAGCTCTCTAATTAAATTTCCATTTTTGTCTATATCTTCTATTGAACCATCCCCTAAAATTCACAAACCATGGTGTCACAAAATGTTAGATATTTCAGCTTCCATGCTTTTTTTTTTTAATTTCAATAGTTTTGGGGAAACAGGTGGTTTTTGGTTACATGGATAAGTTCTGCAGCGGTGATTTCTGAGATTTTGGTGCCACCATCACCCAAGCAGTGCATACTGCACCCAATGTGTAATCTTTTATCCCTCACCCTTTTCCTACCTTTCCCCCTGAGTCCCCAGAGTCCATTATATCATTCTTATGCCTTTGTGTCCTCATAGCTTGGCTCCCAATTATAAGTGAGAACATACAACATTTGGTTTTCCATTCCTGAGTTACTTCACTTAGAATAATGGTCTCCAACTCCATTCAGGTTCCTGTGAATGCCATTACTTCATTCCTTTTTATGGCTGAATAGTATTCCATGGTATATACATACCACATTTTATTTATCCACTCATTGGTTGATGGATATTTAGGCTGGTTCCATATTTTTTGCAATTATGAATTGTGCTGCTATAAACATGCATGTGCAAGAGTCTTTTTCACATAATGACTTCTTTTCCTCTTGGTAGATACCTAGTGTGGGATTGCTGAATGAAATGGTAGTTCTACTTTCAGTTCTTTAAGGAATCTCCATACTGTTTTCCATGGTGGTTGTACAAGTTTACATTGCCACCAGCATTGTAAAAGTGTTCCCTTTTCACCATATCCACACCAACATCTCTTATTTTTTGATCTTCTAAATTATTACCACTTCTGCAGGAGTAAGGTAGTATTACATTGTGATTTTAATTTACATTTCCCTGATAATTAGTAATGTTGAACATTTTTTCATATGTTTATTGGCCATTTGTTTATCTTCTTTTGAGAATTGTCTATTCATGTCCTTAGCCCACTTTTTGATGGACTTTTTAATCAATATCCTATATATTTTTAAATATATTTAAGTTGGTTTATACCTTTCTCTGGTACCTTGTTGAGTACCTTAATAATCAATCTTCTGAATTCTTTACCTAGCAATTCAGATATTTTTTTTCTTGGCTTAGATCCATGGCTGGAGAGCTAGTGTGATCTTTCAGGGGTGTTGTAGAGTCATATTTTGTCATATTACCAGAATTACTTTTCTGATTCCTTCACATTTGGGTAGACTGGTTCAGTGGAAAGATCTGGAACTCAATGGCTGCTGTTCAGATTCTTTTGTCTCATGGGGTGATCCCTTGATTTGGTGCTCTTTCCCTTCCCCTAGGGATGGGGCTTCCTGAGAGCCAGACTTCAGTGATTGCTATTATTCTTCTGGTCTAGCCACCCAGATGGGCTATTGGGCTCTGGGCTGGTGCTAGGGAATGGCTACAAAGAGTCCTGTGATTTGATCTGTTTTCGGGTCTCCCAGTTGTAGATACCAGCATCTGCTTTGGTAGAGGTGGCAGGTGAGTGGACTGGACCGTCTGGGAGTCCTTGGTTGTAGTTTGGTTTAGTGTGCTGGTGATGCTAGTAGTGAATTTGTCACGTGAACAGACTCAGGACCTCTTGTTAGCCATGGTGTTTTTTTCCTCTTTGAAGCAGGGTTGTTCTGTTATGAGTTGCTGTAATGACTAGAGTTGGTTGGCCTTCAACCAGAAGGTGGTTCTTTCAAGAGAGCACCAGCTACAGTAGTGGAAGAAGGATATAATATTTCCCTACATTGGCCAGGATAAGTATTTGTTTTCTCAGGTGATGGGCAGAGCCACAGAGCTCCCAAGAGTTTATGTCTGTTGTCTTCAGCTACCAGGAAGGTAGAGAAAAACTATCAGGTGGGGGCAGGGTTAGGTGGGTCTGAGCTCAGACTCTCCTTGGATAGGGCTTGCTGCAGCCACTGTTGGGGATGAAGGGGTAGTTCTCAGGCCAATGGAGTTGTGTTTCCTGGAAAATTACGGCTCCCTCTGCTGGGGCATACAGGTTGTCAGGGAATTGAGAGAAAGCCGGAAGTGACAGGCCTCGCCCAGCTCTCAGACAGCCAGCAAGGCCTGTCTCATTCCCCCAGTGCCCAACAAGAGCACTGAGTTTATATCCAAGCAGCTGGGAGCAGGTCTGAGATCCTGTCCTAGGCTATAAGCCTCCCAGCTGAGAAACCAAGCAGGGCTCTCAGGCCTCACTCCTCTCTGCCTGCCTGTACCATTGGCTGTAGCTTCTACTCTTGTATCTGCACTCCCAATTTGCCCTCCCAGATTCTGCTCAGGAAAGTTCATGCACAGTCAAAATTATTACAAAATGCAGTTGGAAGATTCCTTCATCCTGTGGCCCTCTCCCCTATTCCACTGGCTGCCTTCCCCAAGGACCCCTGTGTGATAAAGCCAGGAGTGGCTTCCCTGGGTTTGAGCTAGGAACTGGGAGTGCCTACAGGGCTCTTCCTGCCTTTTCTCCTACTTTTATATTTCACTTGCCCCCCTAAATCTTAGGTAAGGTTAAATCCTTCTCCCCGATCTAGATTTTCAGGTTCCCCAGTGGGGATGTGTGTTCAGAGACAGAGTTTCTCTCTCACACATTTTGGGAACTCAGTTTTTCAGCTCTCTTGCAGAGTTTGCAGTGGCAAATTACTACTTTCAAAGGGACTGTGAGTTCTTTCAGTTTTCCTGGTATGTTCTTGCACTGGTTCTTGGAGCAAAAGTTCACAGTGTGAGTCTCCACATGCTGTTCTGTCCATCTAGTGGGAGCTGTGTGTTAGTCCTGTCTCCTATCTGCCATTTTTCCATTAGTTTCCATGCTTGCACTTTTTAATTATTGATTTCAAAAGTAATGTGTGCTTGTAATAGAATATTTGGGACACAGAACCTGCCAAAGAAGTCATAAAAAATAACCATAATGCTACCTAGAGATGGTTTCTAGCTTTTTTTCCCTATGGCTACTTGTATTTGTGTGTGTGTGTGTGTGTGTGTGTGTGTGTAAAATCTGGATCATGTTGCATACACAACTTTATGTTCTATTTTTTTCTTAACTGTATATTGAAATCATTGTCATATACAATATTCAAGAATTCTCTTTTAAATGCCATTTATACACATTTCCTACACATTTGACTGCTGTCTGAGCCAGTTTAAGACTCTTAACTGTTCACCCTTCATGCTTATCAAGGGCCCAGGCCCCTTATGAAATTAGCAAAGCCCCTGTGGACTGATGTCTTGGCTATATTTCCTACAGTGCTTTCTCTTTAGGTTTGCTCCTGGAATATCTCCGTTTGTACTTGCTCCTCACCAGGAATCTTGAAGGCCATCCTGTCTCAACTTGGATCTAGTACCCTGTTATTCTATTTCTGTGGACAGGATCATGAGACCATAAATAATACAAGAGGGTATTATTAACATAATAGAGTATAATAAAACTGAGCTTTTATTACAGCTTCTATGGGACTGAATCAGGATTTCTTACTTAGAAAAGATTGAACATAATTTGAATATGCGCTATAAATTCTTATCTTTTTCTTTAGATAAGATTCATAAGTAACATCTTTGCATTCTCACTTTTTACATACATGTCTTTTTAAAATTATTTATTTTTAATTGACAAAATATGGATATATCTATGGTCTTAACATGATGTTTTAATACATGTATACATTGTAAGTGACTAAGTCAAGTTTATTAACAAATCCACCAGTCTCATAATTGGAAGGTCCTGAGCTTTCTCACTTCATTAAAAAAAATTTTATTTTAGGTTCAGGAATACATGTGCAGGTTTGTTATGTAGGTAAACTCACAGGAGTTTGTTGTACAGATTATTCTGTCACCCAGATACTAAGCCTAGTACCAAATAGTTATTTTTCCTGATCCTCTTCCTATTCCCACCCTCCACCCTCAAGTAGGCCCCGGTGTCTGTTGTTCCCCACTTTGTGTCCATGTGTTCTCATCATTTAGCTCCCACTTATAAGTGAGAACATGCAGTATTTGGTTTTCTGTTTCTGTGTTAGTTTGCCAAAAGTAATGACCTCCAGCTCCATCCATGCACACGAAAGACATGATTTTATTCTTTTTATGGCTACATTGTATTCCATGGTGTATATGTACCATATTACCTTTATCCAATCTATTGTTATGGGTACTTAGGTTGATTTCATGTCTTTGCTATTGTAAATAGTTTTGCATTGAACATTCAAGTACACATGTATTTATGATAGAATGATTTATATTCCTTTGGGCATATACCCAGTAATGGGATTTCTGGTTTGAACAGTATTTTGGACTCTTTTTTGGTTCCATATAAATTTTAAAATAGTTTTTTTTTTTCTAGTTCTGAGAAGAATGACATTGGTAGTTTGATAGGAATAGCACTTAAACTATACATTGCTTTGGACAGTATGGCCATTTTAATTATATTGTTTCTTTCTATCCGTGAGCATAAAATGTTTTTTCCATTTGTTTGTTATCATCTCTAATTTCTTTGAGCAATGTTTTGTTACTACTCATAATGGAGATTTTCCACCTCCCCGGTTAGCTGTATTCCTAGGTATTTTACTCTTTTTGTGGCAGTTGTGAATGAAATTGTGTTCCCGATTTGGTTGTTTGCTTGGCTATTGTTGGTGTAGAGGAATGTTAGTCATTTTTGTACATTGATTTTTGTATCCTGAGACTTTGCTGAAGTTGGTCCTCAGCTTACAGAACTTTTTGTTCTCGACTATGGGGTTTTCTAGATATACAATCATGTCATCTGCAAACAGGGATAGTTTGACTTCCTGTCTTCCTATTCGAATGCCCTTTATTTCTTTCTCTTGCCTGTTTGCTCTGGCCAGGACTTCCACTACTATGTTGAGTAGGAGTGGTGAGAGAGAGCATCCTTGTCCTGTGCCAGTTTTCAAGGGGGATGCTTCCAGCTTTTGCACATTCAGTATGATGTTGACTGTGGTTTTGTCATAGATAGTGCTTACTATTTTGGGGTATGTTCCTTCAACACCTAGTTTGTTGAAAGGTTTTAACATGAAGGGTTGTTGGATTTTATCTAAAGCCTTTCTTCATCTATTTAAATAATCATGTGGTTATTTTTAGTTCTGTTTATGTGATAAATCACATTTATTGATTTAAGTGTGTTGAACCAACCTTGCATCTCAGGGATATAGCCTAATTGATCATGGTGGATAAGCTTTTTGATGTGCTGGTGGATTCAGTTTGCTAGTATTTTGTACAGGATTTTTGCATCAAAGTTCATCAAGAATATTGGCCTGAAGTTTTCTTTTTTTGTCGTGGCCCTGCCACGTTTTGGTATTAGGATGATGCTGGTCTCATAGAATGAGTTGGGAAGGAGTCCTTTCTACTCATTGCTTTTTAATAGTTTTAGTAGAAATGGCATGAGCTCTTCTTTGTACATCTTGTAGAATTCATCTGTGAATCCATCCAGTCCTGGGATTTTTTTGATTGTTAGGCTATTTATTACTGATTCAATTTTGGAGCTCATTATTGGTCTGTTCAGTGATTTCATTTCTTCCTGCTTCAGTCTTGGGAGGGTGTATGTGTCCAGAAATTTATCAATTTCTTCTAGATTTTCTAGTTTGTGTGCATAGAGGTATTCATCATAGTCTCTGATGGATATTTGTATTTCTGTCGCATCAATGGTAATATCCCCTTCGTCATTTCTAATTGCGTTTATTTGGATCTTCTCTCTTTTCTTCCTTATTAGTCTAGCTAGTGATCTATTTACCTTATTAATTAAAAAAAACAACTCCTGGATTTATTTTATTTATTTATTTATTTTGAGATGCAGTCTCACTATGTTGCCCAGGCTGGACTGAAGTGGCATGATCTCAGGTCACTGCAGCCTCTGCCTCCCGGGTTTCAGCGATTCTCCTACCTCAGCCTCCCAAGTATCTAGGATTTGTTGATATTTTAGACAATTCTTTTGTGTGTCTCAATCGCTTTCATTTCAGCTCTGACTTCAATTATTTTTGTCTTCTGCTAGCTTTGGGGTTAGTTTGCTCTTGCTTCTGTAGTACTTTTTGTTGTGATGTTAGTTTGTTAATTTGAGATCTTTCTAACTTTGTATTGTGGGCATTTAGTGCTGTAAATTTCCCTCTTAACACTGCCTTAGCTGTGTCCAATAGAATCTGATATGTTTTGTTTTTGTTCTCATTAGTTTCAAAGCACTTCTTGACTTCTGCCTTAATTTCATTATTTACCCAAAAGTCATTCAGGAGCAGCTTGTTAAATTTCCATGTAATTGTATGGTTTTAAGTGATTTTCTTGGTCCTTTTATTTTTATTGTGCTGTGGTCTGAGAGAGTGGTTGCTATGATTTTCGTTCTTTTGTATTTGCTGAGAAGTGTTTTATGTTCCATTGTGTGGTCAGTTTTAGAGTACGTGCTGTGTGGTGATGAGAAGAATGTATTCTTTTGTTTTGGTGGGGAGAGTTCTGTAGATGTCTATCACATCCCTTTGGTCCAGTGTTAAGTGCAGTCCAGAATATCTTTGTTAATTTTCTGCCTCAATGATCTGTCTAATACTGTCAGTAAGGTGTTGAAGTCTCCCACTATTATCGTGTGGGAGTCTAGGTCTCTTTGAAGGTCTCTAAGAACTTGCTTTATGAATCTGGGTGCTCCTATATTGGGTGCATATATATTTAGGATAGTTATGTCTTCTTGTTAAATTGAATACTTTAACATTATGTAATTCCCTTCTTTGTCTTTTTTGATCCTTCTTGGTTTAATGTTTGTTTTATCAGAAACTAGGATTGTAATCCCTGCTTTTTTGTGTTTTCCATTTCCTGGGTAGATTATTTTTCATTTCTTTATTTTGAGCCTACGGCTGTCATTGCAGGTGAAATGGGTCTCTTGAAGACCATACCATTATGTCTTGCTTCTTTAATTAGCTTTCCACTCTGTGCCTTTTAACTGGGGTATTTAGCCAATTTACATCCCAGGTTAGTATTAGTATGTATGGATTTGATCCAGTCATCATGTTTAGCTGTTTATTATGCCAACTTGTTTCTGTGGTTGCTTTATAGTGTCACTGGTCTGTGTACTTAAATGTGGTTTTGTAATGGCTGGTAATGGTCTTTCCTTTCATATTTAGTGCTTCTTTCAGAAAGTCTTCTAAGGCAGGTCTGGTGGTAACAAATTTCCTCAGCATTTGCTTGTCTAAAAAGGATATTTCTCCTATGCTTATGAAGCTTATTTTCACTGGATGTGAAATTTTTGATTGGAATTTCTTTCCTTTAAGAATGTTGGGCTGGGCGCAGTGGCTCACGCCTGTAATCCCAGCACTTTGGGAGGCCGAGGCGGGTGGAGCATGAGGTTAGGAGATCGAGACCACCCTGGCTAACACGGTGAAACCCCGTCTGTACTAAAAATACAAAAAATTAGCCAGGCGCGGTGGCGGGCGCCTGCAGTCCCAGCTATTCGGGAGGCTGAGGCAGGAGAATGGCTTGAACCCGGGAGGCGGTGCTTGCAGTGAGCGGAGATCGCGCCACTGCAGTCTAGCCTGGGCGACAGAGTGAAACTCTGTCTCTAAAAATAAAAAATAAAATAAAATAAAATAAAAAAGAATGTTGAATATAGGCCCCTAATCTCTCCTGGCTTGTAGAATTTCTGCTGAGCAGTCTGCTGTTAGTCTGATGGATTTGCCTTTGTAGGTGACCTGTCCTTTCTCTCCAGCTGCCTTTAACATTTCTTCTTTCATTTTGACTTTGGAGAATCTGACAATTATGTGCCTTGAAGGTGACCTTTTAGTTAAGTGTCATGTGGGGGTTCTCTGCATTTTCTGAATTTGAATTTTGGCCTTTCTAGCTAGGTTGGGGAAGTTTTCATGGATTATATCCTTAAATATATTTTCCAAGTTGCTTCCATTCTCCTCACCTCTTTCAGGGACACCAATGAGTCATAGATTTAGTCTTTTACATAATCCCATATTTCTTGGAGGTTTTATTTGTTCCTTTTTATTCTTTTTTAAAATTATTGTCTGATTGTCTTATTTCAGAAAACCAGTCTTGAAGCTTTGTGATTCTTTCCTCACCTTGGTTATTCTGCTGTTAATACCTGCAATTGCATTATAAAATTCTTATGTTTTTCAGTTTTATCAGGTCAGTTACCTTCTTTTCTATCCTGGCTATTTGTCTGTCAGCTCCTGTATCATTTTATGGTGATTCTTAGCTTCCTAAGAATTAGGATTCAATTTTCTCCTGAATCTTTATGATCTTTGTTCCTATTGGATTGAGTTTCAATGTTCTCCTGAATCTCAATGACCTTTGTTTCTATCCATATTCTGAATTCTATTTCTGTCATTTCAGCCATCTCAGCCCAGTTAAGAAGCCTGGCAGGAGAACTATTGTGGTTGTTTAGAGAAAAGAAGACACTCTGACTTTTTGAGTGTCAGAGTTCTTGTGCTGTTTTTTCCTCATTTTTGTTGGCTGATGTTCCTTCAGGCTTTGAGGCTGTTATCTTTTGGATGGGTGCTTTTTTCTTTTATCCTATTTGATGCCCTTGGGGGTTTGATTGTGGTATAAGGTAGGTTCAGTCAACTGGCTTCAAATAAATAGTAGAGTAGCTCTGTTGGCACCAAGAGTCCTAGAATCCTTTGGTTCCAACGATCCCCTTGTTTAAGATTTCACAGGAAATAATCACATCTTTAAGTCATTATCTTGTAGCTGTCACTCAATTGTCCCATAGGATTTTTATAAACTCCTTTGAGATTTCAATGAATATTAATCCATTCTCACTTTTTAATACCACAATCCATTAGTTACAAAACATTTTCCAACAAATTATTTTACATTTTTCCCCTGCTTCATCAAAGCACTGTGTGCTTAATATGTCTTTAGATATGCTTGAAGGCTATAAAAGGCCACCATAATTGCCTAGATTTTCATCTAAACTCTTGGCTAGGAAATATCTCAAATTCTCCATGCCCTTCAAACATTTACAGATTTTCCATCTCAGAATTCTTTACAAGATGACTTTTAAAGGTAAATTTTAGCTTTGTATTTCCAAGAAGCAAGGATACATTAACTAAAATGTTAGTATGTTTTGCATACTCTATGGTCTTATTTTTATTAAGGAAGTGTAGTGATTCTGCTTTGAAAACTAGTTACCTAGGAGGCATATTCCTCAAAATTCTAGTTTCCCATACTGTGCTTGCTAAGTGTATTGCACACTCAGTTCACAGAAGTTGATTATCCAAACCAAGCAGCATCAGTTTATCAATTCAAGTGCCCTATCTTGGATAATGAGAAAGTGCCATTAACGAGCACATGCATTAGAGCTACTAAAGGTAAATAGCTCTATTTCAAAATACTCCCTCCCTTTATGAGTATCTCATAAAATAAATATCACAGCCAATGAATAGCAGTACCACTGAACACTGACTTTTGATTTTCAAGTCAAATACAAGCAAATCAGAGAAAGCATACTGAGGGAAGCATAGCTAACTTGTAAATGTAACCCTTTCCCCAATTACTTTACCTACCATTTGAAAAAGTGTTATAAAAGTAACTCAAAAAGCACCTAAGCCTAAGCAGGATGAGTGACAATGCTGACATCACTGGTGTTTGATAATTAAATTAACATTTGTGATGGGGCTGGAAAAATGCAGCCAAACATTTTCACCAGAACTGAGGTCAACTATCAGGAGAGGGTAGCTGGGAAATAGGCACTATAAACTATTAGATCTAGGACTGTCGTCTCTCTTCTGGCTATCTATAGCACTTGCATTTTCTCTCGCTAAACAAGAGATTTTCCCCTACCTCGGCAAAAACCAGGATAAACGACAAAATATCACTTCCTAAGTGAGAATGGCACAGGATTCATATCTGGAAATAACTCTAAACAGTTACCAATCAGTGACCACAAAGATAGGTAGGATGACCAGTGAAAGGGCTTTGGCTTTGAGGACTCACTCTGAAATATCTTTGTTGTCCATGAAATATATGTTATTTCTGCCATGGAGCAACTGCAGCCAGAGATAACCAGTGATGAAAGCAGGTGGCATTGGAGTCTCAAAGCAGCCATGTGGACTCATTACAAATGGCACTATGCTCAGGACATAAAAACATCAATAGGATCTGCTAATGTCAAACTCCAGTAATCAGATATTGAAGGTATGCATTCATTCCTCATTAAACACTGAATGAAAGCCTTTTATGTACCAGGTATTGAGCTTGTCGTTGAGGATATAGAAACATCCAAAACAAGATTTCTGACCTCGACAAGTTCAGACTATGAGACAGACGTGAAAACACATGGCATCAGGTATCATATCAGTGGTATGTACAAGAGACAATGGTTAGCTTAAAGGGAATATTAATTATGTTATGCTTGAGTTGGCATGGTATTTGTGTCAATGAAGGCTTCACAGAGAAAGGGGTTATTAAATCTGCTCTTAAAAGATTGACCAAAAGTTCATCAACTAGACAGAAAAACACTCCATGTGGAGAAAAAAGCAGGTGTAAAAACACATAAGGATAAATATGCATGCCATGTTGGAAAAACTGCAATTAGTCTTATACCAATAGAAAGGTGGCAAGTGTGAATTAGCACCTAATAATGCTAAATAGGCAGGCAAGGAATCGATCATAGAGGGCCTAATATATAAAGCAAAACTGTTTGACTTTTAAGCAGAGGCGTAGCACTATCAGATCTGGGCTTTAGAAAGACCACACTTTAGACAAAGTCAGCACTGAAAGGATGATCAGGTAGGATGATCAGCTAGGAACATTCTGTAATACATCTGAAAAGAATACAAATTAAGTATATGACAAATTTGTTCAAATATGACAAATATGTTCAGAAGGCAGAAGCAGTAAGACTTGATAGCCAATTGGATATGGGGAGGAATGGAGAAGAAAAAGTGTGTGGGTGAGTGGATGTTTGGGTGGCATTAGCCAGGACAAGGAGAATAAGAATGAAGAGCAAGTGAGTATGTGTGCATGTGTGTGCACACATGTGCATATGCAAGTGTGTGCGATTTTGGGGCAGGGAGGAATTGGAAATAATTGCTGCCTCGGACATGCCGAGTTTGAAGGACTGCAGGACTTTAAGAAGACATATCCAGTAACCCATTGGGCATAGGCTTCTGGAAACTAGTCCAGGTTAAAGTCTCATAAATTTGAAACTCTTCCACACATATATGGTAGCAGAAATCTTGGGCATGGATGGGGAGCCTCTTGCCTGTCCATCCACTGAATTATTGTATTTAATGTCTTTTGATTTCCTCTCTTTTCTTTTTACTACTATTTTCTACCCTTTGTTTCTTTACAAAAAAATAGATTTCATTTGCCCCTTCTCAATTCCTTTCCAGCATCAAGCATAACTCTTACTTTTTGATTCATTATTATCTTCATCACCCTCCTTCTTACACTTACTTTTTTCATAATTGTTTCTAATCATCTTTCTTTTGTAACAAAAGCTTTATTCCTTAACACCACTCCAAATATAGAATGATTCTAAATTATGGTCCTGTAGTTTTTTAACTTCTTAACATTATCATGTAGAATCAATACATACACAAAAACAGATAGAATAATATAACAAATTCCCATATGCTTCAACAGGGAGCTATATTCCTTAAAATAAAATAAAATCAATGCATGACCACTGCAATCATATACCAATCTCATTCTTGTCTCACAACAGAAAATAAGAATCAGAACAGATTTTTTTGTGTGTAGATATCCACATTTTTATCCTTAAATCCTTTGCCCTGTACTGTGCACCATTCTAGCAAACCTCACCCTTATTTTATCCTTATAATTGTATTGTGGGTAGTCAGGTGGCATTACTTTACCATCTCACATAAAAAATACTTGGGGCTCAGATTAAATGATTTTCCCAAAGTCACAGCCAGTCAGTGTCTGAGTCAGGCAACCTTGATATATTCCTTAAGCCCAGCCTCAGTACTTTTAATTCACTGAGAACTACCTGACCATTAGTTGATGATAATGATATTATCCTTCTGTGATAGCATCCTTTACATCATTCTTATTCAAACAATTCCCTGATTCAGCATTTCCCAACTTCTAATAAAACTGTGATGAATTTTATATACAAAGCTATGTAAAAGCCAATTAGTTGCAGACAAGAACAAATCTTCCTTGACAGTACCAGTGGCATCAGGCTTTTAGATTTTGTTTCAAAAGATTTCAGGGTCTCATCAATCTAGGTAACCACTTGGAACCCCAAGGTGGTAAGACTCCCTTTCCAAGCACAGGGATGCTTACGTGAGCTCAGAGGCCCAGGCCTCTGTCCAGGGTGAGGAAGAAGCTGCTGAGACAAGATAATAACTCTTTCACATGTGATCTTGATCCTAACTTTCCAGTCCCATCCTACAAAGGGATACCCATTCTCCTCAAAGTCGACCCCATCATCCCTCAAGGCCATTAGACCAATAAGTAGAGTCAGATCTCATCATGCTCTGGAAAGAAAACTGCAGAGTACGAGCAGGAGAAAATAACTTATACTCAAAGGAATTGCAAGGTTATGCCAATTTGTATTGGCAGAAATCTGAGAAATACATGTGAATGGACTCTAAGAATGTTAAATCAAGGAGAATGGAATTTAATATTAAGTTTAAATTTACTGGTGAGGGCATTGCAAGAGATCCTGGATGTCATGTGCTAGCTCTAGCAGCTGGAAGTGCCTATAACAGTTTATTTGGTAGAGTTGAGAAGCCATAGCTTTCTTAACATCATGTAGAGGAAGGAAACCAAAAGATAAGAAGATAGAGATGTTGCAGTAAATTTGTCTTGTGAAACTGCACATCCCGATGATCGCTATATCTTCCTGGAAAAAAAATACTTACTTTATTAAGACATTGAAAAAATACATCAGTGATAGGAGTACCAATATCTTTGGAAATTTCTATGGGGTTTGTCTGTGTAGGCCAGGATGAAAGAAGGATGTGTCAGTAGTGAGATGTGGTCCCTGGTTTTAGTGGAGCTGATGGGATCTCCAAGTGGCAAAGACCAAATGGCAATAGTTAGCCATGGGAAGCAAAGTAAAAATAATTTCCATAAGGGGCAGCAGAAAGTAGAGATAATGTGGTAGTCTGAATGTTTTGACCCTCATAGAGCTGACAGTTGTTAACTGATTATGTTTTTCCAAGGAAGGAAATAGATGGGGAGGTTCTAAAATGTCGCCTGATGCGTTTAATAGAAAAACCCAGGGCTAGAAACTGGACTTTAAGTTTCACACAGGAGAGCCAAAACCTCCCATTCAGTTTTCATAATGAAGCCAGTTCATGGACTTCAAGTTTCTTACCTGAAGAAAAGTTTGAAGAAGCCCTTGAGGAAGGGCTGTGTAACACTATACAAATGCATACTGACTTTTTTTTCTTTTCTTCCCTAAAGTAACTTCCCATTTTCTTAAGTGACCACACACAGGAGAAAGGAAATACCAAGATCTTTCAGGGGTCTCTAGACACAGGCTCTCAACGAACTGTTTCCTAGGGATTCTTTATTTTATTTTATTTTTTTTTTTTTGAGACAGAGTGTCACTCTGTTGCCCAAACTGGAGTGCAGTGGCACAATCTTGGCTCACTGCAACCTCTTCCTCCTGGGTTCAAGCGATTCTCCTGGGTTCAAGCGATTCTCGTGCCTTAGCATCCTGAGCAGTCGGGATTACAGGCGTACACCACCATGCCCAACTAATTTTTATATTTTTAATGGAGATGGGGTTTTGCCATGTTGGTCAGGCTGGTCTTGAACTCCTAACCCCAAGTGATTCGCTGGCTTCAGCCTCCCAAAGTGCTGGGATTACAGGCATGAGCCACTAAGCCTGGCCTTTCCTTAGGGATTCAAAGCACAAAGGTGGTCCACCAGTCAAAGTGGTGATACCTGTGGTGATACACCAGTAATTGGCGATACCTGGAGTTTTAAGCTCAGGCTCTTCTTACATTTTCAGTGTGCCCCATGTCTCCATGTGCAGTCCCTGTGGTTGCATCCCCTGTTCCTGAATAGGTAATTGAAATTTGACATGCCCAACTCTCAGCAGAATCCCCACATTGGCTTCCAGGTCCCACACACTTATAGATGAAGATAAAGTGGAGAGAATAAGTTCAGGAAAGTTTAGTCGTTACCAAAACATCAACAGTTTACAAATAGTACATTCTATAGAATTGCCCTAAGTCAATTATGCTTTAAAATACAGAACTTAGAAATTACTTCCTAAAACCAGAGCCAATTAAATATATAGATTTTATCATTTTTGTGCCATGAAGTATCTGCCAGCATTTGATCATTACATTGTCGGTGACAACTTCAATATGATCTCTACTATTCATCCCCTGAAGATAACTAACTTCTCTAATTTTTGTTCTTCCATCTCTTTGTTAGACGTTCTGTATTTTAAGTCAGTCTATTAGCTTATTGCCTTTACAAATAGGCTCACTTATTAAACCTTGACCATTGACTTTCTAGATCCATATACATTATCATCAATGGGACCGTGGGCCAAATTAATTGTGTCCCTTCACTCAAAGAAAAGAACGAGTAGGTAATATACATAATTTCTTACTATCACTCTCAGCAATTTTTTAAATTACCATGTAACAATTTTGCCTTGAGGAATAAGAATATTTCTTAGTTTCACTATATGAGAGGTATGTAATAGGTTTTTAATAGAATGTACATGCAAATATTTTAAAAATTTGGCACATTGGAAACCATGTAGAACCAAACTCCTGGGGGAAAATGTGCTGCTTTGAAATATAATGGTAATATTCTTCAAAAACATTTCATCTTTGACCCTCAGGAAGATACAAGTAAATTGAGAAAGAGATTTTTTTTAATTTAAAGCCATATATTTTGTAAAATACAGAATTTCAAAAAATATGCTATAAGATCATGAGAAATAGGGTGTCCTATGCAGCATCCTCTGCAAGGGAAGCCAGTATATAAGAAGATAGTTACATTAATAACTTCTTTTTTCAATTTTTTAAAGGAAAGAAATTCTGTTAGCACATATATATTATCTCAATTCCTTCTGTATGTTCACATCTACTAGCAACAGAATTTTATTGTTAGAGCATAGCCATGAGCTAAACCTGAAAATAAGGTCAGGCATGGTGGCTCACGCCTGTAATCCCAGCGCTTTGGGAGGCTGAGGCAGGTGAATCATTTGAGATCAGGAGTTCAAGACCAGCCTGACCAACATTGTGAAACCCCATCTCTACTAAAAATACAAAAAAATTTAGCCAGGCGTGGTGGTGCGGGCCTGTAGTCCCAACTACTTGGGAGGCTGAGGCAGGAGAATTACTTGAAACTGGGAGGCAGAAGTTGCAGTGAGCCGAGATCATACCACTGCTCTCCAGCCTGGGCAACACAGCAAGACTCTGTCTCAAAAAAAAAAAAAAAAAGACAAAAAGAAAGAAAAGAAAAGAAAAATTTGTAATTAGAATTTACTATACAGGCTTTTCTTTATTTTCATATACAATATATTTCTTTAAAACAAAAATTTACTGTGAAAACATTTAGTAGATATTATAAGGATAAAACTTTTATTCCAAGAGCTAAAAACTACTATAAAAGTAAAATTATGTGTTATCTTTCCAAAACAATTTTTCTAATATATAGCCTCCATATTTCATACATCATCTCTAATTTTGATATTTTCCTTCATATATAAACTCAGTGTATGTAAACTTGAGCTTAGGTTCAATGAGTGTGAGTTTAATACTAACAACTCGACACATTAAGCCTTTAGCTAATAATTTCCAACTCTGTGTTATTTTAATTTTGTGAGACTAAGCATTTTAGCAATAATATAAGCACCTTAACTTTTATTATTCCTCATGTTTCTTAAAAAAATAAGAAAATAAAGTAAAATGTTCAGATAGTTGTGAACTTTGCTAGTACCAATAGTTAATATTCCTAGTATTAAAATTTTCTAAGAGTTTCTTTTATGTAAGGACTATATAAAACAACTTTATAGGCATTATTCCATTTAATACTGCAATACTATGAGATGCCACAATTATTCCATTTGAAACTGAAGCTTAGCAAGTTAAAGTCATTTGCATATGATTTCATAGCTAGTAAGCAAAGGAAACATTTAGTAAGATGGCGTGATGGCTGGTCACTTCTGTGTAATATTTTTAAAAATGTATTGTCTAGCTGATGTAGTGAAAATCTGAATTTAGTATAGATAAGACAGTATAAAGATGCTTATGTTGATTGTATCAATGTTGATTATAAGAATGTTGAATTATGAGAGTTGAGAGCTGCATATTTTCTTACATAACTATAACATGTTACTTTATAGTGAGATATGTATTCTCAGTCTGAATATTAGCTCTGGCAGAATTTAACATAATAATTCAGATCCCAAATTTTAGAGTTTATTTGTCTCACCCATTTGTTCATGACCTGAATCTTCTAGGCAAACAAAGTGTATATTGAGATTATTAGTGAGGTTAAATGGAGAAAAATCTGTGATAAGAAACGGAGATTTTGCCTTAGATATTCCAAATCTACTCCCTCATCTAAAATATATTCTGTCGTGTTGTGTTGTTTTATATATAAATAATACATACAAAGCATCAAAGTCATGAAGTCAAGACTTGAATAATTTGGCTAAAAAGAGTGTGCCTATATCATCTTGGCATGTACATGCAATATTTATGTAAATCAAAATATTCTAACTGCTCAATAGTACATTTTTGAAACAATATTAACATTTTCAATATAATAGGTCAAACACTAACTTTTTATAAATTAGTTTTATTTTACCTCTAAATGGAGTGCTCTAAAAATAAGACAGAGAAACTGTCCAAACCAAATTTAAATATAGTGTCTAATTAAGGGTAGAAATTTGAGTGCCTTTATTTAAAATTCATATAGATTTATGCATGATTTGCCAAATATGTGCTCACCTTCAAAATATTCTGATGTATATATGTGTAGTATAATGTAAATAATTGTTAGTATTTTTTTACTTGAATTTGATATTTCAATCAAATACCCATATACAAAGCTCAGGTATTGATTTATACTGTCTATAACCTAGTCTCTGACTGCAGTGGGCTCAAATATCTCTCCTTGGCCTTTTAAAATTGATATATGTCACATATATGTTTGTATAATGTTAAAACTCAACCTTTTTAGACCAAAAATTCCCCTTTTGTAACATACATTTTGTAATGAGCACTCTCATAGATAATATAACTTGTCTATATTCATCATTACCAAATATATATAAATATATATTAAACTTTTTAAACAATGAATACTAAAATAATTGGTATTTAGAGATATAAGTTATCAGGTAGCTACATTTGCAATACTGCACCTACTCTGGAAGGCATAATGAAGAAGTCAGATTCTTACACCTCTATATAGAATCACCATGAACTGGACAATAGCAGTAAATGCAGACTGATGAGAGGCAGTGTATTAGTTACTCAGATATCTACTATAAGCAGCACATATTCTCACTGATGGCATGATTTATCAAAGTGGAAAACACATCTTTGTAAAATTGAAAATAAAATAATATAAAATTTTTCCTCAGTATACATTGCAACTGTGATTCTGAAATATTCAGTGTATATTAAAGCTCTAAAAAAAAAAAGACTTTGTGTTGATATATAAAACCAAGTTAGGTTTTAGGCTCAAATAAGTGTAAAGGAGGTTCTCACCTATGTGAATGATGAATAGAATATTCAGAAATTGTGCAATGTAGGGTAAAATTACATGATTTATAAAACTGTCCTGCACATGGCTGGATACTCAACATCTTGATCCCACCCATCAAACAGCAGTAAAGTGTCACAGTCATTGTGACAGCCCAAAATACTTCCACATATTTGTTTTTTCTAAATTTTATTTTAAGTTAAGGGGTACACGTTCAGGTTTGTTACATAAGTAAACTTGTATCATGGGGGTTTGTTGTACAAATTATTTCACCACCCAGGTATTAAGCCTGGTACCCATTAGTTACTTTTCCTGATCATATCTCTCTTCCCACCCTCAACTCCCCAATAGGCCCCAGTGTGTGTTGTTTCCCTCTATGTGTCAATGTTTCTCATTATTTAACTCCCACTCATAAGTGAGAATATGAAGTATTTGGTTTTCTGTTCCTGTGTTAGTTTGCCAAAAGTAATGGCCTCCAGCTCCATTCATGTTCCTGCAAAGGACATGATCTCATCTTTTTTTGTGGCTTCATAGTATTCCATAGTGTGCATGTACCATATTTTCTTTATCCAATCTATTATTTCTAGGCATTTAGGTTGATTCCACATTTTTTGCTATTATAAATAGTGCTACAATGAACATATGTGTGCATGTGTCTTTATAATATAATGATTTCTATTCCTTTGGGTATATACCCAGGGCAAAGGACATGAACAGACACTTTTCAAAAGAAGACTTCCACAAATTTCTAAAACAATCTGCATAGGATCATAATGGCATTGTTGTGAGAACCAGTGGTCTAAAGTATCTTGCTTATCTGTGTGACCCAAATTCACTGAAAAACTGCCTAGACCATGTTTTTGATTGAGCTGTGAAGTTCTTGCAATGAATGTAATCAAGATTTTGAAAATAATCTCCCATATGTGCTTTACAGTTCATGATAATTTGTGTCTCAAGAAAGGGCATAAAAGCAAAGTTAAATTTTTGTGTTTAAGTATCCTTATTAGCTCTTATACAAGTGAGCCAAAAGTAAAGCATTAATTAAAAACAGCTTCTAGTGAGGCAGTTCCTTTTATATCTGAACCTTACTTTGAAATACATTTACTACCCTTTTTATCACCTGAAGGTACTATTCCAATCCACTTGCTTGCAATGTTCAATTGCATTTCATGGCACTTTTAAGCTTAATTAAATTTTTGCAACAGAGTAGGTCTGTTCTTTAAGGCAAAGCATTGCTTTCAATCCATCTGATTTTCATATGGAAAGGAGCTAGCAAGATTTTTTTCTTCTCATTTTTGGAAAGCAAATACTCTGCCAATAAATAAGTAAATAAATGCTAGTTTTCTATGGCTATGTTTAAGGGGAAAAATAGTTTGTGGCAATCTGAATGCATTTGAGCTTGGAAGAAAAGGAGTACACTTTAATCTCTTGAGCTGTGATCTAATCTTAGGGCCCTCTATTTTATCAGATTCTAGACAATGAAAAAATACAACTCATCTTGAATCAAAACTACTTACAATTGTCCAGCTTTATGATTCTTCTACCATTTATGTAAAAAAATCTGTATACAATTTATATGATCTATATATTCTATACTTACATTATATATAAAGCCATATGTTGTATAATGGATATGAGAATAATCCTGAACTTAATAAGGTAATTCTTGTCTCTATATTTAATTTTGTTCACCAGAGGAAGTGAATTTCTTTCTCTACTTTTAATTGTATCTATATTTTTGTGGCAGCTGACAACTACTAATTTGCAACAGTAAGAGGAAAAGCCATAGACAAACAGGACTCTCTCTGCTAGTTATCCTAGACTGCATTTCTTTTCCCCTTATTTCAATCCTCAAACATGCCAGAGTGGACTTAACCTAGTCCCAAAAATAATCCATTAAGCAAGTCTGTCCTCAGTAGTGTCACCGTCCACCCAGTTGTACAAGCCAGAAACCAAGTCATTCTTGACACTTCTTTTGCCTCTCTAAAATTCAATTCACAAAGTCCTTGCAATTTTACCTGCTGAAAAGCTTTCAGATCCATGCCAACCTCCCATTTTTTGCAGCAGCAGCCTTGTCTAAACTACCATAACTTCTTGTTTGGCATGACACAATGGCCCTGAAATGGCCCAGTTGTATCTCTGCTGCTCCCCCCACTCTCTCCCCACAATATTTTCAAAATGAATATCTAAAAATGTGAACTCTGTTTAAAATCCTTCAATATCTTACATTTCCTTTAGAAAGAAAGAGAAAGAGAGAAAGAGATGAAGGAAGGAAGGAAGGAAGGAAGGAAGGAAGGAAGGAAGGAAGGAAGGAAGGAAGGAAGGAAGGGAGGGAGGGAGGGAGGGAGGGAGGGAGGGAGGGAGGGAGGGAGGGGAGGGGAGGGGAGGGGAGGGGAGGGGAGGGGAGGGGAGGGAAGAAGATTCCTTCAGTTGGACTACGGAGCTTGTATCCATGCTCCTTATTTGCCTTTCCTGCCTGACCCCATTACTCCCTGCTGCTTACTACCTTTGCTTGCTTGACATTGCCTCATTTCAGGTCCTCATTTTAGAAACACTACCTCTAGACCTTGGAACATGTCATTTCTTCTGCCTGAAATTCTCCTCCTTACCTGGAAAGATGACATAATAAAAACAGAGATAACAGAATCACTGAAACAGAAGGGTTCAAATGCCAGGTGTACCCTGTACTAGCTGTATAATCTTAAACTCTCTGAAAACCATAGTTTTAATATCTGCAAAATGGGGATAATAACAGTCTATATCATAGAGTTATTCAGAAAATGAAAAGATTGGTTATATGTAAGGCATTTAGTAAACATCTGGTACAGAGTAAGCCCTCCACATTGTCAGACATCATCCCTCCACTCGTTACCTAATTAACCCCTTTTAATCTTCCAGGTCTCAGCTTAAGTGTTGCTTCCTCATGCAAGAATTCCCTGATCTCCCTGACCCTACCATGGAAAACTCTTTGTTGAAAAGTCTTGGCGTTGTATAGCTATCATTCACAGGGCTTGCTACATATGCAGCTTTACATTTATTTTTAGTTACTGTCTGGTTAAAGTCTGACTCCAATAGAAATAAACTTTTCAATGGCAAAAAATATTTTTGGTTTTGCCCAAAATTACACCCCCAATATTTAATACAGTACCCAGAATCTAGTAGTACTCAGTAACTATTTGCTAAATAAATGAATGTTCTACTGTCTTTCTTGTTTGCTTTCCCTCCCCATTACTTGTTTTCCATTTATGAAAGTCATTTCGATGCCTATCTTATTTATTGATCTTCCCAAAATCTCCCCGATGGAATTAATTCTTCCACTCTCTGTTCTCCCTCTGCTGTATTTTTAAAATAATAATTATTGTCTACCTTGCACCAAATTACATTTGTCTCTATTCATGTATTTTTCCTTGTGTCTTTATTCAATTATCATTAGGGTCAAATTTCTACAATATAAATCTGATATATTCAAATTCAATGTATTCGAAGCTTTCTGAAGACTCCTCAGAGGGTAAAGTCAACCTCCTTAACCTGATATACATATAATTTACAACCTGATCCCAGCCAATTTTTTTCCAGCCTCATATCATGTTATACTATCCCAACCCCTAAGTCAGCTTTAGGCAGGAGGTCTTTATGCAGAACAGAGGGTACCTGCTACCTTCATGGAGAAGCATGACCATCACGTCTCACAGTCAGGAAAAACAAACAAGCAATAATCCCCAAATAAGCAAAAAAAAATAAAAAATAAATAAATAAATAAAAAACAGGGTTGCCTTGTCTAGTTCTAGTCTTCAAAATAAGTGACACCTTAAGCCTTTCCCATAACTGATTCCCAAACAAAAATAAAGTTCTTTTTAACTTTTGCAGTACCGATGTCTGAAAGGTATATGTGTGTGTGTCTACAATGTTTATGAATACAGCAATCATGACAAAACTTACTGTTCTCCACCGTGAACTGTCAGCATAGCAGAATGTTTTCAGTTCTTTACCCTCCCTCCAACCTTGCTTTTTGACATGTAGCTTTGCAGTCTCACCCAGTGGAGGTGAGTATGCTTCCCCACACCATTGGTTTTGGGCTTCACCACATAATTTGTTTTGACCAATGGGAAGTAAGTGAAAGTGACAGCTTGCTAGTTTAGGTCTCATTCCTTGACAGACATCACCTTTATCTATTCACCCCTGAGCTTCTGTCATCACCTGAGAATAGGCCCCAGCTAGCCCACTGGACCAAGGAAGACAGGATGCAAGACACTTGGAGTAGGCTTAAGACCAGTCGTAAGGTTGGAGCCACCAGCCAAACCCTGACTAGAACTAATACACCTCAGCTAACGTACTTATATGCTTGTTAAGCCAGTAGATTTTATAGTTGTTTGTTACACAGCATTTTGATAAGTGCTGGCTAATAAACATGGTCACCTTAGTAATCTCGTAGAGAGTGTTTTCTTTAAAGAATCGCTTTATATTTAAGTTTGTGAGTTAAAACTTTTAAAGCCTGATCTCTCTTGCAATCTTAGCAATTAAACTTATTTTCATTTTCCAAATGCTTTATTACTGAGTCATCCTTGACAAGAGCAATCCATGAAACTGCATTCAAAGTCACTTTTTAATAACTGAGGGAGTGGTTTATTCCTGAGTCGAGCTTGTCCATTCAATGTTCTCCTCCTGGGATGAGTTATCTCCCAGGAGTCTCCTGAATTCTTTGTCTAAATAGATTTCTGGCAGTCTGCTGCTCTACCATTTCACCAATTTCAGACCACATGCATTGAGGCTGTAATATATTTTCTGCCTTTTTACATTAACTCATGCAGTTCAGTCTACTTAGAATGTCCTTCTCTCTCTTGTCCAGTCAGCACAGTATTAGACATAGCACAAGGCTCAGATGAAATGTTGTCTCCTCCTCTTAGTATGTTTATCACCAATCTGTAACAAGATTAAGCCTAGTCTCAATTGCAATACTGATGTCTGAAGTGGTGTGTGTGTGTGTATATGTGTGTGTGCGTGTCTACAATGTTTATGGATATGGCAATCATGACAAAAATTACTGTTCTCCACCATTGCTCCATGTATGGAGAAAAATCAATGTTCTCCACAGATTTCTGTTTTCTCCTTGCTAGACTATATATTTCTCAAGCACATAGACTCTGTTTGTGTCTCCGGCACCAAACAGTGCCTACCATATGGTTCATTCACAGTAAAATTTACTCAATTAAACTGAACTAAATGGTATTTAATATATGTCTCTCCTAATAAAATACCAAAACCTAAGACTTCTTCATATTAATCCATAGTATCTAACAGAATGCTCTGGGCATAATAATATTTAATAAGTATTTGTTGAATTAAACTTCATTGAATTTGTGGTTCATACGGTTGACAAGTGTGATGGTTAATACTGAGTGTCAACTTGTATTGAAAAATGCAAGTATTGATCCTGGGTGTGTATGTGAGGGTGTTGCCAAAGGAGATTAACATTTGAGTCAATGGGCTGAGGAAGGCAGACCCACCTTTAATTGGCTAGACACCATCTAATTAGCTGCCAGCAAATATAAAGCAGGCAGAAAAACGTGCAGTGATGAGATGGGCCTAGCCTCCCAGCCTGTATCTTTCTCCCATGCATCACATGGATGCTTCCTGCCCTGGAACACTGGACTCCAGGTTCTTCAGTTTTGGGACTCAGACTGGCTCTCCTTGCTCCTCAGCTTGCAGACAGCCTATGGGGGACCTTGTGATCATGTAAGTTAATACTTAATAAACTCCCCTTTGTGTGTATGTATGTGTGTATGTGTATGTGTGTATATACATATATATACACACACACATATATACACACATATATATATACACACATATAGATATATATATTAGTTCTGTCCCTCTAACAGAACCCTGACTAATACAGATTTTGGTACTAGGAGTGGTTCTACAGGAACAGAGGACTCTACTTCTAATTGTATGGAGAACACTGATAGTCCTTGGTGGAAACTGTTTAGAGACTTATGCAAAATAAATGATTTGACACTCCTGATTCACCACTCGTGAGAGGCAAGGAGTTTAGTGACCCTCTACATAATACCTCTGACCATATTTGGAGAACCAAGGAATATAATGAAGCTGGTTGGTTGCTCCTAAGTTCAGTGGACAAAGTGAGAAAAGAAAATGATGAACTCAGGGATTCTGCCTCCCCGGTTCAGAAGCAGATACTGAGCCTCAAATCTGCTAAGACTGCCTTGAGTGAGAGCTGAAATTGTGGAAAAACAGACACAAGCTCTTATCATGCAAGTGGCTGACCTGCAACAAAAGATGCATACACAGCCTCACCAGGTGTCTACTGTTAAAGTGAGAACATTGATTGGAAAAGAATGGGACCATGCAACTTGGAATAGGGATGTGTGGGAGGACCCTGATGACACTGGGGACACTGAGTTTGTAAACTCTGATTAAACATTTTTGCCAGATGGAACAGCTTCTCCATCCCCAGTAGTGGCAACATCCCCTCCCTGACCCATGCTGCCATCAGACTTTCCACCTTTGTCTAAGGAGATAGAGTCTGTGCTGCCTGAGGCAACAGTGATGGCCTCCCCTGAGGCAGTTGCCAGGCAGGAAAATGTTGATTCTCCTCAGAAGCCACCCCCAACACCTCTGTTTGCTTTTAGACTAAAATCCCAGTGGGCCCCTACAAGTGAGGTTGAGAGTGTGACCCATGAGGAGGTGTGCTACCCTCGAAAAGGAGCCCACTAAGTAGGGACTCTGCTTTTAATGTTGCAGCTTAGGGGGCTAAAAAATGGTTCTAATAGTTTATCTGCTTGGTTAGCTGAAATATGGATTAAAAGATGGCCCACTATGAAGGAGCTGGAAATGCCTAATATCCCTTGGTTTAATGTAGAGGAAGGGATCCAAAGGCTTAGAGAGATTGGGATGGCTGAATAGATTAGTCACTTTAGACCTATTCATTCCAGCTGGGAGGGTCCAGAAGATATACTCTTGACAAATGCCTTGCAAAACAGAGTTGTGAGGGCAGCACTTGCATCTTTGAAGAGCCCTATAATTGCTCTTCTCTGTATGTCAGATCTAATGGTGGGAACCACAGTCACTCAACTACAAAATTTAAATACAATGGGAATAATTGGATCTCAAGGTCTCAGGAGCCAAGTGGCAGTATTCAACTGTCAAAAGCAAGGTGGGCATAGCTACCGTAATGGACAGCAGAGGCAAAGCATCAATCAGAATCATGTACAGCTCTGGCACTGGCTAATTAATCACGGTGTTCCTAGAAGTGAAATTGATAGGAAGCCTACTGCATTCCTACTTTAATTATACAAACAGAAAACTTCTAGGTCGAATGGAAAAAAGACTAACTCGAATTATAAAAACAGAGAATCACGGCCCCTCAATCAATTTCCAGACTTGAGCCAGTTTACAGACCCAAAACCCCTTGAATGAAGGGGAGGCCAGGTCTCCTTGAGGAAGGACCCCATTACCAATAATTTATGCAGTGGATCTTTCTCCCATCCTTCCCCAAGGAGACTTCCAGCCTTTCACCAGGGTAACTGAGCACTGGGGAAGGGGAAATAATCAGACATTTCAGGGACTACTGGACACTGGCTCTGAGCTGATGTTGATTCCAGGGGACCAAAAACATCACTGTGGTCCTCCAGTTAATGTAGGGGCTTATGGGGGTCAGGTAACATATGGAGTTTTAGCTCAGGTCTGACTTACAGTGGGTCCAGTGGGTCCCCGGACTCATCCTGTGGTCATTTCCCCAGTGCCAGAATGCATAATTGGCATAGACATACTTACCAGCTGGCAGAACCACCACACTGGCTCCCTGACTAGTAGGGTGAGGGCTACTATGCTGGGAAAGGCAAAATGGAAGCCAGTAAAGCCGCCCCTACCTAGAAAAATAGTAAATCAAAAACAATATCTCATCCCTAGAGGGACTGCAGAGATTAGTGTCACCATCAAAGACTTGAATGATGCAGGGGTGGTGATTCCCACCACATCCCTATTCAACCCTTCCATTTGTGCAGAAGACCGATGAATCTTGGAGAATGACAGTGGATTACTGTAAGCTTAACCAAGTGGTGACTCCAATTGCAGCTGCTGTACCAGATGTGGTTTCATTGCTTGAGCAAATTAACACATCAATTGACTTGGCATTGACTTGGCAAATGCCTTTTTCTCCCTTCCTGTCCATAAGGCCCACCAGAAGAAATTTGCCTTCAGCTGGCAAGGCCAGCAATATACCTTCATTGTCCTACCTCAGGGGTATATAGATTCTCCAGCTTTGTGTCATAATTTTATATGGAGAAACCTTGATCACTTTTCACTTCTGCAAGATATCACACTGGTGCATTGCATGATGACATTATGTTCATTGGATCTAGTGAGGAAGAAGCAGCAAACACACTGAACTTATTGGTGAGACATTTGCATGCCAGAGGATGGGAAATAAATGACTAAAATTCAGGGACCTTCTACCTCAGTAAAATTTCTAGGGGTCCAGTGGTGTGGGGCCTGTCGAGATATTCCTTCTAAGGTAAAGGATAAGTTTCTGCGTTTGGCCCCTCTTACAACAAAGAAAGGGGCACAATGCCTAGTGGGCCTATTTGGATTTTACAGGCAACACATGCTTCATTTAGGTGTTACTTTGGCCCATTTATCAAGTGACCCAAATGGCTGCCAGTTTTGAATTGGGTTCAGAAGAGAAGAAGGCTCTGCAACAGGTCCAGGCTGTTGTGCAAGCTGCTCTACCACTTGGGCCATATGACCCAGCAGATCCAATGGTGCTTGAGGTGTCAGTGGCAGATAGGGATACTGTTTAGAACCTTTGGCAGGCTCCCATAGGTGAATCACAGCGGAGGCCTCTAGGATTTTGGAGCAAGGCCCTGCCATCTCTTCTGCAGATAACTACTCTCCTTTTGAGAGATAGCTCTTCACCTGTTACTGGGCTTTGGTGGAAACTGAACGTTTGACTATGGGTCATCAAGTCACCTTGCGACCTGAACTGCCTATCATGAATTGGGTGCTGTCTGACCCACCTAATCATAAAGTGGGTTGTGCACATCAGCCTTCCATCATCAAATGAAAGTAGTATATATGTGATCTGGCTCGAGCAGGTCCTGAAGACACAAGTAAGTTACATGAGGAAGTGGCTCAAATGCCCATGGTCTCCATTCCTGCCACCCTGCCTTCTCTCCCCCTGCACCGATGGCCTCATGGAGAGTTCCCTATGATCAGTTGACAGAGGAAGAGAAGACTAGGGCCTGGTTCACAGATGGTTCTGCACAATATGCAGGCACCACCTGGACGTGGACAGCTGCAGCACTACAGCCCCTTTCTAGGACATCCCTGAAGGACAGTGGTGAAGGGAAATCTCCCCAGTAGGCAGAACTTCGAGCAGTGCACCTGGTTGTGCACTTTGCGTGGAAGAAAAAATGGCCACATGTGGAATTATATACTGATTCATGGGCTGTAGCCAGTGGTTTGGCTGAATGGTCAGGGATTTGGAAGAACCATGATTGGAAAATTGGTGACTAAGAAATTTGGGGAATAGGTATGTGGATGGACCTCTCTGAATAGTCAAAACCTGTGAAGATATTTGTATCCCATGTGAATGCTCACCAATGGGTGACCCCAGCAGAGGCAGTGTTTAATAATCAAGTGGATAGGATGACTTGTTCTGTGGACAACACTCAGCCTCTTTCCCCAGTCACCCCTGTCATCGCCCAATGGGCCCATGAACAAAGTGGCCATGGTGGCAGGGATGAAAGTTACACATGGCTCAGCAACATGGACTTCCACTTACCAAGGGTGACCTGGCTACGCCCACTGTTGAGTGCCCAATTTGCCAGCAGCAGAGACCAACACTGAGCCTTTGATATGGTACCATTCTTCAGGGTGATCCGCCAGCTACCTGGTGGCAGGTTGATTATATTGGACCTCTTCCATCATAGAAAGGAAAGAGGTTTGTACTCACTGGAATAGACACTTACTCTGGATATGGGTTTGCCTATCTTGCACACAATGCTTCTGCCAAGACTACCATCCATGGACTCACAGAATGCCTTATCCACCATTATGGTATTCCACACAGCATTGCCTCTGACCAAGGCATTCACTTTACAGCTAAAGAAGTGTGGTAGTAGGCTCATGCTCATGGAATTCACTGATCTTACCATGTTCCCCATCATCCTGAAGCAGGTGGGTTGATAGAACGGTGGAATGGCCATTTGGAATCACAATTACAATGCCAGCTAGGTGACAATACTTTGCCGGACTGGGGCAAAGTTCTCCAGAAGGCCATGTATACTCTGAATCAGGGTCCAATATATACTACCGTTTTTCCCATAGCCAGGATTCACAAGTCAGGAATCAAGGGGTAGAAGTGGAAGTGGCACCACTCACTATCACCCATAGTGATCCACTAGCAAAATTTTTGCTTCCTGTTCCTGTGACATTACGTTCTGCTGACCTAGAGGTCTTACTTCCAGAGGGAGGAATGCTGCCACCAGCAGACACAACTATTCAATTAAACTGAAAGTTATGATTGCCACCTGGACACTTTGGGTTCCCCCTACCTTTAAGTCAACAGGCTAAGAAGGGAAATACAGTGTTTGCTGGGGTGATTGACCCAGACTATCAAGATGAAATCAATCTACTGCTCCAAAACAGAGCTAAGGAAGAGTATCCATGGAATACAGGGGATCCATTAGGGTGTCTCTTACTATTACCACGCCCTGTGATTGAGGTCAATGGAAAACTACAACAGCCCAATCCAGGCAGAACTACAAATGGTCCAGACCCCTAAGGAATGAAGGTTTGGGTCACTCCACCAGGAAAGAAACCACAACCTGCTGGAGTGTTTGCTGAAAACAAAGGGAATACAGAATGGGTAGTAGAAGAAAGTAGTCATCAATACCAGCTATGACCACATGACCAGCTGCAGAAACGAGGACTGTAACTACCATGAGTATTTCCTCCTTCTTTTGTTAAAAACATGTTTGTGCATGTATATACCTGTACTAAGAAAATATATCTTCATTTTCTTTTCCTTTATCATGTGACATAAGATTTACTAACTTCATATCAGCATTTAAGTATTGTTAACTTTATGTAATAGTATTTGGGTTGGGGATTGGTGGGTTTCTGGTTGTATGAAGGACAGCTGTATTGTGTTAGGCATAATTTTGACCTTATTGTCTTTATTTGAAGACTGTGTGTGATCTCAGGAGATGTGTATGGGTTGAAGTTGACAAGTGGTGGACTTGTAATGGTTAATATTGAGTGTCAACTTGATTGGATTGAAGGATGCAAGTATTGATCCTGGGTGTGTCTGTGAGGGTGTTGCCAAAGGAGATTAACGTTTGAGTCAGTGGGCTGGGGAAGGCAGACCCACCCTTAATCAGGTGGGCACCATCTAATAAGCCACCAGTGAATACAAAGCAGGCAGAAAAATGTGAAGAGGCGAGACAAGCCTAGCCTCCTAGCCTATATCTTTCTCCCTTGCATCACATAGATGCTTCCTGCCCTGGAACACTGGACTCCAAGTTCTTCAGTTTAGGGACTCAGACTGGCTCTCCTTGCTCATCAGCTTGCAGACAGCCTATTGTGGGACCTTGTGATCATGTAAGTTAATACTTAACAAACTCCCCTTTATATCTATATGATATATAGATATATATGTATCTCTCTAATAGGATATATATATATAGATATATAGATATATATATCCTATTAGTTCTGTCCCTCTAAGAGAACCCTGCCAAAGTGGATTTTCTGAAAATATAGTGGTTGCCACTGAGACACATTGAAATATTAGTTTTAGGAAGGATTACAGTAAGGTTAGCCTAAACACTGGGCTAATATTGTAAGAAAAATCAATGTGTTCTCTCTATATGTTAATGGACAAATAAAAGGTGATCTACAATACATAGCCTAATAGATGTGTGGCAATGATTTAAGGCTTGATCTGTTAAAAGAGATATCTTAGCCAACTTAAATTTAACAGCATTTAATTGAGCAAAGAACAATTTGAGAATCAGGCAGCCTCCCAAGCCAGAGTAGGCTCAGAGAGACTCCAGCACAGCCACATGGTGGAAGAAGGTTTATTAACAGAAAAAGGAAAGTGAGGTACAGAAAAGGGAAGTGAGGGACAGAAATAGCCAGATTGGTTACAACTTGGCATTTGCCTTATCTGAACACGTTTTGAAAAGTCGGCCCCCTTTGATTGGCCAAAACTCGGTAACTGGCACAATAGTTTGTCACAGTCTGTTTACATCTCTATTTAGGTTGTAGTTCACTATGTACAGAGGCTGAAGTTAAAATACATAGGGAGGCTGAGGTTAAAATACATAGGGAGGCAGCTTTAGGCTAAACTTGATTGAACAAACCTTTGCTTTAGAAACATTTGGAGCCAAGCATGTTGGAATGTACCTGCTGTAATCCCAGCTACTCAGGAGACTGCAGGTAAGGAAGAGGAGTGTTGGCGAGGTGGGGGTTGTGGGGGTGTGATCCCTTGAGCCCAGGAGTTGGAGGCTGAAGCTATGATTGTGCCACTGCATCTCAGCCACCTGGGTGACAGAGAGAGACCCTATCTTTAAAAAAAAAAAAAAAGTAAATCTAAGAATCATTTTGCGGATGGAAATATCCACTGAGTATATGTAATTGTTAGAGGAAGCAATAATTACAAAAGGGAATAAAAGTATACAGGCTGTTTCTGGCATTATGTTTTAAATAAATTATATGGGCTATAGGTTATGGAGCCCTCTACTTTAGATTAATATTTATCAAACATTCACCTTTCTGTACTCTTTCCAAAGACACCAACTATACCTTTGATATTCCATTCTGTATTTTATAATAAACACCTCTGATTGTAGAAATTTTGAATGGGAATGGTAGTTAGAAGGTAAAGATAAAGAAAAGAAGAAATAAAGAAGGATGCAGGTGAAAGGAAAAAGTAAATAAGTTAATGACACAGTGAGCCAAGATCGCGCCACTACACTCCAGCCTGGGTGACAGAGTGAGACTCCGTCTCAAATAATAATAATAATAATAATAATAATAATAATAATAATAATAATAATAATAATAATGATGTTAATGATAGAAAAAGTGGAGGAGAGATTCATGAAGGTAAAAACAGATATGTTAAGTCAGTCAATATCTATATTTTCCCCTAACAAGAAAATTCCTTTTGCAAGCTCTTGTATCACTTGCTCACTTAACTTGCCCACCCCAAATTCCATCATGCTGATAGTCCAAAATTGCAGTTCTGGGTTTGCATAGGCATTCTACATGCTTTCTCTATGTCTCTTCTTTTGTCCTAACTTTTTTCCCCTAAGACAATCATAAATCTTACTAAGTTATCTGATCTCCCTAATGCCCAGGCTGATATTCTGCCAACATGCCCCAGTTTAGCCATGACAGTTGTTTATGGCCAGTGTCCATTCTAACTGGTGGTCTCACATCTCCTAGATCATTTTCTGGATTCGTTTCTCTTATTATTTGAGTATTTCTTCCAAATGTTTTTAATGTGAATCTTTGCATAGCAAATTGTATGAGGTCCTTCATGCCTGATAATGTTTTTATTCTTCCCTTTTATTTGAATAACAGTTTGGATGGATATAAAATTATAAATTCAGTGTTACTTATCTTCTTTAAAATTATTTCTTCATTATCTTTTTGTATGCATTGCTACTATTGAGAAATCTGATATCATTCTGATTCTTGTTAGAAATTTGATGTCAATCTGATTCTTGGTCTTCTTTAGATGATTTGCTTGTATACCCTGGAAGATATTCAAATTTTATATTTGTTTTGATATTGTTACATTTCACATAATGTGTGTTAAATTTCACATAAATTTATTTTCGTAAGGTGCTGGAGGTCCTACTGGAGAAAAATGATATTAAAGGGAGATAGGTAAGTCAGCTTGAAATAATAATTAGTCATGAGGCATTAGGGATACTTCTGAGAAAGGGTAGAATCTCTCTCAGATCTGCCCCAACCTGTCTTCCCAGGAACTTCTGGACTACTTCTATGGGAATGAAGGTCGTTTGTTAGAGAAAAGCAAAAGAGTTGCTTACACTAAAGTTTCTTTAAAACATGGCCTCAAGGTGGAAATACTGTGGTACCCCTTTAGCAGAGTAATATATAAGGAAGAGGAGTAAAGCATTGTGTGCCTGCTCTGTACCCAACCTTGAGCTTAGTGCTGGGAAGTTTTACCATATGAAATGATGGAGACTCTGCCCCTCCAGTGATCCAGGGCAGTCACAGCCCCAACAAATACAGCCATTCCCAGTGGAATCAGCAGGGGTGCCTGGGAGCTTTGGTGGTGGTGCCTGGAAAAGCAGCAGCAGGAATGGGCAGAAGTGGTGGTACCATTGGGACAGGGCAATACCATGGCAGATGGTCTGGAGCCTAACAGGGAAAGCAGGTGGACACTGCTTTCTACCCAGTGTGTAAAAATCTGGGGTAGAATTGTCTAATACAGAGTGGGAGAGACATTTTCAGATAACTGTAGCAAAAGCTACCTTGAGGTTCTAGGTTCAGAATCAATTAGGCCATCACATTTCTCTCTAAACATTAATTCCTACTACACAGAAAATATAGCCATAGAATTGTGAGCTGATGTAGAAGATGTAAGATCATAGATCAGTGTTTTAAAGCTGTCTGGGAACTTACTGGCTAAGCTAATCATCGAAACTTTTAAGAGTTGCTCAGCAGTTACTATTGCTGAACCTAAAACACAAATAATAAAGCCCCAGATGTGAGCATCTCTAAGCTATTGGGCTTTATATTTCCTAAGTGGAATACCACAAAGAGTTTATTTGAGAATTCTTATTTTATAATATTTTCAAAATAAATGAACTATATTCTCTAGAAGTTAGAATGTAGTACAAAATGCCATATAAGACGTTAAATTCTAGTCAATTTTGTGAACTGTGGACTTTGGCAGTGGACAATCAGCTGTATAAAATGGCTTCATCTTTTTCAAACTGATCAAGATTAGTGGATTCAATGAGATAAATACCAAAAGGGTTGACACAGGCAGAACCAGCCTGGACAACAGACTTCCTCACTTCTGTGAGCCTAATGCTCTCAAGCGCAGCTCTAACCCTGGGTCAAACTACTTATACTTCCTCCAAAGACTTAAAGTTAAAAAGTAGAAATCTGTTTGATTTTCCTTGAAATATTTTTATACAGTATTTCTATTATCTGATCATAGGGACGATTGATGACTATTTTAAAAGTATAGATAAAGGTATGGATATGGATACAGAGCTATAAGCTTTCCCAGTGCTTTTTACACTTCAAGTACTCCAATACCTAATTCATTTGGAATACAAATTTAAGTTAATTTTTTTCATTATTTCAATCCCAGTGAAAAATTTCCTTTCAAACTACCAATATTAAATGTACAACTAAATAGCAAAGTGTACTTAATGTGGACTTTACACTCAAAACAATCAGGAATTTTTTAAATGCTGTTTGGTAGGATTCCAAATTTTTTTTACTATAATCTTAAACACGTGTTTATCTTTTGCAGTTATACTTATTTACAATCAAACTTAAAATAAGACAGCTCAAGAAAGTGATTTAGTTTACTTTTTACTTTGGAGGCTTGTTCTTAGTTCATAACATTTCCGAATATTGCGTTAACAAATAAACCCAGTAACTGTGCTTACAGGTAGAGTCATAAGACCATCTTTGCAGGTGCCAGTTTAAACAGGGTCCCTAGTCAGGGTAACATTAATGCTCAGGGTGCCTGCTGTCTGTTGATACTACTGGAACTTAATATACTAAACAGATGTATGATTGGTTCTACCTAAGATTACATTTCTCAATTCCAACTATATTTAACTAAAACTTTCATTGAAATTTTATAAACAAGGAAATTATTCGAAAATAAAAAAAACACAACTTAGATAAACCAATTACAAATTTGTTAAACCTTAAACATTTCAAATCATTCCATACACCATTCAAAATAGGCTCTCAAGTCCTGCTGTCAAGCCACTGGCTCTGTGGCCCAGAACTGCTTTGGTTTCCAATGTTTCATCTGTACTTCTACATTTACTTTCTTCATAGCTTTGTGGAAGAGAGCTGTCAGCCCTATAATTCCACAGAATATCTTGTCTTACAATGCAAAACCTGTCTTGTATTAATCATAGAAATAGTTTCTACAGGACTTCTCTAACATAACCGCTGTCCCTTCCTGCCTAAGCTTCCTCTGACGGTGTCTACTGTCATGGATGCACCATCATCTAGGCTCACAGCCTCACAGCCCACATCTGACAACTATGACTTCACCGTATGATTGCTCAACCTTGTTGATTCTTTACATATTTTAAGAAACATTTGATTTGATTCTATAATTGGGGGAGAGTAAAAACTAGATTCCTGACTGATGCTCATGGTTGGTACATGGTTATAAGAAATGTATATTAAAATAATTAATGTTCTGCGGTAAGAGGATGTGAATCTTTTTTTTTTAAATTAAGACTACAGAGGCCGGTAGAGTTAGATTCATTCATTCATAAACTCATTCATCGATTCTTTCATACAGATTGAAGAAATCTTTGTAACTATCTACTCCTGTTCTGTTATTTGACAAATGAGGAGACTGAGGCTAAGAGACATATCTGAAGTGTAGTCACCAAGAATCAGAGTGTGGTGTGATGTGGCTCAGTGTGCCCTCTGCTAAGGCAGTGACCCAGTGTGGCCACCTCGGAATGGTTGGTACCCCTGTTTCCTCCAGTAGCAACACAGGATCCCAGGAGCAGAGGGAAGTCTTTGGCCACAGCACAGAGGCTTTGACAGGTCACTGTTAAAGCAAAGAAATACATCTCAGGCTCTATGAGAGACCTTAAAATAGCTCCCAAGTGGCAGCACTGCTTTGAATGGCTTTGGAAAGACATCATCACACCCACAACCCAGAGAAAGCTTTTAGTTCAAAGGTGAAGAAGCTTGCATGCCAAGGTCAAGGAGCTGGAGCCTCAGTAATGTTCCAATAATCCAGACACGTATTCATCCCTGTGGGTATTGAGGAATGTTTAAATTTAACGGGGGGAAGTGCTGTCAAAGTGAACACAAGGAACTCCCTTTTATTTAAAGCTCTTGTTCCTCATTCATTCTGGATGGTGAGTAATATATCTTAAGGTTGGAGGGGAATTGACAAGCAATCGTAGATGCCTGGTGATGGTTTTCAGCTTGTGTGGCAAAGCTGAAAAGTGGGGGGGAAATAAATACAGAGAATATTTAAAGTCACTAGCATCCCAAGGTGGCCAAAGTACTCATTAATAGTTTCAAACACTGGGCACAGAATAAGTAGTTTTCAAAACAAGTGCATGAATTCATCAGCTGTTATTACCACAAGGGCCAAGCTTGGGAATTAACAGGGCATGTGGCTGGAAAAACTGCTTCTGTTTTGCCTCTAACACAATGTCATATGAAAGTAGGCATTTAATAAATACTTTAGTTACCCTGATGAGTTGAGTTTTACCTGTAGTAAGAGTTATAGGAACATCAGTCAAAATTAAGAAAGCTAAAATTCTTATTATATGAAGGTTGCAGAATTATTAAAATAGACAATCTTTGTATTCTTAAAAAAAAATAAAAATCCAAGAAATGTTAATGGTCAGATGAGATGTGCCAGGAAATTTTTTCCACATTTCAACAGGAAATATAAAAAGTTAATTCACTGAGATTCGAGTACATAGTATGTTTATTATCTATTAAGATTTTAATAGATAATATATATTTGAATCTCAGTTAAGTAACTAAAATTTTAATAGGTAATAAACATATCAGAATATTCAATGCAAGTAATAACCCAAAATCCAAATTAAAAAACAATAACTAAATTAGCACAGATTATGCCCAATGCTGATGAGGATACAATAAACTGGGCAATTCTCTTCTGCTGATAGACATGTTAATTAATTCTTTCTTTCTGGGGAAAAAAATAGCAATATACATCTAAAGCCTAAAATTGCTTATAGCTTTTAAATCAGTAATTCTTTTTATAGTTATCTTGCCAGGAAAAGTAATTTTAAATACAAAGCGTTATGTAAAATTTGCTTATACCAGCATTATTTTTAATACTAAAAAATCAAAACCAACTTAAATGTTTAAGGATTCCAAGAATAATTAATAAAATACATAAAATACCCAAACATATGCACGCAAGAAAAAATTTTAAATGCTAGAAGGAAAATTTTTGAATATCTGGATAATAAGATTCTCCAAATTCTGAGATATGCATGATGATGTAAAATTCTAGGGAAAAAAAGATATCCTTTTTTTAAAGATACCCACTAAAGATAAAAAAGGTATCTTTTTTTTAAAGATACCCACCTTGGAAGTGGGTTTTCTATGTTTTAGAGTATTTTTCAACTAAGAGGACATCCAGCTTCAGTTTAAGTGGGGTCAAATGTGTCAAAGTCTCTCATTACAAAGTAGCTCTATCCATTCCTGGGTCCTTATACAGGTTCCAGCCAGCCATATGAAAACCTGATACTGAAGCCAAACTTTGTGACAAGTACCTACTCCCTTTTCTCTCTGATGAACTGGGCCAAACTCCTGAAGGGTTAAAAGCCCTGCACAGACACTTCCCTTCATCATCCTCATTTGAGGTCTTTTTCCTTATTTCATACCAGGCCTCCCCAGTCATTGGCTGCATTGAAAATATTACCTGCAGTCCTGTGAATCTTACGCCTCACTGGGAACATACATCTGCCCGTGCTAAATGCTTTCATTCTATTATTCAGTTACTCTGTGCTGTTCCTACCAGTTAGAATATAGGCCCCCATAAAGCTGGCAGGCTCAGAACATGAATAGAACTTTCTTTTCCTAGAATACTTAAGCATACACTCTGAAACATGGGAAATCCATCTCTTCATCACAGTTTGCTAATTTTTACATCAAAAAATTACAACTAGCAATGTCAACTGACACACCTAGGGATGTTACACTTGCCCATTTCTGTAAAGAATTCTTACAGAAAGAACCAAAGATGTTTTCCTTCCTTCTCCAGTCCCACTGATCACTGTGGGCAAGACATCTATGGGGCACTGGGTATCAGCAGAGCTGGTAATAAACATGCTGAAAAATAACCAATGAATGCTTGAAACAATGGAATCCATAATTCTTCCCAAATGGTTTTGTGTAACGAATCCAAATATGGAGCATAATTAGAAGCCAGTCATATAACATCAGCCTATTTGGGATTGTTTCACTTTAGGCACTTTAGGCGGGTGTTTTGAATTGTGTTGTAGCTAATTTCGTGTAATAAGCTAAGTCGTAAAGAATGTTACCATCTTGAAAAATGGGGTAGGCTCACTGTAGGCGAAGCTTACAGACCTTAATCATGGTAGAAAAGTGACCCTAGTTAAAGGAGAAGCTGGTTATGTGAATTCTTTTTGTAGCATAACCATTCAAAACAAGTTACCCCAAAGCACCAATACATTTTAAAGCATGGAAGGCTTACAGCACTTGACAAATATATATAACATTATGGAACAAAATAATATCTCTTCCACAGACAAGACTGTATTGTTTATCATTATTTTTGATGGTTTGGAAGGAGATTCAGCAATATCTGAGAGCTAAGTGCCCTCTCTCCTACTTCCTTTTGTATCATTTGTCACCAAGCAGGCACTTGCTTTAAAACTATTGAAGGTTTTTCAGAATAATACGTTGTTTACTTGCCTTCCTGACTACCAACTTATTGCTCTCCCCTATGAACTGCGTGAATGTTTTGAAGTTATGGGTCTTCCTTTGCAGACCCTATTCATAGTCATACGGGGAATTTTTTTTTTCCCAAAGGGAAGAAGGGATGCTACAATGAAGAAAGTGTTTCCATTATTGGTTCCAGCTACAATCTGAGAAAAAGCGAAAAAAGAAAAAGAAGTGAAATGGGAGTAACAAAAGAGTAACTGAAGCAGGGGGGAAATTAGAGGATGAAAATGTCCCCAGGATATTGGAAAAGATGAAATTGCATAAGAGCAGCAGACCTTTGAATAGACACTAGGGACCCGGAGGAACGTTAATTATAATGAAAATAAATTGCTATAAGAAAATAAGAGGGAGAAGAGTAGAACTGTGGTTTTTTTTTTCTAAGACAGCTAAATTAAGAAGTCTTCAATATGCATTCAAGACCTCACCTGAAATTATTTAGAAAAATCATGTCTTGAAATCTCAAGGGTAAGAGTGGCCCACTCTCAGAACTTACATCTTTTAGCAGTGACTTTGGATAAAGCTGAAACATATTGAGGCATCTCATTAAAAACTGGCCTTTGCTTTATCCAGTCTCACAATCCTCTGAGGAATATGCTAGGGCTGTTTGCGAAGGTAAATTTTACCTATTAGGGAGGCTGAAATGCAGCCTTTCTCCAGAACAGTTAAATGTCTGAATCTTCATTCTTTATATATGATACGATCCACAGCTATAGTTCCCTATAGGAAATTTTGGAAGACTGGGGAAACCATATCTCTGTCTAATCTCTATGTTATCACTTGCCTTAAGTAAATATCTCTGAAAATCTACCTATTCTTTTTGCAATTAAATAAACTTTAGGCCTCTAACTGTATCCATGGATATCTTTCTGAAAATCACATTACTGCCCCAATGAGACTACTACACAGGAAGCAATTTTATCTAGGCACAGAAAGAGAGAGTGTATGTGAACCACTGCCCAGGGTCTCGATTTTCCCTACAAGAAAATGACATGCAATTTGAAAATGTCTATCAGCAATGGTTATTAAACAAACTTGTAGGCACGTACCATGAGCACAGCCTAAATCTGGAATTTAAAAGGATACAGAAGTAAATGCCTCTGTTTTCAAGTAATTTACAACTTAATGGAGAAGATTCAATAAATAAAAAGTAGAGAATAGTAAGTACCACTAAATAGGAAAACAAAATGCCTCAGGAGTTCAGAGAAAGGAGCAATTAATTCCTACTAAGTATCTTAGAAAAGCTTCTAATACTGGCTATTTTTTTAATTGGGAGGAGGGTATATAAAGAGAAGCATATAAAGTATTTGGAAGGAAAGGCATTTTGAGCAAAGAGAAATGTATGACTCAAGGTATAGAGTTGAGAAATTACAAAATGTGTACAGGAAGAACTTCTAATCCAGTTTTACTAAAGCACTGGGTATATGAAAGTAGACTGCATTGTCTACTTCTCCCATCCTTTATTAGGGCTCCAACCTTGGATAGCAATCAAAAGCAAAGTTTCTGGAGCCAGAATGCTTGCCTTCAAATATGTTCTCTGTCACATCCTTTCTAAACAATCTATGTAATTCCTATACAATCTATGCAAGTAAATGAATTTCTTTTTGCTTTCATTGCCTACCTGAAAAATAAGGATCATATAAGCACATATTTCATAAGGTTGTCACAAGAAATAGAGCTTTTAGAAGACAGAATGGCACATGATGAGCGCTCAGTGAATATTAGTTATTATGACCCTTATCTTGGAGAGTCTGCAAACATGGAGGCCCATAAGTAAAAATTTCTTATCTTTTCTCCTAGTTGCATCAATATAGTTTCTTTAGCTCATACTTAGAAAGCTTGGGCCATTGGGGTGGGGAAGCAGCATATATAGTTTTTAAAAGACTGTTAAATAACCTGAGAGTCTTGCACACCTGCTTTTTATTCCTGCCATTAATTATCTCTATGACCTTGAGCAAGTCACGTAAATTATCTATGCTATGGTTTGAATATATTTCCTCCAAAATTTAGGTGTTGCCAATGTGATAATATTAAGAAGTTAGGTCTCAAGGGCTCCTTCCTCATGAATGGAATTAAGGCCCTTATTTTATAAGGCTTCATATAGCATTTTGTCTCTTGCTCCTCCACCTTTCACCATGTGAGAGCAGAGCATTTCTTCCCTCCAGAAGATGCAGGGCCCTCACCAGATAACTGACTTATTCTTGGATTTCCCAGCCTCTCATATTTATTTATAATCTCTGTTCTTCATAAATTATCCAGTCTCAGACATTTTGTTATAGCGACACAAACAGACTAAGACACTGTGCATCTCAGATTATGTAAAATAAGTGAGGAGTTCCTGTTAAAAACCAAAGTTGAACATACTTCAAAATGATAGTAAAAGTTTGTAAAACATATAAATCCACAAAAACAGGGAATGGGAGAAAAGACAACAGAAGATAAGTGACTGTAGAGGATGAATAGCAGATAGATGATGGTAATTGCAGAGACACACAACTGCAACCAAATTGTCAGCACAGGAGAAAGTCAGTAAGAAGCAACCCAACTGTGGTAGGATAAGTAATGGCCTCCAAGATATCCACATCCCAATCCCTGGCACTGTAAATATGTAATCTTACATGGCAGATGAGACTCAGTAGGATCTTGAGATGGAGATGTTGTCCTGGATTATCTGGGTGGGCCCAATATAATCATAAGGGTCCTGAAAAGAGAAAGAAGGGAATAAGCAAGTCAAAGATAGAGAACAAGACGTGATGATGGAAGCAGAGGCTGGAGTGACGCGAGGTCTGAGCCAAGGTATGCAGCAAGCTTTGCAAGCTAGAAAAGGCAAGAAAACAGCCCACCCTATGGGTAGATAGGAAGATGGTGGTTAGGAGACAGGGCTAACATGCAGCTTCCACATGGACAGATGGAAGAGCGTGTGGAGACTCACACTGTAATCTTTTGCTCCAAGAACCACCAGAGGAATGTATCAGGAAAACCAAAAGAATTCACAGATCCTTTGAAAGAGGCAGTACACTGATGCAAATTCCATGAAATGGTGAAAAGCTGTGAGTTCCCAGAGTGTGACGGGGGAAAACCAGCCTCCAAATACACATTCCTCCTGGGGAATCTGAAAATCCAGATTATGGGAGAAGGATTTAACCTTACCTAGAGAAGAAATGAATTTAGAGAGTAGTGCAAAATATAAAAGTAGAAGTAGCATCAGGAAAGTGCCTTGCAGGTACTCCCAGTATCCAGCTCGAGCCTAGGGAAGCCATTCTTGACTATATACAAGAAAGGCCCTTGGGACAGGCAGCCAGTGGAATTGGGGAGGGGTCACAAGGCAAAGGAGGCTCCCAACTGAAATTGGTAGTGGTTTCAACTGTGTACAAATTTTATTGAGCAAAGTTTGGGGGATGAGTGGGAGCTGCTGCAGGTATGAGTGCAGGAGCAGCCGACAGAGTGGGCAGGTGGGGAAGGGTGAGATCTGAAAGCCATAACTGCTTTCTCAGTGGGGTAGCACATGGCCTGGGGTAAGGTCTGAGCAAGGCACTGCAGGAGTGAGACCAGCCTTACCAACTCCATGGGAGCTTGGTGAGGCCTCTCGCTACCAGCTTTCCTCTACTTCCCTGGCAAACTATATGATACAGCGGAGGCAGCACTCTGGAACTAACCCCCTCTGGAACATAATCCCATTGGCCAAAGAACCACAATCCCTCCATCCCCACAGTGGCCATAGCAAGCCCCACCAAAGGATAAGCTGAGCCCAGATCTGCCTACCTCTACCCCCACCTAATGGAATTTCCCTCCCCACCCTGGTAGCCAAATATAAAAGATAGAAACTCTTGGGAGCTTTATGGCCATGCCCATTGCCTGAGAAACCAAAATACTTACCCTGGCTATCTTAGGGCAATCTTAGAGCCTGCTACTACTACCACCACTGCTAGTGGTCTCTTGAAAGCACTACCTCCTGGCTGAAGGCCAACCAACTCAGACCATTACAGCAATTCATGACAGAATAACCCTGATCCCAGGAAGAAGATAACATCTAACTCCACTGCCTGCAACATCCTGACAAATCCAAGCTTCTGAGTATGTCCATGTGACAACTTCACTGCTAGCATGACCAGCATTCAAGAAAGCCAGCACACTAAACATATATACAACCAAGGACTCTCACAGAGTCTACTTCACTTTCCTCCCACATCTACCAGAGCAGGTACTGGTATCCAAGGCTGGGAGACCTGAAGATTGATCACATCACAGGACTCTGCAGACATCCTTTAGCACCAGCCTGGAGCCTGGAAGCCCCACTGGGTGACTAGACCCAGAAGAGCGATAACAATCACTGCAATCCAGCTCTCAAGAAGCCCCACCCCAGGGGAATGGGAAGAGCACCACATCAAGGGATCACCCCATGAAACAAAAGAATCTGAACAGCAGACCTTGAGTTTCAGACCTTTCCACTGAAATAGTCTACCCAAATGATAAAATGATAAGGAACCAGAAAAGTAATTCTGGTAAAATGAAAAAACAGGATTCCATAATACCCCAAAAAAATCACAACAGCTCCCTAGCAATGGATCCAAACCAAGAAGAAATCTCTGAATTGCCAGATACAGAATTTAGAATGTTGACTATTAAACTATTAAAGGAGATACCAAAGAAAGGTGAAAACCAACTCAGAAATTTTTTTTAAAATGCAGGATATGGATGAAAAATTTTACAGAGAAATAGATATCATAAAGAAAAAGCAATCACAACTTCTGGAAATAAAAGACACACTTAGAGAATTACAAAATACAATGGAAATTTTCAACAATAGACTAGAACAAATAGAAGAAATAACTTTAGAGCTCAAAGACAAGGCTTTTACATTAACCCAACCAGAGAAAGACAAAGAAAAAGGAATTTTAAAAAATGAACCAAGCCTCCAAGAAATTTGGGATTATGTTAAACAGCCAAACCTAAGACTAATTGGTGTTGCCGAGGTAGAAGAAAAATCTAAAAGTTTGGAAAACTTATTTGAGGGAATAATTGAGAAAAACTTCCCTGGCCTTGCTAGATATCTAGACATCCAAATACAAGAAGCTCAAAGAACACCTGGGAAATTCATCACAAAAAGATAATCACTTAGGCACTTAGTCATCAGGTTATCTAAAGTCAAGACAAAGGAAAGAATCTTAAGAGCTGTGAGACAAAAATCATCAGATAACCTATAAAGGAAAACTTATCAGATTGACAGCAGACTTCCCAGCAGAAACCTTACAGGCCACAGGGATTAGGTCCCATCTTCAGCCTCCTGCAACAAAATAATTGTCAGCCAAGGATTTTGTATCCAGTGAAACTAAGCTTCACAAATAAAGGAGAGAGAAAGTATTTTTCAGACAAAGAAACAGAGAGATTTTGTCACTACTAAGTCAGAACTACAAGAAATGCTAAAAGGAATTCTAAATCTTGAAACAAAACCTCAAAATACACAAAAATAGAACCTCCTTAAAGCATAAATCTCACAGGGCCTAAACACAACAGAGAAAAAAAAAGTATTAAGGCAACAATTAACATGATGAATGGAACAATACCTCACATCTCAATACTAACATTGAATGTAAATAGCCTAAATGCTCCACTTAGAAGATACAGGAGCAGTGTGACGAAGAAGAGGCGAGAACGACCCCCGGACTGACCAAAGCCCGCGCGCAGCTGCATCCCGCATCCAGCACCTACATCCCGCCACCGTCGTGGCCGTCACCATGCCCAAGAGAAAGGCTGAAGGGGATGCTAAGGGAGATAAAGCCAAGGTGAAGGACGAACCGCAGAGAAGATCCGCGAGGTTGTCTGCCAAACCTGCTCCTCCAAAGCCAGAGCCCAAGCCTAGAAAGTCCCCTGTAAAGAAGGGAGAGAAGGTACCCAAAGGGAAAAAGGGAAAAGCTGATGCTGGCAAGGAGGGGAATAACCCTGCAGAAAATGGAGATGCCAAAACAGACCAGGCACAGAAAGCTGAAGGTGCTGGAGATGCCAAGTGAAGTGTGTACATTTTTGATAACTGTGTACTTCTGGTGACTGTACAGTTTGAAATACTATTTTTATCAAGTTTTATAAAAATGCAGAATTTTGTTTTACTTTTTTTTTTTTTAAGCTATGTTGTTAGCACACAGAACACTTCATTGTTGTTTTTGGGGGAAGGGGCACATGTCACTAACAGAAAGTCTCCAAAGCTGGATTTATGTGAGGAAAACACCTTTCCCTTCTAGTTTTGAGAGACTTCCTCTTGGCTCCCAGGAGGAGGGATTCCCTGACTCTGACACACATGGCCACCTTGGCACAAAAGCCTTGTGGTATAGAAAAACAAATTCGTTTTTATGTCCTCTTCTCCTTTTCCATCTTTCAGCATAGACTTAACTCCCTTGAGCCGAGACATCTGTTGGGACCTGACCCCCAGTCATTGATTACCAGTGTGTCAGGCAATCTGGACTTTCCAGTGATGCCACTGAGATGGCACCTGTCAAAAGAGCAGTGGTTCCATTTCTAGATTGTGGATCTTCAGATAAATTCTGCCATTTTCATTTCACTTCCTGAAAGTCAGGGTCGGCTTGTGAAAAGTTGTTAAACAACATGCTAAATGTGAAATGTCAACCCTCACTCTAAACTTTCCCTGTTCAGAGCATCAGATGAAGACTTCATTGGGTTTTATAGTGGCTTTCTGATTTTTGGTAGTCCATTGAAGAAGGGAGTTTGAAAGTTGTTGTATACTGTTAACAATTGTCTGCCCATGTCCTGCCTGAAATACCATGATTATTTATGGAAAGTATCTTTAATAAAGCTGGATATGGTTTGAAAAAAAAAAAAGAAGACACAGAATGGCAGAATGCATAAGAATTCACCAACCAAGTTTCTGCTGTCTTCAAGAGATTTACCTAACACATAAAAGATTCACATAAACTTAAGGTAAAGGGGTGGAAAAAGGTAGTCCACACAAATGGAAGCCAAAAGTGAGAAGGAGTAGCTGTTCTTATATCAGACAAAACAAACTGTAAAGCAACAACAGTTAAAAAGACAAAGATGGATATTATATAATGATAAAAGGACTAGTCCAACAGGAAAATATCATAATCCTGAATATATATGCAGCTAACACTGACAATCGCAAATTTATAAAACAATTACTACTAGACCAAAGAAATGAGATGGATGGCAATGCAATAATAGTGGGGGACTTCAATACTCCACTGACAGCACTAAACAGGTCACCAAGACAGAAAGTCAACAAATAAACTATGGACTTAAACTATAACCTAGAACAAATGGACTTAACAGATATTTACAGAACATTCTACCCAATAGCTGCAGGATATACATTCTTTTTTCAGCATGGATTCTCCGAGATGGATCCATTCTCCAAGATGGATCATATGATAGATCACAAAATAAGTCTTAATAAATTTAAGAAAATAGAAATTACATCAAATATCCTCTCAGACCACAGTAGAATAAAACTGGAAATTAACTCCAAAGGGGTTTATTCTATACATTAAACTATACCCTAAACTATACAAATAGTATAGTTTATTAGTTTAGTTTAATATATAAATAGTATAATTTATATATATAAAATAGTATAGTTTAATATATAAATATATATATATATTTATAAATTTAGGGTTTATTCTATACCCTATACAAATACAAGGAAATTATATAATCTGCTCTTGAATGATCTTTGGGCCAATAATGAAATCAAATGGAAATTTAAAAAATTATATGAGCTGAACAATAATAGTGACACAACTTATCAAAACCTCTGGGATACAGCAAAAACAGTGCTAAAGGAAAAGTTTACAGCATTAAATACCTACATCAAAACTCTGAAAGAGCACAAATAGACAATCTAAGCTCACACCTTGAGAATCTAGAGAAATAAGAACAAACCAAAACCAAACCCAAACCCAGCAGAAGAAAGACATAACAAAGATCAGAACAAAATTAAATAAGAAATACAAAAGATAAATGGAACAAAAAACTAGCTTTTTGTTTGTTTGTTTGTTTGTTTGTTTTTAGGAGATTAAGTCTTGCTCTGTCTCCCAGGCTGGAGTGCAGTGGCGCGATCTCAGCTCACTGCAAACTTCGCCTCCTGGGTTCAAGCGATTCTCCTTCCTCAGCCTCCTGAGTAGCTGGGATTACAGGCACAAAATACAAAAATTACTACCATGTCTGGCTAATTTTTGTATTTTTAATAGAGATGGGGTTTCACCATGTTGGTCAGGCTGGTCTCAAACTCCTGACCTCATGATCCGCCCTCATCAGCCTCCCAAAGGGCTGGGATTATAGGCATGAGCCACCATGCCCAGCCAAAAACTAGTTCTTTTAAAATATAAACAAAATCAACAGACCGTTAGCAAGATTAACCAAGAAAAGAAAAGACCCAAATAAACTCAATTAGAAACGAAAAAGGAGATATTACAACTGAGACCACAGAAATACAAAAAGTGGTCTAAGAACATGAATAGACAATTCTCAAAAGAAGATATACAAATGGCCAAAAAACTATGAAAAATGCTTAACATCACTAATTATTAGGGGAAATGCAAATTAAAAAACACGATGAGATGCCACCTTACTTCTGCGAGAATGGCCATGATTTAAAAATCAAAAAATAATAGATGTTGGCATGGATGTGGTGAAAATGGAACACTTTTACACTGCTGGTGGGAATGTAAACTAGTACAACCACTATGGAATACAGTGTGGAGACTCCTTAAAAAGTTAAAAGTAGGACTACTATTTGATCCAGCAATCCCACTACTGGACATCTACACAGAGGGAAAAAAGTCATTATAAGAAAAAGACACTTGAACACACATGTTTATAGCAGCACAATTCACAATGGCAAAAATGTGGAACCATCCTAAATGTCCATCAATCAAGGAGTGGATAGCTGGGCATAGTAGCTCATGCCTGTAATCCCAGCACTTTGGGAGACTGAGGCGTGTAGACCACCTGAGGTCAGGAGTTCAGGACAAGCCTGGCCAACATGGTAAAACCCCATCTCTACTAAAAATACAAAAATTAGCCAGGCATGGTGGCAGGCTCCCATAATTTCAACTACTGGGGAGGCTGAAGCAGGAGAATCCCTTGAACCCGGGAGGCGGAGATTGAGGTTGCAGTGAGCCAAGACCACGCCATTGCACTCCAGCCTGGTCAATAAGAGTGAAACTCCATCTTAATAAACAAACAAACAAACAAAAAAAGAGCAGATAAAGAAAATGTGGTAAATATACACAAATATTACTCAGCCATAAAAAGGAATAAAAGAATGTCTTTTGCAGCAAGTTGGATGGAGTTGGAGACCATTATTCTATGTAAAGTAACTCCAGAATGGAAAAACAAATATTGTATGTTCTCACCTGTAAGTGGGAGCTAAGCTATGAGGACACGAAGGCATAACGATGATACAATGGACTTTGGGGACCTGGGTAGAAGAGGGCCCGGGGGAAGAAATAAAAGACTACACATTGGGTACAATGTACACTGCTCAGGTGATGGGTGCACCACAATCTCAGAAATTATCACTAAAGAACTTATCCATGTAACCGAAAACCACCTGTTCCTCCACAAACTAGTGAAATTTTTTTAATTAAAAAAAAAAAAAAGAAAACATTCCATCCAGAAGCCACCAGAAGGAACACAACCCTGCCAACACCTTGATTTTAGCTCCATTAACACTCATTTTGGACTTGAAAACTCTGAGATAATAAATTTGTCTTGTTTTAAGGCACTAAATTTATAGTAATTTGTTACAGTAGCAACAGGAAACTACACATCAATTCACACCACAGAACTTGGGTAGTCTCAGGAATTGGAAGCCACAGACACTTCTGAAGGTGGTGTCAGAAAAAGGCAGAAAAACAGGACTATAGGAAGTCTAGATAAGGAGGACTTTGACCGCCAGTTCTCCTCTCTTACTTTATGTAGCCAGGTGACATCTCCTCTCCCATCATCACAGGAGCAGAGTATTTTATGTTCTAGAAAAATGGAATCAGGGAAGCTCCAAATTTGATAAAATCTGGGACAGTGGAGGGAAGGGCTGAGGCACCAGGCTGAAAACCATCTGCTTACTGAATGATGAAGATGCCAACCCCTTCCCTGGACTCACAGTCTCTCAGCACAGGGGAACAGAGGGTTTCTCTCTGAGGAAACATCTCCAGATGCAGCATGTCAGGGTCCATCAGCAATCATCTGGTTCTTGCTTTGTTCCCTACAGAGAAGTCTGGCAGCTGAGAGGCCCCAGCTATGTGCATAGAATTTCCTCACAGTAGTTTAGAGCTCCACTCTAAAATATGGATGGGTAGACAAGACACAAGATGTTTGAGATAGACAGCCTAGGTTCATATCCTGACTCCAACACTTACTAAGTGTGTGACCATTGTCAATCTAATTAATCTTTCTTTACCTCAATGTTCATATCTGTAAAATAGAATAAGATTTTTACTTCATAAGGTTGTTGTAAAGATTAAATGAGATTTTAGATAAAAAGCATTCATAAGGCCAGGCGCAGTGGCTCACGTGCAATGGTTCATGCCTGTAATCCCAGCACTTTGGGAGGCCGAGGCAGGCGGATCAAAATGTCAGGAGATCGAGACCATCCTGGCTAACACGGTGAAACTCCGTCTCTGCTAAAAATACAAAAAATTAGCCAGGCATGGTGGCACGCGCCTGTGGTCCCAGCTACTCAGGAGGCTGAGGCAGGAGAATCGCTTGAACCCAGAAGGCGGAGGTTGCAATGAGCCGAGATCGCACCACTGCACTCCAGCCTGGGTCTCCAGTGAGACTCTGTCTCAAAAAAAAAAAAAAAAAAAAAAAAGGCATTCATAACAGTGAGTAGATAAACCCAAATAAAAAATTTCAGGTGAAAAAGAGATAATGTAGGGATCCAAAGAAAATTTTATGAATAAAAAGTTCCTTTAATATCTTCAGATGAAGTGAGAAGAATATGCTATAATAAATTAAAGAAGGGCTCTTGAAAATTAAAAATATGATATGAGTAATGAATATGTCCATAGAATTGTTGAAAAATAAAGTTTAAATAGTCTCCCAGAAAGTAGAATATGACACAGACATGAACTATATATAGATAAATGTTAAGAAAATTCAAGGATCAATCGGGGTGCCCCACTGTTGCTCCTTCCTCAGGTTATACAGGTACATATCTGGCATATGCACCTACATTTTCACTTTTCCATTTCTATTTTCCAGTCTTGGTAGATAAAGCATATTTACCAAGTAGTAGTATTTGCAGAGATAAAATTTTGCATTTTGAACCACAACTACATAGTTTGTAAATAATCTGTATAATAATACCAGAGGCAAAATATATTGTTTCCAATCTTCTCTCTGGTTCTCATTTCCTTTAAACCTTACGAAGAAATACTTAGGAAGCATTTCTTTATCTCATCTTTTCAACCTAATTCATTTGGGCAGTTAGCCTCCAACCGATTTTCATTCCTATTTAATTTCCATTATAAATGTGAAAGAGAAGGTGAAGCAAGAAAAATGATAAACTCCTAAAATCATAATTTCAAGAAGCTTCATAAGAACAGTTGTGTTCAAATTATTTTAGTTTATGAATCCATTTTTATGTTATATGGTCTGTATATTCCTAAACCCCTTTTGTCGTATCCGTTCCTGAGTACTACCTAAAGTTTTCTTTTTTTTTTTTTTTTTGAGACAGGGTATTGCTCTGTCACCCAGGTTGGAGTGCAGTGTGTAACCACAGCTCACTGCAGCCTCAACCTCCTGGGCTCAAGTGATCCTCCTGCCGCAGTCTTTTGAGTAGCTGAGACTACAGGAATGCACCACCACACCCAGTGTGTGTGTGTGTGTGTGTGTGTGTGTGTTGAGATGGGGTCTCCCTATGTTATCCAAGCTGAACTCAAACTCCTGGATTCCAGAAATCTTCCGCCTTGGCCTCCCAAAGTGCTGAATTTACAGGTGTGAGCCACCACACCCAACCACTTTAACTCTTACAATCTACTTTCGTTTTTTGTTGTTGTTTTTGCTTTTGTTTTGTTTTGTTTTTGAGGCGGAGTTTCTCTCTTGTTGCCCAGGCTGGAGTGTAATGGCACGATCTCTGCTCACTGCAGCCTCTGCCTCCCAGGTTCAAGCGATTCTCCTGCCTCAGCCTCCCAAGTAGCTAGAATTACAGGCGTGTGCCACCACACCTGGCTAATTTTGTATTTTTAGTAGAGACGGGGTTTCTCCATATTTGGTCAGGCTGGTCTTGAACTCCTGACCTCAGGTGATACACCCGCCTCAGCCTCCCAAAGTGCTAGGATTACAGGCATGAGCCACCACACCTGGCCACAACCTGTTTTCCAGTCCTTTTAGCTAATATGTTTCTCATTAGCTGAATTAGCTCATTCTCCTATAAAAAGTATGACAAGGGGAAAAAATTAAAGAAAAAGGAAAAGAAAAAATTGTTGAAATTCAGAGAACTTCATTATTCTACATAAAGCTCATTACTATCAGCTTCTATAAAATTGAGCCTGAAACCCTCAGACCCAGTTATGGTTTCATTTATGCAGGTATTAAATCCTTCCAATGACCCATTGTAGGCTTATGTAAAATTACCATTAGTTACATTTATTTAAATCAGTGTTTAGCCAGATGAAAACTGGTAAAAACAAAAATCAAGAGCTGCCTTTTGAAAAGTAATTTTTTTAATAAGAAGAAGATTTTTCTAAGAATCTTTTTGTTAAAAAAATCGTATTTATAAAAATAGTTACGAGTTGGGCTCCCAACCCTGACGTGTTTATCTAAAGGATATCAGCTTCAGGTCACATTTAGCACCAGCTAGTAGCATTGTTTTTATTGATTTCACTTTCTTTATTTTTCAATTATTATGCAATTCAAGAAACTGGTTTCCCTAGCAGAAATACATAAAATATCAAGGAAGAAAACACCAGACTTTACAAATGAGACTTTAGGATTGTGGGTGGATTTACATCAGCTTTTTCTTCCTCATTCATTATCTCCATGACTAATCAAAAGTGAGCTCTCTTAATACATTTAATAGGGTTCTCACTGAATAAAATACATCATTTAAATCAGCTAGATCACTTGACCTTCAAGGCAAAATCTCAAAGCAGCTGAAACAAACACCAACTGAAAAACTGCCACCAAAACTCATTCTACATCTGAGAATGGACAGACCAAATATACTGAATGAAAGCGTGCCAAACTTACATACACACCATACATGGAAAGTTGATAGATGATGTTCCTCAATCCTTATGAATCTCAAAACAATACCCCACCCCCCTCCCTCAAAGCTAAACCACAACCAAGCTGACCTTGGTCAATGGCATCATCTGGTGGTTGCCACAAAAGACTGCCCAAACCACCTTCTTCCTCAGGAGATCAAGTGCATACAGTAGTGTCCCCAAGCCTATTGGTGGTTTCACTTTCTGCAGTTTCAGTTACCTGCAGCCAACCACAGTCCAAAAATATCAAATAGAAAATTCCAGAAATAAGCAATTCATAAGTTTTAAATTGTATGCCATTCTAAGTAGTGCAATGAAATCTCCTTCCTGCTCCTTCCAGTTTGGGATCTGAATTTTCCTTTGCCCAGCGTATTCATGCTGTCCACGCTTAATAACTTAGTAGCTGTCTTGGTTATCAGATCTGCTATTGCATATCACAGTGTTTGTGCTCAAGTAAACCCTATTTTACTTAATAATGACCCCACAGCACAGGAGTAGTGATAATGACAATTCAGATATGCCAAAGAGAAGCTGTCAAGTGCTTTCATTAAGTGGAACATGTTCTACTTAAGAAAGAAAAAAAAATTATGCTGAAATTGCTGAGATCTACAGTAAGAATGAATCTTTCATCCATGAAACTGTAAAGAAGAAAAAAGAAATTTGTGCTAGTTTTGCTGTCTTGCCTCAAACTGCAAAAGTTACAGCCACAGTAAATGATAAGTGCTTAGTTAAGATAGAAAACACATTAAATTTGTGGGTAAGATATAAACAGAAATGTGTTCTAATTTATGGCAGCAGGGTCCAGTACTATCCAAAGTTCCAGGCATCCACTGGGCGTGTTGAAACACATGCCCTGCAGATAAAAGGATGCTACTGAATAGTGATTCCACTCTTTCATTACACATAACTGTTTATTTCACCTCAAGTAACTTCTATCTCTGGGGGCAAGAAAATGTTTAGAATTTTCAAAATAATTCTATGAGCTTGTATTTTGTATTTTGTTTTGTTTTGTTTTTACCAAAGTAAAATATTAACAAGTGTAGTAAATTCAGAATATATAGAATTCACAAATTAAAATCACAAAAAGTAAGATAAAAATGTAAAAGTATTTTAAAATGTAAAAAAAAAAAAAAAAAATCATATTTAAACCCACCATCCAAACTAACACTAATAGCCAGGCATGGTGGCCCACACCTGTAATCCTAGCTACTCAAGAGGCTAAGATGGGAAGATCCCTTTAGCTGAGGTGGTCAAGGCTGCAGTGAACTGTGATTGTGCCACTACCCTCCAGCCTGGTTGACAGAGGATAACACTAATGAGCTGCCCACATTCAGGTGATTTAGTAATTAAAATGCATATTTTATTTCCTCATCCAACACAATTAAACTACAATAAAGGAATTTTTTTAAGAAATAAATCCACAAAGATGGGAAGTCCTGGAGAAACAGCAACAAAATTTTGGAAGATGGAAAGCAGATCATGAGAGGGAACTGACTTACAAACCCAAGGCAAAGATGTCTAAAGCCAACGGCTAAGAAAGCTGATAAATTAGATGATTTACACTGTAAATTCCAGCTACCTGTAGAACTAGGAGTGAGCAATGAAGACAAAGAGGTTAACATAAGGAAAATTTAATTATAGTTGTGTGTGTAGCAGTTAGATCCTTTTCCCCACAGCATGCTGAAAGATGACCGTCTTTCCCAACACCAGGAGAAACGGAGAGTTTTGCCTTCAGAAGGATAAAACAGGGTTTCTGAACCAGGGAATAACTCAGTCATAATTGAAGAATTGGGTGCCATACATAAAAGGGAAATTAAGATATCAAATGCTTATTAATTGCTTTACACTAAGTGCTGAGACCTTTAGCCACCTGGCCCTAACGTCCCACAACTCTGGGAGCCAGGCTTCACCCCATTAGAAAGAGCTGAAAAATTTACCTAAATAACCTCAGAGAATAAGATAAGGAAAGAAAACCAAATCATCCTAAGTGAAACTCAAATCGCCCCACATTCCGTGAGCACTGTAGGCTCTCGCTTTTAATCCAAGCAGACAACCAAGGGTCAAGGAACATTTGAAGAAATCAGTTAATAAGACAGATAAAGACAAAAACAAATTATTATTCTGTAAATAACAATTTACAGAAAACAGAGATAATTCCACTAGAAAAGAAAAACTTAAAATAATCCATACTTACCCTCAGAGTAATAAGAGAAGCTACTTCCATGAAGTATGATGCTCCCTTTTTTTAAAGCTCTTGAAAATTAAAAATATGGTAACAGAAAAGTTTTTAAAATCAATAGAATGATTAGAAGATAAATTTGAGAAAATCTCCCAGAAAGTAAAGTAGAAAGATAAACAAATAGAAAAAAAAAAAAAGAAATTGAAGAAGGAAGCAAAAAGTATCATGTTCAAATATTAGGTTAATTTGAATAAGAGTTCCAGAATGCAAAATAACAGGTGGGAGGATATCATAAATAAAATAATTTAAGAAAATTTCCCAGGACTAATAGACCTGATTTTCCAGGTTGAAAGGAGCCACCAACTGCTCAACACAATAGGTGGGAACTTTTCAAAACATTGAGGACATGGAGAAGATACTGAAAGCTCCTGGGAATTAAAAAAACAAAAAACAGATAATATACTGCAAAACCAAAATGCAGCATCAGAATGGCTTCTGACTTACCAGCAATCTGGAAGCTGAAGGGTTGTGAAGAAATACCTGCAAAATTCTGAAAGGAAATTACTTCCGACATAGAATTCTATACATGTCAAACTATCAATCAGGTGGAAAAGTAAACTAACGATATTTACTGATGTACAACATCTCAAATTTATTTGTCACATACCCTTTCTCAAAACGTAACTGGTAGTTATGTGTTCCAACAAAATGAGGAAGCAAACTAAGAAAGAAGAAAATATAAAATGTAAGAAAAAATGCCTTCAACCAAACAGAACAGTGAAGAGAATGTCCAGGGTAATGGGGAAGGAAGAATCCAGGTTAACCACTGCATTCCAAGATAGATGGAAACTGTTTTAGATCAGGACATATTAGAAAATTTGTGCCCAAGGACAGCACAAGGCACCATATCATAGCCATCCATCCATTCAGAGGGAACAAGTAGACGTGGATAAGGTCAACCAAACCACCATTTTATTGATGTTATCCACACTAAAGATGGCATATGGCTGCAACTGAAAGATGAGACTATAAAGAAATATGTTTCAGCTGGGTGTAGTGGCTCACACCTGTAATCCCAGCACTTTGGGAAGCCGAGGCAGGTGGATCACTTGAGGTCAGGACCTTGAGACCAGTCTGGCCAACATGGTGAAACCCCCTCTCTACCAAAAATACAAAAATTAGCCAGGCGTGGTGGTGGGCACCTGTGGTCCCAGCTACTTGTGAGGTTGAAGCGGGAGAGCTGCTTGAACCTGGGAGGTGGAGGTTGCAGTGAGCTGAGATTACGCCACTACACTCGAACCTGGGCGATAGAGTGAACCTCCATCTCAAAAAAAAAAAAGAGAAAATATGTTTCTAATAATAAAGGTTTTTAATAAAGCCTGACATAACCATCTTACTGAACTTCTTGACAAGAGCCTTCGGGTCCTCCACAACTTCAGTGCCAATTGCACATAAATCTATCCAAGTAATTCAGATTTTTAGATATGTATGTGTGTGTTAATGCATGTATACATACAAACACTTGCCTATTCATAGAATATCTCTGGTACACTGAAATATCAGCCTTTACCACTGTACAATTCATCCATATAACTGAAAAACACTTGTACCCCAAAAGCTATTGAAATAAAAACAAACTAATAGTATCTCTGGAAAGATACATAATAAATCCACAATGTACACTCTTCTCCTAGGGAAAGCAACTGGGTCAGCAGGATTAAAGAGGTATGAGGAAGATTCACTTTTTTCAGTAGTTATCTTTTTGTCTCTTTTGATTTCGCAAATACAGACTTATTTAACAAATAAGACAAAATTATTTTACCCACAAAATAATAATAAGGTGCATTAAGGTGCCTTATCTGCTATTTCCATCTCCCCATCAAGCTGTTCATTTTGCTTACCCACACCCATTTATTTTTAAAACTTTTCTTCATTTAGCTCACTATTTCATTTTTTACCCAATTATCTTGTAGGAAGGATAGGGAAATCTATCTTTTCATTTCACTTGTGTGGCAAAAAATTATCCTAATTATGTCTGATCTGCCTAAGAGTAGTGTTAAAATTTCCATATGAAGGAACAGTAAATTCACAAGTTCTGAAGGGAAATTAACCATAATAAAAAGTCATTGCCACCAGTTTCTAAAGACCTTGCCTTAAAGGCTCAGAAAATTCAGATTTTTAAAGTAAATTCTCATTTATCTCCTCTTTTACTTTAATTAAGACTACTTTATGCATCAGATTTAAAGATTTAGAAACTCTTATTCGATTTGTTTCCAGTTTCGTTTAATTTCCATACTGCAACAGCATTGTTTCCATGTTTTTTATCCAGTTTCCTGATTTGGGCTGGGTCATGTCTGCAGTAGAGTGAGATAGCTGTTAACGCTTGGTGCTCAGGCAAGCCCTTCCTAGGAAAGAGTCAGGAGCTAGAGACCTACCTCCCAGAACAATGTGGACAATTGATAAAGCACCCAAAAACAATCTTCAGGAAGAAATTGCAATAAGCAGATGGACATGGCCTCTTCAGCCTGGAAGGAAGGAATAATCAGATGCCCCATTAGGTGTTGATAACAAAAAGGCTCCACAAAAGCGGCAAACAAGTGGCGCCGTGGGACATGAAGAACAACCATCAGGGAGTCTGGCAGTGGCAGCAAAGAGAGAAGTAAAGCAGGACATAAAGCAAATGAGACCCAGATAGAGACTACATCAGTAACTGGGATGTAAGAAAAGAACCAGCTCACTGGGGATACGGTGAGAGCCACAACAAGTTCTGATCAAGCAAAACTCTGATCTGAAATCAATATACTCCTGAAATATGGCACCGTAAATTCTCCTGGATCAAAGAGACTTTAAGAAGAGCCTATTTTAGGAAGAGGGAAAGAGATTGAAAGATTGGAATTAAGTTGTCTTAGTCTGAGAACTTGAAGTAGGGATTGTGAATAGGGGTCATGGAAGCCAGGCAGGTGTCACCAGCCTGGAGACATAGTCGCCATTTATATTCTGCGTTACATATAGAGTGATGTGTTCTACATTTCGACTTAACAAAGTCATCTTTGAAAACATAAACTGTTCAAGTTAGAAATTACTTACATCTAGGTAGCAGCTGCCCTTTTACCATCTGCAATGAGTTATACCTTAAGAGTTGCTAGATAGCTGTGTTGGGATGTTTTTGGTGGTTGCAGTAACTGGAGTGTGATCCTGGCATTTACAGTGTAGGGTCCAGTGATTGTAAAAGTCCTTTAATAAGGTAGACAGACTTGCACATACACACAAAATGTCCCCCACACCCACAAAATGCCAGGAGCCTCCCCATTGAGATATACCCATTGTTTCACTTCACTGATGTGCTTCCCATGTGTGAATGCAGCACTGTGAGAATTCAAAGCTTCCATCAGAGACCTTAAAAGTTCTATTCTAGCGGAGGATAGTGGAAAAAACAAGAACAAACAATAACAACAACAAAAGTATTCTCTGATCAGGCATGGTAGTTCACGCCTGTAATCCCAGCACTTTGGGAGGCCAAGGTGGGCAGATCACCCGAGGTCAGGAGTTCGAGACCAGCCTGGCCAACATGGAGAAACTCTGTCTCTACTAAAAATACAAAAATTAGCTGGGCATGGTGGCTGGTGCCTGTAATCCCAATTACTTCGGAGCCTGAGGCAGGAGAATCGCTTGAACCCAAGAGGCGGAGGTTGCAGTGAGCCGAGATCATGCACTCCAGCCTGGGTGACAGAGCGAAAGACTGTCAAAAAAAAGGCCGGGTGCGGTGACTCACGCCTGTAATCCCAGCATTTTGGGAGGCCGAGGCGGGCGGATCATGAGGTCAGGAGATAGAGACCATCCTGGCTAACACGGTGAAACCCCATCTCTACCAAAAAATACAAAAAAATTAGCCGGGTGTGGTGGCGGGCGCCTGTAGTCCCAGCTACTTGGGAGGCTGAGGCAGGAGAATGGCGTGAACCCGGGAGGCGGAGCTTGCAGTGAGCCGAGATCCCGCCACTGCACTCCAGCCTGGGTGACAGAGCGAGACTGTCTCAAAAAAGTCTTCTTTACCTAAATTCATTGTTGAGTGTTTTTTAAATATGGAGGGAACATCAGGTTAGTTTTGTAGACGTCTTTCATAAACATTTAACCTAATTACGATAAACATGTTAGAATTAGTTCAGAATTACCATGTAAAAGACTGCAGAAGAGAAATCACTTGCTAATGCTTATTCTGAATAGCAAAGGAAACATAGGTGAGAGAATCTAAGCCATTCTCAAAGTAGTAAACTCACTCTAGGGAACAAAAATCAATTAAAGCAAATCTGCCATCGATCTTAAATTTGACAAATCACCTCTCAGCTTTGCAACAGGTAGCTGTTGTAGGTTAATATTCAGTCAAGACACTGAAGGAAACGTCTTCAAAATAACTTCCTATGTCATTACCCTCAAGAGAGACTTGTTTATCAGAAAGTCACCTTCAGTTTTTAAAACAAGAGAAGGCATATGTTCTGTGATTTCAGGGAGTGCTTGAGTTCCAGGCACCAGGAGATTAGAATGAACTTTTCACCTAGTTCAGCTCATTAAATTCAATGGAGGTGCCGTCTGTACAACGGAATAACGATATCCATAAATCTGCAGTCTGCTGTGGATTTACTACGACGCATTCACACGTGAGGCTTCTCTACACATTTACCTTAGCGTAAAGTACATCATCAAGGCCACTCGTGTTGTGCCTAAGCACCGTTTAGACAAAGGCATTTCTACAAAATGCCTTTAGAGCACACCTACTTCAATAACGTCACACACACACAAGTGGAATGCATGGACTGTTAAATCAAATCTGTCTTGCAGATTGAACTTTCACAGTTCGGTGTGATGTGAATTAGTTTCTGATGGGAAAATGTGATTCAAATCTTATAGAATTTGGTCAGCCAAATTTAAAGAGCAGAATTTTTTTATGTCACCATTGGCAGACTAAAAGACAATCTGGTTGTCCTCCCGCCAGCATGCTCCGAACCTACCCCCCACCCGCCACCCGCCAGCTGCCCTACATACACACCACCCGTATAAGCTCCATCCACCTTCCTGGTACATGTCAAATTCAATTTCTCTCCTTTTCTGGGTCCCGTGGTTCTTGTTTTCTCCAACACACATTTGGCGTATGTTACTCCCTGTTACTGATTTTGTTAAAACAAGTTTCATGTTTTCATTGATCATATATATGCCATGTGCACAAATTGTACATACCATAACCCTGTGCAGAGTAAGCACAGAGGTACTTATTAATAGGCATATATTCTTATCAACTTAACATCTAAAAAGCAATTTTCTTGAATTCATTTTATTAGTACTTATCTCAGTGATTGTTTTAAATGGGCTGATCAGACAGCTGCCTAGGCAGGAGACTTGAAAGTGACCAAAAGTACTGGTATAGATAAAAATATCTCCCTAGGGTTACTGGTTTTCTTTCTTCCAGTCTGAAATTTCCCATTAATGGATTAAAATACCAAAATGAGGACATAATTTCTAAAATTCTCAAACAATATCAGGAAACTGTATTTTCTTACATAAAAACAAGGAATGCATATAATCATTTATCATTCAGTAGAAGTACAAATATGCTACAAAGAGGAGGATATTTTCACCGGGAAGAGGTCTGTGGAGAGAATCAGCCAGAGTCTAGAAGTTTGGGAGTAGAATGGCAGTAGAATGACTTTGCCTTTTAGTTTGTCTAAGACAGTCCCAATATACTCCAGTTGTTCTGGAATAATTACTCATGAAGCTCCCTTTCACTCTCAGAAATGTCTCAGTCTGGGTGATAAATTACAGTTATTTGATGGATGGAGATCTTGTGCTAAGACTTGGGCTCAGTTCTTGGGCACATCAGCTTCTGGAAGGTAGTGGAGAAAAATTATTGTAAGAGCTGGAACTTAAATTTGCTTCTCCTGACTCCCAATCAGTGCTCTTTTTTTTCTAGACAGGCTTTTATAACAACACTGTTACTGTTCCTGTCTCCTCTAGGCTCCTTTTGTCTTCTCAAAAAGGTTTGAAGAACTGATGATTGATATCATCTCTGGTCATTCTTTCACTTGTCTTAAGCCTCAAGAATCATGCTAAAACAAAAAATAGTTGTTGAAGATATGTTTACTAATGGACTGATTACCTTCTTAGATAATAAAGGGAATGACATGCTGCAATTTTATGTTCTGAAGTTCCTGACATTTGACAGGCATAAAACTGAGATTTTCACACACCTGAAAAATTGATTTTTACATTTTTTTCCTCCAGCTTATTAACTTTATCTTCTCTTCCATCACTACTATAATCAGATTCAGATTTCTCTGTAGATTTACTTTTATAATCTACGAATATATTGTCTGCATATATAACAAGTCAATTGAGATGTAGTTGCTGGGTGGCAAGCATGGCATATTCACCAGCCAAAAGGGTGTCAACTTGCATACCATCCTAAAAACCCATGACTCCAAGGTATCCCTCAACACATTGATAAAATGTGAGAGACGTGAGCTTTGGGGCAGTAGCATTGTGTTGTGCAAATCTAGGTTGCCACTCATGTGATGTACTCAAAAACAGCAGTTCTGCTCTGGCCTTCCATTAGTCAAAATGACAAATTTAAATTCATGAATTTTAAGTGCCCATTAGATGTTAAAAATGCAAGTTATAATAGGCAAAATTGTAAGTGTTTTTTTGGTTCACTGTTGGATCTGTCTGAATTCAAAGTTGAAAGATTTTCCTTCTCCCCACAATTTCATTTTTTAATTGTCCAAAATCAAGATCCATTCAAGCTTCAATATCAAGTTTATGATAGAGAAAGAAAAGGAAATCATCTGGGATAGATGCCAGGTCTCCTGATCTAATTTTGTCACCTACCAAAGGACAGACAGATTTTGATGGATCTGTTTACACACATCTAGTCATATAACATAATGATCATGTTGTACTAACCTGGCACTTCTGCACTCTTACTGCTGTGAACTGGCATAGAATTCCTTGGTATTTATCACAGCCAGGTTTCTAAGAAAAGGATTAAAATGGAAATACATTTTATTTGAACCAAGTTTAGTTTTTGATTAAAGATAACTTTATGATTCAGAATGTTGCTTTTTATGATTGTTAAAAATGACCAAAAATGTTTAAGCATATATTTGGGTTAAATATAAAAATGAATCCAAAAATGCAGCTGGTATAACTCACCATAGATCCAATTATTGACCTGAGACATATCCTCAATGGAGGTGAAACAGGTAGTTAATGCACGAGAGCTTGGTGATTGTTGATACCTCCTGGTATATGACAAGCCTTTTAAAAAAAAAAATTTGCTACATCAAACTCTCTTCACAGAATTTCATAGAGAAAAAAATATACCCAGCTGTTTAAAAAAAGCAAAATACTTAACTGACAGCATGATTATCAGTGGAAGCCATGGAATATTTAGTTGTCAGGGGTTCTCAAGAGCAGATTTTGCAGCTTTGTGAAATCCTTACTCATGAAGTGCTTGATTCAAAAACAGGGCTTTCATCTGTAGAGTTGGAACTTCATCTCATGAGTGCTTGACAACTCATGGGCAATTACAAAAGTATTTACTGAAAGTTGCTAATAGAAAAATAATTGCAAAAAAAATTATGAGCTACCACTTAACCCCCTGAAGAAAGAGAGCTGGATTTATTGGCTGTGCCAAGTGGCATCTTGAAGTGATTAGATAATTCTGTACCAAAAATGCCCTAAATGAGAAAAAAGTAGACTTTGGGTCTTCATGGTACAAATAGGCTCTGTAAATCTCAGGGGAGCACTTTCTTCTGACTGAGTAGACATCACTTCTCCATACACACACTTCTGCTTTTATAGACCATGTCTCCTTAAGTATTTCCTAATTAAGACTTACAGGCAAGAGTCTGCCCAAATTAACCAGAGTTGTCTACATGAGTTGCTTTGTTTGTTAGTTTTAAATTGGACATTATTTTAAAATATATTTCCATTTTAATCTTTGAAATAATTTTAGATTTCCAGGAAAGTTACAAAGATAGTACAGAGTATTTCCCTATACCCTTCTCCCAGCTTCCCATGATGTTAGTACTTATAAAACCATGCTGCATTTTTGAAAATTAAGAAATTAATATTAGCACAATACTAAACAATGCTGAACTAAACTATAGACTTTATTTGTATTTCACCACTTTTCCCACTCACCTTATTTGCTATTCTAGAATCCAATCCAGGATAGCCCAAAGCATTTAGTCACCAGGTCTCTCCATTCTTCTCTGATCTATGACAGTTTTTTAGTCTTGTCTTGTTTAGTCTTGTCTTGTTTTGGGGGATCTTGACACTTTTGAAGAGTACTGGACATTTTGTAGAATGCTCCTCAATTTGGATTGTCTGATATTTTCTCATTAGACTGAAGTTACAAATTTTGATGAAAAATGCTAAAGAGGTAAAGTACCCTTCTCATAACACCCCTGAGCTGTTTTCTTAACTTACTCTTAATTTTTTAATTTTCTTGGCATATATGAAGGAAACCTCTGAGCTGTTTTTGAGCAAGGACTAAGATGGCAAAAAGTTGTATGTAATCTCTTACATAAAGATGTAAAGTTATATGTATAGCTTATAAGTAAATAACTTGAGAAGTTGCTTAAGTATGAAAAATAGTTGTTAGCATCGAGTTCCACTTTCTAAACCTGAATCTGTTTGCTTTAGAGATTTCAACCAAAGCATCCCACCTAAAACATTCTGAATCACAATTAGTTACCAGGCCTTCAAAGAAATTTGGTATTAATAATAAAGTACTACAGCCTACACTTGATTAGCTTTATTTATAACTTTGAGTAAATGTAAGAACATCCCCATAATAGAAGTACTCTTTCTGATTTGTGTCAATATGCTGCATGGGGTGGGAGAAAAGGGGGTAGAGGTATACCTAATGTGCTCATAAAAACAGCACATGTGTGGCACATAGCTTGCCACATATACAAATATTAGTATATTGTGGGCTTATTTTTTACAAATACATTGACAATCAATGCTTTAGATTAGTAGTCTCAAAAATATTTGTCTTATACCCTTTCATAAAGATGTTTTAGTATAAATCTTGCATAGCCTGGTTTCTTCCTCAAAAAAACAGAGTCTAAGACTCAAAAAGAGTCTAAGACAATGGCTTCCATAAAGGGAGTTTATTTGCAGGAATAATCCTACCAAGGAGAACAGGATAGTAGGGGCTGGAAAAGGGAAAACAGGGAAGGGCAGAGGCCAATTCAAAGGGGACATAATTGGGCTGGTTACTATTAAGGGCCAATAAGGGCCAATGAGGTCCCTCTGAAGAACCATGTAGAATGCACTTTAGAATTGTTCATCCAGGACATGGGAAAGGTTAAGTATTTATCCATTGGCTCTCAGCTCCCATTGAGTCAAGTTTCTCACACTTCCATATTTGTGCATGCTTGAGCATGGCTGGACAGAGGTAGAGAAAGAATAATAGATGATAGAGATATGGAGGAGCTGAAGCTTGAGGCTGACAGATCACACCTGTGCACGACTGGATGCCATACAATAGAGTACAAAGGAAGACCAAGATTATGTGAGCCAGGGTTTAATATCCGCAGCCAATGTATGTAAATTTATATATAAATGTATGTGTTATGTGCTAACCCATATTAAATTTTAGTAAAGTTCATTTCATTGTTTTCCTTGGGTAAGATAGAAATGGCACTAAAATTTTGGTTTCCATAATCGGTTAAGGATTGTGCTATAATTATTCCTGTCTCTAGTTTCTTTTTCTCACTTCCTGACTCACCCTAGTCTTTGTTCTTCTGTCAACATTTTTCACAGAAGTGTGTCGGGGAGAGAAAGAGGTGGCTTTGTGGGCCTGAACACCAGCACAAAGGGAAGGGTCCAGCATTGGGCGGGCACAGGAGTTTCCAGGGGGTGAAAAACCTCTGTTGATCTCTCCCTTGCCTTTTATAAAAATGAGATTTTTTTAAATCTGCCAAATGTCTTATGCAGCACTAGGTAAATGTTCTGAATTTTAGAGTATGAAAATATTTCAGATTGTCCAGTCTTTTGGCAATATCTTCAACTCTACATTTTATTTAAAATGCGTATATTCATCTTAAAATTATTTTTACCATGTTGAGTTGCTCATCTATAAATCTATGCTGCTTAAGTAGTAGTTTAAATGTAAATTTTAATGAATGCTATGAATCAGTGCCTAATTTGCACATTTTGTTAATTACCTGTGGTTTGGGATAATCCATCCAAGATGTTCCCTATTATATCACCCTGGGTAATTAAGAGTTGACCTATTTTCAAATTTTTGTGGCTCAAATAGAATGAATTCCAGTCAATTTTCTTTCCTAATAGAAAAACCATCATTTATTTAAATAGTCTATCAGCCATAATTGGAACATGAAATCTTGGGATGAAAATTGACTTTCAAAGGTCATAGAGTCCATCCTCCTACCTCTGGGTAGACTGTCAAACCAGCCAGCAAATATATTCCATCTTTTACAGCTTATTTGTAAAATGTAGCCAAGAATGTGCACCAGCCTGAGGAGCAACCTGTTTCTCCCTCCTAACCATCTGAGTCCTTGCCCTAAAGAAAGGTCAATCAGGCAGTTACCAATATTTGCCGAAATAAATGTGTGTGCAAATACACCCAGACACTGTATCCACACACCCTCACACAGAGGCATGACAATGAAGTTTCACACAGCGTGGGTGCACTCCCCCCAACATTCTCTTCCTTGGGTGTGAATCATGCTCTTTTTATGCCTAAAGAAGGATCAGGCATTTCCTTATGAGATTTTTCCTCACTCAAAAAAAAAGAAGCTGACTTTAAATTGTGGGCCATATTCCACATTTACAAGACCCAGGGATAGCTTTGCTGTAGACACTTACCTGTGTGGGAATGGGAAATTTTTTTTCCAACATATTATACACTTGTCTTTTATCTTTTTGTTAAGGACCCTAGATGCACAATGGACCAATGGTTATTCAAGGGCTTCTCCCAGGTCTTCCTCTAGGCTGTTATGTCCATTTCTGAACCACTGTACCCCTGGAGTTTTCTTACAAACCTCTTGTAATCCTTCATCCTGGAACTTCTGTGGCATTATTTACCTCACCCTGTCCGTTGCCAGGCAAACCACATAGCAAGTTCACTTTCTAGAATGTAGAGGCCTTCTCTTGCCCATCTTCCATTAGAGCCAGCGACACCTACTTGTCATCTTCTGCTTGCTTGAACTTCCCACTCTCAAAGACCAGTGTTGGTCTCAGACAGCCTTTGACTTGATATGAAACTGCATACTGAGTGCTGGTACAGAGAGCCTGCCCTTCCGTTCCCCTGACTGAATCCTGCTCTTCTCACCCAAAACTTAGTCTACCCACAGTCTTCCCCACCTCAGTTGATTAAAAACTCCTACTTGCCAGTTGCTTAAGCCAGAAATCTCAAAGTCATCCCTGATTCCTCTCTTTCTCTCACATCACATATCCAACTTATACTCTCAAAATACTGAATACTTTTTGGCTGGACATGATGGCTCACACTTTGGGCTTACAAAGTATAATCCCAACACTTTGGGAGGCTGAGGCAGGAGGATCCCTTGAGCCCAGGGGTTCAAGATCACCCTAGGCAATATAAAAATACCCCTTCTTTAAAAAAACAAAAAACTGACAAATTAACTGATTAGCTGGGCATGGTGGTACATGCCTATAGTCCCAGCTACTCAGGAGCCCCTGAGGCAGGAAAACAACATGAGCCCTGATGTTTGAGGCTCCAGTGAGCTATGATTGTGCCTGAGTGACAGAGTAAGACCCTGTCTAAAAAAAAAAAAAAAAAAAAAAAAAAAAAAAAAAAACAAAAAAAAAGAGCATGCTAAGTACTTCTTTGGTGGATTAAAAAATTGGATACAAACTCCTCCTACCCCAGGATGCAGGTTCCTTTGCAATTAACTTTGCTATTCCTCCCATCATGACATGGAGTCTATTTCCCTCACCACTTATATCTAAACTGCCCTTGTGACTTGGTTTAAAAACGTAGAATGTGGCAGAAATGATATTATGTGACTTCAAGGTAGGTACTTTGTAGCATCCCCACTCCCTCTCTTGGAATACTCCCTAAGGCCACCACATAAGGAGGCTGGCCTAGCACTGGGGGATGAAAGGCTGGAGGCTGGATGAAGGAGAACCAAGGTCCCCTGGCCATGTGAGGGAGCCAGCCTTGCCGCAGATGCAGCCACATGAATGAGTCCAGAAGAAACCATCAGAAGAACCACTTGGCCAGCCCACAGAATGAGGATAATAAATTATTTTAAGCCACTTTGGTTTTAGGGCAGTGTTACCCAGCAGTGATGATGTTCACTTCTCACTACCTGCACTGCCACTTGCACTGCTGCCATTTTGATTGGAGCCACCAGCCAGAATCACTTCAGTAGCTTCTGCCTGGCCTTCCTCCTCCTGTCCTTGGCCCCTACAGCCTCTTCTCAACACCACCCCTAAGTGATTGCTTCAAAATACAAGCCAGATCATGTCACTCTGCTCCAAATCTATGCTACTGAGGGCTCCTATATTCATTCTGAGTGAGTGCCCAAGTACTATGATGGCCAGTGTGGTTCAACATGGCTTAGCCCTCATCATCTCTCTGACCTAACCTCTTGTTATGCTCTCTCTCATTCACTCTACTTCAGCCACACTGGCCCCCCATGTTGCTGAACATGCCAGATATGTGCCCACCTTTGGGCCTTTGCATTGGCTATTTTCTCTGCCTGCAGTGCTCCTCTTCAAATCTCTGCTCAAATACCACCTTCTCCATGAAGCCTACTCTGACAACCTTATTTAAAATTGCACTTTTCATCCTGCCCAGGACTCCTAGTCATCCATATCCTTTCTACATCTCTTATCACTTTCTATTATGCTACAAAGTAACTTACTATGTTTATTGCCTATCTTCCCCCATGAAAGCAGAGATTTGTCTATTTTGTTCAATTATGCATTTCAAACATCTAGGAGCATATAAAAATATTGAATATTTTTTAATATTTATTGAATGAATATTAATTATTTACAGAAAAGTTCATTGGAATCTTTGGTAATTAATTTCAAATTTTAATAAATCTTAGTGGTTTTCAGGAATTCTGTGAATATTTTACTTGAATTTTTTTAATGTGCTTTAGCCATTTTGATAAATGGTATGGAAAATACATTCTTAGATATGGTATTGACCAAATTTTGTGTTACTCAAAATGGCCTCATTATTGTCATGGATTGAAGCATAGCAGCTGTTTCTTCCCATTTTCCCCTCCTCACTTTCTGTCCTAAAGCCCCTCTGCTCATTTGAGTTTTCTCAAATCAGTCTCCCACAGACCTACCCTGATGCTCCATGCTGCACTGTGAGCTCGGGTGCCCAAAGGAAATGGCTAAAGTTGTTTACCACGGAAACATGGGAAGAAGCCAAGAAGAAAGAAAATTAAGGAACCAAGAACAGCCCCTGGAAATCAGAAAAAGGCAACTGGAATTCCCAGAATGATGGCAAAGGGAGTCCTAGAAGCACCCAGGTGGAGTGCAAACAATCTACATGTCTCCAGAAAAGGAAAAAAAGGAATGGATCTGATTAACTGGCAGATTTGACAGTGTGGAAAATCAAGAGGCATTTTACAAAACTGTTTACAAAGCTGTTGGAGGGTGTAGGAGGACTCAGTCTCAGGCTGAAAGAAAGTAGGCTAAAGAAAAAGAAATGAAACAACGATTAACAATTATTAACAACTAAAATAGATATAATAAAAATCAATCCTTATCTACAAAAACCCTTATAGCAAATACCATACTTAATGGTAAAGCATTAAAATCATTCTCCCGGAAATCAAGAACGATACAGAGATGTTTGCTTTTACCTCATCTATTCGATTTTGATCTGTATATCCTAGCTAGTACAGTAATGCAAATGAAAGAAACACTATAAAGATTTTAAGGGAAAAACCATGACTACCATTATTTGCACACAACCTAGTTTTGTACTTAGAAAATCCAGCAGAGTCTACAGGTGAAATATTAGAACAAATAAGTGATTTTTAAATGTCTCTAGATACAAAATCAATATACAAAATCAACTGTATTTCTACACGCTAGCAACAAACAACTGGATTTTTTTTTACTTCTACCCTTTATAATAGCTTCAAAACTATCAGTCAAATACAGGAATAAATCTAATGCAACTTACACAAGACTTCTATCTGGAAAGCATTTATAAGAGAAATTAAAGCTACCCATATAAATGATAAAATGCACCACGCCTGCATACTAGAAAACTCAATACTGTAAAGCTTCAGATCTCCTCAAATTGCTCCATAGATTAAATGCAATTTCAAATAAAATCCCAAGAGGTTTATTTGTCTGGTTGGTTGGTTTTTGGCTTTGGTTGTTGTTGTTGTTATTGTTGTTGCTATTGTTTTCAATTGTTGATATTAACAAGCTGATGTTGAACTAAAACTTGTATGGACATAAAAACTCTTAAGAATACCCAAAACAAACTTAAAAGAAAAATAAAGTTAGAGGATTTTCAGATTGCAAGGGTCAACAAATAACAGTTAAAATGGAATGGATGCAAGGATAGACAAATAGAAAAATGACACAAAATAGAGTGCAGAAACAGACTCACAAATATACAGTTGGCTAATATACAACGAAAGTGGTGGCAGTTTCCACCATAGGGCAGGGGGAAAGGAAGTACTTTTCAGTAAACAGTACTGACTCAGAATTAAATTAATTTTTTTTAACTTTTAGTTTAAGTTTAAGGGTACATGTGTGGGTTTGTTACATAGGTAAACTTGTGTCATGAGAGTTTGTTGTACAGATTACTTCATCACCCAGGTATTAAGCCTAGCACCCACTAGTTATTTTTCCTGATCCTCTCCCTTCTCCCACCCTCCCTCCTCCAATAGGCCCCAATGTGCGTTATTCCCCTCTTTGTGTCCACAGGGTCTCATCGGTTAGCTGCCACTTATAAGTGAGAACATGTGGTATTTGGTTTTCTGTTCCTGCATTAGTCTGCTAAGAGTAAAGGCCTCCAGCTCCATTCCTGTCCCTGCAAAATACATGATCTCATTCTTTTTTATGGCTGCATAGAATCACATTAACAAAATTTTAAGAAAGAATCTCACAGGATAAACAGGACAAATTGATAATAAAACATAGACAAAGAAACAGTGTTTTTGTGTTCAGGATCTCGTCTGCAGATGAGGTGTGGTTTTTGATCCTAAGAAAGGAACTCATTGCATCTGCTTTGTATCTAGACCCATCTTTGACTTTTGCAGGAAAAGGGCTGGCAGATATATGAAACATTCTTAGGTAAGGAGGGCTCTGGAGAAATTTTGATGTACTTCTTTTGCTAGATTTTGGTAGGTCTTTTGAAAAATTCCAGCAGTTCTAAAAGTATCTCTACTCTCTTTCCAAATTATTCCTAGTTCCTGGTGATAACCAGACTACTACTTGTTATTTTTTGAATGACACTTAAAGAGTAAATACGTTCCAAATCTGAAATGTTAAATTCCATGTATAACAGGAGTCTTTTTATTTTATGGTATCTTTCTGAAAGCAACACTATCATTCACTAATTTTAGTTAAAATATTTTAAACTAGTTTCTTCTATCATTTAAGCCATTTCTTGAGGTAGTAATAAAAATTTATTTACTCCAAATTTAAGACTCAAGAAAGAATGTTTTTTGTGCTCTTTGCCGTATTCCAAGGGAACTCCCAATCAGATTACACACCATTTTGAGAATCTGTCAAAGGAAATCTAGACTTCAAAAAGAATATAGTTTAAATGATTCTGATTTTTCTCTACCTATATTTATAAAATTAACTTTGAAACCCTCTTGAACTTCTGCATAGTTTGAATTCTAGTACCCACACAGTGCTATGATCCCTGCAGACATTCAATAAATGTTAATTGCATTGAATTGAAATTTAATTTGAAGCCTTTGAGGGAATTAAATCTTCTACTTTTTTGTAGCTTTTTGCTTTACACCAAGGAGTCTTTTCCCTGAGTGTATTGTAAATTAATTATAGAATGTAATGTTTAAATGAAAGCAAAGCAACTCAATACACAGCTTGAAAAAGCTGAAAATAAAAACTCTCCCTGTGATAATCAAACTGCTTTGGTACCTTTGCAGTAATTCTCTTCAGCAGAAAATCAAATGGATAATAGTCTGTGTGCTTAGCATATTCTTGCCATCACAATAATAGCTCTTTTAAAACAGGTTCCAAAGGGAAATGTTATTGAGTATTACATTGATTCACACTGACGATTTGTGAGAGAACATTCATGGAGCTGTGTGCCATGAAGTGCATTTATGAAAGCCAATGCTTACCCAAATTCTCTCTGACTAAATCTGAAATAGGAATGACAGATCTTCAGCCCTTTCCACAATGGTAAAGAGTCAATTTCCTTTACCTTCGTTTTTACTTGATTTTATTTTTGATGAACAGTTAATTCTTCAGGACTAATCATTCTCCCTGTGAAACAGAAGATGAGCTGAACTGAAAAGAGAAGTTCTGACTTCCCAGAAGACTGTGGATTAGGACATTTCCTCCCTAAGTCTTCCTATTTCTCATTCTGGATCCTCATGGCTCTTGTTTCTCCTTGTCAAGGTATCAGGAAAAGAGAGGTGGGAGGGAAAGTGCTCTTGCATGGAAGGAAAGAGTTTTAAGTGACCCTCTGAGGATGTGTATATGGCAAAAATCGGACTAGGTGGAATCTCCCACATGAACTTTTTTGGTCTCAAGCCAATATAAAAGGTCAAATATAGAAGAAAGCTATTCTCTTCACCCTGAGGTATACATTGCCTAGGGGAAGGAAAATAATTAGATGTTCTCACTGTAATTGTGGTGACAAAATGAGAGTAATCTGTCACTTGCAAGAAGAATAGAAAAAGAAACCTTAGATATTCCTATCACTTTTACAGGAGTTTTTATAACGTAATTCAGAGACTCCCTGCTTCATTTGGGAAAAATGTCAAAATATGTACTTAACTCAGATGTGTCCAAAACTGTAGATGTCCTCTCCTCTTGTCTCAAGCCCACTTAAAGCAGACCTCAGGAGCAAATCCAACTCCACAAAACATTAATGAGTGTATTAGATTTACTGAAAATTGAGTGAGGAGGCTGAGGAATGGTTAATGGCACATTATGTGTAAAAATACTTTTCAAATTTCTAATAAATATATCTGTGGCCTTGCTCTGTCGTGGCTAGCCTCCAGGATGGACCCCACTGATCCATGTTTCCTGATTTTTATGACCTTGAGTAATCTCCTCCTATACTGAATCAGCACTGGCTCTGAGTGATCAAGAGTATATAGTGGAAGCATGGCTTCCAACTTGCCCTCTTGGATTGCTTGCTTTGGGAAAAGCCAGTTATTGTGTTATGTGGACACTCAAGCAGCTCCATGCAGCGGCCCACGTGGAGAACTGAGGCCTCGAGTCAACAGCCAGTACTAACTTACCAGCTATGCTAGTGAGTTCTCCAGCACCCTCATCAAATTTTCGGGTGTGTGAAGCCCCAACCAGCATATGACTGCAACTACATGAGAGACTGCCCAAACAAATCTAAGAACTCCTGACTCACAGAATCTGTGAATATAGTACATTTTCATTTTATGTCACTAAGTTTGGGGGTAATTTGTATGCAACACTGAATGACGGAACACCTCCCATCTCCAATTCTCCTCTCTAGCTGCCACCTACCTCTTCATCCTTTCTCTATATGGCTTAGAGGCACCTTTCCTACCTCCTGAATCATCAGAGGTAATGCCTCTCCTCTTTCCCCATCCCCCCAGCCCCCTTGGCCTTTTTATGCAGAACAATTTAGCTTTCTCATGTTCTCTTATTCCTTTCAGTAGACATAGCTACGCTTTCTCTTAATAGCGCCCTTTCTTTTAAATAATATAAAATAATTCCCCAGTAACTATTTTTCTTTTACCTACGGAAGTCTTGATCTTACTTTTTAAAATTGAGAGTGACATCTGGTGTCATTAGCACTTTTAGGTCTCAAATTTACTTAGATGGAATAGTTGAGTAATCTCATTAAATCAATCCTTTTTAAAACCTCATTAAATCAAATTTAAAAGTAAATAAACAAGTGAGTCCATCTCATTGAAACTAAAATGTTAACAAACATGAAGATTTTTTTCATCATATACATATTTTGTGTGTGTGTCCTCATTATCCAGCATTATACTCAACTGAGTATGTGATTATACTGAGAAATGTGATTTCAATTACCTTCATTCATCTTAGCATTTTGTGACTTATTGTGCAATATTTGCCAAGCCTTAGAAAAAAGTAATTTGCCCAAAAGATAAATCTCTATCTCTATAGTTGAAATTACATATTGGAAATTTTGGCAGGTAATGTGGGCTTTCTGAAAACAAATCTTTAATTTTTTTCCAAAATATGTAATGTTTTCTTTCTGTTCTATTGCTATCAATTCGAGTGTCTCTTGCTTTAAAAGTACTTATAAAGAGGAAAGAAAGAACTTCTATTTAAATTTTGCATAAACAATTTATTTTCATTCTAGCCTTAAATTGTAAAAACACTGGTTTCTAAATTTAATTCCATTTCCAAAAATGCCTACCACTTGCAGCTTCTCTAATTCTTCCCATCACCTCACAAAGCCTCCTCAGCCTCCGGTGGTATATGGCAGCCTTCAAATTCTCACAGCAAGCGTCACCATCCTGCCGAATTTTATGATCCCTATCATTTCACTTCTTTACCATTGTTTGATGCTGTTGTTTTTTTCACTCTACTCCAGAGCACAAAAAAATTGACTGTCTTCGTTGATAATACATATTCAAAGATTAAAATCATAAGTTTGTCATTTTTTTCTAAATCTTTTTATTACTGTTTAAAAAATGTATTCTTCATTTTGTAGAAAATAGCAGTCTTCTGTTAATTAACATATAACATTTAATTAAAATCTAATGATCCCATATACTTACATTATGCCTACATAAATAAGCTCAAAGATAAGTTTTAGAATTGTTCTAATTCATTCTCGGTGCTCTAATTTATTTCTATAATTTCACCTCAATTCTACATCTGTGTGGTAGGCAAAAGCAGGAATTATTTCACTAGTATTTCAGGGAGAGAAAAATGGAGTCCTTATGAAATTTTCTTTCCTAATTACATGTGTATTTGTGGCCACTCCCCTTCTCTTTTACCCAAAGCCCATCTAGCATGTGTTTATGCAGATTCAGATGCCTGTAATGGTGAATTCAAGGTAGCAATCACCCTGATGTTGGTCCCAAGATTGTTTTAAAAAAAGAAAAACATATCAAGTTAGCAGATACACGCAAAGAGAAAAATACTTGAAACTTCTGAAGAGTAAAGGGTCTAAGACAGCACTATCCAAAGAACTTTCTGCAAGGTTGTGAGTATTCATCACTTGAAATGTGGCTAGTCTGACTGAGGAACTGAGTTTTTAACTTTATTTACATTTAAATAACCACATGGGGTTAGGGGCTGTTATTTTGGACAGTACAGGGTCGAGAAGCTAAAAGGGACCTAGTTTTCTTTCAGTGCCTCATGGGGGCGCTGGGAGAGAACAAAAGCTCTAACTTGAAGAAGCTGAACAGTGAAGCGGAGCGAGCACAAGATGAAACATTGAAGAACAGGCATCCCGGGCCGTGATTGCTCCACAAGCTGGAGCAAGTCATTTGGCCCTTTGTTTCCCATCTGTGAGTTGGGAGCACAACTATGTCTGGCACATTTCACAAATTTTCTGTGATACTCCAAATAAAACCACAAAGAAGAAAACCTGAAATTGTAGTTCAGACTCATTCAGATGTACTGTCTTGTGCTACTGTTCATTGACTCAGGGTAAGCTCCAATATACCCAGCTCTCTTAATCAGATTCCCCAAAAGTAAACATGAGAGGGAGATTTCTGTGCTAGTGATTTATTAAGAAACTGCTCCCAGAGAAACCAGGAAAAGAATGAGGAAGCAGGACAGGAAAGGGGAAGAGGACAAGCCAAGTCCCAGGCTTTGCCAGATTCTCAGGGCAGCTCTGGGGTATAAAGTTTGTCTCAGCTGAAGGTAAGGGAGCTCGACTTTCAAAGCCCTCATCACATAAGGCTATGAAAGCCCATGACTTCCTGGAGGACATACAACTCCAAGCATTTTCAGCTTGTGTTTGTGTTTGTGTGTCAGTGTGTGTACACCCTCATGCACATATACATGCATGGATGCACTTTCAGCTTGTGTGTGTGTGTGTGCACTCTCATGCACATATACATGCATGGATGCACTTTCAGCTCGTGTGTGTGTGTGTGTGTGTGTGTGTGTGTGTACCCTCATGCACATATACATGTATGGATTCACCTTCAGCTCGTGTGTGTGTGTGTGTATGCGCCCTCATCCACATACACATGCAACGAATGCTACAGGCATCATGAAGCACTTCTAGTACTCCAAATACAAGGAACTTCAAAAAGGTTATAGAATAATAGAATTAGAAGATAAAAATTAAAACTATAAGCTTTATTTCTCAACATAAGTTCCATCAAGTTTAAGACACTTTTATAAGCGATATCAGCCATTTAGTCCATCCCTGAAGAACTGAAGGTCCTGAGAATTTAGCCATGGCAATGAAGACTTTTTACATTATAAACTGAAGAAAAATTGGTTCCCTTTAAAGTTTTTTTTAAGATTAGGAAACAAAATAAGTAAGAAAGCATCAAATAAAAACTGTAAGGTGGATACCTTATGATTTTCCATCAAAATTCTTGCAAAATTTCCTTTGTTTGATGAGAGGAAGGAGCAGGAGTATTGTCGCGGTAGAGAAAGACTCCAGTGAAGCTTTCCTGGGGGTTTTTCTGCTGAAGCTTGGGATCACTTTCCCAAAACACTCTCATAATATGCAGAAGTTATCATTCGTTGGTCCTCCAGAAGGTCAACAAGCAAAATGCCTTGAGCATCTCAAAAAACTGTTGTCATGACCTTTGCTCTTGATTGATCTGCTCTGGCTTTGACTGGACCACCTCTAACGTTTGATAGTCATTGCTCTGGTTGTGCTTTAGCTTCAGGATTGTGCTGGTAAAGCCATGTTTCATCTCTTGTTACAATTCTTGGAACCAGTGCTGTAGGAAATTGATCCCACTTATTTAAAAGTTCCATTGAAAGCTCTGCTCTTGTCTGCAGCTGGTCTGGGTGGAACAGTTCTCTACCCATCATGTGGAAAGTTTGCTCAACTTTTTCAGTCAGAACTGTGTAAGCCACACCAGTTGAGATGTCTATTGTGTTGGCTATTTTTTCTGCTGTTAATCATCAATCCTCTTCAATTAGGGCACAAACAAGATTAATTTTTTCCTGGAAACTTTATGTGGATGGTCTGACATTGTGAGCTTCATCTTCAACATCATCTCATCCCTTTTTAAAATGAGTTATCCATTTATAAACTGCTGATTTCTTTGGGGTATTATCCCCATAAACTTTTCATAAAGGATCAATGATTTTACCATTCTTTCTTCCACCCAAGCTTCACAATAAGTCTGGTGTTTGTTCTTTCTTCAATTTTCGAAGAAGTCATGCTGTTCTGATAGGAGCTCTTTTCAAACTCATGTCTTATCTTTCTTAGTACCTCAAACTAGATTCTGTTCAGTGTTATAAGTTAGTACAAGTTAATTTTGACACAAAATTTTTTTTCAACTCTGTGCATAGCTGTGGTTTTTTTTCAACTTTTATTTTAGATATAGGTGGTACATGTGCAGGTTAGTTACATGGGTATATCGACCTCAGGTAGTGAGCAAAGTACCAAGTAGGTAGTTTTTCAACCCATCTCCCACTTCTTCCTCCACTTTCCTGTAGTCCACAGTGTCTATTGTTCCCATGTTTATGTCCATGAGTGCTGAATGTTTAGCTCTCTGTTATAAGTGAGAACATGTGGTATTTGGTTTTCTGCTCCTATATTAATTCACTTAGAATTATGGCCTCCAGCTCCATCCATGTTGCTGCAAAGAACATGATTTAATTCTTTTTCACAGCTATGTAGTATTCATGTTGTGTGTGTACGACATTTTCTTTATTCAATCCACCATTGACGTCACCTACATTGATTCCATCTCTTTGCTATTGTGAATAGCATGGCAATAAATTTGCAAGTATGTGTCTTTTTGATATAATGATCTATATTCCTTTGGATATGTACCCATTAATGGGATTGCTGGGTCAAACAGTAGATCTGTTTTCAGTTCTTTGAGAAATCTCCAAACTGCTTTCCACAGTGGCTAACCTAAGTTACATTCCCACCAAGAGTGTTTAAAGATTCCCTTTTCTCCACAGCCTCACCAGCATCTGTTGTTTTTAGACTTTTTAATGATAGCCATTCTGACTGATAGGAGATGGTATCTCATTGTGGTTTTGATTTGCATTTCTCTGATGATTAGTGAGGATGAGCATTTTTTCATAAGTTTATTGGCCACTTGTATGTCTTCTTTTCTTTTTTTTTTTTGAGACGGAGTGTCGCTGTCGCCCAGGCTGGAGTGCAGTGGCGCGATCTCGGCTCACTGCAGGCTCCGCCCCGCAGAGTTCACGCCATTCTCCTGCCTCAGCCTCCCGAGTAGCTGGGACTACAGGCGCCCTCCACCTCGCCCGGCTAATTTTTTGTATTTTTAGTAGAGACGGGGTTTCACCGTATTAGCCAGGATGGTCTCGATCTCCTGACCTCGTGATCCGCCCACCTCGGCCTCCCAAAGTGCTGGGATTACAGGCTTGAGCCACCGCGCCCGGCCGTATATCTTCTTTTGAGAAGTGTCTCTTCATGTCAACAAGCAAAAAGCAACCTCATTTTAAAAATGGGCAAAGAACAACATTTTTTTTAATAATATGCATTTTCTGTGAACTCTTTGAAGACCTATCAGGCAAAAAAGTCATTGAAAGTGTTGACCATTGGAAACAAAGGCCCACAGAGACCAGTCCAAATGACTGAGAGGGCCTGGAGCCCTAGACAAAAAGTGATCTTGGCTGCTAAAGAATGACAGGGAAGACTAGACAGAGAAATTGCAGAAGGGAAAATAATCTCTAAATAAAACTACTTAGAACGTGAATAGAAAGAGCACTTAGCAGGCTGGGCAAGGTGGCTCACGCCTGTAATCCCAGCATTTTGGGAGGCTGAGGTGGGTGGATCACCTGAGGTCAGGAGTTCGAGACCAGCCTGACCAATATGGTGAAACCCTGTCTCTACTAAAAATACAAAAATTAGCCGGGTGTGGTGGCCTGTGCATGTAGTCCCAGCTACTTGGGAGGCTGAGATAGGAGAATTGCTTGAACCCAGGTGGCAGAGGTTGCAGTGGGTATTGATTGCGGCACTGCACTCCAGCCTGGGTGACACGGCGAGACTCTGTCTCAAAAAAAAAAAAAAGAAAAAAGAAAGAAAGAAAGAAGAAAGAAAGAGCACTTAGCTATAGTAATTAATCAGAGTTGTGCTCTAGGGCTTTTTCTCAGTTTTGCATCTTTTTGCTTTTTACTTTCCATAATCCAGAAAAGAAATAAAATATTTTGGCTTTTAGAAAACAATCATTTTGTTTTTCCAGCCCATAAAACAAACAAATATCTCATTGATTTGGGAAAGAATATGTGGTTAAAAGTTAAATTTACTGCAGACAAGTCACACTTGAGAGGCCTGTCTACCAAGCAGGTTCACATTTATTTAGGTCCACCAACTTTCACTTTCAACCCAAAACAACTATGCTTCCACGGCTTTGTGTTTTCTTTTCCTTTGCTTTTCATTCAAAAGGATTGTGGCCAGGAAATAATGTAACCTGCTCTGATTTATTGTCTTGAACCAATGCTGATTGCTTTACCTACCTCATATGTTCTTATATATACGACTTCATTCTTCTGTTTGCTTTTTCTTACAACACCTTCGGTAAAGATTTAAGACTGTGTCAGGTTTTTGATGTGCCAGTATATTACTTTAAGGACTATTGGTTGTAAAGGGGCTCTCTTTATGTTTACATGTAGCCTTCACATATTTATACTTTAAGACCACAAACAAAAATGAGGGCAGTCATGATTTTGAAACAATTGGTATGGTATCTAACACTCTTTTGATTACTTTTATGATAGAGAAAAGAATGAAACACACATATGCATTTAAATTATGTTGGCAATGCTTAAAGTTTTTTATTGCTTGAAAAGAAGATTTTAATATCTATGTTGCAGCTATGCACTCAACAGCAGAGAATATGTACAATACACTTAATTCCAACATGTATTTGGTCTGAAAAAGTATTCTAAATATTATAAATAATATTTAAATAAATACATAAGTTTATTCAAAGTAATGACTGCATCACTACCCATGTTAAAAAATTTCCCCAGCAAGTTAAATAAAATTCTAGTATATAATTTCTATTTTTCTGTTTTCCATATAATTTCTATATTTCTGCTTACTTCATAAAATTAAATACATGCTTTAACAGAGGGAAAAAATGGGTTCCTAGATATTTAAGAACTCACACTGAGCTTACTACCCTTTACAAAGAAAATATCAACATTGCTAGACTAATGTTAAAAATAGTAACAGATCTCAAATAAATAATAAGGAGATTTTAAAATTTTATTATTTTCCTACAAATGTCAGAAACTGAAAGTGAAAATGTGATGCAGCATCATAAACTGTGCAAATATAATTATTTATTTGCATTAAGTTTTCAGCAAATTGCATTTCAACTGGCTGCAAACTTCCTTTAAGCTGCTTGATTTCCTTCATTATTTTTCTATCCATTAGCCTTACTATTCCTGATGCTTACTATACCAAATGACTTCTTGTCAAATTTTTACACCATCCATATACATAAAAGAAATCTACCCATTTAACAAACTGTGGGATAAATACAGTATAGTCCTTTCATTACAGAGTCACAGTCCAGCAGGGAGGGATGGAACCTAAGTCCTATCCACAGATATATATCTATTAGAAAAGGCCAACCACACCTTTTAAATGGGCAAAGCTTTTGAATGGCATATTAACCTTGCCTTCACACACACACACACACACACACACACACACACACAGGGGGAGGGAGAGAGAGAGGGAGAGAGGGAGGGAGGGAGGGAGTGAAGCAGGGAGGGGGAGAGAGAGAGAGAGAGATACAAGACCAACTGGTATACGGAAAAGATATTCAAACTTACTCAGAATTAAAGAAATGCAAACTATAAAAATTAGACATAATTTTTTAACTTTCAAATTGACACAAACTGAAATGTTACAATATGTAAGTTTAGCAACAGTGAAGAGAAATAGGCACTCTCATGGCTACTTTCTATTCAAGATGCCAATATAGCAGTTTCATATTTTTAAACACAAATATTCCTTGTCTCAGAAATACTTCTGTCAGGAACTTGCTTTACAAATATACTCATGACATTATGGTCATAGGACATTACAGGTACATTTATCTTGTTCTTTGCATAACAGTTTAAAAAAAAAACCTAAATACCAACTATCAGTACTGTCCCATTAATTAAATTATTAAACACACACAAAATAGAGCACTATGCAACCATTAAATAAGAATTGGTTATATTTGTTTGTGCTGTAAAAATCTCCTAAATGTGGCATTAAGTAAAATCTCAAGAGGAGTGCTTGTGACATTTTATATGTGGATAATGACTAAAAAAATGCATCTGGAAAGGGACTTCGGGTAAAGAGACTAATTCTAATTGTTTATCTTTCTGTTCCATTTAAATATTCAGCAAAGGCCAGGCGCGGTGGTTCACACCTGTAATCCCAACACTTTGGGAGGCCGAGGCGGGTGGATCACCTGAGGTCAGGAGTTTGAGACCAGGATAGCCAACATGGTGAAAACTCATCTCTACTGAAATATATATATATATATACACATAATTAGCCAGGAGCAGTAGCGCATGCCTGTGATCCCAGCTACTACTCGGGAGGCTGAGGTGGGAGAATTGCTTGAACCCGGGAGGCAGAGGTTGTGCTGAGCCAAGATCAGGCCACTCCAGCCTGGGGGACAGAGCAAGACTCCATCTCAAGAAATAAACGAATAAATAAATAAATATAAATAAATATTCAGCGTGTAAGTATAACTTTTATTTAAAAATAAAAACTCAGAAATAATTCTAGAAGTGGCAGTGAAACACTAGGATGATGCAGGAGCTACTCACTCGTTCATTCTTGTATATGCGTCCTGTAATCATTAACAGGCAAGACATCCAATCTCTCCTTAGTAATAGAGGCTTCCTCAATGTATCCTGGGACATGAAGTTGTCTGGCAATTAACTAATGTCCAATAATGCTCTGTAAATTAGTAGATTCATCACATGTGCAGCTTCTGCTTCCAAACTAATGGTTTGTTTAACAAACGGCTGATGTCTCCATTAGAGGTTCTTTTGTTTCTAAATGGCATTTGTTGAGTTTGGCAAGTACCCCAGCATGGCTGTTTGCTAGCTGGCTTACTGCCTATAATAGCAAAAATGGTGCTCTGCAGCAGAGCGACTGTGATAGAAGGCCAGCAGATTCTGAAAGTTCAATGGGAAATCCATTAATCCATTGTAGACCAGGCCTATGGCTTAACGTGCTTCCCTTTGTTGGCTAACTCTGCAGCTCATTCACTAATTCATTTAGCGGGTGTCTGCTGGGACCCACTATGCGCGGACAATGTTCTAGATGCTGGCCATGACAAAAAGTAATGAAATTCCTGCCTCACAGGCTTCACATCCTAGTAAAATGATGCATAATATAGGGAATTTTAAAACAGCTCATTCAGACTGTGCTTGATTATAAATGTGCAAAGAAAATAAAGCAGGGGCTGTGCCCAGTGGCTAATGTCTGTAATCCCAGCATGTTGGGAGGCTGAGGAGGCTGGATCACTTGAGGCCAGGAGTTTGAGATCAGCCTAGCCAACATAGCAAACCCCATTTCTACTCAAAATACAAAAATTAGCCAGGCATGGTGGCACACACCTGTAATTCCAGCTACTTAGGAGTCTGGGGCACGAGAATTGCTTGAACCCAGGAGGTAGAGGTTGCACTGAGCCAAGATGGTGCCACTGCACTCCAGCCTTGGTGGCAGAACAAGATTCTGTCTAAAAGAAAAAAAAATAAAAAATAAAAAACTAGCCAAGAGTGGTGGCTTACACCTGTAATCCCAGCTATTCAGGAGAATGGTTTTAGCCTAGGACTTTGAAGCTGTAGTGAGCCTTGATTGGGCCACTACAACTCCAGTCTGGAGTACCCTGTCTCCAAAAAAAAAAACAACAGCACCATTTTTCATTATATGACACTACTTATCCAGCATTATTTGATTCTCATATCAAATCCCCAGTGCAGCAGTGAAGACTCACCAACTTCACTTCTAAATTTTTCCTTCCATGTATTTTTCTACCCCAAACATACTGACTTTGGATCTTCTGCATGGAACTCATTTCATTCTCTCCTTGGAATTTCCTCTCCCTTTGTACCTCTAAGATAGAAGCTCATTATAAAAATCTGGCCCCATCAATGTCCATCTTTCTAAGAAGGCTTCCGTGATTAAGCCTAATTCTGTTCACACCTCTACCAGGAATTTGGCTAGATGACCGCTTGGTGGGCTCCTTTGAAAATTATTGTTCTCTCGATTTCTCTGTATACGCTGAAACTATTCCATAAGTTTCATGGGAAAAAAATTATATCTTCTGTTCCCTTTGTAGCTCTCTTCCCTGAGTTCTATATTGTGCTCTCCACACACAAAAATTAATTAAATGCTTTGATTTGCTGACTGATAAAAGAAACCCTGGCTTATATTTATCACATAAGAACATTTTGTATGATGCAAAAATTTTTAAAGACACACAATTATCCATATAAATTACTTCTAAAAATGTGCCTGCATAAAGCTCACTTTCCCTATTAAAAGTGAATTTCTCATCAAAAGAAATAAAATGAAAATGCAATGCCAAGAGAATGAGAAATGTATTTAATCAGTAGAATCTCCAAGACAGGACATAGAGAATATTGGTGGAAGAGTGTATTTCATCATAAATGCACTGATATTACTATCACAAGAACAGAAAACCAAACACTGCATGTTCTCACTCGTAAGTGGGAGTTGAACAATGAGAACACATGGACGTAGGGAGGGGAACATCACACACTGGGACCTGTCAGGGGATGGGGGGCTAGAGGAGGGAGAATATTAGGAGAAATACCTAATGTAGATGATGGGTTGATGGTTGCAGCAAACCACCATGGCAAGTGTATACCTATGTAACAAAACTGCACATTCTGCACATGTACCCCAGAACTTAAAGTATAACAAAAAATAAATGCACCGACATTGTATTAACTCTGAGTTTGGGTATTATCTGGCAAAATGGCTAATGAGAAGGACTGTGGGTACATATCAACAAAGGTAAAATGCCAGCCAGCCTGCTGTAGTCTTTTCCAATGAAAGTTCTTGATGGTTTCTGTAGGCCCAATGACAGCAGGCATTAAGACTTAGGAGTATAGCCCCAAGTCATATCCAGCAAATCTCCTCAAGAGGTAACATTTAGCCTCACACATGTAGATGACCCTTACAATAACATGGCCTCATGGCTGACCTCCTCCCCTCCAGTTAACTTGTCCTCCTCCTACTTCAGCCTCTCCTCCTGTAGCCATGCTTCAACAGTGGCATTATGAAAAACTTGTCACCTTACTGTCATATCCTAGCCTTCTAGTTGGTCTCCCTGCTTCTCTATGTTCCTCTAAAGTCTATTCTGAGCACAGCAGCCACAGAAATAGAATTCAGATCATATTATTCCTGCAAAACCCTCCAATGGCTTTCATCTCACTCCAAAAGAAGACAAAGTCCATTAAGTCACCTCTATAGGCGGACAGGATCTAGACTCCTGTTTTTCCCTCATCTCATCTCCTACTGCTCCCCTTCACTCACTTTTCTTCAAAAACCCTGACCTTCTTGGTGTTCTCCCAACATGCCAGCATGCCCAGCCTCAGAGCTTCTGTAATTGCTGCTCTTTCTACTTACAATGCTTTTTCCCCAAAATAATTCCATGGCTCACTTCAGCCTTCCATGCTCACTCTATTTAACAAAGCTGTACCTCCCACAATATTCCTTTTCCTCTGCCCCTGTTTTATTTTTCTCTGTAGCGCTTACCAGTATCAGACATACAACATAATATACTTATTATTTTTATTATTTATTGTATTTCTCCCTCCACTAAAATATAAGCTCCATAGGGTAGGAATTTTTCTTCACTCCTATACCTTCAGCATCCAGAAAAATGTCAGGCAGGTTGCCTGCAGTGCCAGGACCTATGCTCATGCTTGTGCCTTTTTGCACACACTAATGTGCATGCACACACATACATACACACACAGACATACATGTATGCACATACACATATGTTGTGGGAAATCAGCAGCCCCGAATGGAGGGACCAGCTGAAGCCATGGCAGAAGAACATAAATTGTGAAGATTTCATGGACATTTATTAGTTCCCCAAATTAATACTTTTATAATTTCTTACGCCTGTCTTTACTGCAGTCTCTGAACATAAATTGTGAAGATTTCATGGATACTTATCACTTCCCCAATCAATACCCTTGTGATTTCCCATGCCTGTCTTTACTCTAATCTCTTAATCCCATCATCTTCGTAAACTGAGGAGGATGTATGTCGCCTCAGGACCCTGAGATGATTGCGTTAACTGCACAAATTGTTTGTAGAGAATGCGTGTTTGAACAATATGAAATATGAGCACCTTGAAAAAAGAACAGGATAACAGCAATGTTCAGGGAACAAGAGAGATAACCTTAAACTCTGACTGCCAGTGAGCTGGGTGGAACAGAGCCATATTTCTCTTCTTTCAAAAGCAAATGGGAGAAATATCACTGAATTCTTTTTCTCAGCAAGGAACATTCCTGAGAAAGAGAATGTATCCCTGAGGGTAGGCCTCTGAAATGGCCGCTTTGGAGGCAGCTGTCTTTTACGGTCACAGCTGTAGGGATGAAATAAGCCCCAGTCTCCCGTAGCACTCCCAGGCTTATTAGGACGAGGAAATTCCCACCTAATAAATTTTGGTCAGACTGTCTGCTCTCAAAACCTGTCTCCTGATAAGATGTTATCAATGACAATGTGTGCCCGAAACTTCATTAGCAATTTTAATTTCGCCCTGGTCCTGTGGTCCTGTGATCTCCCCCTGCCTCCATTTACCTTGTGATATCTTATTACCTTGTGAAGCATGTGATCTCTGTGACCCACACCCTATTCATACACTCCCTCCCCTTTTGAAAATCACTAATAAAAACTTGCTGGTTTTAAGGCTCAGGGGGCATCACGGAACCTGCCGACATGTGATGTCTCCCAGGACACCCAGCTTTAAAATTTCTCCCTTTTGTACTCTGTCCCTTTATTTCTCAGACCAGTCGACACTTAGGGAAAATAGAAAAGAACCTACGTGACTATCGGGGGCAGGTTCCCCCAATACACATATACATGCATATGTACACATGCACATACATACCCACATATAAATTTAGATTACAGCAGCATTGCTAGAAAGTAAGAGCCTTAGAAAACTTTTCTTATTCCTCCAGCTCTTGGCTTTGTGTTAAGTTTACTCCTAAATTCAAAAGCTATGGAAATTGTACTTGCATAAAGGACAAAATGACCAAGTCAAACTCTGTCTGTGTTCATTCATTTCTTTAGGCAGATGTTACTCCTGAAACTCCCTAGTTTTCCACACACTCACATCTCCTCTAACTTTGCAAAGCTTGGAGTTTCAAACTTTTACTACCTTAGATCCAAATAGCATCCCCATCTACTTAATAAAAAGAAATAACTGGCTTTATCTGTGATAGGATATGGAATCGACTTTTATGCATTAGTCATTCAACCTTGAATTGAATTTTGACAGGCTCTGCAGTGTATTAAATTGCTCCTGCAAGGATGAGAAGTGTATATAACTCAATAATGCCTGTCATTTTCCACTGCAGAGATGAACTTGAATTAAAGCAGAATTAATTCAGCTAACTTAAGCAAAGGTCTAATATCAAGTTTATTTCAGTTAAGGTATAAGACAAATAAGTCAAATTCCTATGCAAAGTTCTGCAGTAGTTCAAACTTTAATCTCTAATTCAAAACGATCACTAGAAATATGTCAAAATCAAGAATTTTATGAATCTTTTACAGCCCACAGAGAGGCTTAGATGAATGGCATGTGTTAAAAAGAAATGAACTACATATTTAGAAAGGACATGACGTTGCAGAAATTAGTCTGTCATTAAGATAGCTCTGCATGTATTCATAGACAAAGTGAACAACTGAGGCATATGTGGAGCGAGCAATCAAACATTTTTTGAGCACCTACTAAGTGTCAGGTACTGTCCTAGGCAGTTTATATTCAGTATCTCACTTAATCCTTGTAGAAAAAAATAAAGTAGACATCTGATTCCATTTTAAAAGTGAGCAAATAGACTCAAAGAGGTTTAGTTAATTGTAGCTAATAGATGACAGAGCCAATGTCTAAACCCAGGGCTGAGCCCAAAGCTGCATCATCTTCCAGTTGTCTCAATAATACCCCACCTAATGGAAAGTCTCAGAGCAAAGAGGCATCTGATAATATTGGTGGAAGATGAGCAACTGGAGAGCCGGCTGGGAAAAGCTCTGAATTAGAAATCGGGGGTAGTTTGCTAAATAACTTTAGATATCTTCTTACTTTAGTTTCCCATCTGTAAAACTGAGACAGTGATTTCTTTACTGCATACTGTGAAGTGTTAACACAAAGGCAATACTTATGTAACAGATTTGCTATGGATGGGCTCCCTGCCTTGGTAAAAGCTTGGATCAGATTTCCCCTATGGCCATGCCAGTTCAAAGGCAATAGTCCCCCAAGAATGCATGGTCAATGCTGAAATGAACCCTTTTCTAATGTAACAAATCACTTCCAACATGTATGTTTATATATATGAGTATATACTTTTGTATATTCAGTTTTCCTAAAACAGCATACACCTCTCTTTGACACAGAAAAGATAATAGCAATGATCTGGGTTCAAAGCTGAACACGTACAATGATTTCACACAAGCCCTTTGCTGCTACAAATATTTTATGTAACTTTATAGCCCCATATCCTGAATCTATAAATACTGAACACCTCCTCAATCTTATGTCAATTTCTCCTTAAGTCACTTATTACAATTCCTTAAGGCACACCTCACTACATCCTTTTAATGCATATAACCTATGTGTCCCTCATTTTTCTTTGTCTAACCATGCCTTCCCTTTACCTAGGAATCTACACATCTGACTCTGACAACACCACTACCTGAACAGTTCCCATGTGACCACTTAGTGCCTCTCATGTTAGTGCATCCCACTGCCTTCCCATTTGTGGATTTCAATCTAATTTCATTTATTTATGTATTTGTTTTGAACTACAACACACACACACAAAAACATACACAAACAAGAAAGAGTCGCAACCCATCTTTCCTTCCAATGTAAACCTTACTTAACCTGTTGATTTACTGCTGTACAGAACAGTCGCGGACAACATTTTAAGGTAACTGAAGTTTGCCCTTACCAAATCTCTGCATTCCTTTACTGGAATTTCTCCACTCCCTCAGAGCAACAAGAGCTTTCACAATTCCCCAGATGTTCAGCACCACTCACTACTTTTAACCCAGGCTTGCAATCTGTGGAGATATCTATCTAAGTGTCTAATTTCTTCTGTCCTCTCCTACCCTACACAAAGCAAATCTGTTCTGTGTCTTATTCTCTCTGTGCCTCAGTCTAAAACATGTCAACCTCAAATCATTAAGACTTTTTACCCAAGCACCGTATCTATATTTCAGAAACAATAATTCAAAGAGTAAATAAAATCTAGGAGAAAGAGAGAGAAAGCAAGTGGCAGGGAGTGGGGAAGGTCTGAAGATACTGAATCAGACAGCAAGCCAGTCAAAGAGCCATTTTGAAGCAGATGATCCTTTCATCGGTCATTGAACCACATCTTTAGATGACTACCTGCTTACTGGGCCAGCCTGTAAACACTTTCATTAGTGTTCCCTGTTAGTATTATTTGAAGGCATTTCACTCTCCATAGGTCGTCTCTAGGTCCCTAAAGTTCACCCTATGTCCCTGTTGTCTAATCCAACAAATCAGACCTGCCAAAGCATGTGTAGTAGATACTTGATGCTGGGTGAACATCACCACTAAATTTATTCTAACTTTAAACAGGACTGCTACTTAGTTCTGATAAGTAGGGATTGGAATCCTGAGCTCATAGTTTCTCCCTAACTGTCCTGCGGGGCCCGTAAGATCAACTTGTCCCTCATTCCCCATTTCTGGGTTTTGACAGACTACTTGGATTTCTATAGCCTGTTTCTGGGCCCCTAATGTAATTGCTTGCCTGATTGACTTTATTCCGTGGATACTAAATTTAACGTGGACCTTCTTCCAGCCCTTACAGGATAATTTTCTTATCCCAACCATTCTAGAACTTGCCCTTCCCTTAATAGGAAAGTCTAGTTGTTGTTCTTAGCCCCTCTAAATCTATTCTTCCCACTGTAATTAAGAAGCCTCTACATCCTGCTAATTCCCAGATAGAACAGTTTTGTCTTTCCTATTAGAGTTCTATCACCATCTAATCAAAAATTGTGACATCTGACTCTATATAACACTTTCTTCTACTCTGCTCATTTTCCTATAATTTCTCCCTAGTATCTACTATGAAGTACTTCATTGAGAATGTAAATCAGTCCTTTACTTCTGAAGTCAAACAGGTGTCTGAAGGTCATTTTAGTGGCCTAAGCAATTCACCACAATGATGTTAGTCCTTCTGTACAATTAATATCTAATTTAGCTAGACTCGGTTAAGGATAGAAGTTTGCTAATAAATGATAAAGAAGGTAAAAGCTATATGAGTTTGTAAATATTTTTAAAGTGAGCTTAAAAGACATTTAAGAAGAAAGAATACAGGTAGGTGAGCATAGTTAAATCATACATCATTCCAAAGCAAAAGCATGACTCTTGCTGATATAGTTTGGATCTGTGTTTCCACCCAAATCTCATACAGAATTTTAATCCCCAGTGTTAAGAGTCAGAGCCTGGTAGGAGGAGACTGGATCATGGGGACAGATTTCTCCCTTGCTGTTCTCGTGATAGTGAGTGAATTCTCATGAGATCTGGTTGTTTAAAAGTGTGTAGCACCTGCCCTTCACTCTCTTCGTCCTGTTCTGACCTTGCAAGATGTGCCTGCTTCCCATTCACCTTCTGCCATAATTGTAAGTTTCCTGAGGCCTCCTCAGCCGTGCTTCCTGTGGAGCCTGTGGAATTGTGGATCTCTTTTCTTTATAAATTATCCAGTCTCAGGTCTTGACGGAGTCTCACTCTGTCACCCAGGCTGGAGTTCAGTGGCACGATATTGGCTCACTGCAACGTCTGCCTCTGAGTTCTGATTCTCCTGCCTCAGCCTCCCAAGTAGCTAGGATTACAGGTGTGTGCCACAACACTCAGGTGTGATTTTTGTATTTTCAGAAGAGGCAGGGTTTCACCATATTGGCCAGGCTGGTCTCAAACTCCTGACCTCAAGTGATCCACCCACCTTGGCCTCCCAAAGTACTGAGATTACAGGTGTGAGCCACTGTGCCTGACCAGGTATTTCTTTATAGCAGTGGAAGAATTAACTAATACACATGCATGCCTTAACTTCTATGTATCTTCATACTCTTCAAGGTGCTTTTAGTTAAAACTCTAGTGAAATTTCCATCCCCACTCATTGATCTAGAATATATCCATAATCTGAACTTAAGGAAAAATACTTGGACTAGAACCCTTCCTGACAAATTCCATCACATAGAGATGAACCCCATAAGGATGTTTTCTCCTCCATGTTTGCTGCCTCACAATAAGTGTGGGTAATCACAAGCTATTCATCTTTATTTTCAGAGAACTCTGGGAAATCAGAAGAGATGAGAATTGATTAATGCTCTCCATGAAAAGTTCAATAACTGTTTAATCACAGCTTGAAAATAAAGCAATGCTTCTGATCTTTTACAAATTAATTTAACATTGCATTAAAAATAAAATGGGCTGTAAATTGTGCTGTGCAGGGATAATCAATGGCTCATTATCTTTGCTTCTAGCAAAATGCACTGATTCTTTTAAAGCCATTAATGAGCAATACTGGGCAGTACACAGCTGCAAATGTGTTCAAGTATTATTGATTCTACATCTATAAAACTAATCTCATCAGGGCAGAATTTATGAGCAGTAATAATGCAAACTGTTCCATGGTCCACACAGAAGAAATAAAAAAGAAAATTCATGGGCATAAGGCAAGATTATAAGATCACTGGAGAGGAACAATTTCTGAGCCCTTATTCTATTCTGTTGCCAGCACATTGTGGTACTTAATCACTGTTAAATATAAATCTAATAAAAAGAGATTATCAATGGTGACCAATGAAATGTTAACAGTCTTTTCATATAACTAAACCATTATGATAATTCTGTAATTTGAATTGATGTTACCAATTTCCTTAGACATTACTAAGACATTATGTACAAATTATCTATCAGGTTACTTCTATATTATTTCATATTTTATTACATAATGCTTGCAAATATTTTGCTACTGAAACAGAAACATTGAGTTGATATATTGTTTTCATTGTCCAACTTTGTAAAATAAATGTGTTGTCCATGTGTCCAACTGCCTGTTAGATCTCTCCCCCTTGGGAGTCCATTAAGCCTTTCAATCTAACATGTACAAAAATCTTGAGCTGGCTCCTAGTCAGCTGAGGTAGCTGCTGAATCTTGGGATCTAGTTTATCCTCAATGCCAGAGGGCGGGAAAAGGAAGAAAGGGCCCTTGAAGCTTCATTAGGAGGAGAATGGTGGGAGAATGGAGAATTTTCCACAAATAGAAATAGAGGATGGAAATGAAAATCTAACAACTCTAACATGTATCAGGCCAGATTTTTCTTCTATTTTACTTTAATTGCTACAATGCAGAAGTAAAGCTTAATTATGTTCAGTTAATACCAAGGACTGCCTTACAGAGAAACTATCATCACTAAGAAGCATCATAACAAAGAGAGATAGCATTTTGCTGAAAACTGACAGACTAGCATCCCACTTGTTGTTATGAAACTTCACCACGTTTGTTGAGCTGAGCTCTGAAATGCAAAGATTTAACATCCCTACTTTTGTGCCAGATATTTAATAGCAGGAATTAGAAATAACAATCCACGTAATATAAATGTGTAGAAATTGCCAAAAATTGTTAAATCTTTAAAAAAAAAACTTGCCTAGAAATTTCAAGCTAATAATACTGCATTTTCAGGGGTTTAGGATTACTTCTATTAACAGTGGCGGCCTGCTGATCCAAAAGTTCATGGAGAGAGAGCAGAACTTGATTTCTACTCTCAGCATCTCGAGGCCCCAACATGCAGGTAAGTGACACACTTTAATCTAGCAATGGTAAGGAGGAATAAAAGTGACGTATTTCCATCCAGTTTTCTTACACAGCACTTAATGTTAAAGGAATTTTCTTGCTTATTTATAAGAACATGTGACTTATAATAGAGACACAAGTAAAAACTACTGCCCAGCATTTCCTCAAAAAGATTGCCCAACTTTTTGTTTCCCAGACTCTCCAACAGTATTTCAGAGCCACGTTATATCAACACTCAGTTACATTTAGAGAGTGTAAATTTGGAAACACCTACGTTTCTCAGAATTAGACAAAAAAGAATGTAAATTCAAAAGGTGAGTGAAGCCAAAAGCAGAAGCTGGACTTGGATAAAGCAGTAAGTCCAAACTAGGGGATGCTGAACTTGTTTCTAAAGGCTCAGCCAGCCTGCAGTTAATCCATGAGGAGGCACAGTGATGGTTGTGTCTCTAGTGATAACAAGGGTCACACCCAGGATATCACACAAGGATGGCTTCTCTTTCCCACTAACTAGCTCCCAAGACAAAGTGGACTTTGCCACTTACTGCTCTCAGAGGTTAGATGTCACAGATGCAGGCAAGAAAACAAGCTGGTGTGAAGTTTCTGAGGTCACATCACATATACTCCTAAGGACTGATTGGCCTACTCATAAATTAACTTTAACATAGATATTTTCTACTGACCATACTATAGCATAGGTCACTTTAATTTGGACAACTGAAGTCCCAGATAAAGCATTTAAGCTGGGTAACAACTTTGAAGTATGATAAATCTGCACAGCAGTTCTCAAATTTTGGAATGAATAAAAATTATTTGTGAACTTCGTTTTAAAACACAAGCGTATAAGAAATAATGCACACCTCATGAATCGTTCAAGAAATGTAAATCAAAATTGCAATGAGATACCACTTCATACCCACTAAGATAGCTAAAAAAAAATTAAAGCAGACAACAAGTGTTGGCAAGGATGTGAAGGAATTGGATTGTAAAATGGTGCAATTTTTTGGAAAGCAGTGTGGCCATTCCTCAAAATGTTAAATATACAGTTACCATATGAGCCAGCAATTCCACTTCTAGCTGTACACCTATATTCATTTGCTAGGGCTGTCAAAACAAAATACTATAGACTGGGTGGCTTAAACAACAGAAATTTATTTTCTCATAGTTCTGAAAGCTGGAAAACTAAGATCAAGGTGCCAACCAGGGCTGCTTTCTCCTGGAGCCTCTCTCCTTGCCTTGCAGCTGGCTGCCCTCTTGCCACCTCTCTTCACGTGTTCATCCCTCTGTGTATGTGTACCCTAGGTATCTCTCTGCAGTCATGATCTCTTCTTACATCAGATTGGATTTGGGTCCACCCTAATGGCCTCATTTTAATTTAATCATCTCTTTGAAACCCTTGTATCCAAATGTAATCACATTCTGGGGTATTGGGGTTGGGAATTCAACATATGAATTTGTGGGGAGGGCATAACTTAGGCCATAACAATATCTAAAAGAACTGAAAACATGTCCACACAAAACTTATACATGAATGTTCATAGCATTCATAATGGCTAGAAGTTGAAGCAAACCAAATGTCCATAAACTGAAGAATGGGTAAACATAGTATACTATATCCATACAATGGATTATTATTGGGCAATAAAAAGGAATGAAATACTGATTTATGATTCAACATTGATGAACTTTGAAATCATTATGCTAAGTGAAAGAAGCCAATCAATACAAAGGCCACACATATTGTATTATTCCATATATAAAATAACCAGAATGAGTAATCATAGAAACGGAAAGTAAAGTAGATTCATGGTTGCCAGGAGCTAGGGAGAGGGAACATGGAAAGTGATTGCTAATGAGTTCAAGATTTGTTCTGGGGGTGATAAAAAATGTTCTGAAATTAATTACTGGTGATGGTTGCCGACCTTTGTGAATATACTGAAAACCACTGAATTGTATACTTTAAAAAGGTAAATTCTTTGTATGAAATTTCGTTTTAATAAATGTATTATTTAAATTAAAAACCACCAGCCTTGGTGACATGGCAAAACCCCATCTCTACAAAAAGACAAAAATTAGCCAGGAGTGGTGGTGTGCACCTGTAATCCCAGCTACTCAGGAGGCTGAGGTGGGAGGACTGCTTGAGCCTGGGAGGTTGAGGCTGCAGTGAGCTATGATCATGCCACTACATTCCAGCCTGGGTGATACTGAGAGACCCTTTCTCAAAAAAAAAAAAAAAAAAAAAAAAAAAATCACAGATATAGTCTGAGTCTCCCTACCCACCCAATTACAGAGATTCTGATTCAGAATATCTGGAGAAGGCCTAGAAATGTGCATTTTTTAACAAGTGTTTTCCCACCTTCCAAAAAGTAGAACTTTGACAAATAATAAGATAAAATATTCTTGATATGGGCTTCTGGACTACTTTGATTGAGAGGCCAGAGAGCTTTATAAAAAGCCGACACTAGAATCCCTACAGTGAGTTATCTAAGCTGCTGAGGGATAATGGTCACCTTGGATTAGGGAAGGGGCTCAACCTGAGTAGAGAAGAGCTGAGGTGTAAAAACTTGCACTTAAGATGGGCAAGGAGAAGCTACAACGTCTACCACAATGACACAGATGGTCTTTTGGACCTTGGATGTCCTGAGAAGATGGAGCTGTCATTTAAAGAAAATCAACTCATGTTTATTCACTGGGCACTTATGTATTAAACCAAATGCACATGGTCTAAATAGCAGAGTGCATTGCACTGGGGAAGAATATTTACTCTCACTTTGCCAGCTTCAACTCTGAGACAATTGGAGATAAAACAAAAATTGCCGCAGTCAAAGAGTAATAGAAAAGATACTCCAGAATAGAAAGATGGCCCTATATTTGATCAGATATGATTGGATTTTTTTAAACATTATTGAGGCAATTTGCAGGCATATGATGCTTAGGTTTGGGGTTGGGGTTAGAGCTAAAATAAGATACAGGATAAGAATTCTGTATCTCTTTCTATAAAGAGTGTTCAGGATATGAAGCCTGAATAGTCCCTACAAAAGTAATAATCAAAGTTCTTTCCAGCACATGTGCTTGATACTAAGCTAACAAGAGAATGATCAAATTAGATAACCTTTAAATATTATCATGGAAGAAGCGGGCAAAAGGTGCCCAAAAAGACAATTCATGGAAGATGTTTTTCCCAATTCTCAACCAAGAAAAAGTATTAAAATTGTAGAAAGTGTGATAGCCAACTTCCAGGAAGGCTCACAGATAGCCTCCTATTATTCATACCTCTATACAGTCCTTTCCCACACTGACCAACAGAATACAGCAGAAGTGATGAAATACCACTTCCAAAATCAGATTGTAAAACACAGGACAGCTTCCAGCTTGCTTACTCTCTTTCTCTCTTGTAGCACATGGTCTGGGGAAAACTAGCTGCCATGTCATAAGTAACCTAGTGAGAGGCTCATGTGGCAAAAAACTGGGGCTTCTTCTTCACAGCCACCTTACACATGGGTCCTCCTACCCCAGACAAGCCCTCAGAAGACTGCAGCCCCAGCCAGCAGCTTGAATGCAGCCTCATAAGGGATCCTGAGCCAGAATCACCCATCTAAGTCATTGTCAGATTCCTAACTCTTAGAAAGTGATAAATATATATTGTCATTACTTGCTATGTTTGGGGGTAAATAAGTTTTGAAATTTTTTTAAGAATTCTTTTTTTAGCAGTTTCACATTCACAGTAAAATTGAGAGAAAGGTACAGAAATATCCCATATATCCTTTCTCCCTCCATGTGTGCACAGAGCCGCCCCCATTGTCAATATCCCCCAACAGAGTGGTACATATGTTACAATTGATGAACTTACATTGACGCATCATTATTACCCAACTGGGATAATTTTTACATAGCAATAGATAACTAATACAGAAAGTTAATACTATTTTTATATTATATTGTTTTATAAATAATTGTTTTATGGTATAATGTTTTAATGAATTCTTGGCACCTAATACCCATTATCTGCCAAAGAGACAATAAAATATGTAAAACAAGTAACTAATGGTACTAATGGGAAAGTCAGAAAGCACCATCCATGCAGAGAGGAAATAGCACAGTGAGAAGTAGTTTGGAGTCAAACAGATCTGGATTCAACTCAGACTCTAACTCTTTCTTGATGTGTGACCTTGGGAAAGTTTCCTAAACTCTCCTACCCGTCAATTGAGGACAATGCCTTCCTCATGGGGCTTTTGTGAAGTTTAAATAGATGACCATATATGGAAAGCACCCAACACACAGAAAGTTTTCAACATATGTTTATTTCTCCCCATCCTTTTTGATTCTTGTAATTGCAATTTGGGACATGAATGATTGCCTAATAGACATATTTTCTTCTAGCAAAAGTTTCCCTTTGTAGATATCATAAAATGTAATATATAAATCTTTCTGGCCCAGGTGTGGTGACTCACCCCTGCACTCCGAGCACTTTGAGAGGCCAAGGAAGGAGGATCAGTTGAGTCCAGGAGTTCTAGACCAGCTTAAGCAACATAGTGAGACCCTGTCTCTACCAAAAATAAAAACTTGCTGGGTGTGGTGGTGCACACCTGTAGTCATAGCTACTCAGGAAGTGAGAGGATAGCTTGAGCCCAGGCGATAGAAGCTTCAGTTAGCTGTGACAGCACCACTGCACTCCAGACTAGGCAACAGAGCAAGACACTGTCTCCAAAAACAAAACAAAACAAAACAAAAGCAATGAAACAAATAAATCTTTCCCAATATTTTATGGGAAAAAAAAACTTGACTTCTAGGTGACCATTTGAATTTTATGAGAATAACTGGATCCTATGACTAACTTGGAATACCTGTAATTGGCCATTAATCATATGCAAGTGGTAGAAAAAATAACATCAAAATTCCTCCTTATAATACCAACTCCCTTCCCTATTTCCATCTTCAGAGATGGCCAAATTAAAGTGATACTATCTTCCACATTCTGAAAGACAGACACCACCTCTGGGTAACTTTTAAGAAAGTTTCATAGCAATCCTATAGTCAACAAGGCCTGCCCTTTCCTGTACAGTGGTGAAAAGAGCAGAATTCAGCAGAAGTTTAGAAAGTCATAGTAAAGTCACACCTGAACCAGTCTAAGAGAGCAAACAAAAAGTCTTCTTTAGAGAAGTGTTCTTGGAGAAGTTGCCTCTTAAAACACGTTTCTTAGGCTGTAAAACTCTGGAGGTCCTCATTGTAATGAAGGAATAAATATAAGGTGATCAATCTTCCAGTTTTCTGCTGTGAGAAGATTCCTAGTGAAAATTCTCTGGGTAGTTGGTTTCCTCCCACCCACCTGCACTGTCTGTCTGCACTTCCATATGCATGCATAGGACATTGCCTAATGCAACCACAGTGAGACATAGGTGCCATCTGCCTCACCAGCTCCCTGACTCACCTTGTGATACATCTAATGCTACAGAGATGAAGAAGATTCAGATGGCACAATAGAACTCAAGCTTATTAACAGCCCATCTGCTCAGCCAGACAACACCTCAACTGGATGCAAGAACAGGATTGTAAAGGACTAGCAGAGCAGACCCATATACTAATCAGGCTGATTTGACAGTATTCATAGAGGTTTCAAGATTTTTTGCTTATTTATTTATTTTCTTATTTATTTATTAGATTTAGAAACAAATACAAATAATCTGCTTAATATTAAATTTTTCTATAACCGTAAACTCCTGTGATATCCACATCACTTGCACCTTCTCTCAAGTCTTTGCTCAAATATCACGTTCTCACTGTCCCTTTCCCAGACCACCCTATTTAAATTATAGGCCTCCAGTCTTTGAACACGCTATACTTCCTCACTCCTTTATTTTACTCCTTAATACTTATCACCATAATATATCATTTAATTTACCAATATGTTTGCTAAATGTTTTTCTCACTCCAGTAGTATTTAAAGTCCATGAGAATTGAGAATGTATCTCCAATGTCTAAGACAATACCTAATACGTGATAGGTACTTAATAAATATTTGCTAAATGACTACTATTTTGTTCTCTTATCTTCATGTAAAAACACTGTCTTAAAGCTTTGTCTCCACCTCCTTACTGATGCCACTCTCTTCCCCCTGCACATAATAGCCCTCTCCCATTGCTATACACATGGTAAAAGTGCAATAAATATTTAAAATATTGACCAATTAATTAACCATTGACTCCACTAGAGACATCTGAGAGAGCAGAGGGAAAAAGAAAGCTCTATCACCTGGATTGAAAATATCAAAATGTTGTTATTCTTATGCTCACTGGACAAATATTCATTAAGAAGCTTGCATGCTATCTTTGCTTTCACAAATGGTTTTGCACATAAGAGATTGGAGAATGCAAAGATTAATATCTACATTCAATGTAGTCACTTCAGTATGCTGCTGGAATTTGTGATTTTGCTTTTATGCAGTTTTCTCGAAGCAATAAAATATAAGCTTACATATATAATGAGCTGTCTAAGGACCTGGCACAATTATATATCCAATTCTCTTAAATCAGCTGCTTAGAAAATGGCAGATAACCCTTCTGATTTACGAAAGGAATTTTCAGGACTCTATTTGAAATGCAGAAATAGTTTAAAAACTTGATAGCAAGAAATGGGCTGGTAGCTTATATTGGAAAAGAGAGATAAGGGAGAAATAGAGCTTAACTTTAAAATTAGACCCAGAAGGCAGGTTGGGGGTGAGATAACAAGGGTTAGTGGGACCCAACATCAATGGGGCTTAGATTGTTTATGAACCACCCCAGAAATATTGCCATTTTGATATCTTTTGATATACTATTGAAAGTTAATGGCAAAAACCACAATCACTGTTGCACCAACCTAATACATTTATTTGCTAGTCTATTAAATGGTCTATCATTAACTTGCCACAACTGGCCCAGATTTCAGAAGATGTCTAACTTGCCTAGTGAGCAGTGCCTTAAGCACTGCAGGAATCTGGTTCACAGTGTGAGAACAGACTCTTAAGTGTTCAGTGATCAAGCATACGTAACATATATGTTCTTTGGAGTTAAAATTTTCTGAAGCTACAAAAGTTATTTCATTCATTTATTTAGAAAATGAATATAGTGGTGACGAATCACATAGTTATGAATCAGATAATGTGCCTAATTTCAGAGAGCTGACATTTGAGATAGAGAAGCAGTCAGAAACAAAAAATTTAAAAATTAAATTTTTGAAAAAGAAATGTTATCTTAATTTGTGTATATGGTGAAAGGTACAGGTATAGTTTCATTCTTCTGTGTATGGCTAGCCAGTTATCCAAGCACCATTTATTAAATAGGGAGTTCTTTCCCCATTACTTGTTTTTGTCAACCTTGTTGAAGATCATATTGTTGTAGGTGTATGGCTTTATTTCTGAGTTTTCTATTCTGTTCTATTGGTCTGTGTGTCTGTTTTTGTACTCATACCATGCTGTTTTGATTACTGTAGTCTTGTGGTATAATTTCAAGTTGGGTAATGCGATGCCTCCTACAGCATGGAATACTATACAGCCATAAAAAATAAGGAAATCATGTCCTTTGCAGCAACATGGATGTAGCTGAAGGCCATAATCTGAAGTGAATTAACACAGGAACAGAAAACCAAATATCACATGTTCTCATTTATATAAGTGGGAGCTAAATATTCAGCACACATATACATAAACACGAGGACAATAGATGCTGTCAACTACTAGAGTGAGGCAGGAGGGAGTGGGTACCATGCTCACTATCTGGGTCCAATATACCCATGTAACAATCCTACACATGTAGTCCTTATATCTAAAATAAAAGGTGATTTTTTAAAGAAGTATAAAAATAAATTACCAATTAAGATATACACTGTGATAAATGCTGTGAAAGAAATATATAGAGTGATGAGTAGAGATTAAGGTCACACTGAGGAGGACACTGAGGCGCTGACATTGCAGTCTGACTTGAAGGGTAAACTAGCCATGCAAAGAACTACAGAAAAAAAGGTTCTAAGCAGAGGGACAGCAAATACAAGGCCTGGCATTAGGAAAGGGCTTGTTGTACTCTGCAACAGAGAGGAGGCCAGTGCTGCTTGAATGAGGAAGGGAGTTGTGTGAGATGAGGTTCAAGGGGTGCACAGGAGCCAGTTCATACAGAATAATGTGGGCCAGGTTAAGTAGGTGAGATTTTATTTTAAGTGCAATGGGAAATAACCTTTACCTTAGACTTCTACTTAACGTCATATTTCAAGCAAGATCACCTGAAAAACTTCCATCCATAAACACCTAGAAATGCTGGATAAAAGAGCAAAAAAAATTGAGCGTAGATAGGAGCTTATGATTTTAAAAAAGGAGAGAGATCCAAGTGCTAGAGGGGAAAGGGTGGATGTTGACTGAGAATGGACATAAGGGAACAGTCTGGATCCTAGAAATGTTTTCAAACCTTGATCTGAGTGGTAAAGTAAGTGTGTATATATATCAAAATTAATAGAGTTGTACAATTATGATTTGTACACTTCCTATGTGTATTTTATACATCAATAAAATTTTAAAAATAAATAAGAGTAACCAAAGAGGAAAAACAAATCAATTAGAAAAACAATAGATTTCTCAACTGCAGCAACAGGGGCTAGCATCCAAAAATAATATTTCATTGTGCTGGGGGAAAATATCTTAGTCTAGAGTTCTATATCCTATTAAATTATCATTCAAAAAATGTGGGCAAAATAAACACATTTTTAGACAAACACTAAGAAAATTCCCACTCCCACAGATTTTCACTCTAGATACTTAAACAAACAGCAAATTGAACTTAGTAGAAAGGCATGGAAATCAAGAAATGACAAGTGAAAAATGTCTTGCAGACACCACTGATCTGCAGTCAGTGGGATCACGAAATTAGAAGACCATGAAACTGGGGATCACCAGTTTGGCTAAGGTTTCCTTGTCTGGATTTTTAGATACAAATTATCTGTGCCTTTGCCTTCTTACCTATAAAATAGAGATGATACTAGTACCTTATGCATATAATAATGGTGAGGATTGTGTGTGTGTGTGTGTGTGTGTGTGTGTGTGTGTGTCCTTGAAGCAGTGCCTAGTGGTGATGAACTATTACTATTACACATTATATATCTGAACCCCTGACAGGAAGTCTTGCTTTATGGATCATAAAGAAAGTTCTTTCAGAAGTATCGAACTCTTTTCCCTTATATATCGCAAATAGCTTATTTCTTTTTAAAGTCTTCTAGATGTTCATTAATCTATTTTTTAAAATAGAATGATGGAAATCCACCCACAAGTTTGAAGCAAAAGAGTGAAAAAATTTGCTTCATTTTTTTAAATGGTCACTGTGGCTACTGTACAGGAAAAAAAGTTGGAAGAGGGCAAAAGGGGAAACAAGAAAACCAGTTATAAGGTATTTCCATAGGAAAAGGATAAACTGACAGTGTACTAGACTGGACAAAAATAATTTTAGGAAAAAGTTTAGGAAAAAAATAATAAAAACAGAAATTATATATTAAAATGTAAAATCTAGTACTAAAAAACTATTGAGAATATTGGAGCAAAAAGTTACTAAATTATATCTAGATTCTCAAAATCAGAAAATGTAATTCTGAAAACTCTTATTGTACTCTGGCATTATCTTTCATTTATGCAATACCTTTAGTAACCTCAGATTTCCATCCAAATTTATCTCCAACTATACAATTTCAGACTGTCCAATTCCTACTCCTTTGATCATACAATCACATCTGCCCTAACTGTTCCTCTCTCCCTCTTCTGCATAAAGTCTTATGCATACTTCAAATAGTTGGTCACATTTCATCTTCTCCACCCCAGATTTTCTACTGTTGGAATCAATATTTCTATCCCTTATTTTCCAAATATGCTAACTCTACTAAATTAATGGACCTTTCCTTATGCCAATCTGCCTTGTAGTTATCTGAATTACAAAATGAATTACAAAACTAAAAATTAAGAGTTTTCTCTCCGAAGATTACAAAACTCTGAAAATTAAGAAATACGTCATATTCGCTACAAAGAACTCAAGCTAATCAGCAAGAAAAAAAAATCCTATAAAAAAGTGGGCTAAGGACATCAATAGACACATTCTCAAAAGATATACAAATGGCCAAAAAGCATATGGAAAGATGTTCAACATCACTAATTATCAGGGAAATGCAAACAAAAACCACAACGCAATATCACCTCACTCCTGCAAGAATGGCTATAATAAAAAAAAATTTAAAAATAATAGATGTTGGCATGGATGTGGTGAAAAGGGAACACTTTTACACTGCTGGTGGGAATGTAAACTAGTACAGCCACTATGGAAAACAGTGTGGAGATTCCTTAAAGAAATAAAAGTAGGTCGGGCATGGTGGCTCACACCTGTAATATCAGCACTTTGGGAGGCCGAGGTGGGCGGATCACCTGAGGTCAGGAGTTCGAGACCAGCCTGACCAACATGGGGAAACCCCATCTCTACTAAAACAGTACAAAATTAGCTGGGCATGGTGGCGCATGCCTGTAATCCCAACTACTCAGGAGCCTGAGGCAGGAGAATCACTTGAACCTGGGAGGTGGAGGTTGAAGTGAGCTGAGATTGTGCCATTGAACTCCAGCCTGGGCAACGAGAGTGAAACTCCATTAAAAAAAAAAAAAGGAGGAGGAGCCAAGATGGCCGAATAGGAACAGCTCCGGTCTACAGCTCCCAGCATGAGCAACACGGAAGATGGTGATTTCTGCATTTCCATCTGAGGTACCGGGTTCATCTCACTAGGGAGTGCCAGACAGTAGGCGCAGGTCAGTGGGTGCGTGCACCGTGCGCGAGCCGAAGCAGGGCAAGGCATTGCCTCACTTGGGAAGCACAAGGGGTCAGGGAGTTCCCTTTCCGAGTCAAAGAAAGGGGTGACAGACGGCACCTGGAAAATCGGGTCACTCCCACCCGAATACTGCGCTTTTCCGAGGGGCTTAAAAAACGGTGCACCAAGAGATTATATCCCGCACCTGTCTTGGAGGGTCCTACGCCCACAGAGTCTCGCTGATTGCTAGCACAGCAGTCTGAGATCAAACTGCAAGGCGGCAGCCAGGCTGGGGGAGGGGTGCCCGCCATTGCCCAGGCTTGATTAGGTAAACAAAGCAGCCGGGAAGCTCCAACTGGGCGGAGCCCACCACAGCTCAAGGAGGCCTGCCTGCCTCTGTAGGCTCCACCTCTGGGGGCAGGGCACAGACAAACAAAAAGACAGCAGTAACCTCTGCAGACTTAAATGTCCCTGTCTGACAGCTTTGAAGAGAGCAGTGGTTCTCCCAGCACGCAGCTGGAGATCTGAGAACGGGCAGACTGCCCCCTCAAGTGGGTCCCTGACCCCTGACCCCTGAGCAGCCTAACTGGGAGGCACCCCCCAGCAGGGGCACACTGACACCTCACACGGCAGGGTATTCCAACAGACCTGCAGCTGAGGGTCCTGTCTGTTAGAAGGAAAACTAACAAACAGAAAGGACATCCACACCAAAAACCCATCTGTACATCACCATCATCAAAGACCAAAAGTAGATAAAACCACAAAGATGGGGAAAAAACAGAACAGAAAAACTGGAAACTCTAGAAAGCAGAGCACCTCTCCTCCTCCAAAGGAACGCAGTTCCTCACCAGCAACGGAACAAAGCTGGGTGGAGAATGACTTTGACGAGCTGAGAGAAGAAGGCTTCAGACGATCAAATTACTCTGAGCTACGGGAGGACATTCAAACCAAAGGCAAAGAAGTTGAAAACTTTGAAAAAAATTTAGAAGAATGTATAACTAGAATAACCAATACAGAGAAGTGCTTAAAGGAGCTGATGGAGCTGAAAACCAAGGCTCGAGAACTACGTGAAGAATGCAGAAGCCTCAGGAGCCGATGCAATCAACTGGAAGAAAGGGTATCAGCAATGGAAGATGAAATGAATGAAATGAAGTGAGAAGGGAAGTTTAGAGAAAAAAGAATAAAAAGAAACGAGCAAAGTCTCCAAGAAATATGAGACTATGTGAAAAGACCAAATCTACGTCTGATTGGTGTACCTGAAAGTGATGGGGAGAATGGAACCAAGTTGGAAAACACTCTGCAGGATATTATCCAGGAGAACTTCCCCAATCTAGCAAGGCAGGCCAACGTTCAGATTCAGGAAATACAGAGAACGCCACAAAGATACTCCTTGAGAAGAGCAACTCCAAGACACATAATTGTCAGATTCACCAAAGTTGAAATGAAGGAAAAAATGTTAAGGGCAATGAGAGAGAAAGGTCAGGTTACCCTCAAAGGGAAGCCCATCAGACCAACAGCGGATCTCTTGGCAGAAACCCTACAAGCCAGAAGAGAGTGGAGGCCAATATTCAACATGCTTAAAGACAAGAATTTTCAACCCAGAATTTCATATCCAGCCAAACTAAGCTTCATAAGCGAAGGAGAAATAAAATACTTTACAGACAAGCAAATGCTGAGAGATTTTGTCACCACCAGGCCTGCCCTAAAAAAGCTCCTGAAGGAAGCACTAAACATGGAAAGGAACAACCGGTACCAGCCGCTGCAAAATCATGCCAAAACGTAAAGACCATCAAGACTAGGAAGAAACTGCATGAACTAACGAGCAAAATAACCAGCTAACATCATAATGATAGGATCAAATTCACACATAACAATATTAACTTTAAAAGTAAATGGACTTAATGCTCCAATTAAAAGACACAGACTGGCAAATTGGATAAAGAGTCAAGACCCATCAGTGTGCTGTATTCAGGAAACCCACCTCACATGCAGAGACACACATAGACTCAAAATAAAAGGATGGAGGAAGATCTACCAAGCAAATGGAAAACAAAAAGGCAGGGGTTGCAATCCTAGTCTCTGATAAAACAGACTTTAAACCAACAAAGATCAAAAGAGACAAAGAAGGCCATTACATAATGGTAAAGCCATCAATTCAACAAGAAGAGCTAACTATCCTAAATACATATGCACCCCATACAGGAGCACCAAGATTCATAAAGCAAGTCCTGAGTGACCTACAAAGAGACTTAGACTCCCACACATTAATAATGGGAAACTTTAACACCCCACTGTCAACATTAGACAGATCAACGAGACAGAAAGTCAACAAGGATACCCAGGAATTGAACTCAGCTCTGCACCAAGCGGACCTAATAGACATCTACAGAACTCTCCACCCCAAATCAACAGAATATACATTTTTTTCAGCACCACACCACACCTATTCCAAAATTGACCACATACTTGGAAGTAAAGCTCTCCTCAGCAAATGTAAAAGAACAGAAATTATAACAAACTATCTCTCAGACCACAGTGCAATCAAACTAGAACTCAGGATTAAGAATCTCACTCAAAACCGCTCAACTACATGGAAACTGAACAACCTGCTCCTGAATGACTACTGGGTATATAATGAAATGAAGGCAGAAATAAAGATGTTCTTTGAAACCAATGAGAACAAAGACACAACATACCAGAATCTCTGGGACGCATTCAAAGCAGTGTGTAGAGGGAAATTTATAGCACTAAATGCCCACAAGAGAAAGCAGGAAAGATCCAAAATTGACACCCTAACATCACAATTAAAAGAACTAGAAAAGCAGGAGCAAACACATTCAAAAGCTAGCAGAAGGCAAGAAATAACTAAAATCAGAGCAGAGCTGAAGGAAATAGAGACACAAAAAACCCTTCAAAAAATTAGTGAATCCAGGAGCTGGTTTTTTGAAAGGATCAACAAAATTGATAGACCGCTAGCAAGACTAATAAAGAAAAAAAGAGAGAAGAATCTAATAGACGCAATAAAAAATCATAAAGGGGATATCACTACCGATCCCACAGAAATACAAATTACCATCAGAGAATACTACAAACTCCTCTACGCAAATAAACTAGAAAATCTAGAAGAAATGGATAAATTCCTCGACACATACACTCTCCCAAGACTAAACCAGGAAGAAGTTGAGTCTCTGAATAGACCAATAACAGGATCTGAAATTGTGGCAATAATCAATAGTTTACCAACCAAAAAGAGTCCAGGCCGGGCGCGGTGGCTCACGCCTGTAATCCCAGCACTTTGGGAGGCCGAGGCGGGCGGATCACGAGGTCAGGAGATCAAGACCATCCCGGCTAAAACGGTGAAACCTCGTCTCTACTAAAAATACAAAAAATTAGCCGGGCGTAGTGGCGGGCGCCTGTAGTCCCAGCTACTTGGGAGGCTGAGGCAGGAGAATGGCATGAACCCGGGAGGCGGAGCTTGCAGTGAGCCGAGATCCCGCCACTGCACTCCAGCCTGGGCGACAGAGCGAGACTCCGTCTCAAAAAAAAAAAAAAAAAAAAAGAGTCCAGGACCAGATGGATTCACAGCTGAATTCTACCAGAGGTATAAGGAGGAACTGGTACCATTCCTTCTGAAACTATTCCAATCAATAGAAAAAGAGGGAATCCTCCCTAACTCATTTTATGAGGCCAGCATCATTCTGATACCAAAGCCAGGCAGAGACACACAAAAAAAAGAGAATTTTAGACCAATACCTGTGATGAACACTGATGCAAAAATCCTCAATAAAATACTGGCAAAACGAATCCAGCAGCACATCAAAAAGCTTATCCACCATGATCAAGTGGGCTTCATCCCTGGGATGCAAGGCTGGTTCAATATACGCAAATCAATAAATGTAATCCAGCATATAAACAGAGCCAAAGACAAAAAGCACATGATTATCTCAATAGATGCAGAAAAAGCCTTTGACAAAATTCAACAACCCTTCCTGCTAGAAACTCTCAATAAATTAGGTATTGATGGGACGTATTTCAAAATAATAAGAGCTATCTATGACAACCCCACAGCCAATATCATACTGAATGGGCAAAAACTGGAAGCATTCCCTTTGAAAACTGGCACAAGACAGGGATGCCCTCTCTCACCACTCCTATTCAACATAGTGTTGGAAGTTCTGGCCAGGGCAATTAGGCAGGAGAAGGAAATAAAGGGTATTCAAGTAGGAAAAGAGGAAGTCAAATTGTCCCTGTTTGCAGATGACATGATTGTATGTCTAGAAAACCCCATTGTCTCAGCCCAAAATCTCCTTAAGCTGATAAGCAACTTCAGCAAAGTCTCAGGATACAAAATCGATGTACAAAAATCACAAGCATTCTTATACACCAGCAACAGACAAACAGAGAGCCAAATCATGAGTGAACTCCCATTCACAATTGCTTCAAAGAGAATAAAATACCTAGGAATCCAACTTACAAGGGATGTGAAGGACCTCTTCAAGGAGAACTACAAACCACTGCTCAAGGAAATAAAAGAGGATACAAACAAATGGAAGAACATTCCATGCCCATGGGTAGGAAGAATCAATATCGTGAAAATGGCCATACTGCCCAAGGTAATTTACAGATTCAATGCCATCCCCATCAAGCTACCAATGCCTTTCTTCACAGAATTGGAAAAAACTACTTTAAAGTTCATATGGAACCAAAAAAGAGCCCGCATCGCCAAGTCAATCCTAAGCCAAAAGAAAAAAGCTGGAGGCATCATGCTACCTGACTTCAAACTATACTACAAGGCTACAGTAACCAAAACAGCATGGTCCTGGTACCAAAACAGAGATATAGATCAATGGAACAGAACAGAGCCGTCTGAAATAACGCCGCATATCTACAACTATCTGATCTTTGACAAACCTGAGAAAAACAAGCAATGGGGAAAGGATTCCCTATTTAATAAATGGTGCTGGGAAAACTGGCTAGCCATATGTAGAAAGCAGAAACTGGATCCCTTCCTTACACCTTATACAAAAATCAATTCAAGATGGATTAAAGACTTAAATGTTAGACCTAAAACCATAAAAACCCTAGAAGAAAACCTAGGCATTACCATTCAGGACATAGGCATGGGCAAGGACTTCATGTCTAAAACACCAAAAGCAATGGCAACAAAAGACAAAATTGACAAATGGGATCTAATTAAACTCAAGAGCTTCTGCACAGCAAAAGAAACTACCATCAGAGTGAACAGGCAACCTACAAAATGGGAGAAAATTTTTGCAACCTACTCATCTGACAAAGGGCTAATATCCAGAATCTACAATGAACTCAAACAAATTTACAAGAAAAAAACAAACAACCCCATCAAAAAGTGGGTGAAGGACATGAACAGACACTTCTCAAAAGAAGACATTTATGCAGCCAAAAAACACATGAAAAAATGCTCATCATCACTGGCCATCAGAGAAATGCAAATCAAAACCACAATGGGATACCATCTCACACCAGTTAGAATGGCAATCATTAAAAAGTCAGGAAACAACAGGTGCTGGAGAGGATGTGGAGAAATAGGAACACTTTTACACTGTTGGTGGGACTGTAAACTAGTTCAACCATTGTGGAAGTCAGTGTGGTGATTCCTCAGGGATCTAGAACTGGAAATACCATGTGACCCAGCCATCCCATTACTGGGTATATACCCAAAGGACTATAAATCATGCTGCTATAAAGACACATGCACACGTATGTTTATTGCGGCATTATTCACAATAGCAGAGACTTGGAACCAACCCAAATGTCCAACAGTGATAGACTGGATTAAGAAAATGTGGCACATATACACCATGGAATACTATGCGGCCATAAAAAATTATGAGTTCATGTCCTTTGTAGGGACGTGGATGAAATTGGAAATCATCATTCTCAGTAAACTATCGCAAGAACAAAAAACCAAACACCGCATATTCTCACTCATATGTGGGAATTGAACAATGAGATCACATGGACACAGGAAGGGGAATATCACACTCTGGGGACTGTTGTGGGGTGGGGGGAGGGGGGAGGGATAGCATTGGGAGATATACCTAATGCTAGATGATGAGTTAGTGGGTGCAGTGCACCAGCATGGCACATGTATACATATGTAACTAACCTGCACAATGTGCACACGTACCCTAAAACTTAAAGTATAATTAAAAAAAAAAAAAGAAATAAAATTCTCTTGTTGAAGCCAAAAAAAAAAAAAAGAACTAAAAGTAGATCTACCATTTGATCCAGCAATCCCATTACTAGGGACCTACCCAGAGGAAAAGAAGCCATTATACAAAAAAGATACTTGCACACACATGTTTACAGCAGCACAATTTGCAATTGCAAAAATTTGGAACCAGCCCAAATGCCCATCAACCAATGAGTAGATAAATAAACTGTGGTATATATATAACATGGAATACTACTCAGCCATAAAAATGAATGAAATAATGGTACTTGCAGCCACCTGAATGGAATTGGAGACCTTTATTCTAAGTGAAGTAACTCAGGAATGGAAAAGCAAACACTGTATATTCTTTCTCATATGTGGGAGCTAAGCTATGAGGCTGCAAAGGCATAAGAATAACACAATGAACTTTGGGGACTCAGGGGAATGTGTGGCAGGTGGTGAGGGATAAACGACTGCACATCAAATACAGTGTACACTGCTTAGGTGATGGGGCCACCAAAATCTCACAAATCACCACTAAGGAACTTATTCATGTAACCAAACACCATCTGTTCCTCAAAAACCTATTGAAATAAAAAAAATTTTTAAAGAAATATGTCATATTCAGTCTGCATCCCCTACATCTTCAAGCAGAGTATCTTTAAAAAATATTAAAGGTATTGAAATTGAGGTGAAAAGGGAGTTATCATCATTTGAACTATCTGAATAATGAGACCTCTGAAAAAAAGAATGAGGTCAATGATTGTGACTAATGGACTTCAATACCCAAAAGCCACATGAGGTGCCTCTGATTGCATTATTCCAAAAAGTTTGCCTCTTTGTGCGTTAGTCTTGATTTCTGATATATTACTTTGCCACAGAAACACATTCCTACTTCTGAGTACCAGAGAAGTGGAACAACAAATGTTGAAAGCAGTAAATTTTTATTTGCCATCACTGCTTTGGGCACTTCAATTTAGAGATGTTATTCTTATTTAACAGGAGAATATTTTTTATTCTTTAGCAGTTGGCTAGTTTGGCACCTATTCATAAATTTTTGTGGTTGTCAAAGCTTTGTCCTGTAAAGCCCTTCATGGAAAGTAACATTATGAATTGGAAAGCATCCATGGAGTAAATGAAAAGGGTCTAGCTCAAAGACAAAACGAAATAAAATGGAAATGGAAATTAAGATAGGCTTTCTTCCTTCTTCCATAGTGAAGCAGCTTTATGTGCCCTTGGAATTACTGCAATTACATGACAGTTTTCAAATTTCATCTGAGGGCAACAGACATTGTAGCATGTTGGACTGAATGTGGCAATCTTGGCTGCCAGTGCTCATATTCTTGCACAGTGACTGCTTTATAGACTTACTTATAAAAACTGTATTATAGATGTCCTCTCCCAAATAGTCTGAGGCCTAATTAAAAACACATTAGCTGCTAAATCATAAAGTTAACGGTAAATAGGCAATTTCCAAACAGCACAAACAAAATTTTGCAAATTTCCAAATTGATAATTTTAGGAAGACCCTCTCCTCACCTACAGAAGATTTCTAATTTACAACAACACATTTAGAACCCTAAACCCTATTCAGCTACCCACATTTCAGGCCAATCTTTAGCCTCTGGGCATGGAAAGTTTAGTCTTACCATGTGCAGAAAGTCTAAAATAAGCAACAACAAAAGGACAGAACCAAAGCTGTTTTCTTTTCTTGAGGCCAAAAAATAGGAAATGGCCCTGCATAGGATGTCTTTCTATGGATGTTGTATGGCTCAGTGTCAGGAGCACATGCTGTCAAGCTCAGGATATCCTGATCTCTTCCACTTGAAATAAGGTAGTTATCTACCTTACCTCTGATCCTCACTTTTTTTTTCAAGACGGAGTCTCGCTCCATCACCCAGGCTGGAGTGCAGTGGCGCGATCTTGGCTCACTGCAAACTCCGCCTCCTGGGTTCACGCCATTCTCCTGCCTCAGCCTCCTGAGTAGCTGGGACTACAGGGGCCCGCCACTGCTCCCAGCTAATTTTTTGTATTTTTAGTAGAGACGGGGTTTCACCGTGTTAGCCAGGATGGTCTTGATCTCCTGACTTCATGATCTGCCCGCCTCGGCCTCCCAAAGTGGATCTTCACTTTCTACCTCACTTTCTATCCTCACTTTCTACCTCTGATCCTCACTTTTCCCATCTATAAAATGAGAACAATAATATTTAACTCACACTGTAATTGTTAATGAAATGTTGAATGAAGAGATCACAGTGTCAACTGTGTGGGAAGGTGTTTACCAAATGTTTGTGTTCCTTTTAATGCCCCTCAATCTCACACCCCACATCCCTGCAACAGCCACACTTTTTCCCTTCATCAGAAGGAAGGGTTGTAGTAGAGCCAGATTGAAAAGCAGACTGTCAGCTGCAAAGAGTGATGAACTCTAAGGGCTAAAATATTCCCAGAAAAAAATCAACATAATTCCATATTCAGTTGGTAAATTTTAAAAGACTCATTCAGTGCATATATTTTTTATTTAGACATCAACAGCTAAATATTATTTGTTGTATGTATTCTCTTGAGGCCTTCACAGAAGGATGGATTTTGGTAACAGGTGGATTTTTTTTCCTGAGAACAATTAAAATCTGAATCCTTCTTTTAATGACTATGGAGTACTTGAAGACAGTATTAAGTAGTGGGTAGTGGTAGAAAAGCTTGCAGATAGAAGCCAAAAAGAAAAAAATTGCTCTGAATGAAAGAATGACAAAGCTGTAGAATTGAGAAGAGAGATAGGGAAGAAGTCAGATGCCCAAAGGAAATTTCTGGAAATGCTATGTAGCCCAAGATGTAAACATCCTCCTTACTCTCTCCTATTGAATTTTTATTAAATGCCATATTTGCTTAGTAATACACTTACACAGGTACATATGTCATAAAAGGAGGGAGTTTCAAAAAGGCAAAGTTACAATCAATGTTAAATGCTGCAGTGAGGGCATATGAGATCAGAAGAAACATTTCTGTTTGGTGGCAGAAAGCCATCTCAGTGAAGAAATGAAACCTTGACTGATATCACAGATTAACCAAGAAACCAACTTAAAAAGATGAGTTTGAGAGTTGGAGAAGGGATCCATCTGAGGCTCTCTCACCTGGCATGTTCTCCTGAGATGAGTTCATCTATTTCTTTGACATCAGTTATACTCTAAATGATGGTCTATCCCAAGAAAACCACTCTAACACTCTAACCCAGATTCTCTCTGTCTCTCTCTCTGTCTCTCTCTGTTTCTCTTTCTCTATGTCTTCCCTCTTTCTCTTTCCCTTCCCTCCCTCCTTTTTCCCCCACCACACTTCAAGCCAACAGCCTATCAGACATTCCCACTTACATGTCCTATGAAAATTCCCATTTCATCACATCCAAAATAGAACTCATCTTTCTCTTAAACTGTTCTACTTTTTAACTTTCTCTTTCTTGGTGAACAGTATCCATATTAACACCTAAGAATAGCCTGGATTCCTCCCTTTTCCTTACTTTCCGCATAAACCACTAACCAAATGCTAGTGATACTTGTAACCCCTTGATAGCTCTTTAATCCATCTTCTACCCTCTATCTCCTATTCAGCTAGTTTTATTTTCAATTAGTTCTTCATTTCCCATGTATGTTATGGCACCAGTTTCCTAGCTGGTCTCCCTGTCCAGCCTGGCATTGCTCTAAAACACTACAACACTACTCTTCCTGTAGCACAAATGTAATCATGCAAATATCTTAGATTCAAATTCTTCTTTTAACATCAATAATTAATGTTGCGGGAAGTCAGGGATCCTGAATGGAGGGACTGGCTGGAGCTTCGGCAGAGGAACATAAATTGTGAAGATTTCATGGACATTTATCAGTTCCCAAATAATACTTTTATAATTTCTTATGCCTATCTTTACATTAATCTCTTAATCCTGTTATTTTCATAAGCTGAGGGTGTATGTCACCTCAGGACCACTGTGACAATTGTGCTAACTGTACAAATTGATTGTAAAACATGTGTGTTTGAACAATATGAAATCAGTGCACCTTGAAAAAGAACAGAATAACAGCAACTTTTAGGGAACAAGGGAAGTCAACCATAAGGTCTGACTGTGGGGTTGGGCAAAAAGAACCATATTTTTCTTCTTGCAGAGATCCTATAAATGGACATGCAAGTAGGAGAGATATCGCTAAATTCTTTTCCTAGCAATGAATATTAATATTAATAACCTGGAAAAGGAATACATTCCTGGGGGAAGGTCTATAAACGGCCGCTCTGGGAATGTCTGTCTTGTGAAGTTGAGATAAGGACTGAGATATGCCCTGGTCTCCTGCAGTACCCTCAGGCTGACTAGAGTTGGGAAACTCCGCCCTGGTAAATTTGTGATCAGACCATTTCTCTGCTCTCGAACGCTGTTTTCTGTTGTTTAAGATGTTTATCAAGACAATACGTGCACGTCTAAACATAGACCCTTATCAGTGGCTCTGCTTTTGCCCTTTGCCTTGTGATCTTTGTTGGACCCTTATCAGTAGTTCTGCTTTTGCCCTTTGTCCTGTTCCCTCAGAAGCACATGATCTTTGTTAGACCCTTATTAGTAGTTCTGCTTTTTGCCCCTTGAAGCATGTGATCTTTGTACCTACTCCCTGTTCTTACACCCCCTCCCCTTTTGAAACCCTTAATAAAAACTTGCTGGTCTGAGACTCAGGAGGCCATCACGTTCCTACCAATATGTGATGTCACCCTTGGCAGCCCAGCTGTAAAATTCCTGTCTTTGTACTGTCTCTCTTTATTTCTCAGCCAGCCGACACTTATGGAAAATAGAAAGAACCTACATTGAAATATTGGGGGTGGGTTCCCCCAATAAATTAACATGGATATAAGATATAAAAAAAATCACTTCACTTCTGCACTTTAATTTTCCTTCAGTACAAAGAGGATCATGTTTAATTTCTTTACCTACAGCAAAAGGATTTCTATGATGATTGATTCAATAATGCATTCTAAAAACTAAGTTTTAAGGATTATAAATGTCATAGAAATGAGCTGATGAAATAAAGCTAAGTTTTAAAATTTAAACTAGTAGAACACTAAATTATATTTTACAGTGTGATACCATCAATGTAAAAATGCATAGTATAATCCAAGAAGAAAATAATCTAAAATTTTAATGGTGATTCACTCTTAATGATAGGATCATGGACAACTATTATTTGCTTCATAATATATTTTTTACATTTTCCACAATGGGCACATAATTCTTTTATAACAGAGAAAAAATATTCATCTTTTTAAAATCTGCGCTATCTGAAAGAGGCACCCATATAAAGAGAAATCCCAATATTTAAAACTACTGCCACAGTTCTGGGGAGGACTGTGGGGCTTGATTACTTACTGAACTGTTACAAGGAATTGGTCCTCTCTTCAAGCTTCTCCCAGAGTTAATGTACAGGAGACATTACCAAGGATAATTCTGGACCATCTCCACATTACCTGGCTGAGGAGGATGAAAGCAATACAGAAGCTGACTGTTAATTAAAGAGGTTGCCACATGGCTAACAGGTCCAGACTGTGGTGGGTGACAACTGTAGCTCCTGTAGGGCCTCAGAATAAAATTCCTTATACTAAACCAGTGAAATTCCTTATACTAAATCAGCACTAAATAAAGTGAAAGTTATATTTGGACTTTAGAGAAATTGCTAAGTTACATTTCAGTCAATAATATTCTCTACTAATTTTATACATACCATCTAGAGGAACTGAAGAATAACCCAAAAAGGAATCATATATAGATTCTTTCTTGGCAGCTGGATTTTCATTAAAAAACTACTTTCTACCTTTCTGTATTTTCAGCTTCTTGGCTTGTCTCTTTCACAGAGAAAGTTCCTTTTAAGTATTTCTACCATGCAGGAGAGTAGACCCACACTAATGACAGGGGTGCAAGTAGATTTCTACAGCTTAGTTCTTCTCACTTCACACAGAACAATCTGCATAACAACCTTTTTTAAATATAATAGACTTAGTAAAAGTCATCACTGGAAAAACTTGGTAGCTTTAAACCACTGGTTCTCAACCAGGGGTGATTTTTGTCTCCAAAACAACATTTGGCAATGTCTGGAGACATTCTTCATTATACAGTTATATAACTGAAGGATCCTGCTGGCATCTAATGAACAGAGGCCACAAATGCTGCTAAGCATTGGGCAATGCACAGGACAGCCCCCATAGCAACTAATTATCCAGCTCAAAGGTCAACCATGGCAGGTTGAGAAATCCTTGAACAACCAAAACAAAGAAAATCCTAGATCTAGTTCACAGTCACCAGCATTCAAGAGTGAGAGATAAATTTATACCTTGTTGTTGTTTTTGTTGTTAGACTCAAAGTCAATTACATTCCTCTTAAGTGCCTGCCAAGTAAAACTTGAGATTCTCTACAGAAACTGGGAGAAAGGGTCAATTGTCTAGTCTTTACCAATCTCTCCCCACATAATACAAGCAGCAAGCCTTTTCTTATAAATAGAAAAGAGAAAGCATTCCTTCTAAATTTCATACATACCTGCTCATCACATTAACTATTATTTTATGAGTCTGTTTTTTTCTATCTTAAATGGAAATAATAATGACACCTTCCTTCCAGGGTTCTTTTTGATCCCCAAAACCATAAGTGATAAATAAACATTAGCTTTCTTGTCCCCTCTACATTCAATGTTCTAACAGTGACAAGGTCATGTTTATTTTCAAATACTCTTCCTCAATGGAAGATTATTTAGTATCTCAGGGCTTTGATTTTCACATGTTAAAGAGTATGCACATCTCACATATATAAAGTGAATATCAAACAATTTATTAGCATCTAGTATTATGCCTGGTACTCAGATAGTGCTGTAAATTGTTAGCTATTGTTACTCCCCAGAAAGGTCCCATGAATGCTCATCTTCCTGAAGAAGTCATCTTGGTCCACTGTGTGTTCTGATTAAAAGTCTCCAATATCTGTGTGATCCTGCACCAAGAAGTTGCCTTCTCTGGGTATTGCTCCCTTAGAACACCTGAGCACACCATTCACTCACTCCTAGGGAGTCACTTGGATCCTGGTGAGAAGAAACTAACATTTTCCAAACGTATTCCCATCTTTTCCCTTATTCTGGGGCTTGCAAGAATGAAAAATTTTAAGTTTCAAACATCAGGGTTTGTGTTCAGTATTGTACCTAGACCTTGGTGTACAGATAAATAAATCAATAACAACCCAGAAATAGGAATCTTGTGTCTGGGGCTTTGAAAGGGAGAACAGAGGTGTCCTTAGAGCTGTATTCTCACTAACCTTATATTAAATAATCTCTGAAACGTTGCCTACTTCTCTACTTTGAAAGCCAGGCTAACTTTTTTCTATTATGATTTTTGTAGCATATTTGAGAGATTGTGTCTAACTATAGCCTGTCTGTATCTTTTTACAGCTTTTGACCCAGAGCAGTCAAAGTCAGCCTCTCAAAACTGTTCCATGTGCTATGCTGTACAATCAGCCCTACAAAGAACTTCATTTCTCCTCTAGTTTGTCCTGCTTTCACCCTTCACAGAAACACTAAATTGATCTGGCAAAGATTCATAAATGCAAGAAATATTTTGTCCTAGAAAAAAAAATTCCATCATATGTCACATCTTTCTATTGCAGCGGATTTTTCCCACAGCAGCTAGGACAATGCAGTATGAAAGGAAGTTTACAGTTAATTTCATGTCTTCTTCCATGAACTAATTTCCAGATAGTCCCTCAACACCCCTGCTCTATCCTCTATCTCAGGACACTAAAGAGCTCACCATTCTTTACTTGATTCTTTTAAATATACAGCTTGATGTGTATTTATCCTCCAGCCTTGTACCTATTTACCTATCTTCCCAAAAAGACACGAAGCAGATTCTAAGCAGGACTGGCTCATTTCTTCCTGTAAACTGACATAGCACAGGTAATAGTCCATTAAAGGTAAGCAGTAAATGTTTGTTGAAAGAGTTACACCTAAAATACATCTCTATTTGTATACAAAGTATAAGACAGGGAGACCCTATATACCATCTAAAAACCCATGCACAGAGATGTTTTGTAAATATATGTTATTGCACTAACTCAGGTATCAAATGAACTGCTATCTGAACTGATGACAGACTGAGAAAGGTCATCTTGGCCTTTGAGTAATGGAAAGTCATAGTGCCATCCAGCAAACTCAATTCACAATAAAGAATTCTAACACCTATGAGAACTGGCATCAGAGTATCTTACTTTTTCTTTCAGGCAGGCCAGTTCAAATTAACTCCAGCTCTTACCTGAGGGTGTGAAACTTCAGCTTAATTTCCATGGAACCATGTTCCCTGGCTCATCCCTCAGAGGGATAGCTTCTTCTTTAAGGAGCTTCGGCAGTGACATATTCGAAACACACTTACCAATGAGTAGCTCTTAGAATGGCTCCAGATCATGAGACTTGTGTACAGTAAGCAAAAAGCAAACATCTTCTAAAATTTCTACAAGTGATGTGAACTTCAACAAGAGCAAGAAAAGAGGGCAAGAGAAATGCTTTCTCGTTTTACTATAACAATCCTGTGTACAGCACTGTAGTAAATGTTGGAGAAGAACGTATCTTACAAAAGCAGCTTCTAGGTTATTTTCAAGAACAGGAATGTTCTGAATAATCAATAATTCCATTAGCAAAGGGATAATGGTTGATGTTTAGTCAGTTTTAGGTACTTTATTGTCTGTGATGGCTCAAACTTGAAAACACTCCTAATTTCCTTTAGAAACGGAAACTGGTGCTCTAAAAAAAAAAATCACAAAAAAAACTTAAGGGTTCATCTGTTCCAAATCTCATTGTACAGATGAAGAGTCAAAGCCTAGTAGATTACAAAAATGTATCCAACTTACCCAAGATTTCTATTTATTTATTTATTTGCACTCCAACTTGTTCCAGAAAAGATTAATGGCAACTACCAAAAAGGCATTCAGTTTGACAAGAGGAAATAAATAATTGAATGAGGTTAAAGAGGGATGGGTAGGAAAGAGTGAAGTCAGCGCACCAGAAAAGCCTCCATATTAGTTAGAAGTAGGCAACAAAATTGCTTCCAAGCGTTCTAAAAGCCAATCATATGAAGAAAGAATCGCAATCTGGTTCATGGTTTCACATCTATAAATTAAGAACACACCAGTTTCTCAGGAAGTTATTAATCCTGTGCCAAGATCACTGAATAATTTATTTCAAATGTTCTCATAGAGAAGACCCTGAGTGTCACAGAAAATGCAGCAGTTAAGTGTCAGATGATTCTTTCTCATAACATCCACCCCGAAAATATAACGGCATCAAACTGGTAGCTTCAACTGCTGTTAAATAAAAGTGATTCTTGAAAGGACTAAGATGTTTTGGGCACATAACTCAATTAAGAGGTAGAATCTAGGGAATAGAGAGAAGTAGGTGAACTGCATAACCTTGAGGCCAGCCTCAAGAAATAACATTTTTCTCAAACATAATTGTGATAGATGTTGAGTAGCAGTGATTTGTCAATACTTAACCAGCCCCATCCTCCATGTGTTCTCTCAAGGTGGCCTTCCATTCATCCACTCACTGTTCAAGCAAGACCGAGGAGCATTCCTTGATGTCTCCCATTATTTTCCCACCCATCAGTCAATAAGTTTATTAACTTTGCCTATCAGAACAAACCATTTCCCTCTATCCTAAACTTCTACACTAACTTGTCATGATTTCACCTAAAACAAAATTCCCTGAATGTAATCTTGTGCTCCACCAGTCATGGTTCACACAGAGACTTTGTGACCTTTTTAAACACAATTCTAGTGATATCACTTCCCTACTTAAAACATTGCAGTATTTCCCTGGTGCCCTCAGAATAAAATTCCACGTTATTCACAGCAGGCCAGGCTTTGCATTGTCTGGTTCCTGACTGTCTCCAGCCTTATTTGGGGCTCCTCTCCTCTTCACTCTTTACCCCAGGCATATGGGTCTTTGGGTAATTTGAGGAGGAGCTTAACCCTTTTCGTTCATCAGAACCTTGATGTCTCTAATTATTCACTTTTGTTGAACCTTATTTGCATATGCCACATTGTAATGAGTTGGTATTTGTGTGATTATGTTGTTAGAGTCTCTCTTCACTATGGAATATAAGCTTCACAAGGTAAGGAACTGCATATTTCTGGCTCACTACTGTATTTCTAACCTAGCACAGTGCAATGTAAGCATTGAGATATGAGAATGAATAAAGAAAAAAATGGGATGATTAAACAGATTAATAAAAAATTAGTATGTAGAGTCTAGCTAACTCTTTTCTCTAGACATAAATACACAATAGACAGATAGAACATAATTTTATATATTATGATGATATGTAAAGCCATGTGTTGGCAGACATACCCCACAGTTTTCTTGTGTTTCTGCCTGTCTTCCAAGAAAAAGGTATTGACACCTTTGTTCTGGACTATCTCTGCAAAGATGTTTACACAGCCTTAGAAGACAGAAGCAGTGTCTCCCTCTAGAGTAGAGGGCATATTTGTTTTCTCACCGGGATAATAAATGTAATGTCTTCCTCCTGAGACAAGGTTGGGGAAGTTTACCAGCAGCACTCTTATACAATTGAGGGTTTTCTAAATTCAGGGGTTCTCAGCTGTGACAAAAATCTACTGTCTGCACAGCATCTACCTGGGCTACTTTTCATTGCATTTATGGGATATAATGGACAAGAAGAACCAATGTGAACATGAAGCTCATGATACTTGCTGTGCTAGGAGAAATAAAGTCCTTTGTCTCTGACACAAGAGTTTTATATCTCCTGCCAGCATCTACGAAACTATGGCAGGCTAACTTGTTAGCTTTCAATTAGGGTAAAATCACAGATCCTTAACAATTTTTGACATTAGGTGCTTTAACAATTGACAGCGTTGGGAGGAGAATAGTGGAGGCCGATATCTTCCTGTGAAAAAATGGGAAATCTAGCAAAGACAATATCCCAATTTGTTGTGAATTGGAAATCCTCCTTGAAAGGTAATTTTGGGGTGACCCGAAAAATAAATGAGAAATCTTGGTTCCAGAGATGTGTATCATAAAATAGAGTTAATAAATCTGTGATTCTTGGAGCACTTGCGAAAGAAATGCCTATGTTTAAAATGAAGACCCCATGCCAAATACCAAATCTATTAAATCCAAACTATACTCATAGGATTGTATTTCTAGTTGACAAATCAAGTTTGCACTGATTTTTTTTATTTTTCCCTGACATTCTCAAAACCATGACCATGCATCTTCTCTAAGACAAAAAAAAAAAAAAATTTAATGTGTCTATTGTACAAATGGCACTATGTTAGGGTTGGGCCAAAATAGGAAGCATATAGAACTTGTTCAACACCAAGATCAGAAACCCTGAGCTCCTAAACACATTCTAGCCATGCCCCCATCTTTCTCTCATTTCATTCTCAGTATTTGCAATTATCCCATTCATTGTCTCCAATTCTATATATTACTATTATATAAACGTTATAGAAAGATGATGGGTGGGTCGACAGATGAAAGCTAGCTAGCTAACTAGATAGATAGATAGAGAAATAAAAGTAGATCCAAAAGCAAGATAAACAAGATATACTAAAAATCTCCATTTTGAACAGAACAAGTATGTAAGTTATCCATTTAAGAATTTTAAAGTTTTACACTAGCAGAAAATGAATTGTTGGAGTAGTCCTCTGTTTAAATTCATTGGTGGAAAATTAAACGACATTCCCAGCAACTAAAAAGCTCAATATCTAATAGTCTTAATTGCCAAAGTATAGTCTGCATTTTCTGCTTCCTTTACTTCACAAATATGCTCCAAACCTTGCAGTGTCCTAGCATGACAAGCACTGCTTGTTCAATGCCAGGAATGAAATATCTAATTACTGATGGAAACTCACCTGTGAGCAAAACCCAGCAAGAGCCACTAGTGAGGCTCATTTAGAGACTCCTAATGGTTTTGATTCAAAGAACTCCCTGAAAACTGACCTGATTACATCAGAATTTCTGGCTGCAATGGTCAAAGTAATATCCACAGGATATGACAGGAATTATGATAAATATCGAAAGCTCTGTAAGTCAAACAGTAAAATCACTTTTCTACCTGAGAGTTCTGTTCCATATAAAATGCAGAATATATCAACAGTGAAAAGCTAATCTTTTTACAGTGGAAGTAATGAAGATATACAACACATAGCTTGGCTAAAGAAAAGAAAAAGAATCCCTTCTGCATGAAGATTTTCTCTTCAATTTAGTTGGAAATGTGAATATCATACTAAATAATTCATTGAATTATTAAATGTCCACCAGATTAACTTGGAAAAAAATTGACCAGCCTTCACCATATATGTAAATCTTTCGTTGAAAACTTTCTCCTTTCAAATCAGTGTCTTCCAGATATCAGGTAGGTCTTTGAAAGTGACCTGAGGTTTGGTGCTATGACAAAAATAAGAAAAGTCTGAGAAACTGTCATAGCCAAGAAGAGCCTAATGAGACACAATAACTAAATGTAATGTGATATCCCAGATGGGATCCTGGAACAGAAAAAGAACATTAGGTAAAAACTAAGAAAATATGAATAAAGCATGGACTTTAGTTAATACAAATTGATTAATATTTGTTCATTGCTAGTGACAAATGTACCATACTATAAGATGTTAATAGGAGAAGCTGGAAGTAGAGTATATAGGAACTACATGTACTATTTTTGCAATTTTCATGTAAATCTAAATCGATAAAATATGAAGTTTATTTTTGAAGTTTTTTTTTTTAAATGAGCCAATAAACTATTTTCTGAGAAACAAATTAAAGCTACAAATATCTGAAGCAGACTTGATGGTAAGCCAGTAAGTGATTATCTGATTATATCCATGTAGGCTAATTATAAAACAGCTACATTTCAACAGAACTAAACATAATCTAAAGCAAGACAGAATGTTATATATAACAAACCAACCAGAGAACAACGGCACACCCAAGATTAGAAAATCTTCTATGCCTAAATGACTAGCATCTTCCTAAATGTCCACTTTTCTAGGACATTTTTTCAAAATGAAAACCACTATTTCACTGTTCCTGGGAAATATAAGCAGGAAACTAACCTTAAAGGGCAGTAAGAATAAAGTATGCAGAGATAATAAGCCATGAATTCAGGATAAAAAGTTACCTTCTCTTTTAAAACTTTTTTCTATACATGGTACTTAAAAATTATTTTCCAGGGTATAAAGTATCTCACTATTACAGAGACTTAATTGTAAATTCTTCTGACCAAGGACAAATTAAATTTCAACTCAAATCTAAATGACTGGTAAGGAGTATTTTGCTTCCACAGCTGGGCGATGACCTTTCATGAAAACATGGATTGAAATGAGAAAGTGAGAGAGAGACATAGGAGGAGATGGTCATATTCATACTATAATTCAGCAGCTCAGCTGTATTTGAGCTAAATATAGCCTCAAGAGATATACTGGGAACCAAAATACCAATTATAACATAATTTTAGTATAAAAATATGTTTTGATTTTCAAACACTAAACTATAAACAACTGACTTTGGAACTCAGACCTTGTATAAAATGTATGCTGATATATATTTATACTGTTAGAGAGTAGGCAGATAGCCAAAAATGAGTAGGCAAGGGAGCCTCCTAGGAAAAGAAGTCCTGGAGATGCTGCCCACTGATGGTCAGGGCTGCCCACTGACAGTCAGCAACAAGGATGATGGCTACGTTGGCTACATCTGGCCTCGTGGTTGGGATCCTCTGGCCCTGAAGGGGACTTACGATGCCTTAGCTGGAGACAGGTATGCAAGGGATTTTCCCCACTGACGAACATGCCCACTCCTCTAAAAACTCACCCTAGAATAGCCTTCTGCTCATTATAATAGTAAAAAACACACCTCTGGGAGATTTTAAATGCTAATAACACATGCAATGTTTGTACTAACATGTACAACCATAGAGCCAGTGTACCCAAAAAGACCTCCCAAAACATGCTTGCAATTAGCACCCACTCACGCCCCTTCATAAATAATCATGTAAGATTCTCCTAAAGAGTGTCCCTCAGCATTAGCTCTGGGTTCATTCTCTTGTGCATTCCACTCTGTTTTGACTTTGAGAGTGTACTGTCTTTTTAAATAATGGTGATACTGCTGCTGCTACTATTTTTCCAGCTGGACCAACCCAGAGCTGTTTTCTACTCCTCTCCAGGAATGTACCTATAGTCCCTCAGTAAATTCTGCTACAATGTGTCTCTTGACTGAATTCTTTCTTCCAAGTCAGACAAGAACCAAAGATGCTCACACTTCCTGATAACAATACCAGGAATTTTACATGTTGCTGTGGTGTTTGACTAGTACTATGCCTATCCTCATCTCCACAGAAGGCCTGTTAAAGTACTGATGCTATTTGTCCTATGGAAAAAGTTGAGAAGATGAACTAAACTTTGGTTGCAGAGTTGTTCTGTATTCAAACTAGGGATGAGCTAATTTCCAGCCAAAAAGGAGCCTGCAGAAATGGATATGTACATCTATATATTGGTCTGTTATGCAGTTACTAGAAAGGCTATAGAAAAATGTGCAATATCAGAGAAAATTTTTTATAATACACTTATTTATTATAATACAATTATTGTATTATACACAATACAATACATTAAATACAATAAATTTTTTATTTAAGTTTTAGGGTACACGTGCACAAGGTGAAGGTTTGTTACATGTGTATACATGTGCCATGTTGGTGTGCCGCACCCATTAACTCGTCATTTAGCATTAGGTATATCTCCTAATGCTATCCCTCCCCCTTCCTCCCACCCCACAACAATCCCTGATATGTGATGTTCCCCTTCCTGTGTGCATGTGTTCTCATTGTTCAATTCCCACCTATGAGTGAGAACATGCAGTGTTTGGTTTTTTGTCCTTGCAATAGTTTGCTGAGAATGATGGTTTCCAGCTTCATCCATGTCCCTACAAAGGACATGAACTCATCATTTTTATGGCTGCATAGTATTCCATGGTGTATATGTGCCACATTTTCTTAATCCAGTCTATCATTGTTGGACATTTGGGTTGGTTCCAAGTTTTTGCTATTGTGAAAAGTGCCACAATAAACATACGTGTGCATGTGTCTTTATAGCAGCATGATTTATAATCCTTTGGGTATATACCCAGTAATGGGATGGCTGGGTCAAATGGTATTTCTAGTTCTAGATCCCTGAGGAATTGCCACACCAACTTCCACTATGGTTGAACTAGTTTACAGTCCCACCAACAGTGTAAAAGTGTTCCCATTTCTCCACATCCTCTCCAGCACCTGTTGTTTCCTGACTTTTTAATGATCGCCATTCTAACTGGTGTGAAATGGTATCTCATTGTGGTTTTGATTTGCACTTCTCTGATGGCCAGTGATGATGAGCATTTTTTCATGTGTTTTTTGGCTGCATAAATGTCTTCTGTTGAGAAGTGTCTGTTCAAATCCTTCGCACACTTTTTGATGGGTTTTTTTTTTCTTGTAAATTTATTTGAGTTCATTGTAGATTCTTGATATTAGCCCTTTGTCAGATGAGTAGGTTGCAAAAATTTTCTCCCATTCTGTAGGTTGCCTGTTCACTCTGATGGTGGTTTCCTTTGCTGTGCAGAAGCTCTTGAGTTTAATTAGATCCCATTTGTCAATTTTGTCTTTTGTTGCCATTGCTTTTGGTGTTTTAGACATGAAGTCCTTGCCCATGCCTATGTCCTGAATGGTATTGCCTAGGCTTTCTTCTAGGGTTTTTATGGTTTTAGGTCTAACATGTAAGTCTTTAATCCACCTTGAATTAACTTTTGTATAAGGTGCAAGGAAGGGATCCAGTTTCAGCTTTCTACATATGGCTAGCCAGTTTTCCCAGCACCATTTATTAAACAGGGAATCCTTTCCGAATTTCTTGTTTTTGTCAGGTTTGTCAAAGATCAGATAGTTGTAGATATGCGGCATTATTTCTGAGGGCTCTGTTCTATTCCATTGATCTATATCTCTGTTTTGGTACCAGTACCATGCTGTTTTGGTTACTGTAGCCTTGTAGTATAGTTTGAAATCAGGTAGCATGATGCCTCCAGCTTTGTTCTTTTGGCTTAGGATTGACTTGGCAATGTGGGCTTTTTTGTGGTTCCATATGAACTTTAGTTTTTTCCAATCCTGTGAAGAAAGTAATTGGTAGTTTGATGGGGATGGCATTGAATCTATAAATTACCTTGGGCAGTATGGCCATTTTCATGATATTGATTCTTCCTATCCATGAGCATGGAATGTTCCTCCATTTGTTTGAAGGAACAGTGGTTTGTAGTTGAGCAGTGGTTTGTAGTTCTCCTTGAAGAGGTCCTTCACATCCCTTGTAAGTTGGATTCCTAGGTATTTAATCCTCTTTGTAGCAATTGTGAATGGGAATTCACTCATGATTTGGCTCTCTGTTTGTCTGTTATTGGTGTATAAGAATGCTTGTGATTTTTGTACATTGATTTTGTATCCTGAGACGTTGCTGAAGTTGCTTATCAGCTTAAGGAGATTTTGGGCTGAGACAATGGGGTTTTCTAGATATACAATCATGTCATCTGCAAACAGGGACAATTTGACTTCCTCTTTTCCTAATTGAATGCCCTTTATTTCCTTCTCCTGCCTTATTGCCCTGGCCAGAACTTACAACACTATGTTGAATAAGAGTGGTGAGAGAGGGCATCCCTGTCTTGTGCCAGTTTTCAAAGGGAATGCTTCCAGTTTTTGCCCATTCAGTATGATATTGGCTGTGGGGTTGTCATAGATAGCTCTTATTATTTTGAGATATGTCCCATCAATACCTAATTTTTTGAGAGTTTTTAGCATGAAGGGTTGTTGAATTTTGTCAAAGGCCTTTTCTGCATCTATTGAGATAATCATGTGGTTTTTGTCTTTGGTTCTGTTTATATGCTGGGTTACATTTATTGATTTGCGTATGTTGAACCAGCCTTGCATTCCAGGGATGAAGCCCACTTGATCATGGTGGATAAGCTTTTTGATGTGCTGCTGGATTCGGTTTGCCAGTATTTTACTGAGGATTTTTGCATCAATGTTCATCAAGGATATTGGTCTAAAATTCGCTTTTTTTGTTGTGTCTCTGCCAGGCTTTGGCATCAGGATGATGCTGGCCTCATAAAATGAGTTAGAGAGGATTCCCTCTTTTTCTATTGATCGGAATAGTTTCAGAAGGAATGGTACCACCTCCTCCTTGTACCTCTGGTAGAATTCGGCTGTGAATCCATCTGGTCCTGGACTCTTTTTGGTTGGTAAGCTATTAATTATTGCCTCAATTTCAGATCCTGTTATTGGTCTATTAACAGATTCAACTTCTTCCTGGTTTAGTCTTGGGAGAGTGTATGTGTCGAGGAATTTATCCATTTCTGCTAGATTTTCTAGTTTATTTGCATAGAGGTGTTTATAGTATTCTCTGATGGTAGTTTGTATTTCTGTGGGATCAGTGGTGATATCCCCTTTGTCATTTTTTATTGGGTCTCTTTGATTCTTCTCTCTTTTCTTCTTTATTAGTCTTGCTAGCGGTCTATCAATTTTGTTGATCTTTTCAAAAAACCAGCTCCTGGATTCACTGATTTTTTGAAGGGTTTTTTGTGTCTCTATTTCCTTCAGTTTAGCTCTGATCTTAGTTATTTCTTGCCTTCTGCCAGATTTTGAATGTGTTTGCTCTTTCTTCTCTAGTTCTTTTAATTGTGATGCTAGGGTGTCAATTTTAGATCTTTCCTGCTTTCTCTTGTGGGCATTTAGTGCTATAAATTTCCCTCTACACACTGCTTTGAATGTGTCCCAGAGATTCTGGTATGTTGTGTCTTTGTTCTCATTGGTTTCAAAGAACATCTTTATTCCTGCCTTCATTTCGTTATGTACCCAGTAGTCATTCAGGAGCAGGTTGTTCAGTTTCCATGTAGTTGAGCAGTTTTGAGTGAGTTTCTTAATCCTGAGTTCTAGTTTGATTGCACTGTGATCTGAGAGACAGTTTGTTATAATTTCTGTTCTTTTACATTTGCTGAGAAGTGCTTTACTTCCAACTATGTGGCCAGTTTTGGAATAGGTGTGGTGTGGTGTTGAGAAGAATGTATATTCTGTTGATTTTTGGTGGAGAGTTCTGTAGATGTCTATTAGGTCTGCTTGCTGCAGAGCTGAATTCAATTCCTGGATATCCTTTTTAACTTTCTGTCTCTTTGATCTGTCTAATGTTGACAGTGGGGTGTTAAAGTCTCCCATTATTATTGTGTGAGAGTCTAAGTCTCTTTGTAGGTCACTCAGGACTTGCTTTATGAATCTGGGTGCTCCTGTATTGGGTGCATATATATTTAGGATAGTTAGCTCTTCTTGTTGAATTGACCCCTTTACCATTATGTAATGGCCTTGTTTGTCTCTTTTGAGCTTTGTTGGTTTAAAGTCTGTTTTATCCAAGACTAGGATTGCAACCCTTGCCTTTTTTTGTTTTCCATTTGCTTGGTAGATCTTTCTCCATCCCTTTATTTTGAGCCCATGTGTGCCTCTGCATGTGAGATGGGTTTCCTGAATACAGCACACTGATGGGTCTTGACTCTTTATCCAATTTGCCAGTCTGTGCCTTTTAATTGGAGCATTTAGCTCATTTACATTTAAGGTTAGTATTGTTATGTGTGAATTTGATCCTATCATTATGATGTTAGCTGGTTATTTTGCTCGTTAGTTGATGCAGTTCTTTCCTAGCCTCAATGGTCTTTACAATTTGGCATGTTTTTGCAGTGGCTGGTACCGGTCGCTCCTTTCCATGTTTAGTGCTTCCTTCAGGAGCTCTTTTAGGGCAGGCCTGGTGGTGACAATATCTCTCAGCATTTGCTTGTCTGTAAAGTATTTTATTTCTCCTTCACATATGAAGCTTAGTTTGGCTGGATATGAAATTCTGGGTTGAAAATTATTTTCTTTAAGAATGTTGAATATTCACCCCCACTCTCTTCTGGCTTATAGAGTTTCTGCCGAGATATCAGCTGTTAGTCTGATGGGCTTCCCTTTGTGGGTAACCCGACCTTTCTCTCTGGCTGCCCTTAACATTTTTTCCTTCATTTCAACTTTGGTGAATCTGACAATTATGTGTCTTGGAGTTGCTCTTCTCGAGTAGTGTCTTTGTGGCATTCTCTGTATTTCCTGAATTTGAATGTTGGCCTGCCTTGCTAGATTGGGGAAGTTCTCCTGGATAATATCCTGCAGAGTGTTTTCCAACTTGGTTCCATTCTCCCCTTAACTTTCAGGTACACCAATTAGACGTATATTTGGTCTTTTCACATAGTCCTATATTTCTTGGAGGTTTTGTTTCTTTTTATCCTTTTTTCTCCAAAATTCTCTTCCCACTTCATTTCATTCATTTCATCTTCCATTGCTGATACCCTTTCTTCCAGTTGATCGCATCTGTTACTGAGGCTTATGCATTCATCACGTAGTTCTCGTGCCGTGGTTTTCAGCTCCATCTGGTCCTTTAAGGACCTCTCTGCATTGGTCATTCTAGTTATCCATTCATCTAATTTTTTTCAAAGTTTTTAACTTCTTTGCAATTGGTTCAAATTTCCTTTTAGCTCGGAGTAGTTTCATCTTCTGAAGCCTTCCTCTCTCAACTCGTCAAAGTTATTCTCTGTCCAGCTTTGTTCCATTGCTGGTGAGGAGCTGCGTTCTTTTGGAGGAGGAGAGGTGCTCTGCTTTTTAGAGTTTCCGGTTTTTCTGCTCTGTTTTTTCTCCATCTTTGTGGTTTTATCTGCCTTTGGTCTTTGATGATGGTGATGTACAGATGGGTTTTTGGTGTGGATGTCATTTCTCTTTGTTAGTTTTCCTTCTAACAGTCAGGACCCTCAGCTGCAGTTCTGTTGGAGTTTACTGGAGGTCCACTCCAGACCCTGTTTGCCTGGGTATCAGCAGCGGTGGCTGCAGAACAGTGGATGTTGGTGAACCGCAATTGCTGCTGCCTGATTGTTCCTCTGGAAGTTTTGTCTCACAGGAGTACCCGGCCATGTGAGGTGTCAGTCCTCCCCTACTGGGGGGTGCCTCCCAGTTAGGCTACTCAGGGGTCAGGGACCCACTTGAGAAGTCAGTCTGCCCATTCTCAGATCTCAAGCTGCATGCTGGGAGAACCACTACTCTCTTCAAAGCTGTCAGACAGGGACATTTAAATCTGCAGAGGTTATTGCTGTCTTTTGTTTGTTTGTGCCCTGCCCCCAGAGGTGGAGCCTACAGAGGCAGGCAGGCCTCCTTGAGCTGTGGTGGGCTCCACCCAGTTTGAGCTTCCTGGCTGCTTTGTTTACCTACTCAAGCCTGAGCAATGGCAGGCGCCCCTCTCCCAGCCTCACTGCTGCCTTGCAGCTTGATCTCAGACTGCTGTGCTAGCAATGAGCGAGGCTCTGTGGGCATAGGACCCTCCAAGCCATGTGCGGGATATAATCTCCTGGTGTGCCGTTTGATAAGCCCATTGGAAAAGTGCAGTATTAGGGTGGGAGTGACCCGATTTTCCAGGTGCCATCTGTCACCCCTTTCTTTGACTAGGAAAGGGAATTCCCTGACCCCTTGCACTTCCCGGGTGAGGCAATGCCTCACCCTGCTTTGGCTCATGCACAGTGCACTGCACCCACTATCCTGCACCCACTGTCCAGCACTCCCCAGTGAGATGAACCTGGTACCTCAGTTGGAAATGCAGAAATCACCCGTCTTCTGCATCGCTCATGCTGGGAGCTGTAGACTGGAGCTGTTCCTATTCGGCCATCTTGGCTCCCGAGAAAATTTTTTATGATATGCTATGGAGGTCAAAAAATTGTTCTCAGTTCATTCCCCATCATTCTCTGCTCTGTTCCATCTCAGAGGGAATCATATTTCCTTGTCCTGTGGCTTCCAATAGTTGCAATGAGAGGCACAAGCAGAAAGCTGAGCACAGGTACAGCCAACAATGTCAGTACTGCACCCAGATTTCCTGGGATCCCTTTTTTATGGATTTTGCGTGCATCCTAGCTGCTTTCATGTGATTTCATTTCAAGGAAATGCCTTCATTTATTTTCCTGAAAACTGTTTGCAGGTTCCCAGAGCCCACTTTTCCTAGCAAAGAACTGGAAATGCCCAGGAGTTTAATTCCAAGAGTGGGGCAGTCACCCTTAACCAATGACTAAGATGACTGGAAGTAAGAAAACATAGCTCCTTTGCTTCAGGGTCAAATAATTGAGGTATAGCTTACACTTCAGATGGTCCCTGCAGGATTCAGCTACAGCTGTCCTCTAAGGTACTTTGCCTGGATTTTGGCTTTTGCCCCTCCCTTATCCTACTCCTTCCACTCCCCTATGGGGTTTCCCCAGAAACACTTCTGTAATAGTTCTTTCCATACAAATTCTTGTCCCAGTAAAACTCATTATAAACCAGTAGAAGAAAGGGAGACACTAAGGGATGTTTTCCCTGTCCCTCTGCCTCAGTGCTGTCCCCAGCAAAGTCTGCATCTGCTCCTCGGCTCCAATTTCCATCAGGTAGCCTTCACTGGGGTTATTCAATGCAAGTACACTCAAGTCTTTTACATTACAGTTAAGACATTATGTGGAGGAATGTGACTGCAAGATTTGGGATGGGTGTCTCAGATAAAGCTGAAAAATCTTAAACCACCAAAAACCTCTTGTTATTTTAGGGCAAAAATGGAGACTTGCACCTGCACTATTCCCTCATCTTATCATGTAGCCCAAGAAGCAGCTAGCCTAACAGAATAGGAGATGGTCTACAGAAGATTTACTGGGGTTGGTGTGCTATTTTCCAAGATCTAGTATGTTTTAAAACAGAGGCAAATATAAGGTGTTATTTTCTCCCATTGCCAGTACACATAGACCTGAAATCAACAGATGGAAATAGAAGTGGCTCTTTCACTATTACACAAAATATTCCATGATTGGAATCTTGCAGCCCTGTGTTCTGAAGCTTTATAGATCTTAGTTCCTAAATGCCATCTGGTCATTTGGGGCTCCTCATGCCAATGATTCAACTGGCAGAAGAGGAGTTACTGCACCAGTTTTGATGGTTTACCCAATTTATCAAAGGGAAATTGCATTGTTAATAGGGACTGGGAAGACTATGTCAGGATCCACTAGGAAACATCGTAGTACTTCCATATCCAGTAGTAAAAGTTAATGGGAGATTATAACAACCAAATCAAGGCAGGACCACTGAAGACCAAATGTTTCAGGAAGAAAGACTTAGATCTCGCCACCAAAAGAGAACCCAGTTAAGGTGCACCTGAGTGTAAGAGAACAGGGAGCAGATGGTGGAAGAAGAAATTGAAAAATATCAGCTATGGCCTCATGACCAGTTACATAAATGAAGACTGTATCAGCTATACATGTTTTTATTATTACTGTGCCTGTATTTCTTAACAAAATATCCATTTTCCCCTTTTATCTATTCTTTACTATTTTGTTGGAGGAGTACTAGTGAGTTCTAATTTTATAAACTTAGTTTTCAGAGATGACCCCACCATAAATAAGTATCCAGAATTAATGAAAGGGGCTACATATCACCTGGATAAACTGTCCTTGGATAATACAGTTACTTTTTGCCTCCACTTTGAGGGAAAGGAAGAAAATGGTTTTTTTTCTATGTAAATGACTGCTGTCTTCTCTTCGATGGAAATATTAAGTTGTTGTGTGGGCATTCAACATGGGTAGAAGGATGAAAATGGAGGCCAAGTAATAAAAGGATAGACTATAAACAGCCATTCTACTGTTTGCTTTTAAATCCATTTCTTCTCTTCTCCACCCTCCTATGTATCACAGCCAACTACATTTCCCTGGTCCAAAGTATATAACAAGCAGAAGGCCAAAGGATAGGAAAAGTGAGGAAACTTGGCTATGTTCTTTATTTTATTTATTTTTTATTTTTTTGAGATGGAGTCTCACTCTGTCACAAGGCTGGAGTGCAATGGCGTGATCTCAGCTCACTGCAACCTCCGCCTCCCGAGTTCAAGCTATTCTCCTGCCTCAGCCTCCCCAGTAGCTAGGAATACAGGTGCCCACCACCATGCCCAGCTAATTTTTGTATTTTAGTAGAGACGGGGTTTCACCATGTTGGCCAGGATGCCCTTGCTCTCTTGAACTGGTGATCCACCCACCTCAGCCTCCCAAAGTGCTGGGATTACAGGTGTGAGCCACCGCGCCCAGCCTGTTTTTCTTCTTTTCCTGCTGCAGGTGCACCCCCAGCAGCAAATGTATCTTCTCTGTGGCTCCAGCTTCCACTTAACATCACCATTATCCCAGCTCTACTTTGCAGCCCCTCTGTAGATCTAACTCTCACTGGATGACCCTGGCATCTGTGTTATGTTAACTCCACTTCTTCTCTTTATTCCTTAAGGTCTATGAAAGTAGTAAGAAGCATTTTCCTACTGTTGATAATTTCTGGGTTCCCTCATCATTCTGTTTGTCTTCCCAACTCTTGAATCAGCAGTGTAATACGTTTCCTTTATTTTACACTTCTATTTAAAATATTTCTGTGGCTTGATTGTCCCCACCAAAACTCATGTTGAAATTTAATTGTCATTGTAACTGTGTTGAGAGGTGGAACCTTTAAAAGGAGATCACAAGAGCTCTGAACTCATGAATGGATTAATGACATTATCATGAGAGTGTGTTAGTATCAGGAGAGCAGTCTCCTGATAAAACAATGTGCTCAGTATATTTTTTTTCCCTCTCTGTGCCTTGTGTACACATTTCCTTGCCATGTGATACCTTCACCAATGATGCCGCAAGAAAACTCTCACCAGATGCTAGTTCTATGTTCTTGGACTTCCCAGCCTCCAGAACCATGAGCCAAATAAACTTCTGTTCTTTATAAATTACCCAGTCTGTTGTATTCTGGATAATTTCTATAGCAGCAGAAAATGGACCAAGATAAACAAGTACAGTGGTTTCTATTTGCTTCTAATACCATTCTTAAGTGTACAATATAGAATACCACATAGTATGTACAATATGATCTCACTTTATTAAAGAAAATACATATACATACACAAAAATGTTTTGGAAAGATATACTTGTATATTACTAACAGTGGTCAGGGAAGTCAGGTGTATATATATATATATATTTATATATATATTTATATATATATTTATATTTATATTTATATATATATTTATATTTATATATATATTTATATATTTATATAATTTATATTTATATATTTATATATATTTATATATATTTATATTTATATATACATTTATATATATATTTATATATTTGAGACAGGGTCTCACTCTGTTGCCCAGGCTGGCACTCAGTGGCATGACCATGGCTCACAGCAGCGTCAACCTCCCTGCTCAGGTGATACTCACCTATCCCTCAGGTGATACTCTCACCTCTGCTTCTACGAGTTTGACTATTTTAGATACTTTATATAAGTGGAATCATGTAGTATTTGTCTCCTGTAACTGGCTTACTTCACTTAGCAAAACATCCTCCTGATTCATCCATATTGTCACAAATGGCAGAATTTCCTTCTTTTAAAAGGGCAATAATATTCTATTTTATGAGTATGCTGCAATTTTTTCTCAACTCATCTATCTGTGGACACTGAGGGGTGGTGTTTTAGTTGGACTTACTAACGCTAGTTGTTCTGACACCTCTAAATCTCAGTGGTTTAACAAAATGAAGTTTCATTGCTGGCTTACCTCACAGTCCAATCAGATGTTTGGCAGATCAGTAGTGGTTTAGGGCTTTTTGCTTCTTCTGTCTGTGGTTCTAGTATCTATCCTTTGATATTCCTTTGGAGTTATCTGTTGGATACTCTGCATTCAACCAGCTAATAAGTGAATTGGGAAGGTATAAACAATGGCATAAAATACTTAGGGGCCCGGTCTCTCCCAAGTGCTTCAATCATCCACAAGTGTTCTAAGTATGTCCAGTATATTTTTCAGGTTTCTTTTGTCTACACATAACAGAAATCCAAGTACACTAGCATTAACAAATCGAGGTTAATTTTTTCCACAAACAACAACAAAAATAAGCAAAAATGAGAAGTCTTACACTAACACAACTATACCAAGTTGCCACCAGGAACCCAGGATTCTATATCTTTTCACTTTACCATCCTTACCATGTATCTTTCTTCTTTATGCTTGCAAAATGGTGCTATACTACTAAAGATTAGCATATTAGATCAAGTTCCAGGAAGGAAGGGAGAGGAGAAAGTGTTAATAGCATGTGCCACCTGTCCATCTCTTTTTATTCAAGAAAAAAAATAGCTTTCCCAGAAACCATACCTAGAATGTTTTCTCTTATTTTTCATTGGCAAGACTGCATGTGCAGGGAAATTAATACAATGAGTATTTAATTAGCTGCATTACCATAGTGAACAAAGATGGGCTCCTGTAGCTAAGGCAAAAGGGAGGAAGGATGTTGGGCAGCAACTATGAGCTTGTGCTTCATGTAGATGTGCCAGTCCTCCAGAGCTTTAGTTGAGATCTCTAGTGCACTGATTTTTTTTCTCTGCCTCCTTTAAGACATTTAACTGTGCAGCCCAACCAATCAAAATAAACATCTTCATTTTCTTTAATATCCATAAGTCAAAGGAGTTGAATATTTCAGATTTGCTTCCTCACACAAGGTATAACTCTAATTTCCTGTTTGAGTCAGACAAGAGTGTGACTCAAGATATAATAATATAGGGTGGGGTCCCTTTATAGCATAGGCTTGGTGCCTTTTCAACTGAGGCACTTTCTGCCATACTCTAAGTTTATTCATGTTTCCTGACCTGGGAATGTGATTCAAATGACTGTGTGTATAACTGTGGTTGGCAAGAACAGACACACGTGTAATTGGAGAGGCCTCTGGACATGCAGTTAATGCTTACTATCAACTTTGCCCGGGATCGGGGAGAGGCTTAGAACACAATTTTGCATTCAATAATGTGGTTTTAGTTCACTTACCTAAGACACATCTTTAAAATAGTTTCTGCTATGTGTAAGATTGATATTAGGTAATTGGGAAGACATGAAGATATATTAGACACAAAGCCATCTTCAAATATTTGACAAATTAATAGAGGGTAGATAACATGTATTACAATATCCACAATACAAATTAGATTATGATAAGCATAATGTGTGTAAAAAAATTATTTTGTGGGTGTGTAGAAAGATGACTATGACATCTATCTGGGTAAAATTTTGATAGGTAAATATAGGGAAGAGGAAGTTCAAATGAGAGAAAATATAAGCATGTAAGCTTAGCAAAAAAAAAGGGGGGGGTGAAGTCTATGTTCATAAAATCTAGAAAGTACTTTAAAAATGAAGTTAACAACATGGGTTGAGACCAAGTTATGGGACCAGGAAAGTCTGTATCTTAGGTGAATTAAATATGTCCACCTGTCCTGAGTTGTAAAACTGACAAGAAGCTTTTTTTAAAAAAAAGTCACATCTTAAAGGGGCAAGGGAAGAATTTGCAATAACAAGTTTTCCAAAGGTCCAATTAAAGGAGGCCAGAGGCTTAGAGTGAGGAATAAGGCTCATCTAAAGTCTACTCAAGCCGAAGGAAATGTTAAGTCTGTCTCGGTGGTGTCTAAAAATATAACCCGGGGTCTACACAGGTCATGGTTGTTTCATGCAATATGGAAGGGAACCATAATATTGAAGTAAAACATAGTTAACAAATCCTGTATCTTCTTAATATTCATATTTAGGGAGGTGAATAGTTTAAATATATAACAGGTTTTATAACAATGGCTTTATTTTAAAATTCAAAAGCATCTCTGTTCTTAAAATTTATTAAATCAGTGCACATTTCTAACTGCATGCCAAACAGCCTGCAGTACTGGAAGTACAGAGACGGCACCAAGACCAGAATCTTGCCTCATTTCTCCTAAAGCCAATGATGTTATGCTCGCTTGGCATTGTTGCCAGCACGGCTGTAGCTTGCTGTCACTCATCTCTAAAAAATTAATGGCATTACTATAGAAAGTGTTGCCCTCCTACCAGTGTAATCCTGAGTTACTGGTGTCGCTAATGCGAAGGTGGGAAGTTGAAGATTATTTTCATAATTGCTGCCTGCTCTGATGGAAACATACAGTGAACTGCTTTTTTTCAAGTGTCAATGAAAATACCATCTTGCACATATCATTTGAATGATTCATAAATCACAATGAAAGTTTGCCCTTGCTCAAAGGCAAAGAAAAAAATTTACAGGGGACTTAAATAGGTAGAAGTGGGTTTAAAAACAGCTTCTCAAACAAAAATGTTGGATAACACTAAGCAATGGTTAGAGACACTAGCTTCAAAATAACTCAGCTTTTCTTCAAGATTACTTGATTCTTTCAGAGTACATCTGAAATTTTCTATTAATTTTTTGCTTCTCTCAACTGTGTGGATGGGAGGCATAATAAGATTTAGTGTAGGTGGTATTTCCAAAATATATTTATGTAAATGTCACTTGGATAAAAATCCTGTACTCCCAGAGCAAGAAAATCAATCCCCAACCTCACTGAATATTTGATCTATAATTACCTTCCAAAATTAGGTACTGGAAGGACATAATAGGTCTAATTCCACTGAAGTATTTTTAATAGCATATTTAAATCATCCCTGATTCCTCCTATACTTATTAACAGTTTTCTCAGATAATTTTATGAATGATAATGACAATCTTCAGGGATTACTTAAAAGGAGTTTTCAAAACCATGCATCAGGAAGACAAAAAAAACAAAAACAAAAACAAAAAAACATTCCATTGCTTTTTCGAGTAATTTTCTCTTTAGTGAATGGAAAATAAGAATCAAACGTTTAAATTTCAGTGTTTCATGAAAATAAAATATCCTATTATGCCAAATTATTTAGGAATTCAAAATTAAGTCCAAAATATCTTCAGGTTATGGTTTAGTACCATCTAAAAAATACATGGGGCCAATTTTCAGACAGAAGCCATATACTTTCATATTTTTCTTTCAAAACTAAATAACAGCAAGAAAAAGGGAACATGAAGAACACAAAAATAGGTGAAAGTAAGAAAGAAGAGAGGTCAGTGAATACTAAGCTGGCTGGCAATAATGTTTCTGCTGAACTTGGAGCCCTTCAACTTCTGCTCTGAAGTCTGCATAAGTCAGGGACAGAGGCAAAACCTAGAGCAAGTGCTAAGTAAGGAATCTTATAAGAAATTATACTTCATAAAACTGAAATCTCACTGGGTTTCACCCTCAGTGTAAGGATTTGAAAAAGAAATACATACTCAGGCACAAAAATATAATAGTCTCAACCTTGGCACTGGAAACTGGAAAGAAAAGAGTTCCCTTGAGAACTCATAACCACAATCCAGACCTCATACTAGTATGCAAGCCAAACCATGCAGTCTGTGCAATCCATACAACTTTAATTGAGAATTCAAAGTGTTTCTGCATTGGTAGTGACCTAAGGGAACTGGCAGAAGCAAGCACAAATTATCTCTGGAGACCTCAAAAATATTCCCATAGGTGAAATTCAAAGAAGTACCAGCAAGTCAAGTCCAAAGTCACAAAACATACAAAGAAACAACACTATAGGTGAGGGCAATCAAAAATAATAAATGTTAGGATCTGATATGCAAAGAATTTGAGATTTTTGAAATTATCAAAATACTAATATTTCTCACAGAATATTAAAGAACTATTAAAATATGTATACAGAAATAAAAGGGATCATTGAAAACATGAGTAAGAAAACTCTAAAGAATTGTAAGATATATATGAAAATAATAGAATTCCTAAATATGAAAATATATAATTAAAATGTAAAACTTAATGGATACATTCAACAGCATGCTAGACACAGAGAAAAAATTATTAACTAAAAGATAAAGCCTAAATATTATTCACAGCATAGCAGGAAAGACAAAGAAATGAACATATTAGTATTTGTTTAAAGAGAGATTAAGGAAATAGAAAAGAGATTGAGAGGATCTAGCATGAATCTAATGGAAGTTCCAGAAAAATAAAATAAAATAATAGGGGAAATTTAGAAGAATATGGAAACAGATATCTGAGAATATTCTAGAATTTTTGAAAGTCTCCAACTATCAGAAGCCCAACAATATTAAGCATGATATAGGAAAAAAATACAGATACAGACATAATCTCCACAGTTAGATACATTATTCATTTTGGAAAACGACAGGACACCATATTTCAAGAAACCTTAAAATCAGCCAAGGAGATAAGATCAATCATCTTGACTGTTTTACAGTAATGAAAGCTAGAAGCAAGATATGCTCCATGTGCTAGAAAACAAAAACAAAGAGACTGCCAGTCTAAAATTTTATAACCGGTGACAAAACCCTTCAATACTGAAGGTGAAATCAGTACATTTTGAGACAAATAAAAACTGAAAAGAGTTTGCCTTTGTAAACCTGAATGTATTAATCAGAGTTCTCCAGAGAATAGAACCAATAGGATGTCTGTACACACACAGACACAGAGAGAGAGAGTCACGGAGAGAGAGATAAAAAGAGAGAGAATGAGATTGATTATGGATATTGGCTCATACACTTAATGAAGGATAAGAAGTCTCACAATCTGCTGTCTCCAAGCTGGAAAACCAGGAAAGCCAGGGGTGTAATTCAGTCTGAGTCCAAAGGCCTGAGAACGAGGGAAAGAAGGGGGATGTGGGGAGGAGAAGCTAGTGTAAGTCCCCAAGTCCAAAGGCTCAAGAACCAGGATCTTCAATGTCTGAGAGGAGAAGATGGATGTCCCAACTCAAACAGAGAGACCTAATTCACACTTTCTTTCCTCCTTTATGTTCTATTCAGGTCCTCAATAGATTGAATGATGCTCCTCTACATTGATGAGTGCAGAGTTTTACTCAGTCTACTGCAGCAAATGCTAATCTCTTCTGGAAATACCCTCACAGACACACCCAGAAATAAAGTTTTACCAGTTATCTGGGCATCCCTTAGCCCAATCGAGTTAACATAAAAAAATCACCACCACACTGCACTAAAAGAAATTCTAAAGAATGTATACTACAGAAATAAGCCTTATACAATTTCTATATAGAATTTAAGTATACCCAAAGAAAAATATAATTGAGATGGAGGTACATTAAGTTATAATGTTTTAGGGACCTTATGTTTTCCTGGAGGAAAGTGAAGGTTTTGATTAATAATAGGATTTTATAAGTTAGGAATTTATGTTTTAATTTATGCGGATATAATAAAATAACAGAAACAGGCCAGGCCTGGTGACTGATGCCTGTAATTCAGCACTTTGGGAGACTGAGGTAGACAGATCACCTGGGGTGAGGAGTTCGAGACTAGCCTGGCCAACATGGTGAAACCCTGTCTCTGCTAAAAAATACAAAAAATTAGCCTGGCGTGGTGGTAGGCGCCTGTATTCCCAGCTACTCAGGAGGCTGAGGCAGGAGAATCACTTGGACCAGGGAGGTGGAGGTTGCAGTGAGCCAAGATCTTACCATTGCACTCCAGCCTGGGCAACAAGAGAAAAACTCTGTCTTAATAATAACAATAATAATAATAGAAACAAATTATATAAATTCTAAACTAGTAGAAAGAGAAACTGAGTTGGTTAAAAAAAATCAATCTACAAAAGGGAATAAAAGAATACAAAGCCCAGGAAACATATTTTGGAGAAAAATGTACAAATTTATAAATGCATATGTAAGCTAAATATGAATAATACACTAAAATTTAAAAACTTACATAAAAATGTAGAATAAAGTGAATGATAGTACAAATAAGATGGTAGATTTAAATCCAAATATATTATTATATTAAATGTCAACAGACTAAATGCAGCACAGACAAAAATTACAAAAATGGGTATAAAAGAATTATATGTGCATTGTGTATACACATACATAATATATATTTATATACACATATATATAAACTACGAGGAAACAGAACATTTCAAAGTTAAAAGGTAGAAAAAAGATAAATACTAACAAAAAAAAACTGGTGAGATAAAGATACTAACAAAAGTTTATATATATATATATTTTTTATTATACTTTAAGTTCTAGGGTACATGTGCACAACGTGCAGGTTTGTTACATATATATATATGTGCCATATTGGTGTGCTGCACCCATTAACTCGTCATTTACATTAGGTATATCTCCTAATGCTATCCCTCCCCCCTCCCCCCACCCCACAACAGGCCCTGGTGTGTGATGTTCCCCTTCCTGTGTCCAAGTGTTCTCATTGTTCAATTCCCACCTATGAGTGAGAACATGCAGTGTTTGGTTTTCTGTCCTTGCGATAGTTTGCTGAGAATGATGGTTTCCAGCTTCATCCATGTCCCTACAAAGGACATGAACTTATCATTTTTATGGCTGCATAGTATTCCATGGTGTACATGTGCCACATTTTCTTAATCTAGTCTATCATTGTTGGACATTTGGGTTGGTTCCAAGTCTTTGTTATTGTGAATAGTGCAGCAATAAACATACGTGTGCATGTGTCTTTATAGCTGCATGATTTATAGTCCTTTGGGTATATACCCAGTAATGGGATGGCTGGGTCAAATGGTATTTCTAGTTCTAGATCCCTGAGGAATCGCCACACTGACTTCCACAATGGTTGAACTAGTTTACAGTCCCACCAACAGTGTAAAAGTGTTCCTATTTCTCCACATCCTCTTCAGCACCTGTTGTTTCCTGACTTTTTAATGATCGCCATTCTAACTGGCGTGAGATGGTATCTCATGGTGGTTTTTATTTGCATTTCTCTGATGGCCAGTGATGATGAGCATTTTTTCATGTGTCTGTTGGCTGCATAAATGTCTTCTTCTGAGAAGTGTCTGTTCAAATCCTTCGCCCACTTGTTGATGGGATTGTTTGTTTTTTTCTTGTAAATTTGTCTGAGTTCTTTGTAGGTTCTGGATATTAGCCCTTTGTCAGATGAGGAGATTGCAAAAATTTTCTCCCATTCTGTAGGTTGCCTGTTCACTCTGATGGTAGTTTCTTTTGCTGTGCAGAAGCTCTTTAGTTTAATTAGATCCCATTTGTCAATTTTGGCTTTTGTTGCCACTGCTTTTGGTGTTTTAGACATGAAGTCCTTGCCCATGCCTATGTCCTGAATGGTATTGCCTAGGTTTTCTTCTAGGGTTTTTATGGTTTTAGGTCTAAGATTTAAGACTTTAATCCAACTTGAATTAATTTCTGTATAAGGTGTAAGGAAGGGATCCAGTTTCAGCTTTCTACATATGGCTAGCCAGTTTTCCCAGCACCATTTATTAAATAGGGAATCCTTTCCCCGTTGCTTGTTTTTGCCAGGTTTGTCAAACATCAGATGGTTGTAGATGTGTGGTATTATTTCTGAGGGCTCTGTTCTATTCCATTGGTCTATATCTCTGTTTTGGTACCAGTACCATGCTATTTTGGTTACTGTAGCCTTGTAGTATAGTTTGAAGTCAGGTAGCATGATGCCTCCAGCTTTGTTCTTTTAGCTTAGGATTGACTTGGCAATGCAGGCTTTTTTGTGGTTCCATATGAACTTTAGTTTTTTCCAATCCTGTGAAGAAAGTAATTGGTAGCTTGATGGGGATGGCATTGAATCTACAAATTACCTTGGGCAGTATGGCCATTTTCATGATATTGATTCTTCCTATCCATGAGCATGGAATGTTCCTCCATTTGTTTGTGTCCTCTTTTATTTTGTTGAGCAGTGGTTTGTAGTTCTCCTCAAAGAGGTCCTTCACATCCCTTGTAAGTTGGATTCCTAGGTATTTAATCCTCTTTGTAGCGATTGTGAATGGGAGTTCACTCATGATTTGGTTCTCTGTTTGTCTGTTATTGGTGTATAAGAATGCTTGTGATTTTTGCACAATGATTTTGTATCCTGAGACGTTGCTGAAGCTGCTTATCAGCTTAAGGAGATTTTGGGCTGAGACAATGGGGTTTTCTAGATATACAATCATGTCATCTGCAAACAAGGACAATTTGACTTCCTCTTTTCCTAATTGAATACCCTTTATTTCTTTCTCCTGCCTGATTGCCCTGGCCAAAACTTCCAACACTATGTTGAATAGGAGTGGTGAGAGAGGGCATCCCTGTCTTGTGCCAGTTTTCAAAGGGAATGCTTCCAGTTTTTGCCCATTCAGTATGATATTGGCTGTGGATTTGTCATAAATAGCTCTTATTATTTTGAGATATGTCCCATCAATACCTAATTTATTGAGAGCTTTTAGCATAAAGTGCTGTGGAATTTTGTCAAAGGCCTTTTCTGCATCTATTGAGATAGTCATGTGGTTTTTGTCTTTGGTTCTGTTTATATGCTGGATTATGTTTATTGATTTACATATGTTGAACCAGCCTTGCATCCCAGGGATGAAGCCCACTTGATCATGGTGAATAAGTTTTTTGATGTGCTGCTGGATTCGGTTTGCCAGCATTTTATTGAGGATTTTTGCATAGATGTTCATCAGGGATATTGGTTCATCAGGGATATTTTTTTGTTGTGTCTCTGCCAGGCTTTGGTATCAGGATGATGCTGGCCTCATAAAATGAGTTAAGGAGGATTCCCTCTTTTTCTATTGATTGGAATAGTTTCAGAAGGAACGGTACCACCTCCTCCTTGTACCTCTGGTAGAATTCAGCTGTGAATCCATCTGGTCCTGGACTTTTTTTGGTTGGTAGGCTATTAATTATTGCCTCAATTTCAGAGCCTGTTGTTGGTCTATTCAGAGATTCAACTTCTTCCTGGTTTAGTCTTGGGAGGGTGTATGTGTCCAGGAATTTATCCATTTCTTCTAGATTTTCTAGTTGATTTGGGTAGAGGTGTTTATAGTATTCTCTGATGGTAGTTTTTATTTCTGTGGGATCAGTGGTGATATCCCCTTTATCATTCTTTATTGCATCTATTTGATTCTTCTCTCTTTTCTTCTTTATTAGTCTTGCTAGCGGTCTATCAATTTTGTTGGTCTTTTCAAAAAACTAGCTCCTGGATTCATTCATTTTTTGAAGGGTTTTTTGTGTCTCTATTTCCTTCAGTTCTGCTCTGATTTTAGTTATTTCTTTCCTTCTGCTAGCTTTTGAATGTGTTTGCCCTTGCTTCTTTAGTTCTTTTAATAGTGATGTTAGGGTGTCAATTTTAGATCTTTCCTGCTTTCTCTTGTGGGCATTTAGTGCTATAAATTTCCCTCTATACCCTGCTTTAAATGTGTCCCAGACATTCCAGTATGTTTTCTCTTTGTTCTTGTTGGTTTCAAAGAACATCTTTATTTCTGCCTTCGTTTCATTATGTACCCAGTAGTCATTCAGGAGCAGTTTGTTCAGTTTCCATGTAGTTGAGTGGTTTTGAGTGAGTTTCTTAATCCTGAGTTCTAGTTTGATTGCACTGTGGTCTGAGAGACAGTTTGTTATAATTTCTGTTCTTTTACATTTGCCGAGAAGTGCTTTACTTCCAACGATGAGGCCAGTTATGGAATAGGTGTGTGTAGTGTTGAGAAGAATGTATATTCTGTTGATTTTTGGTGGAGAGTTCTGTAGATGTCTATTAGGTCCGCTTGGTGCAGAGCTGAATTCAATTCCTGGATATCCTTGTTAACTTTCTGTCTCATTGATCATCTAATGTTGACAGTAGGGTGTTAAAGTCTCCCATTATTATTGTGTGGGAGTCTAAGTCTCTTTGTAAGTCTCTAAGGACTTGCTTTATGAATCTGGGTGCTCCTGTATTGGGTGCATATATATTTAGGATAGTTAGCTCTTCTTGTTGAATTGACCCCTTTACCATTATGTAATGGCCTTCTTTGTCTCTTTTGATCTTTGTTGGTTTAAAGTCTATTTTATCAGAGATGAGGATTGCATCCCCTGCTTTTTTTTTGTTTTCCTTTTGCTTGGTAGATCTTCCTCCATCCCTTTATTTTGAGCCTATGTGTGTCTCTGCATGTGAGACGGGTTTCCTGAATACAGCACACTGATGGGTCTTGACTCTTTATCCAATTTGCCAGTCTGTGTCTTTTAAGTGGAGCATTTAACCCATATACATTTAAGGTTAATATCGTTATGTGTGAATTTGATCCTGTCATTATGATGTTAGCTGGTTATTTTGCTCGTTAGTTGATGCAGTTCCTTCCTAACATTGATGGTCTTTACAATTTGGCATGTTTTTGCAGTGGCTGGTACCAGTTGTTCCTTTCCATGTTTAGTGTTTCCTTCAGGGGCTTTTTTAGTTACAAAATCTCTCAGCATTTGCTTGTTTGTAAAGTATTTTATTTCTCCTTCACTTATGAAGCTTAGTTTGGCTGGATATGAAACTCTGGGTTGAAAATTATTTCCTTTAAGAATGTTGAATATTGGCCCCCACTCTCTTCTAGCTTGCAGAGTTTCTGCCAAAAGATCAGCAGTTAGTCTGATGGGCTTCCCTTTGTGGGTAACCTGACCTTTCTCTGTGGCTGCCCTTAACATTTTTTCCTTCATTTCAACTTTGGTGAATCTGACAATTATGTGTCTTGGAGTTGCTCTTCTCGAGGAGTATCTTTGCGGCGTTCTCTGTATTTCCTGAATTTGAATGTTGGCCTGCCTTGCTATGCTGGGGAAGTTCTCCTGGTTAATATCCTGCAGAGTGTTTTCCAACTTGGTTCCATTCTCCCCGTCACTTTCAGGTACGCCAATCAGACGTAGATTTTGTCTGTTCACATAGTCCCATATTTCTTGGAGGTTTTGTTTATTCCTTTTTATTCTTTTTTCTCTAAACCTCTCTTCTCACTTCATTTCATTCATTTGATCTTCAATCACTGATACCCTTTCTTCCAGTTGATCGCATCGGCTACTGAAGCTTGTGCATTCATCATGTAGTTCTCATGCCACGGTTTTCAGCTCCATCAGGTCCTTTAAGGACTTCTCTACATTGGTTATTCTAGTTAGCCATTCACCTAATCTTTTTTCAAGGTTTTTAACTTCTTTGCAATGGGTTTGAACTTCCTCCTTTAGCTCGGAGAAGTTTGATTGTCTGAAGCCTTCTTATCTCAACTTGTCAAAGTCATTCTCTGTCCAGCTTTGTTCCATTGCTGGTAAGGAGCTGCATTCCTTTGGAGGAGGAGAGGCGCTCTGATTTTTAGAATTTTCTGTTCTGTTTTTTTCCCCATCTTTGTGGTTTTATCTACCTTTGGTCTTTGATGATGGTGACGTACAGATGGGGTTTTGGTTTGGATGTCCTTTCTGTTTGTTAGTTTTCCTTTTAACAGTCAGGACCCTCAGCTGCAGGTCTGTTGGAGTATGTTGGAGGTCCACTCCAGACCCTGTTTGCCTGGGTATCAGCAGTGGAGGCTGCAGAACAGTGAATATTGCTGAATAGCAAATGTTGCTGTCTGATCATTCCTCTGGAGGTTTCATCTCAGAGGGGTACCCGGCTGTGTGAGGTGTCATTCTACCCCTACTGGGAGGTGCTTCCCAGTTAAGCTACTCAGTGGTCAGGGACCCACTCGGGGAGGCAGTCTGTCCATTCTCAGATCTCAAACTCCATGCTGGGAGAACCACTACTGTCTTCAAAGCTGTCAGACAGGGACATTTAAGTTTGCAGAGGTTTCTGCTGCCTTTTGTTCGGCTATGCCCTGCCCCTAGAGGTGGAGTCTACAGAGGCAGGCAGGCCTCCTTGAGCTGCAGTGGGCTCCACCCAGTTCAAGCTTCCGGCTGCTTTGTTTACCTACTCAAGCCTGAGCAATGGTGGGCGCCCCTCCCCCAGCCTCGCTGCCACCTTGCAGTTCGATCTCAGACTGCTGTGCTAGTAATGAGTGAGTCTCTGTGGGCATAGGACCCTCTGAGCCAGGCGCGGGATATAATTTCCTCATGTGCCTTTTGCTAAGACCATTGGAAAAGTGCAGTATTAGGGTGGGAGTGACCTGATTTTCCAGGTGCCGTCTGTCACAGCTTTGCTTGGCTATGAAAGGGAATTCCCTGACCCCTTGCGCTTCCCAGGTGAGGTGATGCTTCGCCCTGCTTTGGCTCACGCTCAGTGCACTGCACATACTGTCCTACACCCACTGTCCAACAAGCCTCAGGGAGATGAACCAGGTACCTCAGTTGGAAATGCAGAAATCACCTGTCTTCTGCATGGCTCACGCTGGGAGCTGTAGACTGGAGCTGTTCCTATTCGGCCATCTTGGAACCACCCCCGCCAGTAACGATAGTTTTAAATCACCAGGATTTACAACAATCTTATATTTATATGTATTGAATAAAATGGTCTCAAAACATATAAAGCAAAATTGATAGAACGACAAGAAAATAGAAAATTCCAGCACCATAATAATGAAAAAAATGTGTCACCATGTTTCTCACTGATTGCTCACTACAAAAAAGAAAAGATGCTCAAAGTCATTAGTAATCAATGAAAAGCAAGCTATAGCCATAGCAAGATATAACGTCTCATCTGCCAGCTTGGCAGAAATTTATAAACTGAACAATAGGCCATGAAGCAACAGGAATGCTCATCCACTTGCAACTGCTCAGAAAAAAAGAGTTTGGTATGTGCATTCCTTTGAACTAACAATTACACTCCTGGAAATAGACCTTAGAGAAACTTCCTGTACATCTGTATCAGAAGAAAGGTTTGTTCATGAATGTTTTTTTTTTTTTTGCATTTTTCAAAACCCAAAAGTGCAAACTACAGAAAGTATAAACTATGGTATATTTCTACAAAGGAAAATTGTAAAGCAACAAAAACAAATGAAAATAAACACAGCAACCACCAAATAATGAGGAAATCTCAGATATATAATGTTGAGTAAAAGATTCAAATCACGGGAGAGTATAAGAACTGTGATTCTATTTAAATAAAATTAAAAACAGGGAAAATCAAAGAATATATTTGAGAGAGAGAGAGAGAGAGAGAGTGTGTGTGTGTGTGTGTGTGTGTGTGTGTGTGTTTTGCAATACAGTACAGTGGCTTGCATTGGGCCAACAAACCAAGTTGACTAAGGTAATTCAGAAAAATCAGGACATCTGGATGTGACAGCCCACACATTCAGGACTACTAGAACCCAACTTTCAGAACATTTTCCAGTTTTCCAAAATTTTCCCAAGTCAATATAGGCAATGAGGAATCAGAAAGAAATTTGAAGTTAAAAGGAATCAAAGCTCAAAGCTCTGAAAGAGAAATAGTAAGGCTATGGCCTAAGAAACAAAAGCTGTACAAAGCCCACAGTATTCATCATATTCTCTCCCTCAAATCCTCCAATTACTCCCCATAATTAAATACTAATCCCTTAGCATTCTGAATTCAACCCACTTTAGCTAAGCAAAACAGGCCACTTTACCCTCCAGCTTCACATTTTCTTCATTCCTCATTTTTGTTACTATTATTCCCTCTCTCTAAAATCCTTTTTGCACATCTCATCATGTCAAATCCCTGCTGAATAGGGAAAAACTGAATGCCTTTTCTCTAAGATCTGAAACATGACAAGAATGCCTATTGTTACCACTGTTATTGAACCTAGTACTGAACGTCTAGCTAAGGCAATTAGACAAGACAAAAAATAATAATAATAAAGAGCATCCAAATTGGAAAGGAAGAACTCAAATAAGCCTTGTTTGCAGAGGGTATGATCTTATATTTGCAAAAACCTAAAGCCTTCAGCAAAAAACTGTTAGAACTGATAAATAAATTCAGTAAAGTTGCAGGATATAAAATCCACATACGAAAATCAGTAGCATTTCTATATGCTAACAGTGAATAATCTGAAAAGGAAAGAAAAATGTAATCCCATTTACAATAGCCACAAATAAAATTAAATACTTAACCAAAGAAGAAAAAGGTCTCTATAATGAAAACTATAAAACACTGCTGAAAGAAATTGAAGAGGACGCCAAAAAAATGGAAAGATACTTCATGTTCATGAACTGTAAGGATCAATATTGTTAAAATGCTCATACTACCCAAAGCAATTTACAGATTCAATGCAATCCCTATCAAAATAGCAATGGCGTTCTTCACATAGATAGAAAAAACTATCCTAAAATGTAAATGGAACCACAAAAGAACCCAGAATAGCTAAAGAAATCCTAAGCAAAAAGGACAAAATGGGAGGAATCACATTACCTGACTTTAAACTATAGAGCTATAGTAACCAAAACACCATGGTTCTGGCATAAAAGCAGGTGTATGGACCAATGGAACAGAATAGAGAACCCATAAACGAATCTACTTACCTACAGTAAACTCATTTTTGACAACAGTGCCATGAGCATACACTACACAAAAGATAGTCTTTTCAATATGCAGTGCTGGGAAAACTGAATATCCATATGCAGAAGAATGAAACTAGACCCCTACCTCTCATCATATACAAAACTAAAATTAAAACAGATTAAACACTTAAATCTGAGACCTCAAACTATTTAACTACTACAAAAATATTTCGAGGAAACTCTCCAGGTCTGGGCAAAATTTTCTTGAGTTATACCCCACAAGCACAGGCAACCAAAGCAAAAATGGACAAATGGAATCCTATCAAGTTAAAAATCTTCTGCCCAGCAAGAGAAACAATCAACAGTGAAGAGACAATCCACAGAATGAGAGAAAATATTTGCAAACTACTCATCTGACAAGGGATTAATAACCAGAATGTATAAGGAGCTCAAACAACTCTATAGGAGAAAAATCTATTAATCCAATGTAAAATGGGCAAAAGATTTGAATAAACACTTCTCAAAAGAAGACATACAGGACTGGGTGCCATGGCTCATGCCTGTAATCCCAGCACTTTGGGAGCCATAGCGAGTGGCTCACTTGAGCCGCGGTTTGAGACCAGCCTGGGCAACGTGGTGAAACACTGCCTCTACAAATAAACACACAAAAAATTAGCTGGGTGTGGTGGCACGTGCCTGTAGTCCCAGCTACTTGTAGGGCTGAGGTGGGAGGATTGCTTGAGGCCAGGAGGTCAAGGCTGCAGCAAGTCAAGCAAGCAAGCACTCCAGCCTGGGCAACAGAGCAAGAGGCTGCCTCAAAAAGAAAAAGACATGCAAATGGCAAACAGGCAGATGAAAGGAGCTTAACATCATTGATCATCAGAGAAATGCAAATCAAAACTATAATGAGATATCATCTCACCCCAGTTAAAATGATTTATATCCAAAAGATAGGCAATAACAAATGCTGGCAAGGAATGAAAAGGGAACCCTTGTACACTGTTGGTGGGAATGTAAATTGGTACAACCACTATGGAGAATAGTGAGCAAGTTACGCAAAAATCTAGAAATACAGCTATCATATGTTCCAGCAATCCCACTGCTGATACCCAAAATAATGGAAATCAGTATATCAAAGCGATATCTGCACTCCCGTGCTTGTTACAGCACTCTTCACAATAGCTAAGATTTGGAAGCAACCTAAGTGTCCATCAACAGAGGAATGGAAAAAGAAACTGTGTTACATATACAAAATGGAGTACTCTTCAGCCATAAAAAAGAATGAGATCCTGTCATTTGCAACAGCATGGGTGGAACTGGAGGTTATCATGTTAAGCGAAACAAGTCAGGCACAGAAAGACAAACATTGCATGTTTCTCACTTATTTGTGGGATCTAAAAATTAAAACAATTGAACTCCTGGAGATAGAGAGTAGAAGGACAGATACCAGAGACTGCAAAAGGTAGTGGGGAGGTTAGGGGGAGGTGAAGGGGAAGTGGGATGCTTAATGGCTACAAAAAAAAAATAGCAAAGGGAATAAATAAGACGTAGTATTTGGTAGCACAACAGAGTGACTATAGTCAATCATAATTTAATTGTACACTTTAAAATAACTAAAAGAGTATAATTGGATTGTTTGTAATACAAAGGATAAATACTTGAGGGGCTGGATATCCCATTTCCCATGCTGTGATTGTTATGCATTGCATTCCTGTATTAAAACATCTCGTGCCCCCATGGTGGATGTGTATACCCCTATTATGTACCCATAAAAAATAAGCTAAAAAAAATGGATTGAGGTCACCAAGGGACAGAGTGTGGCATTTTTCTCAGGAAAAGTGACTAGCCTTCAATACGTGTTTCTATTAATAGGTATCAGATATTTAGACAAATGACATTATTAAATGTACAAAAGCCAGCTTCTTTCACAACTCTGAATACACTGCTTAGACGTGAAAGCTGCAAAAGAATGCAGACTGAAAAGTAGCCATCATTTAATGTTTCTCCACTCTTTTATGTACAGGAGTCAACAGTTTTATTATTTATTAGGATAATTGCATAGGCTGAACTATCAAGAATGAAATGGAATTGCCGAACCTTAACCCAAGGACTACCATATTGCTTTGAAACCCCAATTTTACTTCATCAGAAATCCCATTCATGAGGAATTATGAGTGTAGCACAGCTGTGCTATCTGTAAACTTTAGTCTCACCTCACCTTCTGTTTCTGAGGTGACCAAGGAGTTGCCTATAAACTCTACAATCTAGTTCTCCCATGTTTGGCCTGTTCAGTGAATGGAACAAATCTCATGGGGGCAGGAGAAGTTAGAGGACAAATACCAACCTGTGGAGTACCTGTGGAGTAAAGGGTATAAACTCAGTGTTCTGCAGTATATTATCTGGCAACACCTGTAAGCTATCTCCAAACAATAAAAGTTAATTACATTCATCTCTTCCCCTGGTCATAGTCTCTTCCCCTGGTCATAGTCATCATTCTAGCCCACATCAGCATACAGGGTTATTTAACATATTAAATAACGTTACAGCATTACAGGACTAGTTACTGTAATATCCCAGTTGATCCAAGCACTGCTTGGATATTGGCTGCAAGTCTGTTGATTGCGACAAAATTCTCTTTGGAAAATCTCATGCAGTAGGGGTATGTAGAAGATTCATTGTGTCACTACACTTAATGAAACTGGTTTTTGAATATAAAATTTCCCCAAGAATTATATTCAAATATATTACTTCCATTTATGTCATTCACTTTCTCCAAAACCAGCTCAAAAATAAATTATTGAACTCAAAATATTTTACTCAGCCTTGATTAAACTCAGAGGTCATATGTTTCAGTAGCAACTAGTGGAAATTTTAAGTAAAGAGCTGTTGAAATAGGGTTTTTGAGAATGTAAAGCAGATGATTACAAATTATCTTTGTTGAAATGAAAAATAAGGGGAATGTTAGTGGTATTTGCATATTAGTTGCCTCAAAAGTTCAGTGAAAGTTGTTTTTTTAAGATCTTATAATCGTAGTTGATTTTTTCCTAAATCTGTTTACCCAAGGAAAAAAAATCAAATGTTTAACAACTATAGGAGTCATTAATTTATAAACATGAGACTATAAATGTTTATTATCAGAAACTATATTTGTTAAAAGAACTTACTGACTCTTTCTTTAAACAATGTTTATCTTGGGAAATTGGCTTTTCTCACGAACCTTAAGATAATTAACCTACTATCTATGATTTCACTGATCTGGCTCTAATTTACTTAATCAGTGTAAAAGAACAGAAAGATACTCGTATAATTAAAAATATACATAAGAGAAATCAATGCCCAGAGTGATGATGTGAGAAGTGTGGACCCTCTTGCCAGTCAACCATTCAACTGCTGAAAATGATATAAAAAAAAATCTCCAGAAATTGTCTTAAGGCATACAGCAAATGGAAATCATTTAGTCCAGAAAATCTACTAAATCTCACTAAGGACATCAAGAGCCTGGGGCAATTGAGCCATGAATTTGCTCACATACCATCACTTCCCCCAGGCCCCAGATCAATATGATGGAAGCTCTACTGCAGGCATGTGCAGCTGAGACCAAAATTCTTCTCTACCTAGCTGCCAGCTAGAGACATATAGAACTAACAGACATCTATAGAACACTCACTCAATAAAAGCAGAATATTCTTCTCTAGTGCACATGGAACATTTTCCAGGAGAGCCCATATGCTAGGCCATAAACAACATGGGTATTAACCATAGGAAAAGGTCAAGAGAATTGTAAAGAAAGCAATTCTGACTTCACTAAACCCCTGAACCAACCCCAGCAGCCACCTACTTATAGATTTCTTATTATGAGCTGAAAATAAACGTCTTTTTATTAATCTGCTGTTAGTAAGAATTTCTATTTCTTGTTGAAAGCTGAAAGTATTCATAAAAAATTCTATTGCTATACCAGAAAGAGGAGAAGATGGTGCTTAAAATTTTGGCAGGAGACTGAGGCTTTTTACAAAAGAATATGCTTTTTTCTTCCCCACATACACCATTCTATTAGGACAATGTTAGAAGTCACTTGCACTATGGCCATCCACAATCTCACTTAATACTATGCACAGCCTGACAGTAGAGCAGCCCAGTCATTCACCCTTATTGCTCAGGCTCTCAGTGTGCATGTGTAATGATGTCAAATCCTTCCTGTTTGTTTTCAAGGCTCTCAACTTGTAGTTTAAAGCCTTTAATAATGATCTAAAAATCACTTTTAATTTGGTCGACAAACTGAAAAAAAATTAGTCGATATCAGAAAGTGGTAAACATCTTTCCTAGTCTCTTCCCATAAACTCTTATACTGGATCTCAAAGTGTAGTCCCCAAGCCAGCTGCATCAACATCATCTGAGAACTTGTTAGAAATGCAAATTCTCAGGCCCCCACAGACCTTCTGAACCACTTGCTCAGAGTTTGAGAGTCCCTCCCTACAGCACAGAACCATATCAGGTGATGCACTCTCTCCTCCTACTCTTATGCTTTTCTTTCTTCCCATCTTCTTCCAGTATCTAGCTTTTCCCCTCTCTTCTGTCAGCGTTAAAAGCCTGCAGATAGTATCCAAATCCATCATCTGATCTCATTAATTATCAGGATGATTGCTGGCCCCACTATAAGGCTCACGGGAGATTCTCCACTTCCATATCATAATACATAACCCAAAAGCCCACGCCCCAAATATTTAACCACAGACTGTCAAAACCAGGAGGTAAGTAGAGTAAAAGGTCCTATATGTCTGTCCCCATCCCAAGTAAAGACATGGAACCTCTTTCTTCATCTAATCCACCCTTAATCATGGGCCCTTCCTCTAATTTTTCCTTCCTTCCCCCTCTTATCTCTTCACCTAGTACTCAGTCAACTCACTTCATGTTCAAAATAGCTCTCACTGTCAACTCTACCTCATTTCAAACTCCAATTATTATCTTTACTCTGTCTAAACTTCACACTGTCTATTTTCATTTCTTTTAGCCAGGAGAATGAAAGCTGAGCATCGATGAGCTGTGTGTATATATCCTAGAGATTCAGCCTAATTATCTTGTGTTAAAGACAATGTATTATTGTTTCATCCATTTTTAATCAGCCCTCACTGCAATGAAAAATGTCCTTTTTGAAGAAGTGATCTCAGTGTGAACCACCCCCAACCCTGGTTACGTTTTACTAACCTGTAATTAATGTACATATTCACAAGGTTGTTTTTATATGCTTCTCACTGTGTATCCCCTAGCAGATTTTTTAACAGATATTTCTCATGTATTTTTCTGATTACTTGAAGACTTTTAAAAATCTGACTTTGGTTATATGTTCATTAAAATGTCATGCAGCACTATCCTTCCAACTAGAGACAAAAAAGTAATAAAAGACAAACGAAAGCCAAGAGACTCCTCAGCCTGGGTGTACAGTAGAGTTCACCCCAATTACAATAAAGTATCCCTCATTTAAGCATCTAAAAAACAAGTTTAAACAGTACTATAGAACAGACGTCTCTCCTCAGGAGTGGCAGCCATTTGAAAAAAGATTTGAAGAGTATAATGGAAGTAATGCCTACATGTGTCTCTATTTACTGTTCTATGAACAAAGTTACACTCTGCCAACTTTTATATTCTTCTTTTTTCCTTGGTACTGATATTTCTCTATTTTTATTTTATTTGGCTGTTTGAAGCCACCACAAATCCTTCTTGGAAAAAGCATCATAAAACCAATGATTTATTCTTAAAAAGAGTTTCAGTAGCATATTTGTTACTTTTAGTAATATTAAAGTGATAATAATAGAATAACTTATATAGTGCTTTTAACTTTTCTATGCATTTCATTAACATTTTTCCATGGATTCTTACAGTAAATCCAAGAGCAGGAATTTTTAAATTTTAAAAATAAGGAATTAAAATTTAGAGATGTAAGTCTCTCAAGATCATTCATTTAGATATTATTAACAATAACAAAAACAACAGCAGCAACGGCTCATTACATTTGCAGATTGCTAAATAGGACTTAAACTAAGGACCACCGACTCCGATTCCTACACTATTTTCTCTAGTCATAACATACCTCTCCAGCACCTATGAGAAAAAGTAACTAAAGTACTTAGAATTATCAGGAAGGAGAAATGATTAAAGCCCAAGCCAATGATACACATCATCAGTCACTAGCATACACCTGAATATTCACATAGCTGCTCATTTCTCTATTTAAGAAAGTCTAATAAAGAAAGAAGTTAACAAAAAAAGAGCCTAAATAACCAAAGAGATCCTAAGCAAAAAGAACAAAGCCAGAGGCATCACATTGTCCAAATTTAAACTATACTATAAGGCTACAGTAATCAAAACAGCATGTGCTGGTTAAAAAAACAAAAAAAAACAAAAAACAGCAGACACATAGACCAATAAAACAAACTAGAAAGCCCAGAAATAAAGTCACACACTCACAACCATCTGATCTTTCACAAAGATGCAGAAAGGACACCCTATTCCATAAATGGTGCAGAGATAGGTCATTAACCATATGCAGAAAAATGAAATTAGACACTTGTCTTTCACCAGATACAAAAATTAACTCAAGATGGATTAAAGATTTAAATGTAAGACCTCAAACTATAAGAATCCCAGAAAAAAAAAAAAAACCTAGGAAACACCCTTCTGAACATTGGCCTTGGGAAATAATTTATGACTAAGTCTTTGAAAGCAAAATTTAGTAAGTGGGACCTAATTAAACTAAAAAGCTTTTGAACAGCAAAAGAAACTATCAACAGGGTAAAAGAAAACCTACAGAATGAGAGAGGAACTTAAACAATTGAACAAGAAAAAGTCAAATAACCCCATTTTTAAAAATGGGCAAAGATATGCACAGACACTTCTCAAAAGAAGACATACATATTAGCCAACAAACATATGGAAAAATATTCAACATCACTAATCATCAGAGAAATGCAAATCAAAACCACAATGAGATACCATCTCACACTAGTCAGAATGGCTATTATTAAAAGGTCAAAAAATAACAGGTGCTGGTAAGGTTGCTGGGAAAAAGGGAACACTTAAACACTGCTGGTAGGAATGTAAATTTGTTCAGCCACAGTTTGAAGATTTCTCAAAGAATTTAAAGAAGAACTGCCATTTAACCCAGCAACCCAATTACTGGGTATATATTCAAAATAAAATAAGTCATTCTACCATAAAGTTACATACACTTGGATGTTCATTGCAGTACTATTCACAATAGCAAGGATATGAAATCAACCTAGGTATCCATCAGTGGTGGACTGGATAAAGAAAAGGTGGCACACGTACATCACAGAATACCATGCAGCCATAAAAAAGAGTGAAATCATGTCCTCTGCAGTGACATGAATGCAGCTGAAAGCCATTATCCTAAGTGAATTATCACAGGACTAGAAAACCAAATCCCACATGTTTTCACTTATAAGAAGGAGCTAAACATTGGGTATTCGTGGACATAAATATGGCAACAAAAGAAACTGGAGGCTGCTAAAGGGGAAGGAAGGAGGCAGAAAAGGGTTGAATAACTATTGGATGCTCACTATTTGATTGACGGAATCACTCACACCCCAAACCTCAGCATCACACAATATACCCAGGTAACAATCCTGCACATATACCCCTTGAATCTAAAATAAATATTGAAATTATTTTAAAGAGAGATTGAGGTTCAGTGGTAGGACAAAATAATAGAAAAATCAGTGGCTCAAGATCCACCTAGTAGGTAGAGCCAAGACTAATTATATTCTTATCACATGCTGGGAATGCACCATTACTTCCACTTGAACCTATTCTTTTCTGTCTTCCACTCTAACATGCAAACTTGGAGTAGGTCATTGAGTTCTATGAACCTTGGTAGTATCGCCTGTAAACTAACGTTATTGGACTAGATGATCTCTAAGCTCCCTATTCTAATGGCCCCTGCTTCTATAAATAAGAGGTGAGCAGGTTCTTTTAACAATTCTTGAAAAGTAACAAGTGAGAAAGCAATGCTCAGAGATCATCAAGTTGGGCTTGATCAACCCTAGCTAATGATTACCACACTTTAGTGTGCAGCAAAATCATCTGTAGTATGCTTAGGATTCAGGCTGCGTATGTGGGGAATATAGCAGAGTTATGTATATAATTACTTCAATCTCAGTGTTTTAAGTTCTCAACTGAGGAGCAAAAGGTCTCAGCCTTTTTATATAGGGCCTTCTCTCTCCAAATAGTTGAAAAAGTTCCAGAAGTACCCACATGTACCATTTAAATGGCCCCTAACCCTCATCAGGATTGGACCTCTTATAAAAATCACTTTTTCAGTCTCCAAGGGAGGGATTAGTAAGGGAAGAGTTCACCAAACACCACGAAAGCAACTCCTTACAGCTCAGGTCTGGGATCTTCCAGTGATGCTGGTCTCGGGCCTCTGTCCCCCTACAGGTGCTCATTTGGGATCATTGACTGTTAGCCCTGGGATGTGTGTGGCTTATCATTCTCTCCAGTTAATAGAGAACTGCTTTCCCTTTTCCTGTACAATTTTATAAGATTATCTCAGAGTAAAGCTGTTTTGAACCCAGACAACAGTGGGGTTTTTCTGTTTGTTTTTTCCCACCCCTCATGAGACTTATGCAGTTATGTTTATCTTCCTTGAGCACCTAGAGCTCATTGGTGGTGGAGGGTGTCTTACGGCATAGGTGGCCTCTCAGAGTCTCAGCAAGGTCACTCTTTTCCATATGTAATAATGAGCCATTGTTCTATTCATCATGACCTCATAGAGCCTTTTCTTTTTCTCAGGTCTCATTTACTTCCTCTTTTTTTTTTCCTTTTCCTTTTCCTATACCTTCCTTTGGTCCTTATAAGTATCCAAATTGCCCTGTAAGTATGAATTTTACAATAATGTCCTCAATTTGGTATATCAAGACTGATCTTAGTAGTTTCCTTGCACTAGGCACGTTCAGCTTAAAAACAAAAAGTGCAATCTATTTTCAATAGGAATAGATAATGTTGTCCAAAAGCCTGAGGATAACAGTTAAACTCATTGAAAATCACTAAAAAGCCCTTTAAAGGCTACTATTTTCTTTAATGACATTTTTTCTTAGTGTTGGATGCCCCCTACCACCAGACAATTGGTAATAGGATTGCAACTGGTATAGGGAAGGTGGAGGGACTGAGGAGAAAAGAGAAATTGAATTTATGTGTCTCCTTCTTAGCACAGCCTCAAATTTCTTTTTCAGAAAATAACTTCTGCACATGCAGCATTAGGAAGCAGTGTTTCCCAACCACTACATTTGAATGGTGAGTACCCAACCCAGAGGTCTCAGGAACCTACTAGATTCCCAACTCTGTCATGATTTTGCACCAAAGGGCACTTAACTTATTTGTGGATGTAAAATGAAGAGAAAGATGCCTGCCCATCAGAAGCCAGCACCATGCTCCAGGCATAGGGCTTCAAAAAAACAGAGAAGATTCAAAAATGAGGATTGTCATCTCAGAGAAGTTTATGAAATTATTAAAATTTGCAAAACAATTTTAATCCTATCCAGGGGTCAGGAGCTGCTCATCTTCCATCTGAGGGACTGGGCCAGGGACAGTTTTATCGAATGTGAATCTAGGCATTGCACCTCCATACATGACCATCAATGTTTACAGTTTTCTTTTCTGCATTTACTCTGGTTTCACCTTTCATATGGGACTCCTCTGATCTTCAATTCTCTCCCAACTCATGTCTTACCAGGCTGGCTCTAACATCTGATAACTGACATCATCTGGCCCTATAACTTCTCTCTCTCATGAATAGGCAGTCAAGGTCTGGCATATCCTGACTTCTGTAATCAATTGTTGTGATGAAAAAATTCATTTAAACAAACATAGAAGTGTCAGAAACATTTTTAGGAAGGCAGAACTGACCCTGGAAACAGAATAGGAAATGATGACAACATGCCAACTCGAAAATAATGTAAGTTATTCTACAAATAAAACCTAGTCAACATGAACAAATGACTCAGCTGTTTCTCCCAACAATAGCTGTAGAAAAAAATTTTTAAATGTTGAAAATATAAATATTTGGGTAATTACCCACTGCCATTACTCCACACAGTGTCTGGATTTTCAGCTTTACCTTCTCGTCAGATGAAAGATTCTTGAACTGGTATGTGAGTTCCGCATCTTCTTTTTAGAACTATTTAGACAATGCTCAACTTACAAAGAAATTGCCACTACTCCTGTGTGAAAAAAGGGCACACAGGAGAAGTAGTGGCAATTTCTTTATAAGTTTAGAGGAACTCTGCTAGTTGAGAGGAACTGCTCAAGTTTCTCTCAACTAGCAGACTTTCCTGGACTGCCTGAATCCCTGTCTGCCGTAAGAAGAGAATTTCAAAATGAACTGGTGCTCTTGGAGAGTTCCTGGGTTCAGAAGCGAGGAAAGGGAAGAAGTTTCAAGACCTATGTGTATCAATTACTAATTTTTTTTGCAATTAAATCAAAAACTCTGGTAACAAAAAACATTTGTTTCCTTAGCAAGAAATTCAACAGGAGGACTGAGAGAAAGGCCCCAATTTAGCAACCGGGAACCCAGAATCAAATAGGTTCAGCGGACTACAGTAGAATGGTCAGGGTAGAGACCATGTTGCAATGGGTTGTCTAAGAATAAGCAGTATTTTTTTAAAGTGCAGAGATAAATTTTATACTCTAGACCTTAAAAAACTTAAAAGACACACAAATGGCCAACAAGTATATGAAAAAAATGTTCAACATCACTAATCAACAGAGAAATGCAAATCAAAACCACAACGAGGTATGATCTCAGCCCCTATTATCAAAAAATAAAAACTAATGAATGCTGGCAAGGATGCAGAGAAACGGAAAACTTACATGTGTTTAGTAGGACTTATACTAGCAAAGCTACTACAAAAGACAGTACGTGGTTCCTCAGAAAACTACAAATAGGGCTACCACATAATCCAGCAATCCCACTACTGGGGCATTTATCCAAAGGAAAGAATATCAGTGTAACAAAGAGACCTCTTCACTCTCATTTTTATTACAGAACTATTCACAATAGACAAGATAGGGAATCAACCTAGGATCTAACAACAGATGGCTGGATAAAGAAGATGTGGTATATACACACAATGGAATACTATCAGCCATTAGAAAAAGAGGTTGAATTGGACTTACAGTTCCACATGGCTGGGGAGGCCTCAGAATCACCGCAGGAGGCAAAAGGCACTTCTTACATGGCGGCGCGGCAAGAGAGAATAAGGAGGAAGCAAAAGTGGAAACCCCTGATAAACCTATCAGATTTCATGAGACTTATTCACCATCACAAGAACAGCACAGGAAAGACCAGCCCCCATGATTCAGTACCTCACCCTGGGTCCCTCCCAAAACACGTGAGAATTCCGGGTGATACAATTAAAATTGAGATTTGAATGGGAACATGGCCAAACCATATCATGTATATATATGACATTTGATGGATGGAACTGGAGGACATTATGTTAAGTGAAATAAGCCAGGAACAAAAAGTTAAACACCACATGTTCTCATTCATATGTGGAAGCTAAAAAAAGTTAACATCATAGAGGTAAAAAGTAGAACAGAGGATACTAGAGGCTAAGAAGTGTAGGGGAAAAGGGATGGGAGGTAGGGAGAGATTTGTTAAAGGATACGAAATTATACCTAGATAGGAGGACTAAGTTCTAAAATTCTATAGCACTGTAGGTAACTATAGTTAATAACAATATAAAGGTTCAAATAGCTACAAGGAGGATATTGAATGCTCCTAACACAAAGAAATGATAAATATTTGAAATGATGGATATGCTAATTACTCCAATCTTATCATTACACATTGTTTGTATTGTCATATCACTACGTACCCCATAAATATGTATGATTATCTACCCATTTAAAAATTTTTTTAATTTAAAAAATAGAAGAAAAAACCTTAGCTTTGGAATTTGGCAGAGTTAAAAAACCTTAGCTTTAGAATTTAGAGTTGCAGAGACAAGAAAAATTTCCCAAAAGGTATCTATAGATATTAAAAAACATTACAGAAGATTAAAAAGGGAAAGGGTAGGTTTTATGGTAAAATAATTTAGGGATATACAGAGTAAGCAAAGGTAAGCAGATGTCTTTTCATTACTGCAGAACTTCTCAGCACCTTTAACAAGCTACTGTGAGTTCTAAATATTCAAAAGGAAGTTAACAGTATATGAATGACTCAAATTTATTTGACGAAATGATTATTTTTTCCACTGAGTACCTCCTAAAATAGTGTTTAGAAGACAGCCTATGGAAAACATGGCTTAAAGGATAGAGGATACCATTTTATAACCAGGTAGAAACAAGAAGTAAAAAAGGAGAGATTAAAGAAGCATTAAGGGATACCTGATGGGAGAAGGGCTCAGAAAGTATAAGAAGGGATGTGGCAAAAGTGAACAGGTGGAGGCTAGAAGGGTGCTTCTTCCTCAGCTGTCTGAGAGGCATAAAGAGAGAGGGAGAGAAAAAAGTGTCAGCACATCTACACAGAGCAAAGGGAGTGGAGGAAATTCACAGGGGAAGACTTCATTCTTTTCACAAAAGAAAAGGTTAGATGTGCATAAAGGACAAAGGGCAGGGTTGACTAAGGGAAAGAGAAATATAAAGCCATCAGGGCCTGGGAAGGGGCACCAGGAACAAGGAATAAGTGAAGAAAGGGAGATGGGACAATATCAATTTCAAAAATATGCTTTTATTAACTGTCAAGATTGTAATTATGCATAAGCTTTGACCTAAAATTTCATTTTAATGGCATTTACTCCATATATATATATATACACACACATATACTTGTATAAGTCTGTAGTTACAAGCCCTAGGATGTTTATTAAAACACTGGTTATATAGCAGAAAATTTTTAAAAACATCTACATGTAAATTACTTAAGGATAGTTAATAAATTAGCCCACATTCTTGTATCAGAACAGTAGATAGGCAGACAATAAGAATATACTGACTTGAAAAGATGTCCAAGATATTTTATTAAGTGAAGAAATCAATTTATAGAACAATATGTATAACATGAACCCATGTGAAATAAGACAGTGCGTGTGTGTGTGTGTGTGTGTGTGTGTGCGCGTGCGCACATGCATGCACACAAAAAAATGTCTGGTGGTTGCATGTCTAAGTACATAGTTCTAGGCTATGGTTTTGGCGGAACTCAGGCTGGAAAAAAAGGAGGAATTTTTACCTTTTACTTCATATCCTTCTGTTTGGACATTTTTACAGTAAGCACATACTGCATTTATAGTTGTTACAGTTTGTTCCTTTCTGGATCTGCACTCTTGAGACCCTCCTCCTTCTCCCCTGCAGCACGACTTTGCCTCCCAGCTCCCAAGAATCAAGGGCAGGCTGTACTCTCCTGATGTGACTCAGGCCCTCCTAGACCTCAGGGCCTCATGAAAGACAGAGTTTGCTTAGATTTACTGATAATTTCACTTTGTGACTTCACTTTGTGGCCAGTCCTTTCTGGCTCTCTGATCTTCAGACCACAAAAATGTCATCCAGCTCTAAGTTTGATCCCAATTCTACGCAGACTAGAAAGGGCATGCTGGGACAATGACAAAACATTAATTTTGGGGGCAAACAAGCTTTGTTTCCAATAAATAACATAGAATGAATTCCTGGAACATAAGTGTGTTATGTTCACCATAAATGTGTTACATAAGTGCAGCCTGATCACATAATACTAAAAAATCAGTAAAAATACCGATTTGAAATTATTTTTATAGAAACATGATTTTACCTGAACTTCCCTATTATTTTTTCTATGGACTCAAAATTCTTCTCTTATTTTTATTTTATTTATTTTCAAGGAGAAATTCATTGTCCGATATTCACTTTTCAGAAAATTCAGTCAAAATTTGCTTACAAGCCGTGCAGATGTTTCTTATAACCACTAGGGGTCAGACTACTACGTTAGTAGAAGTCAAACCCAACTTGAAACGTGGTATTAATTGGTTGAGGATCAGGCTGACATTCTCCTGCATAAGAACAGAAGACTGACCATTTAAATTAAACATTTTATAAAGGAGATAATGAGAAAGAATGCATTTGACAAGAGAGACTCAGAAAGTTGAAACTATCATATATATAATAAATATAACATAGTAAAGAAATTTCATCCTTAATAAAAATTTCAATTATTCACTTGCTCATTCTCATTGGCAAGATATTACTCCAGTCTAAGTGGGCTCAGATCAGAGGATTAATCATTGAACTGGGCAAATGTTAAGAGAGCAGAAACAACTAAAATCATGAAACTGTCAACAAAAAAGAAGAAATCCTCATTTATAAAGGATAAACCACATGACTAGCAGAGGATTGAGATGAATGGCAGAAACATTTTTCCAATGGATTTCAGCCATGGTAACAATAAATCTGAGTCATCTCACAGCAATGGGTGTATTCAGGAGTGTGGGCAGAGGGCAGCTCTGGACTGGGCCTCTGTTCCACTCCCAGCTCTGCCACAAATTGACCCTGTGGTCCTGAACACACTCCTTCTCTTCTCCTGATCTCAAAATGTCTTGAGTAAGATTACATGATTTATAAAGAATCTTCAGGCCTTAAAATTAAACAGATTTATCTAACAATATTGTTACATAAAAGGTAAGAAAGTGAGGGGAAAACTTGCCAAGATTTAAGTTTTAACAAAAATTTTACAAATGAGGGTATTCACTCTCAAGATACATTATTACAAATTGTGTTTTTTAAAAATGGAACAAACTGAGATCATAGACCATATTTACTGTCAGACAAAGTAATAAAAAGTCAAAATTTATTTACATTTTTAATGATAGTGTTTTGAAGTAAATACTCTAAGTGTATATGTAAACATATATGCGGGTTATTCCCTGGAATGATAAACAAATTAAAAAGTGGTTACCTGTTGGGGGCGGGGTAGAATTAAATGGATATGGATAGTGTGGCTATAAGAATATAAGGTTTGCTTCTTCATATATTGTTTTGATGTTTTTGTGATTGTATTATATGATGTATTACATTTTTTAAATTTTGAATATATCCATTGCCTATTCAAATTTTTTAAAAATTAATTTTAAACTTTATACATAGGACAAAAATGTGGGCCAATACAAAAATAAACACAACTGAATATGAAAATCCTCCATGATTTGAATGGGGGTTAGAAATGACACAGGGATATTCGTTACTAATATAAGTTGGCAATACAACAGTGATACTGTGTTTTAAATGGCCTGCATCAAAATACCTCAACCAAATTGGTCACATCTTAATGGTTGTATCTAAAGATTTTATTTGGTAGATTTTTCACCTGTGCCCCAAACCCTCACTGAGCTGCTTATACCTCATATGACACCAAATCAGGAGAAGGAAGAAGTTCCTCCCTCCCCCTTTTTTCTTTACATACACACATGCATGCACACACAGGCACACACTGGCTTGTGTGTCAATGAATATTAATATATGCAAATAAACAATGGAGATGGTTACAGGGAAATTGATTCTGCAAATTGCTAACCTAACTCACAGCCTTCTCAATATACAGGTCAAATGTAATTTCTATCAAAATTCCAGCAAGAGAATTTGTAGATGTAGACAAGATTATGGTAAAATGTATATGGAAAGGCAAAGGAACTAGAATAGCTACAACCATTTTGATAAAGAATAAAGCAAGAAGAATTACTCTACTTGATTTCAAATTATATAGCTACAGTAATCAAGGCTACATGGTGATAAAATAGACACATACATTGATGGAGCAGAATGGAGAACCCAAAATAGACCCATACAAATATGTGCAGTTACTTTTTCACAAAGGTGCAAAAACAATTCAATGGAGGAACGATAACTTTTCAACAATGGTGCTGAAACAATTGGACATCCGTAAGCCAAAAAGATGAACGTGGCCCTAAGCTTCAACATCAAATTAAAATTAACTCAAAAAGTATTAGCCTGAGCAACATGGTGAAACCTCATCTCTAAAGAAAAGTACAAAAGATTAGCCAGGCATTATGGCATGTGCCTGTGGTACCAGCTACTCAGGAGGCTGAGGTGGGAGGATGGCTTGAGTGTAGGAAGTCAAGGCTGCACCCCAGCCTGGATGACAGGGCAAGGCCCTGTCCCCCCCACCCAAAAAAAAAGGATTAAAGATTTAAGTGAAATTTTAAAACTATAAAACTTTTAGAAAAAAGTAATAAGAGAAACTCTTCAGAATCTAAGACTAAAGAATTTTTAGATTTGACACCAAAATCATGCCATAAAAGAAAAGATTGATAAATTGAATTTCATCAAAATTTCATACTTTTTACAAAAAATTAGCCGGGCATGGTGGTGGATGCCTATAGTCCCAACTACTCTGGAGGCTGAGGCAGGAGAATGGTGTGAACCCAGGAGGCAGAGCTTGCAGTGAGCCGAGGTCACGCCACTGCACTCCAACCTGGGCGACAGAGTGAGACTCCATCTCAAAAAAAAAAAAAAAAAAAAAAAATTCACACTTTTGCTCTGTAAAAGGTTCTGTTGAAAGGATGAAGAGACAAGCTTCAGATTAAGAGAAAATATTTGCAAAAATGTATCTGGCAAAGGACTAGTATCTATAATACATAAACTATTCTAAAAACTTAACAAGGAAAAACCCAATTAGAAAATGAGCAAAAGACATAAACAGACATACTAGTGAAGAGGATATACAGGTGGCAAATAAGTACATTATAAGACATTTCACATCATTAACTGGCAGGGAAATGTAAATTAAAACTACAATGAGATATCATTACACACCTATTAGAATGGCTAAAATAAAAAATTGTGACAACACCAAATACAGACAAAAATGTGTAGAAACTGGATCACTCATACATTGCTGGTGGGAATATAAAATGCTACAGACACTCTGGAGATTATTTTGGCAGCTTCCTATAAAACTAAATATGCAACTGTCATCCAACCCAAGAACAGAATGGAGAACCCAAAATAGACCAGCTTTTAGTTGCGGGGGGCGGGAAGGGGGTGGTAAAAAACTTCCATCCATAAAAAAACCTATACATGGATGTTTTTAGCTACTTTATTTGTAATAGCCTAAAACTGCGTACAGCCCTGATGTCCTTCCATGAGTGAACAGTTATACAAAATCTGGTATATCCATACATGCAATACTGCTCAGCAAGTAAAAGGAGTGAACTATTGATACACACAACAACTAGAATGAATGTCCGGAGAATTATGGTGAGCCCAAAAAGCCAATCCCAAAAGGTTAGGTACTGTATGAGCCCATTTATATAACATTCTTGAAATGACAAAATAATAGAAATGGAGAACAGGTTGGTGATTTCCCGAGGCTAAGAATGAGGTTGGGAATGGGTGAGAAAGAAGGAAGAATACTATAAAAGAATGCTACAAGAATCTTTGTGATGAAAATTCTCTTCATCTTGACTGTATCAATGTCAATATCTTAGTTGTAATACTGTACTAAAGTTCTGTAAGATATTAGCATTGGAGGAAAGTAAGTAAGGGTATATGGGATTTCTCTATATTATTTCTTAGAACTGTGGGTAAATCTACAGTCATCTCAAAATGATTGTTTGGTTTTATATATATATATATATACTTATATATATGTGTGTGTAATTTTAATTTTATACCTATATAAATATGTTTATTTTACATAAAATACTTCTAGAAGAATAATATAAACTATGACCTCGAGTTGTTACGGAAATGAGGATTATAGTAGCTATGCATATTTTTTCCTTGCTGGATGTGCATGTGTGTGTATGTACAAATTATTATCTACCAATTCCAAAGCTACTCTTCTCTCTGCCTTATGTTTCTGGAACTGAGACTTCACAAACCACACTTCTATTTTCCCAACTTAGGCTTTCCCTCTTAAGCTCCACCAACATAGGGAAACTAAAAGACAGAAGGAGAATAAAGGAACTTCCCCCTTCTCATTTGCTTCCTGTGGACTTCTCTGTTCCATGTCCCTCTGGGCATCACACAATAATAGGTCTTCTTCATCTGAGAGTATCAAGGCCTTCCAGTAGCAGCAGCTGAATCCAATGTGCATGTTTTCCAATCCTTGCAAAACCAGTCACATTGAATGGGTGTCAGCAAGCTTTTGCTATAAAGGACCACATAGAAAATATTTCAAGTTTTGCAGTCCATTCATTCGTATAGCAACTACTCAACTCTGCTGTTGTAGCAACAGGTGTAGATAATATTTAAATGAATATGCATGGCAAGTATAACTTTATTTTTGGACACTGGAATTTTAATCTTATATGAATTTCATGTGTCACAAAATATTATTATCATTATAAGTGGAATTGTGCTCTCAAAAAGATATGTTTTACTTCTAACCTCCTATATCTGTGATTGTGACCTTATTTGGAAATGAGGTCTCTGCAGATAATCAAATTAAGTTGAAGTCATTAGGGTGGCCCTAATCCAATATGACTGGTATCCTTTTTACTTTTTTTTTTAGAAATGAGGTCTTGCTATGTTACCCAGGCCAGTCTTGAATTCCTGGGCTCAAGTGATCCTTCTTCCTCCGCCTCCTAAAGTGCTGCAATTACAGGCATGAGCCTTCATACACAACCAAATGGTGCCCTTATGAGAGAAAAATGTCATGCAAAGACATGGACACAGAGAGGAGTCCGTTCTGTGAGTGGAAGCCAAGATTGGAGCAATGCAGCCACAAGCCAAGGACTGATTGCCACCTCCAGAAACTAGAAAAAGTCAAAGAAGGATTCTATCTAGAATCTCCAGGAAATCATCACCTTGTTGCTAACTCTATTTTGGATTTCTAGTTCCCAGAACTGTAAGAGAGTAAATTTCTGTTGTTTTAAGTCATGTAATTTGTGGTACTTTGTTACAGGTGGGCCTAGGAAACTAACACCCTTATTCTTTTATTTTTTAATCAATGTTTTAAAAATATAAAAACCATTCTTAACTCCCAGGTTATACAAAAAAACAGGTAGTAGGCTGGGCAGGCCTATAGGCACCTGACCCCACCTCAAAACATCAACATGTGCCAAGCAATGCCCATACAGTCTGAGTTTTAGACCTACACTACTAAATTTTAAGAATTTCAATCTCTTCCCCTTTTCCTCCACCCTGAGGGAAAGGTAGATGCTTCTGTAATTGCTACTTATATTACACTTTGCTATTCTCTCTTTCCTTTTCAGTTACCTAGCTAATAATTGTATAACTAGTTAACAATTATTTATGTTAAATTTTCTCTTGTTAAAATAACTTTTTTTCCTGGCTGGATCCTGACTAATACAATTTTCTTTTTAAAAGATTATTCAAGATTTTATATGAAGTACATTGACCTTTAAGGCTTTTGGAACGCCATGGTAATTATTAAGTTTGATTTTAGGTAATTAAGTTTGATTTTAGGTAATTGAGACAACTCTTTGCAGAGGTGAAATTCCTGACACAAAAATTGCATACTTTATTTGTCACAAACTTTAATTAATAATCATTCTTGCTTTAATAGATTCATTCCTCTGAGGACCCTCAAGTACTTCAGAAGAACTAAAAAATGAATATCACGTTACACCAAAGAAGAAATGAAAGCTGCCAGTGTCTTCTGAAGTTAAACAGGCTCCTGTTCTTTGACCCAGCAATCCAATCCTAGGTACTTACCCAAGAGAAACAAAAACATGTATTTACAAAAAGACTTGTATAAAATGTTCAAAGCAGCCTTATTCATAATAGCCAAAATCTGAAACAACCCAAACGTCCATCAATAGGATAATGAATAAGCAAACTGAAATATAACCATATAATGAAATAGCACTCCATCAATAAAAAGGAATGAACTTCTGATACACAGAACAATGTGAATAAATTTTAGGGACATTATGTTGAATAAAAGAAAAGATACAAAAGAACTTATGTAATTTTGTTTATATGAAGTCCAAGAACAGGTAAAAAGTAATCTATGATGAGGGAAAGCAGAAGAATGATTGACTTAGGGCACAAGAAGAATGTTGACTGGAAAGGGGCAGGAGGGAAGTTTTGGGGTGATAGAAATATATCCCAGTTGAGATAAGGATGAAAGAGCCTCATATATTTGTCAAAGCTCATCGATATGCACTTGTTTTTTTTCGTTGTTGTTGTTGTTGTTGTTTAGATGAAGTCTCACTCTGTCACTCAGGCTGGAGTGCAATGGCACAATCACTGCTCACTGCAGCCTCAACCTCCAGGGTTCAAGTGATCCTCTCACCTCAGCCTTCCCAGTAGCTGGGACCACAGATGCGCACCACCAAACCCAGCTAATTCTTTTATTGTTTGTGGAGATGGGATCTGCCTATGTTGCATAGGCTAGTCTCGAACACCTGGGCTCAAGCAAACCTCCCACCTCAGCCTCCCAAAGTGCTGGGATTACAGGTATCCGCCACTGCGTCCAGCCAATCTGCATTCTTAATAGGTGCATTCCACTTTATGTAAATTTTACTTTAAAATCTTAAGAATAAGTAAAAGAAAAAAAAAAGGCATAGGTGAATCTCTAATTTTCAGATCTGAAATTCATAGATAACCTTTGGAATTATAGACTCTAAGCCTGTAGAAGGCAAGCACTAACACTATCTTGTTTATTTTATATATAATTTAACATGCTGTAACATATCTATTGATCCAATAGGTATTAATATTAGAAGCATGAGCATTTTTCAAACATATAAAGTAGGTATCACTTCCAAATAAAATCTGCATAAGTAATTCAAGTTTGGCCTTCCCTTTCATCCTTCCTCTGTTACAGTATAAAAGATTCTGAGATTTTTTTTTTCTGAGAAATTTCTTTTCTCACCACATTTTGATTCCCAGCAAGCATCACCAATATACAGTAACTCATTGAAGGAAAGTATTCTTCCTTTGGGAAAAGACTAAAATTAAACACTTTTCATCTACCTAAAAATCATTACAATGGCGTCAAAATGTGAATAATTTAATCTGCTCATAAAATATTGCCTACCACTGACGTGCTTGGCCTTATGTTCAGATTGACCCAATTTAAGAATTTCTAGACACAGGCTGGGTGCGGTGGCTGACGCCTGTAATCCCAGCACTTTGGGAGGCCGAGGTGGGTGGATCACGAGGTCAGGAGATGGAAACCATCCTGGCTAACACGGTGAAACCCCGTCTCTACTAAAAAATACAAAAAATTAGCCAGGCGTGGTGGCGGGCGCCTGCAGTCCCAGCTACTCGGGAGGCTGAGGCAGGAGAATGGCGTGAACCCAGGAGGCGGAGCTTGCAGTGAGCTGAGATCCCGCCACTGCACTCCAGACTGGGCGACAGAGCAAGATTCCGTCGCAAAAAAAAAAAAAAAAAAGAATTTCTAGACACAAAAAGTCGATTTCAAGTTGAAAAGTGGTCACAACACTCACCTTTTCAAGTCTAGTCCACGGACATTAATTGTAATTTTTTTCCAGCGTACAAGCCATTTTGGCATAACATTTGCCTTGTGTCATGAATGGCTAAGTGCTCCTTGTCTTTTTTTTAACCTTACTTTTAATTAAACAAATAATATATTGTTGGGGGCTGGGCATGATGGCTCACACCTGTAGTCCCAGTACTTTGGGAAGCCAAGACAGGCAGATAGCTCGAAGGCAGGAGTTCAAGACCAATCTGACCAACATGGTGAAACTCCATCTCTACAAAACAAATAAACAAACAAAAAAACCCAAATAACAAAATAACATATTGTTGGGTGTGTGTGCATGTAACTTAGAGAATAAATTTTAAACAACCAAAGTGCTCATGAATAAGAGAATTGATGAAATAATTATGGAAACATGCAGCTTTTTTCCTTCTTAATGAGATACCTTTAAATGTGGTGGCATGAAAATTTTTCCTGGATATATTAAGTTGCTAAAAAGGAAGTCACAGAACGATAGGCATAGTATGATCATATTATGTTCAAAAATCTATAACTGCGTAGAACAAAATGTATATAAATCCTATCAAAGGAACAAAGAAAACATTTAGAAGGATCCATCTACACTGTTAAAGTGGTTAACGAGAAAGAAATGTTAAAAAGAAGGTGTACACAAAAGGATTTGCACTTGAATTTTATAATCAGCACATAAATCCAGTTTCTGGAACAATGCTTGACACAAAGTAGATAACAAATAGTTGTTGAATGAATTAATAGATTACTTAAGGAATCAATGGCTTCTATAACTTTAAAACAAAGCAATTATATGAAAAAAACACAAATAAATAAAACAAATAGAAACCACTTAAAATCTGCCACCCAAAGAACTGTTGTTTACATTTTGGCATATACATGTAGACCAATATTTTTATTTTTAATTTTCAAAATTGTATATATTTATGGTGTGCAACATGATGTTTCGATATATGCACACATTGTAGAATGGCTAAATCAAGCTAATTAACAGATCTATCTCCTTACACACTTTTCTTTTGTATATGTGATGAGAAATCTAAAATCTACTCTAGGTAATTTTCAGCAATTTTAATAAGTACACAACATATTATTATCTATATTCATCATGTTGTACAATAGATCCCCTGAACTTATTCCTCCTACCTAAATGAAATTTTGAATTCTTTGTATCCAATATTTTTCTTTTTAATATACAATATTAAAACACCAGGCCAGGCATGTAGCACAAGCCTATAATCTTAGTACTTTGAGAGGCAAAGACAGGTGCATCTCTTGAGGTCAGGAGTTCGAGACCAGTCTGGCCAACATAGTGAAACCCCATTCCTACAAAAAATACAAAAATTAGCCAGGCATGGTAGCACACACTTGTAGTCCCAGCTACTCAGTAGGCTGAGGTGGGAGGATCACTTGAGCCCAGGAGGTGGAGGTTACAGTAAGCTGTGATCATGCCACTGCACTTCAGACTAGGCAACAGAGTGAGACCTGTCTCAAAAAACAAAACAAAACAAAAAAAAAGATAAAACAATGCACAATATTTTGTAAATTGTCTCTTTCCCCAATCAAAAATATACCAGGGTATCTTTCTTTTCTTTTTCTTTTTTTTTTTTTTTTTTTTTTTGAGATGGAGTCTCACTCTGTTGCCCAGACTGGAGTGCAGTGACACAATCTCGGCTCACTGCAACCCCCGCCTCCCGGGTTCAAGCAATTCTCCTGCCTCAGCTTCCAAAGTAGCTGGGATTACAGGCATGTGCCACCACACCCAGCTAATTTTTGTATTTTTAGTAGAGACAGAGTTTCACAATGTTGGCCAGGCTGGTCTTGAACTCCTGACCTCCAGTGATCTGCCTTCCTCGGCCTCCCAAAGTACTGGGATTACAGGCGTGAGCCACTGTGCCCAGCCACCAGGATATCTTTCTATGCCAATAAATACCTTCCTCAATAATTTTTAATGTCTGCATTTATTTTAGCATTATTTTTTTATTCTAACAAAACTACTCTGCTTAATTTAAATGCCAATAATGTTCATTCATTCAGTCAGTCAGTCAGTAGGTGAATCAATAAATAGTTTTAAAGACCATGCAATATTTCAGGCAGGTACTCAGGCAAGCATGGGAATACAATAGTTATTGAGGAGAAAAAAGGCACCTGTCTTCACAACAACTTGAGTCTATGAGGTGAGATATACATTATATGAATAAATAGAAAGATAAATACATAGTTTTAAAATATAATAAGAAACTTTTTAAAAAAATTTGGAGACAGGGTCTCGCTGTGTCACTCAGGCTAAAGTGCAATGGCAAGATCAAAGCTTACTACAGCCTCTATCTCCTGGGCTCAAGTGATCCTCCTACATTAGCCTCCCAAGTAGCTGGGACTACAAGTGTGCACCATTATGCCTGGCTAATTTAAAAAAATTTTTTTTAGTAGATATGAGGTCTCTCTATGTTGCCTATGCTAGTCTTGAACTCCTGAGCTCAAGCCATCCTCTTGCTTCAGCCTCCTAAAGTGCTGGGATTACAAGTGTGAGCCACAGCACCTAGCCAAGAAACTTTTTTAGAAGATGCTATTCATAATAGAAAAAAATACGTTTAGAAGATGTAATTCAATAATTTCCCTTTGTGAGTGTCCAATTTAAGCTGAACTTGCAGGATGGATTGAATTTGGCCAGGCAAAGAGAGAAGAGAGCACTGCAGACAGTGAGAACAGAATCAGAGAAGAGCACAGCACTGTGGAATAGAGAGAAAGCAGAACTGAAGAAACTTCTGGAGGAAGGGGGTGGCACTAGACTAGGTTGCAGGGTAGAACTTTGGATTTTATTATAAGTGCAAAGGGGAGCCACCAAAGAGGGATTTTGTTTTTGTTTTTGTCCCCTCCCCATCCCATGTATAAATGTACAAGGTTTTTCTTTCTTGAGTTCACTGACCACTGAGAACAGAATGGATTGCAGGAGCAAGAATGAAAATACACCGATGATGAATAAAATGAGGGTTTCCAGGCTTGGGAAAGTGTGAAGGAGTAAGAACAGCTGTCCATGAATAGCAAGTGTTGCAGAATGACTTGGCAAAGAAAGATGATGGGGAGGGAGTTGGAAAGTGTCTTTCTGTAACAATTCGATGCACACAATATTTTACATATAATCTCAGGGTCTTTGTAGAACCCCTGGGTAGAAGACCATAGCTTTAAGACAGGTCACCATCCTCATCAAGAGAAAAGTGGGACTTGAGATGGGTTTAATAATTCTCTTGCCCTTACTGCCCTACTTGCCTTCCTTCCTTTCCCTTGAGAATGCACCAAGACCTCAGGAGCCAAGGTAAGGTTAATCTTAAAATATTAAAACTAATTTACATTGTCAGTGTACCGTCATACTTGTTTAAAAAAAGGAGACTGCCCAGAAGGAGTGTGCTGGGAGCAGAAAGAAACCAACTTAGTGCTATACTCTTACCACAAATCATTTAAAATGAACATTTACGAACTGGCTGGTAGGCGATGAAATACCTTCCCAAATTTCTCTGCTTGTCTTTTCCTGTCTGGTCATTTACTGTGGCACTTCTACATTGCTAAAAATAGGTTCTCAAATATGCCAAGAATAAGTGAGTCCACTTTCCTCAATCTCCAAGGGATAGGAGGCTGACATTAAACTGAAAGTAATCATTCTGAATAGCGAGATGTTTTATTGTTTGGGGCTTGTTGGTATGGATTCTTCACCAGTGTTTTTTTGTTGTTATTTTTCTTGTTGTTGTTTTTAATATACTTTAAGTTCTGGGATACATGTGCAGAACGTGCAGGTTTGTTACATAGGTATACATGTGCCATGGTGGTTTGCTGCACTCATCAACCCGTCATCTACATTAGGTATTTCTCCTAATGCTATCCCTCCCCTTGCCCCCATCCCCCAGCAGGCCCAGTGTGTGATGTTTCCCTCCCTGTGTCCATGTGTTCTCATTGTTCAACTCCCACTTATGAGTGAGAACATGCAGTGTTTGGTTTCCTGTTCCTGTATTAGTTTGCTGAAAATGATGGTTTCCAGCTTCATCCATGTCCCTGCAAAGGACATGAACTCATCCTTTATTATGGCTGCATAGTATTCCATGGTGTATATGTGCCACATTTTCTTAATCCAGTCTATCATTGATGGACATTTGGGTTGGTTCCAAGTTTTTGCTATTGTGAATAGTGCCACAATATACATACATGTGCATGTGTCTTTATAGGAGAATGATTTATAATTTTGGGGGTATATACCCAGTAATGGGATTGCTGGGTCAAATGGTATTTCTGGTTCTAGATCCTTGAGGAATCGCCACACTGTCTTCCACAATGGTTGAACTAATTTTCACTCCCACCAACAGCGTAAAAGCATTCCTATTTCTCCACATCCTCTCCAGCATCTGTTGTTTCCTGACTTTTTAATGATCACCATTCTAACTGGCGTGAGGTGGTATCTCATTGTGGTTTTGATTTGCATTTCTCTAGTGACCAGTGATGATGAGCTTTTTCTCATGTTTATTGGCCACATAAATGTCTTCTTTTGAAAACTGCCTGTTCATATCCTTCATCCACTTTCTGATGGATTTTTTTTTCTTGTAAACTTGTTTAAGTTCCTTGTAGATTCTGGATATTAGCCCTTTGTCAAATGGATAGATTGCAAAAACTTTCTCCCACTCTATAGGTTGCCTGTTCACACTGATGACAGTTTCTTTTTCTGTGCAGAAGCTCTTTAGTTTAATTAGATCCCATTTGTCTATTTTGGCTTTTGTTGCCATTGCTTTTGGTATTTTAGTCATGACGTCTTTGCCCATGCCTATGTCCTGAATGGTATTGCCTAGGTTTTCTTCTAGGGTGTTTATGGTGTTAGGTCTTATGTTTAAGTCTTTAATCCATCTTGAGTTAATTTTTGTATAATGTGTAAGGAAGGGGTCCAATTTCAGTTTTCTGCATATGGCTAGCCAGTTTTCCCAACACCATTTATTAAATAGAGAATTCTTTCCCCATTGCTTGTTTTTGTCAAGTTCGTCAAAGATCAGATAGTTGTAGATGTATGGCATTATTTCTGAGGCCTCTGTTCTGTTCCATTGGTCTATATATCTGTTTGCGTAACAGTACCATGCTGTTTTGGTTACTGTAGCCTGGTAGTATAGTTTGAAGTCAGGTAGCATAACGCCTCCAGCTTTGTTCTTTTGGCTTAGGATTGTCTTGGCTATACAGGCTCTTTTTTGGTTCCATATAAAATTTAAAGTAGTTTTTTCTAGTTTTCTGAAGAAAGTCAGTGGTAGATTGATGTGGATAGCATTGAATCTATAAATTACTTTGGGCAGTATGGCCATTTTCACGATATTGATTCTTCCTATCTATAAGCAGGGAATGTTTTCCTATGTGTTTGTGTCCTCTCTTTCATCTTTTCATGTAGTCCCATATTCCTTGGGGGCTTTGTTCTTTCCTTTTCATTCTTTTTTCCCTAATCTTGCCCTCATGCTTTATTTCATTAAGTTGATCTTCAATCTCTGATATCCTTTCTTCTGCTTGATCAATTCGGCTATTGATACTTGTGTATGCTTCACAAAGTTCTCGTGCTGTGTTTTTCAGCTCCATCAGGTCATTTATGTTCTTCTCTAAACTGGTTATTCTAGTTAGCAATTCCTCTAACCTTTTGTCAAGGTTCTTAGCTTCCTTGCATTGGGTTAGAACATGCTCCTTTAGCTTGGAGGAGTTTGTTATTACCCACCTTCTGAAGCCAACTTCTGTCAATTTGTCATACTCATTCTCCATCCAGTCTTGTTCCCTTGCTGGTGAGGAGTTGTGACCCTTTGGAGAAGAGGCATTGTGGATTTTGGAATTTTCAGCCTTTTTGTGCTGGTTTTTCCTCATCTTCATGGATTTATCTACCTTTGGTCTTTGCTGTTGGTGACCTTCAGATGGAAATTTTGCGTGGTCATCCTTTTTGTTGATGTTGATGCTATTGATTTCTGTTTGTTAGTTTTCCTTCTAACAGTCAGGCCCCTCTTCTGCAGGTCTTCTGGAGTTCGCTGGGGGTTCACTCCAGACCCTGTTTGCCTGGGTATCACCAGCAGAGGTTACAGAACACCAAAGATTGCTACGTGCTCTTTCCTCTGGAAGCTTCTTCCCAGAAAGGCACCCGCCAGATGCCAGCCAGAGCTCTCCTGTATGAGGTGTCTGTCGATTCCTGCTGGGAGGTGTCTCCCATCAGGAGGCACGGGGTTCAGGGACCCCACTTGAAGAGACAGCCTGTCCCTTAGCGGAGCTCAAGCACTGTCTGTGAGATCCTCTGCTCTCTTCAGTTCTGGCAGGCAGGAATGTTTAAGTCTGCTGAAGCTGCACCCACAGCCACCCCTTCCCCCAAGTGCTCTGTCCCCAGGGAGATGGGAGTTTTATCTATAAGCCCCTGACTGGGGCTGCTGCCTTTCTTTCAGAGATGTCCTGCCCAGAGAGGTGGAATCTAGAGTGGCAGTCTGGCTACAGCGGCTTTGTGGTGCTGTGGTGTGCTCCGCCCTGTCCAAATTTCCAGGCGGCTTTGTTTAAACTGTGAGGGGAATACTGCCTACTCAAACCTCAGCAATGGCGGGGGCCCCTCCCCCCACCAAGCTCCAGCATCCCAGGTCAACTCTAGACTGCTGTGCTGGCAGCAAGAATTTCAAGCCAGTGGATCTTAGCTTGCTGGACTCTGTGTGGGTGTGATCCACTGAGCAAGACCACTTGGCTCCCTGGCTTCAGTTCCCTTTCCAGGGGAGTGAATGGTTCTGTCTTGCTGGCATTCCACGCATCACTGGGATATGAAAAAAAACTCCTGCAGCTAGATTAGTGTCTGCCCAAAAGGCAGCCCAGTTTGTGCTTGAAACCCAGGTCCCTGGTGGCACAGGCACCCGAGGAAACCTACTGGTGTGTGGGTTACGAAGACTGTGGGAAAAGCATAGTATCTGGGCCAGAATGCACTGTTCCTCATGGCACAGTCCCTCATGGCTTTCCTTGGCTAGGGGAAGGAGTTCCCTGACCCCTTGCACTTCCCGGGTGAGGCAACACCCCACCCTGCTTCTGCTTGCCCTTCGTGGGCTGCACCCAGTGTCAATCTAGTCCCAGTGAGATGAACCTGGTACCTCAGTTGGAAATGCAGAAATCACCCTCCTTCTTCATCAGTCTCACTGGGAGCTGCAGACCGGAGCTGTTCCTATTTGGCCATCTTGCCTGGGAATCCCTGATTCAACCCAGTGTTTTTAACTAAAAGCAAAAATGTAGTCATTTCTCTGCCCCGATAAGGTACTGCACCATATGTTTTCATAGTGTTCTGTAAATATCAAGAACATGACATGTCCTTTGCCTTTAGGTATAAGGGAAATACCAACATAGTTTCCAGTCTGTAACTTTCTGCTGGGAGGGCTAAAGGAAAGAGTCATACCATAAATCTAAAGGTCTCTTCACTGAAGTTTCCATAGCGCCTCTCTAACTTGTCCATGCCATAGGGTCCTCCCCTCCTCTGAACTCATTCAGTGGTCATAGGCTCCTCATATTAGGTATCTTTTGTAATATATGTCTTGCCTTCACAAGACCCTGGAGGCATTATCTCTTACCTTTATCTGTGCTTCCCATGAAGTTGGTACAGTGCTTGCTCCCTATAAGCACTCAGCTAATGCCGATTCATACAGCATAAAAGTTTCTAAAACTTGGTAGGGGATAGAGTCTTTTTTTTTTAAAAAAAAAAAAAAGGGGGGGGGATCCAGAATAACAAGATGTTCTAGACTTTAGAACAGTTCATATGGCTATTAGGTCATCCTCCGAGATTCACATTCTTGTGAATGTGGTACAATCTTGAATGTTTTTAAGGAATCCTCTGGCTCTGGGTTTGTCTAGGCAATAGAAAATGAAGACTCTAACCCCAAGGAGGGCAAAGCTCCTGGGAAGTAACGTGAACACCTCATCTCACCACCTCTGCCTTGGGAGTCAACACAAATTTATCTTTAAGAAAAAGCAGACATCCTAAAGAACTCCAGGGCCAATGGAGGACCCTGGCCTTCCTCGGAAGCTGACACAGAAGGCTAAACCTTGCTCACTCTCAATCTAATTTCCCTAAGCTCATTTTTAACCGGTCAGGTCACCACAACCCAAATAGCCAGCATTCCCACAAGAATAGGTCCAGGTCAGGATAGCTGTATTTATTGTATTAATAGTATGATACCCACAATAAAGGAAATGAGAAGCCCATCCTCCCATCATGAACTCAGCCCTGCACTGACCAAACCCAACGGAGCAGTCAAGGAGCCACAATTTAAGACAATGACATATTAAACTGAGGCAAGAGGTGAGAGACTAAAACTGCATTTTGAGGAATCATTAAAAGAAGCTGAGGGTGTTTGACCAAGAAAAGAGAAGGCCTGGTAGCTGCATTGTAGAATTTGAAGGAAGAAAGTATATGAAAGATGTTGACCATTCCAAAGCCAGACAGATGGCAGAATTAGAAGCAGTGAGTGAAACATATACAGGGCAGATGTCTTAGTCTAGGTTCCTTAGAAAACAGACTCTAAGGCAAAGCTTAGGCATTACTGCTTTCTCTGGGGGCAAAAGGTAAAAAAAAAAAAAAAAGACATGCATGGCAAGGAAGGAGGGAGAGCAAGAAAAAAATAGTATGTTATCAGGCTGTACACAGCTTCCCAAGAAACACCGCTGGTCACACGTCTCTGCAGAAGCAGGGCAGGCACTGCACTATGCAGCAGTCAGCAGGAAGAAGAGGAGCTAGTCATTTATTTCCCGGATACTTCCTGACTCTTCACTCTCCACATGGCACAAATATCCCTACACTTCTTTTTGTTTTGTTTTGTTTTGAGACAGAGTCTCACTCTGTCACCCAGGCTGGAGTGCAGTGGTATGATCTCAGCTCACTGCAACCTCCGCCTCCTGGGCTCAAGGGATTCTCCTGTCTCAGCCTCCCCAGTAGCTGGGACTCCAGGTATGTGCCACCATGCCCAGCTAATTTTTGAATTTTTAGTAAAGATAGGGTTTCACCATGCTGGCCAGGCTGGTCTCAAACTCCCTATCTCAAGCGATCCGCCCTCCTCAGCCTCCCAAAGTGAAATACCCCTAAACTTCTTAGTAACCTTCTCCTACCCCTTCAAGGGGCACTGAGAGAACCAGAGCCTCAGTGGTGCAGCAGGATCTGATCTGGCCCAAGCCCTGGAGTTGCCACAGCTCCTACCACAGAAAATGTGACCAAGGCTGTGCCAAAGCCCAGCCGTCACACCCAGGAAAGTCAGAAACTACTGAGTGTAAGGAGATGAGGTGGCCACAATGGCAGTGGCGGCCAAAGCTTTATAACTGCAGGAATGGCCAGAAGCTGGGCTAACAGCCGAGGCTGTGGGGATGGGTTCATAGACCACACCAGAACATTAGGTTTTAGTAAGATGTCAGTTTGAAACCATTTAACATTTGAAACCATCTAACGATAGAATTAGCCAGTGCTTTTCAAACATTACGTATATATGAGTACCCAGTACCCAGGAATCCTGTCAAGGGAAGATTCAGATTCAGCAAGTCTGGGATAGGGACTCAGATCGAGCATTTCCTACTAACTCTCCAGGGATGCCCCGTTGCTACCCCCAGGCTACACTCTGAATATTAGGTGAATGTTCTGCTTCACAAAGTGGTGAGTTTTACATCCCTAGGTGTGTTTTAGCAGATCCTGAATTGATTGATCTTCTGTCACAAAAAGTCAGGTATTTTGCAGAAAAGGTCTCCTGCCTGGGAATAAAAGGTTGAACTAAATGACCACTGTAGAACTTTCCAAATCTAAGATTTTTATTTATTTACCAAAACCTGATGAGCACTAAACCAATAATGAATGATACATTAGTTTAAAAAGAAGAAATGCCTAGCTTTAATCTTATTCATTGCTCACTTTTCAATGACTCCTTATCAAATCCAAAGTACAATTAGCCAAGATCCTGATTGAAATTTAGAGCTTTACCTAATGACGACTGACCAGAAATGGATGTAATTCAGTCAGTAACTAATATGAGTGATGTTTTTCTCATCATCTCCCTTTCAAAATCCTTCCTCAACCACAAGAAACTCAAGGAGTAAATGCAGAGATGTTAAAAGGTATAGACAGGACATCTAGGATTATAGGATTATTAGAGACTGTCTCCTCCAGACTCTTATCAAGCCTGAGTTAAGTGTAACGTGAAAATTCAATCCTTTCACTTCATTCCCTGATGAATGAAAACCAAAAGAAAATCTCAATCCAGACGCTTAGGAATGTGAGTTTCTAGACAGCTGAGTTTTCTAGCAAGATAAAAGCTAACGCTTTAGAACTAGATATATTTTTCCTTTTTGTCTAATGATTTTATTCTAATTATCACTTAGAACTGCCGTACAAATTTGAATTCGCCACTTCTCTTCACTTTTCAATTAATTTATCAAGTTTTCATATTCCCTATTATCAAGAGGCACGGTATCGGCTTCTTTAAGCCTTCTCCATGTACACACTGGGCTTTGTCCCTGGATGCTGAAGCCCTCACACTCCAGGAAGAGAGAGCTGCTTAGTTTTCAAGGCTGGGCTGGGAGAACCCGCATATAATTCTACGGAGTTATAACTGTCACTGCTCCTCTCTGCCACACGGTGGCACTGTTGAAGACTGGCTCTACCCAGTCATGCGTGTCCGCTGCTGCAGAGCCTCTGCCCGCCTAGACCCAGGTAGAAATTTCCGTGGCTCCCAGAGGAAGGACGGCCCCATCTCCCAGGGCTGAGCTCAGCCACGTGGTTGCAGCTCTTCCTTCCTTGCACTCTCGTGCCGCATACGCCAGCTTCCCCAAATGCTGCCCACCCCCGAGGGATGCCGTTCAGGACTCTTCCAACATTCACCACTTCTCAGATCCAGAATCCTTTTCTCTCTTCCCTCCCTCAGAATGGGGTGTATAGTTGGATTTTAAACCTTCAAAACACAAAAGTTCTTATTACAGCCCTCTTTCCTGTACAACCTACACCAACCTCTCTCAGGAAAGCTATCCTCAGTGACTCCTAGGTGCCCTTACCCAGCCCCAGCCTCCTATTCACTTTCCTGACTTCTTAGACAAGATACACTGAACACAATTTAACTTTTTGTTAACAAAAAGCTTTAACAAAAAAGTCTCACAGCCATCATTATGAACATCATAGTTTGGTTTGGTTTGGCCGTGGGATTTTTTTTAAGGTAAGCATACACGTGTCTTTTGTATTAGAAAAATTATAGATTGGAGACATGATTTGACAATCCTATTGCAGAACTAATATTTTGGGGAGATCCTTGATTTCTAACCCATCTCTGGCTGGGAAGCACATGCTCTTTGCAGTTCACCATGTGGCCTCCCCACCTCCCTGCCTCACTGCCTCTCTACCCAGGACTCTCTGACATATGCCATCACTTCTTCAGTCTTACTCACTTCTTTTTTACATACATATCTTTATGCTTCAGCTAAATTTAACTATGACCATTTCTCCAAAAACAAGCTATAGTTTCCCATCTCTGTGCCTTTGCTCATGTTGTTCCTATTTTCCTAAATTGCCCCTTATTTTATCCCTGCCTTTTGAAAGCTTAACAACCCTTTGAGGTCCACCCACACACTAAATCCTCCTCCAGGTTTTTTATAATCCCTCCCGCTGAATGTGATCTCTTCCTCCTTTGTACTTCCACAGCAAATTATGCATTATCTCTTTTAAGATAATTTCATTCCTACATTGCCAACATTTGAGATGTTGACTTCAGTGAACATAGAATTTTAATTTTTTTTCTACAGCATTGAGAATAGCATCTTATACTTAGTAAGCATTTAGTAAATACATACTGGATGGAATTTCATTGCCAAACGCATACTTGAACCTTTAGTAAAATTCTTCTGCTAATCTAAGCTTGGTCCCTTTTAGCGTACTCTAATCGCATGAGGATTAAATTCAAAAGAGAAAATATAAAATAGGAAAAAAAGGAGGATACTGAAGTTTTGTATAGGTTGCAAAAGTCCCAAATGGTTCTGAGAGCTAGGAATTTCTACTTATACGTTCAGTGACCTCACGGCATAGAAGAAAATCATCCATGTTTGCAGCTGAGAAAGATAAATGGGGAATTGGGGGATGTAAAAATGGGGGTGTCATTTCATAGAGCTGATCACTCTCTCTTCTCTTGGTTCCCATGATGACACTCTTGCTTTGCTTTCCTGACATCCAACTGATCCCAGTTCCCTCTCCTCAATCTCTTGATGCTGGAGTACCCCAGAACTTAGTTCCACCTCTTCTATTGTTCTCCATCTACCCCTTCTTCCTAAGAGGTTAACTTTGCCACATGAGCAACTTACAATCCACTAGAAAATGACTGATAAGGAGCACTGATCTTAACCATCATAATATATTTCCAGCTTCTGACATTGGCACAGAGACTTGCAGGCTGTGAGTGACAGGTGGCAGTGAGTGTATAAAATCAGAACTTTAGTTCACCTAGGTGTTTCTTTGGGCATGTGATGATTTGTAAGACTTGTGAATAAAATCAAGTGCATGTTTGAGAACCAGCCGTACCCAGTGATGTGTATCTCCTGCTTCAAAGAGCTTTTGCTGGTCTAGACCCAGGTAAAGATTTCTTTTACCTGGAAAGAAAAGGATAAGTAGAAATGATCCTGAACCAATGTTTTTCCTTCTGCTTTTCTTGATGGTAATCAGAGAACTCCACAGACATTAGACCTCATAAGGCAAGTCACTGTGTGTTTACACATGCCAAATGTTTTGTTCTTTGGAGCCTTTTTAAGAATGGAAGAAAATAAAAAATGCAAGAGCCTTTTATGATCATTTATTGTACCGCTGCTAATTTGAAGCCTGCCACTCATAACATGGGGAATGATGATTACTATACATATAGTACTATATACATAGAAATATATAGTAATATAGATATCATCATATACATTTATATATAGTATATATTATATACAATAATATATAGTATTTAATATATACGATAATATATCGTACATAATATATACGATAATATATCGTATATATTGTTTATACATAATATACTATATATTCCTATTTTCCTAAATTGCCCCTTATTTTATCCCTGCCTTTTGAAAGCTTAACCATCCTTTGAGATATATATTATATAATGTTATATATTATAGCATATTATATATTTTATTATATTATATAGCATACATAATATAGTATATATAAAACAATATATACTATATATAGACATGTCTATATATAGTATATATAGTAATATATGTTACTATGTCTATATATAGTATATATTGTTTTACATATAACATATATAGTAATATATATTACTAGATATTAAAATATATATAAAAATATTACTGTATATTTCTATATATAGTAATCTTATTATATATTACTATATATAGAATAAGATTACTATATATAGAATATATTCTATATATTTCATATATATAGAATATATTACTATATATTTCATATATATAGAATATATTACTATATATTTCTATATATATAGTAATCATCATTCCCCTTGTTATGAGTGGCAGGCTTCAAATTAGCAGTGGCACAATAAATAATCATAAAAAGTTCTTGCATTTTTTATTTTCCTTCCATTCTTAAAAAGGCTCCGAAGAACAAAACATTTGGGATGTGTAAGCACAGAGTGACTTGCCTTATGAGGTCTAATGTCTGTGGAGTTTTCTGACTTTATATATATGTGTGTGTGTGTGTATATATATATATGACTATATATATATGAATATATATATATGACTATATATATATAGTACTATATAGAGTAATCATCATTTAATAATCATTCCACAATGAGAGAAAAAGAGAGAGAGAGAGAGTCTTGCTCTGTTGGCCAGGCTGGATTGCAGTGGCACAATCACAGCCAACACGGTCTTACCTGTACCTCCTGGACTCAAGCAATTCTCCAATCTCAGTTTCTCAAGTAACTGGAACTACAGGTGGTGCCACCACACTTGGCTAATTTTTAAAAATTTTTTGTAGAGATAGGGTCTCCCTATATTGTCCAGGCTGGTCTCTAACTCCAGAACTCAAGCAATTCTCCCACCTTGGCCTCCCAAAGTGCTCGGATTACAGGCATGAGCCATGGCACCCAGCCTTATATATTCTTCTACCATGGAAGTTAGTAGCTTTGTCTCTGGTAAAAAGTCTTTACCCTAGGATACATAAATGCTGGTGTGTGTATGTGTGTGTCTATTTGTGAGTATGTAAGTCTGTGTGTATGTGTAAGTGTATATTTGTGCATGTGTGTATATGTATTAATATGTGTATATGAGTGTGTGTGATGTGTGTGAAATTCTCTCCTTACCCAGTTCCACACACTGATGCTTTGACTGAATCAAACTGCATTCTCCAGAGGTAGCTGCTGAGCTTCCTGATTTTATTCTATACAAAATACCAAAAATACTTCCAAATAAATGGGTTGTTAAGTACCCTTCACTACTTTGGAGGGCTGTGCCTGACTTTCTTGCCACTGTGGGAATTTTACCAATAGTATTGAATGGAAGTCAAATGTTTAAAAAATAAACAAAACTTACTTTCTAAAAACAGCTTCATTTAAATCATTTTAGAAACTATCTTTAAAACCTGATACCTATAAAGAAAACATTTTTATTTAAATCTTCATAGGAGAATATGAGTCATCCAATTCATAAATCCTTTCCTCTTATAGTGAAACTTTGGTTAGTTCAGAACTTCTATTTCCTTGATAAATTACCCTAACATGTCCTATATCTGAAGAACCTAAAATAGCTAGGTTTAGAAAGGAGGAATCTAAGCCACATTATCATGGCCAGTGGTCCCTAAACATTTTTAATTACATACCTCATCAATAAAACACATTTTACCATTTGATCATATTTATGTATATTTATTTGTAAATTATATACATGTACTACTGTATAGATATCATATTATCTATATAGCAAAGTAGAAATAAAATAATTTTAGGAGCCAAATTAAAATAAATGTCACTATTTTAAAATTTTTATTTTTTAATGGCACAAAAAATCCTTTCTTCTCCTCTTAGAGATCTTATTATTGATGGTAATATTTTCAGTGGCAGCAGTGAATTGAATATATTTCATTTTTTGTAAAGTCTTGGTTTGTCTTCATGTTCTGAAAGCATAGTTTCAAATGTCTTTCTAGTCATAATGGCTTCACACTATCATTAATTAATAACTCAAGGCATAATATACAATGACTAAGGCACATGGCTAATGAGACTGGATGTGAATCTATATTAGTTTGTTACGGCTGCCTTAATAAAGAGCTAAGATTGGGTAGCTTAAACAGCAGAAATTTCTTTTCTCACTGTTCTAGAGGCGGGAAGTCCAAGATCAATCAAAGTGTTGGCATCGGTTTATTGTGAGCTGTTCCTGCGAGGGAAGGATCTGTTCCAGGTCTCTCTTCTTGGCTTGTGGATGTTTTTCTTCTCCCTGGGTCTTCCCATGTTCTTGCCTCTATTCATATCTCTGTGTCCAAATTTCCTCTTTTATAAGGACACCAGTCATATTGGTAGAGCCCACCCTAATGATCTCATTTTAACTTAATTACCTCTGTAAAAACCTTATCTCTAAAAAATGTCACATTCTGAGATACTGGAGGGTTAGGATTTCAAAATATGAATTGGGTGGGGTAGAGACACAATTCAGCTCATAAGAAAATCCATATTTCAAATAGTTTTGTTTATAATGTTGAAGTTATGGGTCAATTTCTTGTCAGATGTGATCACCTCTGCCATTGACCTTGCATTACCTTTATCACATGATTTCAATACATAAATCTTTTAAGACTGTTGCCCATTTCCCATGCTTATATATATAAACTGCAAACCGTCATAAGATGCTGAAAGGAAAGGATGAATGACAGCACTGTTGTGCGGCACCACCCCTCCCTCATGGCACCTTGACCATCTGAAATCTACACCATCTGAGGGCACTACCAATTTCTTCATTGCATAAAGCTCTGATTCATCCTTTTTTATATTAGTTCTAATATATGATAACTAATTTTATATTTAAGTACTGTATTTTATATTAGTTCTAATATTTTATGCATACTATATATATACTTAGTTATAATATATTCTTCCAGTGTGGCAATGGATTGTCTTGTGGGTGTGATCATCCCATGTTGGAGACCTCTGATCCAGACCAGACTTTCTAAAAACTACCTGCACATTTTCAAATTCAGACTGAAAAAGTTATTTATAAGAAGGGCCTGTGGCTGTGATGTAGGCTGTGAAATCACGTCGCAGTCAAACCAAATCAAAAGGGCCCACAGACTTATGATACTCACTTTCTCTTTTCATTGCCTCCAATACACAGGTATTTAATTGTTCCCTGAGGTTTAAGGCAGTGGACTGAGGATAATACAGGCTCCAGCTTTCATTAGTTCAATGGATGATGCTGTTCAATCCATACTGTTTGGGGCATTTGTTGAAAATGTCATTCAGAAGATATCAACACTTTCTGAGTCATGGTTTGATTGAATTTATAGAATTATGTGATAGAAACCACATTCTTCACAAAAGTCACAAGGCAATAATGACGACAAGGGTTGAAGATGAAAGATGCCAAATATTCTGATCAATTCAATAAGGCAAAAAGACAAGTTAATTCACTCAGTGCTCCAGGCATCAACTTCATAGAAGGAATGGAAATTCTACCTGTTTCCTAAAGAACTACAGAGGTAAAATCTCCTTTGTTTATAATGCATTTGGCCAAGTGTATTCTAGTTCTGGGGGCCTAAATAGGCCATCAAAAGAGCAACAATGCAGAGGCCAAATTATATATTGAGAGGAAATTAACAGCCTGCCAAAAGGAAAGGAGACCTATCAAAAAGAACAAGATGGAACACCCTGTTGAGGTGGCTCTAAAATTCTCAGAGCTGGTCCTGCAACCATAATGCAAAAATAGCAACAAAAGCCAATTAAGTGGAGAATGATGTTTTTCATCCTCCAAGTGCATTCTAAACTGGCACAAAACAATTACTTTCTACAGTTCTGGGTAGAAAGGAAATAGCATGGGTGAGCATTACAACGGTATCTAATCATGGTACAGCAAAAGTAGAACAAGTCTGGAGCCTTGGTCCTCTGTGACATAGGGATACTTACCTCACATCCTGCCCCACCTCAGTGATCTTAATTCCCAAACACACCATGCTTCTGGGTGTTTCTATGACTTGTAATGGTAGTTAGAAGCTAAGTTCATGTCTCTGCTCTATGTAGCTTAAACTGTCCTACTCAAGTCGCTTTGAGTACTGCCTCTATTTCATTGCACATAATTCTACAATTATCCATCTTACTACATCACAATGTTCTTATCTAAACACTAATCTCCCTTACTAGACTACAAGCTCATTAAGATCAGGGATCATGTCTAATCTTTGTATTTTCAGTGCCAACACAGATACTGACATTTAATAAGTACACAGTAAGTGTTTGGGGGACATAAAAAATAATAACCTGTTCTACTGTTGAAAATTTTCAAAATCCCTAGTGTTGTCATACACATGGTCTTATAGACCCCTCACAATAAATTCATTATCAATATTCTTATTTTAAAGGTGGGAAAATTGTGATCAGATGAGATAAATGATTTGTTCGAGGTCACAGAGCTTTTAGGAGCAGAAGCAGGACTTCCACCCAGTTTCTGATGCCTAGATTAGTTAATATTTTTTCACCACCCTACAGCAAATTCATGCCTTCTTCTGAGAGGGAGGGAAGGAGGCACTCATGCCCAATAGCAAGGGAACCAGAGGCAATATTCTAGGTCTGTAAATGAGAGAGACAGGACCTGTGAGTTGCTTTCTTATACCGATAGAATACCTGGAAGGGTAGCCCACTATTCTGTACAATTAGTTAATGAATAAATGAATGAACAAGCTGCCAGACTTCAAGGCACAAAAAGCAATTTTCATCCAACAATATAGCTCATCACTGGCTTCAGGTAAGGGCCTCAAATGTCCAGATGAGGCCTGAAGGCTTTGAGGCTGATTCTGAGACAAAGTACATGTGGGGTAAATCAGTTGTCATTACAATTGAGATCTTTGTCCCACAAAACAGGCACTGCATTAGTTCAGCTTATGATTAACTTTTTCCAGTAACTGCAAAGAGGCTAGGCATGTGTCCCTGTCTGCCCAGTGATCACTCCTATGCACTTCCGTCGGGATTCTGGACAGATTTTCTAGAGTAGGGGTATTGAGAGTTCTCAAAAGAGAGGCTTTGGAGACAGATGGGCTTGGGATGAAATCGTCATTCCTCTCTCACTGCCTGTGTGGTGCTGGACAAGTTGTTTAACCTCTGTGTGCCCCAGAGTCCTCATTGGTGGAGTTGGGTTGATGCGCGTGTCTATGTCATAGGGTTTCTGTGAGAATTAAATGGGGCTGAAACTTAGGTGATAATTCAACCAAGGTTTCTTTTTTTTTTTTTTTTTTTTTTTTTGAGACGGAGTCTCGCTCTGTCGCCCAGGCTGGAGTGCAGTGGCGGGATCTCGGCTCACTGCAAGCTCCGCCTCCCGGGTTCACGCCATTCTCCTGCCTCAGCCTCCCAAGTAGCTGGGACTACAGGCGCCCGCCACTACGCCCGGCTAATTTTTTGTATTTTTAGTAGAGACGGGGTTTCACCGTTTTAGCCGGGATGGTCTCGATCTCCTGACCTCGTGATCCGCCCGCCTCGGCCTCCCAAAGTGCTGGGATTACAGGCGTGAGCCACCGCGCCCGGCCTCAACCAAGGTTTCTTAATTTGGAGCCCTAGGTCCTCTGAGAGTCCTCAGATTTTCCTCAAAATTCAAAAGGTCCGTGAGAATGTAACCTTGTGTTTTCATTTTCATAATATAAATATTAATGCAACACAGGTGTGTCATCTGGATGAACATGAGATTCTAATAGCTGCCTATGTATTTGTGTTCACAATCAGGTGTACACCAAACGGAGGGCAAATGCTGTTACCACTCATCGTGCAAGACTTTTGAGGCAATTTGGACATAGACAAGTGATGGGAAAATTGAATCATTATATGGCTCATGACAGTGTTGAAAACTCAAACATCCAAGGACCTGTACCTTTGCTAAGTGCCATGCATATGTTGCTGATAAAGATGCAATAAATACTCTTTTGTTAAATTATACTTATTATTTCTCAGTATGGGGAGCGTGCATTCTAAATTGAGCAATCTTCAGTATTTTAAAATGACTTTATAATTAAAATAGCAAAATAATAATAACAATTACAATTTAAATAATGATTAGCAATAATTAAGATTGTCATGAGTAAAAATAATTATGCCAACTCATCTTTCTATTAATACACCTAGCATTGACAATTTAAGTTCAGCCAGTATCTGCTTTTTAAACTGTCATGAATTTGAATTGTATTGGTTGTCACTTTGTTTATATATACATACATATATCTATATCTATAGATAGTTTTTTTTTTTTTTTTTTTTGAGACAGGGTCTCAGTCTGTCACCCAGGTGGGAGTGCAGTGGCACGATATCGGCCCACTACAACCTCCTCCTCCTGGGCTCAATCCAACCTCCCACCTCAGCTTCCAGAGTAGCTGGGACTATAGGGTACGCCACCATGCCCAGCTAATTTTTTGATTTTTTGTAAAGATAAGGTCTCATTATGTTTCCCAAGCTTGTCTCAAGCTCCTAAGTTCAAGGGATGCACCTACCTCGGCTTCCCAAAGTGCTAGGATTATAGGCGTAAGCCACCATGCCCAGCTTATATTTAATTTGCAAATTTGTTTTCGTTTTTATGATTGTATAGCACACATGTAGTTTTATATTTTTACATATTTCAGAAATTTTATAATAAAAAGTAATAAAGGTATGCTGAAGATCTGCAAGAATTTATTTTCTTTAAAAGAGATTTGTATGTACCCTGGATTACTCAAATTCAGACATTAAACGAGATTATCTCTTTCACATTGAAAACCCTATGATAAGGAAACTAATAAGTGCAGGAGACAGACGGAAGGGATAGGAACCAATGCTGTGTCCTCAGATCATTATGAGACTTTTCATTATAATCATTAAACTATTTTATTTTTTGAGACAGGGTCTCACTCCATCACCCAGGCTGGAGTGCAGTGGCATGATCTCAGCTTACTCCTCAACCTCCTGGGCTCAAGCAATCCTCCCACTTCAGCCTCCCAAGTAGCTGGGACTACAGGCATGCACCACTACACTCAGCTAATTTTGTTTTGTTTTGTTTTAGATGGTGTTGTTGTTGTTGTTGATGGTGGTGGTGGTGGTGGTGGTGGTGGTGGTAGAGACAAGGATTGAGAGTGAGTTGCTTGGGTTGGTCTCAAACTCCTGGGCTCAAATGATCCTCCCACCTCAGTCTCCCAAAGTGCTGGGATTACAGGCGTGAGTCACCATGCTCAGCCCAAACTATTCTTTCTGTCTGCTTTCCTACAAGGAGAAAGTAAAGACAGCAGAGATATTCTACCTGATCAAGAACGAAATGCTACCATGCAAATTCAAAACTATAAAGGGAAGCATCTCACACTTTGCATGGTTTTATCTCATCACTCAGAGGTCAGTAGACAGGGAAAGAGCTAGTAGTTCCCATCTAGTCAAATAAGGACTGTCTTGTCCGTGGAGGATTCATTACAAAACTGCTCTTAATATTTGTGAGCTACAAAGTCCACACATCTTAGTGAATTAACCCAGCAGTTTTGTTGTAGGAACCCAGCTGGAAAGTGTTTCTAAATGACTGATAGCAGCTCCTGTTTTCTTCAAGCCTAAACAATGACAAAGATATTTCTTTTTAAAGTTCTGGGGAGGGTGGGAAGGGCATGGCTTTTTAAATGTGTAGTGTTTATTCCTAGATTGGCATCCTCTTTGCCTCTATTGATGAGCAGCACCTCTCCCTTTTATTTAAATTCACTAGTTTGGTGATCACGTGGTTCCAGAGGAGAAGGCAGAAGTGATAGTGCAGCAGAGTCCCCACTCCTGTAACCCATGTGCCAAGTTATAATCTGATAGATTCATGTAATAATAGGTTTCTAAATTGTGGAGTCAGACACAAAAGGTCATCAGCAGATGGTGAAACTGGTTGGGCCAAGCGAAGGGAATAAGGCACCCTGAAGGGCACACTGCCTTGGACTGACGCAACATCACATGTGCTTTCTTCCTTCTTTTAGTCCTAACGTGAATGGATCTTCTCAAGTACGTGAAGTACTAGAGACCAGAGGAGGGCATCTAACCCCAGACAGCAAAAAGACAGGATGTCCACAGATGCTTGGTGGGAGAGATTGGACCAATAACCGTGACAGTGACTCACTCCAGCAATCTGTGCCTCTTTTGCAAACATTTGAACTCAGATTGAGAGTGAGTTAATGGTAGATATAACTAGAAGCATAAAGACACAAAAAGACAATAATGACAGCTTGATATTTTGAACAGTTACTGGGTCCCGAGCAATGCTTTAAACATGTTACACCCATTATCTCATTTGATCCTACAACAAGTCTATGAGGTAGGTAGCATTAGTATGTGGAAACTGAAGCCAAGAGAGATTAGGTAAAGTGCCTGATAGTACACATAATAAGCCAGAATTCTAACTCAAGTAATCTCATTCCAGGACTCCAACTAAGCCACTATGCTGGGAGCAGAGATGGGGAAGAATTGCTGAGTCATGATAAGAGAAGGCACTATAGGAAGAAACAGTGAACTCTTAACAGCTGGGCAAGCAATGAGTCAGCCTGGGTGGTCACTCCAGATGCTCCCGGACACATCCCAATTTCTAGGATGCCTTGCTGTGAGTGGTTTGTCACATATGTCCTGGTTGTGCAACTGTTCCTTGGGTTCCTATGAAGCCTAATCTCATTTCCACAAGTATCCTTGTAATAAGCCTTCTCCATTGTTTTGGATAAACTGTGGATAAACTCTCTTGCCTCCCAAAAGCCTAAACCTGGAGTAAACTACAAATGATTCCCCAGCAGTGGTTCTCAAACTTTAGTGTACGTCAGAATCACCTGGAGGTTTGTTAAACCAGATTGCTGGGCTGCACCTCCAGAGTTAGTGATTCACTAGGTCTGGGAGGGGCCCAAACCTTTCCATTTCTAACAAGATCCCTGGTGATGCTGATGCCACAGATACAGGGACCATATTTTGAAAATGACTAATTTAGAGCCTAACCCCAACGTGGAGATGCCCAGAAACAGTGGCCTCAACTGGGAGCTTGTTAGAAATGCAGGGTCTCAGCACCCACACAGGCCTACTGAACCAGACTCTGCATTTTAAAACCCCTAGGTGCTTTGTGTTCATGTAAAGTTAGAGAAGCACTGCTAGAAATATCAGGAAGCCACACACACAGAGGCTAATTTAGCAGGTTGGGAGTGTGGCCTGGGCATAGGGACTTCCCGAATCTCTCTATGTGATTCTAATGTGCAGCCAAGGTTGTGGAACTGCTAATCTTTTGGTGACATACTGGCATTTTCTTTTCCTCCACACCAATGCACAGGATATGTACTTCTCAAGGAAAAAAAATGGTCACTATATATATTAAACTGACAGAGGAAAAGTGGAAATAACATATGTCTTAGATCTCCATTTTGGCGAAGACAGGCTTCAGCTGTAAAGAATCGAAGAATAAAATGAGACCAACAAAGTGAAATCATTTCTGAACCCAGTAACTATTACTGCAGCACTGATCTGCTGAACCGGCAGAGGAGTCCAAAAGAAAAATCTACTCATCCCAAATGAGCATTTACTCTCAATATGATGTGTTTCACTAGCTCCTTTCCTCTAAAGCACTTTTTTTCCCTTGCATTGTTTTTTTTTCTAATTATATGTGTGGCTTTAGACAAATTATTCCAATTCTCTGCACTTCGAGTTTATCAAATAAAAATCAAGAATAATCTCTAGCTCATAGTGTGTAGAGACTGAGTTTGATTCTGTATGAAGTGCCCAGCGCAGGCCTGGCCATCTAGTGAGAGAACAGTAAATGGTCTACTTGGGAGAACTCCTCAGTTAGAACTTTAATGATTAGGTAGCTAATGATCTGTAATACCCTCCTTAGCACCTGTTAATCTCACTTTAATAAGGAGAGTATGTCCGGCCTTTTACAAGAAGCCACAGATACTCCAGCCAGCAAGGTTGGAGGCAAGGCTGGATCTGGACCAAAGAGGCTGGTCAGCAAGTGCTTGGGAGCCAAGTCCTGAAAACATTCATCAGAAACGTTTCCTGCATCTTCAGTGGCCTGTAGACTGGGCAGCAGGCAACTCTCTAAATTTTACTGCAGTCAGAAGTTCAGGATGGGAACCTGCTCAGAAAGGGTGGGGCGCAGCATTTCAGGGGTTATGGTCATCTCCAGGAGAGTGGAGTAGGTTGTGAAGAGGCGAGTACTTCTACAGAATCTCTAAAGCCATCATTTTGACATAGGAAATATAGAGGGTAAGGGATTGAGATGAAAAATGAAACTACTCTTTCAAGTGTGTTTCCTCCACACTTCTCTCTTATCCTCCCTTTGTCTACGCTCTTCCATGGGTGGTATTTTAAAAGATGCCTTTTCTAGTAGAAGTTTTGTAATACTTTAAAAATGCTCAGAGGCATTTTTCCAATTTGGAGTCAATATACTTTGTATACTGATGAGATACTGCAGTTAAGTAATTAGCTGTCTGCAACTAGTTAATTAAGAGATACTGCAGTACCTTGGCCTCAGGCATTAAGCAAGTCTAGCTGATAAGCTGGAAATTGGCAAATAGGAGGATTGACAAGACACAAGAGCATAATGCGACACTCAGTCGCATTTGACAAAAAAAAAAATTTGTTTTTCCAGTGGGTAAATGAGTGAGTGCCACCTAAAGTCATACAGGTGGGTCTTTTAATAAACCCAAATATTGTCAGGAAAGCGGAGACTTCCAACTGTTGGAAAATGTCGCAGTAAACAGAATTCTTCCTGAATTTCATTCTATTTTCATTTTCCTATCACCCCAGTCCTGAAATTACTGAATTCAAGGGGAGAGTTAAGACTGAGAAACCCTTGAGGTTGCCACCTGGCAGGGTCACAACCAGCAGAGACCTCGTGTGGACTTTTAAAGGGCAGCTTTTCCTCTAGCCAGACCCTTGCCCTTGCTCCAGCATCCAGCTTGCTGAGTAGGACCTGAACAGGACTCCACCTACACTTACCCTTTGGGAATTCACGCTCAACCTGCGCAACCGTAGGCAGGACCCCCACCTCCCACCCACCCAGATCAAAGGAAGACTTGACTTTGGAGAGTAAATCCTCTCGGAGAAGAGATCAGATCATTTCTCCCTACCTTGGAAGGAAAGGAACATTTCCAAGTGAAAGGTCTTGTCTGCTACTCACCTACAGCGCAAGTCCCACGGTGCCTTGAGTGTTTGCGAGTGTCTCCTCACACCCAGAAATGCCCCACTAAGGGACATCTGTGTTTCTTGGAGCTAAGAATTACCTATTGGTGAGTGGAGTAGGAAATAGAGGAATAGTATCAGAATCTGGGCGGGCCTTCCACATGCCCACCTGAAGACCCTGATGTGTGACCACGCCCCCTTAGGAGCATGCCCTCTCCCACTCCTGGCTCCCATCGCTTGCAAATTCTTATGTAATGAGAAAATGCTGAAAGAGTATACACATGTGAAGAGGATCAAAGCAGAAAACAAACTGGGAAATTACAGATTCCTCCTTAAGTCAAAGCACTAGACTATTTGAATGGTATCTCTCTCCCACACAGTGTTCTTCAATGCCGTGCTCATTGTGAGCTGCACTGACTGTCTGCATAAGAATCACTTGGATACATGTCAAAAATACATCCTAGGCTTACTAAATCTGAATTAGTAGGAACAGAGCTAGAAATCTACATCTTTTAACAAAGTCTCCAGGTGACTTTCATGTATTCAGAAGTTTGTGAATGACTAATCTACCAGGACTGGTATCTTATACAGTCAATGTTTGTTTCTCTATCAGAATCTGGGAGGGCTTTCCACACGCCCACCTGAAGACCATGTGTGACCACGCCCCCAGAGGAGCATGCCTTCTCCCACTCCCCAATCCCATTGCTTATGACTTCATTCACATTTAGAGCGTGGACAGTGAATCCCCAATGTCATTTACACAGGTATCTATTAGCCCAAACCTAGCATAGTTCTACTTGACTGTCAGCACAGAACAGCAATCTAACTTCCACTGGCCATAAATAATCATGAGCTTTTGCTAAGCTGTTTCCATTGAACTTATATGGGATCAGTCATCCAGTTCTGAAACTGCCCTAAAACCAATCATATCTCAAATACATGCCCGTTATCATGTATCCCCATTCACTCTGTTTCCAAATCTTGGGACAGTGCTGAGAAGAAGCTCTTTGCTGAAAGAGTGAAAGTATAGTTGGGATGGAAGGAGAAACACATGAGTAGGTCAACTTGTCTCTGAACAAGGCAGTCCATTTCCTGGCCACATTCAGAACCTCCTTTTTAGTGCCCATAGAAGACTCCATGAAGTTAAAGGGTGGAAAGGGCTTTAGGACAGACCAGGAGAACAGCTTTAAAGTAGTCAGGGTGTATTAGTTTCCTATTGCTGCTATAGCAAATTGCCACAAATTTGGTGGCTAAAAACCATACAGATTTATTATTTTATAGTCCTCTTTTAGTTAAAAATCTGGTATATGTCTCACTAGGCTAAAATCAAGGCACCGGCAAGGCCGCATGCATTCCTTTCTGTGGGGTCTAGGTAGGACATTTCCTTGCCTTCCAAGTTCTAGAGGCTGTCTACACTTGTTGGCTTGTGACCTTCTTCCTCCATCTACAAAGTCACAAAGGCAAGGCAAGTCCCTCTCACATCGCATCCCTCTGAGCTCCTCCTGTGCCTCACTATTCCACTGGTAAGGATCCCTGTGACTATACCGGGACCATCAAGATAATCAAGCATAATCTCCCCATTGTAAGGTCAGCTAATTGACAACCTTAATTCCATCTGCAACCTTAATTCCTCTTTGAATGTAAGCAACATATTCACAGGTTCCAGGGATGAGAACATGGACATCTTGAAGGGGAGGGTGATTATTCTGCCTACCACACAGGAGAACTCTGAACCCTAGTTAAGGATGAGAGTAGATGTCATAAACACCACATGTCAATTCCAAGATATGAGGTTAGGCTAAAAATAGGAAAGTAAATCTAGTGATCAGAAGCATGAGGGATTGAAGCAAACCAAGTTGCAGAACAGGAAAGAGGTTAGATAAAGTGGTTCAGGACCCATACAGAGAGTTATGCAGTAGAGTTCAAGGCTTGCTTTCACAGGATGCCAGTTGCATTGTGGCACCACTCATGAGCTTGAAAGGGTGTGTAGGTCCAGACAAAATTTCACTGATGCTATCTCATCTCTCAATCTCTTACCATTTTTCATAATCCTCCTGCTTACTTTTCTCTCTTCTGTTTACCTCTCTGATCTCTTCCATATCTTCCTCCTAACCCTTATTTTTCTTCAAAAATAAATGAAAGAAAATCAACTATATATAAAATTGGGGGAAAATTAATGTTTTTACAGTATTTTCTGAATTTCATTACATGCATATACTACATGCCAATGACATCTGGTTTGATTATAACCTTCTAAGAGGCATTGCCTTGTATTTATCTTTGAAAAAAATTGAAGAAATTTTACATACATTTTAGCACCTATTACAAAGAATCTAACAGTGTCATGAACCCAGTAAACATTAAAATGTAAATTGATGGGAACAAAAAAGCATTTAAAAATTGTTTCAGGGGAAAAACAAGAGGTCAACCTGAGGTTCAGAGTTAAAGGAATTGCTGAGTAATAGATAATGCCACTAAGAACACTGGCTGAAGTACACTGGAATGCAGAAAAAAATGGATTCCTGTTCTACTGGCTGCAGTTCTGCCTGGAGCAGGTTTTTTTTCTTTTCTTTTCTTTTTTTTTTTTTTTTAAATATTTGAAGAGATTTATTCTGAGATAAATGTAAGATCCATGACCCATGATATAGCCCCAGGAGACCCTGAGAACATGTGCCCAAGGTAGTTGGGTTACATTTTTTTTTAAACATTTTAGGGGGACAGAAGTTACAGGCAGAGATATATTTTATGACATATTTTGATATGGCCTCACAAAGCTGTCTCTTGTAGGGAAAATCTACATTCTGTAGAAAAATCAGATTCGTTTTCCTGGTCTTTTCCTCGTCCAGGAGAGATTTAATTAAGAGTCTGGAGCACCTTTTAGAGTCTGATAAGAGACATTTATCATTTATTCTATCTAATGCCTGCTACCTGGAGGCTTCATCTACACAACAAGACCCCTGGCTTCCACAAGCCCCCTTATCTTAACAATAAACATTTCTTTCTGCTAACTTCACTCCTTCAGGTGGAGTTTAACCCTTTCAACCAATTATAATTCAGGAAATCTTTAAATCCATCTATAAGGTGGAAGCCCCCCACATCACTACTTTGAGATGTCATGCCTTTATGGGATGAACCAATGTATATCTTACATACATTCATTTATGTCTCTTTTTTTTTTTTAAATGATACTTTAAGTTCTAGGATACATGTTCAGAACATGCAGGTTTGTTACATAGGTATACACGTGCCATGGTGGTTTGCTGCACCCATCAACCCATCATCTACATTAGGTATTTCTCCTAATGCTATCCCTCCCCTTGCCCCCCACCCCCTGACAGGCCCCAGTGTGTAATGTTCCCCTCCCTGTGTCCATGTGTTCTCATTTTTCACCTCCCACTTATGAGTGAGAACATGCAGTGTTTGGTTTTCTGTTCCTGTATTAGTTTGCTGAGAATGATGGTTTCCAGCTTCATCCATGTCCCTGCAAAGGACACTAACTCATTCTTCTTTATGACTGCATAATATTCCATGGTATATATGTACCACATTTTCTTTATCCAGTCTATCATTGATGGGCATTTGGGTTGGTTCCAAGTCTTCGCTATTGTGAATAGTGCTGCAACAAACATACATGTGCATGTTTCTTTATAGTAGAATGATTTATAATCCTTTGGGTATATACCCAGTAATGGGATTGCTGGGTCAAATAGTATTTCTGGTTCTAGATCCTTGAGGAATCACCACACTGTCTTCCACAATGCTTGAACTAATTTTCACTCCCACCAACAGTGTAATAGTGTTCCTATTTCTCCACATCCTCTCTAGCATCTGTTGTTTCCTGACTTTTTAATGATCGCCATTCTAACTGGTGTGAGATGGTGTCTCATCGTGGTTTTGATTTGCATTTCTCTAATGACCGGTGATGATGAGCCTTTTTTCATGTTTGTTGGCTGCATAAATGTCTTCTTTTGAGAAGTGCCTGTTCATATGCATCACCCACTTTTTGATGGGGTTGTTTGTTTTTTCTCCTGGAGCAGATTTTTTTGGATCTCCTAACTGGAGCAGATTTCAGCATGCGTCTGTATTTCTGAATTAGATGCTGATACAGAATCATCCATGACCTTAAGTCATCATTCTCTGCCTCTGGCTCAGAAAGATAGTTGTATTCTACTGACTATTCACTTTTGTGTTGGGTTTATTTTATATTATAACAGTAATAAATGCTCAGTTTTCTTCCCAAAATTCAAACCATGCAGAAATGCATGAAGAGCAAAAGTCACTGCTCTACTCCTTCCCCATTCCACCTTCTCTTCCCCCAAAATAACCATTAAAGGATACATGTTCTTCCTGGCCTTTCTCTGTGTCACACAGAGGTATATGAGCACATAGGTATATCATTTTTGTTGTTCTTATTAACTTGCTTTTTGCACTCAATACATCCTGGATATCCATCCATGGAAGTATAATTAATTCAACCACCTTTTTAATTGGCTTTGTAAAGGGAAAAATGCCCTGTGATTTGTTTAACTCCTCCTTTGTGAATGGATATTTACTTAGTTTCATTTTTTTTTAAGTATATAATGATTAATTTCACTTGCTTTTTCCTGATCAGTTTCAACATTGGGCATATTCTCATGCTATATTGTGATGCTTCCTTTGAAGGCTATTAGGCTCCTGTGGATCCTTTGGAAGGTTGCTGTGGTCATCAGTACACAGTATCAGGCCACCTGGAGTTAATCTGGAACAAAGCAAACTGAGATTCTGGACAATGGAGCAGAACCATCCTTCATTCTCCCCTGGGCATCTCCCTATCTACCCATAGGCTTCCTCTTCCCTCTGTGAACTAACACAGAGGCTTGTGGGACTTAAATCGATAGTTCTCATGGGGCAAGTCATCAAGTTTGGGGAATATCTTAGTCTTCTTTATTCCTCAATTTATGGAAGAGTATTGGGCAACAATCTCTGAGAATTCTCAAAATGGCATTTAAAAAAGAACATGGATTTTAGAGACAGACAAATCTAAATCCTCCGTCTGTTAAATTCCTGATCTTGACCAAAACATTAAACATTTGTGTTAAGGGTGCTCCCAGGATTGCTGCAAGAATTAAATAGAATATTAGATGCTCAATAAATTTAAGAGTTCCTTTCATCTTCTTGTCTCCTTCTGTGTAGTGCCCTTGAATACCTGGGTCTCTCCTTCAACCCAACAAGGCATCAGTGCCAGCCAATATAGTCTTGCCCTCTCCTTGAATCATGGACTGGAGGCTGCTATTTGGTCTCGGTTCAGTCAGCTGATTTCTCTGAAGACTGGGTTTTTGTCCTTGCTCTTCTTTCACCTCATGTTTAGAAAGGAAAGATTTTCTTGAAGGACACTACTCCACCTAATTGTCCCATCCTTGTTTCTCTAAAACTTAAAAGCCTCTGGATTCCAAAGCCTACCTGACATTGGATCAAAATTCCCAAGCTTAGATTTAGACTTGACCTTCTCTTATTCATCATTCCTTTCGTCTCCCCCCACCCCATCATTCAGTCTCCATTTATGTTTCTGTGCCCCCATTCCCTCCAATCTGTGCCCCCATTCCCTCCAATTCCTGTGCTGGTTCTACCATAGCTTTCCTTTGCTAGAACAATGAGGCATTGCCATGCAGTCCATTAGGCTCCCAGAAGTTCACCTGGGCTGACTGTTTATCTTGGTTCTAGTAAATAATGCTGATAAAGAGAAGGAAGTAAAGTTGTCCAAGAGAAAGGTATGTTTCTCTCTCCTCTCTGTCCCTCTTTCTTGCCTATTAGTCACTCATGGTACAGGAAGCTCCCCTTTCTCCCAAATTGGGAAAATTTATCAGTCTATGGAGATAAATCTCTGACAAAGTCAAATAAATCAATGAGCATACAATTGCTTATTATGGGAGCAATGGGCAAGAGCAGAAAACAAAAATAGCCATTAATATTCCTCAGGTCTGAGATCAAGTTAAAACCTTATAGAAACTAATCAAAGCTTTCACCTTTTTATATTTGTACCTGGCTCTGTTATTATTAGAGTTATATATAAGTGCTTTTCTGAAACATATGCAAATATGATTGCCCGAATGGCAGAGGCATAATGTCAAGCATTCTGCTTTCATTAACAAATCTATCAGAACTTGCCCCTTAGCTTTATCACTAAGACCGTTAGTGTCTTTAAGTATTAAATAATCATAATAATAAAGAAGGAAAATGTTGTATATAATTTGCAGAGGTGCTATCTGTATTCATTAGGATATTATTTCAGCTGTTTAAACAGAGACCAAATCACAATAGCTGAAAACTAGATAAAAGGTTATTTCTCTCATTAAAGTTCAATCGATAGGTTCAGCAGGTACACACTGTACTCCACAAGATCACCCAGGGATCAAAGCTCCTTCTATCTTGTTTTGTCATTTCTTACAGTGTTGTTCTTGTCATGGTCTAAACCAGCTTACCCCACTGCCACATTTATCCATCAGCCTATGGGAAAAGGGAAAAAGGATGTGGAAGGTAAGCAGCTTCCTTTTGGGAACATGATCTAGAATTTTGGACGTTATTTCTGCTCACATGCCATTGGCCAGAACTTGATTGTGTGGCCACACCTTGCTAAGAGAAACTGTGAAATGTAATTTCTAATTGAACAGTCATGTGTCCACTTAGACCTCAGGTGGTTCTGTTACCAAACTTCACCGTGCCACATATACAACTTCTATCCTACTTAAAAATATATATTTTAATAATCATTTCCCCATGCTGTTAATAAATCTTCATGAACATCATCTTTAATGACTATGTAATGGTTGTACCTATGAAAGTATTTCCCTGCTGTCAAACATGTAGGTAGTTTCCAGTTGGGGATTTTATACATAGTACTGCAGTTAATATCTGCCATATGAATCTTTATTTGCTTTTCTGGTTATTTCCTTGGTATTTATTCCTACAGGTAAGACTGTTTACTGAAAAGTTATACCAATTAACCTTCTCCTCAGAAGCAAATGAGGGGGCTACATTTTACACCACCATCACTTGCAATAATTTGGTCTTATTTTTTATCTTTGCAAATTTGAACAATTTAAAATTATATCTAATTATAATTTTAAATTTCATTCCTTTAATTATTAGTGCATTTATTACTCATGAATTTTAACATGTTTCTGGTATTTATTAATTATTTGTATTATTTCTCTTAAGAATTCATCTTTGCCCATTTATTATCTTAGCTTTTTTCCAACTGTAGAACAAGATAGTAATAGTACCTGCATAATAGGGTATGGTGAGAATCAAACAAGAAAAGGAATGACAGAAACTTTGTTTCTTCTGGTTTCTTCTGAACAAGTTCTTCAGACTTGGGCTCAGTCTATGTTGTAGCTACAATGGAGTGGTCTGAAGAGCCCTCATCACTCTGCCGCACAACCCCATCTTATTTTCTTCATCGTACTGATGATGATCAAAGATTCTATTTTTCAATGGTTTACTTATTTTTGTCCCTCCCCTTCCCCACTAGAACCAGGCCCTGGTCTCTCTTCTCTACTCATATTTCTTTATCACCAAAACAGCATCTGCCACACAGTAGATGCTCAATTAATATTTTCTAGATAAATAAATAAACCTCCTTCCCTCACTGCCAGAATCTCTTGACCTTGTTAAAAACTTAGGCATAGTCTTCAATTACCTCTTTGACAAAGACAAGATGTGATGCCCCCAACAAACCCTCCCACATTCATGCATACTCACTGACTCATGCTTCTAGGCTCTTCTTGCCTCAGCCCCCATCTGTCACGCTTACAATCCCAATTCAAAGTGCCACCATCAGTTGCTCTCTAACATTCCACTGAACTGCATCACACATCTGGCATGGTTTCTACTAAAACATACAAGTTTCTAATTAGGAGTAGTCTCTAATGTAGTCTCTAATCAAGAATGAAAAGAGAAGGCAAAAAAGAGGAGAAGAACTCTGATCTGGCTGACTATAAAATGTTATCCTCATGCAGAAAGGAATGTGGCTGCCTGACTTTCTGGTTGGAATCTGAGAGCTAGCAACAGGCTGTGTTGGTAACAGAGAGCTTTTTCATATCCTCTGCCAGATGATGTGTACTTTTCCACACCACAGGGTGGAACAAATGGAATCCATGACTGTGCTTCTCAATCCAACACCACTGATGTGGCAGGATTTGGAAATTCTCAAGTCCAGCACGTAGTCTTTCCTGCTTATCAGAGCTTATCCTGCTTATCAGAGCTGCTGCAATTAAAAAATATATACTTGTACATTTTGAGATGGATTTTCATGGGGTGTTAGGAGAGAACAGATGTGGTCCCTCTATCTAGAATAAAAGTCTAGTTAATGTCAAATTTTAAATTTGCTTTATTTAGCATGCAGTAAGAGGTATCGTACATTTTTTTCTTCAATGACTTGTCCTGTTTTACTTTTGTTGCTTCAGAATTAATATGAATAGTTTCAAATGCATTTTAATATTTGAAAATTAATTCCACTTTAATTGGCAACTATTATGGTCTATAGGAATAAACGTTTTTGAGACCTAATAATTAAGGAATTAAATTTTAGAGTCTCTTTGACAAATTAAAAAGCAGGGAGAACATATTAATTGTTTTTGGAACTTAGGTCTGAATACTCCCTAATAAAAATGTGAGCTATCTTTCTGAAGTTCCCATGGAAGGCATACCTCCAGTTCTCTCAATTCCGAAGCCTCTCTCAAACTCTGCTTCTCTTCCTGCACATACTCAGTTCCTTTCTGAATTGAATGGAAGTCCTCTTTGGTAAACCTACTTCAAAAGTATGTTCTGACCACCCTTAACCCCAGATCTTCCCATCTTGAAACAAGGTAAAATACCCTCTTCTCTCATTGTTCTATTTAAAAGTGTCTATAAACTCATGAAAAGACTGCATGTTACTTTAGAGTCACACAAGACACATTTTTTACTGGAGATTCACTGGCAAGGGAATAAGTGGTTGGCCAGATAAATCTTTTCATGTGTCCCATTGTCTCACTATGTCCTAAATGTTCATTCAACGAGGCTGTCTATTGTGGCCAACATTCAGCATGCCTGCAACTAAAGCAGACTTTGTTGTTACTTCAGTCTTTTCCAGATACGGCCTGGGATTTACATCTGGGGAGCAAGGATATAGCAGCCCAAGAATAATTAGATGGGGCAAAATATTTACCCTGATGAATAAGGCACTGACATGGCAAGCAAACCAAAATATCCCCAGTCACAGATACAATGACAAACTCTCTCTCCAAGTCCTCCTGTCCTACTGTTGTTTGAGTGATTATACCTAATTCCATCTCAATTCCTCTCAATGTTCCTCACAAATTGATGACCTAATACTTCATGCCAGGATATTCTTGGTTATACTGGATTTCTAAGGCATTTTAATTATCATTATGCGTTCAGGGATACTGATTTCTACAATACAGAAAATGTTGAAACTTACAAGTCTGTGAAACCAGAACTTACAAAACCTATCTTGTTCTGAGTAGCATTGAAACTGTCAAGGGATAAATTGGTATTTAATAAAATTATCTTTTTATTATTACCATGGGAACTCTCCACAGTACACAAATACAGATGCTGACAAGGAATAAAATACCCAGCACCTCTGGCATATATTAATATAAAGGCAACGTAAAAAGACATACAAATATACAAAATTCTAAAATAACTACTCAGGACAATGTTTAAAAGTTTCCAAGGTTTTCAGTTTAGAAGACCAATTTTTTACAAAGTTCTAGTATGTCAACAAAAGTGGGTATCAGTAAGACCTAGCCCAGTAGCTAATGAATCTGGAAAATTCAATCTAAACAGGACTGTCTTTTTTCCATAGTAATTTAAAAGACATTACATATCAGATGTTCCAAGATTATTCTTCAGAAGAGTTCAGAGAAATGGCTTTGATAATGACAGCTTTGAATGTGGGCAGATCTTCATTTCTAAGAGGAAATCTGAAACTAGGTTGTGGCAGTGACAGTCACAGGATCCTACAAGCAAGGTCACTGTTAGGAAAGTCAGTAGCATGCCATCCTCTCAGCTGATAGGAATGGGGCCTTGGGCCTGAAATACTTCCTTACCAAGAGATAAAGAGTCCTCACGGCCTGTGCTGGACTTGTCGCCTTGGGTGGGAATATCTTTCCCTGTTTCAGACTCAATGTATGCTCCTTTGTTCTGCATAAGCATGTGTGTTATTTGGCACCTGGCCAACCCCATGATTATATCTGTTCCCTGTGGAAAGGGAGTGGCATTCTTCCAATATAGCACAAGAGGGGTGTGTGCAGGCCAATGACCCTGTGCCAGCTGCCAGGAGGGACCCCCTGGCCATGGAGGACCAATACCTACCACTGAAGCTGACCTCACTCCATCTCTTTTCTTTATGAGTGAAGCATTGCTCCATCCAGTACTTCACTGCTTTGGGTTTTCCTTGGAGACTCCAATACCAAGATGCAGTGGGCAGAAGTGCTCCTACTTCTGCTTCTGATAATAGGCAACAGATGCCACTTGCTTGACAGTCATGCTTTAGATGCGGCAAGAGTCCTGCCTCATAAGCACCTTAGAATGAGAATAAGTTGAAAATGCTAAGCTAGCTGCAGTAGCAGATGAGCTTCCAAGTTATCCTGCAGGACTTGTAACATCACATAGACATCACTAAGATGGGTTCATCCAGAGGAGATGTGGAGGGAACACTGAACACTGTTTGTCTTGAAGAAGTTGTAGAAACTCCTAGGAAAAGCAGTGTACTGACCTGGATTTAATTTGTGAACCCAACCCAACGGTGAGCCAACAATGAACTCACTGAGTTGCAATAGGCCATCGAGGCCATGTGATCTAAACATTTGCATCATTATTTCACAGAGGCCAGCCTGCCAAACAGCTGTATCAGAATCCACCTGGGGGAACATTCTTTTTTTTTTTTAAATACTTTAATTTCTGGGATACATGTGCAGAACATGCAGGTTTGTTACATAGGTATACACATGCCATGGTGGTTTGTTGCACCCATCGACCCATCATCTACATAAGGTATTTCTCCTAATGCTACCCCTCCCCTAGCCCCCCACCCCTGACAGGCCCCAGTGTGTGATGTTCCCCTCCCTGTGTCCATGAGTTCTCATTGTTCACCTCCCACTTATGACTGAAAACATGCAGTGTTTGATTTTCTGTTCCTGTGTTAGTTTGCTGAGAATGATGGCTTTCAGCTTCATCCATGACCCTGCAAAGGACATGAAGTCATTCTTTTGTATGGCTGCATAGTATCCATGGTGTATATGTGCCACATTTTCTTTATCCAGTCTATCATTGATGGGCATTTGGGTTCCAAGCCTTTGCTATTGTGAATAGTGCTTCAATAAATATACATGTGCATGTGTCTTTATAGGAGAATGATTTATAATCCTTTAGATACATACCCAGTAATGGGATTGCTGGGTCAAATGGTATTTCTGGTTCTAGACCTTTGCAGAATCGCCAACACATTGTCTTCCACAGTGGTAGAACTAACTTACACTCCCACTAACAGTGTAAAAATGTTCCTATTTCTCCACATCCTCTTCAGCATCTGTTGTTTCCTGACTTTTTAATGATCACCATTCTAACTGGCATGAGACGGTATCTCACTGTGGTTTTGATTTGCATTTCTCTAATGACCAGTGATGATGAGCTTTTTTTCATATGTTTGTTGGCCACATAAATGTCTTTTTTGGGGAAGTGTCTGTTCAGATCCTTCGCCCACTTTTTGATGGGGTTGTTTTTTTCTTGTAAATTTATTTAAGTACTTTGTAGATTCTGGATATCAGCCTTTTGTCGGATGGATTGCAAAAATTTTCTCCCAAACTGTAGGTTGCCTGTTCACATTGATGATAGTTTCTTTTGTGTGCAGAAGCTGTTTAGTTTAATTAGATCCCATTAGTCAATTTTGGCTTTTGTTGTCATTGCTTTTGGTGTTTTAGTCATGAAGTCTTTGCCCATGCCTATATCCTGAATGGTATTGCCTAGGTTTTCTTCTAGAGTTTTTACAGTTTTAAATGTTACATTTATGTCTTTAATCCATCTTGAGTTAATTTTTGTATAAGGTTTAAGGAAGGGGTCCAGTTTCAGTTTTCTGCATATGGCTAGCCAGTTTTCCCAACACCATTTATTAAATAGGGGATTCTTTCCCCATTGCTTGTTTTTCTCAGGTTTGTCAAAGATCAGATGGTTGTAGATGTGTGGTTTTATTTCTGAGGCCTTCATTCTGTTCCATTGGTCTATATATCTGTTTTGGTACCAGTACCATGCTCTTTTGGTTACCATAGCCTCGTAGCATAGTTTGAAGTCAGGTAGCATGATGCCTCCAGCTTTATTCTTTTTGCTTAGGATTGTTCTTTGCTATGCAGGCTGTTTTTTGGTTCCATATGAAAATTAAAGTAGTTTTTTCTTATTCTGTGAAAAAAGTCAATGGTAGCTTGATGGGGTTAGCATTGAATCTATAAATTACTTTGGGCAGTATGGCCATTTTCATGATATTGATTCTTCCTATCCATGAGCATGGAATGTTTTTCCATTTGTTTGTGTCCTCTGTTATTTCACTGAGCAGTGGTTTGTAGCTCTCCTTGAAGAAGTCCTTCACATCCCTTGTAAGTTGTATTCCTAGGTATTTTACTCTCTTTGTAGCAATTGTGAATGAGAGTTCACTCATGATTTGGTTCTCTGTTTGTCTATTATTGGTGTATAGGAATGCTTGTGATTTTTGCACATTGATTTTTATCCCGAGACTTTGCTGAAGTTGTTTAACAGCTGAAGGAGATTTTGGGCTGAGATGATGGGGTTCTCTAAATATACAATCATGTCATCTACAAACAGACAATTTGACTTCCTCTCTTCATCTTTGAATACCTTTGTTTCTTTCTCTTGCCTGAATGCCCTGCCCAGAACTTCCAATACTATGTTCAATAGTAGTGGTGAGAGAGGGCATCCTTGTCCTGTGTTGGTTTTCAAAGGGAATACTTCCAGCTTTTGCCCATTCAGTATGATATTGGCTGTGGTTTGTCATAAATAGCTCTTATTATTTTGAGATCCATTCCATCAACACCTAGTTTATTGAGAGTTTTTAGCATGAAGGGGTGTTGAATTTTATCAAAGGCCTTTTCTGCATCTATTGAGATGATCATGTGGTTTTTATCATTGGTTGTGTTTATGTGACGGATTATGTTTATCAATTTGCTTATGTTGAATTTGCGTGTGCATCCCAGGGATGAAACTGACTTGATCATGGTGGATAAGCTTTTTGATGTGCTGCTGGATTCGGTTTGCCAGTATTTTATTAAGGATTTTTCTCATCGATGTCATCAGGGATATTGGCCTGAAATTTTCTTTTTTTATTATGTCTCTGCCAGGTTTTGGTATCGGGATGATGCTGGCCTCATAAAATGAGTTAGGGAGGAGTCTCTCTTTTCAAATTGTTTGGAATAGTTTCAGGAGGAATGGTACCAGCTCCTCTTTGTACCCCTGGTAGAATTCGGCTGTGAATCCATCTGGTCCTGGGCTTTTTTTTGGTTGGTAGGCTATTAATTACTGCCTCAATTTCAGAACATGTTATTGGTCTATTCAGGGATTTGACTTCTTCCTGATTTAGTCTTGGGAGGGTGTAGGTATCCAGGAATTTATCCATTTCTTCTAGATTTTCTAGTTTATTTGCGTAGAAGTGTTTATGGTATTCTCAGATGGTAGTTCATATTTCTGTGGGATCAGTGGTGATAGCCCCTTTATCATTTTTTATTGTGTCTATTTGATTCTTCTCTCTTTTCTTCTTTATTAGTCTGGCCCCTCTGCTGCAGGTCTGGTAGAGTTTGCTGGAGGTCCCTTCCAGACCCTATTTGCCTGGGTATCACCAGCAGAGGCTGCAGAACAACAAAGATTGCTGCCTGTTCCTTCCTCTGGAAGCTTCGTCCCAGAGGGGCACCCACCAGATGCCAGGCAGAGCTCACCCATATGAGGTGTCTGTTGGCCCCTGCTGGGAGGTGTCTCCCAGCCAGGAGGCATGGGGGTCAGACACCCACTTGAGCCGGCAGTCTGTCCCTTAGCAGAGCTTGAGAGCTGTGCTAGGAGATCCTCTGCTCTCTTCATAGCCAGCAGGCAGGGATGTTTAAGTTTGCTGAAGCTGCACCCACAGACGCCCCTTCCCCCCGGTGCTCTGAGGGAGATGGGAGTTTTGTCTATAAGCCCCTGACTGGAGCTGCTGCCTTTTTTCAGAGATGCCCTGCCCAGAAAGGAGAAATTTAGAGAGGAAGTCTGGCTACAGTGGCTTTGTGGAGCTGTGGTGTGCTCTTCCGGGTTCAAACTTCCCAATAGCCTTTGTTACACTGTGAGGGGAAATGGTCTACTCAAGCCTCAGTAATGGCGGATGCCCCTCCCCTCAATAAGCTGGAGTGTCCCAGGTCAAATCCAGACAGCTGTGCTGGCAGCCAGAATTTCAAGCCTGTGGATCTTAGCTTGCTGGGCTCCATGAGGTTGGGATCTGCTGAGCTAGACCACTTGGCTCCCAGCTTCAGCCTCCTTTCCAGGGGGGTGACCGGTTCTTTCTCGTTGGCATTCCAGGTGCTACTGGGATATTAAAAAAAAACTCCTGCAGCTAGCTTGGTGTCTGCACAAACATCCACCCAGTTTTGTACTTGAAACCCAGGGCACCAGTGGTGTAGGCACCCGAGGGAATCTCCTGGTCTGCGGGTTGTGAAGACTGTGGGAAAAGCATAGTATCTGGGCTGGAGTGCATCATTCCTCATAGCACAGACCCTCACGCCTCCCTTGGCTAGTGGAGGGAGTTTCCTGACCCCTTGCACTTTCTGGGTAAGGCAACGCCCCACCCTGCTTCTGCCCGCCCTCTGTGGGCTGCACCCACTGTCTCACCAGTCCCATTGAGATGAGCCGGGTACCTCAGTTGGAAATGCGGAAATCACTCGCCTTCTGTGTTGATTCGGCCATCTTACCAGCGACCTCGGGAACATTCTTAAAATACAGATTTCCAGGCCACATCTTGGGGACTTCTAAATTAGTTAGTCTAGAATAGGGCCCAGGCAACTCTACTTTTAACAAACTCCACTGTTGGAAAAGCAACTTGAAAAGATGCATGTACATACTGGACAATGGGTGATATTCCCGGCAGGAAATCATGTCAAAGAACCATCAGACTGTGGGTCCTAGCAAAAGGCTGAAGCATGGCAGCATTTAGAGATGAAAGCAGACAGGCAGGCCAGCAGAGGCCGGCAGTTCCTGTCCACAAAGCTTAGAAGGAGGAGCACAGTCACAACCATGAAGTGGGGTTTAGAGAAAGCTGCTCAGTGCTGAAAATGATCAAATCCTGAGCAGGTTATCCACACAGGGACACAAGCATGGCAGGACCAAAGAGGTGAGTGGAACTGGACAAACCTGGGGCTTGGTCATGAGAATAGGACAGAGGCCCAGTCTTTAAAGCTAACACAGAATTAAGGGGCATTAGTGCTTGTTGAACATCAATTCTGTGGAAGGTGCTTTTCACAGGCTGGCTCTGGTGTTACCCTCACACACACTGATTTAATCCCCATTTAATAGATGAGGTGGATTTAAAAGGTGAACAGGGGCTAATTTTTATCTTACTGGGCCACAATATCACCATCTTTAAAATGAGTAGAATAATTCTTACCCTGGCGTGGTATGGTCCCTGGTACACGGTAATGTTTAAAAGAAATTTCATAGTCTCTGAAAGGAAACCCTACACTTACGTTTTGCTATTTTGCAATACAATGTGTTCAAAAACATACCACAGCTTTTTATATCTAGTTAACTTCCCTAACTAGCTTTTAAAGCCCTCTCTTACCCAATCACATGCTCCACACCAAATGCATTTCTCACACTCCTCCGAGCCCCACACTCCATGCAAACTAACCCAGAGGCACACTAGGCCTCCTTTGCCATCCTCTCTATTGCTAGATGGTAGAACACATCTGTACATTTTCCCCTTCCTCCTTCCTTATATATATAAACAGTGAATTTGTAGTAAATACATGATCTATGCCAGGCACTGTACTGCATAATTTATTTGCATTATTTCTTTCGAGAGTCATGATGACCCTATGAGGTAGCTATTATTATTTTAACACTTTTACCAATGAGTAAAGTGAGGCCTTAAAGAAGAGATACAGCATACATAAGATGACACATTTAGTAAATGACAGAGACATGCTTTGGACTCAGGTTTATCTGTGAACAAAGCCTTCGCTTCTAGCATCTGTGCCATGCTCTCTGCTGTTGACCCAAGCTGTTGGTCATACAAGGCTGAACTAACACTTACTTCCTCCCTGAAGGGGAGGGCACCTCTAGGCTTCACTGGATCAAAGGCAACACCAAAATTTTTATTTAAGCACATCAAAGTCTGGAAACCAAATAGAGAATCAGTGAGAACACTTCATTATCCCTTGCAAAAGGTGCCCTCAAGGCAAAACAGGGAAAGAGTGAAGCTCTCTGAATCCTTAATACTTGAGTCTTGTTCCAGGAAGATATTAGCTGGGCCTCATTTATTTATTTATTTTTATTTTTTATGGGAATTTTTAAATTTGTGTCTAAGTAGGTATATGTATTTGAACATAAGACAGGCCATATTTCATACAGATTGTGTGTATTATGGGTGAAGACATATTTTGTGCAAGTCAGAAATAGGCATCACTTTCACCATGGCTCGCCTGGGGTAACTGTTTTGGTTGCAAAGCCACTTGGTGACCAACATCTGTTAGTCTCTTAGGAACCAATCTAAATTAGATAGGTGGCAGAAAGAGAGTGACTCTGCGTGTGTAGCACTGGAAAGTCAGATATCTTCAAATAGCAATCTTAAGGTAATTTGGGGTACTGTCTTCTTTTAATATGTTTTCTGATTATAAAAATAATACATGGTAACCATAGTATCATTGAAAAATACAAAAATATATAAAGAACAAAATTCTTTAATCCTGTGATCCCACTTCCAGAGATAACAACTAATATCCTTTATCTTTCTTTCTAGTGAAGTGATCTTTAAAAGCCAAGGAAAGGAAGACAGGAAAAATGAAGATAAATCCCAAAAGATCAATATTTACTTTTAGTCTGCATTTAAGTGTGCATCGTTGAGAGAATCCACGGCAACTTTTATTAAAGATAGAAGTTGTACTTGCCAACACATCAACAATTTATGTTTAGAAACAAGATACTCAATCTCAAGTTATCTTCCCTCTGTAAGCCGCATTTAGCTTTTTAAAAATCAAGATATTGAGATGCATTATACATATTGCAAAATCGATGTTTTTAGGTGTACCGTTTTATAAATCCTGACAAATTTATACCGTTGTGTTTACAATACCACAAACAAGAAACAGAACATTTCTATCACTCCAAATGTTTCTTTGTGTCCTTTGTAATCAGTTTTCTTCCTCCAAGGCCAGAGCCTGATAACTACCAATCTGCTCTGTGTCTTAATAGCTTTGCCTTTTCTGGAAGGACATCTCAATGGAATCCTATAGTATGTAGCATTTGAAACGGGCATCTTTCTTTTAATATATTTGAGATTCATCAGTGTTGTTGCATGCTAAATAATATTCCATTGAATAGGTTTGCTGCAATATGGTTTATGCATGCACCAGTTGGTAGACATTTCCGTTGTCTGCCAATTTTGGCAATTATGAATAATAGCAATATAAACATTTGTGTGCAAGTCTTCGTGTGCAAGATGTGTTTTCATTTCTTTTCAGTAAATTTCTAGTGGTGAGATTTTGAAGTCATATGGTAAGTGTATGTATAACTTTAAAAGAAACTGCCAAACCATTTTCCAATCAGGCAGTAAAAATCTGCATTTGCATTGGCAATGTGTGATAGTTTCACTCACTCCACATTACTATAAGCACTTAGGATTACTGAGTTTTTAAATTCTTAGCCATTTGACTAGCTGGGCTGTTGTTATGATTTAGATTTCCCTAAGCACTTACAATTATAGGATTTTTTTTTTTTTTTTTTTTTTGAGACAGAGTCTCGCTCTTGTCTCCCAGGCTGGAGTGCAATGGTGCCATCTTGGCTCACTGCAACCTCTGCCTCCTGGGTCTAAGCGATTCTCCTGCCTCAGCCTCCCAAGTAGCTGGGATTACAGGTGCCCACGACCACACCGGGATAATTTTTGTATTTTTAGTAGAGGTGGAGTTTCACCATGTTGGCCAGGCTGGTCTTGAACTCCTGACCTTAGATGATCTGCCCGCCTCAGCCTCCCAAAGTGCTGGGATTACAGGCGTGAGCCACTGCACCCAACCAGATTATCTGATTTTTTAAATTTTAGCCATTGGAATAGATGGGCTGTGGTTATGATTTAAATTTCCCTAATGACTAATGATAGTGGGCATCATTTTATGATTTTTTTTTTTGCCATCTGTGTCTCCTTTGGTGAATTCAAATAGTTTTGCCCATTTTAAAATTCAGTGTGTTTGTTTTCTAATTATTGTGTTGTGAGGGTTATTTATATATTCTGCATACCAATGCTTTGTCAGGTAAGTGTTAACCAACATATTATTCTAACGTGTGGCTTGTTTTTCATTTTCTTATTTTTAGGATTTTTTTTTAATTTAAATTTTATTTTAAGTTCAGGAGTACATGTTTATGTTCGTTATATAGGTAAACTTGTGTCATAGGGGTTTGTTGTACAGATTATTTTGTCACCCAGGTATTCAGCCTAGTATCCATTAGTTTTTTTTCCTGATCCTCTCCCCCATCCCACCCCTCATTTTCCAATAGGCTTCAATGTGTGTTGTTCCCCTCTATGTGTCCATATGTGCTCATCATTTAGCTCTACCTTGTAAGTGAGAACATGTGGTGTTTGGTTTTCTGTTCCTGCATTAGTTTGATAAGGATAATGGCCTCCAGCTCTACCCATGTTCCTGCAAAAGGACATGATCTCATCCCTTTTTATGGCTGCATAGTATTCCATGATATATATATGTACCATATTTTCTTTATCCAGTCTACCATTGATGGGCATTTAGGTTGATTCCATGTCTTTGCTATTGTAAATAGTGCTGCAGTGAACATACGTGTGCACTTATCTTTATGATAGAATGATTTATATTCCTTTGGGTAAATACCTAGTAATGGAATTGCTGGGTCAAATGGTATTTCTGGCTCTAGGTCTTTGAGGAATCGCCACATTGCCTTCCACAATGGTTGAACTAATTTACATTCCCACCGACAGTGTAAAAGCATTCCTATTTCTCCACAGCCTCATCAGCATCTGTTGTTTCTTGACTTTTTAATAATCACCATTCTGACTGGCATGAGATGGTATCTCATTGTGGTTTTGATTTGCATTTCTCTAATGATCAGTGTTGTTGAGGTTTTTTTCATATGTTTACTGGCCGGATAAATGTCTTCTTTTGAGAAGTGTCTGTTCATATCCTTCACCCACTTTTTAATGGGATTGTTTGTTTTTTTCTTGTGAATTTGTTTAAGTTTTTTGTAGATTCTGGATATTAGGCCTTTATCAGATGGACAGATTGCAAAAGTTTTCTCCCATTCTGTAGGTTTTCTGTTCACTCTGATGATAGTTTTATTTGCTTCAGAGAAACTCTTCAGTTTAATTAGATCATATTTGTCAATTTTTGTTCTTGTTGCCATTGCTTTTGATATTTTTGTCATGAAATCTTTACCTGTGCCTATGTCCTGAATGGTATTGCCTAGATTTTCTTCTCATAATTTTGGGTTTTACATATAAGTCTTTAATCTATATTAAGTTAATTTTTGTAAAAGGTGAAACGAAGGGGTCCAGTTTCAATTTTCTGCATATAGCTAGCCAGTTTTCCCAGCATCATTTAATAAATAGGGAATCCTTTCCCCATTGCTTGTTTTTGTCAAGTTCCTCGAGATTAGATTATTGTAGATGTGAGGTCTTATTTCTGAGATCTCTATTCTGTTCCATTGGTCTATGTGTCTGTTTTTATACCAGTACCATGCTGTGTTGGTTACTGTAGCCTAGTAGCATAGTTTGAAGTTGGGTAGCACGATGCCTCCAGCTTTGTTCTTTTTGCTTAGGATTGTCTTGGCTATACAAGTATTTTTTTTTTGGTTCTGTATGAATTTTAAAGCAGTTTTTTCTAATTCTGTGAAGAAAGTCAGTGGTAGCTTGATGGGGATAGCACTGAATCTATAAATTACTTTGGGCAGTATGGACATTTTTGCGATATTGAGTCTTCCTATCCATGAGCATGGAGATGTTTTTCCATTTGTTTGTGTTCTCTGTTATTTCCTTGAGCAGTTGTTTGTAGTTCTCCTTGAATAAGTCCTTCACTTTCCTTATAAGTTGTATTCCTAGATATTTTATTCTCTTTATAGCTATTGCAAATGGGACTTCATTCCTGATTTGGCTCTCTGCTTGTCTATTATTGGTGTACAGGAAGGCTTGTGATTTTTGCACATTGATTTTGTATCCTGAGACTTTGGTGAAGTTGCTTATCGCTTAAGAAGCTTTGGGCTGAGATGATGGGGTTTTTTAGATATAGGATCATGCCATCTGCAAACAGAAACAGTTTAACTTCCTCTCTTATCCTTTATTTATTTCTCTTGCCTGATTGCCCTGGCCAGAACTTCCAATACTATGTTGAATAGGAGTGGTGAGAGAGGGCATCCTTGTCTTGTGCTGGTTTTCAAAGGGAATGCTTCCAGTTTTTGCCCATTCAGTATGATATTGGCTGTGGGTTTGTCATAAGTGGTTCTTATTATTTTGAGTCATTCTCTTCAATACCTAGTTTATTAAGTTTTTTTAACATTAAGGGATGTTAAATTTTATCGAAGGCTTTTCTGCATCTATTGAGATAATCATGTGGTTTTTGTCTTTAGTTCTGTTTATGTGATGAATTACGTTTATTGATTTGGGTATGTTGAACTGGCCTTGCATCTTGGGGATGAAGCTGCCTTAATTGTAGTGGATAAGCTTTTTGATGTGCTGCTGGATTCTGTTTGCCAGTATTTTATTGAGGATTTTTGCATCAATGTTCATCAGGGATATTGGTCTGAAGTTTTTTTGGGTTTTTTTGGTTTTTTTTTTTTGTATCTCTGCCAGGTTTTGTTATCAGGAAATGCTGGCCTCATAAAATGAGTTAGGGAGAAGTCCTTCCTTTTCAATTGTTTTGAATGGTTTCAGAAGAAATGGTACCAGCTCCTCTTTGTACCCCTGGTAGAATTTAGCTGTATATCCATCTGGTCCTGGGCTTTTTTTGGTTGATGGGCTATTTATTACTGCCTCAATTTTAGAACTTGTTATTGCTCTATTCAGGGATTCAACTTCTTCCTGGTTCAGTCTTGGGAGGGTGTATATGTCCAGGAATTTACCCATTTCTTCTAAATTTTCTAGTTTATTTGCATAGATGTGTTTATAGTATTCTCTGATTATTGCATTTCTGTGGGGCCAGTGGTGAGGTTTTTTTTTTTTTTTTTTTTGAAATGGTGTTTTGCTCCTGTTGCCCAGGCTAGAGTGCAATGGCACAATCTTGGCTCACGGCAACTTCCACCTCCCAGGTTCAAGCGATTCTCTTGCCTCAGCCTCATGAGTAGTAGGGATTACAGGCATGCACCACCACTCCTGGCTAATTTTGTATTGTTAGTATAGACGAGGTTTCTCCATGTTGGTCAGGCTGGTCTCGAATTCCCGACCTCAGGTGATCCGCCTGCCTCGGCCTCCCAAAGTGCTGGGATTACAGGCATGAGCCACTGCTTCTGGCTGTTGATGTCATTTTTTTAAACAGTGGGTCAGAAGCATGAAAACAAATAGTGATAAATGCTTTAGAAAAATCACTCTAGACTTTGGTTTTAACAGCATTTCAGGTGGAAAGTGTATTTTAGAACAAACAAGTCAGTCTGCCCAGTTCTCATCTCTGTATTCTTCCTGTCTTTGTGCTTGCATTAGGGCTTCTTTACTCACACCCGTGGACTCAGCCATGGTCAGCTCAGTCGTGAGACAGGAGGAATTTAAGAGCTCTAGCCTCACACTGACTGAGGATTGTGTTTGTTTATGCTACTCTGGCCCTGACCTTATACTCAGGTTCAAATACTAAGACATGATTGATTGATAGACAGATAGATAGATAGATGATAGATAGATAGATAGACAGATAGATACATAAACAGATAGATAGAAGTTTATGTTATACACATATGCACAGATCTATGTATCTGTATCAGTCAACCTAGCTGTCGATCTATATAAATATATCTGTATGCCAGTCACCTGGTAGGTGATATGGCACAGTTTAACAAATATTTGTAAAGGGCCTACTATGTACCAGCTTCTGTAATGAGTAAGACATTACTAATAAAATTCGAATAAGATCTGGTTCCTGCACCTAAATAGTTTATAGTCAGCATTGTGCAAGTAGAGATTACCTTTTTAAATCGTCAAAGTAACTCTGTAATGCAGCTATTATTTTAAACAGAATTGTTTTTAAAGGACCAGAAAAACACAGAGAAATTAAACAACTTGCTCAAGGCTCTGAAGAGAATAAATGGTAGATGTCTTTGACCCCCAAATACAAACACTTAATACACTTGATATACTGCCTGATATACTGCTACTGCCTGCGAATCTTTCCAAGATCTGGTCCCCAACTTTCATCCTGTTTCTAGTATGTCAATCAACCTATTAATCACTTTGCTTGACTCTTCTCTTGCTAACTCTTAAGAGTCCTCTAGGGAAGTCCCTAGGGACCAAAATTCTCCCTCTGTACCCCAGGTGGTGCTTGAAGCAGTGCTTGCCAGATGCCCAGAGCTGGGCCCTCAGCTCTCCTCTCTGGGTCCCCCGTTCAAGGCAGAGAGAGTCACAGTGCTGAAGTCCATGGGCCTAACAGGATCCCTGTTTTTCCAGTGGTGACCTCCCTAATGCTCCTGGCTTCATCAGATGATCCCACTCGTCTGTCTCCTAGCCCCATGGATACCATGCCACTGCCTAGCTGCCAACACACCTCTGGGGCCTCCAAGGCCTGGCTGGGGGTGTTCTAGGTTCTTGCCTCTCCATGTGTGACCTATCCCAAGGTGGTTAGTCAGTTTATGCCTGGCCACACCCCACAATATTACAGGAAGCTCCATAAAGGCATTCAGTCTTCCAGCAGAGCAGTCAGTCACTAAAATCACACAGCAGTGGGGTTCTGCACCAGAAGAGAGAGGACTGGCAAGCTGGAGGGAACGGTGCAGTCTATCTCTGTTTCACACACGCATACACACACACACACACACACACACACATGCATACTGCCTCTCTTTCTCTCTTTTCACATACACACAGTCTCTCTCTCTCCCACACACACTCTCCTCTTCCTCTCTCTCCTATCCACACTTGCCCTCACTCCCACAACCCCCTGAGAATTATGGTTCTCTGGAACTGAGCCAAAGCAAGGAGTCTTCACCCAAAGCCACAGTGAAGGCGTCAGAGAGTCAGAGTCATTTGCTATGAAACTAGCGACACTCAGGCTTTAGGGCCCCTTTTGTTCACTGGCCTCTGTGAGTCTTGGGGGTTGCAGAGTTTTCTATGTGGCAAAGGGAAACCAGGCTACAACAGGAAACATTTCATGTGAGCATTTCTGATAAATTTCTTAAAGATATCTCTCCAGAAAGGGATAGGAGCCATGCTGCGATTTATTTTCTCGTTCTAAATAAGTGTTCTTATTTATTCTGCAGGAAAATCAGAGATCACTTCCAATTCTCCTTAAGCTCTTATGCAAGTTCTTCCAGCTGGATCTAGAAACCAAATTGACACCAGGCAGATTAACAAGAGAAAACATACAAATCTTATTCATTTTACATGTACGTGGGGATCTTCACAAGAAAGAAAATTAAAAAGTGGCCAAAGCAAGATGCTTTTATGCTTTTTAGACAAAGAATGATAAATTTGAGAAGAAATGTCAAGACAAAGAAAATCTGGCTAGGAGTAGTACATTTCTAGGGGAGTCAGTAGGAGATATATTGGGGGACATGTAAAACTAGTGAAAGATAAGAGTTACTTCATTAAGCATATTTATCCAGATCCATTACAGTTCTCAATTCCCAGTGTCTCATGATAAGGGCCATCTTCTCACCCTGGTACAGAGAGAGTACCCCTCCCAGAGGAACGTTTATGGCTTGCTGCATGCAGGAAGAGACAGGTCAGCTAGCCTTTTCTAAACTACAATTTCTCCAATGTTTTCAACTCAAAATAATCAATACACCAATTCAGCATGTTGTGGGATGGCACATCCTTCCCTCCTTTAATATCTAAGTTAATATTGATGATTTTGTATATTAAGAAGGTCCCAAAATCGAATGAGCTATGGGCACCACAAAGCCAAGATCTGCTCCTTAGGAGGGGTGTACTGGTACTGAAGAAGCAAGGAAACTCAAAAATTGTGCTGCGATCAAAACATCAGAAGGAGAATCTGAAGTGTCAGCCCACTGGAAGAAGCAAAAGCATTTAGGGAAGTAGTTGCATGGGGTCTGGGATTCTGGGGTCCAGTTACAAGCAAACAAAGTGGGAAGAATTCAAAGAATTGCCTGAGTAATTGCGGCTAATGGACAAGGCAGGGTGTCAGGGACCCGACCAAGAGAGCTGGAGTTGGTTTTGTGGCTGCAGTCCAAGCAGAGGAAACCAGAAGATGAGCGCCACTGCACAGACTAGGCAGATGGTGGGAGAGGGGAAGAGAAAGCCACTAACAGTCACCGTCATCGACCCCGAGACGTTGTACTTCAGTAGTGGGGTTGGGTGCCTTACACTTTTAGGCTGCATCAGGGATTCCTCAAAGAGGATACAGTGCTAAACCTGCAGTTATCAGGACAGGCAGCAGAATCTTGCCCATAAAGAGGGAATAAGAATGCATACCTATCTTATAACAGTGTTGAGATGATTCAGTCAATGGTGTAGATAAAATGTGTAGCCTGGTACTTTATGCAATCATGGAGAACAACTCAAGCTCTCTGGAATATGATCCTACCTTGAATATAGTAAGAAGAAAAGGAGTTTAAATTCTCCTGGTAGGAGGGATGCAAATTCATTCAAACGAAATAAGGCAGTAGGAAGGAACAACTAATTTGGCTTTTAGAAGTAAATCATCAATGCAATGCAAAGATGCTGTTTATGTGCTTGGCTTATTGATTTAATAAGTTCCTTGGTAAACTTTTTTTCTGCTCAGTTAGCAGTTGGTTAGTTTTCCTTTGTAGTAATAGTAATAGTTTAAATGTTCCTTGCAGTAATGACTGTCATTGCTATATTTTATTTTCTAAGTTGATTTTGTACTCTAATATCACTCTGCTATGTTTTCCTGTGTTGTAGGAAATTATTTTTAAATGTCTTTCCATTTCAGTGCCATGTTTGTGGACATCCCCCCACTGCCCTTCATCCTCAGAAAGGAACAGCCTCCTGTGGGTTGACTTGGTGATATCTGTCCATAGATAATGTCTCCAGCCCCAGGCTCATCACTCAGACATCTGCCCTCAGGAGGACACGTTCATCCCCAGCACCAGAGACATGTCTGCCAAGGCTTTTGGAACTGATTTTATCCCCATGCAAAAAGCTAGATTCTAATTCTGTCTGATCACAAAAGGTTGAATCAAAGCCCTACAACTGAGGTTCATAGACCAAAACAAGAAATACATGGAAAAGTTGCCAAAGGATTTTAGAAGATCAGAGGCTGTAATTCATTATAGATGTGGATCCTTTTGCTTTCCTCTAAGGAAAAAAAATATTCAATTTTATTAAGAAAAAATTCCCACTAACTGTGGCCATGTTCAAAGCACTCACAGAAAATATTTTGAACGCACAGGGTTTCGCTCAAGGAAGAATATTCATCATTTCAGGGTGGGGGAAAGGAGCTGGTCATTCATTTTCTCTCACCTTATCCTAACATTTATAGTTAAAAAGGGATGGATTTGTCTTTGCCTAATCTCCATGACAAAGCAATTCTTGCCTGACCTCTCAAATTCTCCCCACTCCAGAGATTGTATGACCAGAAGGTGGGATCATAAATTCCCAAGAGATGACAAAGGTGAAAATGGAATCAACAATCACTACCTAAATTTTCAGGCTCTGAGACACCTTCCTAAACTATATGAATAAGCCACAGCAAAATGCTTAAATCTCTCCAGCTATTTTTTCTTTCATTGATAAGTTATATTTCTTTTTGAAGGAAAGAAAGTATCTACCTCAGCTCTTATTTGTTAAAACTTACATAACAAAGACACTACAGGTGAAAACACAGCCACCATCACTCTATATTATTTTCTAAAATGATTTATAACATAACATTCAGCATAGATAACAGTAAAAGTTTAAAGAGGATCATGAAATACAAAATAAATCCAATTTAATAAAGTGAAAACAAAATCATTGTTCTTTTGTAAATGTTGATCACAAAGCTTAAAAAATGTACTTGAAATGAAAAGCTTCAGAAATAAAACAGTTGTACCAAATTCAGTTTAGTATTTTGTATTTAGTATGTACCAAATAAATTTTTATTAAATTATTCATGATCTGTGTCACCAACAACTGTGATGATCAATACACAGTCATATGATCTTGGGTGAAGTCTGTGCAGCTCAACATAATTCAGTTAATTCAATACTGTAAGTGCCGCTGCTAATTTGCCCAAATTATACTATCAATTCCTCCTTAATTATCTAGTTGATTTCTCAGCCCCACATTCCACTTTACGCCTGACCTCAGAATGACATACAAACATAAAAGTGGAAATTTAAGACCTGTCAGATGTAGTTCAAAATCTAAATCCATGACAGCGTGGGCAGCAAGACTAGTGGTACTCACACCATGAGGCCCCTAGGGATAGAGGTGTTCACAGGCTGTTCCTGTAGCCATGCCCTCGCCTGTGATGAAGGAAACCACTATACAGTGACTTCTCTGGGAAAATCTTCCCTCTGCTGTAGAGAAAATACAATCAGGGCATTACCTGATTGGGCAAATTGATTTCTGCTCTAATAGGTATTGATTATCTGCCAGGCCATGGCCTCCTTCTGGGGGTACTACAGAGAGAAATCCACAGACATTTTTCTCACACCAGTCAAGTAGCTTAAACTATTACCTTACACGGTGGCTAGGGCAGCTTGTAATTAATATAGTTCAGCCAGTTTGAGAATCTGGTTGGAAAGGCAGAGAAAACCGTTGTGGTGCTTTGCAAATGATTCTGACTCTGAGATATCAGAAAAAGGGTGCTTAGGAAAACAATAGTATAGGGGAGGCAAAATTTTACCTCTAGTTTCATAGGACTTTTAAGCTGGGCCTGAGAATTAAACTGACCTCAGACAGATTAACAGAAGAAAAGTAACAAATTTGTTTGATATAAGTTTTACATGACACCAGAGCCCTCATCAGGAAATGAAGACCCAAAGAAGTGGCACAACTGAAATGATTTTGTATATGCTAGGTTGAACAAAAAGAGTCAACTGTTGAAAACTAAACTATTCGGGGAGGCTAAAGGAAGATAAAAATAATTTTAATAGGGTCTGTTTGTTCAAATTTTCTCAGTCTCATCTTCCCATTCTAATGATAAGAATGTTACTTTCCTTCTGATATAAAAAGGATATCTTTCATCTGGGGGTTTTATCTCCTGCTTTTAGGAAGAAAAAGGAAAGCATCAGAACACCCTTCTTGTACCTGCTGGATTTTTTTGTTTTTTTTTATTATTATTATACTTTAACTTTTAGGGTACATGTGCACAACATGCAGGTTTGTTACATATGTATACATGTGCCATGTTGGTGTGCTGCACCCATCTTTTTTTTTTAAATGACTTTAATTCAAAATAATCCTTCTGCTAAAGTGGCACGTTTGTCAGGGTGCAGGGAATATTCTGCCTCCTTTCAGTAGGTGCAGATGGATTGTCAGTACAGATGAATATGTCTAAGTGCTCATACAACAGGCAGATCTGCCTCCCCGCCCCCTTGGGATCTTTCAGTGGTTGGCTTTGAAGTTGGCATAATTTTTATCTTGAGTTTCTTAGACATTCATCGTAAGACTGAATACTTTTACTAGGAAAACTGGTCTTGCTAGCTTTTAATGGTTTCAGTTGTAACTTTCAGTGACAAGGAACACATTCCGCAGTGCAGTGTGGGAGGAAGCATTCCTGACTATGAGTCACAAGACTCAGGTCTGGCTCCACCTCCACCAGCAATAATCACATAAAACCACCATCAAGGTCCATTCTCCATCTCCCAAATGGAATTGATAGGCTACTCTCTGCCATATCCAAAAGGACTATTGAGAGGAAATATTATAAGACAGTTCAAATAACTTTGGAAGAGAAGCAAATATACCCTGATAAGATAGTCAGGGGCATAGGCTGTCTGCACACAGAGGCAGAGAATGAAGGCAATTAGTCAAACAGTTACTGCAGAAAATACTCCTACCTCCCACAGAGAAAAAGAAAAAAAAAAAAGACAATGCACAGGGACTTACCAACACTTATTTTACTCAGCAGAGTATTTCACATAAAAGGAAAATTTTGGCTGACTGAATTACCCAAATAGTTTCCTTAAAACCCTCTATTTCACATGTGTAGTGATAACCTCAATAAGGACCCTATTCTCCCTCTAGGAAATGGGACAGTAGACCTGAAATTACATCTTTCCCTTGGAATTTAATTCCTAAAGAAGACAAATTATTATGTTACTTTCACCCAAATGGAAATTCAGAAGGCCACAAGACCTATCTGGAGTTAGCTAAGGGGTTAAGATTCAGAGTCTTCCCGACAGTGTTTTTTCAAGGCATATTTTTAGAGTATCAGACTGAATCCCGGGGATTTCTGGGTGACTCTTGCAAAGGATTACAACTTAGCCCTGTGGTTGTGCTGCCAGGACACATACATCAGGATCTCAATAAATTGCAGTGCTTCAGGCTTAGACAAGCTTTGGGGGATTTTATTGTGATCATTATTTTAATTTCTGGAAAGAGATTGTGAAAGTTCTTCTCAAACCCATAGATAGGATAAGAGGATGATACACCAGTTTTGCACACTCAACTTAAATATTATTTGAAGGGAGAGAAAAGGAAATAATTCACTTGCTGTGTCTTGCTCTTAGATTCCAGAAATGAATCTACATTCCTAATTTTTCAAAGACATTTGATGGAAGCCTGTGCTTCTCAATTTACAAGACTAATTCACCCTCTACTGTCTTTATAGCTCAGATATATTATTTAGCATGACAATATCCATATATTTATAAAGCAGATCATTTTAATAATGCATAATAGTTATTGAGAATTTCAATTATAAACCCTTTATTTATGCTACTTTTTTTTTTTTTTTTTTTGAGACGGAGTCTCACTCTGTTGCCAGGCTGGAGTGCAGTGGCGCGATCTCGGCTCGCTACAACCTCCACCTCTTGGGTTCAAGCAATTCTCCTGCCTCAGTCTCCCAAGTAGCTGGGACTACAGGAGCACATCACCACACCCAGCTAATTTTTGTATTTTTAGTGGAGACGAGGTTTCCACATGTTGGCCAGGATGATCTCAATCTCTTGACCTCATGATCTGCCCATCTTGGCCTCCCAGAGTGCTGAGATTATAGGCATGAGCCACCACACCCAGCTGCTATTTATGCTACATTTTTATAATCAACTTGGATGGAAGACAGACAGAGCTCTACATTCATGACTACAAAATGTTTTATATGCAACTTCCTGAGTATAACCTAATTGCCTATAGAGAAAAAAAATGCTCTTCTAGAAGCACCTTCTGTTGAAGTATCTCATGTTCAGGAGAAATTGAACAAATGTGACAATGCAAACTTCATACCTACTTATGGTAGCACTCCAGGAGCCTGCCACACCTCCTGGAAGCTGTCAAATTCACTTCTGGGTCTCAAAAATGGGAATACAAACATTTTTCTAAGTTACTGCATAAGTCTTACCCAAACCTAGCAGAGGTCAAAGTCTCCTCCCTCACCGTTAATACTAAGACCCTTTTATCTAGGCAGTGGCTTTACTCTGTCCTACTAAGAGATAGGCTCTCCCTTCAACTGCTCATCTCAGACCAGGCCAGGTAATCAACCCTGCATCCACCACTCCCACCTTCAGAAGAGCCACCTCCTGCTGGGTCCATACTGGACCCTAATTCAGAGCAGGAACAACCTGATACTACACAGGAAACTAGCAGCAGCAAGGGAAAAAAAAAACAGCAAAAACAATAGAAAACTAGTCTCTGTCCTAATCTTTCTAAACAAGGTTTTCATACAGATGCAATTTGAACCATACTAAGAGCCCAGCATTAGATTTATGTTTGGATTTCCAGACCAACAAACACTTACTTGTTTTAGAGATTCAAAGAAAAACATGATGTGCAAAGACATGTCAGAATTAAGGATCTTGTTCAAAAATATGCTCTGTGCCAGGTGTAGTGGCTCCTGCCTGTAATCCCAGCACTTTGGGAGGACAAGGCAGGAGGATCACTTGAGACCAGGAATTCAACACCAGCCTGGGCAACATGGTGAGACCCTGCCTCTACAAAAATGAAGAAAACAATCAGGCATGGTAGTGTGTGCCTGTAGTCACAGCTACTCAGGAGGCTGAGGCAGGAGGATCGCTTCAGCCCAGGAGTTCCAAGCTGCAGTGAGCTATGATCACACTACAGCACTCCAGCCTGGGTAATAGAGCAAAACCCCGCCTCCACCTCAAAAAAAGAAAGGGGGGGTGGGCAAACATAAAAAAAAAAAATTCTGACTACATACAGAAAGTAAGTCAAAGTAATATAACTATATATCAAGTTCCAAAAACAAACAACAACTTCTTTTTTTTTTTAAGACAGGGTCTCTACTCTGTCACCCAGGCTGTAGTGCAGTGTTGTGACACATGGTTCACTGCAGCCTTGACTTCCTGGGTTCAAGTAAGCCTCCCTCCTGAGTAGTGCATGGTGGTGCATGTGCCTGTAGTCCCAGCTACAATAATGCACCAGTATGCATTATTTTTTATTTAATGTAGAGATGGGGTATCAATATGTTGCCCAGGCTGGTGTTGAACTCCTGGGCTCAAGCATTCCTTCCACCTTGGCCTCCCACAGTGCTGGGATAACAGACATTAGCCACCACACCTGTTCCCCAAAAAATTTTATTGGAAAATGTCTTCTTAGACCTAGCAAGGCCTCCAAATTAAATATATGTATGTAAATATATATTTGTCTGTATTTGTGTATCTTGACTCAGTATTATTGAATGTCAGGTTTAAAGGGGGCCCCAGGATACTGATGCTCAAATGATGATCTACAAGCCCATTAAACCACTATTGATGTTTGCAGGATCTAATTAAAATGATAGTAAAAGATGTGTGTGTGTGTGTGTGTGTGTGTGTGTGTGTGTGTGTAGCATTGTCAGTTTGTCACTATCCTTATCCCCAAAAGATCTATTCTCTATTGTGTCCTTCTGTTTTTTTGTAAAAATTATCTTTTATGAAATGATAGTTGTAGTAGAAAGTCGTTTTGGTTTTTTGTTGTTGTTTGGCTTGGGTTTTTTTAATTTGACAAAATAAAACATTGAAAACCTGGTAAGTCCACATTTTGGGGTGGCATGGGTATTTTACTGATCCTTGAAATTCGTACATCTGGGATGTATGACCTAGACAACATGTACCAAATCTATCTGATGTTTGAATGCTTCTTAGTAACTTTCACCTATTAGTCCTAGTTCTAGCTCCTGCACCCACACAGACTCAGCTGTCCCTGTTCCAGATGAAAGTCCTTTCTATAGCTGAAGACAGTGCTTCTGTTCCCCCTAAGATCTTTTTTTCTCCAGAATTAAAAATCTTCTATTGTCTTCAACTCTACTTTTGAGCCAGACCTCAAAATAGAGCCTGTGAGATAAAAGAAAACATTGAAAGAAAGAAATATGTATATACTTAAAGAAAGAAATGCCATTTCTTTTATGTTTTATAAATGAGGAAATTGAATCCAAGTGCTTAAGAGACATAACTAAGATCTAACAGTGTGTTACTGACATTCACTACGCAGCAAATCAAAACATCTTACCCTTGAGAAATGTTTGCATTAAAGCAAAGAACAAAAAGACAGTAGCAGATGCATGTAAATTGATTCAACAAATATTTTCAGTGTCTAAACTATGCCATGAATTACGGTAGCTAAAAGGAAACAGGTTCCCTGCTTTTGAGGAGCTTAGAAGCAAGAAATAGTAAGTAAATAAAATAGCAAAAATATGAAAAAGTAGCATGACAATAGAAACAACTACTTCAGTTGGGGAAGCTGGAAAGGCACAAGAGAGGAAGTGAAATTGAGGTTGGGCAATGAAGGATGAATAGGAATTTTCCAAGGAAGGTTAAGTGTGTTTGGAGGAAGATACAATGAGTTCAATTCCAGAGAGCTGAACTTCAGGTAATTTTGAGGCACCTGGAGGAGATAACCAAGGGGCAATTACACCATGAAAAAAGAAAATTGAAAAAAAACAGACATATGTGGTACATGCCCACAGAAAGTAGTGCTGAAAGAAAACTTTTTCATTTTTCTACCAGATTGGAAAATGCTTTGTATAAAAGTTTAAGATGAGTTTACTTTTAACTATATGGACAAGGAAGGTTTTCTTTCTAAATCATGATGGAGAAGTCCATTCTCATTGATAGCAACAAAATAAGAAAGAGAATAGGAAATACAGCTACCAAGGAGGTGAGTTTCAAAATAATGAGAATAAAGTTACTCAGTGTTAAACTTCCTATCTTTAACTTGTAGATACTTGTAGAGGTAGTGTTAGCTTTGAAATTTCTTGAGATTTCATGCTTAATAAGATTAATTTCACATAAATATGGAAGTTACTTCTTGATACTTGGTAAGCACTTTGAAGTTATTTTTATCCCAGTACAGACAGGTAGTTTCATTTGGAGTTCAGGCAGATCAGGATTACTCCGTAGTGAGAACAAGTACATTCAATACAACAGGCTGCATTTGTATGACACAGTTCCACTATGATCTCTTCAACCACGTGCCCGGTGGGCCTGCCTCCTCCATGCTCCCCCTACCACCCACAGACTTCCACTCCTGGTGTCTTACGGAACATAAACATAGACATCATCACCTCAGCTTCCAGAAACACTTAAACACAATACCGTGCACATAATAGCAGCTTAGTAACTATTCCAAACACGATAATTACAATTCTAAAAAACTAAATAAATTTGAATCAACAATACCTAGCAACAGTGCCTGTTCACATGCTTGGGATATGTATTTGGAGGTCTTTTAGCAGGCATAGATCTTGGAGAAAACTTCTTGCAGGTACTCCTTCCTTTTTACCCATCTCTTTGAAAGTTTCAACTCGAAATTTTAAATAATATCCTGGATACTCTATTTGGTTATGTTAACCTCTAATACTACATTTAAACTTACTGAATAAAATGATCATTCTGTCCTGGGGCTTCTATTTTGAGTTTTCTCTTGGCACCATTTTAGCATGCACTTAAAAATGGGATTTTTTTTTTTTTTTTTGAGCTTGGATGAGATGCAGAATAATTTTCTGTTATGCATGACTGAGAGGCAGGAAAGATATTTCAGAAAAACAAAGCTGTCTCTAAGTGGTTATAAGAATAATTTGAGATAGGACCGCTAGAGAATTTAATTTTAGCAGTATTAATATGTGGAACAAAATACTAAAATGTTGCTTTCATACTTTTTGGTACATTGTTAATCATACATAACAGCTAAGATTAATTCAAACTTTGGTTGCATCTAAAGAATTCTCTATTTTCCTGCATTATTCTGTAAATATGAGATGAATAAAAGCATTTCAGTCTGATGTTGTTAATTATCTCACCCCTTAGTCATAGATAAATCCCATGGAAATGGCCTTTGTAAATGCACTCTAATAACGACCCCAGATCATTTAATTTATGCACAAAAGTTGCTGTAATTATTTCTCTTGGTAGCTTGTTTTAACACATTGATAGCAAGAAACTCAAGAGCCTCTATTAAAAATATAGAGCTTCAAAATAAAAAACCAAGACTTAGATACAAACTATTCAAGGATATTGTTCTCTTGGGCTGTTGGTCAGCCTCTCTCCAGTTTAAACTGCCTCTCAGCAAAAATGCCAAGATAGTTTCAGAGAATATTACACTCAAAAATATTGCCTCTATATATATTGGCAGTGAGCATTGTCTGGGAAGGAATAATATTATCTCAGAAGGCTACAGAAATTGTTCAGTGAAAAATAATGAAGTAAATTCAATGTGGCAATTCAAAACATTGAAAGTAAAGGCCTATTTTACAAAGGTTTTCAAAGCTAATTTGAAGTTTTCTTTTGAAAATTTTTGACTCCAGCATAGACCCTACTCCTAAGGCTTAGTAAAAAAAGAAAAAAAATTCTCCTTTGTAATGAATGCTTCAAAGAAACTTCTGAGCAATAACTTGTGGTACTGTGAGATAATTCATTTTAAAGCTAATTGTGAAAGCAAGGCCATCATTTAAAGAAAATCAATGGACAGTTTTTCCAGCTAATCACAGAACTGATGTATTCCTTGTTCTCTTTCTCCTTGACTTCTTTATACCACTAAATACAGTTGAAAACATTTGCCCCTTTTCCTCTGGTCATAGCGCTTGCCTTGTTCTTTACCTTTCTCTCCAACCATATTCTAGGTCCCTCATCTCTATGTTACCTTCTATCCCCCTCTGATCATTAACTCACCATCAAAATCTTAGCCATGTAAAGCAATGGGATTCTTTCTTTAACTTTATGATTTCCCACATCAAATTTAATGCTGACTGTTTTAGTTCTAGCAAAGGCATATTTATTCTTCCAACCACTCAGAATTACAACCTCGGTCAACTGATTATCTCATACTCATGCCCCATATCTAGTTAGACATCAGCCCCTCTGGATGTTTTCACTGTAATGTCACCTAACAGTATTCATTTCTGTGTGATGGGATTTTGTAATAAGTGTATATTAATTATTTAAGCACACACAAAGTATATCTCTAACATATTCATAGGCAATACAATCCCTATAGATCTATATCTTCTATGTGTCTTGTTCTTATCTCATTGTTAACCTTTCTATTCATCTTTGCTTGATTTTCCAGCTCATTTCACACGTCCTCAATCTCCCACTTCTCTCCTGTACATGTAAAGTAGACAACTTCACGTCTTACTTGGCTAAGAAATATTGAAGCCTTCCAGTGTGGGTTGTCCCCATTTACATTCTTAAAAACCCTCAATATTTTACAGAATCCTCATTCATTCTTCACTTTCTTCATTTTCCAAGTGGTCTTGGTTCTTTGCCTTTCTATCTGTTCTTGGATCTTGGCCCATCAATCAATTATGCCCTATCCCTCTCTGGCATTTTCTACCTCCTTCTGAAAAAACAACTTCTTCCCTTCTACCTGCAACATTCTCAAGAACTTCATCTGAGAAAAAAAGGGCCTTCTTTTAACCCTGCTAATCTCTAAAACTACCAGGCCAAGTCTCCCTTTCCTTCACACTACTCTTCTTGAGTGGGCTCTGCCTCCCCTTCTTAATTTCCCACTGACTTCTCAACCCACTGTATTATTTTCAGTCTTGAGCACTTTGCTGAAATAGCAATCTTGAAGACCATTGCTTAATTACTAAAAGCCAAATCCAATAGCCTCATTGCAGTTCTTAGTCTTCTCAGCTTCTCTGGTACATTTGCCACTGCCAACTGCCTGCTGATTCTCAAAATTCTCTCTTCTATTGGCCCCTGTGATTTTCCAATCCCCTGAGTCCCTTTCTATTTTCTTGAGCCTTATTAGGTTTCATTTTTGGCATGTCTTCCTCTTTCTATCCTTTAATTATAGATTTCTCCCAAGGTTCTATTGTTAACCCTTCCCTTCTCTCTGTATATTATTTTTTAGGCCAATTTCACTGGCTTGCATGTGGCTAGCAAATCTGTATATCTTCCTTTTCTCTTGAAATGCAGACCAGATTTCTAACCACTACCCAAACAGCTCCATTTGGTGTTTTGCAGGCACCTTCAACTCAACATATACAAAATGTAGCTTACCACTTTCCCTATAAACTTCTCATCCTTGCCTGAATTTTGTTTTATCAATTTCCTTTCATATTAAAAAAAAAATCCAATAGAATTATTCTATTTACTATCCCCAAACACAGCTCAACCATTACTTCCTAGATATTTTAAGTTATCCTCATTAATGGAATTACTTTCTTCTCTCTTTCTAGCCATCCAAATACTACGTAACTTTTCAGATTTAGTTGTTCAGTCTCTACTGTTCCACGGTCTGACCACTTCTCTCCTCTGATTCCTACATCACTGATGGTCCCTTTCTTTGTTTCACATTTAACAGATTGTTACTTATGACTCATTTATTTTCTATCATATTTTCATTTAACTTATTAATATGTCTATAACCTATTTACTAAATTTGATTGCAATTTTTTTCAAAAGCATCACTCATAGATTATATTTCCTCAATCTACCTCTCTCATTCATGTATTCAAAGCATGTTTGTGAGGTATGTATTTGTCTTGTTCTATTCAGGCTGCTATGACAAAATGCCATAAATTAGGTGACTTATCATAACAGAAATTTCTTTCTCACACATCTGGAGGCTGGGAAGTCCAAGATCAAAGCTCTGGAAGATTTGGTGTCTGATGAGGGTCCACTTCCTTGTTCATAGATGGCCATCTTTTCACTGTAACCTCACATGGCAGAAGGGGCAATGAAGCTATCTGTTTGGTTTTTTTTTAATAAGGGTACTAATTCCATTTATGAGGTCTCTATCCTTATCACCTAATCACCTCTGAAAGGCCCCAACTTCTAATACTATTACATTGGGTGTTAGGATATCAACCTATGACCATTGGAGACACACAAATATTCAGTCCATAGCAATACTATATGACAAACACAATGTTAGACTCTGGGAAAAGATATATATATATCATGTTCCTGCCAATGGAGGAATTTACCGTCCAGTAAAAGTGTCAGAAGTAAAAACAGATAGGTACAGCAATGTTATACGTGTTAGAGATGTATATGGTAGGCTTTGGGCACACAAGAAAGTAATGCCTTAAGGGAATTAAAGTTTGTCCCAAAAGATGCCACTTAGGTTTATTTTTAAAGGAGGAATAATATTTAAGAACGTAGACAATGACAAAAGGGCATTCTGGGCAGAGAAAAGATAAGTAGTCTAAAAAAATATGTAATTAATTTTCAGAACACAGGTAATTACACATGGGAATACTAGGATAGTGACAAGAATTTGGAAAGACAAGAATCACAAAAGGCTTTAAATATCAAGCTAAGGGTTTTTATTCTATCCTGGGGACAATGGGAAGCCATGGGAGGCGGATTTTAAAATATAACCTTTTCATTTAAGTCATACATACAGAAAGGTGCACAAACCGTAAGTTTACAGCTCAATGAATTTTCACAAAGCAAACACACCTGTACAAACAACACATAAATTAGGAAAGAAAATACTACCAGAACCAGTGGAAAGATTTTAAGCAATGGAAACATATTATCGGACTTGATTTTGAAAGATCTTTCTGGTTCATTGGGTAAGGAAACTGTTGGCAGGGAAATCATTTCAATTGTAAAGGCAAAAAATCACAAAGGCCTTAAAGTACTGGAACTGTGAATAGAGAGGAAGGATTATGTTTAAGAAATATTTAGGGCTGGGTACAGTGGCTCACGCCTGTAATCCCAGCACTTTGGGAGGCCGAAATGGGCAGATGGCTTGAGTTCAGGAGTTGGACACCAGCCTGGCCAACATGGCGAAACCCCGAATCTACTAAAAATACAAAGATTAGCCGGCTGTGGTGGTGCATGCCTGGAATCCCAGCTACTTAGGAGGCTGAGGCACAAGAATCACTTGAACCAAGGAGGCGGAGGTTGCAGTGAGCTACGATCACGCCAGCCTGCACTCCAGCCTGGGTGACAGAGTGAGACTCTGAAAAAAAAAAAAAAGAATAAAGAAGGAAAGAAAGAAAGAAAGAAAGGAAGAAAGAAAGAAAGAAAGAAAGAAAGAAAGAAAGAAAGAAAGAAAGAAAAAAACAGAAAGAAAAAAGAAAGAAAGAAAAGAAAGAAAGAAAGAAAGAAAGAAAGAAAGAAAGAAAGAAAGAAAGAAAGAAAGAAGGAAGGAAGGAAGGAAGGAAGGAAAGAAAGAAAGAAAGAAAGAAAGAAAGAAAGAAAGAAAGAAAGAAAGAAAGAAAGAGGGAGGGAGGGAAGAAGGAAGGAAGGAGAAAAGAAAAGAAAAAGAAGGAAGGAAGGAAGATTTAGGAGGCAAAATTAAGAGACTTTTTAATAAATCAATGTGTGAATTGATGGAGAAGTAGAATCGTGGAATCTAAGACATGCAACTGGGTTAATGATGGTGCTGGGTAGTTTGCAAAGATAACCACAACAACCCCTCCCATTCATGAGTGGATATTATTTTGTAATTGACTTTGCCACTTCTCCTGTCAAGAGGGAGAATCTATTTCCCCATCGCTGAACTCTGGGCTGGCTTTGGGACTTGCTTTGACCAATAGAATTTGGCAGAAGTAGCATTTTGTGACTTCTGAGGATAGATTTCAAGGGGCCTAGCAGCTCCTGCTTTAGTCCTCATGGATACTGCCCAGAGTCTGCCATAGATAGACACTAGTCCTAGAAAATAAGAGAAAATATGGTGTGAGGGCCATTAGGTGGGCTGGGGTAGGGGTGGGAGAAGGCATGCTAGCCAATAGCCAGAACCAACTGTAAAACAAATGCATGATGCCATCTTAGACCTTCCATCCCAGATGACTTTCTAGCTTAATGCATGAGTAATCCCAGGAAAAAAAAAATGCCAGAACTGCCAGCTAACCAATGGAATCATGAGAAAGAATGATTTGTTGTTATCTGGGGTGATGTGTTGTGTAGCAATAGATAACTAAAATAAAAATTGGCACTTGGAAGTAGAATAGAGCGATACCATAACAAAAACTTAAAAGATATAGCATTTGTTTGGTGACTGGCAGCCGGTGGAGGCTGGAAGGCAGTGAGGAGAATGTCAGTGAAAGCCATGAGGCATTGTTATTAGAAGCAGGAATAGGATGACTTGTGTTATGAAATGGTGGAACAACTAGCAAATATATCAGTTGTGGTAATTTATTATAGAAGATATATAATTTGCCTACCAAGATTTTGGATTTCCAGGTTGAACACTGAACTTATCAAGTGGCTTTTTTTACCTGGGTATGATAAAGAATTGCAAAATAAAGATGAGCTGAAAAGGAAATTATTTCATTTACCAGCATAATTTACAGGAAATATAGATGGGTCAGGATTTGTTAAGTTGGAAAACAAAACTGTTTCTCATCCCCATTCTCTTCAGAAAGCAACAGATTTTCAAAGTTAGAAATGGTAACAAGATAAAGATCAAACCAAGAATATGGTTTATTGTAAGATCCCTTGTTAAGACCTCTGAAAGATTTTAAATAGTGACTAGTAGATAGATTCAGTTGGGGAAAAAAAGTCTTCCAAGAACCTAAAGTTACTGCCCTATGGCAGCCTTACAACTAACTCAAGGTAGAGGGAAAGGTCTGTCTCAAAAAGAATTATGGATGTGACTGACTTGCGGGGCATGGGAATCCAATCGGATATATAGGAAACTCACAATGTTTTAAGAAAATTATATCACCTTTGACTAAAAGGTCCAAAGATCATTCAAAATGAAAAGAGAGCTCTAGGCCCTAATTTCCTATTGGCAAGAAGCAGACTGAGAAATGTACTCAGCTGCAAACATGGTTCACTTCTTAAAGAAAAACAAGAACCCAGAATATGAAGCAAGAGCCCTGAGTGTAGAGCCAAGAGACTAGGGGAACAATGGGTTAGGGAACCACTGAGAAAGCAGAATATACTCTAATTAAAGAAAACAGGAGAAATTGGAGAAACTGGTGACATGTACCTGGCTACAGAATTGCTACAGACTAGTTGTTGGTCTTCCTCCTTTTGAATGGGAGCATCTGTTGGAATGATCTGTTTGGATGTGTGAAGTGTGGGTGGCTAGGTCTTTTAAATTCACAGATCTCTGGAACAGGATCCACACCCAGGACAAGACTGAATGTACAGGAAATTTATTTAGGGAAGTGCCTGTGAGAGAACATGGTAAGGAAGCCTATAAAGGCCAGATGCACGAGTCTGCAATGCCATTCTGACCCCAAGTGAAGGAGAGAAGGAAGGAAAGGTGGATGGAAGCATCTTAGACTGCTGTGTGGTTGTAAGGAGTGTTTGGCAAGGTCACCGGAGAAGACTCATACCAACATCACTTATCATAGTAGTCCCTCATTTCCAAAAATTAGCCTTCCATTGTATCCCTTCTGCACCTTGTCATTGTCTGGGAGCAGCCCATGGGAGGTTGGCCACAGTGCAAATACAGGAAGGATTGTGAAGCACAGAAGCCAGCTGTGCATAAATCAGTTACGCTCCCTACTGTCACTGATCTGAGAGATGCCTTCACGTAGCCACCACAAACCACCACCTGACAATTCCCAAACCCTAATCTCCAAGCCTAGCTTCTGTTTAAGAATTCGAATCATAATTTTTTTTGTCACCAATTATGTTCAGCAGAGGCCCCAAATACACCTCATTAATAAGTCATTATTGAGTCCCTATTATACACCAGACATTGTATTATTCTGAAGAAGCTCATAGACTGAACAGAGAGATAAATATGTAATAAATCATTACAAATCATATGTTCTTTCAACAAGTATTGACTACGAACCTATTATATACCAGGCACTGGTAAAAGTGCTGGAGATATAACAGTAAATAATACATGACAATGTGCCCTACTTGGATGACTGGTGCCAGCTGGATAAGTCAAATAAATAGCCACATAATTATCATACAATGTAGTATGTGAGTTAGAAAAGACATTCTCTACAGCTTAAAGTACAAATAGTAGCTGGAGCTGTTCATGTAAAAAAGGGGAAAGGCAGGGTTTCCCAGATTCTCAGAACAGCGTAGGCAATGACATGTAACAATGTAGTTTGTAAAAAACTACCTGATCTTAGTTGTCGCAACTGGCAATTTAGTAACTGAAGTGAAAAATAACAAGTCCTGAAGTTGAATGTTTGCTGAATGAATGAACAGTTATGGAAGGAGAAAGGGGGTGTGGAAAAGATGAGAAAGATATTTAAGAAATACAATTGTGAGGATTTGGTGAAAGATTGGATTTGGGGTGGCAGAAATAAAGAATCCTCTCAGTCTTAATATGTCCAACACTTGTCTCACCTCCTGTGTTTTATCTCTTTCTTATTCCACCATTCACGAAGGTGCTCTAGTTGGAAACCATAGAGCTTGGTATGCATGCCGTAAATGCGTATTGAGTAAATTAATTAATATGAGTCAAAAACATGAACTGATGTCATTGCCTGTATTATCAGGGTTCTTAGCTGCAAGCACAAAATCTATTCTGGCTAATTTAAGCAGAAAAATGACTTATTAAAGGGTATTAAATAGCTCACAGAAAAAGGAGGGAGCTGGAGAAACAGATTGGAAGTTGAGCTTTTAGGAATAATGCGCAAGACCAAACAGCAGAACTGGATGAGAGGAAATCGTGCCACCACCTCCAATGCTAAGAACTGAGCACTAGGAACTTGACTGGCATGGCTGCTGCAGATGGCACCACTGCCACTCTTCATGATGTATTTGGCCTTCCCAACACCAAACTGCTGCCACCCACAGCAGCAACGACAAAGTCTTACGTGAAGCCTGTTTCCTTAGGCATCAAGTCTTGTATGGGCTTATCTGATTGGTGGAGCCTGAGTCACTTGCCTGAATCTCAGCTTCATGGAAGACTGAAGGATTTGAGTTTTATCTTCAAAGTCAGAACACCTATGTTGAGAAAGTGGCATTCAATGTGAGAAATTCCCCAAATATGGAACGTATTCAAGCCATGATGGGCAGTCATGCAGATGATGAGCATAACTTCACTCATCTTGTGATTTTTATCTAACAATTAACTTAAATGCCTATTTAGAAAAGGCTCCAAGCAAACCATCCAAAATTAAAAAGGAATAGTCCCTGTCTTAAAGTACACATTTCAGAAGTTAAAACCCCTTTAAAAACTGTGAGACTGTTCCGTCCTGCAAACAAAGATAGCATGTCACAAGTTTTGATTGCAACTAATGTGTGACACTGTTTTAAATAAACAGGTCTATGTTCCTCAAAACACATCCTCTTTCTCCAGGTGTACAAAGTTGGCTGACAATTTCTTCCATTTAGTGGGTTCCATTATTTATCTTGGATTGAATAACAGTCTATTTTCTTCTTTCTTCTTCAAATTGAACAGTTTGGGAGTAGCTGTGTATTATTCTGTCAGCTATCACTGCTAGTTCTTGAATAAAATTTGCTCAAATATTTCATAGTCTAATCCAGTGCCTCCAGTAGAACTGTCTGTGATAATAGAAATGTTGTGTATCTGTGGTGTCTGATCAGAAACCACTAGCCACATGAAGCTATGGAGCCCTTGAAACGTGGCTACTGCCAGGGTGAGATTGAATTCTTCATTTAAAATTTTAATTTAACTGTAATTTATCTAAACTGAAATAAATTGTCACATATGGCTGGTGGCTAGTTAATTAGACAATGTAGGTCTAAAGCTTAAATATTCAAAAAATAATCCTAGGCTCTTCAACTTCCAGCATTCTTTCCTTTACCTCTCTTCAACTAAAATATTACTAACTTTAAGATCTGGGATTGGGTCATTCTCCCTTTCTTTAAAGTTCATTGAAAGTCCCTGGCATAGAGTTACATAAGTGTCTCCTTTATTGGAATCAGTCAGAACTGGACACAATCCAATGACAAAATCAAGATGACCTAGACAACTGGCCACAAGTTTCCTTGATCCATCCCGATCTCACTAGAAGAAAAATCCAGTGATTAACAGTGAAGTGGTTTTTACAAAAAAAATTAGACCAGGTTATATACATATCCATTTTAACAATAGAGAGCTAGACAATTCATATTAATTACACATACACTTTAAAGTCTAGTCACAGAAAAAATGGCCACAATGCTATTAACACAAATATGCATCACTACAATTGTAGGATTAATTGTATGATCTTAAATGAAAATAAATGCATAATGATGAAATTAAACCAATCACAATTTAGGTTTTTTAAAAAAGACAGTAGTGATGAAAACCACACCAAAGTAAGTCCACACCGATAAGGCACCTAGAAAGCAATTCTCACTCACATGCATGCTCTTTGGGAACCTGCTTCCCAGCCAAACAATGTGTTGCAGCCTGAATTCTTAGCATTACCTAGATTCAATTTTAGTTTATAAATACAAAATTTTATAACTCATTTGAGAGAGCAGTTAAATTGAATGCAAATTTACATCCACATAAGTTGCGTATCACTCCCCTGGAAAACCTGAAGGAAGGACATGCTTTGCTTTAGATTGATTCACAGCCCCAACCAAGGACTCTCACACCTTAAGAACCCATGAGCCAGAGAGGACCTTAATTGAATTTGGACTCTGCCATTGTGTTCTCCTCATTTGGGCCACAGTCTCCAGAATATAAATAGATAAACAAGCAGATCAGATAAGCAAGGGTCAGACACATGATATTTTACTGGATTGGACATTAAAATGCATCCTTATCTACACTGAGATCAGTTTTTTAATCTTCTAAGATGTAATCTTCTCCATTGTGAAAGCCATCTCGATCACTACAAATGAAATCAGGGAGGAAACGAAGTAGGGGAAACTGGAAAACTCAGAGGGGTCTGCAAAAGTGTCATTCAGAGCATGGACAAAGACATTAAAGCAATGTGACCTCTCCCAAATATATTTAAGTCCAGCTCTGTTCCTTGGCATTCTTTAAGAAAGTGAAATCTCCCAGACAGAAAATCATTTACTTATTTATTCATTCAACAATATGTATTGGGGCCCTGCTTAACAGCCTCATCCTAGGTAAATAAATACAGAGAAACATAAACACTGTTCCTACCTTCCAGGGATTACAAGCTACTCACTGACACTAATTTACCAGGCTCATTCTCAGCCTGAAGTGACAAAATTCAGTTCATCTTAGCATTAGGTGACACTCATTTTTTTTAAAGGATGGCACATCACATCTAAATGTTCCAGAAGTTCTAATTCATTTAACTATTTTTATATTATTACAGTACTGAATAGAAACAAAATAACTAAGGAATCACTTATTCATAGCAATAATCACAGCATTATGATAATCAATTGGATAAAATGGTAATATTTCTATGAGAAAGATCAGTATATAAAAGTCACCCCTGAACATCTAGAAAATTCAGAAGTCAGATGGAAATCAAACATCAGAGTCTTTATTTTTGAAGAGTAATATAATATCCAATGTATTGAGAATAGTTTCACAACCAGGGACAAAGATAATCTTTAGAAAAATAGAACATTAAACTAGTTTTAATATTTCTACATGTAAAACATCGTGTTCAATGTGAAGCATAAATGAAAGTTTAGCCCTCCTCAATCTAACCTCCTTCCATCAATTTAATAGTAGGGACTACTGGCAGGCATTTTTACTCAGCAGCTCCTTCCACTACCTGGAGGTAGAGAAGAGTAAACCAATAAATTAATGCTGTTTCACATTATCTTTGTGAAAATCCTTAGAAGATTTTCTGTGACACGTTCATGACAGATTTCCAAATATAGAAATATGGATAGCTGCCTGTCCAGAGAGACCACTCCTTATACATTTTCATATACTATAACCTCCAGCTTAGGAAGCAGACACAAGCAAATCTTTTAAGCTCCTCTTCCATATACATTCATATTCTACAGCACTAATCTCCAAAGCAATGTGCACATACCCCTGCAGGATACAAGATAATTCATCGGAATTCTGAGAAGAATTTGGAACATTTGCTTGCATGTATATAAAAAAATAAGAAATAGATTAAGATGACTACACACAACAGCCCTCATGTGGTCCACATGTCAGATGGTCACACATGTGCACAACACAAGAGGTCTCCAGAGGGAAGCAGAGGAGTTCCATGACACTGAGCGACTGGTATTGGCAACCCCACCCAATCTTTGCCTCTAGCATATTGCAATAAATTGTTGTTTGCATGCACTTTGTTAAGTGTATTTAAAAATTCTTTCATCTATATTAGTAGAATCCCAGGCACCGGAGTCTAGCTGTCAAAAGCAGAGTTGTTAAAGCCAAAATGGCTAGGTCCAAATCCTGCATGATTTTGAATAAATTTGTTGTTATTTAACTAATCTCTGCCTTACCTACCTCATCTGTAAAATAGGAATAAAACCTAACTCATAATGTCATTATGAAATTAAATTAGTTAATATTTGTAATAAAGTGCTTACAATAGCTTGTAGCAAACAGTAAGCACCATATAAATCTCTCTTAAATAAATATGTGCTCATGAGATGAGGAGTATGCCTGAAAATATCTTGCACTGCAAAGAGATTCAATGATTAGCTTGTGGCAAAATATTTCAAACTCTTGTCAAATTAAAGATGAATTATATTTTAATCTTCATTAGTAGAATTCCAGGCATCAGAGTCTAGTTGTCAAAAGCAGAGTTGCTAAAGCCAAAAGGCATGTAATCCAAATTTGCTGATCTTTTCTGTGATAAGTGGCTGTTAATACTGAATGTTCTAGCAGATATTAAAAAAAGAAAAGAAAGTTGGCTGATATTTTCTGTGAAGTCAAGTGCCTCCTACAGACATGTTATACACACTAATATGTCCTATCAAGGTAAGGGTGATATTTGAGCAATGAGTAGAAAGTAACTGCTTCTTTTTGAGTGGTATGAAAGCAGTATACTGAAAATGAGTGTTCAGAAAGAATGTTTCTATCCTTGTGTGACTTTTTTGTGATATGATATGTGTCATCCATTAGCATTTTTATTTCTACACACAGAAAAACTTGAAAACAGAAGTTTATAATTTGCTTTGTAAAAATCCAAAGAGTTGCATTTGTTTGAATGCATTTGTTTGAAGAGTTGGAATTGTTTGAAAAATTTTAAATGCAACAATATCCCATTTGTACTTTATATTTTTATTTATTTTTTAAAGTGGGGCTTGTTTTATCTTTGCCACATTATTTATAGATTTTCCTTTTGTGTTGTATGCTCATGTTGTATTAGTCAAGAAGAAACATGTATATAATTTATAAATAAGTAAATAAGGGCTATATAATAAAAATATATTTTTAATAATTTGGGTGCATGATTGAAAAAAAAAGAGACCACCATTCTACTATCTGGAAACAGTAATCACTGAATGCCTTCTATGTGCCAGGAACTTATCATACATGATTTTATTTAATCCTCACAATAACTCTAAGAGATAGGCATTCATGTTATTTCTATTTTACAGAATAGGAGATTAAGGTTAAAAAGGTGTTAAATCATTTCCCCAGAGCCATAGAGCATGTAAGTGATTGAATCAGGTTTGGAACACAGGTTTATCTGGCTCCAAGGGCATGATCTTGGCCATGCTTAATGGCCAATTTCCTAAATACAGAACAGAGGGACTGTGGTGGTATTGCATGGCAAAATAACTTGAACAGAATAACAGCAGAAAATTCAGATTGCTTAATTTATAGTAAAGACATTTAACTGTACTTTGGTTACATATGCGCAGCCTTCAACTTTCAAATGGTTTGTACTCTAAACTTGGAAATCCCTTGTTAGAAATGTAGAATGCATTTTATTCTGGCAACAGGATTAAAGATAGTGGCTGAATTTCTGGATTATACAGAATCCTATTTTTCTCATAATATATCTGAAATATTAGACATTAGCAATGAAAAATAGTAGAAAACTAAACTTCGGCAATGTCAGTAATTAAACACATACACAGAATCAGAATATTGCTACTTAAGGAAAAACATGTTTTAAAGTACTATGATAATGCATAGGGTAATTTTGTGCATGCATTCAAAGGAATAATTTCTAATTTTCATGGACTGTAGAAGTTAATGGCATTAGTTCTTCACAATGCCTAATTTAACGTCAAAGTATATAAATTTAATTTCCTCGATAGAGGTGAATAATTAGTGTTCTTTTACTTTTATTAGAATTAAGGCTGTCTTTTGAGCAAATGGAAAAATGGGAAAGTGAGCAGACAGAGAGGGGTTGAGACTTTGGTTTTCCTGAGATAATTAGGAAAAGTTAGAAGAAAAAGAGGAAAAAAAGGAGATTAATGATACGTGTATACCTGTGGGAAAAAAAAAAACCAAACTATTGTCTTTAGTAAAACTGGCTGACCCTTGGGATGCAGAAAGTCAACCGGAGCATGGCCCATGCTTATTCAAGCCCATTCGTGTGGTTCTGCTAGGTGCCCAGCACATCGTGTATTGTAATCTTGGTTAATGCGTTTGGATGATATAGTGCCCCTTCTCCCAAGGTTGCCAGACCCTCGGTTCTGTTGGTCCAGGGCAGTTTGGTTGATGGTAGTAGTGGTGGGCAATGGGTGTCTGTGATGAATGGATGTCATCTAATGTCTCTAATGCCAGAAGAACGGCCTCAAGGTGGCTTTGATCACAGTGAATAACCAATGCCCAAATCATGTGTCCAGGATTTTAAATTCAGGAAAACTTAAGATGAAGCACAATTTTTTCAATGAATTAAATGAGCAACCTCCATTGAAAGAAATATTTAACAAGGCATCTTTGAAATCTCCCAGTAGTCTCTAATTCACAAGAGGAAAAACATTAGAATTGGAATGGTTTTTGAAGACCAGGTCATCCTCCTTATCTTTAAGAGATTTATTTTCTGTGTCAGCTCTCCCAGATTGCTGAACTTAGAAATATACCGCCTACCTCCATTTTTTTTACAATATACTTCAAAATTTATTGTAATTTAACTTCTTAACCCGTGCCCTCTGTAACCTTAAGATAGGGCATAAATTGATATGACTTACCCCCTTCCTTCTTGAAACTCTTTTCTTCTACTTAACTCTTCTTACTCTTCTACTGTGTAAAATGCTCCATTTCTGTCTCTCTCTGTGACTTTACATTTACTACACTTCTAAATTTAAGTGTCCCTTGACATTCTTCTTTCAGCTCTATTTTTCTTCCTTACACTCTTCCATGGGATGTCATCCACACACTACTTGAGCAATTACTACCATTGAATAACTCCCTGATGTACATCTCTATGTACCCCACATTTATATATCTTGACCTCTAAAGTCTCATTACTTTCCATCAACATCTGACAGCAAATCAACTTGCTAAATTCAGTAGATTCTATTCCATCAGTGATTTTCCCATTCAGTCTCTCTATACAGTCATACCATCACCTCAAGAATTTGGAGGCAATAATTACATCCACCCTGGGCTGTCAAATAGCAACCCAAATACTCCCTGCTTCCAGCTTTTCTCTGTGGATTCCATTTGCTCAAGTAACCTTCCGCAAGCATTTTCTAAACATATAGTGTCCTTGTTCAAAAACATTTGACAGCTAACAGAAGATTATATACATATACATAAAATGTATATACATATCTACATATGTGTGTGTTTTTTATTATACAGGTATACAGAAATTAGTTTCAATGACTTTTGGTATGCCATTCTCTCCACAATATGGCCACAGCCGATGAATATAATGGGGCAGTTTAACATACTGGTTAAGTGCATGGACTCTGAAGCCTGACTATCTGGCTTTGAAAACCAGCTCTGCCAATCAGTAACTACGACAGAGAGAATTCTAACATGGCCCTAAGAGTCCTGGCTCCTGGTGCACACACACCTTTTTCCAGTTATTCAGTCAAACAATAATCTAGGCACTGCCTGTGAAGGGATTTCATAGAAGCAATTAAGGTCCCAACTCAGTTACCTTAGGATAGGGAGACCATCCACGTGGGCCTCATGTAGTCAAACAAGCCCTTTACAGACTGAGAGTCTCCTCTAGTGACTAGTACACAGGCAAGTCAGAGATTCAAAGCATCAAAAGGATTCAATGCGCTGATGCTGACTACTTGAAGATGGAGAAGGCCACACGGCGAGGTATATGGGCTGCCTCTGAGGACTGAGAGTGGCCCAGCTGACAGCCAGCAAGGAAACGGGGACCTCAGACTTATAGCTGCAAAGAAATGAATTCCGCCAACAATAAGAACGAGTATGAAAGCTGATTTCCACCCCCAGACTCCAGATGAGAGCTCAGCCTGCCTGACACTGCGGTTTCAGCCATGTGATACCCTGAGAACCTAGCAGTGCTGTGCTGGAATTCCGACCCACAGAACTGGGGGCTAACAGATGGGTGCTGTTTTAAGCTGCTAAATGTGTGGCAAATGGCTACACAGAAATAGAAAACTAACACAAGCTTCATGACATGGCAGCTATCTCCCCCCAGAGTGAGACAGCAAGGAGGTAACCGCAATGCTTTTTTGTAGAAAAACAATGCCAGAGTCTACTTGTTAGAAGTCGTCAAGTCACTAAGCCCAGCCGACACTCAGTGAGAGAGATATAAGGCACCATCCCTTAAAAGAAAGAGTATCAAATAACCTATGGACATATGGTAATTTTTAAGTTACCATAAGCCAGGCATAGTGGCTCATGCCTGTAATCACAGTACTTTGGGAAGGTGAGGTGGGAGGATAGCTTGATCCTGGAAGGTCAAGGCTACATTGAGCCGAATTTGTGCCACTGCACTCCAGCCTGCATGACAGACGGAGACCCTGTCTCAAAAAAAAATAAGAAAAAGAAAAAAAAGAAAGAAAAAAGAAAAGAAAACCTACCATAATAATAGTAATCATTAACGCTTTCTTATTTTTACTATTGCTAGGTAATAGCTTATTTAACCCCAAAAACAACCTTCTAAAGTAGGTAGTATTTTTACATACCTTTTAAGGGTGAGGAAAGTGAAGCACAGAGAAGGTAAGTAATTTGCTCAAGATCATGACTGGCAGCTGGCTGTGCTAAATGCCAGTCCCCAAATCTTAACTCTGAAGCCTAAGCTCCAACCCACTATGTTAATTTTAGCTATACACTTGAAAATATGCTTCATAATAAAATATTGGCCAATGAAAATGAAAACAATAATTGAGTGAGCTCGTAATTAGTTCAATGATCATTTTCAGAGATGACCAATTAATGACAAATTCAAAGTTGACCTGGGGTCAGGCTCTGTGGCTCAGGCCTGTAATCCCAAAGCTTTGGAAAACCAAGTCAGGACCCTCTTTTGAGACCAGGAGTTCAAGACCAGCCTAGGCAACATAGCGAGACCTTATTTCTACAAAATAGCAAATAAAAAAAAAACTTAGGTGGGCATGGTGGCACACTTGAGCCCAGAAATTCAAGGTTACAGTAAGCAATAATCCAGGCACTCCAGCCTGGGTGACACAGCAAGACTCTGTCTCTTAAAAAAAAAAAAAGTCACCTGGAAGGAAACATTCAGTAGTTTGTTTAGAATTCTATCACCTACATTTATTTCTAAAACAGTTTGTTAATGCCTTGAATATGAACGTCAATGGCATGCTTACTAAATTACTAAATGGTAAGAAGGTAGTAGAGTAGCTAATATACCAGCTGACAGAAACAAGATCCTAAAAGTTCTCACAGTATATAATTATGGGTCAAATCTAACACAATGAAATTTTAAATGATAAATTTAGAAATCCAGCACTTGAGTACTGGCTTGATGAGAAATAACTTGATATGCACTTACAAAAAAACAATTTTAGGCAGGTGTTAGTTGACTCTAAATTCAATATATGTCAACTCAGTGAGGTACCTGCCAGAAATTTGACTACAACCTTAGGTTGTATTAGAAGCAGAAGTGATGTTGCTCAGAATAGATCTACAAAAATAAATTCAGCACTGGTTGATATATTGCAAAGGGATGCAGGCTGCACGTGATGACTCATGCCTGTAATCCCAGCACTTTGGGAGGCTGCGGTGGGCAGATCGCTTGAGCCAAGAAGTTTGAGACCAACCTGGCCAACATAGAGAGACCTCACCTCTACAAAAAATGCAAAAATTAGCTGGGTGTGGTGGCACATGCCTATAGTCCCAGCGACTTGGGAGGCTGAGGTGGGAGGATATCTTGAACCCAGGAGTCAGAGGTTGAAGTGAGCCGAGATCGCACCACTTCACTCCAACCTGGGTAACAGAGTGAGACCATGTCTCAAAATAAAACACAAAAAGAGAAAAAGAGAAAAGGGATGAAGGAATGTACAGAGAACAGATTCACTAGAATTGCAGGAGTCTTAAAAAGCATGCCAAAGGAGAAACAATTGAAGGACTCAGGAATATCTAATTTCGAAAAGAGAAGAAAGAAAGGAGACTATATTTCCTGACTCAAATACTAGAAGAACTGATATGAAAAAAATTTCATTTTATTTTGTGTGGTTTCAGAAAGCAGAACTAAAATAAATGGCTAGTTCTTAGGAGGCAGGTTTTTGATCAATACAAGAACTCTGACAATTTCAGTCACCCGACAGCAGTCCAGGCTTCCTGAGAAGACAGTGACTTCTGAGTCACTAGAGGATTTCCAAGGGCAGCTGAATGGCCACTTGTCAGACCTTGTAGGGAAGATCGATTTTGCAGGTGGAGAGTTGGAATAAATTACTTCATCACATTCAAACTCTAAATGTCTTCAATCCTATGCTATGATTCATTGATACTTCTTCAACCTTAACTTTCACTGTTTGGCCTACTAAACCATGCCTGCCAGCAAAGCATGGATAGTTTGTGTCCTCTGTAATTACCTTTCATTTCTTGGCTCCACACCTTTTCTCATCTGTTTTCACCTGGACTGACCTTTGCCATCTTATGAGATTGGCAAAACCATAGCCATTCTTAAAGATCAAGCACAAAGCTATCTTATCCCTGATACTTTGTCTAATAATTGATCTAATTATCCTCTTCACTCTCTTAGTACTATGTTCATCTCTCTAGTACAGCTTTATGATATTCTGTCTGGTATTATACATTTTTATAGCTGTTTTTATTCGCTATAGAATTGAAATCTACTTGAAGGCAAGGGCCATAGATTGTTCATTTCAGCATTCAAGTGCAATTTTTAATACAACTGCCTATGACTGCCCTAACAATAAATACTTACTAAATAGGATTTGACACAGTTGCTGCGTAAACTCAACAGTGAGATTGGAAGGATAATTTAAATGTATTTTCTGCTTAAACGAACTTCTGAAGCAGAATACCTATGCCTCTCTTTCATTGACCCTACTACTAGTTCCTTTTCTTTTTTCTGCCTATTTTTTTTGTTGTGCTAAAATATATAATATTACCATTTTACTTATTTTAAAGTGTACAATAGAGTAGCATTTAGTATAACTGTCACCGCTATGTAGTTCCTTTTTGATCATCCAAAAAGAAGACACCATACCCCTTAAACAATAACTCCTTATTCTTCCTCTCCCCAGCCCCTGGAACTACTAATCTGCTTTCTGTCTCAATTCTCCTAGTCTTTTGAGTTCTGGCACAGTCTTGTGCCAACTGGTTGGTTATTCAGTAAATATCTGTAGAGCTGAATTTGAATAAAAAGGCAGTCTCAGAAAATACACATCATGAAAGAGAAATAAAAAGACCAAGATGGATCTATTGCTTGAAGAGTAAATTATTTTAAAATAATATTGTTTCCAAGCTTAATATTGTATAGAAAAATGTGATTTCCAATTTGCCAGTCAAATACTTTGAAATATGCATTTTTATGTAAATCTAAAGAAACCACAAATAAGAAAGTAGCTGTGCAAAAAATATATTTGAAGGAAGCCTTTTAAAGTCTAATTTTGTAATCAGAACCTCCTAATTTCCCTCACAATATACATGAACAGTTAAGATAAGAAAGAGACATCATAGGAATTACTCTTGAAGAACTGTTAGATTTTTCATAAGTTCTTCACCACAATAGCTTATTTTGTAATATTCAAAATGCTATTGTATCTGACCTTGCCTTCTTAAAATAAAACCATTTAGTAAAGAAGGATTTCCTTTTTATGTACTTGTGTGATTTCTGGAAGTTAGAGAATTCACAGGGGTAAGTTTCCCAAACCAGCTGTCACTTCTAAGCAACAACCCCATTTAAAATTCTGGCACTGGTTTGTTATCTCATTTATTAATGGTCACAAAAGACTGAGTTTGGCTCATAAAAATATTCCTTCACACTAATTTTCTCTTCCTCCATGATAGCATCTATACCTTTATAATTTTATTATATGTTTTATTTCTGCCAGCGGAAGATCTCCTGCTTCATGCCTCAGTTTCTGCACCTAATACATTAGTTCAATAGATTCTGTTACTTAGAGGAGCTGTACATTTTTTGTTCAGTACTAAGAGCTCTCTGAAGTGGGTTTACCAAAGTATAATTATGTGCAAGTGACAATTTAAGTTAATTAAATTCAGTGACATTAAACTAACCATAAAACTCCCAATGTGTACAAAATGACTCATTTTCAATAAGTCCTATTTAGTATCATGAAATTGTAAAGGGTTATGATTTCATTAGATATTATTTCAAACAATGTTGAGACCAAAATTAAGAGGATTCTTTTTTTCAAAGAAAAAAGGCTGCTTTGCTGTCGCGGTTATTGTCAAGGTTATTTTTACTTATTCTATCCCATTCAAGACATTTCTTGGCAGGGCGTGGTGGCTCAAACCTGTAATTCCAGCACTTTGGGAGACCAAAGCGGGTGGATCACTTGAGGTCAGGAGTTCAAGACCAGCCTGGTCAACATGGTGAAACCCCGTCTCTACTAAAATATAAAAATTAGCCAGGTGTGATGGCGGGCGCCTGTAATCCCAGCTACTCGGGAGTCTGAGGCACAAGAATCGCTTCAATCTGAGAGGCAGAGATTGCAGTGAGCCAAGATCCTGCCACCGCACTCCAGCCTGGGTGACATAGAGACTCTGTCTCAAAAAAACAAACAAACAAACAAGACATTCCTTAAGTCATATTTTGTTTCTTTGTATATCACAGGAAAAATGTAATGAGGGAATTTTTTGATTGCTCTAAATGGAGGAAGAGACAATATTAGATACACAAAAGAAAGCAGGCTGGGTGTGGTGGCTCATGCCTGCAATCCCAGCACTTTGGCAGGCCAAGATGGGTGGATCGCTTGAGCTCAGAAGTTCAAGACCAGCCTGGACAACATGGTGAAACACCATCTTTACAGAAAAACAGAAAAATTATCCAGGTGTGGTGGTGCTCACCTGTAGTCCCAGCTACTCAGGAGGCTGAGGTGGGAGAGTCACTTGAGCCTGGGAGGTGGAGGTTGCACTGAGCCGAGGTCAACAGAGTGAGACCCTGTCAAAGAAAGAAAGAAAAAAAAGAAAGAAAGAAAGAAAGAAAGAGAAGGAGAGAAAGAGAGAGAGAGGGAGGGAGGGAGGGAAAGAAATGAAAGAAAGAAAGAAAGAAAGAAAGAAAGAAAGAAAGAAAGAAAGAGAAAGAAAAGAAAGAAAGAGAGAGAGAAAGAAAAGAAAAGAAAACAGTGAGGGTGGGGAAATCTTTCAAAAAGCAAAACTGAGTGTGGATTGGAAGGTGTGGTAGAATCACATGGCTAGAGAGGATGTAAACAGATTCCATCTTTCTGGGCTTACCTTGACAAGGGTCTCAAACATGTGCATACCCTTTGCATTAGCAATATCACTTAATATATTCTATGGAAATACTTGGAAAAAGTGAAATAAATGTATAAATAATAATGTTCCTTTAAGTGTTATCTATAATGAAAAATGAACCCCAAATAAACCTAGAAACAACCTAACATTCAAAGCTAGGTTATGAAATACCATATAGCCAGTAAAAACAATTATATAGCTCTATATTATTGTCAGGCAGACAGATGACAACATAATGATAAAAACAGTTTACAGGCAGTATGCACAGTCTGAGTCCATTGTAATTACATATATAACTGAAGTTTTGAAAAGATAAAGAAAGACTATCTGTAGGTGGTACATTTATGGAGTTTTCTTCCTTCTTGCTTATCTATATTTTCCTAATAATGATGATGGATTTCTCACATAATTTGAATGCAGAAATTTCAAATAATTTTTTTCTAATTCTAAATTCTTATTCAAATTACCTAAAACCCACCACGTTGTTCCCAGAGGACTATATAAGCTGGAAAAATAATAAATGCAGGTAGATGGATGGATAGAATAGAGAATTATTTCCAAACAATAGTACATTGCAGTCCTGTTGCTACTCATACCACCTTGCCTTATTTCAGAACATTTGTTTTGGGAAAACTCCTGCTAAAATATTTGAAAATGAAATGACTTGATTAATTTTGAATGTCTTCATTTTATTTATTTTTAAATTCAATGTATTTTAATGCTTTATTTCATAAGAGCTATATAGTGAGCCCATGCCTTAGTCCATTTGGGTTGTTACAGCAAAATATCATAAGCTAGGCAGCTTATAAATGACAGAAATTTATTCCTTAAGTTCTGGAGGCTGGGAAATTCAAGATCAAGGTGTGGGCAGATTTAGTGTCTGGTAAGGGGCTGTTTCCTGGGTTATAGATGGCATTTTCTGGCTATGTCCTCACACGTTAGAAGGACAGAATGAGCTTCCTTGGTCCAGTTTTATAAGGACACTAATTGCATGCATGAGGGCCCTGCCCTCAAGACTTAATCATTTCCCAATAGGACCCTTTCCTAATATCATTACCTTAGAGGTCGGGATTTCAACATATGGATTTTGTGCACACAAACATTCAGACCATAACATCCCAGTGCATTTTAAGCTAAATAACATGACTAAGTGGTTTTGGTGTGCCCACTTTTTAGGGCTACACAAACAGTAAATGCTCATGGATCTGCAGGTGACTACGGCTTAGCTGCTCTAGGTTGGTTTGGTTGGGAAGTCATGCTTCCGGATTCAGGATGGCTGAACTTGGCTTCAGGCTTTGGATGGGGTTCTGGTCTGCTCCATTTGTGTTTCTTCTAGAATCCTGGGTGAAGCAGCAGCAGCTATCTGGGCATGCTCTTCTCATGCCATATCCCTGGAGTACAAAAATTAAGCCAAATTACCCAAATACATGTATAACTTCTCCTCGCTTCCATTGGCCAAAGTAAGTCACATGGCCAAGCTTAAAGTCAGTGGGTCAGGGAAGTATATTCTGTTCCTAGGGAAGGGAAAGTGATTGGATATTGGATAAATGATTATCCTAATTATCACAGTAAATGAATCCATGAGCGGGAAGTAACCTACAAGTCATTGCATGGAAAACCATGTGAAAGGAGACTTTAATTTTGGCATTGAGAGAAACCTTAAGCCAGTTCTTGGGTGAGCATTTCCACGTTCTGTTTTTGCCTTAATTACCCCTCTACTTTCCCTCTCATTTTATTCACTAAGTCTTCAAGTAATCTTCATTTGTCCATATATAGGGCCGCTACACTATGGTAACAGACACTCTCTGTGGACCCATATGACTATTATGGGCTGAATGTTTCTGTCTCCCCAAAATTCATGTGTTGAAACCCTAACCTCCAATATGATAGAATTAAGAGGTATAGCCTTTGGTAGGTAATTAGTTCATAAGTGAGGAAGCCCTCATATATGGGATTGGTGCCCTTATAAAAGGGATCCCAGAGAGCTCTCCTCACCCTCTTTCTATCATGTGAATACAATGAGAAGACAGTTTACAACCCTGAAGAGGGCCCTCACAGAACCCAACCAAGCTGGTTCCCTGATCTTTGACTTCCAGCCTCCAAAACTGTGAGAAGTAAGTTTCTGTTGTTTATAAGCCACCCAGTGTATGGTACTTTGTTATAGAAGCCTGAATTGACTTAAGAAAATAGCTTTTGATAGGATGAAAAGTATATGTTCTCAACATCACTGGACAACTTCACAAGTCTACCCCTGAGAACAGTCAAAATCAGTTGAATCATTCTCCCAAAGAGTAGCTAGTTTAAGGTAAATGAGATGGTGGTCATAGAGCGGGATTTTTCCTTTGTGACCTTGAAGGGCTCCTGTTGTAGCTGAAAGAAAGAAACATAAGTTAAACATGACCATATTTAATTCTTTCCAGGTGAAAATTAAGAATGTCACTGGAAAAAATGCAATCAACCGTCCCTGAGTACTCTTCCTCTGGCATACTGGCACCAGCCAGGCAAAGCCTTTAAATACACGTCTGCTCACTCTCCTCCATCCAGTTGCCAGGGGTCACCGATATTCCCATTTACTCCTTTATCCCCAGTGGCATATAGGTTATATTGCATCATACATTACACAAAGGGAAAGGATAACATATTTTCTTGACACCTATTTGAATATGCCCAGTGACACAGATAAGAGAAAAGAGAAAAAAATGAAATGAGTAACAAGGAGATCTATTTTGTTTCATGAGACATTCATCACAGCAGTGACTTTGGGCTGATTCTGGTAAACATAACACAGTTGTAGTTATACAGAAGATAATCTGCATAAATTTGATTTCTTGCCAAGAAGAATTTGTGCATGAGGAGAGAATGCTTTATAACAACATAATTAAAACCTAAGGTGCAGAGTTAGGGAAAGTGAATGCAGTCTTGCCAATTTTGTTAAGGCCAGTCCTTTTGAGGGCTCCTTCCTCTTTCTTTTTCTTTATTCATGAGTACCACAGGGTGGTGACACTCTGAGTCATGTTGAAAAAAGTGAATAGTCAAGGTATAAGTGGCAGGTTGGAGGTGAAGGGTTAGAGAGTTTCCCCTATCCCACCCTTCCCACTCCCCAAGCTGGGAAAACAACAGTTCCTGTCCTTCCTGGCCAAATCATCTCAAGTCCTTTCTTCAGTTCCTGAATGTCAGAATATCAGAATGAAAAAAAAAGAAAAAGAAAGAAAGAAGAAAGAAAGAAGAAAGAAAGAAAGAAAGAAAGAAAGAAAGAAAGAAAAAAACCATCTTATTCTGATACTTTCAGTCATCTTTGCCTAATGCATATCTGTCAAACTGAGATCAGAATTTATCTGAATAAGGTAGTTTTTATCATTTTTAGGGAAAGGAGCACTTTTGGTGAAATTCAATAAATAATAAAAGAAATAGATCATTTGTTATAGATTATTCAAATTCTTGTACATGTAGCAAACTGTATATTCTATATGCTGCCTATTGCAAAAATAGGGACTTTGTGCATTTAGAAAGTGTGTTACTAGGCTGGACAGCTGGGCAGGTTTAAAACTTTTTTTTTAAGTTTTTTTGTTTTTTTTTTTTTGCCCAGGCTGATCTCTAACCTAACTTCTCAAGTGATCCTCCTGCCTCAGCCTTCCAAAGTGCTGGGATTACAGGTATGAGCCACCATGTCCGGCTAGGTTTAAAACTTTCAAAGATTTAATCCTAAATTGAAGAGAGTTAACTAATATATAAAATGAAAATAAAGAGATGCAAAAGTAATAATTATCACAAAGAATTTGGTGATCAAATAAATATATCCTGATGAAATTGAGCTATTAAATGAATCAGATATGATTAAAGTTTAAACTTATAAAAATACTTTTAAAACCACCACTTTAATAAAACAACTGTTTCTTATCCATAGAAGCACATCATCTTGCCTGACCTCTCAACAGTATTCAACACAGTTGACCACACCTTCCATCTTGAAATACGATTTTCCTTGCTCTAGAATTACTCAACACTTTTCCAATGTGCAAGTCACCTTTGACAGCTCTACCTCCTCATCAAGACCTTCTAATTCTGTATAGTTCCTTGTGGCTAAACATGGGCTTTTTTCCTAGTCATTCTACAATCATTCTATACTATAGCACTAAATACCATCTAAATTCTAATTGCTCACAAATATATAATTTCCAAACATCTATTTTCTGAGTTCCACACATGTATTTTAAACTATCTATTTGACCCTTCCATTTAGCTTTCTGACAAGATCTCAACTTCTTGTCCAAAATGGATTTTTCAGTTTCCTTCCTAAATTTTCAAGCATAAAAAATAAATGAATGGCATCATCATCTATCCAGTGGATTAAGGAAGTAATATGAAGACTATAGTTAATGTTTTCATCCCTATTCCCAATCCATTAGTAAAATTTGTTTTTCCTACCTCTAGAATATAGCTTAATCTGACTACTTTTCTTCATTTAACAGTTTCATATCTAGTCTAAACCACAGTCATCTCTCTTGCTTGGATTACTGCAATCCAAGCAGTAAACCACCCTTCATCTACTTTTTCTGAGTCAGGCTGGAGTGCAGTGGTGCAATTATGGCTCACTCTAGCCTCAACATCCTGGGCTCAAGCAATCCTTCTGCCTCAGCCTCTTGAGTAGCTGAGGACTACAGGCAGGGGCCACCACACCTGGCTAATTTTTTATTTTTATTTTTTGTAGCAATGACGTCTCACTATGTTGCCTAGGCTGGTCTTGAATGCCTGGGCTCAAGTAATCCTCCTGCCTCGGCCTCCCAAAGTGCTGGAATGACAGGCATAAGCCATCATGCCCAGCATCCCTTTTTCTACTCTTCATTTGTTTCAATCCATTTAACCATATAGCACAAGAGTGGTTTTATGATGTAAATGCATCCCTGCCACTCTTCTGCTTGAAAAGCTTCAGTGGCTTCCCTGCAGGTTAGAAAGATAAATCCTGAAGGCACTGCATGACCTGGTCCCTCAGTTTTACCTTTCTTCTCTTACTCATTATGTTCCAATCAGTCTGGTCCTTCTTTTTCTCCTGTAAAAGAGGAAATATCAAACCCTCCTGTAAAAGAGGTAGCATTGACCCTTTCCCACTTTGGGGTTTCTGTTCCTAGTGTTTCCACCTAGGACAGTCTTCCACTAGTCCCTTCTTGGTTAACTGTGATTCTTCCATCACCTCCTCAGAGGGTGCCTTGATGAACAGCCCCCACCACACTGCAACCAGCTTAGGTCCCCCTGTTATATATTAATATACTCTTACTTCACAGCATGAGTTATGGGTTGTAACTATATGTTTACTTGCTTAATATCTTTCTCCTGCATCAGACTGTGAGGTCTATGTTGGGAATCATATTCATGTTTTTCATGCTGTATCCCCAGTGTTTAGCACAGTGCCTGACCTAGAGAAATTTTTAATATTAGGTATGTGATTCGTTGCAATAATACTTTTATATGATTTTATGTTCTGAATATTTTCAGTTGAGCTGGTTTTATAAATGCTCTAGTAAGTTATCCCATTTACTATCTATAAAAGATACATAATATTCCATCAAATAAATATGATAAAATGTACTTATTTCTCCATTTTCTTGTTACCCATTTTTGCTGTTATAACTTTGTTATAATAGAGCTGTTTCTTTTTTTTTTAAGTATCTCCTTGAGGAAAACTTACAGAGGTGAGACTCACAGGATCACAGCTTCTGAATATTTTTTTCACATAAGATGAAGATCACCAATTTTTCTTCGAAAGTATAAAAAATTACATTACCCCCAAATGACTCATCTCGGATAAACTGGTCATACTTTTTAAACGCTTATCAAAGAAAATATGCCTACTCTATGTGAACTGCAGGTCCTGCCACAAATCTGTCCATGTGGGTCATACTAATTGTATGAATTGCAACTGTATCAACACTAGTGAAGTCTAAGTTCTTGTAAGTCCTAGGAGCATTGCCCATTATACTTTATGTGTGATAAAATTATAGTGACACTGGGATATCTGTTGGGAAGATAGATTTATCGTAAATATGGCACCGTATGTCTAATCTAGATCAAAGTTTTTAATTGAGTCTGCTATCAATTAAAAGTGATGAAATGACTTGTTCTTTTCCTTTCCTTTTTTTTGTGACATGGTCTTTCTTTGTCACCTAGGCTACAGTGCAGTGGTGTGATCGTGGCTGTGATCATGGCTCACCACAGCCTCAACCTCCCAGGCTCAAGCAAACCTCCAGCCTCAGCCTCCCAAGTATCTGGGACTACAGGCACACAACACCATGCCTAGCAAATTTTTTTTTTTAATTTTTTTGTAGAGATGAGGTCTCATTCTGTTGCCCAGGCTGGTCTCCAACTCCTGGGTTCAAGCAATCCTGCTTCCTTGGCCTCCCAAAATGCTGGGATTACAGGCATGAGCCATCATGCCCAGCCATGACTTGTTCTTTTAACTTGTAAGTTGCAGCCAGAAACTCATTGCCTTTACTCAATGAGGCATTACAAAACTTGAATTATAAAAACTAAATATTTTTCAAAAAGGTTTCTTTATAAACAAAAGATGCCAGAAACTGAAAAAGCTTTCCCAAAATACGTTTTTTAAAGAAATAAACTAATATATTAACTCTTAGGTGGGAATAGACATGAGACAAAAAGTAGGGAAAGAGGGTAATCCTTTGAGAGTCCACAGCATGCTTAAAGCCAGAGGTCAAGGCCCTAGCAAACAGAAGTTTTATTCTACTTCCAGAAAGAGAGGGTAGGCTGATTTTGGCCAGGTCTGGTTGGGGAGTGTTGTGATGAGGTGAATTCGGATCTGATCCAGGCCAGTAGCTCCTGCAAAACTGGGATAGTTCCATGCCCACAGTTAATGGGGGCTCTTCTGGGATGGATATAACATGGTTCCTGGGTTCCTGTATCAAACAGGCTCAAGTCCACCCCCAGGGCTGAACTCAATTTTCTAGAGCTATTTACTACACTAATTGAGCTCTTTCTCTCCTCTCTTCTTTCCTTCCTTTCAATAAATAAATAAGTTTTTGTTTGTTTGTTTGTTTGTTTTTCTGGGACTGCCCTGCTAGACACTGTAGAGAGTATAAAGAAGGTTCCAGCAAGGCCTCAAGCAAGACAGATTAGACCCATAAATAGATACTTGTACAGTGTAAGAAGCAAACCATGGTAAGAACCAAAGGAAAAATATACAGGTAAATGAGTGGGAGATGCCTCCGGCTGACTCTATCAGTGAAGATTTCCGCAGAAGAGGCATTTCAGGCAGCTCAAAAAAAGGGGAGGATTTAGCTACACAGAGATGGGGCCTGGAAATTGGAGTAAGAAAGGGCATCAGGGCAAAGAAAATTGATTTCATTTTTGAAGTGCTTTTTGTTTTTCTCCAGTCTTTCTGGCTGGGTATCCTAGCGAGGGCAGTGCTTCTTAAACTTTAATATGTAAATGAATTACCTGGAGATCTTGTTAAAGTGCAGATTCTGATCTACCAGGTCTGGGCTAGGCGGGAGAGTCTGCATTTCTACAAGCTCCCAGGATGATGCTGAAGCTGCCAGTCCAAGAAGTGCACTTTGAATAACAACATTCTAGGCCTTATGTTTCCAAGATGGGGCAGATGCAGTGGGAAATTATAGGGCCACACATCTGGCTGTGCAGGTCCATGGGGCCTGGAAAGCTTCTGAGGACAGAGCAGCAGTGCTTCTCTCATTGTTAGACTTTTGGCAGGGGTCAGGGACCCTAATAAACAGAAGAGAAGGAGCTGCCCTGCATTTGTAATATAGAAGACCTCTCCATCTCAGACTGCAGGTGGACTGCATCGTTCCATCATCTCCAAACCAACAGCACAGAAACTCTGTGTGGTCACTGACTCACTTGTGTCCTAGCAGAATAAGGGATTCTTTGTTAGCTCAAAGTCTAGCAGTTCTTCTGGCTCTTGGTGGAGACAGAGTAATTTTAACCCAAAAATAGGTCTTTCAAAAATATTGCTGAAATAAAGGAAGCAGTAATTAGGATGGTTCAGTCTACTAAACTCCAAACTTAATACAACAAACCATGTCTGCATTAAGATAGAGGCCTTGCTGCTGCAGAGGGTGGTTAAAACAGCCTTTGTATGTTTTTATTTTTCTGCTGGATATTATTCTGTAACACTTCTAATTCAAGCAATTCTAGAAATAAGGGAAGAAGAGCCATATGTAACTATTTATGACCACAATCCAGAACTAGTCACATCTTGAGTCATAACTTCATAAACGTAAATAATGAAATCTCTAAACTATTAGTCTACTCTTTTTGAGCTTGTATTTGGAAATACAGTAATAGGTGGAAACACTAGGACATCTGGACAAGAGAAGGTAGAAATTTTTTAAAAGCACTTTCTATGTATATAACATTTTCTGTGTGTGAAAAAAGAAATGCTATATTCCATCTGTAGAGTAAAATAGGATTGCCTGTGGCAAAGGCAAGGCTTCTAAGAAACAGCTCAGACTGGAAATTCAAAACACACTCTGGGTTTCCCCCTTCCATTTTTCTTGAAGTTACCAAGATGAGTGGTCATGGGATGAAAGTGCAATATTTATTCAGCATTTGCCGTGGGCCAGATACTGTTCTAAGCATATTACATATGTGCTCCCTTTTAATCCTCCAATTACAACTATAAATAGATCTTAATATGCCTATTTTAGAGATAAGACAGCTGACAGAAAAGTTGTAGAAGATCATAAAGCAAGGAGTTGGAACAGAATTTCAAACCCACATTTGTCCAATATAAAATCCATACACTTTTTACCACGGCATGGTGCCTCCTAATACCAGATTTCTTGGTGTCTCTTGCTGAGGACAGTTTGCTTTTTGTGGCAGCTGTCCTTATTAGATGTTGGGTTACATAGAAAAGTCTGTGGGATTGGCAACAGGTCAAACTTAAAGACCTTTAAGATTCCTTCCAACCTTTACATACATCCTCCCACCATAGTGCCTTTGTATATGCTATTTTCTCTGCCTGAAATTCTCTTTGCTTTTTTTTTTTTTTTTGCCTATTTAACTACTTCAGATTTATCCTGCAGACCTTAGCTTAATCATTTCTTCAAAACAGTCTTCTTTTCCTTTGTTCTGTTCACTGTTTCTACTACACACTTTTTTTTTTTTGACAGAGTCTCACTCTATCACCCAGAATGGAGTACAGTGGCACGATCTCGGCTCACTGCAACCTCCGCCTCCCAGGTTCAAGTGATTCACCTGCCTCAGCCTCCCAAGTAGCTGGTATTACAAGCCTGTACCACCACACCCAGCTAATTTTTGTATTTTTAGTAGAGATGGGGTTTCACCATGTTGCTCGGGCTGGTCTTGAACTCCTGACTTCAGGTGATCCACCCACCTTGGCCTCCCAAAGTGCTGGGATTATAGGCGTGAACCACTGCGCCCAACCTTACTACGCACTTTTAATAACGCAATGTACCTTTTGATTGTGTAACTTATCACAGATGCAATTTTACATTTATATGTGTGTTCTAAATATCAGATTCCTTATCTCTAAAATGAACTATTTGTCTCCTGTCCCCAGTGACTCACCTGAATGATAACAAGTTGTAACTGTTATTTGTTGATTGTCTCTTTCCTCTGTGCTAGGTGTTTGGTGAGGTAATCAAAGATCCTTAAGACTTGTTCTCGGCACTCAAGGAACTAATAATCTGATTGAAAGGGTGTTGCTAAGAAATATAAAATGATTACAGAGCAACCAAGTTCAGGATGTAACCACATCTTTTGCAAGAAAAAACTGCTTTCTTTTGTTTTTTTCCAAAGAACTATCTCTCCTTCTAATCTATGTCTTACTTATAAACACTGGCATATGAAAGCTGATGCAGTTTCAGGAATAAAGTAATATAATTAGAAAACTGGAAAGAAGCTTGGAGAACAGTGGAAAACCGATAAAGGTGAGAAGGAAGAAATGAGAACCACAGTTTGCCACATATCTCAGAAATGTTCCATCTTATAGTGAATGATAGTGGGCCAAAGCTCACCAAATTTGATATCAGCAGTCAATATTTATCTTGACTCTTAAAAGCAGAGCAGAGAAGGAACTATATGTTTAGTAAATTAGAGATAAAATGTGGACCATGTCACCTCAGTCAAAAAAGAAGGTGGACTCCAGTTATAGACAGCTAGAACCCTTAAAGGATAAAACCACAGACCAAGGGTAATTGTATAGGAAACAGAATAGGGTCCCAAATATAAGCTCCATAAGCCCATCTGAATTCCGAAGGTCTCCCAGATCCCATCATACCGATGTTACCAGAAGCGACACATTTCATTCCCAATTTACAAATGGCACATACATACAGTAGGCGCAGACCTCTCCCTAGTCTGGAGGTGCTCACTGCTACTGGCAAGACAGCCATTGTGAAAGTCAAAATGAAATCCTAAACTTTAAAAGAATCCATATTTTTAAAGTAAAAGGGTGAGAAGAAATTACAAAATGTATAAAAATGGGGAACTGAACCAAATGTTCCTGCTCCTCAATATATTATTTCTGCCCCTCACTACCAGGATTCTTTCTCTAGTCATTTTTCAAACTCCAAAATTTTCTTATGGAAATGTTCATTTGCAACTACAAGATACTCTTAAAATTGCATATGTCTTTGGAACGGCAGATAGTCTTGCACACGACTGTGAATTCATTTAATCAAGTTATTTTACTTAGTTCCAACTTGCAGCATACTAAATGAATGCTGATTGTTAAGAATAAAGAGCAAAGACAAGCTGATTGAGATAGAAAAAGGCCAGACAGAATGAGGACAATAGGTACAGGAAAAAGGATTTCAGGAGAATATTGGAGAAGTAAGGTGCAAAAAGAGCAGAAAGGAAAATAATTATTATTTTCACCTATTTCAAGGCCCAGAAAGGCCGGTGCTATACCCCTCAAAAGAGGAAGAGAAATTTATTTCTTTTTCTTGACCCTGTTGAACAGAATAGGCTCAGTTCCTAGGACCAGATGTGAATCTGGTACCATTACAAACCACAAACATTAAATAGGTTTTTTGGAACTAGCTTAGTGACATAGCTCTTGCAGGAAAATGTGATATTCTAAAAAACTTAAAGGAAGTCCTCTTACAGCTCTAGAACAAGGACTAACTTTGAGGAATATAATGAAGATGGAACATTTGAAATTTCCAATATTTTAGAAACTATGACCAACAAAAATGGCAGTTTCATATGGTTCAACCCAAAAGTTAATAAGCTGATGACTTCCTAAATGTCTTATCTGAAATTACATCATCAGAATGAAGAATTTGAAAAGCTACTTGCTACACCATGTAGCAGAAAAAAAAATTTTAAATATAGACTTTACTAGTCTTGAAGACATACTGTGATTGATGATGCATAAGAGATGCTGTTCAAAATAGTCACATTATAATACCCAATTCCAGATCAAGCCCTCTGTGTCCATGTCAATTTATTCCATTTGTTATTTAGACAGCACTTCCTTCAACAGCCGTAGGGAACCTAAGACATCTATATCCATGGGTGTTTTAGGTTGAGGTCGACAGTGGGCATTATGGGTTTCAGGGCAACTTTAGGTGAACTCAGTTTTCCCTTGTATCACTTAATGTGATTAATGTTCACATGGAGGGTTTTGCCACGTGATCTGGCATCCTTACAATCATGAGCTTACTTATGAAACAGGGAAGATCGCTTTTAGGTTTTCCTTTTCTTTCCCAGAATAGCAATTTAAAAGCCTCTAACTTAACATCTAGATGAACCATAAGGTCTTTTTCAGTTCTATCATTTTGTGATTAGATTTTATGGAAAAGAAAATGACTATGCTTGCTCTCACGTGCATAGGGTATTTCTATAACTATATGCAAGAAACAGGCAACATTAGTCTTTCTTGAGAAGGGAAACTTGCTTTTCCTTGTACTGAGCTTTTGTGCACTGAACTTTTTTTAAATACCATGTATTATTTGCTAACAAGAATTAAAAATACAATTTAAAATGTAAGCAAAGCATTTCACTTGTTAAAGTACAGAACCTCTCCCTGCATAAATGTTTAGTTCCTGTTCTTCTTGTTCTTCTTTATGACCTTACCATTATTGTGATTAAAAAAAAAAAAAAATCCTAGGCACTGTGGGAGGTGAAACAGATGCAGAAGACTTTGACGATGGAAATTGCTATTTATTCTGCAAATATTTGTAACTACTTGTTATGTGACAGATCCTGGGCTAGGTACTTCCTCCTTTACATGACTTCTGGAAGGCTTCTTGTTTAAACATCCACGGTCTTTTTTGTTTTTGTTTTTGTTTTTGTTTTCTTTGAGAGGTCTGCATGCTTAAAATGCTTCCCATAGATAAGCAGTGGTTTGTTCTCCATGAATGCAGCAACAAATTAGGTTACCTGCAGGGAGAATCACCTCCCACACTAAGGTAGGTCCCAGGTGTTTGAGGCAGACACTACCGTGATGACCGGTACATGAGTTAGAGAACACTTTGTACAGAGGGAGAGAGTCCTCTTGACTAGATCTGCAATATTGAGAACAAAAAGAGGCAAGTGAAGATAAAAAAGGAAGGTAGTAGAGGGAGATGACTGGCAATAGAAGCTAGTACAGTAGTATCTTACTTCACAAAATTATTGAGTTACCCAAAAGCTGATTCCAAAGTTTTGTAAATATCATCCCAACACATTAGAAAGGCTTGCTAAATTAAAGAAGCTTGCTACTTAGAGCTTTTGTCAAGCAAAAAGGCCCTTATTTCAATTCAAATTTTACATAGATGACTTGTAGGTAAGAACTCTCAACATTTTCAAAGCCCTTAGACATACATTTCTTTGGATTCTCACAAAAACGCCATGAGAATTGTTTTCCCTTCCACAGATGAGGAAAGTGAAGCTTAGAGGTTGAGCCACTTGCCCATGGAAGCCTGGTAGGGAAATGGCTGAGGTTAAGACCAGGACCCCGGCACACTACTCATTGGCACTAAGGTAGCCCCATGACATGTCTCTACAGAGATAGGCAGAGCAAAAGAAACTTACTTTTTCAGGCAATTTTCTCTGATTTTCATAAAACTGTAGCTACCAAATGGGGATACCTAGGGTATCAGTTTTATGATATCCTAGGTATCCCCGTTTCTCCCATTCTTCCCCTCCAAACCATCTTCCTGGGTCTGCTGCCCTGTCCATCTTCACAGAATTCAGTTCGGATTGTCTCCTCCCCCAGCATCTCTGCTATCTCCACGTAGTCTACAAACTAAGTGCAGGAGCCACAGACTGACAGTCAGGACTTCTGCCTGAGCCCCCATCCACAGCTCAAACCCTCTTTCCTATTTCACTATGCTAATGCTTACCCCTTGCACTCCAAACAAGCAGGTCTGTGTACCACCATCTAACACCCCAACAGGGCCAGGCTAGGGTGAGGTGAGTCACAGCACTTAAAGGTTCACCAAAGAATTCAGTAATCAAGGTTAATATTTTAATGGAATATTTAAAAAAATCAAAATTAATATCAAAAATGCATGATGAAAAATAACAAAATTTTAAATAAAGACAGGGTAAGTTTAGGGGTTTTTCCTATTGCTTCAGGCTCAAAAGTGCCTTCCGGGGCACTGTTATCGGCCCTGCAGTGACTCCCCACACAGATACTTTTACTAATGATGTTTCCCAAAAGTTAGTTCTTACAACCGCTTTCTACATTAGTAACGTCTTTCTTCTTGAACGCTCCAGCATTTAAGTGTAGCGCTCTACTGTCAGGAAAACCCATTTCCCCTAGTAACTAGTAGTACTTCGAAGATATTCTGAATCATCTTGGATCCTTTCCAGCACTTTCCCAAACCACAGTGAGCACTCAGCACCACTTCGCTAAAAGAGTGCAGAATCACAATGCTCAAATCACTGTCTGGGGGGTTCAGCAGGGAGGGGACGCAGATATGTTTTGTTTAGTCCAGGGTGTTTTGAGAAAATTGAATTTGTTATCAAGATTTTACAAATCAGGATATTGTACATGAATATACTCCGTCATTTCTGGAAAAATCAGAAAATCTAGCAACACTAGGTCTAATTCTTGCCCGATAGCAAGGGACCCTGAGAGCAGATAAGCGGCCCTGCCTTCGGAGCTCTCTCCAGTTCGCCTTCCCCCAGTTACAGTGCCTGTCAGGCCCCATTAGATCTTTGAGTTTGCTATCGTAAGAATAAAGGAAGGAGCGCACAGGATAAAAACCCATCGGCTGGGTCTATTCGTTTTTTCCTAGAGAAAAAAAAAAATGTTTCCTGGTTGTCCTTTCGAATATAGTCTCACAGAGAAGCTCACAGAAGCAGCCCACCTTTCTAGCCCACAAACTTCCCACAAGCCGTGAAAGTCGCACCGGCTCTTGCACCCAGATCGGTTTCTCCCGGGTCTTTGGCTCAGGGCCCCCGCCCCTACATTGGCCTTTCCCTTCCTCTGCCACCTCCGCGCTCCGAGGCCTGGGGCGGGTCGCGGGTCCCGGCCCCCAGCCCCCAGCCCCTAGCCGCTGCTCTTTGCCCCGGGCCAGGGCGCTCGGGCTCGCCCACGGCGGCACTGAGCATGCTCAGAGGCGGCCGCGCGGGCAGGTTTGCTTCGCAGGCGCTCGCACTCGGCGGCGGGCGGGCGCGCGGCTGCAGCTGGAGCTCCAGCGCCCGGAGTTGGAGTTGCCGGGAGTTTCCCCCCAACCCCTCCCTTTTCGCGCGCGGCAGCAGGAGCCGGCGCGGGAGCCGCGAGCGGCGGCGAGCCAGCACCCGGGCCGGCTAAGCCTTGTCCGGAGCCCGGAGCCCCGCGCGGGGCAGCCCCCCGGGGAGGAGCCTCGTGCTCTGGGACGCGTGCCGCGCACTGGCACGGCAGGGGCGCGAGCCAGGCTGCACGGTAGGACCGGGGCGAGGGGAGCCAGGCGGTCAGGGCGGAGGCCAAGCCCGGGAGATGCGGTTGCAGCCGCCACGGCTGTTGGGGCGCCTGGCGCTCCGTCCGAGGCGGGTGGCTGTGAGGCCAGGGGAGTAGGCAGGCTCCCAGAGAGATTCTTCCAAGTTGGCGGGTGGCGGGAGAGGGGGCCGCGCGCCCCGGCGCAGCTGCTTTGTGCGCGCAGAGAGGGACTCGTGTCCCTGGTTCTCTCCAACCCTGGGACCCGTTGTGCGGGCAGTATTGGGCAAGCCGCAGAACGGAGCGATTTCCTCCGAGAAAGTTGAGGATGGAGCCTTTTTTTCCGCACCGTCCCCGCGATGGCATGGGCCCCGAGAATGCTGCCCCGAGGCTCCCAGTGTGGGGGAGCTCGGGGTCGCTGCGCCTCTAGCTTGAGCGCAGAAATCCGCGAATCACTCCGATCTTCGCGAACTCTGGCATCTTCTAGGAAAATCATTACTGCCAAAACTGAGGCGAGCTTTTCTGGCGGGCACGGCACCCTGCCCCCAGGGCGCTGGCCCTGGGCGATGCCCCCTTTCCGATCTCAGGCTTGGTCAAGGGCGCCAGGTTCCGAATTCGCGCTTGCCGTGCACGCCGGCATCGAGCCTCACCAACACCGCCGGGCAACGTGGCTGGAGTAGGTGGGTGGCTTGATTTTCCCTCCAACCTTTCCTCAGGTTTACAACACCCCGCCACCTCACCACCCCACCCCGTTCATCTTCACAGAGGACAGGACCTGCAGGTGGAGAATTTGGAAAGACATCTTGTTCTTTAGGAGAAAGTCCCCGGGGTGTATCTGCCCTTGGTTCTGGCCCCAGGATTTCATAACGAACCTTCTCCCCTTCCTATTACGCTTCCCTAGGGACTGGGTGGGAGAGAATAGGATCGGTAGGTCCGCAGGAACTTCCATCTCATTCCACCCTCTCCTAAGATTGCCTTCCGGGCGACCCCAGGACCCTGGAACTGGCATTGTGCGGATTGTAAGGCTGTGGAGGATGCCGACGAATTTTTCCTGGCTCCACTTTTTTCACTTCTTGTTTTGAGTTTTGGGGTTTTGCCTGCACACTAGTCAGAGCTGCGCCCTAGTCAGAGCCACCCTGGGGGTGGAGGAGCTTCAGCCGAGGCTGTGAGCTGCTGTTCGTCTCAGAGGCTGCTAGTGGGAATCGGTCCAGAAATGATTATGCAGGCTAGAAATATGCCTCTCTTTTTTTCTTTTTTGGCTGAACACCTTGGCTGTTGGGTTTGTGTGTTACGTTCTTAAAGGGACACCCTCACACTGCTCAAGTGCCAGGATTTAGGGGCTCACCATTCTGCTGCCTGTTTTTCTCTTTGCTTTTTCCTTGAGGGTAGTCTGCTTTGGGGCCGATTTCTAGATGTGCGAATCACATAATGTGGATACACTACACAGTTCTAGAGTCAGACAGACTTGAGGTCAAGTTTCAGCTTTACAGCTGATGACAGTGCTGATGGACAAATGATTAGTCACTCTGAACTTAAGTTTTCTCTTCTGTCAAACGGAGATAATCGTGGCCTTACCTCCCTCCATTGCAGGGTTGTTGTAAACTCAGATGAGATAATGAAAATGAAAAGAGCTAAGAAAACTTTAAAAGCACCATTCAGGTCTTAGATATTGTCTCTGTGCTCTTTACTCAGTTGTTTTGAATGAGCTAATTCTTAATTATAACAAGACATCTAGGTCTTCTCTCCTCTCTGTCCACTCCTCACCAAGTGGTTTAGTTGCTTGGGCCTTTGGAAGCATCTGTTTACCCTTTTTCTTTCTCTATCCTCAAATCCATCTCTTTTGATTTTAAGAATTGGAGCTCCAGTCCTCATATTTATCTGAGGAAGGCAGCATGATGTAGATTAGGAGATGACTGGGGTGGCCTTATCAACATTCAGAGTCCTAGGCCCCAGAATTGGCACGGTCAGAAAGGCCTTAGTTTGAAACTCAAGGCTGATGAAGAAGTCAGCAGATCCTGGAATGGAGCTCTGACTTGACCTCTAATAGTGACCTTGAACTAAGGACTCAAATCCTAATCTGTGAAATCAGTCTATGAAGATTAAAAGCCAGTATCAATTGAAGGCAAGAACAGGTGAGATTATCACTCAGTTAAAAAGGGTTCACACAGGCTCCTGAGCCACCCCAGGTGCAGCATCTTCCCTAATCTTAGGGCAGTGGTTCTCAGATCAGAATCATCTGGAGGGCTTGTTACATCTCAAACTGTTGGGCTATACTGCCAGAGTCTCTGATTCTCTAGGTCTAGGGTGAAGGCCCAAGAATTAGCATTTCTGACTAGTTCCAGATGATGCTAATGGTGCTACAGACCATGCCTATAGAATCACTAACTTATGGAGTGGGAGATAGTAAGAGAGATGACGTTTGTTGTGAAATGCCATTATTTTACTAGCTCATATACAGAGACAAGGTTTCTTTGGGGGTGTGTTGGGAAGTCTCCTTAGGCATTTTATGTTCCAATGCCTGTGCCACTTACCATTATCTAGGTTTAATAATTCTGATTGCTCTTCAAATGGATGTATTTTACAAAGAGGTAGGATTCCCCCTTCTTTTCATACTGTAAAATATGTAGTCTCAGGTTTTAGATCACCCTTGGGTAGTGCCGGATTGGTGACCTTTATAATTTATAAAATCTAAAAACTACCCCATTTCCTTTTTTGGAGAAACCTCAGACATTTGTGGAAAGGAGGTTACGTACAGTTCTGACAGCTTGAACCTTAAGGTTGGAGGACAGAATAGATCACCTAGGGAACAAGTTTAAGAAGAATTTGCAGTGGTGTCTTTTCCGAATGGACAGCTTACCCAGGCCCTGGAAGGAGCATGAAGTACACCCCACGACAAATGTCCCATGGTGGTTAGACCTGGCAAAGCCCTTTCATTCCTTCTGGAGAATGGTAGTGGCATTGGCAGTGGCTGAGACCCTCTCTTCGTCTCTAAGAGGGTAGAAGGCTGGCTTTCAGGGGCAGCTGATCAGTATTAGTGTGGTGTCCTGTGTAACCTAGCTTGTAATGAAGCACTATTGGGACCTAACCCAATCTTAAGCTCTTTTCCTTTTCCCCCACGCCATAGTCCTGTGCTGTGAGCTCACCATGACTTCCTATGACCTAGACTGTGGCCTTGAATTTTGACTGCTTTGCATCAGAGAGGCTGTGGGAGCCTGCTTGAGTCAGGAGGGTTCCTGCAATAACATCCTAAGGAAGAAATAAAGTTTACATAATGTAGTGCCCAAATCAATTAGGTATAAGAGGAGGTCAGTCAGTGCCTTAACTAGTTCTTGTGTTGCTAGGCCAAATGGGATCCCAGCTCACTGTCATGCTTTATCTCAGCTGTCCATTTGTGCTTTGTTTTAGTTTTAAAATGATTAGCACTAGAGAAACCTATCAGTAAATCAGAAACCTTTAAAAAACTCAAGTGTACACTTAGTGTTTTAGTAGATAAAACTTTCAGGCCCAAACCTGTCTTCCTGACAGCAGTCAGCACTTGGTGAAGGAACAGCCTTCTGGTTGTCACTCTTAAGATTCATTAGTTAATTTCAATGGTTTTTCCCACTTAGTATAAGTAGGGAACATTTCTATTTTAAAATTTCTTCCCATAACCTGATGTTTATATTTTGGGTGTTACCCCTGCTTTGAGGGCAGCCTCTTATCACTGTTGTTCACTTTTCTCAGTACATGGTATCTTTGCTCCCTTTAATAAATCTGTTGTGAGACGGTCATTATGACACTTTATTTCTTTTTGGTCATTAGGACTGTTATTACTGAGTCACAGAGAGTCAGGGCCCATTCCTAGAGCATTATTCTCTATGTTCCTAGAGGGTGCTTTTAAACTAAAACACTAGTTATACTGCACTAGCTCATTTCTAAGATACATTCTTTTTCTGATTTCAGAAGCCCAGATGGATCTTAAAAATTATGAACACATTTAGGCCAGGTGCAGTGGCTCACACCTGTAATCCCAGCGCTTTGGGAGGCTGAGGCGGGTGGATCACCTGAGGTCAGGAGTTCAAGAGCAGCCTGACCAACATGATGAAAACCTGTCTCTACTAAAAATACAAAAACAAATTAGCTGGATGTGGTGGTGGGCACCTGTAATACCAGCTACTCGGGAGGCTGAGGCAAGAGAATTGCTTGAATCTGGGAGACGAAGGTTGCAGTGAGCCGAGATCGTGCCATTGCACTCCAGCCTGGGCAACAAGAGTGAATCTCCATCTCAAAAAAAAAAAAAAAGAAAAGAAAAAAAAAGTATGAACGCATTTAATGTGCAGTTTTTTTTTCTTCTGTAACCTAGTATGTTAGTGTAGTGACTATCAATTGATGACATCCTCAAACAAAGCAAGGTTAGTTCCTTATTCTGGTAGAAAATATGGTTTCTACTCAATGCTGTCCAGCTGATTGAATTGCTGAGCAGTTAGCTCAGCAGTTCCGAGAATATGTTGGGTAAAGTGCTGTTGGGGTGGGTATTAATCAGTTTGCTCTTATAAAGGGCAAATCCATTTGGGAAGCACTGCCTATTATTTTTTTTTCCTCTTGTAGAGATTCTCAACATGGGCATCATTATATCAAAGACTATGAGAAGTACTATAGTTAACTATATCAACGACAAAAACTTGGTTACATTTATTCAAGTCAGCGTTTCCCAGAATACAGAATTTTCTGAGGTTATATATGTATCTTTTAGGACTCCATTACTGAGTTAGCACAAACCACAATTTTAATATGTGATTTAATATTGTGGGTGGGATGGTTTCACCTAGTATATCCCGAAAATATAGGGACATTCATTAAGTATGGCTATTAATTAATTAACTCTATAAGTGGTTACTTATTTTTTATTTCAGAGTAGAGAAGAACATTTTAAGCTGTAGTGGCTAAGAAAGTCTCCACGAAGGAGCTGGACTGTGATAATATAAATGGTGGGTAGCACTCTTTGATAGATAAGGGACATTTTAGGTTGGAGGGATAATGAAGCAGGAGTAAAGACTTGCATTTGTGCCTGCATATAAATAATTTTCAGAGCATACAACAAAATGGATTGTGCCCAGCACAGTGCGAGATTTACTGAATCTGTGGTGGTGGTCAAAGAACCTATTAAGCCCAGGCTTGGTTGCTCATGCCTGTAATGCCAGCAGGTCAAGGCTGCAGTGAGCCCTGATCGTGCCACTGCACTCCAGCCTGGGCAACAGAGTAATATCCTGTCCCAAAAACAAAACAAAAAGTTTTTTGATTCTGTAAATTCGTTGAAATAGCAGATGAGTTATAGAGAGGACTGGACAGCTGGTTGCAGGAGTGGAGGCGCAACACTCAGGATGAAAGCAGTCAGGGGTGCCTGGAACTGGACGGGGGCATGGAAGTGTTCCTGTGCCATTAGTCATTAGGGGGATGCAAATCAAAACCACAGTGAGATGCCACTTCACACCCACCAGGACGGCCAGGTGGAGAATGTGGAGAAATTGGAAGCTTCCTACATTAGATTGCTGGTGAATATGTAAAACCGAACAGCCACTTGGGAAAACAGTTTGGCAGTTCCTCAAAATGTTAAATATTGGCTTCCTAATGACCAATTCCCCTCCAAGATAGATACACAAGAGAACTGAAAACATGTTCATGAAAATATGAATATTCATAGCAGCCGTATTCCTTTTTTTTTTTTTTTTTTTTTTTTGAGGCAGAGTCTCATTCTGTCTCCCAGGCTGAAGTGCAGTGGCACAATTTCTCCTCACTGCAGCCTCGACCTCCCAGGCTCAAGCAATCCTCCCACCTTGGGTTCCCGAGTAGCTGGGACTACAGGCATGTGCCACCACCTCCAGTTAATTTTTTTTATTTTTGGTAGAGATAGAGTTTTACCATGTTGCCCAGGCTGATCTTGAACTCCTGGGCTCAAGCAATCCACCTGCCTTGACCTCTGGGATTACAGGCATGAGCCACTGCGCCTGGCCAGCAGCCTTATTCTTAATAGCCCTAAAGTGGAAACAACCCAAATATCCATCGGCTGCTGAATGGATAAACAAAATGTGGTACATCCATGCAAGGAAAACTATTCAAACATAGAAAGGAACAAAATGTTGATTCATGCTACAACATTGATGTACCTTGAAAACATGCTATGTGAAAGAAGCCAGATACAAATGACCATGTATTTACATGATTCCATTATGAAGTGTACGCAATAGGAAAATCCACAGTGACAGAAGTAGATTAGTGGTTGCTAGGGGTTGGAAGAGGGAGAAATGGGGAGAGACTGTTGATGGGTCTGAGGTTTCTTTCTGGGGTGATGAAAATGTTCAGGAATTAGGGTGATGATGGCACAATTTTTTGAATACACTGAAAACTACTGAGTTGCACACTTTAAAAGAGTGAATTTTATGGTATATGAATTATTAAATTTTTTAAAATAGGAAGAAGGTAGTTGGATCCAAAGGAGAGTTTTTTGTTTTTTGTTTTTTTAAAAAAAAATGATGAGACAACTCCAGAAATAGGGTTTCAGTTTCAGGTTAAATTTTCTGCTATCGGGAAAAAATATCTGGATTATTCGTTTATCCTTGTTTGTCTTTGGCTTTCTAGAATGCTCTTGTTACTCTCTCATTCGAAAGTTTACTACCTGAATTAAAAGGGTTTTGTTCCAAGTTGCTCCTGAGTCAGTGGGATCGTTTTCATGGCAAGTGCCTTGTCATCTTCATATCTGAGTGTGTTTCTGGATTTTCCTCCAGAGACAAATTCCCTATTCAGGCTTCCTTGTGATCCACCAGAGGGCATGCTGACTCTGCAGTTTCAGTTTAGCTTCTGCCTTAAGATCTGACTGTGATCGACATTTTAGTGTCATCTTCTAATTTGTTTGTAGAACTCTGTCAAGACTGCCTCCTCCCTCTTTTTAAAAAATCTCTATTTAAAGAGGGTTCTTGTGGTGGTCAGCATTACGTGAACATCAACGTATTTGGGTCCAAGAGGCATGATACTAAATGAGGTTTAACACCGCTGGAGCTGACACAGTTGGCCCTTGGGTAGACATTCTTCTCTCTTTAACAGTGTGGTGCCACAGTGCCTCTTGAGATTTTGTTAGAATGCTGGTTCTGATTCAGTAGGTCTGGGATGGGGCCTGAGATTCTGCACTTCTAACAAGCTCTCCCTGATGCAGATGCTGCTGTCGAGTGGATCATACTTTGAGTAGAAGCTGATACAGTTTAGAGAAGATGGCTTCGGAATGGGACAGGGCCGAGTGTGAAACATAGCTCTACCATTAACGTGTGCGTGACCTTGCGCAAGTTAATTAACATCTGCGCCACAGTTTCTTATCTGTATGATCAGAGTAAGACCGAGCAGGTAGAAGTGTGCCTAGCATCATGTGCCTGAAATGCTAAATGCTATTGACCTTCTCCTGCCCACAAAGATCAAGAATTCTGTGGTAAGGAGTAAGGAACAAAATACATGACTGGGATTCTCCCACCTGGAGCCTGTGCCCCTTGCCCTCACCAGCCTCTGCTTCCTCTGTTGCTTTTGGGACTGGCACTAATCCCGGCTGGCTTGCCTTCTTATGGGATTGGCATGAGGACATTATGAGCTGTAAGATGAAGCACCTCTGTAAAGTATATGCTATTACTCTACAGTGCTGGCTTGGGGAATTACATCCTCATAGGTTACCCAAGGTGAGTTGGTGGCTTGTTAAATTTGTTCTGTTTCTGTTTCGTTTATCATCATTTGAAGTGGAAGGAAATAGGAGATTGTGTTTACATTTCAATTAAGTTGATGGATCCTCTTTCTTCTGGGAAACAATACGTACAAATAGTTTTTAAGAATTAAACAAAGCCACAAGTGCAATAAATCAAACTAGTTTCCAGTCTCCACAGCCTGATGTTTATTGCTTTCCTAAGGGTAGTAATTGTACCCTTTGAGACCCTGTTCTACCTTCTTGTTTGACTCTTGCATGGATTGTCAGGTTGGGGTCTTTAACGCCTGATGACTTTGAAGAATGAGATTGTTTACTTTGTTACAATGCCAGGGCAGAGCATTTGAACTGCTGTTGCATCGACATCAGGTAATCAAAGATAAGATATTTGGGTTGAAGCCTAATACACTAGGCTTCACTGGGACTCACTGCGCTTCTGGAAGGTAGAGGTGGCCATGTCATTTGGAAGTGAGAATTATCTGATTCCTCTGGCAGGTGAATATGTGTGCTGCAGTCTAGTCACTTTCCATAACCGCTCTGGTGACTAAGCTTGGTCAGATAGGGCGTATATCAGTGAGCTGTTTTTTGTTTGTAGGCTGCCTAGAAATATGTTGACTTTGTACAGTCTAAGCTGAAAGCCAGCAGTAACTGGTGGTTAAGAAGTTAATATTATTCTTGAAAAATTTAATCTACCCTATCATTAAAGAGCAATAAGGAAGCAGTCCTGCTGCTGAGAAGGAGCTGGGAATATGAAGCTGGGTGTTCCTGAAGCAAGTTGTTTTAAGATTAAATCCTTATCCACTATAACAATATACATTTTTTATTTTTATTTATTTATTTATGTATTTATTTATTTGAGATGGAGTTTTGCTCTTGTTGCCCAGGCTGGAGTGGAATGGCACGATCACATGCTCACTCTGCCTCCTGGGGTCAAGAGATTCTCCTGCCTCAGCCTCCTGAGTAGCTGGGATTATAGGCGCCCACCACCACTGCCCACTAATTTTTTGTATTTTTAGTAGAGACTGGGTTTCACCATGTTGGCCAGGCTGGTCTCGAACTCCTGACCTAGGTGATCCACCCACCTCGGCCTCCCAAAGTGCTGGGATTACAGGCGTGAGCCACCGCGCCTGGCCCCGTTTTTTCTTTTTAAACTGTCTACCTTGAATATAGGAAGTTGGCACTTATATAAGGAGCTTAAAGCTAATAAAGTAGACATTTCTCCCAATTTCACTACTGAGAAATGAGACTTCAGATCCTTTTTTGTCATTGGCAACCACATACTTACTGGTCTATCTAATAGTTGATTTTAAAAGATGGAACAGGAATCTTGAATGAAGACATCGGCTTTAGGGACAGCCTTTGCTTTCATTCCCCACTGGATTGTGAACTCCTTCAAAGACAAGGATCTTCATTTTTGTATCCCAGAGGATACAAACTATGCGTGTCTGTCATACAGTAGAGAATCAATAAACATATGTTGAGCTGCTTTTCTTCTGTGATTCCCCTTCACTATCTAGTCTATTATTTTTTGTTTCTTTATCAGAGAGAAACCAACTCCATGACATAAAAATAATAAATTTTTATTTAATACTACCTATACATTATCATATGCTAACATAATACATGGTTCTAAGCACTTTACAAATGTCGCTTCCTTTAATCCTACAACACACTCTCAGAGGTAGGTACTGTTACTTATCTCTATTTTACACTTGAAAAGACTGAGATAGAGAAAGGTGAAGTGACTTCTGTCTAAGGTCCTGCAGTACTATGTAGCAGCCTCAGTAGACTTTTAGCTCTCAAATATTACCCTCTTTTCCTGAGTTGCAGAGAAATGAGAGCAGACATGCCTTTCTACCTTCAATTCTAACCACCTCCCTTGTCCTCTGCCTCCTTTCTGACCACCCCCAAGTTCCAGAATAATGTGACTTGAGTTTGGAAAATAAAGTTACAGGTGTAAAACATGGCTCATTCATATGGCCCCAGGCTGGGAGTGAGGCCATTCACACAGGAGCCATTTAGGTTGAACTGTATGACCTTTGCAAGGCTGTGACCTCTAGCCCTAGGCCTCTGAGTTTGTCAGGTCACCATATGCCCCAGGTCGGTGCCTCTAAACCTTTATGTACGTGTGGTCACCTGGGTATCCTGTTGAGATACAGATTCTGGCTAGGCGCAGTGGCTCAAGCCTGTAATCCTAGCACTTTGGGAGGCCGAGGCAGGCGGATCACTTGAGGGCAATTGTTCAAGACCAGCCTGGCCAACATGGTGAAATCCTGTCTCTACTAAAAATAAAAAAAAATTAGCCGGGCATGGTGGCAGGCGCCTGTAATCCCAGCTACTCGGGAGGCTGAGGCATGAGAATTGCTCGAACCCAGGAGGCAGAGGTTGCAGTGAACTGACATCGCGCCACTGCACTCCAGCCTGGGCAACAGAGCGAGACTCCGTCTCAAAAAAAAAAAAAAAAGGATGCAGATTCTGATTCACTGGGTCTGGGGTGGGTCTTGGGATTCTGCGTTTCTGACAGCATTCCAGGAAATGAAGAGGGCTAATCCTTGGGCCAATGCTGTAGAGGAGCCAAGTCTCCGTGGGTCCAGCCTTAGTGTTCCAAGCACTTTCTTGCTTGAAGAAGGCCTAATTCCTAACCTGGGACCCAGAGAGAGACATAAGATATCCAGAGAGATATGCACCAAGAAACTGCAATTTATACAAAGACAGTCAGAAAGCAGCTGAAGACAGAATGAGAGAGAAACTAAGTAAAAGAAACTTGATGCCTCCAAAATGAAGAGTATGCCTCATTTCCATATGTGAACTGAAAAGCTCTCCACTTTTGAAATAAAGGCTTACTATAGAGCAGCCCTGGTAATAGAACTACAAGACTTATAATAACTTCCTGTTTGAGTTGAAATGAAAACTCATAAAGAATCTATGCTATTAACCCCCTAATTTATACTTTTGTATTCTTTTATGTTGTATTTTGTATTTTATGTTGGACTTCTTTTTTAAAATTTTGTATTTATTTTTAATTGAAAAATAATTGTGTATACTTATTGTTGTACAACATGATGTTTTGATATATGTATATGTTGTAGAATGACTAAATCAAGCTAGTTAACATATGCATTACCTCCTATACTTATCATTTATTTGTGGTGAGAACATTTAAAATCTACTCTGTTAGCAATTTTGAAGTATAGAATACACTATGTCAACTATAATCATGGTGTTGTACAGTAGGTCTAAATGTATTCATTTCTCCTATCTAACTGAAAATTTGTATCTTTTGACCAACATCTCCCTGGTCCCTCCATCTCCTCCCCTGGTAACTACCATTATTTTTTTTTCTTTTTTTTAAAAAAAAGCTTTTAGTTTCGAGGGTACACGTGTAGGTTTGTTATATAGATAAACACAAGTCATGGGACTGTGTTGTACAGATTATTTTGTCGTCCACGTACTAAGCCTAGTGCCCAATAGTTATTTTTTCTGCTCTTCTCCCTCCTCCTACCCTCTGCCATCAAGTTGGCCTAATGTCTATTGTTCCCTTCTTTGTAACAACCACTCTAATCTCTGCTTCTAAGGGTTCCTATGTCTGACTTCTTTCCCTTGATTTTGTGAGATTCATCCACGTTGTGTATGCAGCAGTAGTTTATTTATTTTCATTATTGGATAGTATTCCTTTGTGTGAACATAAATTGCTGATGGCAGATGTTTGAATTGTTTCCAGTTTTTGAGTATTATGAATAATGCTGTTGTGAACATTTATGTGTATGTCTTTTGATGAACATGGGTTTGCTTTTCTGATGGTGGGTGTGTGTCTACAACTGCTGATTTCTAAGATGTGAATATGTTCAGCTTTAGTGAGTACAGCCAGTTCTCCAGTGTGGCTCTTCACACTCCTATCAGGTATGAATAAGAGTTCCATTGTTCCACATTCTTTGCCAACACTTAGTTTGATAAGTCATTTTCATTTTAGCCATTCTGATGTTTGTATGGGGGTCTGTCATTATGATTTTAGCTTGTCTTTCGCTTATCACCATTTGAAGTTTAGTATCTTTCCGTGCCTCTTGTTTATGTTTCAGTTGTGTGTGTGAGTGTGTGTGTGTGTGTTCGTATTTTTAAAAACACAATGAAAGTTCCACAGAACATTGGTAAAAAGTCTTGAAATCTGTAGTCATGGGGGTTACCTGTCACTGATATCTGATTTTATCCTCAAATGTTTCTGGGGAAGGAGGACATGAAGTGGTATATAGAGGTATAAAACCCTTTAGCAAGGAAACTTGCTGAAAAGTTGGAGCCAGCATAGATGGCCCAGGGCAATTGTAAAGTCAGAGACCACTTGAAAGTGTAAAACCATTTGATCTCCAGATGAGTTTGCCTTTTGTAGAAGTCCCTCTGGAAGATAGTAAACCACCTTAAAAAGTATTGCTGAAAACATTTTTTGGAATTGCTCTAAACATACATACTTTTGAATACTTTAGGTGGTTTTAAAATGACCTTTGAGCATGTACAGTGATTTTGGGAAATAGCAAGACTTCTCAGAGCCCAGTCCCACTGGAAGGAAGGACTAATGCCATGGGTGACAGACAAACAAAAAACCCTAAGCATTATTTATAACACTTGCCTGTAAAGGAATGCAACTTCCTTTCTTGAGTGAAGACTGAAGACATTAGCAGGGAGGGAGAAGATGCCATTTGAATGATGTCTTTTAATCTGTTTTGAGTATTATCATTATACAGGTGAAAAGTCAGGTTTAGAGAGCAAAAGAGAACATGATTTAAAAGTCAAACCTTACTGTCTTGCCTTTTCCTTTCCCTACCCTGCCTCTCCTCTGACAAGTGTTGGAGGAATTAACAAAACTCTGTTGCAGCCAGAAAAACAAGTGCTGATAGTGAAGTTCTGGTTTCCATTCCTGTCCTATTTCAGAGTCCCAGGAGCTCTCCGGGCCTCTGTCAAATGGGGCTCTGTGGAGACAGGAGTCCTAGGTGGCCTGTGTCAGGCTTCAGGACACTCCTGTTTCCCAAACCTGGTTCCTGCGGTCCTGCTGATCTTTGGAGCTCTTCAGGGCCTTTCAGGGTCCTGCCACATTCTGCCAGGACTGTCTTACTGTAGGCTTTGCTGTGTCTGCTCCTTTTTCTTCCTGACTGGCAAATAGTTACCCAGAAAATACTTTAAAGATATGCTGATGAATAATGTCACTGTTGGAAATATATTCCGTGTATATTCCGTGTAAAAAGCAGGTCTTTTTCAGGGTGGATACTTACATAAAATCTGACCAGTAGAGGAAGGGTATAGCTGATTTCTTTTTTTTTTTTTTTTTTTTGAGACGGAGTCTTGCTCTGTCGCCCAGGCTGGAGTGCTGTGGCGCCATCTTGGCTCACTGCAAGCTCCGCCTCCTGGGTTCACGCCATTCTCCTACCTCAGCCTCCTGAGTAGCTGGGACTACAGGCGCCTGCCACCACGCCCGGCTAATTTTTTGTATATTTTTAGTAGAGACGGGGTTTCACTCTGTTAGCCAGGATGGTCTCGATCTCCTGACTTCACGATCGGCCCGCCTCAGCCTCCCAGAGTGCTATGATTACAGGCGTGAGCCACCGTGCCGGGCCAGCTGATTTCTTTAATGTTCATTTATTGCTGAACTTAAAATCTCCTATTAGTTTTCCCCAAGACCCAGTGGGTTAATGTTCTTTTGTGTACAGTAAAGACTTTCAGAAATTTTTCCTGAAAGGAATGCCCTGGGCAGGTAGCTTTCAGATAGACAGTGGGGCATTTGGCTGCCCCAAGGGTCCGGAAGAAAGACATATGTGCTTGGCCATCCCAGAGACCTGTTCTCACCCTTTTGGGATCATGGACCCCACCACACTAGCCCTCTTCCACTGACACTGGGAATATTATCTATAAGCTGAGGATGTAGAAAGCTGCAATCCACAACCTGTATTTTTTTTTTTTTTTTTTTTTTTTTTTGATGGAGTCTTGCTCTGTTGCCTAGGCTGGAGTGCAGTGGCACAATCTCGGCTCACTGTAACCTCCGTCTCCCGGGTTCAAGTGTTCTCCCGTCTCAGCCTCCTGAGTAGCTGGGATTATAGGCACACGCCACCATGTCTGGCTACTTTTTGTATTTTTTGTAGAGACGGGGTTTCACCATGTTGTCTGGGCTGGTCTCGAACCCCTGACCTCAGGTGATCCACCCACCTCAGTCTCCCAAAGTGCTGGGATTACAGGCGTGAGCCACCGTGCCCAGCCCACAACCTGTTTTTCTGGCTCAAAGTAGTAGCAAAGAAACCTCTGTGTTTCTCCTGCGACTACATAGAAGAATGCTTTCTTCATTTGGTAGTTTCTTTATTTTTAACACCTATAATCCTGCACAGTCTTGGTTTTTACTGCAGAGTACTTGGCCGTGGGTAACCAGATTGCTAAATTTCCTATACAGATTATAATTTTATTTTGTTCATTTTCACATAGTTTTCCCTGGATAAAATGAGGTAGCTGAGAAAAAAAAAATTCTGAGGACATTTTAATGAAAACTTCCTCTGGTAAGATATTCATTTTTATGCCACATTTAATTCCTGTAAAGAATTCCAGGTGTCACTAAGAAGCAGTTGAACCCAGTGGCTGTGAATATCTGGCGATCTAAACTCATTTTCTTATCAGATTATATTGTCCTATACACCTGTGTAGGTTGTATATGTCAGATCTGGACTTGGCTGGTGGACGTTTGAACTTATTGACTTCCTGCCAAAAGAAAGAAACGTATAAATGGTGCTTTGTACTTTGAATTTCATGGTGTCCTGAGTAAACACAAAATATACATTGTGACAGGAGGAGTAAAGGACCGCCCACATCCTTATTTTTTGAGTGGGTGTAGCTAATGATTAGTTCCTGGATATGTAACTAGGATGTAGGTCAGGTCCCATTGTCATCTGCAGCAGAGGTACAGTAAGCACTGCCTCCCTATAGATGGCTGTGTTATCTCACAGGTACAACTGTCTAAAGTTCTTTCTATGAGAATTTTTTTTTTTTTTTTTTGGAGACAGAGTCTCACTCTTGTCACCCAAGCTGGAGTGCAATGGTGCGATCTTGGCTCACTGCAACATCCGCCTCCTGGGTTCAAGTGATTCTCCTGCCTCACCCTCCCGAGTAGCTGGGATTATAGGTGCACGCCTCCATTCCCAACTAATTTTTGTATTTGTAGTAGAGACGGGGTTTTACCATGTTGGCCAGGCAAGTCTCAAACTCCTGACTTCGGGTGATCTGCCCCCCTTGGCCTCCCAAAGTGCTGGGATTATAGGTGTGAGCCACCACACCCGGCCAAGAAGTTTTCTAAGAAGTTTTTAATAAGCTTCTTGGTTTAGGAATAAGGAGCTCACTTCAGTGAATATCTGAGGCTTCCTCTATGTGATATTGATTAAAATATTAATAGCTGTGCATATGTAGTGTGCTGGACACTGTGCTAAGGACATTTTGTGGATTCTTTCAACTCTTTTAATTAGGTGCCGTTACTAGCCCTGTTTTACAGAGTCAGAAACCAAGGCTCAGAGAAGTTGTCCTTTGGTCCCAGGGTCACACATCCCATCCATGTGACTCCTAAGTTCAGGCTCTTGACCACTGCACTGTGCTGTACTGAGGCAGTGCGTGACTAGAGGGTATGGTCAGAACCTGGGGCCATTCTTGAGAAACTGGATTTCAAAAGAAAGAAGATCAGACGTTAATTAATAAGAAGTGCATCAGTATGAGCGACTGCATTTTAAATATGCTCAGCTTACGTGAGGGATGGGGAAATTGTAGCAGATTTTGAGAAGAAACTGGGTTTTGAAGGAGAGAAATGCCATTGACATTTAAAGGAGGGGAAAGATATTCAGCTTCATGTAAGGATGATGACCTACATCATGGAAAGGCCTCCACAGAGGGATATGGTTCTTGTGTGGGGGTGTTAGGGGTCAAGTTTACCTGGAACAACTCTTTCAGTAGGTTTAGTTGGTTTTTCTTTCAGTAAGTGTTTGGGTATTATTACCGGTACCTCCTTCCCCTACCTTTATCAAAAGCAAACATACAGGGCCAAGCTTCTATGCAGCACCCTACTTCTTTCCTTGTCCGTTTCATGTCCAGGCTTGGAACAGGAGAAAGGACAGACAAAGATATTATAGTTTCTCTCCCCTTCCTCAAATAGATGCTGTGTCATAGTGCTATTTTGGGGTGAAGGGACCCCAGGAAATTCCTGGTTTAAAATCCTGCAGGGCCATATACCTGCATTTTCTCAGGCACTTTTTTCATTTTGTTTTGTGTTAAACTTAGATCTCTGTCTTTTCATTCATTCAGCAAAAGAGTCTACGTGTGTAACCGATTTTCATGGTGAGCAAAATCAGACAAGGTTTCTGCTTTTATAGAATGTTTTTAAAGGAGCTAAACTAATTGCATAAAATGTTACATGACAACTGTTGTAAGTGCTCCAGGGGGGTACATGTTTGAGGGAGTTTGGCCTAGTCAAATAAATTAGGGCAGTTTCCTAAGGAAGTCATGATGAGCTGAGATCTGAAGGATAAGTAGAGTTAAAGAGGGAGGGAGATGGCATTATGGAGGTGATGGAATGTGCAAAGGCCCTGAGGTAGGAAGGACCTTGGTATGAGCAAGGGGCAGAAGCCCTCTATGGCTGGAAGTGGAGGATAATGGGTATGAGAAAGTATTTTCTCAAGAGTCACCAGTGTTCCTAACATGGATTTGAAGTGATTAGATTGACAAGATTCATGTTTTTTGCAATAAAGGAAGTGGATGAATTGATTGTGGAAGTCCAAGAGAAGATACGGTGGACCAGTTTAGAAGTTTTTGCAGTAGTTTAGGAAGAAATGATGATAGTCTGACCAGGGTGGTAAAGATGGAGCGAACCGGGTGGAGGTATGGAGAAATAGAAAGAAGTGATATGACTGGATGTGGTAATGGGTTGAAAGTACAGGGTGAGAAACAGGGAGATGCCAGAGTTGGCTCTTCAGTCTCTAGCTTGCATGACTGTGTGATGGTGGTGTCATTGCATGGACCGTCATGCCTCCCCAGGTAGACTATAGTCAAGATCTTTTTCCAATTGAAGTTTGAATCCTCACAGTATTACTTATAATAGCCACTCATGTACCTTTTGTTTGATGGATTAGAACAGGAGGAGTTTCTTTAGAAAAGTGGTGTGTGTGCTTGGTGGGAAACAGCAGTTAGTGTACCAATGAGTGTGGCTGGGGCAAGAGAAAAGATTCATAGTTGTAGTACAACCCCCAATGCATTTCATCATATAGAGATGTGCCTGCAATTTTCAGGAAGCACTTACAAGTTATTTTGAACTTCTCAGCACTTAGAAATGTGTCTTTTTCCCTTTATGCTAGACTCAACCCTTCTGATCCTCTGTTTATCTATCTGTATGATGAGCCTAGTAACACTAACCTTCTGAGGTGTCTGTGAGGGTTATGTATTTGGTAACTTTGTGAAATGTGAAGGATTTTACATTGATCGAGGGACTCTGTGAAATCTGTTCTTATGTTCTCCTGTTGTCCTCCCCACCACTAGTGGGAGCTGCTGCTCAGAGGGCATAGGCCCTGTGGTGACAGTTGGCTCTTGGTAGGTGAGGCTTCCCCGGACGGGTTGAGTGCTCCTGCTTAGGTAAATGCCTGTGTTTCTTTTTTCCACTCGATCCTTCCATAAAGTGATTGAATCAGTGGATGAGTTTTTGGTTAATGTGACTGAGGACTGGGGGAGAGATGAGTTAAAGATAGGTTAGATCTAGTTTCTTTTTTATTTGAGATTGTTTTACATTTCAGGCCTTGGGGTGCTCAAGTCACAACCCCAGGGCTGAGTGTGGACTGAGGACAAATGTTGTCTTGATCTTGATCCTCTGTGTCGAGCGATGTCGGATGATGGAACTCACCACCAACCTTAAAACCAGAGAGAGGCTAGTTCCAGTGTGGTGATAGTCCTGGGGATCAGTACTGCTGCAGTGCTTTCTCTCTGCAGAATAGAATGCCTTCGCGGTGTTGGAGACCATGCGCAAAGTGGCTGGTCAGTCTGTTTTCCTCCTGTGTGCCTCTGTTGTCTTTATTAAGGTTTTATATTTCAAGCCTCTTTATTTTTTCCATCTCTGTCACTTCAAACTTTCTATCTTCCTGTCTGTATTTCTTTCTGTATTTACCACCATATTTCTTCTGTATTTTCCACTCCCCACCTTCTCTTGGAATTCAGTGATACTATTGTCCATTTCTTCCTTTAGTTGGAAGCAGGGCATTTCTTAGGCTCTTCGTTGGGGTCCAAGAGTGACCTCGGGATATTTCTGCTCTGCTGTGCTGGTCTGTTGTCCTAAGCATGCTGTTGATAAACATGTTACTGTCTTAAAATAACTAGAGATGGTGGGCAATAATAGCATGTGCCAAATTATCTTCATTTGTCCTGTGCATTAGGATATATAGAACTGAGCAAAAAAAAAAAAAAAAATTGCTTGGGAGATACATACAGCCATTCTTCAAAAATATTTATTACCACTCATTTTTATTTTGTAAGTTTGCATTTGCATAAGAATAAAAGTTTACTCTCATGCTAAGACGATTAAAGCCAATTTATTATCCTGTATCTTTATTTTCTTTGATGTTTTAAAAAGCTTTTATTTTTTAGTTGAAACAGAGGAGTAGTCTGTCTCTAGAAAGAATCTATTCTATGTATATTGCAATATCAATTGTTTTTGAGCAGGAAAAGGCTTTGGATATCTAACCCCTTTGTCATCTCTTCCTCCTGTACTCTCATCTTTCTGCCTGCCTCTGTTTTACAGGTGAGAAAACTGAGGCAGTACAATTCTACCATAAATGAGTAGTAAACTCAGAATTCTTAATTCCAATCTCTCGATTCTCCAGCTCATTGTGATTTTCTAGAACTTAAAATATTTCTAAGACGTTTCATATTAAAGCCTATTTTTCAGTTTAAGGTCATTCTCTCTTAGAAGTTGTTTTCTTGCTTTTTCGTAACCAAAGCTTTAATTGGTTCAGTACAAGGGGAGAACCAAGTGATGGCTTTGTCTTGTTCTAAAATCAATGTAAAGATTTATAGGTCTATAAATATTTACAAAATTTGGCAATATTGTGTGTATGAAGAAATAATTTCGAAGCGTACCAATATTTTATGTCTGGTCTGGACAAATTTCCACTAGCAATAGATTGAATTTCTGTTGAAATATACTGTCCTTTCTTGGTTTTTATGAGAGGTGTATTCTGGAACTTGTGATTTTTTTTTTTTCTTTTCATTCTGAGTTTGTGAAGGAAATCGGGATGTGTCTAATTAGTTATTATGTAGGGTGTTAGGCAATTTCCATAACAGTTAATTTAAATCTACCTTAATTAAAAATAACATGTTGTATAGCAATGGGTAGGAATTTATGACTCAAGATGAAGCCAGGCCGTAGCAATTTCAGAAAGCATGAGGATTACAGCTTTAAAGGCCGAGGAGGGACAGATAGGAACCCATCAATGCTGTCAGCCTTTATTGTGCCCTGGTGTTTAGGTGGATATTGAAGATATATGTAACTGGTGATCTGTGAGCTACCAATTTGCCTTTAAAATCTGTCTGTTTAAAATCAGTTCTCCTGTTCCCTTGCCCAACACAGTAAGCATTTTGTTTTCTGTATTGCCCCTCAAGATGAAGAACCCTTGAGGGAATAGTGTCTTGTCCTCCACTCAAGGTCTTAGAGTCATGATTAATTGGCAAATATTGGCCTCAAAAAAGGGCAAAAGAGAGTTATTAGAGTCCCCAAGGCTTGTAGTAGAATAAAGGGTGCTGGGAAGGAAGTGGCCAGGCTCTCCTGGTGAGTTGATGAGCACCTTGGCTTCCTTTTCCCATTCAGTGGCCCAGGCCCTGCCTTTTCCCCTCATATTGGGCATGGGGTACTGTCCTGGATGCTGTGAGCAGACAGGCATGGAAGACCAGACTTTGGGGGCTAGGCCTAGTCACCTTTGTTACTCCAGCCTGTTGAATTGCTCTATCCAATTGCTATCTAATTGCAATCCCAATGCTATCTAATTGGCAAGGGATGCCATTGTAGTCATTTGATTTTCCTTCTTGAAAGCTCTGGGATCTTTCCTGAAAGATCCAGCTTCTTATATGTAAAATGGGATGGTAACCTTATGAGATATGTTCTATTATTAATAGGGGGATTAATTGAGACTTTCAAAGTGTTCAGCTCCCTGCCTTGCATACCGTGAGGACTCAGTAGGATAAATGGTAGCTATTGCTATTATTATTGGCCTCTGGTGTGTGATAGAATCAAGTAGTGTCTGTTATAAAGGTTCTGAGGCAGAATTATCCAGCTCTTTGAAATAAGAACTTTTAGCTTAACTACCAAATGAGTGTCCAGGTGTTAGGATTCATTGCAAATGGGATTATACATTCTTTTTCCTCTTCCTAATTATGTGGTAAGTCTTTTCAGGAGGGAAAGCACCTACCATTTTCTCAGGGAGAGCTTTATACTCCCGCCAGCACTTGGTTCTAAAAGAAATTTTTCACATGAAGCATTATATAGGAGTCTTTGTGGTTGTTTAAAATAATACATTTATATGCAGGCATTCCTCAGAGATATTGCAGGTTCAGTTCCAGACAACAACAATAAAGGAAATATTGCAATAAAGTAAGTCACACAAATTTTTTGTTTCTTGGTGCTTATAAAAATTATGTTTACACTATACTGAAGTCTATTAAGTGTCCAGTAGCATTATGTCTGAAAAAATACATACCTGAATTAAAAATACTTTATTGCTAAAAAATGCCAATGATCATCTGAATCTTCAGCAAATAGTAATCCTTTTGCTGGTCGAGGGTCTTGCCTCAACGTGGATGACTGCTGCCTGGTCAGAATGGTGGTGCTGAAGGTTGGGGTAGCTGTGGCAATTTCTTAAAATAAGATAGCAGTGAAGTTTGCTGCATTGATTGACTCTTCCTTCCGTGTAAGATTTCCCTGCAGCTTGTGATGCTGTTTGTTAGCATTTTACCCACTGTAGAACTTCTGTCAAAATTGGAATCAATCCTTTCAAACTCTGCTGCTGCTGCTTTATCACCTCAGTTTATGTAATATTCTAAGTCCTTTGTTGTCGCTTCAACAATGTTCACAGCATCTTCACCACCTCAAGAAACTACTTTCTCTGCTCATCCATAAGAAGCAACTCCTCATTCATTCAAGTTTTATCATAAGATTGCACAACGTAGTCACATCTTCAGGCTAAACTTCAGATTCTAGGTCTCTTGCCATTTCCACCACATCTGCAGTTGCTTTCTCTACTGAAGTCTTGAACCCTTCAAAGTCATTTATGAGGTTTAGAATCAGCTTCTTCCAAGCTCGTGTTAATGTTGATATTTTGACCTCCCCCCATGAATCACAAATATTTGTAAAGGCATCTAGAATGGTGACTCCTTTTAGAAAATTTTGAAGTGACTTTGACCAGATACATCGGAGGAATCACTGTCTATGGCAGCTATAGCCTAATGAAAGGTATTTCTTAAATAATAGGACTTGAAAGTAGAAATTACCACTTGATCCATGGGCTGAAGAATGGATGATTAGACATGAAAACAACATTAATCTTTTTGTACCTCTCCATTAGAGCTCTTGGATGACCAGGTACATTGTCAATGAGCAGTAATATTTTGAAAAGATTTTTTTTTTTTCTGAGCAGTCAGTCTCAACAATGAGCTTAAAATATTCAGTAAGCCATACTGTGAACAGATGTGGTGTCATCTAGGCTTTGTTGTTCCATTGATAGAGCACATGCAGAATAGATTTAGGATAATGCTTAAGGGCCCTAGGATTTTCAGAATGGTAAATAAGCATTGGATTCAACTTAAAGTCACCAGCAGCATTAGCCTCTAACAAGAAAGTCATCCTGACCTTTGAAGGTTTGCAGCAAGGCCTTGACTTCTCCTCTGTACCTATGGAAGTCCTAAATGGCATTTTCTTCCAATATAGGGCTGTTCATCTACATTGAAAATCTGTTGTTTGGTGTAGCTGATAACCTTAATGGTAACTGATAACCTTAATCAGTTATCTTAGCTAGATCATCCGCATAACTTGCTGCAGCTTCTACATCAGCACTTGCCACTTCACCTTGCAATTTTATGTCATAGAGATGGCTTCTTAAACCTCATGAACCAACCTCTCCTAGCTTCCAGCTTTTTTTCTTCTGCAGCTTCATCACCTCTTTCAGCCTTCGTAGAATTGAAGAGAGTTAGAGCCTTTCTCTGGATTAGGCTTTGGCTTAAGGGAATGCTGTAGCTGGTTGGCTGGTTTGATCTTGCATCCAGACTGGTCACATTTTCTTCGTATCAGCAATAAGGATGTTTTTCTTTCTTATTCATGCATTCAGCAGAGCAGTATTTTTAATTTCCTTCAAGAAGTTTTTTGCATTCCCAACTTGGCTGTTTGGGGCAAGAGGCCTAGCTTTCAGCCTGTCCTGGCTTTCGACATGCTTTCTTCACTAAGCGTAATCGTTTCTAGCTTTTGATTGAAAGTGAGAGACATGAGAATCTTCCTTTATTTGAACACTTAGAGTCAATTGTAGGATTATTAATTGGCCTAATTTCAATATTGTTGTGTCTTAGGGAATAGGGAGGCCTGAGGCAGGGGCATGGCTGGTGGGAGGAGCAGCTAGAATACATACATTTATTGATAGAGTTCAGACGAAGGGATAGAGACCGGGACAGGGCTGGTGGGTGGAGCAGCCAGAATACGTGCATTTATTGATTAAGTTCACTGTCATTTTTGGGCATGGTTTGTGGCACTCCAAAACAAGTGCAATAGAAACATATAAGAGCATTGATCACAGATTACTGTAGCATATAATAATGAAAGATTTTTAAATATTGCAAAATTATCAAAATGTGACCCAGAGACATGGAGTGGGCACATGCTGTTGGAAAGATGCCGCTGATAGACTTGCTTCACACTGGGCTGCCACAAACCTTCAATTTGTAAAATATAAAATATCTGTGAAGTGCAATAAAGCACAATAAACAAACTATGCTTGTATCTATGCATTACGGGTTCTATTTTGATATGGAAGCAAGTCAAATTGGTCTGCAACAGCTTGATTTTCGTGTCTGAATGCCATTGTTTGTATGTGTACATTTCTGTCCCCGCAATTGGGAAGCCATTTAGAAATCTGATAGGAGTTAGCTCCTAACAATATGTATGTATGCATGCATGTATGCATGCTTGCAATCAGTCTTTCATTCATTTCCTGCTCTGTGTATTCACTGCTTTTCTCACCTGGTGGTTCCATGCTAGATTCAGAAAGAACTTTTTTTTTGTTTTAATGGTGTAAAAGGCTGTAACAGTTGCTAGTGATGATGGCCATTTTTATGTGCCTCTGAACCTCTTTTTCTCAGAATACTTTATTACCTGTCTGCTGCTGTTTGGGTGTGTGTCCACTTTTAATTTGTTGCCTAAATATGGGTCAGTCCTGCCATACTGAATTTCTGAGCAAACAAGAAAAGGGATGTGAAAAAGTTATGTATGCAAATAAGGTGGTATGGAGCCACCATCCTCTCTCTAATTCCAAAATCTTAAAGGCCCTGAAAGCTTTTCTAACTCACTTGGTGGTAAGATCGGACTTGAACAAATGTGAGTCTATTTATGTTCTTCATGTATCTAATTTAGTGGGATCATTTGTAAGTTTTGCTGCAGCAGTATTACCGTGTTTGATTATGGGGTGCTGACCTAGATCCTACTTGGAGCATAAGGTGTACGTACCATATTACCTTTCTAAAAAGTCAAGAATGCTGAATTCCAAAGCACACCTGGCTTTAGGGGATTTGGATAAGAGATGTGGGCCTGTAGTATTTTTATTTAGGTCTCTAAGCTTTTTTTTCAGTTGACAACCTTCCCTTGAGATTCTCTTTTTGGCACCGTCTTTTTGAGGTATGCAAGTAAGTATCTCCCTTGCCTGTCACTCAGGGAACATTTACTGACTGCTGTAGGTTGGGCTTTATACTAAGGATGGGGGCTACTGATAAGAATAAGACATTTATCCTCTTTCTCCTACAGAAGTTCAGTGCTCCATTATAATGTGCAAGGTGCTATAATAGCAGTTGGTGGAGTCCTAAGTTTGGCAGGATAATCATAGCCAGGAACTCCACCAACAATGTAAAGTCAATGTAAAGGCAAAGATACACGGAAGACAATGTGATCAGGGAGCAGCTGTGTATTTGCTGTGGTCTTTGAAGAGTAAAGCTATGGAAAGGGCAGTTGGGGAGCCAATTTTTGCAGGACCTTATTTACCAAGCTAAACAGTTGAGTGTTTATCCTTTGGGAGTAAGGAATCTTGAAGCCTGGAAATGGAATGATTGAATTTAGAGTTTAGAAAGAATCCTCTGACTTCATTTTAAGGGACTCCAAAAGGTGGTCACTGCTGTATTCTGAGAAACAGGACATTTTTATGAGTGTCCCTCGTGATACTTAACAGTGTGTAGTGCTTTCAGATTTGCAAAAGATTTTCTTTTGCCTTCATTTCTTTTGCAGTAGCCCTGAGGGATGCGGTGGCAATGAGTAAGGAAACAGGCTCAGAAAATTGACTTGCCCAAAGTCATATCTAGCAACACTGGCTGCATCAGGTCTCTTAATTCTACATCTTACACTGTTTGGACATGATGTTAAAACATTTTAGTATGTTGCTCAGTTATAAGAACACTTAAAGATAATCTGCAACCTGCATATCTTCTGTGTTTGCCCATTGATTAGACTGTCAGCTCCCTGAGGACTTCCAGTATTCCATTTGATGTGCCTTTGACACAAAGGCAGCCTTAGGGCAGACACCACCAAGAATCTGCCAGACTTTCTCCTCCAGAACCAGCATAGGGATAGGAAGAAGGAACATTTAGCAAAATGTCATTTTCCCTAATATATATCTCATTATGTGCACTTATTATCCAGCTTCTTTGTTTAAAACTCTGCTCTAAGTGTTGTGGGAAATACAAAATGTAAAATAATTAGATTTAAATTAAAAAAAAAAGCCTTCTCATGAGTTAAGCCTATCTGTCTTATTCAAATCCCACACACCAAAATTTCTTGGCTTTTTGTAACACATTTTCTTTTTAATGAATGTTGGATGTTGAAATCAAAAGGCCTTCTGCACAGGCTGATTAGAACTGTTAGGCTTACACATTTACTTTGCATTAGTTTGTGCAATAATTAGGTATAATATGGCACCTTTCCATGTGGGTATTTTTGAAACATAGAAACAACAACAAAAAAAATCATTAAATGGACATCATTTATTACAGAAGAAAGTTTTAGTTGACCAAAGGCCTATAATAATGCTTCATAAGTGAAAGTCATCTTGTGAATCACACTTAAAATTAATAGTCAACTGTAAGTTTTTGTCCCAACCTGCCCTCTACTGAATTAGCAGTGAAATTAAAGATGTAATCTTTTTTTATTATTATTATTTTAACACACCTGGCATCTGTTGCTATTTATGCTAGCAGTATTGCTAGGCTGTCTAGGAGTTGGAGAAAAGTCAAGTTCTAAATTATTCTCAGTATTAGAATCCATGTCAATTTAAAAGCATTTATTGAAATGATTTGTTGTTGATTGTCCTTTACTAACTTTGTATCAGAAAAGCTTTTGGGGCCCCAGAAGTAACTAGAGATCATTCAGTCCCAGGAGCTGGACTGGTGGAAAAACAAATTAGGAAACTGATCCCACAGGATCAAGTTCGTTCTTGAACTTACTACCTTTAACTTTGGATAACCTCTGAGCCTCTGGTTCCTTATCTGTGAAGTGAGGCTTCTGATAGTTTTTCACAGATTCTAAGACATTTTTGTTTATTTTACATTTTAACATAACTGAAAACAAAATTTTTTTTTTTTTTGAGTCAGAGTCTCACTCTGTCACCCAGGCTGGAGTGCAATGGCACAATCTCGGCTCACTGCAACCTCCGCCTCTCAGGTTAAAGCAATTCTTCTGCCTCAGCATCCTGAGTAGCTGGGACTACAGGCGTGTGCCACCATGCCCGGCTAATTTTTTGCATTTTTAGTAGAGACGGGGTTTCACCGTGTTAGCCAGGATGGTCTCGATCTCCTGACCTTGTGATCTGCCCACCTCGGCCTCCCAAAGTGCTGGGATTACAGGTGTGAGCCACCACGCCCGGCCAAGATGTGTTTTATAGTACATTGTTTGTTATGGTTTTGTGGTGTTTTTTCCTCCTAGTATAGTGGTACATAAAATAATCATGCATCTTATAATCAGTGATTTCTTATATTGCCAAATATGTGCCCTATCGACCTCCCAGGTTGTCAGGATCAAATCAGATAATATGTTTGCTAAAAGACTATGGCTGTACTAAGAAACAGAGAAGCAAAAGCACCTTTGTTTTTTGTTGCATTCCATTGCATTCCAGTCTTCTTCCATTGCCCAGGCTGGAATACAGTGGTATGATCATAGGTTACCTCCATCTTCTTGGCTCAAGTGATTGTCCCACCTCAGCCTCCTGAGTAGCCACCATACCTGGCTTATTTATAATTTTTTTTTCTTTTAAGAAACGGGGTCTTGCTATGTTGCCCAGGCTAGTCTCAAACTCCTGGCCTCAAGTAATCCTCTCACCTCAGCCTTCCATACTGTTGGGATTGCAGGCATGAGCCACCGCCCAGCCACAAAAGCACCTTTGGATGTCCCTTGACAGCCTCTCCCCCTTTTGTTATTTGTTATGATGAAACTTTATTTATATGTGTCTTAAAAATAAATTGGGAAGAGATGGAAAATGGCAACTGCAAATTTAGATGAATCAAGATATCAAATTTGTAAAAAATATTTGAAAACAAAAAGAATTTCAATAGTCATACAGTTGACTTTCTGACGGGCTTTTTTTTTTTCAAACAATATCTCAGTCGTGTTTGTCCTATTCCAAAAAACTTTCTGTGGAATCATGATACATTTATAGTAAAGTAGACTCCCATTTGATATTACACCTAATAGGATAAAATTCTACCAAGTTCAAACCATAGTTAATAATTAAAGACGTTAGAAGAGCATATCTTAATGATCCCCGCTTGTTTATAAGTGAAGTAGTCATTTGCATCCTTGGAATTCTGCTAAGAGTTTTCAGTGTCCTTGTTGAAGATTTTAAAATGCTTTTTGGAGACTTGTAGTACCAACATTCAGGTTAGGACCATGTTTTATGGCTGCTAATGCTAAAGTAACAAGTATCCCCTTACCCCATCTTCCCTTGCAATAAGAACTCTGAGGAAGGCCAGCTTTGGGTAGGAGAGGGGTGAGGTGTAGGAACATCATGAATTTCATTTTGGACAAATTGAATTGGAGATGAGTTTGAGGCATCCAAGTGGTGATGTTGAGTAGGCAGTTGAATTTGTGAGTCAGATAAAAATGTGGCATTTTCAGTATAGAGATGGTAGGTGAAGACTCAGTCTTGGATGAGATCACCTAGGAAACAAGTAGAGAAAGGAGGATTGGAACTAGAGATTGACAAGAAACCATCAGCCAGCAAACCTGTTTTATTTGGCCTGTGTAATGTTTTTAAAATATTTGAATGAGTTGCTGTAGCATATGTTTATGGTTTTTTGGCTGCCCAGTATCGATTTTCTTTTTTGGTAGCAGCACCTTAATTTCCTTTTGAGAAATTCTCTGTCCTCCAATCTCAGACTTTGTGTTATAGATCAAGTTCTACCTCTGACCCTAGATGAAGTGTGTGACCCAGGGTGAGCCAATCATTCCCCAACTTACCTGGCCGTAATGGTTGGTTCAAGAATGGACTTCTGATTCAAGTTGGCCCAATCACAGGGAATTCTGAGCCTATGGGGGAACTCTAGGAAGAGAGAGTTTCTTGTTTTCTGCTTAAACTTGGCAGGATGTGGCCTGGAGGTCTAGGAACTGCCTTGCTACCCTAGGGTAGAGCTTATCTGAGAGTGGAGACAACAAAGAAGTGGAATCCAGTTAAAGAAACTGGCCCTAATCATATCGATTAACCCTGGGCCACTATGTACTTCTAGGCTTTTAGTTAAATTAGCCAATACATTCTCCTTTTGGTGTAACTCATTTTGAACCAAGATTTCTTTTACTTGTACCAGAAAGAATTTTAATTGACACAGTTGCCAAGACTTTTAAAATTGTGAGTTTTCACATAGAAATCAGGATTTTTGTCTTGAGCTGAGTAACTTGTTCTAGTTGGAGCATGGGCTTTATTATAGGCCTATACCACTCCCTATTGTCATCTTCCCTTGATGCCTAGGATCTGTTGACAGTTATCTTGCTCATTCTACTGTGTTTTAAGTTGTATAATAGCGTTGAGAGGGAAATGAAAGTTGATTTGCTTCACTTAATTGTATTAGTTGCTTTCCCCTATGGGTAGCAAGGCCTTTGACCCCTTGTATAGAATGAAAAGAGAAAGGGGGCCTAGGTTCAAGCTTTGAGAAGCTTAAACCCTAAATAATAGGTAGAAGAGGACAAGTCTGTAAGGAGAAGGGAGCCATGGCAGTAGAAAGGAAAGCATCGGTCATGGAGGACAAGGTAAGGAGTTTTCAGGGAGAAATTGGTCAACATTGCCAATACCATCAAGATGTCAACTGGTTTGAATTTGGCAACAAAGTGGTCATTGACTTGAACTGGAGGTGTTATAGTGAGTGATGGGGCCAAGCCAGATTGCTGTGGGTTGAAAAATGAATAGGAGGTGAAAAAAAATGAAGACACCCTATTCTTCTATTTTTCCTGTAACGGGAAACTGATAAATAAGGCAGTAACTAGAGTCATGTGAGGCAGAGTTGGAGTGCTTTAAAGGCAGGACTTGAGTATGCTGAAGTGATGATGGGAAGAATCTAGTTGAAAGGGAGAAATTGATTGCATAAACAGGAGAGGAAAGGGAGAATTGATCATGTGAGCCTGAAAAGGTAGGATGGAGTGGAATCTGAAGCCCAAATGGAGTGGTTGGCCTAAGATGAAAGGAGAGAACAAGATGCAACAGGAGGGAAGAAGCTGAAGGCTGCTACAATTGTAAATTAGTCTGATGGTGGGAAGTTGCTGGATGAGATGGCCTCCACCTGAGAATGACTATTTGGGAATGGGGGTGGTGGTGGTGTGGATGTCAGAAGTGTTAGGTGGAGGTTTAAGAGTGAACTAGTCATTGAGGAGAGTGAGAGAATGGTGAGAATGATTTGGTAAGAGAAATGTGGTAGGGTTGCCCAGCCTGGCTGAGAATGCATTTGCAGTTGGTACTCACGAATCTGCCTGCGTATGGCTTTCTCCAGTGTCCAGGTGCACAGTTGTAGACACAGACAGAGATACAGTAGGCATCATCTAAGACTGGGGTTGGGCGGAAGGGGAAAGACAAAGGGAGGTTGAGCAAGGCAAGTTAGGGCATTTTGCAGCAGTGCTATGGAAAGCGTGTTATCAAAACCACGACCATTAGAAAGGAAGCTGAGTGAGAAGGGATGTGCAGTGACACTTCTGATGAGGCCCAAATGGTTGATCACAGTGAAGGATTTTAATAAGGAAGCTGAAGCTGAGGATATTGTAGTCAAAGGGTAGACCATTTGATGGGTGGTAGGTGTCTCAGGTGGAGTGGAAGAGAATGTCGTTGAATGTGAGGACATTCAGAGACATTTCAGAAAACAGAAACCAGAGTTTCGATAGGGTTGGGTATTGAGGTTGTCTATGTGATTGCAGGATTAGGGGAGGAGAGGCAGAATTTGGTCAGGGTTCGAATGATTTAATTGGATTGGTTATTTGTTAAGAACAGATTTTCTATTTCCTCTAAACCTCCTTACCTTTGATTTCATTGGAAATTCAGCTGGAGGAGTATATTTGGGTTCACCTCTTTGTTTTCAAAATATATACTAGGAGTGATATTTTATCAGAAAAAAATGTATCTTTAATCACTTTATGTTACTAGAGAAAATGTAAGTCATTTAAACATCTTGAGTTCCTAGAATTTTTAGTTGCTGGGATAATTTGGTTCTCCTTTTTGCCTCACATGGTCATATTGCCTCTGAAGGTGACTGGCAGTGCAATCAAAACCTTCAAGAACAGGCCAAGTTTAACTGAATCCCTTGTGGCTGTCACTGTGATGAGCTTTGGAGAGTAAGTAGGAAGCTGTGTTGGAGACATCTGTTGTCATGTGTAATGTATATCAGGCTTTGGCAGTAACTGAAACCAAGCAGGCCCATCAGTCTATAGTTTATATGCAGTAATCTTAGAGCTCAAAAATTACTTCTGTGAATGGCAAATCGTTGGACAGAACCAGCATTTTTTATACTTGAGAGGGAAAGGAGTTTGAAAGACTCACCAAAAAAAAAAAAAAAAACCCACGAAACTTGTATTTTATAATAAGATACTAAACTTGATCATCTCAAAACATCTGACGGTTGTGATAAAAATCCTTACTGCCTAGTCAATATGCAGAAATCTATAATCTAAAAAAGAATTTGGTCATGCAGTTTTCAGATACAGCTCTATTTGTTACTGATTCTGGAAAGATTAGGTAAATAAAGCATGGGGCAAGAGTGTCCAGGTTTCCTGCTGAGGATGATGAGCAAAGATGGCAGAAGTCCCTCAGCACTCAAGATATCTGCTGTGGAATGAAATGTCTTATAGCTTACAGCAGTTTTGCTGCCAACCAGGCAATTCACTCTGTTTTCTTTAAATCTATTTCCTTATGTTAGGATAGGGAAAAGTAAAGGCAAAAGGAGGAATGAATAAGTCCAACATGATATAGATTGTCCTTTTCTTTGACTCTTTTGTGTTTATTGTTTGTCTATGTAATTTACTAAGTTAGCTCTTTGATAGATTCTTAAGGTTGTGAAAAATCTTGGATTTTTTTTTCTCAAACTATTCCCAAGGAAAGAATCACTTCTCTGTACAACTCAAGGCTTAACAATCCACAAGTTCCTTTAGACCCCCAGATATTAGAGAGTCCTGAGACTTGGATTCTCCTACCTTGAGCTTCAGGCCTTTAAGGATTGCTTCAATTGTCTCTAGTAAGAACATAAAGTTTCTGATAAGCATTATAACTGAATTACCTGCTTTGTTCTCAGCATGTTTCTATGGACAAATGATTAGTTCATTCTGGACATAAGCCTTCTGTGGCTTCTTATTCTCCCATACTTTTGTGTACATCTTCACTAGGCATAGTAAAAAGTGTGGAAGATGAGGTAGAAGCCTACCGAGTATTGCTTCTTGGGCTCAACAGAGCAGAAAGGAATTGAGTTAAATTGCAGCCAAGGAGCCCTAGCCTCCTTAAGATCCTCTAGCAATTGTCAGTTGAGATTGTAAACTGCCAAGAATAATGTCTGGCCCATGGTGTGTTCTTAGTTGGTGGTAGCTATTCTTATTGGGCCTGGGTGGTTGATCAGAAAGATCCTACATTGAAGAATTTTATAAACTAAGAACTTATTGCATAGGCAGGTCAAGGCTAGAAACAGACTTCAGCATCTACAGTGTGACATAGAAGGAAGCAATGGTCTAGAGAGGTTGGTGACTGTCCCTAGGCCATATTGTGTATATTGGCAGATTGAGACCAGGACACAGCTCTGTGGATTCCTGAACCAGGTTTTTCCTGCTATGCCAACATTCATGACTCTGAAAATCACCCTTGAGGAAGGAGTGTGGAAAGATGGGGAGAAAGAGATAGAGTGTCAGGAGAGTGCCCTAACCCTGGGTGGCAATGCCAAAGAATGGCATAGAATATAGAGGTTTGGGGCCCCCTGATATTTTATTATATTACCCCTCTCAGATGGTTGGCTTCTACCTCTGGTATTTTTAGTAAATTCTGGGTTGGTACTTTGTAAAACCGGGAGGGTTTAGGGTCTTAGGGATAACTCTAGTTTACCATTATTAAAGATCACTCTGTGGGAACTAGGGGGGTCTAGTGCATTGCTGCCTAGGCCTGGGGTAGGCACCCACGCTAGTATTTAGCTGTGTTAGGAGTCAGTTGCAGGCAAGTCAGAAGCCACGGGCAATGGCTGGCATTGGAGATGTATTAAGAATCTCCGGAAGTCCTATTTATGCACACTGGAGGAAGAATGGGAAGATAAAAAAGCAGTACAACACAATGGTGATAGAACAGAAAGGAAGACATACAAAGATCAGGTTAAGAATGTGTTTTCTGGATGTGCTGAGCAGGGGGGCAGTGTATGGTGTGTTATAGAGAAGTCTTGTGATTGCTTACTTGAGGAGAAGACCTATGGGTGATCCACGACCAAGAGCATTTGGAAAGAGAAAATTCAGGATAGAAGCCTGAGCAAACAGAACAACTACTGAATTTGAGCTACTGGATAGCAAGCAGAGATTCACACTCAACGGGTGAGGCAATTGAGCCTCACAGTTGGAGCTCGCAACCACTGTGCTACCTTGCCCACTGTGAACCAAGGCCTGGGGAAACCACAGGGTCCAGTAAGTCCTCAGGGCTCCAGATGCTATCTTCCTCCCATGTTTGTTCTGAGAGTTGGAAGAAAACTCTCTTGAAAGCACTCCTGCTCTTTAATGTTCCCCAGGGATTACTTAGAGCCAAGTAAGTCATTGAGATGTATTGTGGCCCAAGGCCACCCTTAATCAAATGACCACAACTTGTAGGTTCCCCTGGAGTCTCTGATCTTTGAATACATTGCATCCTTACCTTATACTGTCAAGCTTTTATCTTGGTAACCAAGTATCAACTGGTATTCCCTGCCCTTTGGATCAACCCAAAGCCTTCTAGTGACTTATACTTCCTCTGCCTCTGAGTTTCTGCTTCCTAAAAAGCTGTTTCTGCATCTCTCATGGAGATTCTGAATACAGCATTTCCCTCATACCAGTTTCCATAGGAAATCTAGTCCCATCAGATAGGCTTTAGTGAACACTTGAAGAGTCACAGTATGACATGGGTGGTCTTTCACCAGCTCTGCCAATTCTATCCCTATTTCATATTCTTTCTCCCTTGAACATTAATCAAAGTTCTACCCACATAGGGGCGGCCGTAGAGGAGTGAGAAGTCCTTCCTTTTATACCCTACCAACTAGCACAAATACATTCTGTTTATTTTCCAAGAATTCTGGTGAATAAAAAATTCTTATTACACACGCTTGTGCTTAAGTGCAAATATGTAAAATTAGAGATACTACTTTATACCTGGCATCTAGTTGACCAGGTTACTGATTCTGCCATTACTGGACTATTTGTAGTAATTTCTAAGAAGCGTTTAACTGCATACTCCGCACTATGTACTATACAGCTGGACGGCACTTACCTCCAATTTCTCCTATTTCCTCTATCTGCCAACTTCTTTTCTTCAATGCAAGCCTTATAATTTTCCTTTTAGTTCTCATACCAAATACACATGTAATTAGAGCCCGAAGTATTGTGTGAAGCCATGCCATCTCCTTTTCTACATGCTTCCTTGTAGCCTGGAATATATTGTTTATTTTTTTAAAGTTTTATGCTTTCCTAGCTTAATTTTATGATTCCAGCAATCCTTTTCACATCCTATTTAGTAAGTTCACAAACCAGGAGTCTCCCTGATAGTAAAAACACATCAAGCATGTTCTTTTGCGTAAAAGTTGTATGTGACATGTAGGCATTTTAAGACTTGGATTTCTTTCTCTAGAATGTGAATTTCTTACGATCTTTTTGGCGTGGATTTTCAGAATTCCTTTACACTTGAAAAGAGCTATGAGGGATTTAGTAAAACTGGAAAATAGATCCCCACTACAAAGGATTTGGGTGGGGAAGGCCAGGAAATACTCACTCTCTGAGGATTGCCTAGGACCTCAGTAACTGTGATTCTTTCTAGGTTCAAGGAATTAGGGCTCTGGTACCATTTCTGATTAGCACAAAGTAAAGAGGAAGCTAACTCCATTTTAATTTTTTTTTAAAGAAAAAATTAATTTCTACCCTGGGGAAAATAGAGTCAATCTTTAAAATAGATAACAGTATTTACTGATGAGGCTAAACAAATAGAAGTTTGTAAAAATCTTTTTTTCCTTGGGTGAAAAAGAAGAATAAAAGGGGAAAGTAGGAAAAAAGTATAATAGGTTATAATAAGAATAGTAGGTAGCATTTATTGAGCGTGCATGGTGTTAGGCACTCACCTAAGCATTTTTCATTTCTCATCTCAACTATTACAACAGCCCTCTGACACTTCCACTCATAACTTTATTTTTTAGTTGAGGAACCCATAATGCAAGAGAAGCTGCACAGTGTCTCCAAGGTCACACAGCTAGTCAATGGCAGATCAGCAATTTTAACCTTGGCAGTTGGTTCAAAGTTCACACTCTTAGCTACAAGGTGACACTGCCATATGTTGAGTTGTTTGACTTTTTTCCTCACTTTGAGTTCAGCCTCCCAGAATATGTGTAAAGCACAGGAGAAGTAGCAGTTTGAGCTTTTTTTTTTTTTTCCTTGTTGTTGTTTGTTAATTTAATAACAGGGTTACAAAAAAAGGCACTATGCAGTCTAAATCAACTTTAATTAGACCCGTGTGGAAAACATAACAATTATCCACACCAAATTTCTAACATTTTTCTTTTTTCATGTTCAATTATTAATAGTCATTGGTGCACATATTCTTTCAGTTATTTTCTAAGTGAAATAATTGAAACTTGCTCCGGGATTCTGACTGTTGCCTAGTTCTTTAAGAATCTTTATCAAAAGGATTTTTTTTTTCTAAAAAATAATAAATCCATTTCTTTTTGTGGGATGAACTTTCCCTTGGAGAATATTGTCTTGCCAGGTGTGGAATCTTGACATTAAATTAAACTCCTTTATTTTCTGCCTCCCTGGGGCTAATGGAAGGGGTGGAGACTGTGGGTTGGGTGGGCAGGGTATGTGTCTGGAACAGGGGGTATAGAGGAGTGCACAAGAGGCCCCTTCATTAGGTCCCAGATATCTCTGTCTCCAGCTTCCTGCACTGAAACTGAGGTTTTAGAAGAACCAGAGAAATCCCCTTGATCCAGGTTGTTCAAATGTGATTTTTTTTTAAAGCAGTTCTCTTTTATTTTGTAGAGAAAAAGATAATGGTTATCTTTCCCTTCCCCAATGTAAATAAGGGTGTTCTCATACTGCTTTTAGAATTCAATTTTAAAATCCCTCAATGATAGTTTTCAGTATTTTCTTCATTATAATACTGTTCGTTTATCTAAGTCAAAAGGCTCATAGAAATATAACCAATGAAATATTATGTAAAAGCAGCCATCAATAGAGCTTTGATATAAGTGATTTAAAAGTAAAAAAGTTATGGTATTCTCCAACATTTAAAATAATATGGTAATTACAGAAAATTTGGGAGATTGAGAGAAATAGAAGCAAAGAAAATCAAATTCTCATATTCCCTATATCCAAGAGAAAAAAAAGTACTGTTTTCATGTATTTTCTTTTTATGTGAAAAGCTTTTTAAACAGTTTTCTGTGTAGAGTTTTTGTTTATCTTTCTTGGTTATCATACTATAAATACAGTTTTGTTCTCTGCTTTGTTGGAGAGATGTCTACGGTTCAGAGACAGCTGACTCAGAACTTCTTTGCAGAACATACCCTGTCACAGTTCACCTTTGCAAATCTTTGGCTGATAGCCTAGTTTATCAAGTGTTCTGTGGACACGGACTCTGTGCCTTGCACGGTAGCTGAGTGTGCAAGGCTTGCCTCTCAGCATCTCACAGTATAGGTGGAGAAGTCAAGAGAAGACAAGTAGACATTTTCATGGCTGCTTTTAATTTTTATTTTATTTTATTTATTTATTTAGAGACAGGGTCTCCCTCTGTCGCCCAGGCTGGAATGCAGCAGTACGATCTTGGCTCATTGCAACCTGTGCCTCCCAGGTTCAAGCGACTCTCCTGCCTCAGTCTCCTGAGCCCAGCTGATTTTTGTATTTTTGGTAGAGAAGGGGTTACACCATGTTGGCCAGGCTGGTTTTGAACTCCTGGCCTCAAGTGATCCACCTGCCTCGGCCTCTCAAAGTGCTGGGATTACAGGCGTGAGCCACCACACCCAGCCATATTTTTAACTTTTTGGTACAGAAAATTTCAAACGTACACAGGAGTACAAGAGAATATAATAGCAGACCCTATGTGCCTCTCTCTCAGCTTCAACAATGGTTAATTTATGGCCAATCTTGTTTCATCTAGATCTTAGCCTCCTCTCTCTACCAGGGATTATGTTGAAACAAATCCGTGACATCCTATTATTTTATTAGTAAATATTTGGGTACACATCTCTAAAAGATAAGGACTCTTTTTTAATACTATTAATGCCATTATTACACTAAAAAAATTCTCTAACAATCAAATATGGGCTATTTAGTCAGTGTTCACATTTGTTTGTTTTTCTCATTATTTTTCTCTTTAGTTTGTAACAGTATCCACATAAGGTCTACACATTGCAGTTGATTGACATGCCTCTTCAGTCCCTTTTAATCTGTGGATTCACCCTTCACTATCTTTTCCTTGTGATCTATTTTTTTTTTTTTTTGTCAAATGGGATCATTTATTCTGTAAATTTTTCCCACTGGCTGGATTTTGCTGATTCCATCTCATGGAGTTAAATGTTAAATGTTCCTCTGTTTAACATATTCCTCTAGCCTCTGTATTTCTTGTGAACTGGTAGTTACATTTAGAGGCTAGATTGAATTCTGTTTCAATTTTTTGTCAAAAGTACTATATGAGCAGTGTTATGTATTCCCATGAGAAGACACTTACCTTTAGGGGTGTGTGTGTGTGTGTGTGTGTGTGTGTGTGTGTGTGAAAGAGAGATGTTGATAGCCAATGGTGATTTTGCTGTCTAAATCCATCAATTCATTAGGAGTTTTAAAATGTTATTTCATGTCAATCATTTCTCCATTTATTAGCTAGACTACTTCTATGAAGAATAATCTAGCCAATCCAATCATCTGTTTGGCTATCCTGAGGTACAGTTGTATAGAAAAGGCAAGAAAAATGTTCGATTCTTTCCATTTATCTACCAGTTTTCAAAATATTTGGCTCCCTAGCATCCAGAGATAACCAATTTGGGGAGCTGGGGAAAGAGAAAAAGAGAAATTGGTGGCTCATCAAGAATTCATTAATTTAAAATATTTGATGTTTCAAACCATTACATTGATTCTTTGTTGTTGTTGTTAAGAGGTGGGGTCTTTCTCTGTCATGTAGGCTGGAGTGCCGTGCAACTATCGTAGCTCACTGCAGCCTCAGACTACTGGGTTCAAGCAATCCTCCCACCTCAGCCTCCCAAAGTGCTGGGATTACAGGCATAAGCCACCTTCCAGGCCATTTCCTTTATTCTTATTGAAACTAAAATTGTCTCATCTTTGGCCGATGGGAATCCCTTTGTGTGGTCTCCTGAATCCTTTTGATATATAACCTTAATAGTCTTTGAGTTTCCCTGCTTTTTGTATGCTAGGCCAATGGTTCTCAAAGTGTAGTCTGAGGATGCCTAGGGGTTCTCAAGACCCTATTAGTGAGTCCATAAGGTCAAAACAATTTTCATAATAATAAGACATAATTTACCTGTTTTATTCTTATTCTCTTACCTGTATATAGTGAAGTTTTCTAGAAACCATATATTGACTATTGGAATGTATGTTTTTTTGTTTGTTTGTTTGTTTTTTTGTTTTTGAGACAGAGCCTTGCTTTGTTGCCCAGGCTGCAGTGCAGTGGTGCAATCTCAGCTCACTGCAACCTCCACCTCCTGGGTTCAAGTGATTGTGATTCCTCTGCCTCAGACTCCCAGATAGCTGGGACTACTGGCACTAGTAGAGATGGGGCTTTGCCATATTGGCCAGGCTGGTCTCAAACTCCTGGCCTCGAGTACCCCCACCTCGGCCTCCCAAAGTGCTGGGATTACACATGTGAGCCAACATGCCTGACTGTGTGCATGCATGTTCTTATGTTTTCTAGAATTTTTTAAGGTAAGCTCTTTGAAGTCTTGAATAATTTCTAAGAGTGTAAAGGCGTCCTAAGACCAACAAACTTGAGAACTACTATTCTAGGCTCATCTTTTATGTTTCATGCTACATACATATAATCACTTGTGGCCTTATAAATTAGCTCCATTTTTTTTAACTCCATTTTTGTGTATGCCTGAGTGATCTGCTTCAAGTCTCACAGCTAATAAGTGGCAAAACTAGAATTTGACTCTAGTCAAATCTGAGACTGCAGTGAGCTGTTTTTGTCCCGTTGTACTGCACCTGGGTGACAGAACGAGATCCTGTCTCACAAACAAAAACAAAAAACAGCCAGTACTCCGAATATGTTGCTTTTCTGGTCACAGTAGGAAATTCAAAATGTAGTAATAGTTTTTTAGAGTATTGACTTTTGAAGATCTCAGTCATCCAGAGAAGAGCCTGCCTTGCCTGTGGAATTCGTTAATGGCTCATATGTTTTCCACTAATTTGTGAACCCAGGATCCAATCTATTGCTCACCTATGTAGCTTAGAAATACTTTTTTTTCATCCTGTAGTTGGCTGAACCAAATCCTGCAAGAAAACATGCTGCAATTTTAAAAGCTGAATAATGGTGCCTTAAGCCTGGGACTCTCATTTATTTTTATCACTGAACAGTATATAAATCTCTAAAAATGGCTACTTAAAATATAACTGGATTTTGTAGTCTCTGGGGCTCAGGGAAAACATTATTTTGTCTCATTCTCTTGGACTGAACCCAGTAACGTGCCATTTTGTCACAATGCCCAATAACCTTAGCTTCTCTTGGCTAATGAACAACATTAGCTCTTATTTCCCAGGTATGAAAGAGTTTCTATCATGAGAAAAGGAAGTGTGTTTCCAAAACAGTTAGCAGTGGCTTTCTGAAGTTAGTGCATATACAGGAGAGGAGCAGTCTTATGTAATATCCTTGAGTATTTTTCCAACATAGGAAATACTTGACGGTACCTGACAGCCTCAGGTGCCATCTGGAAAAGTGTCATCTTGTAGGAAGCTTGGATCAGAGCCTGTGTGTCATAATATGTCAGGTGTGTCATAATTACTTTGTGGTTCTGGTGGGGAGTGAAACAAAGACTATGTCAAAGGTTGCAGGGTTCTTAATGGAATATAAATTTCTTTGTTGGAAAGTAGATCTTTAATACTAAACTAGTTTTTGTAGTTATAGACAAATTCATTTTGCACTGTAGCCTTGCTTGTTATTTTTCTCAACATTAAATCTGCCATTGTGAAACGGTCTCAATATCTGATTTAAGTAATTAGTTGCATTTAGATTTCTATATTTAGACTGTCATTTTCATGGGCTTTTCCAGCAAGTCATCTCATTGACTTTGTTGAAGGTAGTTTTAGAATACAGAAAGTCAGTATGTAAAGTAGAAAGGTGGTTCTTTCATAGGATGGGCTTTGAAACTCCACACCACCACCATTGGTCTTGTCAAAATTTTGTTTTCTTTCATGTTTGTCACTTTGACCAAATCCTATCCCCCAAAGAAAAGAAAAAAAAAATCATCAAACAGACCCGTCTCCACATGCAAAGCATGTAGTATATGATGATGGGAGCCTGGAACTTACAGCTGGGGAATGCCAGGAATTTGGGGTTCTAGTGTCACTAAGGCTCCGCCTTTCTGTGCTTTAGTTTCCTGTTTAGAAAGTTCTGCTCCTTCATAAGGACCTTGAAGTACTAGGAGGAAAGGTGCTTTGTGTGTGGAGTTTTCCATGAAGTGCAGTCCCAACTAAAAGGCTGCGTTAAAGGTAGGTAAATGCCTTATAAAAACATATTTTAAATACAAAACATTTGTTAATTTATGCCACTTATTTATTTATTTAAGTATAAAATAGCCTCAGGCAATTGGAATTCAGATTTAAAATTCAGGTTTTGTTTATTGAATTCTCTTGCTAAGAGCAAAGAATGTAAAGGCTTGGGAAGTAGAAATTGGAACGCATTTTAATTGCCTGAATAGGTTTACCGGAGAAGAAGTTTTATTAACGTGGAAACATGTTCTTCCTCTGAGTCTGATTAGAGGCTACTTTGGGCTAGTCCATAAATCTCTTTTCAAATCTAAAGTGAGCATAACCATCATAAAGTGAGCCATAACTTAACAGCTCTTCCTGAGGACTGCCTTGGCTAGAGTTTCTATGGTGAGAACTCAGAATTCCAGGAATGCATGTTGAGCTGGAATCTCTCATATCAGTGATTCCCAAAGAGGAATGAGGGTGTGTCCGAATCTCCAAGTGTGCTTTTGAAGCTCTGAAGACCTCTTTTCCTTTGCCCGGGAGCTCAGTGAGCCACTGTTGTTAGCAGTTGTGTTTGGTATCTTTAGGTGTTTTAGTGAAAAAACAACTGAAGTTAGGCTGATGAGGAGAGTTGGGGGTAGCCTGTTAGCATTTCTCCCTGGAGAGTGCCACTCACTCTAGAAAAAGTAAATAATGGCTTTGAATGATTTGTAGTCCATACAGTGGCAGTCATATTGCTGAAAATTTGGTAACATATAATGTTTGTGGTATTTGGCTTGGTTCTAAATGCAGTTTGTGTGTGTGTGATGTTGTTTTGCATGAAGAGGCTACATGTGGGTGTTTTGATGCCCTGTAACAGAAACCAGTGGGACTAGAAAACCTGGATCTCTTAGTGCAGGGTCAGCACCAAGTCGGAGTAAGTTCTCAAAGAGTAGGTGACGTTGTGGCGATGGCGTGCTCCTCACTTTGTCGGACTGGGCTTGTTGGGTTTCTGTTTCACTGAGGGAGGAGATTTTCTGTGCATTTGATTACGCTACATGATACTGTGCAAGCTAACACTTTGGGCTTTGGGTCTGGGAAGGAAATGTATTTTGGTTACTTATTGTATAGTTTTGTATAATTTGTATAATTTATGCCTCATTTTGAGATGCAAGTAGGAAAATGGAAAAACAAGGAACCCAAGTAATCAGCAAATGAGCTTAAGAGAAGAGTCCCTGGGAAATTAAATAATATTTGAAGCTTCAAAGCTGTATGTTTAGGTTTTAGAACATCAGATATTAGGACCCAGTGATAAGAATTCTCCATTTATTGAACTGTTTTGAAATTTCATTTTTTAATTGCTTTAAGACGTCCTTAACTTGACGTCTTATAATACAGTTCGATAGTTGAATGAGACCATTCTGAAGTGAAAACAAAACAAATTAACTAGAAGTGATCTTAGCTATCATCCCATCCATCCTTTTTATTTTGCTGATGAATCCAGTAACTTGTGATAAAAGTCATATCTTGCTCTCAGAATTCTCCATGTCTCTCTGTGGAGTTAGCACATAATATATACTGGCTGGCTGGTGGGCTGGCTGAGATAGTATTTGCTAAAAAACTTAAACCTTTTGACCACAGTATTTGTGAAGAAAGTCTTGGTGGAAGATGTTAGAGTGACTCTTCGTTTTGGGATTTAAAAGCTTAGCCATTCTTCTGTGAGTTGTTAGATGCTACTGCTTGCTATTCTAAAAGCTTCTGATGTGTAAAATATTCTATAGGTATAAAACCTTTTGATGTGTAAAATGTCTTTTTTGTTACACATTCTCAAGCTGGTAGTCTCTTTTACCATTACTTTGGGAGCATTATGTAATTGCTATTTGAGAGTCAACAGAAAAATGAATAAAGAGGAATTATTGTTGCCAATAGACGCTGTTCTCCATACACCAAGTTAAATAAAACATGAATTTTAAAGTTCTATCAAGCAACAGCTTGTCAAATTAATTATAACATTCAGTGAGTCTTTAACAACCTAAAGTAATTTATCAGGTACATTTGGAAAGACGAACTCTTTTTGTTTGAGACAAGGTCTCCCTCTATCTCCCAGGCTGGAGTGCAGTGGTGTGCTCATGGCTCACTACAGCCTCGACCTCTTGGGCTCAAGCAATCCTCCCACTTCAGCTGGGACCACAGGCATATGCTACCACACCTGGCTAATTTTTTGTAGAGTTGGAGTCCCACTCTGATGCCCAGGCTGGTCTTGAACTCTTGGACTCAAGCGATCCTCCCACCTTCATCTCCCACAGTGCTGGGATTACAGGTGTGAGCCACCATACCTGGCCAAAAAGATAAACTTTTAAAACTTAAAAAAAATTTTTAAAAATGAATTGTGGCTACTTCCCATGTGTAGAGCTGGGTCTGGCAGCTAACATTTTGTTCATGTGGGACTCAGGCAAATTTGTTTCTGAATTAAAGGAATTTCCTATCCTCATTTCTGGCTTCATGCCATGAGTGCCAGTGCCAGCTGACAGAGCCATCTGCAGGACTCTGTAGTAGAGTGGGAGCCAGGTGAAAGTGAGCCAGGCCTGCAGATGTAGTTTTTGTTAGGTGAAAACTTAGCAGAAGCGTGTCCAGTCCTGGAGATTGTCCATTCTCAGTTTATTTGGAGACTTTAAGATGGTAGAACAATGACAGGTTTCTAGAAACCTTGTGTTTAGTACAAAAAGTGGCTTGTCTGTGAGACCTCCTTTTGAGATGTTCAAAAGAATGTGAATATACTGGAACTTTGCAGGAATAATTTCTTCTGTGATTCCAAAATCTTCAGATTTGGAGGAAATAATTCAAATAATTGTATTGATTTCATCCATTCCTTCCACTAATGTTTACTGAGCATTTCTAATGTGCCCTGCACTGATTTGGATACCAGACAACATGGACATAATTCCCTGACCTCACAGAGCTTCCGGTGGGGGAGACAGACACACACAGAAGTTAAATATGTCAGACAGTGATATGAGCTACGGGGAAAACTAAAACAGGGAAGGGGATGGGAATTGTGCTGAGGGGTAAGGGAACCATGTCAGGACCTGGGGTCTTGTACTACTTGTGGTGACTGATTGTACCCACAGGCATGAAATAGAACAGTCATTTACATATTGTGGCTGACTGTGCTGTCATAGTTACTACTACCATTATCACAGTCACCGTCAGAAAGCATTTACCCCACGCCTCTTAGCAAGGTTTTATACAGAATGAGTCATACAGCTAAGTGTTTGTCCTCAAGACTGACAGCCCTTACGTGTACACATGCAGATAACTTACTAATGATGAATAGAAATTCCAACAATTGTATTCGTTCAACAAATGTTTATTGAATGATGGGGTATACAAGGCATTGTGGAGGACAGCAAGATAAATCACATATGTATCTTCCCAAAGGGGCATATAGTTCAGTATAGTCATAGAGCAGGTCATTTGCATGTCAGTGATTTAATTTGAGATAGACCATGAAAGTCTATGTCATATGCTGATTTCGCATTTTTGCCGAGGCATAATTTTGAGTCAGCTGCTTTGGGAGGCTGGTATGGGGTAACTAATGTCGGAGTGTGTGTTTAGCCATTTCCCTGTGTCCACATTTCAGTGAGGAATTGTTTCTACCTATTGCTGAATATGTTAAATGCCTTTGAAGTAAAATATGCTTTTTTTTTTTTGGTGAAAAATTGCTCTGAGAAGAAAGCCAGCTTCTAGAGTTGGTGATGGAAGTGCTGAATCTAAGATGTGATTGATGTTCCTTGGTCAGTACATGGAATCATTGAGGGCCTCAAGGAAATACTTAGCATTTTGCTGCCCTTATCAGGGAAATTTTATGCTGTACTAGTGTTTGCCAGCTTGGACGTGAACCCCTCGTGAATATATTTTTTGGATAGATCTTGATAAAGGCCTTAATGGGAATGTGGACACAGCAGAATTTATCTCCCTTGCTTGAAGCAGAGGTGCGTCTTCTGGGCCCTAATATCAGATTCTTCCCTTTCCTTCACAAATAAAGCATCAACCATGTTTATGTGAGGGTTCCTCATGTTTATCATCTATATGGGACCAAAAGTTTGCTACATAGAAACATAGTTTTTTTATATATGTATGTATACACACACATATACATATGCAGCCTTAGAAACAGAGCAAGAGAAAGCTTGGAAGGGGGAGGAAGAGCTGTAAAATACCATGGCAGAAGCTATTGGCTTCTCAGCATAATCCATGTTTTCCTCTTCCTGAGCCCACAGCAAGAATGCATTTCCCAGCCTCCTTTGGAGTTAGGTACAGCCACGTGCCTGAATTCCAGCAAAGGGGTGACCACAGTGAAAACAGCTGAGCCCATCAGCTTGAATCCCTAGTTCAGCGTGAGGAAGAGGAACACCTCATTCACCAGTTCTCTGTCATGGGAGCAAGAACAAAGTTCGGAGGTGTTTGAGCCATTATAGAGAAGTCAGGGATATATTTTGACAGTGATGAGTTTGGATCATAATCCTGAGTGTCATAATCCTGAATGTTGAAGTTCTGAACATCAAAATCCCAAAAGATCAAAATCCCTAAAGTCCAAAGTCCCTCATGTCTAAAGTTCTGAAAATCACAATCACAGGATGTTAATGTTAGGCCAGCTCTTATGGGCTGTCTCTGTGCGATTGTCCAAAATCTTTCCCTGTAATATACATTTTTACATGTTGAATTTTCTTTTCAGTTATTTAGCTTTTTTTTTTTTAGTTTTTTCCCTACTATTTTAAATTTGTAGAATTATTTTTTACAGTTCACTATGCTATGTATTTTATTTTTTCATCACTTCCAATATTGGAGTAATAAATTGTATAGAGACTTTTAGAGAGTTCGAATCCCTTTTATGCAATTTTTGCAAATTTGACTCCACAAAAGTGTAGTATCACCATGTTGAGTTTGTGTGTAAGCATTCTGTGTGCACGTGAAAATGTTGCAACTTTCTCAGCAAATAAAGAGATGTTCTTTTTGTACATCTGCATTTGCGAAGGATACAATTTCTTGATCTCAGCTCTTTGGATGACTGCATAAGTGGTGGTGACCCATCGTGGTTTTTGATCAATCTCATCAGAAGACTTAGGTTGTTCATCACAGTATTTCAGATGATTGCAGTCATAAAGCCAGGTGCAAACAATGACCAACCATAGTGATGTGCATTTATATAGTTCCCCTTTTGAATTATTTCATTTTGAATATGGTTTGTCTGCTCATAATTGTTATACCCATGCAACTGTTGTTAGCATACTTGAGTGTTTTTGCTTTCAAAAGTATGTATATTGTTATTGTCCATTTTATTGTGTTAAGTGACCTAGGAAGTGTTGTGTCATATCTTTGTTTCTCAAATAAATCCCCTTTTAAAAAGGTAAATAAATGTCTTTTAATGAGTCTTTAAATTTTTTTTTAAGAATTATATTTGCAGGATTTTGAGATTTCACTGAGATTGTGTCTTTTGGGATTATGATCAGCTCCCGCAGTGACTAGTCTTTCCTGACTAATACTGTGACTGTGTGGTAAGTGAGAGCAGTAAAGACAACAGTTTCAGAGCTGGGATCTGTCTTCATCAGTTTACTGGACCTGGTTGTTTCCATCCGAATGGCAGAGTCAGTGCTCATGGATGAGGATATTTATGCTCCTAGGCCCAGGCTGTGTGTGTGCTTGTTACTGCACTCACCTTAATTGCTTATAGAAAGCTATGCTTCTTGCTGCGCACTCCCCAGTAGCTGAGTGTAGAATCTAGGGAATGTGAACTGACCCTTGATTTTTCTTCCTCTTTCCCTCTTTTCCTCAATTATTTTAGTCCCTATCTTGTGCTAGGTGGTATCGGGATACATAGAAATGAAAGAAACATGGACTCTGCCCTCAAAGAGCTAACAACCCTAGTTGACCAGATTGCCTCAAGTGGGACTCCCACTGGAACCAAATTATTTAAACAATAAATGACTTTGTCAGGAGCTGAGAGGTATATTAGTTTCAGGTGCTGTTTCTTTGTTCCTCCTAATCCAGTCAGTTTTGCCCTTGAAACTTATTTCAGGTGGTCAACCACAAGGTCCAGTACACACCCATGCTTAGTATTGCCCTTCCCTCCCCCATGTGTATAATTCTCACATAGACCCTTGAGCAGTGCAGCAAGTTGTCTAGAGAAAGTTGATTGAGTGCTCTTTTCCCTTTGAATTCCATCGAACTGGGCCCGCATGGAAGAAGCAAAATTGTTACTTTGCTAAATATTGGGAATGGTGGATAGTGAGGTGAGGGGATTGGCATGTGTAGCCTGAGAAAATCCTACTCAGCCGTTTTAGTTGTAGTTTCAGCAGATTCAGTGGCTCCCTTTGTTTGGCCTATCACTGTATTTCAAGTTAGAATTTGAGGATCAGCTGCCTTCTTCTTTTTTGGCAATCTCCCTCTTCAATTTGCACGATCACTCACATTCGCTCTTGTTAATGTCAACTTGTCTGGTGTACTCCTTTGAGGTAGGCACCAGGCCTCAACTCTCTTTGTATTCTTTCTGCTAGTCCTTTACTCCAGAGCATAAACAGTGCTTTATATATTATGTATGGCACAATAAATGTTTAATGAATGAATGAGTTACTTAAATTTCTTAAACTGGGAGAGCTGCTTGAGCTAGTTTCATACTTTCACCAAGTATGAATAGGTCTTTCCCTGGGGAACATCATTTCCTGCTGCCATTGTGTTGCTGTCAATTCATGTGATGTTTTGTCTTGTTGTTGTGACACTGGCCTGGCCTTGGCCAGTAACAGGAGTCATCCAGCATGAGATTTAAGAAGGGAAAGTGATGACATGCTAAGTGGTTGCTGTATCAGTGTAGTAGGATGTGATCCAAAAGGTACTTACAGTGGGCATGTCTGGTGGATGGTACTGAACCACATTCTTATGCTTTTCTCAGCAAAAGAATTTTCTTATGTTACATGTACTGTATGACTCAATCTAATAAAAGAACAACAGATTCATCTTTTCCTGCCCGGTAGCTAGGTTTGTACCTTAGGTCCTGCTTGACTCACTGAAGGTTCCAGAGAATTCTCTGAAAATGGATGCATGCACACCCATAATTTGACTTGTTTCCCTAATAAAATTACAGCTGAAAACTTTCCCTGGAGGACTTGTTATGCTTCTTCCTAAAAGCACATTTCAATAATGACGACAAAAGAATGGTGATTTAGAATTACCCTAAAGGCTAGGAGAGAAGATATTTCACAGGAAGAGGCTCTGCTCTCCTTGGTATTAGAGGTTTCATCACTTGCTCCTTTGAGCACCTGTGGGACTCCTGTCTACAGCTTCCTTTATTTTTAGGCTTAACAACTGGTCTCCTCCCCTCCAGCTCAGAGGTCATTTAGAAAGAAACTGGCCAGAGCTTTTCTCTGATCTTGCTGTTCTTGCTTCTTTTGTCAGTTTAAGATTCTTTTGCCGAAAGTCAGTGAAGCAGATCATCTTCACATCTTTGATTCCTTGACCTTTACATTTAAGAATCTGTACATTAGGCCGGCCGCGGTGGCTCACATCTGTAATCCCAGCACTTTGAGAGGCCGAGGCGGGTGGATCACCTGAGGTCAGGAGTTTGAGACCAACCTGGCCAACATGGTGAAACCCCGTCTCCACTAAAAATACAAAAATTAGCTGGGCGTGGTGGCACACGCCTGTAATACCAGCTACTTGGAAGGCTGAGGCAGGAGAATCACTTGAACCTGCCCAGCCTGGGCAACAAGAGTGAAACTCCATCTTAGAAAAAAAAAAAGAATCTGTACATTTAAAAACATTTCAGTGCTGACTTGTTGCTTAACTTTGACCAAATTTGCAAAGATGGGGAAATTACTGTTTCTTCAACAGGACTTAGAAAGTCATAAGAATGGCCAGGCATGGTGGCTCACACCTGTAATCCCAGCACTTTGAGAGGCCGAGGCACATGGATCACGAGGTCAGGAGATCGAGACCATCCTGGTTAACCTGGTGAAACCCCGTCTCTGCTAAAAATACAAAAAATTAGCTGGCTGTGGTGGCACGTGCCTATAGTCCCAGCTACTTGGGAGGCTGAGGCAAGAGAATCGCTTGAACCCAGGAGGTGGAGGTTGCAGAGAGCCAAGATCACACCACTGCACTCCAGCCTGGGCGACAGAGCGAGACTGTGTCTCAAAAAAAAAAAAAAAAAAGTCATAAGAATTTAACTGTATGGGATTCTCTGTCATAAATTAACTTTAAAAAATTGTTAAAGTTGGAAGTAGGAAGTTTATTACCTTTTTGTGAAATAGTCTGTCATGATCAATAGTGAAGAATTTAATTTTTTTCTGAATTTTAATTCACTTATAGTATCCTGAAAGTATTAATCTAGCCTCATCTACTTATGTGAAATAATTTTAGAGAATGTCCTCATGAAGTATCCATATGTTGGGTTACAAGAAAAGCACCTAGTTTATGATATACGTAAATTGATGCCCTTTCTAACCTTGACTGGTGTTGTGTGTCCATATTTCATAGTGGCTTAAGTGATGTTGCAAGTAATAGCCTGAGACTCTAGCCTAGTGACTCTACATATACATTTTAGATGAAAGACCTGGAGAAGGTACATGTTTGAATAGGAAATAATTATGGATAAGTTGAATAATATGCTTTATTGTAGAAGATAATGCTATCGTCTGCCCTCATTATATTCATTGTAATGGAAAAATAAATTGCCACACCAAAGGCCTGCTTACTTCACTTCCTGTAAACATGTCCCATGTGCAAGAAAAATTACAAGGCATGCCAAAAGGCAAGAAAAACACAGTCTGAAGAGACAAAGTAATGATCGAGCCCAGATTTTGAAACAGATGTTGGAATTATCAGACAAGGAATTTAAAAGAACTCTGATACATTAAGGGTTCTAATGGAAAAAAATAGACAACATGCAAGAACAGATGGGTAATATAAGCAGAGAGATTGAAACTCTAAGAAAGAATCAAAAGAAGATGTTAGAAATAAAAACCACAGTTACCGAAATGAAGAATGGTGGAGCTGAAAGTTCCAACCCTCTAATCATGCCTTGGTCCTTCTGGCAACCAACCCCTATTCTGAAGCTATCTAGGGACCCAAAAGAGTCATCTTGTTAGCATAAACTCTGGTATGGTTGAAAGTGATTTGTTATGAATTTTAAAAGCTACTCCTATCACTCAGGAAATGCCACAGGTTTTAGGAGATCTATGCCAGGGACTGTATAGTCAGAATGCCCTGTATGTATGAATTCTTGTGAGTCTTATGCATTAGATGGTGAGCTATTTTAAGGCAAGGACCTTAAGTCTCCTTGCATTCTACTCAGCACATTAATCACTCAGTAAGTCCTTGTTGAGAAGGATCTAATCATCAAAGGCAGAGGCAAAAAGACAGACATTCAAATATTTGTTGTTCCAAGAGAAAAAGCCTCCGTCTTTACATTCTTCCCATGGTTATGCAGAGGTAAAGGGGACATTTCCCCTTTTTCCTCTGAAGGTTCACTGAAAAATCAATTCACAAAAGCAGATAAATTGGAGAAAAAGCATCCAAGTTTATTTATCGTGAACAAGCAGGAGCCTTCCAAATGAAGACCCAAAGATAGAGGGGAAATTGTCCATTTCTGTGCTTAGGTTCAACAAAGTATGGACAGCTGTAGTAAAATAAAACTGGACAAAAAGGGTAAGATCTAATGCTAACAGGTTGAGTAGGGAAACTCAGCAAGGCCTGGCTGTCTGGATTCTTCTTGGCCTCTCTGATCATGCATTCCTTCCTTCTCGGTGTGGGGCAGGGTTCTCTCTGGAATGGGGGTCTTGTGTCCTATGTTAAACTCTAACTTTCCCTCTGCATTTCTGTGTAAAACTGACTAAAGATAATTTCTTTATGGTCAGTTTTACACAGAAATGCAGAGGGGAAGTTAGAGTTATAGGTTTTTTGGGTGGCTGTAGGGAAGAAGGTTCTGGTTTTAATGACTTCCCGTAGGGAAGAGAAATTTCAGTTTCTATGGCTAGCCTAGGGGCAGAATGGGACCAGAAGACAGGAGGGCAGGAGGAGGTCACAGAGAAACTTTTGCTTCTGAGGCCTTCATTTTGGGGTATTGTTTTCCAAGTCCCAGCCATTGGCAAATCATAGACTATAAACTGCCAGAGCCTAACCCAGTCCTAACATTTCAAAAAAAAAAAAAGGCCAGGCACGGTGGCTCACACCTGTAATCCCAGCATTTTGGGAGGCCGAGGCGGGCGTATCACGAGGTCAGGAGATCGAGACCATCCTGGCTAACATGGTGAAACCCCGTCTCTACTAAAAATACAAAAAAATTAGCCAGGCGTGGTGGCAGGCGCCTGTAGTCCCAGCTACTACTGAGGCTGAGGCAGGAGAATGGCGTGAGCCTAGGAGGTGGAGCTTGCAGTGAGCCGAGATCCTGCCACTGCACTCCAGCCTGGGTGGTAGAGCAAGACTCCGTCTCAAAAAAAAAAAAAATTATTTGAAGCGTGTCCTACAAAACTTTAAATAAATTATCTCAGGCCAATATGGTGATGTCCCCAGGGATTATAAGCGGAAAAACTCGTATAATTTGTAACCAAAACAACCTAACATATTAGCATCTTTGTCCAAATAGCTAAATCAGTGTTGTCCTTACAGACACGGGCACATAACACTATTCTTCCTGCTAGGATCTGTGTTGTGTTTATGATTTGTTGTAGCTAGAGGTATTAGAGGCTTCAGTTTACTCCTGTGAACTTGTTTTTGTCTCCCCTCTGGGCTTTGGGCTTTTCTGATACTGCTCCGAGGAGACTGTCTATATATTGCAACTCTTTCAGCTATAATCCTCTGTTTTTAAACTGAAGTCTTTTGGGGGTAGTGGCACCCCCAAAAAGTTGTACCTTCTATAGTCTTCAGATGTCACCTCCTGTGACCATTCTACCCACACATCAGACCTAATCCCTTTGGATTCCCGTAACATTGTATTCATATCTGCTAATGTCACATAATACGCCATCCCATTACAGTTTCTTTCATAGCCCATCTGTGAGCTTCTTTAGAGCAGCATTCATGTTTTAGTCTATCTTTTTTTATATCCTAGATAATAGCATGGACAATCAATACATGTTGTTGGTTTGAATGAAAAAGTTCTTTTCTTTCAGCACTCTGAAGATCGCACTCCATGCTTCTCTTACTTGCATGGTTTCTGGTGAGCACTCTGCTGTCAATTGCTCTCGTGTTCCTCTGTAAGTAGGATATTCTTTTCCTTCTGGCTTCTTTATAGATTTTCACTTCCTTCTTGGTTTTCTGCAGTCTGAATAAGATACGCCTAAGGGTGGTTTTTTGGGGTATTATGGTATAGTGAGGAATGTACACAGACAATCCCTGACTTATGATGGTTTGACTAACAGTTTTTCAGCTGTACAATGGGTTTATTGGGGTGTTAAATGCATGTTCAACTTACTGTATTTTTAACTTACAGTTGGTTTATTGGACCATAACTTCATTGTAAGTTCAGCATCTGTATATTAATTATAAAAATGTATGTATATATGTATATAATACGTAACTTGAAGGGATATGTGTTCACTGGTTTGAGAGCAAGGAATATACGTAGTTAAGGTTGAAGGCATTATTTTCTCCCATAAGAATAGTATTTTTGTCAATTTCTTGGAAATGGCCAAGGTTTAGCTTTTTATCCCTTGAATATTGAAGACAGACTATTGATTTTTTAAGGAGAATTCATTGAAGTTTTTATGTATGGTAAAATAATATTACCCAAATAGTTTCCTTTCAAAACAAACACAAAAAAGGCAACTTCCTCTAGGTTAGGGCCTGGATCGTAGTAACACTTACATCTTCAGTGTCTGCCAAGCCTGCGGTAGGTGTTCAGTAAATTCAGATTGATATGTACAAATTTATGAGTTCTAACAGTTGGGCCAAAGTAGCTGAGCTTTGTTTTTTTTACCTCCTGTAAAAGAGTCCTACACAAGAGGTCATGCTCTCTATTCAAGTAGTAGTCATTCTCTAGTAACATGTAATTTGATTGAAAGAGCTTTTGTTATTCCCTGAACTTGATCTGAGATTTCTCCAGCTATCAGTGGGCAGTTTTTCTTTTATTTCCAATATTTCTGTAATCTTTAGCTCAGCCAGTAAACAAAAACACCGAAGTTCAGACTTTTCATCTCTAATTAATGCATAAGAATATATGCGTAAGAATATATTATTTTGACTTTATTGAAAAAATTACTTTTTTGCTTAAAATAACCCCTTCCCACTTCCTAGACAACCATATACAAAGACAATCAACATAATAACCCAAGAAATGCACATTTTAATAACATGCCATTTTTCATTTATCAGATTGGCAACAACTAGTACAACTGATAATACCTAGTATTGGACAGAAAAAATGCAGTCTTACACACTAGGGGTAGAGGGTTAATTAAAATTAGTACATTTTGGAAGAATATTGGACATATCTATCAACATTTTAAATATGTATCAATTTCTAACAACTTCTACAAGAATATTTGCACAGATGCACAATGGTGGTTATATTTTTTACCATTGAAAAATTGGAAAGAGTGTGAATATCCACTAATAGGAAAATGGTCAAGTAAAATATGACATATTTGTATAAAGAAATATAGTTTTTAAAAATAGGATATGTTCTCTCTTTTTATATACACACAAGCTATATAATATATATAATTTTTTCAGGTAAAAAGAAAAGTTGTACTTAATAATGTTCCATTGAATTTTCCATATGTGTGAATTATATATTCATAGGAAGAAGTCTAGGAGATTGTACGGCATGCTGTTAACAATAGTTATCTCTGAAGGGTGGATTTACAGCAGCCTTTTATTTTCTACTTTGTGCATTTTTGTATTGCTTATATAACCAAAAGAATTATAAATATTTTAAAATACTTATTCAGTGCTCTTTAGGAGTAGGGCGCTTAGCTCTGGATTGGGGATACAAAGGTGCATGATAAGACTTGATACTGAGCACTAGGAGTTTATGGCTTAGTCAATAAACACAGGGAAACAAATACATACAGTAGTATCCATGGGTACTGATAGAAGTTGCAAAATATTCAGTAGGAATAAGGATTCGTTTGATTGAGTAGGAATTGGGCATGAAAGAGAATAAGAAAGCTGCCATAGAAGAGGTTTGAACTGAACCTTGAAAAATGTGATGCTTGATTTGGTATTTGATGGTTGAATAGATGGCAGAGGGAGCATGAGAGAGTAAAGGCCTGGATGATGGTGTCAGGTTTGAGTTTTGGAAGTACAAGAAGGTTGACTTGGCTTCAGTTCATGAGCACCTGCGTATGTGAGTGTTGTTGTTGGGGAAATGGTGAGGGCTACGCACATAGAAAAGAGAAGACAGGATTCTGGCCTGTGAGTCAGGAAATTGCCCCTTCCTGAGTCTGACATATGCATGCTGTGTGAATCTCCATAAAGTCACTTTCCCTCTGGACGTCAGTTACTTAATCTGTAAAATGAGAGGTTGAACTAGATTAGTGGCGTCATATGCTTTTACTTTTTTCCCTTTCTTTCTTTAGCTGTCATTTCCCAGGAAGGGTGTATTTCAATTCATTCTTGTGTCTTTGTATGCTCTGGAGCTAAGTCTTGGTACCAAAATTTCCCTCTCCCCTGCGTTCCCTTCTCTTTTTTTTTTTTTTTTTTTTTTGAGACAGAGTTTCACTCATTTCTCTCTTGTTGCCCAGGCTGAAGTACAATGGCGCGATCTTGGCTCACCGCAGCCTCTGTCTCCCGGGTTCAAGCGATTCTCCTGCCTCAGCCTTCCAAGTAGCTGGGATCACAGGCACGTGCCACCATGCCTGGCTAATTTTATAATTTTTTTTAGTAGAGACGGGGTTTCTCCATGTTGGTCAGGCTGGTCTCAAACTGGCGACCTCAGTTGATCCACCTGCCTCAGCCTCCCAAAGTGCTGGGATTACAGGCTTGAGCCTTTTTTTTAATTTTATTTTTAATTTTTTATTTTTTTTAAGGAGAGAAGCAAAGAGGCCCTGTGTGATGTCAAGAATAAGACAGTTGAAATTTAACTGAAACTTACTGGAGAAGTGATTTTGTGAATTATTGTTTTTAATGAGCTTCTAGGGCAATAGCAGAGGAGAACAAAGCTGAGAGGTTCAGGTATAGGAAGCCCAGTTAGGTTGACAGTTGCAAGTTTACCAAGGAATTTGGTGTGAGGAAGAAATTCCTAAGGACTAAAACCTTGAGCCACAAAACGTTATGATCTACTCAGCACAAATAAGTATAGTAAATAGCCAAGAAGCATTAAAAAATTAATCTAGGAGCTTTTGTCTAGAATTCAATTCATAAGTACATTTAATGTATGGAAGGTATACATTATATTTTGATCAACAAAATATATGTAGGTTTATTACTTTTACCCATGAAGTTATAAAACTACAAGAAAATTCAGCCATTTCTTTTATTATTTCAACTACTTGGGGTGGGGAGGGGGAGAATGAGTTCCAAATATGGAATCCCCTCTACAATTTATATAGTAAATCTACATATATAGATCAACATAAAGATTTTTACCTAATTGATGCACTTTTCTTTCCATTTGAGTTCTGAAAGCAGTGTTCAGATTTGTAATATACAGTTTCTAAAATCTGGTGTGTAAGGTTTGTGAAAAGACAGTAATAAAGTAAGTTTACTGGGATCTCAGTACACAGCTTACTTTAGAACAGACATTGAATTAGACTAGTCCTCTAAAAGGGAAAGATATGGGCTGGTAAACATTCAAGGGTATTTAGTTACTATGTTTCTAAGGTAGTTTTTTTTGTTCATGTGCTTGGCCCATGAATGAATCCCAGAGATAGAAGTTTTATTTCCAAGAAGTTTATTTTCTAGGAGCTAGGATAATTTGGATACCCTTAAAAGAAAAATATTTTTACCAGTTTTGTTAGGAAGTCCATAGAAGGTAAGAATAATGCTATTTTCTTTAAAATTTCTGCTGTGCTGAAGATTGGGTCTAGTGGCTCACTGCAAAAAATCCCACCTTCTTTAAGAAGTATTTCCAAATCTCCCTAGTAGGAATTAATCTATACATTCTCATTTATGGGTTCATCCATTCATGCAAAAAAAAAACTATTATTGAGCACTTGCTCTGTGGAATTAAAACTGTGAGCAAGATAAACATAGTTCCTGCTGCTGTGGTCTGAATATGCCCCCAAAATTCGTATGCTGAATCTAATCGCTAATATGATGGTTGCAGAAAGTGGGGCCTTTGGGAAGTGACTAGGTCACGAGGGCAGATTTCTTGTGAATGTGATTATTATCCTTATAAAAGAGGCCCCAGAGAACTGCCTTGTTCCTTCTACCATGTGAGTACACAGCTACAAGGCACCATCTATGAAGTAGGAAATGGGTCTTTGTCAGACAGCAAATCTGCTGATGCCTTGATCTTGGACTTCTTAGCCTCCCGAAAAGTGAGAAATAAGTTTTTGTTGTTTATAAGCTACCTAGTCTATGGAATTTTGTGTGTGTGGTTTTTTTTTTTTTTTTTTTGACATGGAGTCTCACTCTGTCACCTAGGCTAGAGTAGTGCAGTGGCGTGATCTCAGCTCACTCCAGCCTCTGCCTCCCGGGCTCAAGTGACCCACCTGCCTCAGCCTCCCAAGTAGCTGGGACAACAGATGTGAGCCACCACACCCAGGTAATTTTCATATTTTTGGTAGAGACAGGGTTTTACTCTGTTGCTCAGGATGGTCTCAAACTCCTGACCTCAGGTGATCTGCCCGCCTCAGCCTCCCAAAGTGCTGAGATTAAAGGCGTGAGCCACCACACTCGGCCATATAGAATTTTGTAATAGCAACCAGAATGGAGTAAGCCACCTGCCTTTCTAGAATTCATGGATTCATGGGGGAGTATTGGGCAACTACACAGTGTTAACAGGTAGTATTATTACTGCTACAATGGAAGAAGTTCAGGCTGGATACACATCTGGAAAGACTTCTTGGAGAAAGTGCTATCTAAGCCAAGTAGTAGTTAACTGGAGGAGCAGAGATGGTTAGGGGCAATATACAAGGCTGGGGAAATAGCTTTGTGAAGGGATTGAAAGAGTGGAAAGGAAATTCAGAGTGGTTTGAGCTTGGTGCATGAGGGAGAAGGAAGTAGTGTCAAGAACAAAAGTTAGAGAAATAGTGGCTCTAGGACCCTGAGAGCCTTATCAAACCCACTCTCCTGATGGCATTAGTGAGCTATTAAGTTGATGACAGACATTCTAGAAAAATCACAGTAGATGCCATGTACAGAATGTATTAGATGGAGGCAAGAAGGTCATCACCGTTAAAGGTCGGAGGTAAGAAATCAATCCCACAATCCCATTTTTAGAGTCTCTTTCTTCAGAACTACTCCTGGTACCAAGTACTTCATGAGTCAGGGTCCAGTCAGAAGAGAGAAGCAAAGTATGTATTTCAGATACTACCTGAGGTGATTTAACATAGGGAACTGGGGACCTGGGATATTTGATGGCTGAAAATGTAAATAGTGGAAGCAGAGGCTATACATAGAGAGAGACTGGTAACTCCAGGAAGCAGCTGCCATCCCTGCAGCTGGGAGGGACAAGAGGGAGTGGGTGATGTTAGCTAAACCAAGAAAACTCATAGGGGCTACCACAGAGCTGATGTGCTGATTGCTAAGGAGGTACTTGGATCTCTGGGGGAGGATTGCCTTCTTGCTGGTACTCAGACTATCAAGGGAGGGTCCAAGGCTGGTACACAGAGTACTTAAAGCATGGGCAGCTGGTGCTGTCTGCTACTGTACAGGCTGACAGGAGCTGGAAAACAGGAAGAGAGTTTCTTCTCTCCACCTCTGCCTTCCAGTTGCAAAAGAGTCTGGGAAATGTGGTTTGAAGACTTCTAGTCCCAATATCATAAAGCAGAATACAGAGGGTGGGCTTGGGCTGACAGACTGCTGGAAAATAATCTACCCCAGGCATTTCAGAAAAGTAACTCTACCTATGTACTGTGGGAAGTGGGTTGGAAGGAGGCAAAACTGGGCACTGGTTCATTGTACAGAGGATGTTGGTAGTAATCTAGGCAGAAGATGATGGCATCTTGATTTAGAGCAATGGCAAGAAAGAGAAGCGGGTAGATGTGGAGGGATTTAGAAAGTAGAGTTGAACAGAATTGGTAATTTCCTGTGAGGGATGGGGATCAGTGAGAATAAAGGAGGGAGAGGGATTGAGAAAGCTTGAGTTTTTATTTAGGTGCATAGTGGTGCTGTTTACTGAGATAGGAACATAGGACTGGAAACCGTTTCGAGGAAGATGATTCATTCAGTTTTGGACCTACTCAGTTTGATGTGCCTGTGGCTCATCTAGGTGGAAATTCATTCTGAACATGTGGGCTGAAGGTATAGATGTGATGTGTTTTCAGCCTGTAGGTGGTACTTGAAGTCTTAGAAATGACTGAGATCACCAAAGGAGACTACAGAGTGCAAAGAGAAGAGATCATAAGCTAGATCCAAGAGGCATAACAACATTTTAGGAAAGAATACAAGCAGTGGAGAAAAGTTCCAAGCAGCAACTGTGAAAGAGTGATCAGAGATGTTGGAAGAAAACCGGAGTGTGTGGAGTCCCAGAACTAGGGAAGAATGTTAGAAGAAGTGGTCATGGTCAACAGTTCAGATGCTCTAAAGTTGACTGTTCAGTGTTGTTTGTGCTTCTGTTATCATACTCATCAAGTCTGCCTGTTTTTCAGAGTTACTTATGGTTGATTCTCCTCTAGTATCATATAGGGCTGGGATGCTGTGCTGTATATGCCTCAGCAGCTAGCATTGATGTTTCGCACATACATATGTTCTTGATTGGTGCTTATTGCATTACATTAATCCAGGGGTCAGCAAACTCCAGCTTGTGGGTCGGCCACTTGTTTTTATAAACAAAATTTTACTAGAACGCAGTGACGTCCATTCATTTATGTCTTGTCTATGACAGCTTTCACACTGTCACAGCAGAGTTGAGTAGCTATACCAACTCTGGTCTGCAAAGCTTAAAATGTTTACTAAGTGGTCCTTTATATTTGCTGACCCCTGGATTATGGTCCTGCATTAGGTGTTTTATGTCGGCTGGTAAGTTTGTGTCTTTGACCTTTTTTTTTCCTACTTATTTTTTCTTCAAATTTGTTTGAGATATTTAGAGACCATGTGGAGTGTAGACTGTGCCTTTGCAGCATTGGTCATGGTCTTGTTTGTGGTAAGGAGGCAGCAGAGCCAAGGGAAAGCAAAGCTCATGGGTAGTTAGAGCAGTCTCTTTCAGTGTGACTATGGGACTAAGTAGTACCTTTAAAAGGAAAGGCTAGGGCCAGGAAAGTGGAACAAGATGGGGAAGATGGATCTATGCATTGAAGACATGCTTTTTCAGCTCCATAATATGGAGCTATTTCCTAGCTATTGTGCTAGGTGCTGGGGTTTCTTCGGTAGCTCAGAATCTGGTTGGAAAAACAGACCGGTAAGAAGAATCTTGCAGTTCCCTACAATGTGCTTGGCACAGTGATAAAGCTGTTGGAATGTTGAGCAAAAGAGTGGCACGTAGCCCAGCCCAGGGAGAAGCAGCAGGAAGGAGAATGGTCGTATTAGGAGGAGGGCCACCAGGTGTCTGGGTTCCATATTGCCACATGCAAGCTGGGAGTGGATGTAGGGGCTGTGAGGCTTGGTGGGCCGTCTACCGCTCTCTAGTCAGAATTCCTGTGTGAGAAGCAAGCCCTCCAGGCTGTGCAGTCATGGAGAAAAGGCAGTTCTGAGAGATGTACTTATCTGTCACCAAAGTTTGTCTTCTAGGCATTCTTTCCTTTTCTTTCTTTTGTTAGATGACATATTTAGTGTGGTTTGAATTTGTGGGAATCATAACCTTGAATTGGTTGATTTTCCCCTTATGTAAAAGACAAAAGTCATCTTGCATTAATATGTCTTTTGACTGGATTTATATTGCTCTTGGGGATGATAAAAGCTCAGTGAACTGAGCATCTAACAGGCAATGAAAGTTCTCTGTGTATTTAAGACTCTGAATTGGCTGTCATTTTACTATCCACACCTCTTAACAACATCATATTACACATTCGCATTAATCTGCATTCTCTCAATGACCTGTATAAACTGATTGGGGCAGCTGTTAGGCCTACTGTATTAATAAAGAAAGTAAGACACATACTTGCAGATTTTAATTTTTTGACAATATTCATTGCTTTTGTTGGTTCTTTTGGTTGCAAGTAATAGCAGGTCATTCCAATTACTTTAGGAAAAGAAGAGTTTTTCATAAGCCTGCATATGTACTGGAAGTGGGGATGACTAGATGAGCAGAAGTTCTGGATGCTTCCTTTTCTCCTCTCTCCTCCTCCTCCTCCTCTCTCTCTGCTCTTCTCCTCCTCTTTCTCTTCCTCCTCCTTCTCTCACTCATCTCCTTCTCCTCTCTCTTCCCCCTCTCTGCTTTCCTCTTCTCTCCTCTGCTGCCTCTCCTCTGTCTTCTGTCTGCTCTCCTCTCTCTTCTGTCTCTCTTCTCTTTCTCTCTCCTCCTACTCTCCTTTTTCTCTTCTCCTCCTTTCTCATGCTCTCTCTCCTTTCTTCTCTCTCTGCTCTCTCCTCCTCTGCTCTCTCCTCCATCCTCTCCCCTCCCTTCCCTCTCCCTGTCCCCTCTCTGCCTCTTCCTCTCTCTCCCTCCTCTTCTCTCTGCATATCTGCATCACCCTTTCCTCAACCTACAGACCAGTTTTCTTTGTGGCATTTGCTTGTATGTGATCAACCTTCTTCTCTCAGCCTCTTTCTGCATAACTGACCTTAAAGCTTCAGCTCCCACTACTAATTGCTCTGTTTTCTTTCAGGATCTAATTGACCCAGCTTATCTTTTTTTTTTTTTTTTTTTTGAGATGGAGTTTCATTCACTCATGTCCAGGCTGGAGTGCAATGGCATGATCTCGACTCACTGCAACCTCCGCCTCCCAGGTTCAAGCAATTCTCCTGCCTCAGCCTCCTGAGTAGCTGGGATTACAGGCCTGCACCATCACGCCCGGCTAATTTTGTATTTTTAGTAGAGATGGGGTTTTGCCATGTTAGTCAGGTTGGTCTCACACTCCTGACCTCAGGTGATCTACCCACCTCGGCCTTCCTAAGTGCTGGGATTACAGGTGTGAGCCACTGCGCGCGGCGCAGCTTATCTTTTCAAGCAAGGTCATATTGTAGCTGGATTGATTCTTCCTAAGTCGGGCCTTTCTCAACTCTCCCCATCCTACTCAGCTTGGAACAGGGAAGCATACCCATGTGGTGCATAAGATCAGGAAGTTGGAAGCTTCCTTCAGAAGCACAAAGTGATGAGAAGCAAGACATTCTGAGGCATGACCCTTCCCCGGCCTGGCTCGTAACTCATTTCCTACACACAGTTCTAAAGATCTCCTCTTCCAATGTAAGCCAATCCTTATAGGTAAAACCACATATTCACTTAACCTTTCCCCAACAGGAAGTGTCCAAAGTCATAGTCAGCTCTTGCTGACTGTGGGACCATTTAAAAACCATTGTCTCCATCTGAAGCCACAATTCTCAATGATCTCTGTCACAATTCTAGTTCTGTCACGATCCATTTGAACCATTCTGCAACCCATGGACTACATGGCACATGTAACCACAGTACATGCTTAACGTATAAAGGTGAGGCGTATCTTAATACTCATGTAAGAAAGGGCAGAAGGCTACACCTCCCAGTCTGTCTGTGAGAAAGACACGTCATACCTGGGTCACTGGCTCAACATATGCTCTGTCTAGTAGAACAGAGCCCACACTCGTGATGGGCAGCCTCCTTGCTTGCATTCTGAGGCCAGATGCTGGGAAATAGGTTAATTGGAGGATCTTAATTAAGCATGAAGACAGTCCTCACCTTCATACATTAGGCGTGCACCATACTGCCATCCCCCTCCCCACAAACACACATTTCACATTCTTGGTATTTGTTTCTTCAGAGCCTGCTTTGTGGCACTTTATCAGAGCAGCTGGCATATTGGGAGAGGGATAGAATATAAAGTCTTTATAAAATTCTAAGATGACTATGTGATATGAATATTTGGCTTGTTTTTTGTTTATTTTGATGCCCTTAGTTCAGTTCCCCCAAATCGCTGTGACGATTTCTTGATCTCTGCTTTACTGCCCCATTGGGCAGTACTTTTTTATTTTTAAACTGTGCTTTACCTTTCTGAAAATATATTCTTACAACTTTCCCAATCATGCTAATTAATTTAGTATCTACACCAGCTTCTGTATCCTCAGTAACCAGACAGTAATGAATTAGTAAACAGGCCAGTTATTAGAAAAATAGAACAATCTGGATGATGGTCACCTGAGAGGCAGCCTCAGTTTGGATGGTGGAATAGGGAGTAGTGGGGTCTGGTGATTTGGAGGTTGTAGAGATGGTGGGGGGTGCGAGCCTAATGTTGCCAGGTCTTCCCAGTTTTCAAGAGAAACTGGAAATATGTTTTACATGAAGTATATATTTTTAGAAATATACATGAGCCAAGAAAACTTATTCTTGCAAAACTTTCCGTTTGTAACCTCAGGCCTGTTCCTTCCCACTTCAGTGAACTTCTGTACGTAGGTGGGGATGAACATTTTTAAAGTAGTTTTCTGCCTACTTCTCCCACTTCAAGAACACTTAGTACCAAATGGACGTTTGAAGAGTACCTCTTTGCCTCAGACACCTCTTTCCTGTGGTGTCTCAATGACCGTTTATTTTTTCTTGCTCTTCTACAAGGGTTCAGGTTCTTTGCAGAAATGGTTCCCTGCAGAGTATTCTCTGCTTTCCACCTTGGATTGGGGGCTGTCTGTCTCCGTCGGCTGAAGCAATTCAGGGCACACCCATTGCACAGAACCCAGGTGGAAGCAGAGGCTGGAGCAGGCATATGTTCTAGGTCACTCACACAGAGCTAACAGCTTATTGAAATGTTGCATGGCTTTTTCTTGAAGCAGATCTACCTGCATAATCCATGCAGGCAGACTTAATTAATTTTTTTAATTACATTTCAAGGGTAGGCTTAATAGAGTAAGTATCTCCTGATCACCAGCCTCTGAAAGATTAAACTGTACTTGCCCCTTCTGCTGCTGTGAAGCAGCAACTTCAGAGTCTTAATTTTGTGTAGTTGGTTACCTGTTTTCCTTGTCTTTCTCCTCAACGAGACAATTTTTTCTTTGAATATATCTGAAATGCCTGTGATCTCCAAGCCTACACAGAGCCCAGGTTGTGGTAATTACTCACTAAATGTTTGTTGAATGAAGAAGGATAGGTCCTGCCCCTAGATGGATTTTCTTTGTTACCTCTGTTAATAAGGACCAGTATGCACTAGGGACAGAAATATTCATCAAAGCCAGATGAATGTCCTCTTAGAAGTCTAGGAGCACTTTGGCCCCGCATTATGTGATTTCTCTATCTGGTGGTTGGTGCTGAATGACAGTGACTATTATTCTTTATTCCTTTGCCTAATTGCTGAACACACAAGACCTGTCTATATTGATTTCTTCTCAGCTGCTGCATTGATTGGCTAACTTGTTGATTGTTCTTCTTCCCCACTAGAATGTAAGCTCCATGAGGGAAAGTACTTTGTTGCTCTTCTTCTCCTCAGTATCCTCAGCGTTAGGACAATGCAGTGATATTGAATGAGTAAGTGTGTATCTTATTCCAGCTTTGCTCTGCTCTTTGTCCATTTTCTGTTTGTTTTTCTCCTTTTTAAGAATATGTTCACACCACTCTGCATCTCCCTTGGGTAACAACACCTCACAGTGGGAAAGACTTGACTTGGCTCTTGCCATTATCTTCCTGCTTAGGCTGGCCATTCCCTATGGAGTGGCAGAGGGTAGCAATGGAAATGATATGGGATTGGAGGAGGAAGACCCATTCCTTCTCTTTATGTGTCAGTAGAGACAATCATACCTCTCTCGCAAGTGTGGAAGATGAAATAGGATGGCACTTGAGGAAAGGCTTTGTAAAATACTCTGTGATGAACATGCTTTTGCAAATAAGAAGCTGACATGCTGATGTGCTTGCCTGCTTTTCAAGAATCAGGACACCCCAGGTGGGAGCAGTTGGACCCAGGGAGCTGATTTCCATAACCTCCTTCTTCATCCTTCACAACAGTCCTAGGAAGTGGGTGGTACTATCCTACTTTAAAGGTGAAGATGCAGGTCTCAAAGATGTAGGATTTTGCCCAAATATTATTCATTGAGTAAAGGCAAAGACAGGCTCAGACCTAGGTCCTGTGATGACAAATGTAAAAACTTCTTGTCACCATCCAACATCTGTCAGGTCGAGTCAGGGGAGAAGTGACTCCTGTACCTTGGCCCCCAGCTTTTGGATGGTGATCCCGATCACATTTGTTTGAATGTCTTTGTAATGTGTTAGTGTGTGGTACCATTAAGCTTGTACTAGTGTTAATTGAGTTCATATTAGGGTAGTATTCAATTGATAGATTTTTTTTTCCTTCCTATCAAACACTGCACAGCTAGTTAGGTCAGAAGTTAGTTATTTTCTGGAACATGCTGATTAAAAAGGGGTTGACATTGAATGACAGAGGAATTGATTGAATAGAGCAGAGCCTGAATTTGCATATGGACTTTGAGTCTGACCTGGATTTGTAGGCTATTCTGTTACATCTCAAGACATAGAATAGAGATGACCACCTATCCACCCATTCCACTCACATGGAGATTTCACCATTGAATGTGCTCAATCCTAACCAAGGCATTCTAGTTTGTAGCTTAAGTGAACCTGTAAAGACTCTCCAGTTACCCAACAGGACCTTGTGCAGCTGTGTGTGGAAATCAGGATAATTCCAGTGTTTCTGAGAGTGTTTTAATAGAGCACTGATTACAGATTGCAGGCACCTGGTGGTGTTTTTGTGCTGCGGCTGAAGGGTGCAGTTCCAAAGACAAGAACTGGGCTAGACGGATTCCTATTTTCCCACCCTGTTGTTTACCAGGGCCTGGAATAGGTACTGAGAAACCCTGTCAACAGCTGATCCAGGCTCCTGGTATGGTTAGTGTGTGCTTTCAGGAGACCACCAACACCAGCACATTAATTCCCAAACCGAGAATGGACATGTGACTTTTCCCAGGGTGTATTCTTCTGCCAGTGGCTCAGAGCCTGGAGACTGTAGAAGGGGCTCAGTTGGAGTCAATACAGAGGCCTGTGGGTTGGAGCTTGGCCAGAGTTAGTCTGTGCTTCTTGGACTATCCTGGGCTGTTCCGCTTGGGCAGACCATCATTGCTTTTGGCCTCAATAGCCAAATGAGAAAACAAACTGTGAAAATTCAAGGGGAAAAAGGTGATAGCCAAGAGTTAAGGTTTAGAACTCTATGGGCTAGAGGTTTTCTAGTTCAGCACTTAATTTCAAGCCAATTCCCAAGAAAAAAAATTTAATCTGAGAAGAGTCCCCACTGTGATTAATCATGTTTTCTCTTTCTCTGTTATCATCATTCCCCCAACACACCACCTGTTCTCACCTTCCACAAATTCGGCACTGCTCTACTATTTACATTATCATTTCATGTTTCTCTGTTTTTTACTTAAAAAAGTCGAGAGCAATATTTAGCCCTAATATTGGTTTTGCTACTCTTCTGTTGTGTGACTTTGGAATCACCCTCTGGACTTCAGTTTCCTTATGTGTTAAGTGAGGTAATTGGATGAGATAGACCATCACTAGGATCACTTCCAGGCATTAAACTTTTAAGCTTAAGAATGCCACATTTCTGCTGTGCCCACACTTTTTAACTGAGGTGTAAGCTGCTGGTGTGTAAGGCCCAAAAGGGTGTCAAATAATGTGGTTGGTTAGCTTATTTGTGAATATCTTGCTGAGATCCTTCTCCGTAAAGTAAAATGATGAAATTCTTCTTGCAGAGCCTTTGAAATTGGTGAAACTCAGGGCATTGCTGCTGGAGAAGCTAAGGTTCCTTGAAGCACTGTCAGCAAAAGATAGAAGGCCCAGAAAAAGTGGGAACAGGAAGGTAACAGGGAGGGTCCAAGTTGTGCTTTTGAAATGCCAGAGTGGGGGTAATACAGCAAAGGAAGTGGAAGAGGACTTCCCTTGAGAACCAGCAGAAACCTTTGAAAATGTGCCTTTCATATTTAAGCGTTTTCCGGTTTGGAAAGTAGCCTGCAAGGCTCATAAAACTGCCTTGTGGCAGCCATCCAAGATCTCAGGAGTTGACTCCTGTTGCAAACTGCAGGTCTCGAAATGATGGTGGTGAGCAGCTGTGATGAGGCTTTCATAGGCATTGTCCCCTTTATGGAGTTAGAGATCTGTTGCAGAATCTCTCTGCTAATGTATTGTCAACTCCCATTTTTATTTGTAGAATCAAAACAAGCTCTATCCTAATAAGGCTGTGCAACTCCTTTGCCAACGAACCAGCATGATATGCACACACAAGATGAACAGATATCCAGAAAGAATGACTTCAAACTACAGCTCGATTTGTTATCTTTGTAGCTGCTGGGCTAGGGTGATAACAGTATCTTGTACACCAGAAAATGTGGCCAGAGGCAAAAGTGTAAAGCAGTTGAATTTGTCCTGTTTTACCTAGAATGCATTCCAGCCTCACCTTTCCGTACCTTTCTCATTTCTTCAATATGAGATAGTAAGAAAGAGCAAAGGCTTCTGGAGTCATGCATCTTAGGTTTAAGTCCCTGCTCTGCCCTTGAGCTGTGTGATGTAGGACAATTTACTTAACCAATTAGCTTTAGTTTCCTCATCTGTAAAAGTCTCTGCACCCGGAGTATAAGCATATTAATAAGGATTTTTTGAATACCAAAGTCACATATCTAAGTATATACATCTCTTATGTCAGAATTTGAGGTAGCTGACAGATGGGGAAATTGCTTTTGGAGGCTGAGAAGGAAGCCTTTCGATCACCATTCAGATTGTACTACACTGGCATGAATTCGTGAAGTTGACCCTTGGGGAGATCAGATAAGTTGGAATTACAGTCCTTGGCCAGATCCTTAATGAGATCAGAAGTGTTCATAAACCTCACTGGAAATTTCATTTGGGAAATTGAGGCATTGAAGGGCACAGTGTCTTGCCTTTTAAACAGAGTAGGTATGTGTAAAATGGCTCCTCAGAGTGTCACATTGCTTCTGTGCCTCTCACTGCTGTGAAGACGTCATGTTGGAGTATAACACTGATGATATATCAATTACAGAAAACTTACTCAAACTCTTCCAAGAAATTGTAAAGTGGTGATATTCTCCAAATCAGCGATTCAAATAAGGAAGGTTTCTTTTTTCTTTTTCTTTGGTTTCTTTGTTTTTGTTTTTGTTTTTTTAAGACAGAGTCTCACTCTGTTGCCAGGCTGGAGTGCAGTCGCACGATCTCGGCTCACTGCAACCTCCACCTCCCGGGTTCAAGTGATTCTCCTGCCTCAGCCCCCCAAGTAGCTGGGACTACAGGTGCATGCCACCACGCCCGGCTAATTTTTGTATTTTTACTAGAGACAGGGTTTCATCATGTTGGCCAGGATGATCTTGATCTCTTGACCTCGTGATCCACCCACCTTGGCCTCTCAATGAATAAGGAATGTTTTAAAATTGATGTTTGATTTAGAGAATACTTTAAAGAAGTTTTGCTCTGATTTAAAAAATTTTAGAAAGCATATAAACTTGTTTCAACTGTATTTTAGGTTTTTATAGGTTTCAAACTCTTAAAAAATGGAGGCTTTCTTTAAAGGCTCATTATTTTTTCACTGTTATATTTTAAGTCTTTTCCAAAATAGAATTAGCTTAAATCAAGAAAACTTAAAATTTACCTAAAGCTTGAGTCAACAAATATCTAATATAAAAAGCTCATGTTATGCTTGCTGGAGAGTTTATGTTTCTGTTTGTTTCTTTATTTTTAATGGTAGACACATCTTCTTGTTTTCTTTTTAAATCTGCAATTTCTGTTATCAATCATACCCTCCTCTAAGGGGAAAACAACTGACCTACTATGCAAACTTTTTACTTCCTTTCATATATGGGTTTAGTGCTTTTCCTTCTGTCTTTTCTTCAGTGTAAGCAAAAGAAACAAACTAATTCAGCAAGTAGTGCAGAACCTAGCAGATAATTAAAATGTTTATTTTCATGTTAAGTCAATCTTTATGTGGCTTTTGCCTGTATTTGAACATGGTTGGAATAGATTTGGCTATTTCCAGTGCTGTCTGCTGTAAGTGATGTTCTCAAGTCAACATATTGTTTTCTTAGTTTGCTGACTAGTTGTTGGATACTACAATGACATGATTGCTCAGTAAAAATAGGGGAATGTCAAAAAGTTGAGCTCTTTTTAATTTTTTTCTGTTACTACCTTCCTCTTTTGATGTGGTTCAATTCACTTTTCAAGGTTTGTTCTATGTTTTAGATTGATAATCTCGTCAGTATCCATAATACACCAATGAGTGTATTCTAGCCTGGCCTTCACTATGATTCTTTATTTCTACCCATTACTGTAGAAAGGGTACATGGATACTGTAGAACTGGCTTAACTGGTCCTTGGAATTTAAACTTGTGAATGTGGAGTTCCTATTAATAGAATCCCTTGGAATGAGTGATGCTTATGAAATCTTCGTCTTACCTCAATAAATCCTCCAAATGACATATCCTATGTAGCTTTTGTTGGTGGTGTTATTTTTTGGCTTTGTCATATCATTTGTGAAAGTTAGGATGTAGTAATTGACAAGATTAAAAGGTACACCCGCAATGTAAATAAACTTGTGTAAACACAGATCTTGTGGTCAGGGTTTGTTCTTTGGATATCAGACTTACAAGAAGAATGTGTATACTGGACATATAAACAAGGAAAGAGGAGATGAAAATAATCTAGGTTTATAGTTGAAGCAGACATGAGTCATGGGCTCAGAGAATCCTGTGAACATAATGTCTTTTACACAGGGAGAGTTAGTATGTACAGGGAAAAGAAAGCCAATCGGGTCTCATAGTCTTTGGCAGTCTGATGGCAGAAAAGCAATTCCTCGTTTCCTTCCTTAAAGAATTAAACAGTATGACCAGGGCTGTTGTGTACGGTTGTGTTGTTTTTACATTGTTCCAGAGTTATTCATCTAAGAGAGCAAGCGCAGGCTAACGCGTAGCTGGTGCTCTGTTCACCAGGTTGAAGGCTCCAGCATTGAGCTGCAATTGGACAGAAGAAGGGTACCATTTTCTTCCTACAAAGTTATCTTCTAAGCCTTGTCATTATTCACAGCGTTTGCTCTCCTTTCTCACAGCTTTTTGAGGGTGGGAGTTTGCTAATTTACTTTGGGGTTCTCAACACTATGCCTGGACTGGAGTTGAAAAAAGAATATGGTCAACTTATAATTGGGTCTCAATAAAATGTATTTTGATAGGTCTTCCAGGTTTGGTGGAAAGAATGTGCCTTAAAACCGCAATTTTCAAGGAGCACTCCACTGAGATTTTAGTGGAGTACGAAGACTGTCCTGCAGAATCTCTGACCTGTTTCCTTGTTTCAAAATCCAGAGATAATCATATTAACGTTTTGGCAAACTATTTTCTAGACATCTCTTTATGCATGTAAATATACACATAAAATTGCAAATTCATGAGCTCATTTTCTGTTTTATAACCTCCTTGTTTTCACTCTGTATTATTTCTTGGCAATTTTTCCAAGTCAATATCTGTAGGTCTGTGCCACAATTTTAAAAGGATATGTAATATTCTGTTGGGTGGATGGGCTATACTGTATTTAACCAATGAAGATTGATGGGTATTTAGGTTGTTTATGATGATTTTTTCTTAAAAATGGATCTGAGGTAAACATGCATCTGTAACACACACATGGTGTGTGCATGCTCACACCATTTTTTCTAATGGTAGAGTTGCTGGCTCAAAAGGTTTCAACTCATATTAATCTCTGTTGGAGAGGAATTATAACACTTCCTCATAATCCTTGCACCAATTGGGTGTGTTAAAAATGACATAGTTTACCCTTCATAAAAACACATATCTGGGCTGGGCACGCACCTGTAATCCCAGCACTTTGGGAGGCTGAGGCAGGTGGATCACTTGAGGTCAGGAGTTGGAAACCAGCCTGGCCAACATGGTGAAACCCCATCTCTACTAAAATACAAAAATTAGCCGGGCATGGTGACATACACTTGTAATTCCAGCTACTCAGGAGGCTGAGGCAGGAGAATTGCTTGAACCTGGGAGACAGAGGTTGCAGTGAGCCAAGATGGTGCCACTGCACCCCAGCCTGGGCAACAGTGAGACTCTGCCTCAAAAAAAAAAAATACTCACATACATATCTGAAGATTCTAATTTACAGTTTTGAAGCAAACTTTGGAAGATATATTCAGTGGCTCTCTTGATTACACATTTGGGATTAGATATAGAAATACTTTGTAAATCATGAAGTGCTATGTAAACTTCAATGATTCATTACTAGGGCTTTACAAAATATTTGCCATGTACACTTGTTTCTGGGGTCTTTTTATTTGTTTTATAAGTAATTCATTAAATACAGGGGGAAAACCCAAAGATAGTGGCTCTGGACCTGGTTGTATAGCAGAATAAACTGAAGAAGTCATTCAGAAAACAAGTTGCAGGCCCTAGCCCCAGATCCCCTGAATCTCTGTGAGCAGGACCTGGGCACCCAGGTGATGTTCATGTGCAGTTTTTGTTTGGAGTTTCTACTTTAAGATATTTTTTTTCCTATCTTCAACTATTTTTCTAGCAGAACAGATAATGTTTTTAGTTTTTATTCATATCCCCATTATTTTTCATGTTTAGAAGTTTCTGGCTCCTTTAAGTATGTTGTTAGAGGATTTGCTGAATGTCTATTGATTTTACCCTAATTTTGTAAAGCTTGTGAAGCCTTAAATATGGGTTCTTGGTCTGCTATTCCCATCTGGTTTCTCACCATGGCAAGCCCATCCAATAGCCCTTGTTTGTAGCAATAAAGAGTGATTGAACTTGAAGTGATTGTACTTTTAAGACTTCAAATGTTGTCACCAGATTAAAGTTACCTGTCTATTCTAATAGCATATCTGACTTCCTTTTTAGAATCTACTTATAAGAACTAGTAGTTAAGAGTAGTAGTTGAATTACATGGAAAAACTGGTTGGTGGACTAAAATTTTTGTCTAATTTATTGTTTATTCACATGCCTACATACCATGGAAAGACTAAAGCTTTCAACTTGAGAACTGTCTTATCAAAGAGAAACATTATCTAAGTAAACATTTTGTTAAAAATCAGTAACTCTTTCTTAAACACTTTTAAAGGGGCTAAATTGGCCTCATATTATCTCCTTGATCTTAATATATGACATCAGAAAAAATAAAATTGATTTTCTTTGCATAAAAGCTTGTATATTTTCTGACTACCTGTTAAAGTTTTTGAACTTTGGAGCAAAATTAACATTTTTAGATTTCTAGGTTTAGTGATATATAATAACATCTGTTTTGTAGCATTTAGTATGTCTATATTGTGGCTTTTAAGGGAAGTAATTTAACATTTCTCCATTTAGATTTTAACATTTACAAAATTGTCTTTTTCCTTGTTAAGATTATTGTGTTTCTTTGTCAATAGCTGAGGCATGGAGAAGAAGCAGTTAAGTACAGTTAAGCTTGAATCATATTCATCCTTTGGAATATGACATTGGACAGTGTAGAGGGCTGATTGTGGTAAAGTAAGAGCAGTACTGGAGTCCTTTAGAGGAAGCATCAAAATTATTCAGGCCGGGGATGGTGAAGACCCAAACTAAGGCAGAGGAAGTGAGAATGAAGAAAAGCTAGTCTAGAAATATTAAATCAAATCCACAGGACTTGGTGATTGGTTCGTTATGGGGATTTGAAAGGGTTGAGGGAGAAGGAAGGGTCTAGGTTAGGTCTCAGTGGAAATGCTCAGTCTACAGCTAGGTATATGGGTTTAAAGCCAGAAAGACACTCTGAGTTGGATGCATGATTAGTGTCATCAACATTATAGGTGGGACTTAAAATTGAATTTGTAGAATTTCAAAAACAAAGTGGTAATGCAAAGAAGTCTAATTTTAGAGAATCTTATTTCTCTTATTTCTAACTTATTTGGGTTCACCAAACTGAAGTTCCGTTGAAGTAGGAAAGACTAGCTGATTTTCCCCCCAGAGTCTTCCAGGGTGACATCATCTTGGTTCTTAACTTCAAAGACTCTGAAACTTGTTATCAGCATGCTGACTGCATCTGCTTTAGTGTTGAGACACATTAACTAGCTTATGAGACTGATGTCTAAAATTCTTGGTTACTCATTTACAATAGGAAGTATAATTGTTACATAGTCTAGAATAATTGTGTGGCACAGCCACAAGGCCAAAACTTGATCAGAGGATTGCATGTTAAACATGGGATCAGAACAGAGGAGTTAATGAAGTTAGATCAACTATCTAACAGTATTAAGCTAAATAGATGGCACTGTTGCCTTACCAGAGGAGATTCTTTCTTCTCACATGAAAAATATTTAAGGGCTGTAGACTATACTTCCCTAGAACTACCTGCATGATAATGAATGCCTTAACAATGGAGGTTTTTAATTTGCTGCAGTTCCTACTACTACTCTTGGTCTCCTGACCACAGATGACAAATACCAGTTCCACTACTGGAAACCAAAAATGTTGCATCTTACACCTGTTCCCCTTTGCTTATGCGCTTCATCTACCTGTTCTCTGAGGTCATTTGAGTTTGCAACTCCTAACCTAAAGGATGGTCTTATTTCCTAGTTACTTGGGCAGTGGAAAGGCATCACACTACAGTAGCCATGCATTAACAAGAATGGTATGTATAGATGTGATGGCACAAAGTGAGAAGATCAGAACTAACTGTGATTAGTTTTTTGTAACTAACACTTATGGGAACCAGCTGCTTTGACTTGCAAATCATATTGTAGGTTGGTTTCTTGGATGGAAAAATTTTGTAATTACAACCTGTAGAAGCAGGAAAAGAAAAGGCTTCCATGGGGTGATATAGGTTGGAGTAACTAGTGATCATTGGTGTACCATTGCTGTTATATTCATCTTAATTTCTTACAGTGGGTTCTCAGCCTTGGGATGGACAATGATTTACCAACACTAAGACGTAAGGCTTGATAAAGCTGCTTAGATGGAGAGAAAAAAATCCTGTGCATTGTCTTCCTATATTCTCTCCTGAAATGATTCATCCTTTCCATTCCCATCACTACATTTCTGGTCTAGGTTTTAGCTCCTCTCTAGGCTCAGAGCATTTAAATTAGGTGGCAGAATGACTGCATGGCTGCATGAGAACCAGTTAGAGTTGTTTAAAATACAGATCCCAGGATTCTAATTTGGTGGGTATAAAGGAAGGACCCAGGGGTCTGCGTTTTTGAAAAGCTCTCCATGCTGAATTCAGACATACAATCAGATTTGGGATACTCTTAAGTTATTGCTATGAAGTTATGACAGTACCCCTTTTACTTTCTGATTCTTTTCCATCTAATCTGCTGTGCATTATTACCATTCCCAGGGTGACATTAAAAACATGTATACATGTGTGCTCCACACTGTCCTGTTAGTGTCATTGCCCTGAATAAAAACTTTTGATAATTTCACATAGAATGAATCTGATAATCTCCTAGTGAGTATCCTAAAGAGTGATGCCTATAAATTCCTTATCCTTGTGATACTTAGTACAAAACCATCCCTATAAGAGACTGTTTATCTGTAGGTGGAGGGTCTCACACTGATGGGTGAGAAAGGTGAGGATTTGTAAATAAAGTTGGGTTTCACTTTTACAAATACCTTTGGTATAGATTGCTGCATTTACTCAATTTCTTCAAGTTCAGAGGGATTTTTATCTTTTCATATCATAGTAGGAGAATTAATAAAAATGTTTCATTTTTAAGCATTTTTTAATTATTCAGGCAACAGAATAAGTGTTCTGCATATATTGTTTCATTTAATTCTTTAGTTCCAGGAGGTAGGTGAAGACATCTCTATGTTGTAGTTAATAAACTAAGGGTCTGTAATTTTAAGAGATTTACCCAGAAATCACATAAGTCTTAGGTGTTGGAGTTAAAATTTGAACCTGAGTTTGTTTGATTCTAAAACTTGTGCTCCATGAAGAAGTTACTGGCTTTATCTATTCTCTCTCTCTCTCTTGTTCTTGGTCACTGACTATCAGTATTTAAAAAAAAAATAAAAGGTCATTTCTATTTCTCACCAGTTTTTAAAAAGAACAGGATTTCCTAAGCTTGGTAAAACCACATTATCTCTTTCTTTCCTTTTTCTGACAGATTTTATATGATAAAATGATAGCTTTCTTTTTCTTTTAACTACAGTTTTTGAAAACTGTGGACCTGAGATGAAAAAGCAAAAGCCATGACAGCTGGGAAGGCACTGGTCCGAGAACACCGGGTGAGACAGGGCGCGGTGGCTCATGCCTGTAATCCCAGCACGTAGGGAGGCCGAGGCGGGTGCATCACTTGAGATCAGGAGTTTTGAGACCAGCCTGGCCAACATAGTGAAACCCTATCTCTACTAAAAATACAAAAATTAGCTGGGCGTGGTGGTAGGCACCTGTAATCACAGCTACTGGGGAGGCTGAGGCAGTAGAATCGATTGAACCGGAGAAGTGGAGGTTGCAGTGAGTCAAGATTGTACCACTGCACTCCAGCCTGGGTGATAAAGCAAGACTCTGCCTCAAAAAAAAAAAAAAAAAAAAAAAAAAAAGAGCGCCCAGTCAGCTCAGGACTTTGGCTTGCTTTCTACATTGCTTATCAAATGGTTTGAAGCCACTGTGCTACCACTGGCTTTCTTTTTCACCTGTACCCAAATAGTGAGAGGCAAGTGGCCTTGGAGCTAGAAAATAACCAGTATGTGTTTCTTTCTTTAAAAAAAATAAATAAAAGTCCCTGATAAATTGTAACATCTTGCCTAGGAAAGTCATGGGGTAAATTATGAAATTCTGTTGCCAACTTGTAGGAAATCATACCGTATCAGTTAGTGATCAGCATTTGAAAAACAGGTCCCCCTCCACTGTTGTCATTTTGTTCTTGGCCAGCATGAAGAACCTGGTGGTGATGATAAAATGTTGGGATTGGAGCACAAGTAGATGTGGGTATTAGATCTATAATTTCTAGGATATCTAGATACATATTCTTTGTGTATGTATAGATAGGTATTCTTGTGTCACTAAGAAAACCTGCCCTATTACAGAATAAAAACTAGGAGAAATTTCTTTAACTAGAAAGGTGTTCTTTTTTAATATATCACTTTCCTACCAGGAGGTTATAGATGTGAACAGGTTACAGGTAAACAGTTGTGTGGGTAGCATTTGTGAATCTTGCATTGGGAAGGATGATCCCGTGATCTTTTACTATAAACTATCTGGATTTAAGTGAAACCTCTGATGTAGTTAGCAGTCAACTCCTGGAGAACTGGGACCATGTCTTGATTATTTATTGTATCTCTAATACTTATCATAGAAGTGGCACATAGCAGGTGTTTTTGTAACCAGCTGGCTCAGTTTTACAGCAGTCTGATCAACTCTTTGAGCTGTGTTACTGCAGATAGCTATGCTGTTGATCCATATGCGGGATCTCTGATACTCTGCATGTCCAACCCATGGGCCCTCTCTGTGCCTTTAATTTTGATTTGTTGAATTGCCTGAACAAATATCTATTCATTATTAGGGCACAGACTATTTATGACTAGGATGATGGAATGGAGAAAGTTTACTCAAGTTGCTGTAGAATCTTTTTGGATGACAGGCTTAATATTTCAGATTGAACTTGAACATAATAGATATAAATAAGCAGAGTTAAGACCATTGGGGAAGTACAACTTTTAGAAAACTAAATATAACATGGGGGCTATGTATGTGTGTGTTCTGGGGGGAACTCACTGTGAGTCAGCGTCATACTGCTTTATTTTCTTAATTATTGGGCATCCACTGCCAGTTAACCAGAGGAGCATAACATGTGGGAGCTGCTGGGTAACATTTCCAAAATACTTAGCATTAGTCAGATATGTTTTTAGAATTATGTATCCATTTTGGCTGAAGGAAAATGTGGAGTGTTTGTCAAGGGTACAGAGCATGGTAACTAGATGCAGAGGAGCACTGCAAACTAGAACCCATTGGGAGAAGCTAATAAATAAGAATTCATTACTTAGCGTGATCAAAGGCAGAAGAAGGGTATTAATTTAATGGTCTTCTGTTGCATGTATAGTTATTGTGTAGAAGATGATATAATTATTTCCATTATGAATGGAATTAGGGAAATGGATTTACATTAAAGGAGATTTTGAAGGGGCATAAAGAATTTCTTGACTCTAAGGACTGTTGGACAGTGGAAAGACTTGTATTCTGGAAGTGTGAAATATGTTTCTTACAGAACAGGAATAGAGTGGGTACTGCTTGCCAGTTAGAGGGAGGTGCAGTTGGGGTAGTAATTAACAAACTTTCCAGATCCCAGTTTGTACTACTCATCTCATATTGTGTTTGACATTTTTGGGAAGTAAATAAGTACCCCCTTTTTGTCTTTATTTTTTCATAGTTATTACAAATATGAAGACCTTGCTTTTAATGTTTCTATAATACATTTCAAGCAATTATGAGATTAAACTGTAAATTGAAAATTACTTCACCTGCAAATTCACTTGCTGCTGATTATTGTATGAACCCTTACAATGTTGTCAATTCCAACTTTCCTTTCTTTTCCTTCTTTAAAAGATTCACTGCGTGCTGTCCTCACTTGTTCTACAATGAGTGCCAAATCTGCTATCAGCAAGGAAATTTTTGCACCTCTTGATGAAAGGATGCTGGGAGCTGTCCAAGTCAAGAGGAGGACAAAGAAAAAGATTCCTTTCTTGGCAACTGGAGGTCAAGGCGAATATTTAACTTATATCTGCCTGTCAGGTAATGAGAACCAGATATTAATATTATTAAAATAACTTCCATTTTAAAACAGTTCATTCTGAGGTATCCAGGAGGTTTACATTCACAGGTTTTGTAGGTGTCTGCACTGTCTTGCTCCTTTTCCCCGTTTTTCTGGTCTTCCTCTTTACTGGTGACACCTTGTTTTTGAGGTTGCCGCGTATTGGAAAGGTAGTGAAGTTCAATTCGGGTGTATTTTCCAGTTCATTAAGAGCTTTCGTAAAATGTTTCGCAGACTTGTTTGTCCATACTTGCCCTCACGGGGACACTGACAGAGAATGGGCTATCCTCTGGAATTCTCGTTTTAGAACAGTTGCTGGTATCTGAATAATTGTCATTACTCACAGCCTGACTTTCATTGGCTTTGTTTTTCTAGACAGTTGCCAATAATCAGTAATCACTTGTCTTAAGATAAATATTGGCACCTTATGGAATGTGAGGAGGTTGATTCAGTTCACAAGTCGTTGCTTTGCCTGACAGCCATTGCCTTGTCAAGAAGAGGCATCTGTTTTATTAAGCTTTGAATCTTGTTTTTTTTTTTTCTTTCTCTTTCTGTTTGTGATTGTAGGAGATCTGTGGGATTTACAATGGATTCGTATTAAGATTTTTGAGATAAAATCTGGATAAATTTTTCATGGAGTTATTGGTGATGCTAATCTAAACACATGGAGCATTTGTGATATTTCTGATAATATTTCTTGTATGGAGTGATGGAAGATTTAAGCTTATTTTAGTTTATCTTTTTAAAAACTTTCCTTCAATTGTAGTTTTGGGAATAAAACTTTATGTTTTTGGACCCATTTCTAGCTTTTTAAAAAATTAAACCTTTGATCATTTATCAGAATTTATTTTAGGGTAAAAGTAACTTTTTACCAGAAAGAACATGTAAATTTCTAAGACTGTGTCTTAGATTAAAATGAAGTAAGAACATAGCACTTTGGTAAGAATTATTTTTCAAAGGGCCAGGCGCGGTGGCTCATGCCTATAATGCTCAGCACTTTGGGAGGCCAAGGCAGGAGGATCATCTGAGGTCAGGAGTTCAAGACCAGCCTGGCCAACATAGTGAAACCCTGTCTCTATTAAAAATAAAAAAATTAGCCAGGCATGATGGCACTCACCTGTACTCCCAGCTACTCAGGCGGCTGAGACAGGAGAATTGCTTGAACCCAGGAGGCAGAGGTTGCAGTGAGCCGAGATCACACCACTGCACTCCAGCCTGGCTGACAGAGTGAGACTCTGTCTCAAAAAAAAAAAAAAAAAAAAAAAAGGAAGAAAGCTTTTATTTAAATAAGTGTGAGAGAATTGACCTTGAAACATTGGTTTCTGTTTATTCCAAATAAGGATTAGGTTAATAAAAAAATTGGGTTATTGTCAGAAGATATTTGTATTTCTTTAGTGCGCTAAGCAGTGCCGGGCATATTCTAGGGCCTCAATTAATATCTAGTGACTAAGTGGAAGAAAGAAGTAGCCTCACCTAATACTTTCCTAGAATTTTGTTAATGAAATTCAAGTGTGTTTTGTTTTGTTTTGAGACAGGGTCTCACTCTGTTGCCCAGGCTGGAGTGTAGTAGCACAACCATGGCTCACTGTAGCCTTGACCTCCTTGGGTTCAATCGATCCTCCTGCCTCAGCCTCCCAAGAGCTGGGACTGCAGGCACACAACACCATGCCCAGCTGATGTTTGTATTTTTTTGTAAAGATGAGTTCTCACTCTGTTGCCTAGGCTGGTCTCGAACTCCTGGGCTCAAGCAATCCTCCTACTTAGGTCTCCCAAAGTGCTGGGATTACAGGGATAAACCACCATTTTTGTAGTTTTTGTAGCAATGGGGTCTTGTTATGTTGCCCAGGCTGGTCTTCAAACAGTCATTTCCCCTTGGCCTCCAAAAGTGCTGGGATTACAGGCATGAGCTATCACACCCAGCCCAGGTCTTAAAAATATTTTCATATTCTTAAATTTAGATTCCACAGTTCTGCTTACGCAAACAATGAATAGAATACACTTAAATAAAGACTGATTTGCATTTGAGCTGAGCTGAACATCGGCCTAGTATGGATACCTAGTGATTCTAATTTTGTTAAGCTCTATTTTCTCAATATTTCATTGACATTTCTTATAGATGAGTAGTTGAAAGAAAGGTAGACGGTCTAGAAGCTACTTGAATTTTGCCTAGTACCTATGTATAATTGAAGAATAGTTGTTTGCATTTTAGGCATATACTGTTGTCTGCCTAATTTTGATCATGAAGCCTGCAAGAGTGATATAGGGACTCTAACAGCCTCATCTCAGTGAAATAGCATAACCATTTCATTTCCCCTGCCATAGAAGATAATGACCTGGGACTTACGGAATAACTGTATTTCCTTTGCAAATTACCAAGACCTTCAGGTTTAAAGTCCAAAACTATGACAATTGCTTTTTTGTTGCATTCTAATGGAGGAAAATCTTTTGTTCTTCAGTCTTTTCATGGTTTTGAATCTTGAGAGGATAGATTGATAAAGTAGATCTGACATTTAAGCAGACAGTGTAGTGGAAATGGGGGCAGGAGAAGGGCAGGCAACTTTGACACCCAAGATTTTTGCAGTTTGATGTTTCTTGTAAGTGACAAAGAAGCAGCCACCCTTATTTTTTAACTTGTGCAAAGCTTAGAGGCATATCAGTTACATCCCTGATAAGGTAATGTTTTAATTAGCAATTAATTAGTCAAATATTTATTAAGAATTTTTCTGTGCCAAGCATTCTATGTTCCGTGGGTACCGCTATGAAAAGAATTCATGCATCTTACCTAATTTGGTGGGCAAGTAGCAATAGACATTAATCCATCACTAAAATAAACATAGTTATAAACTGTGAAAGATTAAAAAAAATACAATGATGTGAAAGCATGTATGCAGAGAATTTGGCCTGGTTTGGAGAACCAAGAGTTTTGAGAAAAGTAGGGCTTCACTGGTTTTGAAAAGAGGATTGTGTGGGTGAGAGGGCATTCCAGGCAGAGGGAATGGCAGGTTCATTAAAAAACTAAGCAGGATTTTGAATTTCTCCTATTCTCCTATTCAGTCTAGGACCTCTTTGTAGCTCAGCTCTCATAGGAGTCTGTGAAGTGAAAGCTGAGCCCTGGAATGAAAATATTCTTCCTGCTATTAGTGTGAACTGCCTACACCTTCTGGGAGGCCAGGCCCTTCAACTATTGTGGTTTGGTTGATGAAAACCAGCTATTCATTTTGAACTGGCAAACTTTGTCCAAATTAGGACAATGTCTGCAAATAATTTTTAACCATTCTTGAAACAGCATGAAGCATCAAATTTTAAAAAAGGGAGAAGTATCACTACTTTAAAAGCTTGCCAAAATATGCATCTAGACATGGGTGTTTCATATATATCCAATGTCTCTTACTAACTTTTCTTTGTGTGATTTTTTTCCCAATATCTAGTACATTTTATGATCAGAGTTAGAGGTCTGTGATCATAAGACTTACTATTTTCAGAGCGGTTTAAATATCCTCTGGAGGTATCCGAAAAAGGTGCTGGAGTGGGATAAATAAGATGATCTTTCTTGGGTTATTTAGGTTTAATTCTATAAGGAGAAAAATAATCTCTCCAGTTCATTATGGTGTCTTGGGATAGGATTTGAGTGTTTCTCACTGGAATCACAGATTGATTGACTTCTTGAATGATATATACAAGTGCTTATGTACTGAGATGCCTCTGTGATTAACATTCTTAAAGCATTGGTTTCTGCTTTTTCTTTTCAGCAATGACTAAAATTAAAAATACTGACAATACCAAGTGTTAACATGCGAAGCAATTTGAGCTCTCATACTTTGCTGATGGGAATGTAAAAATGATATGACTGCTTTAGTAAACAACTTGGCAGTTTTTTATAGTCAAACATGCACCCCATTCCTAGGCATATACTCAAGAGAAAAAATAAAAACATACATCCACCTAAAGACTTATACACAAGTATTTATAACAGTCTCATTCATAATAACCCAAACCCAGAAATAAATACCCATCTACATATTAAATGCATAAACAAATTATTTTACATTTTTGCAGTGGAATACTACCTTGCAGTAAAAAGAAATGAACTACCAATATATGTAGCAACATGGATGAATCTCAAAAGCATGTTGTGTGAAAAAAAAACAGACAGAAGCATCAATATACTATGTGATTCTATTTATATGACATTCTAGAACAGACAAAAGTAAGATGTAGTGGCAGGATTGACTGAGAAGGGGCCTGAGGCAATTTTTTGCAGTGATGTTAGGTGTTCTGTTTGTTGATTGTGGTGTTGATTACGTAGGTGTATACATTTTTGACAGCTCATCAGGCTGCACACTTAAAGTGGTTGTATTTTATTATATATAAATAAATTTCAATGAAATTGATTTTTTTTTTTTTTGAGACGGAGTCTCGTTCTGTTGCCCAGGCTGGAGTGCAGTGGCGTGATCTCAGCTCACTGCAACCTCCACCTCCCGGGTTCAAGCAGTTCTCCTGCCCCAGCCTCCTGAGTAACTGGGATTACAGGCGCACACCACTGCACCCAACTGATTTTGTATTTTTAGTAGAGACGGTGTTTCACCATGTTGGCCAAGCTGGTCTCGAGTTCCCGACCTCAGGCCATCCGTCCACCTCAGCCTCCCAAAGTGCTGGGATTGCAGGCATGAGCCACCACACCCGGCCGAAATTGATTACTTTAGAAACACTTTTACAGAGTCGCTAGTGGGAAAGATTAACCTCATTATCTCCATGCACCTCCTAAGGTGGGTGGAAACTAATCCTCTCCTTTATAGGCATGAGAGGTTATTCCAGTGGCCTTTTTGAACACTCTGATAGAAGCAGCTGTGTATCATCTAAACCTGTGCTTGTGTCTGGTCTGTCTACATACAAAATCTTTATTTTGTGCTATCTTTTCATTCTTGCTCACTCATGTGGATTAGGTTGCTCAAAGACTGGAGCTAATATGATAAATTCCTTATAGCACCCAGCACATTGCTCAATAGGGACAATAGATGCTTAATGGAAAATGTATTTGAGTTTTTTGTTTACTACATACCTGATTATAGTGTAGACTTTATTTCTAACTTAGAACTGTTAACACATTCAAAGTGTAAAGCAAGCCCTACCCACAACAATGTCTATAGTCAGTTGTCCATGGTAATATGGGTCTATAAAGCTAAACTAGAAACATGCTAAGTTAAAATCAGTTTGTTATTAGACATCAGTTACCTACCAAACATTCTGTAATTTCATGTTTAAAATCTATTTTCTGGATCCTGTTTTAATTATGTGTGTGTAATATATGATGCTACTCTTTATATCCATAAGTGGGTGAAAATCTTCCCTTGGCTGCTACTCATCCCCAGAGAAGGAGCATGTGGGAGCTTTAATTTTTGTGATTAGTACATTCTTTTACATGTTTTGTTGAAACAGAAAATCTTAATCTTTTCAAAATGGTTTTAGATTTGTAGGGAGAGCAAAATTTTCTTTAGGAAAAAGTTCTGAATGCTTTTTGATGAAATAATTTATGTAAATAGATACCCATGGAAGGTAATGACATGTATTAGGAGCGTAGAACCTGCCAATACTGCCCTTTATTTCAGTGATTGGCAGCCCTAGGTGTTCCTTATAAAACCCTCTAGAATTTCTCAAAGTACAGATGGCCTGGTTCTAATGCAGCACGGGGGGCTGGTGGGGAAGCTAATCTGTATTTTGAAAGTGTTGTGCAAGAACTTCTGAAGATAAGGTTGAGAAGTTTTACTGTTTTCCTGGGGTATGCTCTGGGTTGTCTTATTGGGATATCTGACATAATGATATATTTTTGATACTCAATTTTATTAAAAACTTCTTTAATTTCTTTCTTGTTGTCTGGCCATGGTCAAACATCTGATTTTTCTGGGCTTTAGTTTATTCAGTTGAAAAATTCAGAGTAGTAAGATTCAGGTTTATTTGGGTTCTGAGATTCTAGGGATCTGAACCCCCATGGAAGTTTTATACCAAATTTCATTCTTATTTCATGTATGTCATGTAGAGAAGAATCCAGGTAGTTAATATCAACACTTACACATTTATGAGGGTTTGAGAAAATTCTTTACAGGTTGTTACTGGAATTAGGGTAACCAAATTTAATTGTCAGTGATCTGGCATAGGAGAGAAACTCTGTTTCTCTCTTTCTAATTCAGACTTTCTGAATTAGAAAAGTAGAAAGTAGAAAGAAATTGTCTACTTTCTAATTCAGACCGGCTCTCATCTCAAAGTCTATAAATATTAGAAGAGAGGGAAGAGACAAGACAGATGAAATTTGACCTTGGTAGAAATGGTTTATTCAGCAGTGGTAAGTTGACTTTTCAAGAGTTTTTATCCAGGAAAAACGAAGAAATTCACACTGAAGTCAGAGGCACACAAAGGTATTAGCAGTGAAAAAGGAACTGCAAAGCAACTGCAATAATTTTATATATATATATATATATATTCTTTATTATATAAATAGTGAATATTACGGAAATTAAGAAATTTTTAAAAATTATATAAAAGTTAAAAGTATTCATCTTATGCATATTATATTATTTAATTCCAGTTAATCCCTGCAGCATCCCTATTTATTGGGTGGTATGTTCCTCATTTCACAGATCAAGGAACCAGTGTTCATCAGAGGTCATGATCTGCCGGGGTCACCATTTTGGAAGTGGCAGAGTCAGACATCCACCTGGTCCCTGACCCATGGCCATGTGCAACTGCCACAGCACCTCATTTCTTCTAATTCACTTGGGAGGGGTGTGGTGGAGAGGACCGTGTTTTAAATAGTAGATTCCTTTCTGACTCTTCACAATTGATAGAGATGTAGAACGCTTTTGGCCTCCACAGTGTCATTCTATCTCATTTCTGAGGTTATTGATTAATAGACTTTCCTACATTGGAATATATATCAGGGTAAGCCTTTTGTCTCTTTATTATAGAGATTTGGTGTGTACATCCAGCTATAAAACTTTAACTCTAGAAGACAAGGCAATAAAAAAACAAAGTTATTCTCAGTGCCTTGATTGTGAGTTTTCTTACATCCTTTTTAATTTTATAAATATGCAATATCCTTTGTTATACCATTTATTGAGCATTTGGCTCTTCTAGGATATGTGCACAGACACATTTGATTAAAGCATTTGTAAAACAATAGCCATTGGTTACATGAAGTGAAAAGGAGAGGGTTTTCCTCTGAAACATTTTCTAGTTCAGTAGGTTTGGCCACCAGGTATAATTTTAAATGACCTGCAGGGCAGCACCTGCCATGCACCCATCACATTCTTCAGTGCTCATACAGTCAGGGTGGCATCAGCCTGCTTTGGGATCAGTAATAGTAATAATAATAGTAGTTGTGGTATTTATTGAGTTCAGACATATTCTGTACCCTTTCCACATGTTAACTCCTTTAATCCTTACAGCAGTGCTATGAGGTAGATAATAGTTCTTATTTGTAGATGAGGAAACTGAGCATGTAGAGGCAAATTAGCCTGCCCAAGATCCTCAGCTAGTGAGTGACAAAACAAGGACTTGAACCCAGGTTTGATTCTAGAGCCTACTCCCTTATCCACTGTGCTGTGCTCTCCTTCTCTTGTAGGCATAGGGATTGTGTGAGAAAAGACTTGCCAAACCAAACGCCTTTTCTTACCCTCTCATACGGCTTTAGTGATAATCATGTCTCGATATTACTCTGGTCTCCTACAGGTTTAGGCTTTGGTTGGTTTTGGCTGGGTGGTGACAGTCCTGTATACCAACAACTGGGGTGTTAAGAAATTCACATATTACAGTGACACTGTTAGTAGATATATTTGACTCTTAGAGAGCAAATGAACTCCCTGGGGAAATTTGGAGAGACTCCTGGCAGGGACACTGCCAAATATGAATTTGTTTTCTTCTGTTGTGTAGTAGAAAAAATAGATGCCTGAAATTTTTTTAGAGTTTCCTTGGTGGTTCTAGATCTCTTCCTGTGAAAACCAGTGATAATAACATTTGTCTTTCCTAAAACCTTGCTATTAGGAAAGTTCAAAAATAGATAAGTAAGCATTGAATAGGTATCATCTCATTTAATCCTCACAACAGCCTTCTCTTGTTATTTCTACTTTACAGATGAAATAGCTGAGGCTTAATGCTGGTAGTTGCACTGCCTAGGGTCAGGTGGCTAAGTAATGAGGGTGCTGACTCATGCCTGGGTCCATCTGACTCCAAAGTAGACACACTTGTCATTTTTTTTTTTTTTTTCCAAGACAGGGCTAGATCTGGAGAACAGAACTCTCCCCTCCCTTAAAAACAATGTGACAACATTCCTTGAGCAGAGTGTGCTAATCTCGGAGGATTTAGAGGATGTGCTGTCAGTGACTTCAGCTTTTCTAGTGGTTTAGCACGCCAACAGAGTTTTCTTTTTCCATTCTCTCATGTATGCATTCCAATACTAAAACCAGATGGAAACAAGGGAAAACTCTTAACAGAGGCTAGTGCCAAATATTTCATTTAAAAAGGAAACTCCATCTGTGTGCTCTCCCACCACACAGCCCACTGTTAAGAACAGGAGTTTTACAGCTCACTCACTTATGTTCGTTTTGATTAGTTTTGACTAATTGCAAAGGTAGAGCAAGTGGTGGTTAGGGAGATTGCAAACTAAGGCAGCTGTCCTTCTGGCATGTGGCTGGCAAGGCACTGTGTACCTGGCAGACATCCTAAACAGCAGCCTACCAAGAAGGCACTGTTTTAAGCCACATAGATGCATTCTTTGGGTGATTTTCTAGGTTAACACTTTGAGAAATTAGTGCACCTTTCTGTGGTAGTGAGGCTTTTGTCAGTAAGCTATAGTCAGAGGCACCTGTTGCTCCCTGGAAGAATTCCCACCCCAGTTATAGAAGAACACAGGTTAGGCAGAAGACTGACTTATGGTAAAACGCTGACTGTACTAGCTCTTCATGTCTTTGAAATTCAGTTTTCTCATCTATAAAATGGCATTAATATCTATATCCCTGCATTAAATTCACAGGGTATTTTGAAGAATAACTGAACTGTGTATATGTGTGTGTAATGCATGATATGTGGAAGGTATTCAGCTTTATGAGCAATACTATTATCTCATCATTAGTGGGATACTCACTATCCCACTAATGGTTCTTGCCACACAAAGATTGTTCATCTGTAGCTTTTTAAAAACATGTTAATGACCATACACCACCTTTACCCCCCAAAAAACCCATTGAAATAAAAATAATCTAATCGTAAAGTCTGCCTCTCAGGAACAGACTCAAGACATTTATAAGACAACAGCAAAAAGAAAAAACATGTTAATATGTATGTATGACAGGCATCCGTGACCCATGTCATGTGAAGCAAAATCACACGATAACCCAGACTTGGCCTTGGGGGTTTTCTCCCTCTCCTTCCCTACATTTTTTCCCCATTCCCCTCTGGTTTGCATCCTCTCCAGTCTGTGTCCCACTCCTGACAGGAATCTCAAGGTCATTCTGACCCGCCATTTTTAAACCAGTCTACTCTCGATTACCTAGATTCCAACATTGTTTTTCCCCAAAGCTAGAATATTAGGTGGCATCACACTGCTGTTCTATTTCAGAGTTGGAAAATTTCCACTCTAATGTCATGAATATTTGCACAATACTGGGTATATTGGGTGCAGAAGCCCTTTGTGTTTAGGCCTCTTTATCCTGCTTCACAGGGAGTTAGAACTGGGTTAGTCAATCGAAGTCCTGTCCCTGAAATGGGAGATGTTATTTTCCTACACCTATCTTTACTGGATCAAAAGAAAAATTAAAACAAAATAAAACAAAACGTTCTCTGAGGTCAGTCAAGTTCACTGTTGAGCAAACATCAGAAGTGGGAGAGGCTGATACAAATGCCTGTGGACCCAGCTTCTCAGCCCAGATCAGGTTCTTGTTTCTCCAGCTCTTTCCTGTTACCCTTCCTTTACATACACACACACACACACACACACACACACACACACAGAATGAGAACTGTACTAGCTCTGTCATGTCTTTGAAACTCAGTTTTCTCATCTATAAAATGGCAATAACTCACAGGGTATTTTGAGGAGTAACTGAACTATAGGTGCATATGTAATGCCTGATACATAGAAGGTACTCAGCTTCCATGAAGAAGAGACAGGGAGGGAGAGAGAATACGAATGACTGACATTTCCAGCTCAGTTCCAGTCATGCTAAACCATATGCAGAATTTTCCAGAAGAAACTATTAGCCACAAGCACAGTGAGGTTGCCAAGCTGTCCAATACCATAGAGAATAGACTACTAGGTAGTTACCGTGCTCTGAGCATGAGCATGTGCCCCCTCTGGCCTCCCATGTCATCTCTGTAATAGCACTTAGCATTGCTGGGCTTTGTCAGTTGGCTTTCTGTTTACTTCCATAGACTGTCAGCCTCTAGAGAGTAGAGACTGTTGTAGGTACCTCCTTTCTGTTCCCAGTGCTTTGATCACAGCATCCTTGTGGAACAAATGAAGTGTCTGGGTGGGGGGAATTGGGCATAATCCCACTCCTGCTGCGCCTCTATAAGAGCTGAGACTGCCTGAACTCTGGGCTCACTTTCTGGGTTTGAGCTCACACGTTCACTCTGGATTATAGTGGCTGGTACTTGTTTTGGCTTTTTTTTTTTTTTTTTTTTTTTTAGAAACTTGCTGTTATTCACACACACTAAGATGCTACTGGGTGGTCTTTTAATTCCCTTGGAATCCATCAGGTTACGGAGCAGGAGATTTTATTCTACCTATTGGACCAATTACCAATAAGAAAATGCACATTTCTCTAATGTATTCAGACTTTTAGAATCTTTCAAAATGAGCAATTTATAAATGCTTCCATTGTGGCCTACAGTGGAAAGCGGTTATCTTAAAATTGTGAAGCACCTGAGTGTTTCTCTTGAAGAAAGAGTTCATTTAATGGAGTAACAAGTGATCATTTAATAGACCTTGAATATGTCAAAGCTTTCCCCAGATGCCCTTTTCTCATTGTCACCGTTTTCAATTCTACATTTCCTGAAAGAGGGCTTTCCAGAGAAAAATGGAAACTGGATTCTTGTTTTTCAGTGTTAACCTCTCTGAGGATTTTCATACTGTCTCACCTCCACCCTTTTCACACAAATTATTCTTCATCCACTTTGTGTGGATCCAATGTGGCCGAGGTTGTAGACCTTACGCTACACTGCATTTTGACGTTTTTATCAGTTTAACAAGTATACTGCTCTGAGAAGCATATAGGGTCTCGGCAAATGGCTTCAAGATAGCAAGAATATACCTGGCCTTCATTCCTTGAGATCCAAGTTTTCATCTTCCTGAAAGGAAGCATTAGCCGCCCTCGTCTGTTTTCTAGCTAATGCACACAAGCAGTAATTACGTGGGTTATACCTCTGTTCAGAATCCTTTCTATCTTGTGGACAGGTCAGAGTCAACTGTGTTCTTGGATCCGTGATTTTTGAGAATGTGCCTCCTCTAAATGTATACATATTAGTTATAAAAAACATGAAACCAAGGGGAAAAAAACAATGGGAAAATCATGCCTTTGATTTTCAGGATTCATGTTTTTTAATACTTCTCCCGTTTTATAATATCTAGGTATAATTTTGTTCTCCTTTTTAATTTAACATGGTAACAAGAATTTTATTTTTTATACACTTATTATAAAGATAATTTTAATGTCGCCTTGAGTACCATACAATATTTGATCATTCATCTATTGCTGGATTTTTTTTTTTCAGTTTTCACCAGGAGAAATAATGATCTCAGTCTTGCTTTAAAAAAAGAATACCCATCTTACAGTGAGAAAACTAAGGAACACGTGGATAACTGTTAGAGGAAACATTCACACTGCTAGTGAGTGGTAGGATGGGACTGGAATCGTTCTTCTCTGTGCCCTGCTTAGTGCTCTGCCGTGAGCTAAAAATTAACTTATTTTAAAACCCCAGTCCACCAGAACCTCTTAAAAATAAAATATCTTGTCAATTTTATTGTATTTGACAATATTATTATAATTGACACATGTAATCCCAGCACTTTGGGAGGCTGAGGCGGGCGGATCACTTGAGGTCAGGAGTCCGAGACCAGCCTGGCCAACGTGGAGAAACCCCATCTCATTAAAATACAAAAATTAGCCAGGTGTAGTGGCGTGTGCCTGTAATCCCAGCTACTTGGGAGGCAGAGGCAGGAGAATTGCTTGAACCTGGGAGGCAGACGTTGCCGTGAGCACAGATTGTGCCACTGCACTCCAGGCTGGGTGACAGAGTGAGACTCTGTCTCAAAAATAATAAATAAATAAATAAATAAATAAATAAATAAATAAATAAATAAATAAATAAAATATCTTGTACTTTGTGCGCTTAACAACCAGTTAAAAATCCCTATAATATTTAACATGGTCTACACCAGGTTCTCTTTGAGATGCTTATAATGCCTGCTCGCTTTAGGGTTATGCCATTATTTGATCTCTATATACGTTTGCAGGTGTATATAAGGGTACTGTGCATGTGTGATTCTGTCTGTGTTTGCAGAGAAAGAGAGGAGAAGAAGGTGTCTTACCTAGACTCAGTCCTATGTTCTGCAAAAGAGGTACCTCATGCATTTGGTCTGGTTCAGTTAGGAATCCATCAGACATCTGCATCTTCTAATATATTAGTGTTAGATGAGGGATGGGAGAAGTGGTAAATGTCAACCAAACATATTTATGTTTTTTTTCTAGGTTGGTACATTTAATTAATGATTCACATTTCACATTATATCACAGCCAACATTTGAACACAGAGAGAAACCAGGGTGAGAAAAATTAACTTTTCAAAAAATTATTTTTTTTTAGCTTAGATTTACAGGGTACACGTGCAGGTTTGTTACATGGATATATTGCACACTGTTGGAGCTTGGGTTTCTAGTGAACCCATCATTCAAATAGTGAACATTGTATTGGATAGGTAATTTTTAAATCCTCATTCCTTTCCACCCTGCTGCCTTTTAGAGTCCCCGGTATCTGTCATTTCCATCTCTATGTCCATGTGTACCCATTGTTTAGCTCTCACTTATAAGTGAGAACATTCTGTATTTGATGTTCTGTTTCTGAGTTACTTCACTTAGAATAATGGCCTCCATCCATGTTCATTCTTTTCTATAGCAGCATAATATTCTTTTTATGTTTTTTTTTTTTTGTTTTTAGTTCTGAAATCTGTTCCTATTAATTTTTTTAACTTTTATTTGAGGTTCATGCATGTTTGTTATATAGGTAAACTTGTGCCACAGGGGTTTGTTACACAGATTGTTTTATCACCTAGGTACTAAGCCTATTACCCAATAGTTATTTTTTCTGTTCCTCTCCCTTCTCCCACCTTCCAGCCTCAACTAGACCCCATTGTCTGTTGTTCCCTTCTTTGTCTCCATGATTCTTGTCATTTAGCTCCCACTTAAAAGTGACATGTGGTATTTTGTTTTCTGTTCCTGTGTTAGTTTTATAGCTGCATAATATACCATAGTATATAAATGCCATATTAGGAAAATTGACTTAGGAATTTTCTTTAGAACTTTAGATTTTTATGTCCACAAGAATCCTTAGTCATTCTCAAAGCTGATGCCAATGTTTACACGAAAAAATGGGGCCTGCAGAAATTGGATGCTTTGCCTGACATCACAGAATCACTACAGTCAGGCAAAAGAAGAAAAAAGAACATGTTCAGATCTTTCCAGTTTAATTTTTGACTTTGGTTGAAGTGGGGTTAGATGAGAAAGAGATGTGATTATTGGCCAAGCTGAATTTGAAGATACATGTCTCTCTGACGTTCCTTTTCCTATCTGTATGCAAGAACAATTTGTACCACTCTTGGCAAGAGCCTGTCTACTAATGATCAAAGAAGTGGCTCTCTTTCTTCTCAAGTTTGATTATTGTGAGAAACTGAATATGGGTTCAGCTGTAAAGGCCAAATGTGCAGACCTATTCCACTTCTGTCAGTTCTTCCTAGACTTGGGGACCCATGAAGCAGAACGTGCCCATCGGGAGTGTTCTGGAAGAGAAAGGCCAAAAAAGCTAGTCTCTAAATGTGATACACTGCCTGATCCATTGGGTTAGGAGAATAAAATATTAAAATTTCAATTTAAAATTTAAAATATAATTGTTTTCTAACTTACATGTTTCATATATGCTTTATAATTACCATAATATAGTAGAATAGTAGTTCATGTATGTAATTTAAAATATGCATCTATTGGGGGTTAACAGTCATAAATTTTTTATTGAAGGGAGGCATAGTCATGGTTAGAGACCCCAGGCTAGAGTCCTAAGAGGTAGAAACCTTTGCTGCAGTACATGTAACTTCTGGCCAGTGACCTGTGATCAACTGTTGTCAAACGTCTGGCTTCAGAGGTAATTGCTCACAGTAGTGAGCATATAACTGCCCTTTGGACTCAGTCTCAGCCCCCACTCCTTGCTCTCAATCTGCCCCCAGATTCCATGGCTTTCTATGGGATACAGATTCAGCTGCTCTCTGGACTAAGTGTCCTAACATATGCAAGAAGCCTGTCACAGTGCTTAGCACTTAGCAGCTGCAAATGATGGTTCTCCTTTCAGGGGTTGTCTGCTCCCCTTTTGGAACCTGAAATCTGGCTGAGACAATTATTTGTTTCAGTTCTAATATTAGGCTTGATTTGGACTAGATGTAAACATCTGTGACTTTGCTTTTAGTACACTGTTATGAGGTCAGGCCTGGTTTGTTTAGTTCTAAAGCTTCTTGGCCTTTTGTACTGTTTAAAAAAGGGAAACCTACATTTCCTTTCTGGACCTGACATTTATGGATTCATCCAAGGGAGTCTCATTCTTGGCTGATACAGCAAAGTTCTTGGTTCTCTTATGAGCAATTCCATTTGGGCTAGTGCCTTCACCTTTTTGCACATAATTATTGCCCTTTGTCAGTTGTTATACTTTATATGTAAGGACTGTATAGATCCTTGTAGCACTGCTATGCCAACCCTTTTTGGGAAGGAATTTTTTTGAACTAGAATTCAAATACTGTGTCTCCAAAAACATTTACATGTGCCACATCTTACCTGAAGATAAACGTTAAGTCACAATACTCCTTTTCCATGAAATTGGGAACTGTTAAAAATATCACTTTTGTTTTTTTAAAATAACATAGCTCTGAGATTGGACCTGATTTTCTGACAGGTTTCTGAAATGGTCTGAAGGAGAGATTGCTCTGTGTTCTCCCCATCGCTGTTGCTCCTCACTCAGGTGACCTGTCCAACTACCATTCGCCTCTTGTGCCCTTTGCTTCCCAGGGCTTGTCTTTGCAAACCACCATGCTTGGCCACTGTTCCTTCACTCTAAGATGACCCTTTCTCTTCCCTTACCAAGACTATTAAAAACACAGTTCCTCAGAGCGACTGATCTGATATGTTAGTAAAGAAATAATACAGTTTACAAAAACCTTTGAAGACTGATATGTTGCTTAAACCCCTTCCCTTGAAGAGATTTGTTTTTGCAGAAAGTGGCAACTCTGCTAGAACTAGTGGTAGTGGTGGTGGTAATAGTAACACTGAGAACATTTATTGATCAACGACTATCACCCATTTTACACCTTCCTGGATAATTATAACTGGGGTTGATAGACGCATTATGACAAACACTGTGACCTCCTGTTTAGATCATTGTTCTAGAGCACTTATTTCCTTATGTGTCTGTTGGAAGCATTCATTTGTTCTTTGTTGATACTTAAGGACTCTTCTTTGTTGATATTTAAGGACTCTTGCTTGGAACCTTTCAGATAGTAATGGTCTTTACCTTGAATTTAGAGGACACTCTATTAAATGGACATTGATTTCATTTAATTTGGCTTCTGTTGGTTTTTGCATTCTAATGGAGAGTATTACAGAAAAAAAAATGCAACTTGATACTAAAGAGCCTTGCATTACTCATTTTCCTAAATTGACTTACTAACCAAGGGCACTTAGGATTATAAATGTCTTCTTCAGTTACAAAAAGTGTATTTATGGTGTTTTTTTAAAATTACTGTGTAGCCAGCCTTCCAGATAAAATTCTCTAGCTTTAAGGCTGTGATATGCCAGGAATCTTGTTGCCAATATTTTTCTACATAATATTTCAAACTCTTTTCCTTCCAAAATCTAATTTTATCTTGAGCCACAATACAGCTCTGTAAAGTTGAGGTCAGTGGAAGAAAGGAATCTTCTTCCCCATAAAATGAGCTCTTTGAGTCTGGGCTGGAAATACCTTATAGGTCACAAGCAGGGGGAGAGTTTTGCAGAAATGAGTTTAAATTTTCCTGTGACCAGTTTAATTTTTGCCTCGAGGTAGGAATTGGATGATGGTACATAAAGTCTTTTGAGGATACAGTGCTTGGTGTTATACAATGTAGTGAGCATTATAAGTACTTTGGTATGGGCAATATTAAAAAGAGATTTGTATTGAAATATTTAAATTTATAAGTTGGATTATTCTATTTTTAGCCTAACCGCATTGAATCCAATTAGAACTTTGTTTTGTTTTTATGAGAGGTACTTTGTAGAGCATCATTTTTCCATATTTCTAATGAGTTTTAAAAAGATAGAGTTCTTTGTGTATGCTTGGAAGTCAGATATACCATATCAGTAAGAAGTTGCATCACTCTTTCCTGATATGAGGCTTTATTTTGTCATACATAGGTACCAACTGGGGAAAATCTATGGCCTAGTAATGGTTCTATGTGCATACTCTGCATTTCTTTTATTTCCAGAATCAAAGTAACTCATCAGAAGTAACTGTGTAAGAGCAAAAGCTTTGGCAATAGTAAAAACATGGACTTGAATCCTGTTTCTACTACTGACTAGCTGTATAATCTGTGTAACCTAGAGGGCCAGTAGGCCTTTCTAAGGCGTAGTTTCCATTTATGTAAAATGCTGATTAAAAGTACCTATCTTAGAGGGCTAGTGTGAGGACTTAAAAAAATTGTGGGAGAAAATGTATATTAAACTGCCTGGCTTAGCCCCAGAATATAGTAAATGCTTAGTAAATGGTAGTTCCGTCATCATTCACATCTAGCATTTGAAAGCATTCTTCTACTGGCATGAAGAATAAAAGTTGTCAGTTATCTGCCAGAGATGGAACTAGAAAAGGCGAGAAGGCAGCTGGTGACTTTGCACATTCCTCAAACAGGAAATCAAAGTTCTATCAGCGGGCAGAAGAGAGTTTCTAGTCCCAGGAGCTTGACACACATTAGGATCGTGATGACAAGTTTTGCCACTAGCTTGATTGAAGTGTTCTATTCTGAAGATGGAAATTTTCCGATTTTTTCTAAAGGGCAAACCAATAGAGTTTCAATTTAAACCAAGGCTAGATGCTTACAAGTGTCCTTCAATATGCCAGGTTTTGGAGTGGTGTAAGAGCATGACTAGGGTTAGACACAAGTCTCTTCAAATCTCAGCCATCTCCTTTTCTGGCCATGGCCACAGAACATACCTAACCTCTGTGATTGCTTTCCTAGACAATGGGGACAACTCATACCTTATGGACTTGGTGTGTAAATTAAGTAAGACCACTAGCAAAGAGCCTGGCACAGTGCCTGGCACATCAGAGACCTCAGTAATTGCTGGTTGGTAGTGTGCTGAGCCTAGTGTGTGTGTGTAGAGGGGTGCAGAATTATGCAAAATGTGACTCCGTCTTCAGGGAGCTTAGGAGCCTCAAGAATACGCCGAATGCTTGAAAAGCAGTATGTTCAAGTGAAGAACACAGAGGGATGCACAACCTGACTGCTTTGTGTCTGCATTACCTGTTGACACCCGAAGTGCCATTATCCTGAAATAGCAGGAGTGCTAGAACTTGTTAAGAGTGAAGTTTGGGTTTTTGGTGTTGAAGGCGTGGTCGGTGTATTACAAAAATAAAAACAGCACTGAAACCCCTGTCTCATTACTTAGTGTGAGGTATTTTGTTTGTTTTTTGTTCTTTAAGCTGACGTGCTGTCAGTTCTTATTTTCTTCTTAGAATGTCTTTGTTGGGTGGAGAGTCTTAAACCCCAGCAGGCAGCAGGCAGCTTTCACAAGTTCGTACATGGGGATGGCTTAAGCTGAGTGCCCAGTCCCAGAAAAGCTAGAATTCCCTGCAGTTCGATAACACACTTTAAGGATATAAAAGAAACTTCTGAAAACCAGTTTCTGGTTTATCATTTTATTTTCTTCATATTCATTTTTATGCAAACGAATGACATTCATTTTGGATTTTATTCTACCATTAAAAGCTTTACAAGCAAAACCTTCGTCTGAGAACTTAGTAGTGTTTCAGACATGTCCCTGAGCACCTGTCCCTGTGTCCCCATAGGCAGCCGCAAAGCCCTCTGCGGTGGGTGTGGCCAGTCTCTGTAACTTGGTGTTGAATTCCTTACTGAGGTCCTCTTCTTTTCAGTGTAACTCCAGTCTATTCAAAGATGCAGTGATTTTTTTTTTCTCCCTTAATTCCATTGACCCATGTGACCAGACACCTAGTAGCCACTGTTTTCTTCATGTTCAATTACCCAACTGTCTCCCATTTGAAAATTTGACTCTCTTGTGCTTTTGGGTATGTATGGAAATAAGTAGCCAACAGCTGCAAAATGCAGTGGAGAAAAGGGTGTGGGTTTCAAAATCCAACAGACTTCAGTTTGAGTCTTACACCGACACCAGCTGTGTGATCTTGAGCAAGTTACTCCCCCTCTCTGTGCCGCCTTGGTTTCCTCAGCTCGAAAGCTGAATATTTGGAGTGGTTGTAAACATGTGAAGTAATGCTGCATATATGAAGCACCTGGCTTACTTATTTCCTGGCACGCAGTAGGTGCTATTGCAGGGAAGCTGCTCTTACTGTGGTTGTTGTCTCCTGTTGCCCACACAGTTGGTTCAGTGCTCTTGTGCTGGTCTCCATGGAGAACTTGCTGGGGGAAGCAGGGCCAGATTCCCTAGCCAACCGAGATACCCTGTGCCCTGAGGAGCACCCTCACTTCCTTACCACGGTACCCACTCATCTCATCATGGGCCATATGTTCAGGTTGCTTCCACTGAGGGCTATGACTTCAGCCTTGCTAGTGATTAATGGGTTCACCCTGCAATCATGCCTAGAGCCCTTATGTTGGCTAGGGCATTTATATTCCAAGCTGTCTGTCCTTATCCAAAGGAAGGCAGGCAGGACCATAGTAGCCAGATCAAAACAACGGTGATACACTTTAATCCTCGCCCTTCCACCAGTGTAGGAAAGATGAAGGCGCTGCAGCAGGTTAGTTGGCTGTTACAGCAGGTGGAGCAGAAGAATGTGGATGAGTGGCCTGTGGATACTTGGGCATCAGATGTGGGACTCCTGGTGAAGCAGGGTAGCCATCCCCAGGAGGTTGATCACTCTAACATCAATCTAACAGGCCCTTTGACCATTTAGAAGAGGATGACCCAGTTAAGTATCCTCCATAAGGATGTTACTCTCTCCTCCTGCCATGTTCAACATAATTTCTATAGACCAATACCTGAGCAACAAAGAACTTTTGGATGGGAACAACAATAAAGATAGTTAACAATAACTGAACACTTATTATATGCCAGTTACTAGACTAAGCAGCTTACATGTGTGAGCTTACTTAATCCTTCTACAACCCTCTCAGAGAGGCATGGATGCATGTTACCTCCTTTCTTCAGATGCGAAGACAGAGGAGTAGGTATGCCCAGTAACTTGCCCAGTGTCACAGAGCCAGTAAATATGGGAGTAGGGATTCAAACCAGATCCTCCTGTCTGCAGAGCCTGAGCTCTTTATATCTGCGCTGTGGACAGAGGTGTTTCCTAAAGCCACTTCTATGTCAGGCTGTGGCCCAGCCCTCAGAATTTTTCTGTCAGTGAAAGCCAAGGGGGGACTGTTGCTAATTTTGGTTGACTATTTTACTGCCTTATGTCAGCCTCACTTTATAGGAAAGATGACCTATGTCCTGCCCAGTCCTAAATCACAGTGGGATCCGGATGCCACTTGGCCTCTCATCCCCTAGCTCCTCCTGCACATGCTTGTTCCACATCTGTGGTCGCACTAAAGGCAGCTCTCACGCAGATCTTAGTGCTGCTTTCCCCTCCATTAAGGGTGACTCTCTTAGCAAAAAGGCACTAGTGAGCCTGTAGACATAGTAAAGATTCCGCTGTATAGGTGGAAGAGTGTTTACACCACATACAAAAGCAAATACCACAGCACTCTCTGTTCCCCTAAGCTCTGGCTGGACTGCCTCAAGGGACTTTTCTCTCAGAGCCCTCTTAGTATTAATAATATCTGGCTCTGCTTTCCAGAGTCTTCTCTTCCCCTTCAGTCTGCTCCCCTCCCACCTTAGGCAAAGCAATTCAGACTTCTTCAGCTGCTACCAAACCTTGCTACCCAAACCAGTTTTAACACTAGGTACAATAGAAATAAACCACCCCTAGTCAAGAGGACTCAACTCCCTTAGAAGCCAGTGAGGGTGTGAAAGGTGTGAAATAGCTTTGTTTCCCCTGTTACCTTCATTAAGGAGCTGTGACACCCTATGCACAGGCCAGAGATGATTGATGGGCCTGTGGTCTCTGAAAAAATGCTGGTCACTTTCATCTCTAAGAGCCAGTGACCAAATCCCTGTCCTCTTCTTCTGAATTGGCAGCCTTTGCAAGGATCCTCAGCCCATCCTGGGAGTTCTCCCTCTTCTTCCAACCCCCTCTATTGTCACCTTTACCCCACCCAAGAACAGCAAGTAATGTTTCTTATGCACTCCGTGGCTTCACGCTCTTGGTCTCTTCTATGCCCATTTTGAAGAAGATGCTGGCCTCTGCTATTAGTATCAGTAATTCTCAACTGGCCACCAGCTTAGAATTCTAATTATGTCCACCATTTAGCCTGAGATAGTTTTTTGTTTATTTATAAAAATCTTTGTTGAGATCTTACTGTGGACAAAAATTAAGATAATCAACTGTTTTCATGGGATTTAGAGAGAGAGAAATTAATCAGCTATGAAATACTGAGTTGATTTCTATGAAAGAAAACATAGAACAAAAGAACTTGGTGTTTTCAGTAGAAAGCGAGTGACAAACTGGGATATGAGGGTTGAAAAAGAGTTTCCTGGGGACATGCGGAAAGCGTGGGAGCAGCAGGAAAGGGTAGCCACTGTCAGAGGAAGCACTGCTCCCTGTGGCAGAAGGAAGCGTGACAACTTGGAGGAACACAAAGAAGGCCAGTGTGACTGCAGCTCAGCAAACAGAGAGTGATGTTGAGGGAGGCTGATAATGGCTCTCAAAGATAGGTTTACATCCTCATCCTGGCAACCTGTGAAGTTCACCATATTTGGAAAAAGGGTCTTTGTGGATGTAACTAAGGATTTTCAGCTGAGGTTACCCTGGATCGTCATCCTGCTGCGCCTACATGCCATCACATGTGTCTTTATACAAGTGACACAAAGGGAGATGAGACACACAGGGAAGAAAGCGATGTGAATATGGAGGCAGAGATTGGGGTGATGTCGCCATGAGTCAAGGAGTGTTGGCAGCTATCAGAAGTGGGAAGGGGCAAGGAACTGATTCTCTCCTAGTGCCTCCAGATGGAGTGTGGCCTTCTGGCCTCCTTTAGACAAAAAGGAATGCTGTAGAAAGTATAGAAGACATCATTCTCACCCTCATGCTCCCCATCAGAAACACAATAGAAATGTGAGCAGGAACATGTCTTTGTATTGAGCATTTGCATATGCTCATGAATATATGAAGAAATAAAGTATGGTTGGGGATATCTTACTCTCAAAAGCTTCCTGGTATGGTTTCCTCCTCTGAGTTGGAATGCCCTCTGGTCACATCTTTTGTTTTTACTTATTTGATGAAATTTATGGACAGCATTAAATAAATCAAGAGGGAAAACAACGTACCTTTTTTCCCTAATGCTGAGTGAGATAAGGTGTTTTTCTGATTCCTACTGTGCTACCTACTGTGCTATTTTTTCCTTGTATAACAATACTTTAAATTCTTTCAACACGGAGTTTTGTTGTAATGACAAAGAGAGTTTTAACTGTGGAGTTGGGGTCAAATTTGTATGATTAAGAGTATTAAATGCTGATTGCAGAGAATGAATGGCTATAATTCTGCCCCTTCAAAAATTTAGTTTTATCTAGAAAAACTCAGAAAGGTACAAAATGACATTTTAGATTAATACTCCTCAGTTTTACATTTGGGCAAAATTTAGCAATGACCTTTGTGGAGGTTTAGAACAAAATCTATGCTATTGATAGGTGAATATTTGATAACTGTATTCATGCCGACAGATTAACTACGTGCATTTAAGTAAGTTTGAAATAAGCTTATTTGTCTTTTTTTTTTTTTTAAGGGATAAAGAATGGCTACCCCCTAAGCAGAGCAGCCTGAAATAAGCTTATTTGTCTTAATGGAATTTTCTAAGTAATTATTATTTTTAAATATTTTTATTAAAAATTACAAATATGTAACAGTAAAGAGAATAATATCATGAATCCCCATGTAACTAGCTCTATTGGACAGTCATATTGTATTTATTTCCCATCCACTGCCTCTCACTGGATTATTTTTATGTAAATTATATCATTTCATTCTTTAATATTTTTATATGTGTATATTATATATATAAGTATTTTAAATATGTGCTAAAAACACAATCAAAATACCAGTATCACAACAATAAATCCCTTAATATCAAATATTACTTGGGTTTTAGCTTTCCCAATTGCCTGATGTGTATTTATATTTCATAGATGTAAATTCAAAGAAAGTATAAAAATTGTTTTTCAAATATATTTTATTTAAAAGGATGAAACACATTTTATACACCAGAAGGATTAAAATAGTGAAAATACAGCAAAGAACTTACTGTCTGTTTGAACAGTTTGGCTATTGTACAAAAAGAAATATAAATATATAATTATGTAACTTGACATTTTTCCATCACATAAGAAATTTTTTAAATGAAGAATGACCAAAAATTATACAGTAAAGCCATGTAATATAATAGAGTTGCTTGGCATTCAGGGCTATGTAAGAGAATATATTTTTCAAGTAAACATGCACTTTAGAAGTTGTGTATCAACCCCATCAAAAAGTGGGCAAAGGACATGAACAGACATTTCTCAAAAGAAGACATTTATGCTGCCAACAAACATGAAAAAAAGCTCATCATCACTGGTCATTAGAGAAATGCAAATCAAAACCACAATGAGATGCCATCTCTTGCCAGTTAGAATGACGCTCATTAAAAAGTCCGGAGAGGATGTGGAGAAATAGGAACGCTTTTACACTGTTGGTGGGAGTGTTAATTAGTCCAACCATTGTGGAAGACAGTGTGGCAATTCCTTAAGGATCTAGAACTAGAAATACCATTTGACCCAGCAATCCCATTACTGGGTATATACCCAAACGGTTATAAATAATTCTACTATAAAGACACATGCACACGTATGTTTATTGCAGCACTATTCACAATAGCAAAGACTTGGAACCAACCCAAATGTCCATCCATGATAGACTGGATAAAGAAAATGTGGCACATATACACCATGGAATACTATGCAGCCATAAAAAAGGATGAGTTCATATCCTTTGCAGGGACGTGGATGAAGCTGGAAACCATCATTGTTAGCAAGCTAACACAAGAACAGAAAACCAAAACCGCATGCTCTCACTCATAAATGGGAGTTGAACAGTGAGAACACATGGACACAGGGAGGGGAACATTACACACGGGGGGCCTGTCGGGAAGGGGACTGGGGGAGGGATAGCATTGGGAGAAATACCTAATGTAGGCGACGGGTTGATGGGTGCAGCAAACCACCATGGCATGCGTGTACCTACATAACAAAACTGCACATTCTGCACATGTACCCCAGAACTTAAAATACAACTTTAAAAAAATTTTTTAAATAGTTTTGTGTCTAGAGAAGCTCAATGTGTACTAGAAGATAAAGATAACATGGTAATTATTGACAGAGGATAACCGTTATCTTGATCTTTAGCACCACAGTTTAGATTTGCCTATTTAATAACTTTATATAAATAGAATCCTAGAATATGTACTATTAGTGCTTGATTTTTTTCCCTCTCGCTATTGTTTGTGAGATTTATTTATCCATATTGTTGCATGTAGCTATAGTTTGTCATTCTCATTGCTGAATAGGATTCTATCATAAAAACATACCGCTATATTTTATTCTATTGTTCATTGACATTTAAACTTTTTGAGGGTTTGGTTATTACAAATAGTGTTGCTGTGAACATTCTGGTACATGTCTTTTGGTAAATATAATTACATATTTCTGTTGGGTATATACCAGGAATATGATTGCTAAGTTGAAGAGTATGTACCTCTTCAGCTTCTGTGTATAATACCAAACAGATTTCCAAAGGTGGTACCAATTTACACTCTCACCAGCAGTGTATAGAGTGCCTGTTGCTCCACATGTGTGATCATTTTTAATTTTAAATTATTTATTGAGCAGGGAGGGTTATTGAATGAATATTTGTAGTTGAAATTTGACAGGTATAAGAAAGCCAGTTACAATTGTTAAAAGAAAGATTTTAGATAGACTAAATTTAGTAGAGTTTAATTGAGCAAAGATCAGTTGGCAAATCAGGAAGCCTCCAGAACCAGAATGGGTTCAGAGTGACTCCAGGGCTGCCACATGGTCAGATAACATTTATGGAAAGAAAAAGGGAAAGTGATGTACAGAAAACAGAAGTGAGGTGCAGAACAGCCAGATTGGTTACAGTGAGGCATTTGCCTTATTTGAACACGGTTTGAATAGCTGGCTACCTGTGATTGGCTGAAACTCAGCCACTGTGATTGGCTGAGGCTCAGTTACACTACAGGAGTAATTTACAGCCTGTTTACATATCCAGTTATGTTACAGTTCATTATTTGAAGAGAAACTTTTAGGGTAAACTTAAAATATGTAAGGAGGCAGCTTTAGGCTAAATTTAATTTAACACTATTTTTATTAATCTGAAATTTTAAAGAAATAGATTTTGGCCAGATTAAAGGCAATTTTCTCACTCATTCTACATTCGAGAAATATTTCCATTTATAAATTATCTGTTTATAACTATCTTCCGTGCGTCTCTCTCTCACTGTGAGGAAAATGGAGCATGGTTTGCCATGATTCCTTTGGGAAGAGCTCTAAGCAATCTAGAACACAGTTGTTGAGGTGCCTCTCAGTCTTGTCTTTTCAAGGCCACTTAGTGCTTAACTCAAGTACCCACTTTCCATCTCTTTAGTTGTCTGTTACCCTTCTACAGAATCCTCTTTAGTTTCTGCATTTCTCTGAAATTATGAAGATTTAAAAACTTTAAACTTGGGAAGAGATAATCATTACTCAATTTAGAGAAAGGGCTCCCCTTCTGGCTCAGGCATTTTACACTTCTATTAATATTTTTAAATAAAAGATATTAGATGTTAAAATACTGGCATTGTGTAATGAAGTATCCAACTATAAACAGCATTTGTCTGTAAAATAAAATGTTTGCTCTAATGGTGCTTACTCTCTACTTTTTCGTGTTGAATTTAGTACCAATTCAGTTGGATTTCATGCCTTTTTCCTTTTAGTTCTTTCCTTATCTTTCCAGCTACTCTGTGTGCCCTCCTCTCCCCCATTGATGTCACTATGACACCGAGTATCAAGATGTGCACCAACGTATTAGAAAGAAATTGGGATCGATTTTAGGATGCCTCCTAGATCGTATTCCCTATTTTATGCTGTGTAATAGGTTTCTGTAACATGGAAAAAATTCATCTCCTTCAGTACTTAGAGAAAATTAATAATCAGTCACACTAATTGTGTCTTTATTGTTATGTGTGACAGACTCAACATTTTAAAAAATTATACTGAGACAAAATATTCTATTTTCCTCTATTACCTGCTATTAATTTTTGAAAGTGTTGTTAAGGATAAACTCTACAACCTAGCGGTCTCTGGTTAATCCAGGAGAACCCCTGCTGAGATAGCAACAAAAGAAGAGAAACTTTGTTAAGAATCAGTAAACATGGTGCTTGCTCCATGTGCTCATGGTCAGAGGACAGTTCTCACAGTCAGAGGACAGTTGTCACCTAGTTTTCCCATTTCAAGAGAGTTCTCTGAACTCAGAAAATCAACTATGTGAGCATAGTGTCAGGTGGTCCCTATTTGGGCCAGTAACAGTCTGTTACTGAGTGTGAGGAACCTTCATGCCACAGAGTGCTGCCCTACAGCCTGAGCTCCTGGCACTTCCCATAGATTCTCTGTGCAAAACATCAGATCTCTGCACTTAGGCAGGTGAAAAGTGTCCATAAAGAGCATAAAGTCAAGGTTTTTCATAACCATTATAGTTTTCCTTGGAGATTCTTTGGGTCCAGGTACCAGGTAATGCCACCACCTAGAAGCCTCAGTGAAGCCTTGCCTTTTTAAACTTTTCCCCTGTGAGTTTGAAAATGGATCTTCACGAATTGTAGAGCTATTTCAAAGTGCAAGTCCCTTTGAAACATTTTTGCTTTCTCCGGAGAGAAGTGGGATTGGCGCCTTTTCTCACTCCCATCTTCATGGATGTAGCACTCTGTGCCCTCTGTGTAATACTAAGGCAAAGGATACTGCATATGGAGACTGCCGTTTTGTTTTAAATTAATGTTTGTTTTCAGATTGGAAATGGATCTGACTTGAGAAACTGTCAGTCACTAGTGAAAATCTGAGCAATCTTTGTGAAGGCAGAAATCAATCTGTGTAGAAATATGAGTTTATATAACAAGATGATACTTTAGAGTGTGGATCCTTACAAATAAAAGGTACATCTTGAGAAGTGGCATGTAGAGTGAAGGCATTCCCTTTCAAGAAGACTGTTTGGATGTGATAATGTCATTCTGCAATTGGGAAATGTGTGGATTTGGGCTTTTTTTGTCATTAAACTTTAGCTATAATATTACACATTCTTATCCAATCACTGCCAGTTTACTATTAAGTTGAACAGCCCATTCCCCAGCCATTATTTTTAGTCAGTTTTCCCCATGTGTGAAGAACGCTTAGTGTCTAAGCATAGAAGTTGTGTTTGTGGAAACACCTCTGATTTGTGTAACTGATGCGTGAATGATACTCTTCCTCTCATTCCTGACTTCTTACCGATGTAGTTGGCAGTGACTCTTCTTATCAATAATTGGTCTTTGCGCGTCATTCTTAAGAATGTGTAATGCTCTGCCTCCTGGCATTCTGTTGAAATTGTTCTGAGTTTTCTGATTTACTTCTCCATCGCCGTCTCTTTCACCACGTTGTGCTCTCAGTCCCTATTTTCTTCAAAATGCCATCTGTGTTCCCTTCTGTGGGCTGTTCCCATCATGGCTGTCATTCCTGCCTGAGCATAAGCCACAGCTTCTTATTCAAACCCATTTGGTCCCAGAGAATCAGAAAACTGAATTATTTTGCTTTCCCTTCACATATGGAGCTCTCTATTAATATTCCTTTTCTCCTTTGCTTTCTATTTCCAAAGACCCCTTTCACCTTTTTAAGCAAGAGTAGATTATTTGGGGAGACTTTTACCGATATACGGGCCACTTTCAATTTTCTAGATAATAAGCACTTGACTGGGCCATGACTCTGCCTTTACTTTCTCAGATTGTTTCTTCAGAGCAATTTTTTAGTAACTCATGCTATGTAGCTTTTCATTTTGAGTTACAAAAGCTCCAGTCTTGTCATCCAACTGCTAAAAATCCTGGGCCCAGTCATCTCGGTCTTCTCCCTCTTTACAAAGGCTAGCCCCTTCCTGAATACTCTGTATCCCATACCCTCTTAATTTCTCAAGGATTGCTCTTCCATTTATCTTCTCTCCAATCTGCCCTATGAAACTGTTCCCATTAAGTACCAACAATGCTTTTGTGTCGCCCATTAAAAAATAATCTATTCAGGACTCCAGGCCCTCTGCCAACCTCTCTTCTTCTCCCTTTCTTGGAGAGACATTTGCACTTGCCTTGGGCACTTGTAATTTCTTCTTCACCCTTTAACCCACTTTGGTCTGACTGAGACCCTCCGTACTTGATTCCTGCTCCTGATGAGGTTATGGGGTACCCCTGTGTTCCCTAAGCCAACGGCTACTTTTCCAGTCCTCTTTCACCAATCTCTCAGTAGCATTCATCATAGTCAATCCTTCTCTGCCTTCAATTTTTTCCCTTTTGGCATCAAACATACCATATTTTATCTTGGTTACCTTTCTACCCCACCACTTGCTTTTGGTTTTGTCTCCATTGCAGATCTCCTGTACCTTAATTCTTAAATTTGGACACTCTTAGGACTCTCGCCTGGGCCCTCTTTCACATTTATCTTTTTCTACATTCTCAATGCTATGATCAATAAGTGTTAGGGGCTATTTCTAGTACTGTTATATTTACTTTGTAGGGTAGTTCTGACAGGAAAATAAAATTTTACAGAAACTGCCCAGAATATAGAAAATATCCCATAAACAGTGCTACTGTTACACATTTTTTCATATTTGTTTCTCTCATACATTTGTATAAAGAGTAGACTCAAAGACTTGTTGAAATAAAGAATAGTTGAGTTTATGTTCCTTTGGTTTCAGATATTCAACATCTTGGCTTTCTGTTAGGTGTTAATTGCCACATACTTCCTCTAAGAAGGTGTATGTCTCGATCCACCAGATATTAGCATAAACGTTTTCAGATCTTTTTCTTTAATCGATCCACATCATTGTTCTACTCTCTTGAGTTCAACCGTTTTGACTATTCTCAAATCCAGCGTGTCTCCCTGGAAGTCACTTTCCCTTTTCTAGAGAAAGTTTATTAGCTTATAGTTCTTATTACACTGCTTTTGTAGAGGATTCAATGAGTTAGTATATGTTTTTACTATATATAAAGCCCTTAGAACAATGCCTAGCACATAGTTGATGCTTGGTAAAGGTCAGCTGCTATTGCTATATTTTAAAAATTATTATTATTTTGCAACACAGGAAATTCCTTCAAGGAAGGGCTCATCTATCTGTTTATGAGCATATTGGCAGTGGTTATCTAATTTGCCTTGTTTGTAGGGGTAGTGTTTTGTTTGTTTTGTTTTGTTTTGTTTTTGAGACAGGGTCTCCCTCTGTCACCCAGGCTAGAGTACAGTGGCGTGATCATAGCTTACTCCAGCCTCAAACTCCTGGGCTCAAACCATCTGCCCATCTCAGCCTCCTGAGTAGCTGGGACTACAGGTGTGTGCTACCACACCTGGATAATTTTATTTATTTATTTTTTATAAAGACATGTCTTGCTATGTTGCCCAGGCTAGTCTTGAACTCTTGGCCTCAAGCAATCCTCCCAAAGTGCTGGGATTACAGGTGTGAGCCACCGTGTGTAGTGTTTTTTGGTGTGGTCCAAAGGCTGACTGGTTCAGAACAATGTGAATGCTCAGAAAATAGCAGATTTCTGGGGTCCACTACAACACACTTGCCAAACCATGATCTGTGAAAGTGGGAGTCAGGAATCTGCTAAAAAAAAAAAAAAAAAAAAAAAAAAATTCCTAATTGGTTCATATACATGCCAAAGTTTGAGGATTGTTTTTATAGCCAATAAATTGTGAGCCCTTGGAGACACAAAAGCTTTCAAGACATCACGCATGGATTAGTTACTTAATAAGCAGTTTGTTGAATTAAAAGCCTTGGAGAGCACTGAGTCTGTTGCTCTCATGTTGCCAACAGGAAGTACAAGCCTAGCGAGTAGAATCTCTGAGATCTTATTGTTTGCTAGTGGCAGAGTCAGGGCTAAGATTCAGGCCCTGAATCTTTTCACACTCTTTTCACACTCCAAACAAACTCCCCATGCTCATGTAATGACCTAGAAGCTCTTCTAGTATGCCTTCCATAAAGCAATGGAGAGTACTGTCCTACAAAACAGGTGAAGAAGATGGTCCAAAACCTAGGACAGCAGTGCAGTGGTTATGTGTTAAGTTTCATGCTATAAGTCTTCATAGTCTAGTGTAGTGATGAGAGCCCCGGATCGAAGACCTTGGTTTAAAACTCATTAACAACTTAGGTAGGCAAACCCAGAGTACTGGACAAAAAGATCCCAAATCCCCTTCTAATTCCAGCATCTCCAGTTTTGATCTGAACATGACAAAATGCCATGTCTGTTTGAGGCAGTCGCATTTTCACTGGTGAACACTATGAACTACCAAGGAAACTCTCTCCCATATCCCCTATGTGCTCCCAGCAGAGCCCTGGCTCTGTGTGTCTGATGGGGTAAGGGCTTTTCCGCCATGATGTGTTTAAAAATAACTTTAGTTAGAATTTTTTCCTTGGATGTTTTAAAGCAAGAAGAAAAATGGCTGTGTTTATTTACCTCTGCCTGAGGTTGGAGTCTGCCCAGCTTGCTGCTTTCCTAGGTGGTCAGCGTGCCCAAGCTTGAGGATGGGATGATACCTTCCGTGCGGTGGCAGAACTCAATAGGTTCCTCCGAGCTTTACTGTTTCTCCGTCTTTGAATGTGATAAAATGAATTGTCAACCTGTTTTCACTCGTTGGTTCCTTGAAGTGATAGCTTTTTGTTGCATAGCCTGAGCCTCTTCTTGTGGAGGATGCTACATTTTGACTGGCTAAAGAAATATGGAGAAAGGTGAGGACAAAAACAAATTAGCAATAAAAACCAACACTAATTTCTGTTTAAAACTTTTGGGGAGGGAAAACAAAGCATTTAAGAAAATCATGTTGCTTAATACAAAAAAGCAACAATGAATTTCAATGATATGTAAATAAGTAACTATTTCAAATCACCAAATTACCCTTTTTAAATAAGGAAATATGTTTTTATTTCAGTTCTTTGGTACTTCAGAGTCAAAGCTAGAGCTCCTACCGTTCAAAATTTTTAGTGATTTATTTAAAGGTCAAGATATAGACATTATTCTAACCACTGAAACATATTTTTATTCCTTTCTGAATGTTGTAATCCAATTACATAGCAGTACATTTTATTAAATATATTCAGTTCAGTTCTGAAGAAAAACTGGTTTTATTATTTATAGCAATTATGTTTTCAAATGTCCTCCTTCAGAAGTAAACCTGGCAGTTTCCATTGAGTTTACCTTTTTAACAAATAATTCAGAATTTAATTACTAAATTTCATAAGGAACATAAAACTGAAAAATGTGAAAATTTAAGGTTTTGCTTCTGATGAAACATTTAGAATGAATCATCAGTTAGGTTTCCATTCAGCTGTACCCAGTGAAAAGCCCAAAGAAGCAGTGGCTTCAGTAAGTCAGTTTATTTTTTTCTCACAGGAGTCCAGGTGGGTACCTCTGTTCTTCTGCCTTACCTGCCTTCAGTTGCCTGTAGTTGCAAGAAGTATGGGCCACCTGCAGGGCCACACTTGCCTTTCAGAAAGGAAGAAGGGGCAGGGCAGAAGACAAAAGGATCAGATCAGCTTTCAGTGAGTCCTGCCAGAAACCCAAGTGACTTCCAAGTGCGTTTCATTGGCCACTGTAGTTGTGAGTACGGTGAGATTGAAAACAGATTTCCCAGCCTTCTTGCCTCACACCCCACCCCCAGTGCCAGAATCAGGGTTCTGTTAAGAGGAAAGAAAGAATATTGGGCAAGATGCTAACCCTGTCAGCCAACTTCCGAAGAGTGAGCATACACCTTTTCTGGAAGGGATTTCACCTTTCTGAAACTGATTTCAGATTTGAAAGGTGAAACTGAATTTTCACTTTTCTTAACTGATTCTAATTAATTTAAGATTTTTCTGTGACCCCTTTTGTTTGTTTTCTCCTCTGGGCCAAGAATCTAATCTTCCTGCTAGTAGGTGTACCTGTCTTGATTTTTCTGCTACATAGCTATCAGTTTGAGAGCAATTAAATATGCACATAGATATTGGTCTGTGGGATTGGGACTAGGCCACAAGGGCATGAACCACCCCCTTTATCTTTTGTGAAGACACCTGCCATTTGTGAGTAATTGATTTGCTCTTTTCATGGCCTTCACAGCACTACCTGACCTCAGATCAAAGGCAGTTGTGTTCAATAAATGCTGAATAAAAGATCAGACCGTCAGTGGGCAAAGCGTGGAGACAAGATAACCAGCTGTTTGATTATCTTGGAAGCAGGGTGAGAGAACACCATTCATGCATCACGATGAGTTTTCTGAACAGCACACTGACTTCCACTCAGTGTGGCCCCTGAAGTTCCATAAGGTGCTGAGAACTGAATGTGGTGATTTCAACAACCTCCTCCTTCCCAGCTTCACCCACAGTGTGTGAACTCTTTCCAGGTAGTCTGCTGGGCTCAGTGTTTTCCATCTCTGGATGAAGTTGTTGACAATGTATGTTTGGTTATCCAGTCTGCTTTCAAATATGGTTCTAGTTTTCCCTGGTAAAAATGAGGCTCAGACAGCACCATTTGTAGTCCCTTGATATCATTTTTATTCTTCATGTCAAGACCTCCACTAGTGGCCAAAAATGGCCCTGTTAGAAAAAGTTGATTTCTGGTTTTCTTCTGTTTACTTTTCTTTCCCTTCACTTTCTTTCAGGAATTTTGTCAAATTCCATCCTACAATTTCATTGAATCATTGCTTTTTACAAGTTGACTGTGTCCCCAACAGCAGATTTGCATTCTCTTTTCTCGGCAGTTCACCTATTTGCAATCTTGTTTCTCAGACACAGAAAGAATTGAAGTAAACACATCACCTAGAGAGACTTGCTGAGGGGGAACTGGTGCAGATGCACACCTGGCAGCCTGTTGGCATTCAGCCAGCAGCTCCTGTGTGAGGCCCTGTAACTGCTACTCACAGGCTCTCAGAAACTAAAGGAAGCATTCACTTGTATTAGTCTCTGGTATTTTCTCACACAGGTGGTCCCTGAGTTAAGAACATGCAATGGCACTCTCTCAAGGAGAGGAAGGAGCCAAAGAAGAAAGAGGTCCAAAGCAGAAAAGAGCAGACAGCTAAGAGTAGGTTCTGCTGCAGATGCTGGGCTGTTGGGCTAGATACCCATGGGCTAGTGGGTACAGGGTCTGCTCCCCTTGGCCCCAGGACAGAAGTCAAAACTCTGGTTAGGTTTGTAAGCCTTTAGTGATCTGGTTTCTGCTTACTTCTTTACTATTCAACCTCCTGCTCCCTCCTCCCCCTGCTCATTTCTAGCCACCCTTTTCCCTACCGCTACATACAACCTTCATGCCAGTGTCAGCCATATTGATTAATCTGATGAACCTTCATATTCTTCCATCATCCTTTAATCACATTTCCTATTTCCTCACCCAGCTGAATGTAATGAATCCTTCCATCCTCAGCTCTCATGTTCTTTCTCACAGAGGCCTGCATGAGGCCTCCTCTGCACTCCCATTGTGTCCTCATGCATCCCTATCATGGCCCTTGCCACATTGTCCTGCATTTATGTTTGTCTACTCTCCCACTAGATGGTAGGACTTTGAGGTTAGTGACCATCTATTATTCAGCTTTGTGAATATGGTATCTAGCATGGTGTGTGGCATATGCTCAGTACTAGTAAGTAAATTTGTGGATGGAACCAAAAGAAACTGGCTATGTTGTCAAATTTTATAGATGAATTTTTCATCTCTTGGGTTGAGATATATCTCCTGCTTGTCAAGCCTCTCCCTGCATGATTGCTTGTTTTTGTTTGTTTGTTTTGTTTTGTTTTCCAAGATAGAGTCTTGCTCTGTCGCCCAGGCTGGAGTGCAGTGGCGCAATCTTGGCTCACTGCAAGCTCTGCCTCCTGGGTTCAAGCAATTCTCAGCCTCTGCCTCCCAAGTAGCTAGGATTGCATGTGCCTGCCACCACACCTGGCTACTTTTTTTGTATTTTTAGTAGAGATGGGGTTTCACCATCTTGGCCAGGCTGGTTTTGAACTCCTGACCTTGTGATCCACCTGCCTCGGGCTCCCAAAGTGCTGGGATTACAGGCGTGAGCCACCTCGGCAAGGCCAGTTACTTGGTTTTAATGTCTATTTAGGGTTGGGCTGAGGTAGAGTAGAGTGGGGGAAGTTGCCGTGGAGTCAGGGAGGAAGATGATTGATTTTGGAAAAGGTTTGCATCCAGGTCAACAGGTCTCTGACACATACCAGCATAAAAATAGACCCATAGTTCTTATCAGTCTGCAGTCAGCCTATTTAGTGAAAGGTCAAGAGGCTTCCAGCATCAAGCCAGCTGAGCAATAATAAAAAGGTACAGATGACAGATTGAGGATAAAGGGAAAATGAACACATCTTAATCACACATCACATACTTCATGGGTTTCTCACCCATGGAACCACTGTTTGGCAGAATGCTTTCAATATGAATGTTGAATTTGTATAGTCACAATTCTTGTATTTTGCCCTCTCTCATATAGCAATCATACTTCTACTGAGGTTACCTGTTCCCACAGAAGGGTAAGAGTTTTAGAACTGAAACCATCCTTCTCCTTTGCTTCTAAACACCAGATTCTGTCACGATACCTTATACTGGGAATCATTCCAGTAAAATCACCCTGTTTACATCAGCTGGGTGTTCTGCTATAGGTACCAACTGGATGGACAGGCAAGTTCCTCTCCAGAGTTAATCTGTAGGGTTTACATTGCTCTCTCAGCTTTATGAAAGTACGAATATATCAGATTTCTCAAAAAGAGTGACATTTGGGGATTACAGTGCAGGAGGTCAGTGATGACACACCTCTTCAAGATACTGTGCAGACAGGCACCAGGACTCTTCTTTTTGAGGATATGGACTGGGACTCAGTTTGTTATGCTCTGTAAAGTGCTGTCCAGTACAGCAGCCACTAGCTCTATGTGGCTATCAAGCACTTGTAATTAAAACCAATCCCCATTAAATTGTGCCATGAAGTCTACAAAACACACAAGATTTTTAAAACTCAGTATTAAAAAAATGTAAAATAACTCAATAATCTTATATTTATTACGTGTTGGGTTAAATGAAATACATGATTAATGTCACCTGTTTCTTTGTAGTTTTCCATGTGGCTATTAGAAAATGAATGTTACCCACATTTTGTTTCTATTGGACAGCGATGGTCTAGAATCACAGAGTTTCAACATCATGATACAGTACATGTGAAGTATACATACGAATTCAACAAACATATCTTGATAGCTTTCATTTAGAGGTAATGGCCATCGCCATAGGCAGAATAGCAGAAAGTTCTCAGTTTTCACCTCTCAGGTTAGCCCAACAGAGCTGTAACTGGAAAAAAAAAAAAAAGGTAATGTAGATTTACTTGAAAAAATGTTATGTAACCACATCTAATTGAACCTTTTGCTAAAATCTTTCATTTACTTCTGTTGTTTCAGAGGAACCCATTACCCTTTAGCTTGCCTAACAGATATAGGGTTGGAGTCAAGACTTCCCAAACTAGAATAGAAGTCAGGAAGGTATTCAAACACCAAGATCCGCAATTATGTACTCCATATATCCCTGTGGTCTGTTGATGCAGTATCTCTGTTGCCTTGGCCACAGTCACCGGAGCACTAGGAGGGGATTTAAATGTTAGTTGGTAACTGTAGCAAAATATCTTGATATTTGGCTTGATCTAAATCAGTGATACTTTATCAGACAAAAGCAAATAAATGCAATATGATTAATTTCTTTTCATTGAATTCTGAGATGTAATTAGACTTCATTTTCTGCTTTTCAATCCCTTGTACTTATGTAATTATTATTATTATTATTTTTCAGTTTTAGGTTTATGGCATTTTCTGGCTGCCTGGAGTTGGCTGCTTAAATGATCTTCCTTCCCCCTGGACATCAACCCTCTGCCTTTGTTGTACTGCCACAATGGTTTAATAGAGCAAGTTGAATACATGTTAAGTGCCTTAAACCAGCAAAGTGAGTTTTCTGTTAGGAATGTCTAGCCAGTGGGCAGGGACTCATGTTTAAGATCCTCTTGAAAGCTTAGGGGAGCAGATCGTTATGGAGGACCCCTGGCCTGCTTCCAGGAGGGTGAGGGCCAACTTGCCTCCATTAAAAACAAATAAATAATATTTTAAAATGTAAATGTCATTCTTTATAATGCAGTCTAGTACTGGTATAATGGACTAACTTTGTTTTGTGGGCCTTTTTTTTTTTTTCCTGGTTTTTCTTTTCTTACTAAAATGTGAAAGAATGGCTTCCTCTGGGCCTTAGAATCTGGAAAGGTATTTGGTGTAGATTTTGATTTTATAAGCCTTAGAAATTATTATAGGGGCAGTGTCTACCATACAGCAAACAAGGGCCTTGGAGTGGAGTATTACTTTTTTTAGGCAGGGATAAAGTATGAAGCATGGTTAAGTATTATAATGATAAAATTGTCAGAGATGGGAGAAATGGAATCTCATGAAAAACAAAATCTTTGCCTGACTGAATTAGCTATTACAGAGATATTAGGAGATAAACCATCCTAAGCCTAGGTGGGCAGGGGACAGCATCTGATGAAGCAGCTCTTCTGAAGCTTATCTGCTCACACATTTTGGTTCATACTGCTCTTGCGTGAGAAAAAAAGTGGTGGGAGTGCCAGGGCCCAGCATATTCTGTGTTTTTCAGTTCAGACAGCCAAATATTAGGATCTGATTTTCCCCTGCCTAAAGTTTTATGTGATTTCTGTTGTCTTGTACAATGTGTGCATCAAGATAAACAAGGTGAATGGTTTTCTTCCCCATATAAAGCCAGGCAGATTGCTCGTATATGATTTTGCACCTCATCAACACGTTTCTGCATTTGCAAAGTGGCAAAGGCTGAGTGATTTTTGATTGGCAGTTTTGAAACACCTTCCACCCATAAAACCCAGAATACTGGGAGCAAAATAATTAACAAAATATCTGAAAACCTGAATGTACACAGGTAATTTTTTTTTTAAATCTCAGCCAAATGGCTGCATCCCTGCATGCACATGGACAATTAAGCTTAATGTCAGAAACAGTACTATTTAAAGATAACACAACCAAGAAAATATTTGCTTACATTTCTTTATTCATGTTGCTGTATATACATGTTTAAAACATATATCAGCTATGGTCAGAAGTGATAATATAAATTACTGTATTTTATGTTTCTAAGACATATATATATATGTGTTTTACATTTTAATGAAATTGGGATGCATCTTAGAATCTGTGACATCTTTAAATGGCTAGCCAGGTGGCAGTCATCACATAATTGTGATTGCCTGTGCAGATTGGGCATAACTGCTCATATTGTCATCACTTCAGTTAAGACAGGTTGAGTGTAATTGCCCTGTAAACTGCCTTCAAAAAGATTATGTTGTTCAGTATATATAAAGGCATAGTAACAGAGCAACATCATATATAAGTCTAATTCTAAAAGAACTCTTAGTAAATGTAAAAGCATGTGTTTAAAAAGTGTGTCGTGGTTTAATTGGTAGTCTCTTTACTTTTTTTTAAATTATATTTTAAATTCTGGGGTACGTGTGCAGAACGTGCAGGTTTGTTACATGGGTATACATGTGCCATGGTGGTTTGCTGCACGCATCAACTTGTCACCTACATTAGGTATTTCTCCTAGTGCTATGCCTCCCTCCACCCTCACCCGCCGACAGGCCCTGGTGTGTGATGTTCCCCTCCCTGTGTCCATGTGTTCTCATTGTTCAACTCCCACTTATGAGTGAGAACATGTAGTGTTTGATTGTCTGTTCTTGTGTTAGTTTGCTGAGAATGAAGGTTTCCAGCTTCATCCATGTGCCTGTAAAGGACATGAACTCATTCTTTTTTATGGCTGCATAGTATTCCATGGTGCATATGTGCCACATTTTCTTTTTCCAGTCTATCATTGATGGATATTTGGGTTGGTTCCAAGTCTTTGCTATTGTGAATAGTGCTGAAATAAACATATGTGTGCATGTGTCTTTATCATAGAATGATTTCTAATCCTTTGGGTATATACTCAGTAATGGGATTGCTCTCACGCCAGTTAGAATGGTAATCATTAAAAAGTCAGGAAACAACAGATGTTGGAGAGGATGTAGAGAAATAGGAACACTTTTACACTGTTGGTGGGAGTGTAAATTAGTTCAACCATTGTGGAAGACGGTGTGGCAATTCCTCATGGGTCTCTTTACTTATTTACTGTTACACAAATAATAGTGCCTGTTACATAAATAATAGTACCTTTTGACAATCAGTGATGACTTGGATATGATTAAATCTAATCTATAAGATTCTTTACAAATCTAATCTGTAAGAATAGATTTATTTGCAAAGTGAAGAGATTTCTTTCTTCACATTCTTCCTATGTGTATATTTTCCATTTCTCCTCCTTTCTTCAAACTAGTGACCTCTTCTATCTGAAGGTGGCATTACTCAGCATCCAAAGAGCATGCCAACCTGGTTTTGGTGCATCCAATGACAGTAGGGTTTTTTGTTTTGTTTTGTTTTTTGTTTTGTTTTGTTTCTGGCCTGTGATCCATATGTGAGGAGGAGGGGGAGCAGGAAACAACAGTGTTGAAAAGCAAACAGCAAGTGTTCAAGTAGAGTCTGGGACTAATGGAGCAAAGCAAGCCAGTAGACTCTCAAATGGCTGTAAAGTTTAACTCTGATCTAACACAGGGCTCTAGTCAGTGGAACCACAGACACAAAAACCTGCTACAGACACAAAAAATAAGCCAAGTTCAAAGACATCTGGTTCTAGCCAACCTAAAGTTATACTGTTAAGTCAAGGAAGAGTCACATGTGCTTTGTGATTCTACACACATTCTCATATTTCTCTCGTTTGTTTTGGATTCTTGGGCTAGATCTCTCCTGTGAAAGGAGATATGAAAGAGAGTTGCCAAATTGTCTCTGTCTGGTCTGTGCATGGATGTTAAGTTGTTAGTATGTGTTCATCAGGAAAAGATTATTTCCAAGAGCAGTGCTACATCTGAGAAGAAAGACTTTCTAGGTGGAGTCATGTTGGCTTATCTTGGATTTCAATAAAAGAAGTCAAAGAAAAAGCAATCTAGTATAATTGTATTTTAGTGTCATATAATCTGAAATAACAAGTGTGTTCGAAAGTAGACATTTTATACTCTTTGCAGACACATTTCCTCTTAGATGTTTTTAGAAAATACTGTTATATTGTATGCAAAGCCCATATAACCCCATCTTATTAATATCAATCATCCTTTTGAAACTTCACCACACATATCTCCACAACATGGAGATGTTTTTCTTCCTTTTGAAATTTAGATTATTCTTACTTGTTTTGACTTAGTTTGGCTCTTTCTTACTTCTTGCTGAGCCTTTTCACATGAATCATATATATGGATTTATTTGGTCAGGGGACGGATGTTGCTTTTTATCTCTTTTTCTTTTGTTTGTTTTGACACTTCTCTTAACTTCACTCTCAACTTTATTTTCTAGCTTTTCCTTCATTGCCTCAAATTTGTTTCTTTCTATAATTTGGAGATTCCTATATTATAAATGTTGTCTAGCAAAACCTATTTGCACATAAGAGGCCCTGCAGGATTAACTGTGGCTTATTGTTATGAGAAGCTGAGTGTATCTAATGATCCCACATTTGCCCTTGCTGCTTTTTCATATTTACTAAAGGATTTTAATTCAGTGCTATAGTGCAATACTAATTTTTATAAAATACATTTCTAGATGGTGCACATTTCTCTGTGGGAAGATCAGTCTCTTTTAGAGGTTTTCTGTACCTTCGTTTCGTATTCCCCTCTTCCACCATCCCATTGCTCCAGGAGACCTAAGGAACTCTGTGAGATGCATTAATGTTATAAATGTAAAGTAAATCAAGTATTTTTTGAGATTTTTTTTAAAAAGAGTATTAATATCACTTAAGGTTCTTAAAATGTGTCTTTTGGTGTTCTCTATCAGAGGTCAGTTTGCCTCTGACCTCCTAACAACAAAATTCTTAGGAATTTTGTTTTAGAGAGTGACTTTATTGATTTTATAAACAAATTATTATACTTCTTATTTTTCCTCCTATGCCCCTTGGCTTTTATTAGTTGTATTATTTTTACTTTGTCAGGGACTCTAATATTTACATTCTATTCTGCAAACATGCTTCCTTCCTACAATTGTTTAGTCTTAGTTCTGTATGTTAATGGATTTGATGCTTATCCCAGATCCGTTAACCGTGGCCTCTCCATGTTTAGCCTTTATTTTTATTCAGCTCTTGATAGGCTGGATGTCATCATGGAATGTCTGTTATCCTTTTCAAGAGGTGATGAGAGTGCTACATTTTGTCCTTACGTTCTTTCATGTTTGAGAATGTCTGTTGTGTTTATACTTTGAACAAGAATGTTGTGTGCAATATTCTTAGATAGTACTTTCTTTCTCCCATAACTTTCTAGTTGTTTTACTGACTTCTGTCACTGAATGTTGCCAGGAAGAAGCTTTGACCAAGTCTGATTTATTTTCCCCTTCTGTAAATGACTCACTTTTATTCAGTCTTAATGTTAGAGAATTATTTCTTGATATTTTAGGTTCAAAAACTTAACAAGGTGATGTCTTTATATTAACCTGTATACTCTATAAAATCTACAAGTTCAATTTGTTTTTATTTCAGGAAGTTTTCTTCTATCATGTGTCTTAATATTTTATGCTCCACTCATTGGATTCTTTTCTTTAGGTAACAGTTATCTTTTGTGGGATCATCTTTGAATTCCATTGCTATCTTCTTCTCTTTCATTGCTTCAATTTTGGTATTTTCTGCCCCTACATTCACTATTATTTTTGTCTTTTTCTCATTGCTTTGTCTAGGAATTGGATAGTTACTAATTCTCGGGTCCCTAAATTGCTCTGTAACCTTGGAAAATCACTTGATCTCCCCAAGAATACAAGAGTTTTTACATAGAAGTAAGTTTTCTTTTAACTGGACTTTGTATATTTTAGGTTTCTTTTTTAATAATTACGTTAAAAAAGCATGCCCAATTTTGATAAAATGTAGGATACAATTGAAAACTGCTAAATCTATAAAGCATTTTTATAGGAGCGTGTGTTCTATAATATTCAACAAAATTTGGTATTCAAGTAGAGACAACACAATGTGATGAAGCTTGATGATCTTTGTTCTTAAATTCACAAGATAATCTCAGTTCCCAAGGGTGAAAGTGTGTCGACTGCAAAAAAAAAGTTAAATAAAAATACATTTTTAAAAATTACAATAACAACAATAATAGTAATAAAAAATACTAAAGCTTTTTGGTGGATTAGCCCCTCAGTACATGCAGAAATTGTGTCTGTACTGACCATTTCTTCTGTCTCCTTGCTGTCTCCTACCCCTTTCGACCTCTGGATACTGTTTCAGTTCCTAAATCTTCTACTCCTTTCTATGTATATGTGCTCTTTAGGAAGTTTCCAGCTATGTGACTTTATTTTATTTTACTTTTTTGAGACAGAATCTCACTCTGTCACTCAGGCTGGAGTGCAGTGGCATGATCTTGGCTCACTGCATTGTCCACCTCCCTTGCTCAGGGGATCCTCCCACCTCAGCCTCCCAAGTAGTTGGGACTATAGGCAGTCACCACTGCACCCAGCTAATTTTTTGTATTTTTTATAGGGACAGGGTGTCACCATATTGGCTAGGCTGGTCTCAAACTCCTGAGATCAAGCAATCCATCCGCCTTGGCCTCCACAGTGCTGGGATTACAGGCTTGAGCCTCCATGCCCAGCCCAGTGATGTGACTTCAAATATTATCTGTATGCCCAAGATTTCCAAATTGAGATCTTATATTTAGCCTGGACCCCTTTCTACTGCTTTAAATCTTTACATTCAGCTGCCCAGTCACCATTTCCATTCATATGTCTACTAGGCTTCCCAAACTTAACATGGTCAAAACAGAGCCTGTTGATTTCCTCTTTGTTCACCAAGTCCCTTTTCCCCCTAGTTATTTTACCTCAAATGACAATAGTTGAGTTGCGTAGCCAGGAATCTTGGAGTCTTTCTTGATTTGTTCATTTCTTTTATCCTCCCACATCTAATCAGCCAGCAAGAGTTGTTGGTTCTACCTTCAAAATGCATTTCTGATTCACCCCTTTCTATCCATTTAACTGCTACTACACGATTCCAAGCCACCATCTTCTCTCTCCTGAACCACCTAGAATAGCCACCTAGCTGATTTTCCCATGCCTATTCTCATCTCTCACTCACTGTAATTCATTATATAGACAGCAAGCCAAAGAATATTTTTATTTTATTTATTTATTTTTTTTAGAGACAGGATCTCACTCTATCATCCAGGCTGCAGTGCAATGGCGCAATCATACCTCACTGCACCTTAAACTGCTGGGCTCAAGCCATCTTTTCATTTCAGCTCCCTGAATGGCCCAACATAGGCATGTACCACCATGTCCGGCTAAGCCAAAGAAACTTTAAAGACAGATTTAAAAACTTTAAATCCCAGGTTCAAACGATTCTCCTGCCTCAGCCTCCTAAGTAGCTGGGACTACAGGCACCCGCTACCACGCCCAGCTAGTTTTTGTATTTTTAGTAGAGATGGAGTTTCACCATGTTAGCCAGGTTGGTCTCAAATTCCTGACCTCGTGATCTGCCCGCCTTGGCCTCCCAAAGTGCTGGGATTACAGGCATGAGCCACCGTGCCCAGCCCAAATCTAAATCTTATTAATCGAAATCTTGAATAAATCCAAATGTGGGTGCTGTGGCTTCCAAGATCCTAAACGATCTAGTACTGCTTTTTTTTTGAAGGCCTCTTCTGTCTTCTCTCTTACCCTTTATCGCCTTATGGGCTGCTCCAGCCACATTGGACCTCTACGTATCCTCAGAAATACCAAGCTTTCCTTTTAGGACTTTTGCATTTGTTTGTCCTTGTGTATTTTGTTAGCCTCCTGCCTTCCCCCTTCCTGATTCTTTGTATAGCTGACCACTAACTGGCAGGCCTCTACCCAGTACCACCTCCTGGATCACACTTGCCTAGACCACTGAATCTAAGTAGCCGCTCCTTCTCCCTTGCCCACAGTCACATTATCCAGCCTTGGGTAATGTGCATTGGATCTTGGATTTCATTGCCCTTATCACCATTTGGACTTACCCTTCTCATTCTTACCCTCTCCTCACTATAATATAAACTCCAGAAGAGAGTACACTTCACTTGTTCAACACTGCTCCACTACCTGAAACATAGTAGGTGCTCCATAAATATGAGGGAATTAGTTGAATGAATGAATGAGTCTTTAACATGTGTTTTTGCTTCCCCAAAAAGAAATAAACCTAACTCTACCAAGGAAAGTTGTGTGGAAGCTCAGAGAAATGAGGAAGAAAATGAGTAACAACTCTCAACATTTAGCTTTTTTTTACACATCCAGATATTGCTTTTAATTACTTTTTTTTCTTATGCTTTAAGTTCTAGGGTACATGTGCACAATCTGCAGGTTTGTTACATATGTATACATGTGCCATGTAGGTTTGCTGTACCCATTAACTCGTCATTGACATTAGGTATATCTCCTAATGCTATCCCTCCCCCCTCCCCCCACCTCACGACAGGCCCCCGTGTGTGATGTTCCCCTTCCTGTGTCCAAGTGTTCTCATTGTTCAGTTCCCACCTATGAGTGAGAACATGTGGTGTTTGGGTTTTTTTTTTTTTTTTTTTTTTTTTGAGACGGAGTCTCGCTCTGTCGCCCAGGCCGGACTGCGGACTGCAGTGGCGCAATCTCGGCTCACTGCAAGCTCCGCTTCCCGGGTTCACGCCATTCTCCTGCCTCAGCCTCCCAAGTAGCTGGGACTACAGGCGCCCGCCACCGCGCCCGGCTAATTTTTTGTATTTTTAGTAGAGATGGGGTTTCACCTTGTTAGCCAGGATGGTCTCGATCTCCTGACCTCATGATCCACCCGCCTCGGCCTCCCAAAGTGCTGGGATTACAGGCGTGAGCCACCGCGCCCGGCCGGTGTTTGGTTTTTTGTCCTTGCAATAGTTTGCTTAGAATGATGGTTACCATCATTCTCAGCAAACTAATTACTTTTATTAAAATAGCAGTGTAATAACCATTTTAAGATTTTCTTATAAAAGAACCAAAGTCTCTCCTATTACCCAGACACAGACTTTTTAGCCCTTGTTCACATTCTTTGATAGAGTTGTAATTTTGGTAAACCTGCCCCTCTTTAGATCCCAGCAGAACACCTCCATAGGCCTTTGCTTCAGTGTTATCAGTTCATTGTGATGGCAGCAACCCTGGGTGTCATCACCGGAATAATAAAGTGATTTATTTAGTTCACAGAGAATCAAGTACAGAGCATTTCTTCCCCTAACAGGTCACCATAAAAGAATTTCTTTTCAAGGACATCATACACAGGTAAAAATGTTGTTCATAAAATCTGTTATAATTAGCACAGTGCCACAATCACAAAAATGTGTGGTGAAGACTTTATCATAAAAGATTTATTTCTCCAAGGAAATGTGGCTTTTCTTCAAAAACTAAAAGTTCAATGGACAAATAAAAAACATATGAAAATACTCTCCCCATTTCTAAGAAAGTGCAGACATGGAAAGTGCAGGCTATTATCCCCACGTGATTGTCCTGGGTCTGCTCTGCAGAACGGTGGGATGAGCCATCTGAGCAATATGTTACCACTTAAAGTAGATTTCACCTCCAAAAGTGGATTCGTTGCAAGCTAACAGAAGCATAGCAAGTCTTGACAAAATTTAATGAAATAAAATATTTCTGTAGCTATGGCCTGGGGAATATTTGTCAGTTAAAGTGCCTGTAAATGTTTCAGCCTTCTATCTAGAGGACACAGTCATATTCTTTTTTGCATATAACAAAGTGGTGCTTTGTGATGGGGAGGCTACATATTTTCTAGATTCTTTAGAAGCCAGTATGGTATGGTACTGCTACCCCTTCTGCCAGGATACACTTTCCTAAGAACTGGGATCAGAGGGGAAGAAGGGAAAAGAAGTTAGTGGAACACGTTCTCTTGACAGTAGTGATTCCAGTTCATTGAGCGATGCCCAGGGCGAAGGAGAGGTCATTTGACCATCTTTCGTAGAACATTATTTCACTACTTAGGCCATTTAAAGCTGGTGCAGCCTATAAAATTTTGTTACTGATATAAAAATATCTAATTTGAAGAAATTCCACTTGTGCTATGTATTCGTTTAGTGCTGGAAGTCTAAATAGGAAACCAGACAAATGTTTATTAGCTTCCTTGGAAGTTCAGCAATAAAACTTCCTGAAACTGCCAACGTGGGCATGAATGCCCTTTAGGACTGCAAACTATTACTTTAAATCTCTGCAGTCTCCAGTAAAAGACAAAATAATTTGCTGTATCAGAAAGGGAATGGTTTGGACTATATATTGCCATAAGTATATGGAGACATTTAGAAATGTGGCCTTTTGCTTAGGTGTTTCATGTCTTAAAGCACATTATGGGGGAAACAGCTTCAGCTCTCTGTAGGCATGTGGAAAGTTGTAATGGAAAATGCAAGGGTAAGTGTCCAGAGAATTGGAAGACTGAAAGGCTTCTGAGAACTCCTTGATTTTAGAACAGGTTCATCTGAAATGCCTATGACTTTTCAAAGAGAATAATTTTCCAGAAAGCTACAGATTTTATTCAGATATCCAGTTTGTGCTTGGGATTGGTTGAAGAATAAATTTGTGAAAAGTAGATTTTTTTGGAGGCCTTTTTTCACTTTGTATTTCTGAGCATAGCTATGAGGCTTGAAAACCTGAAAGGTGTGTTACCCTTAGTTCTTCTGCTGAACTTTCTACCTGATATCTTCTGTCATCTGTTGGCCTTGTGGAATGTCACACTATTTTTTTTTTAATCTAGTGCCTGTGTTGGGTTTTAATGGAAATTTCCAACACAAGGAAACTACTTGGATTGATTATCCAAAGGGCTTTTATTTTTTGGTCAATTTAAAGAACTCTAAAAACTATTTTCTTTTTAATATTCATGCTCTAGAACACTAGCAATATTTATATTCTGAGGGTGCATGGTCTCAAGTACCTTTGGAATGAATAAATCAAAATAAACAATGATCAGATAGAACAGCTGCAAGCCTGACTTGGAGGCTTTGAGCTGGTGATTGCATGTTTTTGCTTTAATCACTAAGATACTAAATGATTTCGGCTCTGTGTTTCTTGCTTCTATATTTAGGTTTATCAGTATCTGAAGCAGTTGCTAAAGAGCTGGAAAGTGGTGTCAAAAGCTGGGTAGGTTATCCAATTCTAATTTGTTTTCACAGTATGAGGTTGTTAATAGACTAATAAGCTAGTAGGAAAAGAAATAATGGATTTATGAACTAGAGACACTATTAAAATTCTAAATGAGCAGCTTAGCATATGGCTGTGATCAGAATAAAAAGAAAACTTGGAGGAAAAAAACAAAAAAAAAGCAAAACAAACCAAGGATGCTTGGTTTGTTTAGAAACATTGACAGGGGGTAAGGTTAATAAGAGGTGAACTGGAATCTTTCTATATCCCAGTATATTCTCTCCCACTTTTCAGTTTTTTCCATGGTAGTGCTGGGGGAGCCAAACTCCCTTCCTCAGTATAAGTGTACATAGTTTTCAATTTCCAGTTGTTAATGATGTGCATTTGTATAGATTAGGCCTGGTTTCCTAAGGAAAGTGAGAAGAGGAAGTTCGTAGGGTGCTGACAGATCAATCTAACGAGGGATTTATTATTCTAAATTCCGAAGGACCGTTTTGCAGTAGGTAGGGCTTTCAGAGCACCTCTGTGTTTCAGCTTTCTATTTTCTCCTCATCCCTTCCTCCACTCAGTTGTCTCTGTGTGCAGAGGTATAACAACATTGGATAGTAATTCAAAGGCTGTCTGTGTGGTAAACTAAGATTAATGAGAATTAAATCCCTGACTGATTATATGCTCTCCAGAACTAGAGGAAAAAAAAAGAGTTTTTATTAAAGTTGCAAGTATAAAGGTTTGAGAAATTTTCACTTTAAAGGTTAACATAACCCACTGAAGGGAGGGGGAAAACTGTCCTAAAGAAAAATAAGCCCTGAACATCTGAACATATATCGTTGACATTTCTGCTAATGTCACTTGAAGGAAGGCTACTGTAATCCATCCCTTGGACAAAGGACATAGAGAGACTATGTGTCTGTCGCAGCACAAAAGCAGAGAAAAAGACAACGTCAGAAGTGATTTAGAAAATAAATAAACTGTTCTTTGAAGATGTCTTTAGAGGAAAGGTTATTGCAAAGTATGATAGTTACAAACACTTTCTCAGCAAATCTAGATTTGAGTGATATTACTCCTAGGGTTTTTGAAGGATTTTGAGCACAAATATGTTCTGCCTTTGGCAATTATAGATAAAATGCAAAAATATTGTTGCTTTTTCCACTTCACTCTATTTTAGAAAGGCGTCAACACAGCTCAGAGGCCAAGGAGGAAACAAAGTCGGCCACTGAGAACCAAAGATTAACATTTCAGGGAATGTGGATTGCTCACCCAGGAGGGTGGGTGCAGAAGGACCCTCTGGAGAGTGAGCCAGGGAACAAGGCCAGTATAGAAGTGTGGAATACCACGGAGAAGCTCTCATCTCTCACAACGCATCAGTCCTGCATTCATAAACAGTCTTCTTTAATAATGAGTAACAGTGCCTAATTCTCCATGCAATACCTGAATATTATCCTCTGCACAAGAACACTAGAAATTCATCCATTATGATTCCTTTATACCTCTATTTCTCTGCCATAGTATTCTACTTACAAAGTTTTACTTGTTTGCGTCCACTAAAATGTTTTAATTTCACCCCATTGTTTTAAATTAGGGGATCAGCTTCGGCTAGACGTAATTATTAACTTTATTTTTTTTTTAAATAGCAGCAGGAGCTGACACTTAGCATTCACCTACTCTTCTCGAGGTATAATTCTAAGTGTTGCATTATATTAACTCATTTGATCCCCCAACACCTCTATGCCACAGTATTATTGCTTTCTTTTTACAGATGAGCAACCAGGTCCAGTAAGGTTAGGTAATGTGCCCATGTTCACACACGTAGTTAGGTGTAGAGCTGGGATATGAACTGCACAGCCTGATTCAGAGGCTGCTCTTAACCGTAATGCTACACTCGCCAATCTACAAATGACTAGCCTCTGCGTTGGAAATATTTTTTTAAATTGTAATTCATGATTTATTTATTTACAAATTTACTCTCCAGCTATGGATACAAATCTTAGCAAGCACAAAACAATGATACTAGTGTACTAATGGAGTTCGTCAGCCTATATATTTTTTTCTCAGTCATCACAGGGCGTAAAATATGTGAAATTTTGACTCTTTAACTTGTTTAACATAAATTGTTCGTCCAAAATAGAAGACTCTAAGACCAATCCCGTGCCATTTCTACATGGCAGAGAGAGATCCACAGGACTAGTCCAAGCAACATGGCGAGCCCAAAGATATCAGGAAAAGCGGTTTCAGAAAGTGTGTTTATTCTCCGCTATTAGTCCCACACTTCTTGTCCCAATTTTTACCACCTACTTGCAATTCCCCTAGCGTTCTGCTCCCTTTAGCAAGGCTTTTTTTTTCCCTTTTCTTCACCAGGGCTTTGCTAGTCTGCTTGGAAGTCAAATAATGCTTGTTTGTTTATACAGGAAAGAAAGGTGGTAAGAAAGAAACAAGCTTAAAGTCCCCTTGCCAAAAATTAAATAAAACTAGGCAGCCAGCAGAGCTGAGTTATTTGGGAACATGTCAGAATCCTCACTGCATAAAGATTTCCATATTAACAGTACTGCCCTGTCTTTGTTTTACATCCAATGCACTCAGGAACACCTTCCCTTCCCAGTTTTCTAGGAAAGGGAATGTATTTTCTATAATACATTCTCTGAACTTCTGGCAGGGGCAAGTTGAAATACTTTTTTGTGTTGTAACTTCCGAGCACATCAGAAAGTTGGTCTTTAGTCAAATTCTTCTCCCTTTCCCATTTTTGTGTAGGGGGGAGTTAGAAATTATAAAATTTATTTTGGGGAGATATTTGCAGATTATAAAATACTTTAAAAACCCATTATATAAGCTTATTCCAAAGTCAACTAGTTAAGCAATTACTGTTTTGGTTGGCCTTTATAGGACCTTGTTAATCCTTAAAAGTGGAATTGATGGTTTCTGAGAAGCTACTCAAAAATCCTATGGAGTTGAGAAGTTTCAGAGTGGAGAAATGCTGAAGCCACTCTTCTTGGTACCTCCTTGGGGACGGGACAGCTGTTGGACTGAACAGGACAGAGGCTTCCCTCCCTCCCCGTGCTGCAATTGCAGTGCCACATTATTTGAACCAACTACTTGAGTAGCTGTAACATTATCTCATAGGGTATTTTCTGGCATTGTTATTTTAGTTGTTTTGCCTCTGTAATTACTTGTGCCTTAAATGAAATTGATCCTGCTTACCTTCACTTGTAATGATAGGAAATGTTCTGATCCTAGCAACTTTGTGTTCATCTGTTTGCAACATGCTTCATGTGAAGTTAAAACTTGGGCGAGGGCTTTGTTCATCTATGTGCATCTTGTAATGAGCAGTAGAAGGACTGTCAAGAGCTGGATGTCTAAACTACATTTTGTGAATAAGTAAATGAAAATGCATTGAGGTAATTTACCATTTGATGAAGTTCTATTGTAAATACACCTGTAAGGTGAAGTCTCACCCATATATCTTTACATGTCACAGATTTTGAAAGTGAGGTACATTTGTGACTGAGTAGTTTATCAAATTGAATACAACACCACGAACATGGAACTAAACTGAAACCTGATAGCCATGTGGGTAGAAGAGTATCTTGATACAACGGTATCTTATTTTTCTTCTTATAGTAGCTGATTTTCAGCTATGACATTTCTAGAGAAATTTGAAGACAAAGGAGTTCCGCAGGTATTGCTTCCTTTGGATAATTTCCTGAACTTATCTTTGCAGAATAATTGTCCTTTCCTGTAAGTGAGTACCTCTAGCTTGTCACTTGTCGTAATCTGACATGTGAGACTGAGCCATGACCCTGTATGGGTCCCCCACTGATTGCAAGTTCCCCCAGGAACTGTGGCTTAGTCATCTGGGCATCCCCTAGCACCAGCACAATGGTGAATGTAACAGGAGGTACATACATGCTTGCCTTATTGAATTCTTAGACAGGAAAGAGATGGCTAGTAAGAATGGAGAAACACCAAATGGGCACCAAACGATTCTTATTCTTAATGAATAAGAACTAAAGCTGGATCATGACCCTTGCTATGCTTCTTTTATTTTCCTTACTACTCCCTTTGCATTGGAGATTTTATCTATTTCTAAGTGAACTCAAAGGTCTGTATAATGATTTGCAATTTCTGTGAAGAAAATTGCATTACTGGGTTAGAAGTGAGTCTTTTAGGTAATGGAGAGTGTGACCATCAACCTCTCATTATCTTCATCTTCAGTTCAGTTTTGGTCTTTTTTTATCCTAGAATAAGAACTTTTTTGGGCCATTTTCACAAAAATACAAACTGCTAATGCAGCAAAGTGAAAAGACAAAATGTGTTAGTGGCCCACCCTTATATGGAAATGTAATATTTGACAGGTGGCATTACAGGGCAGTGGGGCATAGATGCCCCACACGGATGACATCCAGGATGATGTTCAGTAACTGGAATCATGATATTCAATTACTCTTAATGAGAAGAAAGTGGACCTCTAGCTCACACCATGTACAAAAATAAATTTTATGGGCTAAAGAGCTAAATGTAAAAAAGAAAAACTTTAAAGCTTTTTGCAAAAAAAAAATATGTGGGAATTGGTTCTTATTTTTATCAGGGTAAAGAAGGATTTCTTGAACAACTACAAAAGGGACAAATCATAAAGGAAAAGGTTGTTAATTTGCATTAAAAGGAAAATCTTCTTGACACTAAAACACCATAAGCAAAGTGAAAAGACTGCCATGTGCAAGGAGAAGATATTTGCAACCTTGTGTAACTGAAAAGGGAATAGAATATAAAACTTACTACAGAATAATAAAGACAACCCTGAAGAAAATAGGCAAAAGCTAGGGGCAGGTAGCTCAAAGAAGAGGAAATGCAAATGACCAGTAAACATGAAAGACACTTGGCCTCACTAGTAATCAGGAAAATGTCAGTTAAAATGAGATGCCATTTCACTCTCATCAGAGTGGAAAACGTTTCTGAAGTTTTGTAGTGTAAGCAATGGTGAAGATGTAGAGCAATGGGAGCTCTAATACATTGTAAATTGATATAACCACTTTGGAGAACCATTTGTCAAAACCTTCCAAAATGTAAGGTGTGCTTATAGGGCTTGGCTAGTACTTATACCATAAAGAAACTGACAAGTTCGTAAGGAAACATGAAAAAGAATGTTGTTTGTAATATTGAAAACTTGAATGTAACTGTGAATAGGAAAATGAATAAAAACATTGTGGCATTTTAAATAAAATGGAATACCATACAGCAGTAAAAATAACTAAAGCTACATTGATCAACATGAATAAACCCCACAAACTTAATGAACAAAACAGCTAGTTGCAGGAGGATATATTTCCTATGCTGCCATTTATATAAAGTTTATAACAAAAATTGTTATGTTGTGTAGGATTGGTTTTATATATATCTAAATATGAATAATGACATGGGCATGGTTAACATCAAATTTAAATTTTTGATCATCTTTTATGGAGGCAGGGGTAATGTCACAAATAGATGCATGGAGACATCAGTAGTGCTTGCTGTGGGTTATTTCTTATATTGGGTCATGGATACTTGAGTATTTATTCTCTATATCTTTTTCAATGTTGGAAATATTTCATATTATACATTAAAATGTAAGCAAAAGGAAGGAATCCTTCTTAACCGAGAGAGAAAAATTATATTAAAGATTAGAATAGTGAATCCAAAATGGCTCAAATCTGAGGCATAAATAAGTTCATCACTGAACTGGACATGCTGTTCTTTCATTTAAGTTAATTAATGACTAGAACCTATTTTGTTGCTATAATATCTAAAGTACATATTGGGGATGGTGATGGCATGGAATTGTTATAAGGTTTCCCTCATCTATGTCTGCATAAGGTGGAATGAGCAGGCAGGCAAATGAAAATAATATCAAGGTCAAGGTCACCAAGTAGAAGGATGCATTTACCTGGTGTCAAGGCTGCTGTTGGAAAGGACAGCATCCCTGTGTACTTGTAGGACCTGGGAGGTTGTAGAGATGTCTTCTTAGAAGAATTTTGAAAGGAAGCAGAATTTCAGCCACTAAGATTTAGTAAGGGGAAAAGAGGTTATCTTTACAGAGATGATAGCCTGGCTGTGGCAAGAGGAAGATATACCCTTGGGCTCTGCATTTTTAAAAAAGGAAAAATAATGGTATTGATAATTCCGCTAGGTGAGAGCAGCTACAGTGTTAAGAACACATTTGATCAGGAATTAAAACGTGGTATGATGTCTCTACCTGGTTCCCCCACTCACTCTGTGGCTTTGGAGAAGTCACCTAATCCCTCTAAACATCAGTTTTCTCATCTATAGAGCTAGGGAGTTGGTTTTGATATCTATAAGCCCCCCTTTAAGCCTGAAATTCTTTGCTAATTTTTCATCAATGGCTTACTGGAATGAGGGAGAAGGCAGAAAGAGATAAATAAGGGTCAGAAGACTTAATAGAAGAGTTGGAGGGTGACTCATTCTAGGGAAGTGGCTGCTGACAGAGTAAGTCAGAATGTACAAAGACTTTGGTAAATGACTGGAAGATGACAGGAGTCTCGGCAAGGCCTGGAATATGATGCATGGTATCCTGAAAAAAAGGGGAGGGGGATGAAGATTGAGGAATATGGGAGTCCACTGGGTGTATTACCAAGGGCAGTGGTGAAAGGGGCAGCAGTAAGGAGCACAGGGACCCAACAATAGAAAGGTGGGATGTACAGGCCAACTTTGAGACAAAAAAATAGCTGAAATGTGAAAGTAAGGGTTGTGGCTTTTGAGCCATGTTCTTATTTAAAAACATAGTAGTAGTCAATAACATAGGTTAAAATAGGCAGAGGGGGACAATTTCCTTTTTATGAGAAATGACTGTAATTTGCCGCCTGACTTTCCCAATACTGGGACTCTGTGCCTGTCCCTCTGTGGTGTGGATATTTGTTCTGGAATAACAGCAACAAGCCTTTTAGCTGGTATTAGAAGGAATAACTGAGCTCCTGTTATCTTAATGCCAGTTGATTCTAAGCCTTGAATTGGATGAGCCTTCTACCCTCTTATAGTAAAGTTGTATTTAAACAAAAGGAATGCTAAACGAGACATCTCTTGATATCCAGAAAAAGGATATTATATAGGTTGAATTAAGCCAGTGCTTTTTGGTATGTGTGTTTGCAGATATTGGAAAGTTTTAGTAAAATTGCACTTCTTAAAAGGTAAATATAATTTCTTCTTGGAGATCACACTGTGCTCTAAGCACCTTATTAAAGTGTTAGAGTCATCAAATAGATGCCTGGTTGAAGCTGGGATTATATAGCTTATACCAGGTTTGTGTTGATTAATGGAATGGTAACAGCAGTAATTATTAGCTTTCATTGAAATTTGTATGTACTACATTGTATGAATTACTTTACAAATACTTCCTTGAATCCTGACACATCCCTGTGAAGTAAGTGATACTATTCCCATTTTACAGAGAAGAGAATTGAGACTTTAACAGATTATACAACTTGCCTACTAAGTGGCAGTTAGTAAAAGGCCAAGCCTGTTTTAAACTAGGTCTCTGATCCCAAAGCTAGATTTATTAAGTATTAAACCCTTGTCTCTGGTGCCTTGTGTCTGCTGTGTAGTCAGCAATACATCCAACACACCAGATTTCTAGATCTTGGGTTGCATTATCTCAGTGGTCATAGCATGTGCTACTATCCTGATAACTGAGCTGGTTTTCCTGTTTCCCAGAAACAAGTGAAACAGAACATAGTTTGTGGGTAAAGACGGTCTCCAGTTGTGCACAGGAGTTGCTTGGCAAACCCTTCATACTATTCTTAGAACAGTTGACATGGAAGATAAGAGACTGTGAGGTGGTTTGGGGGCTTGAAGGATGTAACATTGAGGAGATGTTGGAAATGGGGGCAGCTGAGGGAGACAGGATCCTTCTTAGGGTCCTCTGGGAGCAGTATGGCTCTACTGGGGTGGAGGCCTTGCTGGCTAACAGAAATTTTCCAATTCAATAAAGTATGCTGGGTTTTATTCAAAAACAAATAAAAGGGGAATCTCTAGAAATGTGCGCTTACTCAGCCTTGAGTTTCCTTCTCATCAAACTAAAGGAGGGCTAAACTATCGCCAGCAAGGAAGTATAACACACTGCCTGAGGAGTCACCTCAGCTCTCTGAAAATGAGAAAGAGAAATATTCTGTTGATCAAACGTTAAAAATAGTTGAGTAAATATTTTATGAGTAAATATTTTAAACTGTCAGAAAAGAACCATTAAAACATGAAGTGTAAATGGCAGTCTTGTTATTTTAGAAAATGGCCATATCTAACACACCTTTATTTTTAAAATCTAGTATACAAACACAATAACATTTATACATCTTCCTCCACATGTGTTTTGAGTATTGAGTTCCTGATTCTTGCTGTGCTTTGTTTGATTTCTGTGTACCAGGAGCAAGTACACTGGTGAGTTTCAAGATGTTTGTAGTGCTTTTTGATACGTAGATGCTGTTGATATTCTGGTCTCTTAAGTTGAGAAGATGGAAAGCTAAACATAAGAATCACAATGACATTGGAAATTTTTGGATATCAAAACCTCTGGAAAGCTAAATTTTACCCAAGTTTTCTCTCCTCTTACTTTACATTCTTCGCAAGAGCACAAATGAAGCTCCTGTCATTTTCAATTTGACCTAACTTGTCTCTGTGTAGCTGTTTCTCTCTTTATTATAAGCTTTCTTTCAAAGTGTAGGCACTTTGGTATTGTAAGCAAGTGAAGATTTATAAGAAATTAGCCTCCCTGTCATGCACCCACACCATCCTTAAGTACATACACACAACTCACCTTCTCCCACTACTGTTTTCATTAACAAATACTCATTTATTTAATAAACCAAGTCACTATATTGCACAAAGAAATTAAGGGTATGAGGCAGAGTCACACATGTGAGGTGCATTCACAGATTTATTAAAATTGTTGTATAAAATTGTTGTAGCGCAAAATAACTCCTCTTAGATACCAAGTAGGAGCAGAATTTAATCTGACGTACTAAGTGACTTGAGGGCAATTTGATTTAAAAAAAAAAAAAGTGCGTATTGAATCTTTTGGAGAGAAATAGTTCTTCTCTAAAGGGATGTAATGAACTGTAAAGGTAACTTAAAATTTGTTTTTTTTTTATTTTTCGCATTTATTTATCAGTTATTAAAACATCCAAAGATGTTTTTCTGAAGAATTAGGAAATAAAATGGTATACACATTTCTGTCAGTGTGTTTGTTACAGGATAATTTTCCCTTTCTTAGAAACCTTTCTTCCATCTCTTTAGTCTGGAAGACTAAAGTACCATATTACCCATGCCAGAATGAGACTTGGTGATAAGGTTATTTTAAGCATCTTAGGCAGAAATTGCCCCGAAAATACTTGATTTCTGAGTGTGCTAAACTCGACATAGTACCTGTTGCATAAGTGTTAAAAAACAAAGGCAGACAACTTAGGCAGCTCCGACACATCTCACCTTGAGGGCTGTGTTCCTGAGGAAGGAGGAAGTTAGGCAAGGATGTGTGACTGCACTATTTTTCCAGAGTCTCCATTATGATAACAGTAGAATTTCCATCTTGAGCACACTGTTAGATTCAAAGCACCTGCTTTCGTTTCTTCTGCCTTCCCAGTATGGGAACTTGAGCCAACAGCCTTGAAGTTGTGAAGCATTCATTATTTCACAGTACAGTAAGTAGGGAAAAGTTTTTCTCTTTTGCACTCTTGGTTTAGAACAAAATTGAAACCTTATATTTAGACCAAATATTTGACAGTTAATATTCAAACATAAGATGCTGTAATTCTGCTTTTTTCACATTTCATGTCAACAATCAGTTGTGTTCTAGGGTGAGAATGTACCAGCCACTGGTTAAACTGCCGTAATAAGGGAGAAGAGAGTACCAGAAATATGTTAATTAAGTCTCTGTGTTTAATAAAGCATTCGTATTGAGTAGATAAATCTTCACTTCTAACTCATTTGTCAGACTGCCAATTCTACAGTATTTTATTAATTGAAACTTTTTCCCTTTCTTTAATTTCACCAACTAAACAAGATTTAGTTGTTTAGACATCCATGCCTGCTGTGTGTGTGTGTGTGTGTGTGTGTGTGTGTGTGTGTGTGTGTGTGTGTGGTGGGGGTGTGGTTTTTAAGAAATAATCACCTCTTTTTAAAGTTAAACGTTTTAATGAGCTCCTTTAACAATGATTTTAGGTTTGTATTGACAAAATTTAAATAAAACCATCACAGGTCATTCCTGTGTCCCCTTACCCTCATCTACTTGTTTCTTTTAAGACTAGTTTTATTGAAATATAATTCATAACCCTGAAGTTTACCCATTTAGATGTACAATTGGTTTTTAGTTTATTCACACATCTGTGCAGTACATCACTGCTATCCTATTTACCACTAACTTTTTTCATCACCACCCCTCCCCACATACACAAAAATCCATACCTATTATTAGATACAACCTCCCCCAGCCCTTGGCAACCATTAATCTACTTTCTATCTCTATGGATTTACCTATCCTGGACATCTTACATCACTGGAACCATACAGCCTTTTGTGATTGGCTTCTTTCAACATTGTACCTGTTGCATAAGTATAAAAAAACAAAGGCAGACAACTTAGGCAGCTTGGACACATCTCACCTTGAGGACTGTGTTCCTGGGGAAGGAGGAAGTCCGGCAAGGATATGTGACTGACATAATGTCTTAAAAAGTCATCCATGTTGTAATATGGTTAGCAAATATTTTCTCCCGTTATGTATATTGTCTTCTCACTTTATTAATGGTGTCCTTTTCAGCACAAAGTTTTAAATTTTGATGAATTTTAATTTATCTTTTTTTTGTCTTTTGTGTTTTTAGTGTCATGTCTAGAAACTTTTGTCTAATGCAAGGTAATAAAGATTGTTATCTATGTCTTTTTCTAAGATTTTTGAAGTTTTAGCCCTTACATTTATGTCTATAATTTATTCAGGTTAATTTTTGTATATAGTATGAGGTAGGTGTCCAGCTTCTTTCTTTTTGCATATGGTTATTCAGTTTTCCCAGCACTGAAATGCAATTAATTTCTAATTGAAAATGTTAACCTCCTCAGAGATTATCTTGAGTGCTTATGGTGCGATTGGTGTTTGAGGAAGGTTGTTGCTAAAGCTGTGCTCCATGTTTGTAGCTTCCAGTGCTGGTGACAGCCTTTTCTCACCGTCTCTTCAATGAGTTACAGTGATCCTTCTGTCCCCACGTGCGTTGCCAATACTTTGCCAAAAAGTGTGAAAATGTAGTAAAACAATCACACATTTGCCTACTCCATTTTGTCATCTTTTCTTCTAGTTTTTGTGTCATTCCTTAATAATATGAGATTTTTTTACAAAATTGTGCCGAGTTGTTAACATTAGGTATAATGTTAAACATGGATGTTAGTATTATCTTTGCCTCAACTCCTTAGTCCCCTAGAAATGTGTACCAGGGACACAATTGCATTTTCTTCCTCCTACTCTGTCTTCCTTATGCTATGCTTCCTTAGGAGAGACAGACTTTTCTCAGCTGTTTCTAAATGTTGGGGCTGATCTGTGCCAATCCTATTTTGTCCATGGCAGGCTGACCCTGGGAAGAAAGTATAGTCTAGGAATGGTCATGTTTGTGTCCAAGAGTTAACTACCTCTAATTCCTGAGCTGAATATACTCTGAAAAGGACTGGCTTTCTAAATCAGTTCTTCTCAAACTTGAATGTGCATGTAGATCACCTGAGGATTTTATTGAAATGCTGATTTTGATTCATTATATCTGGGTGAAGCCTGAGATTCCACATTTCTAACAAGCACCCACGGTTACAGATGCTGTTGATCCATGGATCACACTTTAAGACCTAAGGTCCCCAGGTGTCCTAGATCCTAGGAGGAAGTCAGGAGTTGGAAACATTCTAATCCAGACCTTGAGTTCTCCCTAGTATTTTCTGGAAACCAAAAAAGATTCTTTAAATAAAACAAAACACTCCCCACACACCCTGCAAAGCAAACAAACCAATTCCAGATACCATCCAGTAGCTGCAATCAGATAGAGATTAAACTTCTTAAAGAAATAAAATCTCCCCTTAGGATAACCTGCAGATATTTTGCTATGGCTAATTACTCAGTTGCAAAGACCAAATTTATGTGTGTCTGATGATGTCACAGTGATGTCTCTGGTCTTTTGGTATATTCTCAACATCATGACTCAGAAAGGTGTTATGTGATTATGCTTTGATGAGCACAGCGTCCAACTGGCTGATTTATAGATTTCCCCAGCTGATTTAAGAATAAAATAGGATGAGTTGAGCCTTCTCTACCTGGTCAATCTTAGTTTTCTTTAAGCCCAGTTACATTCTCATAGCAATTTAGGCAAATACCACCAGATGCCCTTATCACAAAACTCATATTTACCCTAAACCCAGGGGGTGAAGACTTTGTTTGTCATATTTGTTTGGAATGATTTTACCTTAAGCTGTACAGGAAAAGGCTGTTGATTTTCTAACCAAGACATATATTTATTTGAGTCTTTTTGGTTTTTCTGGTAGTTACTTCAGAATCGGAGTTATAACTGCATTAACTATCAAGTTAAAATACCATGATTTTTACAAAAGATAGGCATCTATCTGTCTGTTGAACCCTGTTAAAAAAGCCGGTTCAGAAATGTTAGTGACATCTGAAAGAACAAAGTGAATTGTCTTGTTTTTTAAATAATCATTGCAATTTTCTTTTAGGTTCACATTTTATCTATTTTTGTTCTGCAAACCTTGGCTCAGGATAGTAAAGGTTGAGAGAGGGAGTGATTGATTGATTGATTCATTCATTCATTTGTTTCACCTTCACCTGATAAAGATTATTTATTTTGCAGCTGGATTAGAACTAGCTGAACAGGGTTGTGGGTATGAATATTGATTAAAAAGGGATAGAAAAAGGAGACGAAGACTATTGCTATACACATGCTATGACCTCATAGTTTATGCTAATTTCTATGACTTTAAAAAAATGTCTTCAGAGCTTAGCTTCTTCACCAGAACAGGACTATATTTAAAAATCCAAATGATTTACCTAATGTATTATTTTTGCTAAGTAAGAACCAGTATCTTATGGTGGTTGGTTTAGGGTGAAATACAACTACAATGGTAATCATAATAGTAATAGTAATGCCAATGGTAATAGTAATAGTCCATTGTTTCAGTAGTGAAACAATCCATGCCCCACAGTTTGTGTGTAATGTCTGGGTAACTCAGCAGACCATCTGTTTGACTATGGCTCTTGAAAAACTTCACTTTTACCACTGTCTGAAGGAATTATATCAGAATATAATCCTGAACCATAGTTGAAATGAAAGAATTTACAAAGCCATCTCATTTGTGCTCTTAGTCATTTTTATTCTATCTCTACACTGATTGAGGTTGTTACATGAATACTGAGAGCACAAAGTCTGACCTGTGTAGACAGTAATGACATGAAATGCAATTGTGTATTTTTGTTAGCTCTGAGAAACATGACAAATTGTCCTCATCTGTGATTCCTCTCTCTTCTCCTTAAAAAAAGACAATGTTGAACCAAACTTTTTGATAAATAACTTCTGATAATAATGGTGAAAGCTGAGGGAGACTAATGTTTTGCTTCTCAGCAATCCTGCTGCCTGGCACTTGCATGTTTGAAACAGTCAAGAAGATGATTTTCTGAAAATGAGCAAAATCTGTAAAGCTAAGAGCTACATCCTTTGGAAATGTATGAGTGAAATACTCAAATGCTATCAAGCAAGCTCATAAATCTTGATTCATCGTTTGATCAAGATCATAAATCTCCATCAAAGAATTATGCACAAGCCATTTTTCTGATGTGCATCTTAAATGCAAAAGTTAAAAAAAGGAAGTCTTCATGACAACGGATAGCTTAGGGAAAAAATAGACAGCTGTAACAGGGAGCCAGCAGAGTTGTGTCAGGCCTGTGAGGGGCTGCGGCCCTGGCATTCAGGATAGTTGCATATGTTCTTTTAAATGAGGAAAAAGGGGAAATGGATATTTTATTTAGGAAGGGGGAGGATAATGCAACCAGCCTGTCTTTGAAAATTTGTTATTGTCACAAGTTTATAGATTTTTCGTCCTTTGACTAATTAAGGGCAGTATAATAAATTATTACAGTAGCCAGTATTTTGAAATTCATTTTTAAAAAAAGTAAAATAAAAAGCCAAGCATTTGACTATCCTGTTAAGATGCAAATATCATATCTCAATCTTGTGATTGAGAGTATATAAAATGGTGTCAGGCATATTAATAAGAAAGTAGTACTAATCTGTCATACTGAAAAATAAGGGAAGAGCCAAGGACAGTTTTAAAATATATCTTGTGACCAAAACTTGGAAGATAGTCTCGGGATGACAGATGATTAATTAGAAATATGTCAACCTCAGCTGCTAGGAATTAAGGTACCTGTAAGATAAAATCCATGAGAAATTAATTTTAAAAAGCTTTATTTCTTGCATCACAGTGGCATACTTTCTGATACCAGCTTTAGTATCTGTTACCAAATGACAGTGAAAGATGATGCATAATTTAAGGCTCAGTAAATCCCGCTAAGCCTGAGTTGCTGGAGAATGACACATTGACATCTAAAACAAGGCTCAGGAGATGAAAGGGAAAGGCCAAACTGCCTATCAGCTGTAATGTGTCTTGAATCCTTCCCCACATCCACAATGCTTCCTTGAGAAGAGACAATATTTCCCCCTGTTCTGGGGACCACTTTATTCCATTTCCACTTCCTTGGTGGTAAAATGTGAACCAAGATAGTAGCAGGGTTTTTCCAAAGACTATAAAGATTTTATCTCTCATTGTTTTTAATTAGTGTCTTTAAGACACAAGGTTAAACATGGAAATTATATACTATAGCAAAGCAAATTCACTTTTCAAATTGACTATTTAAAAACTTTTAGTGATGTCTAATTGTCTTACAGATTTTCCTCTTCTCAGCATACATCTGAGCTGGGGTTCTAAAAGAGATTGCAGATGTTTTCTTCTCAAAGTAGCCTCGGACACATACAATATGACCCATTCTTTGTTGTTGTTGTTGTTGTTGTATTGTTAATTTAATTTTTGTGGTTGACAAATAATGTACATATTCAAGGGATGCATGGTGATGTTTTGATACATATTATATATAGTGATCAGATCAGAACAATTAGCATACCCTTTATATCAAACATTTATCATTTCTTTGTGTTAGGAACATTCAGTATCCTCCTTCTAGCTATTTAAAACTATATAATACATTCCTGTTAACTATAGCAGATGACCCATTCCTTATTAACTGGTCCTCATCTCCAGGACTGTGGTTTCTCAGCAAAGAAGGAATCATTCCTGTTTGGCCAGTGAAGGAATGTGTGACCATAACTATTGAGCTGCTACTTTTTGTTGGAATCCCCTCAGTGGAGGTTTCCTTTTCAGCATCCTTTAAGATAATTTGAGTTTCATACCATTTGATGAGTCTGTGAATTACCCTGTAATTATACCCGTCTCCTGGCAGGGTAGGTGTTTGCAGCATTAAGATTGGGCTCATAACTCAGGATTGCAAAGAATAATTATGTAAGTAAGAAAAATAGGTTAAATCCCAGTTAACCTAGTGCTGGCTTCTGAAAATACCTGTGGTGGAGTTCCTGTTTTTAAATTTTCAATCTATTTAGACCAGTGTTTTAGTAAAATAGGATAAAAATAAATTGCTAGAAAAATGAAAAAAAGGCAAGTCCACATTTTTTTAAAAAGTAGTGTTATATTCAACTGACATGAAGTTACTCTGTCCATGTTCTATAAAGCTTCTAAGTACCTTATAGCAATTTTTTTCTTATTGCAGAACAGCACCAGATAGCATGGTCTGAGGGCCACACTTTGAGCAGCATTAATCAAGTGTACTCACATTTACTCACTTGTACCTCTTGCCACTCCTGGTCACCTTATTCTTTTAATAAATTGTTATTTAAACCTTAGATTAAGTATGCACTTAAAGTAAGGCTGTATGATTTTTAAATGGATAGATCTAATTGCAAATTCCTATACGTTGTTAAATTGTTATAGAAGATTTTAACAATTATTTGGCAAACACTGGTTGCTGCATTTCACTTTTTTTTTTTTTTTTTTGGCATTCACTTTCTATAAACCTTACCCAGCCACCTTTCCCTGTCACAATACCAAACATTATTATCAGGTGATTTTCAGTAACATCCATTCAAGATACCTTTTATATTTTAACTTAGTTCTTAAAATCTTGAATTATTTGATTGAAAAGCTAGTCTAGGACCTTGGTTTTGCTTAAAATTGAAAGGAAGAGGCTGCTTTAAAGGCTATAAGAAAATAATCACACTAAATTCTAACTCAGACCTCAAGTAGTTAAAAAATTATTTACTTCTACGAATTCCTTGTTCAGATTGGGTACATAGAAAAATAGAGTTACTTATGTACAATACTAGCTTGATGGGACTCTCATGCCAAACAGATACTGCCCACCCTTGGTGGTTATGTTAGTTTCTCTCTTTCCATTGCACAAGTTGAATACAGTGGTAATATTTAAATGGAAAAGACTCAAAATACCACACTTGCTGTCTTACAATATTTGGAGTGCTGCCATGTGGACAAGAAAGTTGAGTAACTCTCCGTGACTGGAGAACACACAGACTCATGGGTAGAAGACAACAGAGAGGCTGATTTCAATTTAAAAAAGGGTTTGTAAACATGTACACAAATGTGCACGTGCATATTTGAGGGAAGACAAGGAGGAACCAAAGAACTCTTCTGGTTTTTCTAAGCTATGTGCTCTGCTGCAGATGTGGCTGCTGGGAAAAGGGTGATAATAGAATAAAGGTTTGGAACACTCTGAGAAATGGAATGAGGCATTCACTGTGGTTGTGTAAAGGAATTGCCAAGCAGCACTGCCAGGCAAATGACTGACTGTTGGGCTGTTAGAGAGGACACTCAGGCGTTAGATATAAATTGGTCTGGATGACTGCCAAGGTGCTTTCCAACTTTGAGAAGCTGGTATCTATAGTGGAGACATCGTCCTGCTTGGTTTCTTTCTTTCTTTCTTTCTTTCTTTGGACATCCTCCTGCTTGATTTCTTTCTTTGGACATCCTCCTGCTTGGTTTCTTTCTTTCCTTCCTTTCCTTCTTCTTCCTTTCCTTTCTTTCCTTTCTCTCTCTCTCTCTCTCTTCTTTCTTTCCCTTCTTTCCCTTCCTTCGTTCCTTCTTTGAGGCAGGGTCTTGTTCTATTGTCCAGGCTGGAGTGCAGTAGCACAAACATGGCTTGCTGCAGCCTTGACCTCCCGGGCTCAAATGATCCTCCTGCCTCAGTCTCCTGAGTAGCTGGGACCATGGGTATGTGCCAGTATGCCTGGATAATTTTTTTTTGTTTTTTGTTTGTTTTTGTAGAGACAAAGTCTCACTATGTTGCCCAGGTTGGTCTCAAAGTCCTGGGCTCAAGTGATCCTCTCACCTTGGCATCCCAAAGTGCTGGGGTTACAGGTGTGAGCCAATGCACCTAGCCTGTTTTCTTAATTATGAAATAGTTCAAACCTATAGAAAAGCATATCGAGCTTTAATGTTTTGCTAGATTTCTTCCTTCTCTCTCTTTTAATGTTACAGATAACAGCTAAAACCATACCACCACCGTTCCATTCTTTTCCCTTCTTTTCTCCTCACAAGTGGCCACTGGGTTGTTTAGGAACACTTTGTCTGTTAGAGGCTCCTCTGTTGTGAGGTGTTTTGTTTTTACTCTCTGACATTTTCACAGCCATAGCAATTCTGCGTGGTAGTGGTTGTTTTAACATCTCTGATATTAGCAGTAGAGTTAGAAGTAGAAGATTTGAGGGCTTTGCTAGGATTTATCTTGTTAAACTTAGGTCTTAGTAGCTAATTATCATATACATACATGTGTTTTCTAGTCCTGTGACCTGCTAGGCTATGTAACATTGTGAGTTGCAAAGTTCATCCTGCTTAAAGATATTGATTTTAAGACCGAGCATACCATACCTAACCTCTCTTATGGTAGACAGTCCCAGAAGGGACTAGAAGATGATAATCACAATACATTTATTCATGTAAGTGGTGTGTTCCATTTTTCATCCATTTATTAGATGATTGTTTAAAGGGTATGCTCTGTGTCAGTCACTGCAGCAGGCTGCAGGGATACCAGGCAATGAACAACAAAGGCAAAAACTCTGGCTTTAATGAAATTTGTAATCCAATTGTGAGGAGACAAATACATCAAATGGAGAAGAAATATGTTAACTAACTATAAAACAACATAGATGAAAAAGGAGTGTAGATTGGGGGCAGGGTTGCTGTTTTACTGAGAGTAGTCAGTGAAGGCCCCTCTAACATGGGGCCATGTGAGCAGTGGCATGAAGCAAGTGAGAGGCAAGCTGTGGATATCAAGAGAAGAGCAAGCACAGGTCCTGAAGCGGGCGTGTGCTTCACCTGAGGAGAGCTGTGAGGCCAGTGTGGATGGGTGCGGTGACCTGGGACAAGTGGTAGGAGGTGTGATCAGAGGTCTCAACTGCTCCTTAAAACAATCCTGTGGTAGAGCTGAGCAGATGTGATTATACCTATTTTTACACATGAGGAAACTACGGCCCAAATTAAGGTGACTCACTCAAGGTCATACTTGCTAGTTGGTGGCAGGGCCAGGTCTAGCATATCTCCTAGATTCCGGAGCATTGTACTTACCAGGTATGATAAATTTTATTTTAGTTTTTGACAGAGTCTTTCTCTGTTACCCAGGCTAGAGTTCAGTGGTGTCATCAGCTACTACACCACTGAACTTTAGCCTGGGTAGCAGAGCAAGACTGTCAAAAAAAAAAAATTCTCATATCTGGTAAGTACAATGCTCTGGAATCCAGGATACATGCTAGATCTGGCCCTGCCACCAACTAGCCGCCACACCTAGCTGATTTTTTTCTTCTATTTTTTTGTACAGTTGGGGTTTCACCATGTTGCCCAGGCTGGACTTGAACTCTTGGACTCAAGCAATCCACCTGCCTTGCCTTCCTACAGTGCTGGGATTACAGGCACGAACCACCATGCCCCACCTTAACAGTTTTATTTTCTAAAGTGCTAGGACTGAGAAGAACAGACTTTAGTCTTACTTTATAATTGATTCTTTGACCAAATTGCAGTTAATCCCTGGACATTAGTTCCCACATCTGTAAAATAAGGGGAAAATATCTAGGTTGTTGTGAGAACCACAGAGGCTCATGTGGATTGGCTGGTGTGAACTGGAAAGCGCTCCACGCATGACGTGCTGCTGGGGCTGGAGTGCCCCTGTGAAAGGGGTTCTGACTCGCAAACCTAAAGTTTGTAAGTTGACCTTATTCAAGGGCAGGCTTATGTGCCAATGTGTAGCACCTTTGATTCTATAGATGTTCATATTCTGATCTTTCAAGAATGCTGAAGGTAAAGTCAAATGCAGATTCGAACAAATTTAGAAATACGTCAGTGACTCTGTGTCTTCTTTCCTGCTTATCCCTAAAGATAACACAGAAATGTAAATATGGTTTGATGTATTTAGCTGGCACAAATTTTACTACTGTGTATTTTACCTATTTCTATTTTCAGTGCATTTTTCTTTTGTAGTTTCTTCTCTTCTTTAATGTTCTGCCAAATCCCATTAACTTGTCCTTGAGCTGTGTAATCTAGAGTTTAGCTGCTGGTGGGTGATGGGGTTTGCCTGATGTGGAACCTGACCACAAGGAATAACCAGCCTTTTTTGTGAATGCTGCAGCTCAGCCGAGCCTCTGACTGCTTGAGGGCTGTTGGAGCTCCTGAAAGCTGCTGCTAGTCTGGTGTTCCTGGAGCAACACAAGCCTTATGAGGAAATTGGGACAAGTTTCGGTTCTGTTTTGGTCTCAGTTGTAGGGGAAGGACCATTTGTGGAGGAAGACCTGAGAAAGAGCTTTCCAGGCAGATGGGACAAAAAGCACAAAATGTTTGATGCAATTGAGGAACCAAAGAAAGGTCAGCATGTCTAGAGCACAGTGGACGTGGAGAAGAAACAAGATTGAAGGGGTAGTGGGCCCAGACCCTATAAGGCCTTGTCAACAGCCATGATCTGGAGCTTCTATACACATTGTAGTACATGGGAGGCAGTTTTTAAGCAAAGACATGCCATGGTATGTTTTACATTCTGGCTCTTATGAAAGCAAATGGGATCAGCGTGTATACCACTTAGGAGGCTTGTGCAGAGGTCCAGTGGCAATGTGATGGTGTCTTGGGCCAAGTGAAAGCACAGAAGTGGGGACCAGTGTTGTATTCAGGATATATGTAGAGCGCTAAGTAGTGCTAAAAGATAGAGTTGGGTAAGATGGTAAGGAAAATAATGAAATCAAGGATAATTTCTAGGTCTTCAGTGTACCCAGCTGAGTGGTGATACTATTTATTGTAAAGACGAAAGACTTAAGGAGGTGTGGATTAGCAAAGACTAGGAGACAGAGGAGGTAGCAAATCATTGATGCTGTTAGGCCATGTTATCTTGAGAGGCCTGTTACAGACACCCAAATGGGGTCATTGCTTAGGGGTTGCAACCTGGAACTCAGGGAGTTGCTGTGGGCGTGAGATACAGATTTGGGGTTCCTTAGCTTTGAAGTGGTGTTTGAAGTGATGCTCTGGATGGTTAAGATGACCCAGGAAGAAAGTGTAGCCAAGACAGAGACCTGGGATGCTCAACATTTAGCAATCTAAGAGAGGAGGAGGAGCACCTTGCAGAGGAAATGGAAAACAAGGGTTTGGTTAAAAAAAAAAGGAAAAAAAACTTTTAAAAAGAGGAACTAATATCAGTGTCTCTTTCATGGACAGAATGTTATCAACATTGTCCCTTCAAATACAAGTAGAATTCAGTGTAACTACTTGTTATAAGATTTTTTTAAATGCTTATTAAAAGGCTATATATTTTTATTCTTAAGAAATTAAATCTGTGAGTAATCAGCCACAAAAGAAGAAAATAAATTAAAAAGTATGGAAAAGAAGAGAAGCCACATAAAATTCAAAGACTCTCTCATGGCAATTCTGATTTCAAAATGCTAACATGTTGGTGTGTTTTTCCAATCTTTTCTAATACCCATAAGACATTTTTATATAATTGAGGTGATATATAGACAACTGTGTACTTTAATAATGCTCTTTTAATGCTCTTTGCACTGTACATTATAATGGAAGCAATTTCCCCTTTTATAAATTTCTAAATAAAAATTTCATACCTGCATGTATATCCTTTCACTTGTTTATTTTTTATTGACACATAATGACTATATAGATTTCTGGGGTATGTGTTATATTGATGCCTGTGTACAATATGTAATGATTAAATCCGAGTAATTAGGATATGCATCACCTCCAGCATTTATTATTCGTGTTGAGAACATCACAAATTTTTTCTTCTAGCTATTTTGAAATATACATAAATTATTGACATCTATAGTCACCCTATTGTTTATAAAACACTAGAACATATTCCTTCCAACTGTATTTTTGTACTCATAACCAACTCTTATTCTTCTTTATTCCCCTTTTCCCCCTACACTTCCCAGCTTTTGTTAACCACAATTTTACTTTCTACCTCCATGAGATCCACTTTTTTTTAGTTCCCACATACGAATGATAGTACTGTTTGTATATTTCTAAACTTGTTTTTTAAATGCTTCCAAATCTGTATCTTTATTGTTCATTGAGTAGTTTCTGCTTTCTTTGTTTTTCCTCTTAGAGGGCATAGTGAAGTAGACAACTCATCTCCTTGACCTGATATTTTCCTACTACATCAATTTACTATACAGAAAAAGTAAAAAGTCAACTGCCAGCTTAGAAATTTGACTTAGCAATATTGCCGGTAGTGAGGGAACCACTTGATATGGACAACTTGCAATTCAGCACTATCCTTCATTTTCCTTCAGCTTTAAATGAAAATTTGTTATGCATGTCGCATTCTCAGGTTAGATTTCATAACAAAACAATCCTTTAAAATATCTCAGTCAAATGAGTTTAAAAATAACAGTTTTCTTTAAAGGAACATTGCTAAAATATACAGTACTCTGCATTTGAAATTCCCCAAACATAGGAAGCTAAATATATTTTCTGCACACAGATGATCATCATCAATGTCAGTTGAGACAGTGACTATTTCTGGCCTATTGATTGAATTGAACTATATAAAAAATTATTAAAATGGCCTCGTATAAAAGACTTAAGTAAAATGCATGCCATACACCTATCTGAGTTTTAAATTTTTTTGCATTGTAGAATATCATTAATATGTCTTTAACCCTGCATATTTTTAGCCTATAGGGTAAATTTATATGTAAATTGAAAAGTAACACATAATATCATTCATTTTGTAGTAGTAAGGCTTGGATTGAGAAAAAATAGAGAGCATTCTAAGACCCTTTTAAAAAATTAAGGGATGAAAATGATTTTTAAAAAACCTAATTATTTGGATGGGAAACAAATATTTAATCAAGATGCATTGACCTAGGGAAATTAAATCATTAACAAATGATAACAATTAGAGATGTTTGATTGAGTATTCTATGTGTATTCCTGCATGTCTTTTTTTCTACTCAAAGTTTGTACCCTCAGGTTTCTATAACTACTACTTATTACAATGGATAAGATGATTTCTGTGGCCCACAATTTATCTCCCATTATATCTTGACACCATATTCTGTAAAAGATGTGCATGCAGGTGCACAGGTGTGGAAGGGAAAAGTTCTGTGAGCTTCAACTACAAGTACATCCTATCTTGGTCTTACATTGTGTATCCCTGGAAGGTTTTGTTTAGGTAGGAACTGACACATAAAATGTCTTATGTATTCATTTGTTGAAGTAAATGAAAGACAGCATTTTAGAAATGAAGGTGAGTCCAGCTTAGAGAGGATTGTACAATATGCAGAACTGGATCGAGACAACTAACCTCATGGTCCTCTTCCTCCTTTGGCAGTTTTTGCTACATAGGTCACAGAGCCACAGATTGCATGTTATTTTTAGGTCTGAATAGCAGGCTTCCTATAGATTCCCAAGGTTTTCTTTGTTAGACAGGCAGGAATAGGAGAGCAAAGGACCAGAATCTGAGGGTGAAGAGTGCGCAGAAAGACCCAAATTCAACAAACATTTTAAACATCTGCTGCATTCCAGGCACTTTGCAACAACTTTCTCATGTTCCTCCTAAATAACAATATAACACTCCTGTAAGTAGGTATTACAAGCCTATTTTACTGATGAGCAAACTGAAGTTTTGATGATGTACACAACCTGACCTGAGGGTATCTTGTGTAAAGGCCATCCTGAGATTTGAACTGAAGTCTCTTAACATTTAAGACATGATAGGGACTTTGGAATAAACAGCCCAAAAGCATGGATAAGTCTGAATGAATCCTATTTGAGATGGTTCTATCCTGTCCCTCTTCTGGTCTCCAGTGAAAAACTTATACAAACCATGGAAGATTCAAATAAAACAGAATTTTCTATTTGGAAAGGATACCTATATATATGAGAAACTTAGATACAAAGAGATTAAATTATTTACCCAAGGCCACATTGTCACTAGTAGCAAACCCAAGTCCTGAACTCTCATCCTGGGGTCTTTCAACATCCTTTCTAATAACCAATATTTGAATGAGATGGTAATTTTCTAATCAAATCTAATTTTCTCTAATCAAATAGAACTGCTTTGAATGCTGTATTCATCTGCTACGGCTGCCATATCCAGAATACCACAGATTGGATGGCTTAAACAACAGAAATTTTTCTTCCAGTTCTGGAGGCTGGAAGTCCAAGGTCAGGGTGCTGGTGGGGATGATTTCTAGAGGACTTTCTTCCTGGCTTGTAGACTGCTGCCTTTGTGCTGTGTCCTCACATGCCCTTTCCTCTGTGGTCATGCACTCCTGGTATCTTTCCCTCCTCTTACAAGGATATCATTCCTATTGGATTAGGACCCCATCCTTATGGACCTCAATTAATATTACCTTTTTAAAGGCCCTATCTCCAAATGCGGTCACATTGGATGCTAAAGCTTCAAAGGCTGAATTTTTGGGGGGACACACTTTAGTCCAGAACAGATATATAATAGGTATTAGGTTGGCGCAAAAGTAATTGCGGGTTCGCCATTAAAAGTAATATTCTACAAAAAAATAATTTCCTAGAACTATACCCGTTACTTTTAATGGCAGAACCCAGAGTTACTTTTGCACCAACCTAATATATTAGAACATTGGTTCCCTGTCAACGTAGATGGGGTAATTGACTTAACCGCGTAGATATGAAGTTGTGGCTGGATGTATTCACCTATATTATTCACATAAAATCTGTAAAATGACTTTGGGACTGTGCTTGAATTGGAGATGTGGGATTCGGGGAAGATAACTTTACTTCAGTTTCTTACTTGTTTTGGTTCTCATATGAGCGAGTGACAAGGCCACTCACAAGAGCGATGTTCCTGATGCCAAACCTCTGACATCTTTGCCTATACCCTGAAGCCAGCCCTTGAGTTGTGTGACTGAATGTCATCATTCTTGCTCCAAAGGGACTATACCAAAACCTGTCCAGGTTTGGTCAGCCAAACTCTTAAAATGTAGCAAAGAAAATGAAGATTTGGTCAGGATGGGAAGGAGGAGCAGAATCAGAAAGATAAAACTAGTGTATACACGTAGATGCCCTTTCACAAGAACGCTCACTTAATCCCAGCAAATATTCTGTGATGTAAGTAATATCCCTATTTTTATAGATGAGAAAATTGAAACTCAGTACTGTTATGTAATTTGTACAGGTTTTTAACTGGAGTGAATGGTGAAGTTTTGCTTTAAACTGGGTTTTTAAGTTCATATTCTTTTTTATCCATCTGTGTTAGATCCCTAAGTTATAAATAACAAAATATAGCATTATTTTGTAGATTATTTTTTGACAATGGCAAAATGTCACTTGGATATTCTGGCTGTCTCTATGTGAACTGTTAGGCATTTTAAAATGTGGAGTTTCAGTTATGTACCAGTTGTGACTCATCCCACAAATATTTATTAAGAACTTTGTTTAAGGGACTGTTAGGCAGTACTAAAAAAATCAAGATGAACACTGTTCTTAAGTGGCTTACACTATAGAAGAGAGAAAATATAAAGTTAAATACATGTAATGTAAAGCAGTAAGTGACAAGGGCCATCAGAGAGACAATGACCAAGTACTTGGGCAGTTAAAGAAGAGAAGGCTTTTAGACAGGAGCTCAAACACCTAACCATGCCTGTGTGATCTTGATTCTCAGAGTACATCATCCAGCATATGCTCACCACTGTCTCAATGAAACAAACAAACAAACAAACAAAACAGAGAATAATCAAATCAAAAGCAAACACCAAAAATGCGAGCTCTAACAAATCCAGAAATTTCACTGCAAAGCCTCAAGCACATGTGATAATTCAGAGGAATTCAATAAAGAAATCTTGGTTAGTAAAAGATTTTTTAATCCTCTGCTAAATGATCACAAGTTGCTTGTTGTGAGCTACTTCTCTGTGTGATTAGTACTTGTCTTTCATAGATCCACCAGTCTTCAAATGAAGTGTGAAATCTTATTCAAAGATAAATATATTGCAAAATATTTTAAATAACTCATTATAGTCCTTGGTAAAATTCTATGGATCACCTGTTGTATATAGAGATTTAACCCAAGGCCTGCCACTACTCTGGTATTTATACAAAGAGCCATTGGAATGACCTATGAACAGAAAAGTTTTAAATGAAGCAGTATCCCTAGAAACTCTGCTATACCCATCTCATCAACCCCCTTCACTTTAGGAGATATTATGGGGTTTTATTTCTGATTAACTTTCTTACATTTTTCTGTTCTGTTAGGAAATAGGCCTAATTGACTACAACCAAGGCTGCTACAAAACTAATGGAAAGAAAGAGACAAATAGTTTACGTAACTCAGTACATCATCAAGCTCTAATATGTTAGTGAATGTTTGATAATCAGTCATCAGCTGTCTGTCTGTAGAGTTGTGATGTTACCCAAAAGGTGATGAGGTGGTCCTCATTCTTAGGTTACTTAACGAAGCATCTATGGTAGGCAAAATAATAAGTCTCAAGTCTCAAATATAGCCTTACTAGGGATTACTGCTTTCAACATATGACTTGGAGAGCGAGGTGGGGGACAAATATTCAGTCCATAGCAACCATATACACTCTATATCCAGCTTTTTCTTTTGCTGTATCTTATCATTCCATGTCTATGGCAAATATTACTACAGCATTTTAATTTAGTTCAGGCATGGAGTTCTAACATAAATATACCCACAACTAGTCCCCAATCACTGGATATTTAAATCTGTTTTTCTAATTTTTGCCTGGAAGAGACCATTTTATGATGACTATTCTTGTAGCTAAATCATTGCACTCATCCTTTCATTAGCAAAAAGTAGGTATTTCTTAAATTTCTTACATTTCTTAAAATTTTTTAATTGTCTTTCAGATATACAGATATCAAATTAATGGAAAATATTTATTGTAATAAGAAAAGTAAATGCTTTTGATTCGTTCATTTCATTGAGGCATGATGTACATGCAGTAAAATGCACACATCTTAAGGGTACAGCTTGATATTTTACATATGCGAACACCTATTTGAACACCATCCAGATCAAAACACAGAACATTTCCATCATCCCAGGAACCTCTTTTATTCCCCTTTCCAGTCAGTAGCCCCTATCATCAGAAATAAACATTATTCTGATTCTTATCACCATAGTTATGCCTGTTCTTGAAGTTCAAATAGGTGGAATCACAGAGTGTATATTAACTCTTTTAGGTTTTGATTTCTTTCATTCAGTACGTTTTTGAGACTCATCCATATTGTTTCATGTGTTAGTATAGCTTCTTTTTAATTGCTGACAGTATTCTGTTGTATGGGTATGTCATAATTTATCCTCTTGTTGATGTACATTTGGGTTGTTTCCAGTTTTGGGTTATTATGAATAAAGTTGTTTTGTACATTCTAGTATTATTCTTTGTGAACATATGTGCTCATTTCTCCCAGGTACACAGATCAGAGTAGAATTGCTGCATTATGGGAACGTTATGCCTAATTTTTTCAGAAACTGCCAACAGTTTTCCCAGTGGTTGTAATATTTTACACTGTGCTTGAAATGTGTAAGTGTTAGGGTTGCTCCAAATCCTAGCTTTCACTTAATATAGCCAGTCTTTTTTTGGGGGGGAGCCATGCTAGTGGGTATGTTGTAGAAATCCACTCATTTATTTTTTTTCAATCTCAAAAAACAGTGTTTGTCTAAAATGATCGTAAATCACTAGATTTGAGGACATTTCAATTTTATAGAATGAAAGAAAATGTTAATAATATAACTTCTACTAGTCCTGCCTTTTAGTAGGTAAAAAAGCCAAAAACAGAGAAAAAAAAAATCCTGTCTATACGGTTCAAATAAAAGTTATTTTTCCTCCTTTTATTTTAAATGAGACTAGAAATTCCCTTCTCCATTTGAGGTTTGGCTTTTTAATATGAGATTCTTGCTTTAAGTTGTAAATTTCATGACTTAGTCTGTCCAGCGGTAACAGTTTGTGCTGCTACAAGCAGAATTGCTCCTCCTTCCAATTATGCATACATCCCAGTTTTTACTGTCTTCATCTCTGCTTTAGACTTTGTTGGTTATCATTTATTTCTGATGTTTAGTCACAACTGGGCCACTGGGAGTCCTGGTTCCTTTAGAAAAGACAGACACTGTATTTGCCTTATAGGACAGGCTGATGCTTCTGTCCTGGATGGGGAGGGCATTTATTTCCATGATTTTAATGGCAACATCCTGTCATTTTCACAGTCTGATATGGACCTCATTTCCTTCTTTTTTGATCCCATGAGATGGGTCCAGAAACCTCTAAGTAGCACACTGAAAAACTGGGCATGACTAAGCCACAGTAGCTCGGGGGAATAATTTTGTAGAACTTTCTCTTGTCATTTAGCCCAGTTATTTGGTGTAGAGCTTTCCCAACATTTCTCTCCCAACAGAGATCTGACTCCCTTAATCTATATCAGATGTGATGAGGAAGCCTGGAGTTTATTTTGGACTTCGTGATAGATTAGAAAATAAGCATACGCAGAGCTTCTTTCTTGCTGTTGGCAAGTGGTTTTATTTTGTTTTGACTCTTATACTGCTTTCCTGTAGTTCAGAGAGTTCTGTTGGAGTCCGATGTTTTACAAAGCCTGGGATAGTGCCACACCCAGTAGGTGCTTTGATGAGGACATTTCCCTGATGATGTTTCCCCACCTGGGTTGAAACGTGGTTCTGATAGAACTGAGAGGAAAGAGCTTACATCTGCTAGCCCTAGGATTTCAGGGATGTAAGTGCTCTCTGTAGACCACAGAAATATGCCTTTCTCTTAGTATAGGTTCTAAGAAAATGAAAAAAGAAAAATCTAATATTAGGAACAAAATTAAGCAGATAAACTAAGATTGTTTGCAATCATTTTAATCTTTCTTAGTGTTTGTAAATTACAACCTGTTAAGGCATATCGCTTTGTTCACCTATTAGATAATTTGCTGTGTGGTGTTTAGCAAGTTGCATAACTTCTCTGTATTTCTCTTTATGGGAGTTGGTACTAATGATATCCAAGGACCTTCTCACTTCAGAGGTCAGTAAGATACTGCATGGCATAGTGTCTAAGAGCACCATTCAAGAGCTGAACAGCCAGGGTTCAAATTCTTACCAAACATATGATATCTGAGTAAGTTACTCTTTTTTTTTTTTTTTGCTTTTTTTTTTTTTTTTTTTGAAATGTAGTCTCGCTCTGTTTTACAGGCTAGAGTGCGGTGGCACGATCTCGGCTCACTGCAACCTCTGCCTCCCAGGTTCAAGCAATTCTCCTGCCTCAGCCCCCTGAGTAGCTGGGATTAGAGGCATGTGCCACCACACCCAGCTAATTTTTGTATTTTTAGTAGAGATGGGGTTTCGTCATGTTGGCCAGGCTGGTCTTGAACTCCTGACCTCAGGTGATCCACCCACCTCAGCCTCCCAAAGTGCTGGGATTACAGGCATGAGCCACCACACCCGGCCATAAGTTACTCACTTTCTTGGTGCCCTATGTAAAATGGTGATTATGGTAGTGGCCACCTCACAAGATTCTAATTGTTACTTGGTGAAGGAAAAAAGCACTCCTAATTTCTCCTGGCATGGAATAATTTCTCTGAAAAGTTTGTTAACATGTCTCTGTAATGTCTGTGGTAATTTGAATTTTCTTATTTCCTAGGAACTATATTCCAAACATTCTTACTGGAATAAAGGGGAAGACAAGTTACTATTGACTTTTTGTCTAATATAGTGCTTTAATTTTATTGAAATTAATTTAGAAATCAAATTTATGTACGGTTGTGGTGTTATTATATATATTGGTTTCGTCCACCATTCCTAGCTCATAATGCCTAAAATACTTGAAATCTTCAAAGTGCTGTCTATTGTGTGTTTTTTCATCTGATAGGTTCAGAGTCACTGGAAAGACCAAGGCAGCATTAGAGGGTTGGGAGTTTTATCCCCACCCCCAACCTCTGGGGAACGGAGAAGGGCTGAAGGCCAAGCTGATCAGCAATGGCCAGTGGTATAATCAATCATGCCTATGTAATGATGCCTCTGAGTATAGAAATTCTTCCTTCTATAGAGGTTTGGTAAGAGTCAATTTTGTTTTCTTCTGGTTTTTCTAGGAGTCTGCATATGCATATACACATACTTGTGTATAATTTAATGCCTTTATATAAACATAAATGCCTTTAAAGAAAAAAGAATGCTTTTGGTATTCTCTTTATTTTCCTTCATATGAGTGGCTGACAGCACTCAAACCTAAATCCCTTGCCATTTCTTTTTTTGTTTTGTTTTGTTTTTTTTGAGATGGAGTATCCCTCTATTGCCCAGTCTGGAGTGCAGTGGTGCAATCTCGGCTCACTGCAACCTCTGCTTCCTGGATTCAAGCGATTCTCCTGCCTCAGCCTCTCGAGTAGCTGGGACTATAGGCGCATGCCACCACGCCCAGCTAGTTTTTGTATTTTTAGTAGAGATGGGGTTCCACCATATTGGCCAGGCTGGTCTCGAACTCCTGACCTCGTGATCCACCCGCCTTGGCCTCCCAAAGTGCTGGGATTACAGGCATGACCCGCCGCACCCAGCCATCCCTTCCCGTTTCAATACTCTGTTAAAAAAGCATGTGGTTCAGTGAGGTTCAGTAAGGTTCAGTAATATTATTACCCAGTGGTGAGATTATGAGAATCACAGTTGAAGAATATTTATTAAATGCTTCCTGTATGTGTCAATTTCTAGTCATAATGGACACCTTGTCCTGTAAGACCTTGTACTCAGAATGCAAACCTGGGATGCTCGGTCAGTGTTAGTTGTGAAAGCTTCCGAGCTGAGGTCTCTAGCAAAGAACATTTTTCCTCTACCCTCAGTTTCCTCATCTGTGGTCTGAACAAGTTGAACTAAATGATTTCTAAGGAGCTCAGCAGCTCTGATTGCTAAACCTCGTGTACAGAAACACATGCATACACAGATGGCTATGCAAAGATGAAACAACCATTGTCTACATGACTTCACCACTGATTTTCCAATCAGTAGCATTATACCCTTTGTTTATTTACACTCAGGGGACCAGGAGGCAACAACTGATAATAATTAAGAATTATTATAAGAGCCAAGCCACTTAGTCTGTAGGCATCTTCCCTTGGCCAAACCACCACAGCAATTAAGTGGTCATAGAAAATAGAACAGAAGGAGCCATGGTACTGATTACCCACACTTATATGTCACCTCTTAAAAGACTCCCTTGGACTTTTAAAACATCAAGAGCCTACTAAACCTCTCCTGTTGTTTGTGAAGATCCATAATCCCTCATCGAAACTTTAATCCCAGGTGTACTGTGGAATTCAAAATTTTTTCTGAGTTCAGAAATTTTGTATAGTACTTGAACTAAATTTTATGTAACATCTCCAGGTGGGGTTCAATGCAGCACCCCTACTCAAACACATTAATATTTTTCACAAGTTGGATAGATAATGACTGTAAGTAACCTGACTTCATTTCATGATAGATTTTGCCAACAAAGGAGATGTATAAAAAAAACTTTTTCTTTTTTTTTTTTTCCTTTTTTTTTTTTTTTTTTGAGACAGAGTCTCGCTCTGTCGCCCAGGCTGGAGTGCAGTGGCGCGATCTTGGCTCACTGCAAACTCCCCCTCCCGGGTTCATGCCATTCTCCTGCCTCAGCCTCCCGAGTAGCTGGGACTAAAGGCGCCCACCACCACGCCTGGCTAATTTTATGTATTTTTAGTAGAGACAGGGTTTCACCGTGTTAGCCAGGATGGTCTCAATCTCCTGACCTCGTGATCTGCCTGCCTCAGCCTCCCAAAGTGCTGGGATTACAGGCATGAGCCACCGCACCCAGCCTAAAAAAATCTTTTGGTTTCCATCACTTTTTGGATTTTGGAAATCCAAAATTTCTAAAATGTGGGCCTAAGATCTGATATTACTTTTCTGCAGAAACCTCCCAGTGATTTAGTGCAAAGAGACACTAGCAGAACCCAACTGGTGTGTAAGGCCTTTAGTCTTATGTCTCACCCAGTGGTACAGCCTTCCTCTCTCTACCTGAAATAGTAACCCCCTCCCCAAATGCCCATTCACTTGGGCCCCACTAACACTTACCAGCTCAGACATACCCCAGACATGCTTACTCCGGATGCTTTTGTTCATCTGGTTTCCTCTACCTATGACAACTCTTGTGTTCCTTTTCTCCTCATTCCTAGCCCAGCTTTTTTTCTGCTGTTAATCCTAACCACCTTCCAAGTTCCCAGTCTGAGAGGTTCTCCTAGATCTACCAGTTTGGAATGACTTTATCTCCTTTGTTCTGCCTCTGTACTCCATATCTTTATTATGGTACCTATCAGAGACTGCCAGATATTTTAGAAAGCTTGTATGTGTGTATCCTCTAGTAAATTATGAGCCCTTAAAGTAAGTGGTTCTCAAATCTTAATATGCATGCAATGCTGCTTGTTATAATGCAGATTCCTGGGTTCCTCTCTCTTTCTCAAGAGACTCATTTTCAGTAGGTTTGAGTGGGACCCAGGTAACTGCATATTAGCAAATCTCTGATTGTTTAAACCCTCCTTGAATAGGAGGAAGCTGACAGCGGGTTCTGTTCTTGAAATAAGGAGCTACACCCCAGGACTCCAGAATCAGAGCCTAAAATTGAATTGTGGCATATATATATATGTTTCTTAGTAGAGCAAAACTTGAGTCTGTCATGTCATTAGTAATATCATTGTGGGAAAGAGCCACAGCCAGTGCAAAAATGGCTAAGTGCCAACAGGCTGGCAGGTGAACACACATCCTGGGACCACACTAGATCGTGGACTTTTGAAAGCCGAAGAATTCATCTGGAAGGCTGAAGAAATCATCCTCTTTCTAGGACATTCATGTCAGAAATGCTGCTGCCTATGCTGTATTTAGGTTTCTGAGCTTGGAGAGATCCTTCTTGTAGCCCGTACTCCAGCCCCTCCAAAGACACCCCACACTCTTCTTTTTGGTGTCTAATAATGATTTTGACAAACACAATAATTAATGTAACTACTGTTCAGTGAGTTCTGTGTGCTGGTACTGTGTTAATCACTTTACATAAACTATCTCGTTTACTCCTCAAGACAACCCAAAGAGGAAGTATAATTTTTGCCTGTTACTGGTGAGGACCTCATGCTCAGAGAGGTTAGGCAGCGTGTTCGTGATAACACAACTAATGAAGGAAGGGAGGGATGTCAGCCCAGGTGAGCTGCCTGCAGAGCCTATGCTCTGATATTGCTCCAGCTACCACTTTTAACATTTAGTGTTCTGACTTACTATTATAATGGAAGCCCTACCCTATCTTCTGCGTATTTGAGAGGATTTGTTTTTTTATTCATATCTTCGAATGTCTGTGAATGACTCTGACCTCAATCCTGTATGTGTCTGGACCTCTACTAGAAAGCATTTGGCATATGGGTAGCTTACCCAACACAAGGATACACCACCAGGAGTGGCTGAGTGCTACGGGAGCTCTTAACAGAAGAGAAAGTTATTGCGACTCCTCCTAACCGCCTTCCTTTCACTGGACATGAATGCCAGTAAACCTAGTCCTGTTGTTGAAGTCAGAACTGAAGAATGGGCCCTCTAGATAGAATGTAAGCACATTGCATTTAAATCTCTTTTCCTTAATGGTACAATTAGGCAGGGATAAACAGTGTTAACATGTTGGAATTCCTCGTGGTTTTTATTTCCTGGCTACAGTCAATCAAATGGTCATTTCACAATGAAAAAAATCTGGACACTTTTGTGTTCTGTGCCTTGCTCCTTTGCTGCTGATATTGGAAAATACCACTATTTTGGCCAACTATAAATTAGACTGATTTCTGTGAGAAAAACAGTTCTTGGGAACATTTAGTAGCTTAACACGTGGACCATGGTTAGTGTTTGAGATAAAAATAGAGATATTGACTTGGGCTTATTCGCTTAGAAAAAAATCTCATTTTAGAGGTTAGTACTAACACACGAGAAAGAAAAATAGCCAGACAAGCTCAAGGCAAATATCATAAAACCAGTGGGATATGATATGGAAGGAGCTAGAGAAATTTTCCTGAGCATTAAAAAAAAAAAAAGAGAGAGAGAAATAAGGAGAAGAGTTAGAATGGAAAACTTTTAAAATAAAGATTCAGGGAAGTTGTGCAATTGGGAAGCCACGGTCTCCATGAGCCTTTCGTCTGCTAGCTACCACTTTGTACACAATGCAAGAGTTCCTTAGGCTGGTAGAGAGGGGTATTCTGTCCCTGCCCCATTGTCTATAGAGAAAAGTTAATGCAGATGTGAGCAGAGTTGTGAGATGTGGTAAGTACCCCATAAAGCAAACACATGTGAGCAAAGCAAACTCTCAGGTGATAAATATAGCCAAAAGAAAATGCTGTGTTCTATGGATTGGGGGATATGGAATCTGCTTAGGGCTCTTCTCATCAGCATTAAGTTTCCTGTCTGGGGGACACTGACCTTTCCTGGTTCTCCCCCAGTTAACTACACTATCTCTAGTCCACGCTGTCCTGGTTGTCTAGTAAATATTTCCACCTGACCTAAATCCAGGCCAATACAGCACCTCCTGGCATCCCCTTGTATATTCCTACATGGTTTACTACATCACCCTCTAATCACTTTCCCCAACCTAGATATCTTAGCATTAGACTTGGACTTCCAATTCTTTCACCTTTTACATTCAAGAGAGTCCCTAAGTCCTCATCATTTTACACTGGTTTATTTCAGACCTACGTCTTCTCTCTTATGAGACCCTGAGATACTTTCCAAATTGGTCTTTGTCTTTTTGTCCATTTCCATTCAGGCAATCCTCAACTCTGCAAAAACTTTTTTATTTCTAAAATGCAAGCTGAATTTTAATAGTCTTGCCTAATTTTCTAAAACCATGTTCAAATTCCCTAACATGACTTAATCTGTTTCCATTCTACTTTTACCATAGAACCTGTATAACACATGTTTTTTTCTTTTCCCTGATTTGATGCTATAACCCTATTTCTATGATCCTTGGTCCTGATTTTTATTCTTATTTATATTTAATTATCATTTTGTGTTATATGGTCTTTTTATAAAATGCCACTAACCCAAAAGAGGAATGACTAGACTGAAGTTCAGACTTAGAATTATTTTACTGTAAAGCTAGCTGTTCCTTAAAGGCATTGATATTTGTGATCTTACAGTTACTAAGGAAGTCTGTTTTCTAATTTGGGAATTTCTGGAAAATGTTAATGGGAGGTACATATATTTTATTGCCATTTGAAGACAACAAAATGAAGTAACTGACCATTGAGTATCCCTGTAGCCCTAATTTTTATTTGTTAGGCATTTGTGTTAGGGATTATTCACAAAACTTTAGTCATAATTGGAAGTCACAGGTCCCACATTAGTACCCCATATTTTGCACAGATGGAGGCTTTTTTGTTTTTATATATATTGCCTGTTACCTAACACTCTTAAGTGCTTGGGAATTTCCCAACTGAGCAAGACAGCACTGCTTGGCGAATAAGAACACAGACCCTGAAGCCAGATAGCCAAAGCTCTGATCTCTGTTCTGCAACTTAGCTGTGTGGTCTAGAGCAAATTCCTTAATTTTTGTGTACCTTGGTTTCTCCATGTGTAAAATGGATTTAAGTGGTAAGTTCTTTAGGTTTGTGGCCAAGATTAAATAAGTTAATATATGCAGAATACTTTGAATAGGTCCTGGCACATGATAAGCACTCACATCCCAAGTGTTAGCTATTGTTGTTTTTGTCATTAGAGCTGTATTGTTCATACGAAAGGCTAGTTTCTCTGTAAATATTACTATCATTAGATCAAAATCAATAATTTTTAGACAGTCACTATCTCTGGGCATTTGAGTCTCTGGGATCTACTACCACAGCTCACCTAGAAAACAGTGGTCAGGTTGTGTGCACCATACCTGCAGGAGAGACAGCCCAAGCCCCTCTGCAGCCTGGCTGTTGAGAGTGCCATTCCTGGGCTCTCCTGCTGAATGTCTCTTGGCAGAGCACTTCAAAGCAGCGGAATGTGGAAAATGAGGCTCATTCTGCTCCCTCTTCAGGGCTGTGGGAGTTCTAGTTACAGTAATTGATAGTTGAGAACGTGCAAGGTCCACTCGGCTCTCTCCCATTTCTGCCCAAGCCCCTGCTCCTGCTTGATAACATCTTAGTAATGTGCCTCATATTTGATGTTCTCCCACATGGCCCATTGCAGCTCTCATGGTCTGCAGGCCAGATGGAGCCAGTGTGGGAACAGCATGGCCCGGAGGATTGCAACTCAGTGCTGTCAATGGGATGCCAGAGCACAAGGACCAGAGTTCAGAAACCTGCTCTGGCAGTCTGCTCCGAATGCTCATGGAAGACAACATGGAGAGGGGGCGGGGGGTCCCTGCCCTCTGCATGACTTTTCTGGGAAGAAAAAGACTCAAACCAAGGGGTGTGGTTGGCCCAGAATCAGAATTGCTTTCTAAGGATGCAACTCCATGATTTCTTCCTCCTCAGAATTATTTCCCCCCTTGAAGAATATAGAAACATCTGGCTCATTTACCAAGTCCTCTGGCAACCTCTGAAATTTCTAAAGCAGAATAGCTCGCTAGATACATCAATTTAAAAAATTCTAAAAATAAATACTTCCACCTAAAATCAGAATTTGCACCTAGAATATTTTTCTTTCTCTCCCCTTTCTTCTACCCTCTTTTCCCCCCACTTTCCTCCTTGTTTTCCTTCCACTTTTTTTCTCTCTACTGACCTCTTTCCTTTTTAAAAAAAAAAAATAATGTATACATTACCTTTGTATTGACTGTCTGCATTGCATAAGATGCTCTGAATACATGGGGGAGCAAGACAGACACTACCCCATAGAACCTAATGTGTACATGTGTTGGGGGTAATCTAATAATTTCAAACATATATAGTTATATACTGAGATACTTACCAGGAAAGAAAAGTACTAAGAGCCAGGAACATTTATAAAGGGAACCTGATCTGGTCCAGTTGTAGGAAGGCTTTCCAGGGTATGTGGCTCTTGAGCTTTCCTCTGAAAGATTAATGGGGGTTAACAAAAAGTGAAAGAGCAGGAAAGTCATTCCAGGAAGAGGAAATGTTCTGCACCAGGATAATCAGATGGAAGAAGCCTTACATGTTCAAGACATTAGAAGAAGTTTTATTATAGAAATGTCAGAAGAGAAGGAACACAGTATTCCATTAGAGTTATCTTTTAGTTTGGTGTGGGAGATTTTATGTATGTATTGAACAAATCAAAGCTTTACCTAAATAGTTTTTCTAGATAAACTTTTCTAAGATATAAAGGAAATATGGGTACCCTCAAGGCTAATATTAGTGGGGTAAAATGAATATTGGTTTTCCTCTATTTAGTGAAATGAGATAGATTATAGTATTCATAAGGAATTCTAAGTAAATTTCTTTAGAGAGGGTCGGGCAGGTCTCCTGACAGTTTTCTTTCTTTACAGGATGGGGAACAGGGAATGAATTAATGGTGAGGTTTTAGTGTGAAATGAAATTGTGGTATTTACTAATGTCTTAATAATATTTTCTTAGTCTTTTGACATTCAGGCTAACCATATACAGGATATGAACTGAGTATTCAAGGCATAGGTAACCCCTATTTATCCTTCAGAGGGAGCAGCACTGTGGAGAGATGGACTCAAGCCCCCAATATACTGCCCTATTCTTTATTTAAATAGGCACTTTTTGTCTAAAAAGGAAACGTTCATAAGTCTGTTAGGAGGACTCCACGGTTTGTGGAAGCAGTTTCTTCTCCTAATTTGTTTTCAGGCCTTGTTTGCATCCGTAATTAACATACTGTCCAAAGTTATCTGTGCACAGAAGACATTACGAGCCCTTCCTTAGGAAACTCCTGGAGAACAAGGACATAACTGAGCAAGAGGAAGACAGATACAAGAAGAAGGGATTCAACACAGGAAAAAAGTAAAGACAAGTTTCAGGATAAAGGTCAAAATAGAGCCCAGATGGCAGCAGTGCACTGGCACAAACAACTTGCCTGTTGAAAATGTAATTCTACCCTGATACTTGATTGTTAGCTTGGCTGGGTATAGAATTCTAAGTTGAAATAAGTGTACCAAATTAAATAAAGGATAGAGCAATCAGCTGGGAGTTTGTGCCTATCTCTCTATAGCACTGCTCCCTCTGAAGAATAAATAGGGGCTAACTCTGCCTTGAATTTCCTGTTTAATACTGTTTCAATTTATTTCAAAGGAATACATTTTTTGAAGATGTTGTGGCTTTGTATTCTAGATTCCAGTATCCTCTAGAAGTCCAAAAGGACGCTAATTTCCTTATCTTTTCTATAGGACATTTTTCCCTTCCTCTCTGAAAGCTTGTAAGATCTTCTTTTAATCCCTAGTATTCAGCAATTTCACAGTAATATATCTAGGAGTGGTTTCTTTTCATCTATTGTACTAGTAGTTAGTGGGTCCCTTCAGTGTTGGAATTAATTTTTTTTTAGTTTTCTTGAATTAATTTCATGCATGATCCTCCTCCACCTGACCCTCGTGTTTTCTATGTGCATCTTTTTGTTGTTGTTGTTCGGTACTTTGTTATTCAGATGTTGAGGATCTTGTGATGAATATTGTGAATTATCCCACATCCATGCCAACCTCCTTCCAGTTTACCTTTGTGTACTGCAGGGGCTAGAAGGATAGACACTGTTTCTAAGATCTTTTGCAGTTAGTGTTCTGAATGTGATTTAGATTTGACTTTACTTCTTTCTGTTCTGTTGGCAGGTATGGCCATGGAAGCTTTTTACTCTGGGACAGCATTAGCAGGCATCCCAGTGTTTGGGCACTAGCTCTGTGAGGTCAAGAAGCAGACTGCTTGTCATCCATTTTGCTTGTATGGATTGTGGCAGGCACAGCCTGGCTTTGCAGTCCATAGCAATACCTATGACTCCCTGATCCTGGCAGTAATAACATGCTTCTGGAATTAGTGGCTCTAGTGGCAGTTTGCCACTTCAGGAGGCAGTCTCTGGATGTTAGAAGAGGTGAAGCTCCCTTTGTGGCTTAGTTCTCTGGTACAGTTGGGGAGTTGTACTGAAAGCTCAACTTCAAGTGTGCTTCTTTAGCTGTCTTAGAGATTATGTTATTTAATGTATGGTAAGAAATAATTTCTGCTAAAACTAAATAACATGAATTATTTTCTCTGCAAAGGATCCTGATTAGTATGACTCTCCTGGATTGATTCTTCTAATTTCTTTTTACTTTTTTCCCGTCTTCCAACCCTATTTTTGGGAGGAGATTTTCTTAACTTTAGTTTCTAACTTTACAATTGAGTAATTGAGCTTTACAAATTCATACACACACATACATATAATATGTAAGTACACTTTTTTCTTTTCTGGGTATTCTTTTTTTTTCTTTTTTTATTTTATTATTATTATACTTTAAGTTTAGGGTACATGTGCACAATGTGCAGGTTTGTTACATATGTATACATGTGCCATGTTGGTGTGCTGCACCCATTAACTCGTCATTTAGCATTAGGTATATCTCCTAATGCTATCCCTCCCCCCTCCCCCCACCCCACAACAGTCCCCAGAGTGTGATGTTCTTTTCTGGGTATTCTTATAGCATCCTGTTCTAGTTTTATGAATAGACCATCTTCTGTTATTTTCCTGATAGTCGTTGTTATTGTTGTTGTTGTTTTTAAGTTTTCTTCCCCCTGCCTAGTCCCTGTATATTCCTGGTTGCTTTTGACGGTCTGTTTAGGACTCTAACTTTCATGCTAGAGACTTGGCTCAGTGATTCTTGGTGGTTGGCTCATATTTAAGAAGAGGACCTTAAAAGTCAATTAGAAACCCTGAGCATGTCATTGGGTGTTGTTACCTGGGACTTCATGATAAGGTGGCCTGGCTGTGCTGTTTAATGGGGAAGCCCCTGATGTCACCATCTTCATGATTTTTTTCTTGTCTAGGTGAGATTCCCCAGGGAAGGGTTTTCTAATCTGCCTGTAAAAAGTATGGTCTGGCTGCCAGGGTCCTGGGAGCTAAGTACAAAAAGAGGAAAAGGGGCAGGGTACTCTAAACAAGTATGCAAATGTTCTCTTTGAAGAAAACAACAACGGTAATTATTTTTAATACATTGCCACTACCCTAAACTGTGTCTGGTACATAGAGGGTTAGAAAAGTCAGGAACCTACCCATAAAAGCAGAGAAAGGGATTGGGGCATCTAAATATTTTCTGGAACAGACTTTGAACCATTCTTTTTTTTTTTTTTTTGAGACGGAGTCTAGCTCTGTCACCAGGCTGGAGTACAGTGACGCAATCTCAGCTCACTGCAGCCTACACCTCCCGGATTCAAGCAATTCTCTTGCCTCAGCCTCCTGAGTAGCAGGGATTACACGCACATGCTGCCACGCCCAGCTAATTTTTGTATTTTTTAGTAGAGATGGGGTTTCACCATATTAGCCAGGCTGGGCTCGATCCTCTGACCTCATGATCTGCCCACCTCGGCCTCCCAAAATGGTGGGATTACAGAGGTGAGCCACCGCACCCAGCCCATTTTTTCTATCTTAGCTCTATCTCACCCCTACTTCCAAAGGTAGTGATGATGCCTTAAAATCCTTAGATTTGGGGAGATTCTCTGATGTATATTGGGTGGGTTGCTTTGTGGCTTTTCCCTACTGCCAGCTTAGGTTTTAGCTTTCTTGTGCCTGTTTGGGTCATTAACCACCTATCCATTTGTAATATAGCTTGCAAAGTTTTGTTGATGTTGTGTTCTCTTCCATTTCATTTGTCTTTGGGTTTGTGCCTTTAAAAGATAATCTCCTTAGTCACTTTAGTGAGGTTTAAGAGAAACCACAAGTAAAGGCATGTGTTCAGACCATGGTCTTGACCTGGAATTTGGTTACCTTTTCTATGAATCATGAAGAACAGAAGTATATTGGCTTTGCTTTCCTTATCATCACGTGATTAATTATTAAAATTGTGTACTATATGTCTTTAAACTGTGTATTAAACTTAATTTTGTATGAGTGTGTCTAAGCTTAAAATAGAGTGGAGAATAGCAAAAATAAAGAAATGCAGTGTGTCCTAAAATATGCAGCAATTTCCTTCCCTCACTGCTAGTAGGACTTGCATCAAGCTGCATTAGCACCAAAAATGTATTCTTTACGCTGACTTGACGATACTTAGTGGGAAGCATCTGCAGTCAACATCTCTGCCTTAAACCCCTGGCACAGGGAGAGGGGTGGGTTTTGGTTTTCCTTTAGTGTGTTTTATGTGATGGTAATTTATATTTGCCACCCAAATAGTGTACTTTTGGGGCATTTACTATTAGGGAGTTGTGGCAAATCAGAAATGATTTGCCTGAGTTCAGTGAAACCTTTCACATCAGCACATTCTCACTGTTTTTCATCCCTGGTGCCTACAGCAAAGATTTAATAAGCCCTGTTTGCAAAACAAAAAGAGAAAAAGAGTAATGGCTCAATGGAAGCCTCCATTAATGTTTGAGACCACTGACTGTTGAATCCAAATATAGATTTTAGGAAGAAGGGCTGAGGAGAGTGAATTTCCTCTAAAAGATAAACCTTTTCATCTTTGCTATGAGATTAAAATTGAATCATGAAAGTGGAAAAATTAATAGTTGGGAATGTGTTCTAAGTATGATGCTTACTTTTTGTTGAGAATTCCTTAGTTGCTAGTGATGATAAATTAACAGGTTCAGAATTTTGCTGATTTTCAGGAAAAAAAATAAGGATGAATACATGATTTACCTTTACCGCTTTTTATAAAAGTCATAATGAAATAAAGCACCAAAGTGTAGAGAAATGTTATATGTATTATAATAGTTTAGGAAGCTTTTTGTTAAGGCCTTAACTATCAAGAGCTTATACATTTCTGGAAGTAAAATAATACCTTTCCTGCCAAAATACCTTCTCATTCATGCTTTGAGTCCTGATGTCACTTTGGGTAGGACAGAAGCTAGATGAAATTCTGTAGTTGCATGTTTATTGTTTAGAAACTCAATGCAAGGGATTTCATGACTCTTTTGGGAGGGTTCAGAAAGTAGAAGGCATAGCTCAATACCTGTGGATTGGATTCAAGAAAGAAACAGCAAGATATTCTACAATGCTTGACTAGGAGTTGGGAAACTTGGATTTTAATCTGGATTTATCTACTTATTAGTTACAAGTCCTTCTCAATTGCTTTATTGGTGTTTTTTAAAATTCTAAGGTAGCTAAAATGCATGTGGCACAAGAATAATGTGATACAGTATGAGAGTGTTACTTTGAATACCAGGTTTAAGTTCAGACTGCACAAAGTGTTGGCAAATGTGTAAATAGTTAAAGTTAATGTGAAATGACAAGTCATAAAGGGTGAACAGAATTGTTGGCAATCCACAGAGTAATTAATACTACCAAATTCCAGAATAAAATAACAAGAACATGTCATCTGAATTGTAGATGAGTTCTAGATAGCAAAGATTTCTCAGAGATGGTTATTATGATAACCAGCATTTATTGAATACTTAATATGTCAGGTCCTGTATTAAGGTCATTAGATGCATTATCATTTATAATCTTTATAATAACTTGGATTTACAGTTACTGTTATTGTTCCTATTTTATAGGTAAGAACATGGAGGTATAAAGTATCCCAACCAAAATCGTACAGATAAGAAATGGCAGCTCAGGCACTTGTAGCTGGGTCTTTTTGACTCCAAAGCAAGGTGTTTTTAACCACTATGTAATATTTCAAAAATTGGCACCAATTGAGAATTATATCAGAATAAAATATCAGAAATAGCTAATGTTTCCCTCCTTTTTTGTGAACTCAAAGCGATTGGGGCAAGTAGAAGTTTCGCAGGTCATATACAGAAAGTGTTGTCGGAGTGTCCTGCCCTGAAGAAGATACTAACCTAGCTGAAGAAGAGGGGGATTAACCAACTGCGTAAGGAGACCAGGCAATGTGTTAACATAGAGAAAGAAGCTAGGCATGTTTACCCTGGATAAGTGCAAATTCATGAACACTAAGTTCAGATATCTGAGAATTGTAAATGAAAGGCAAACCAGATTTATTTTCTGGGACTCAAAAACCATATTCATATATTCCTGTACATGGAGTAAAAGGGCATCCATCCACAAGCAGTAGTAAATTTTCTGTTACTAGGTAGTATCACGTCACGTGGATGTCATAGAGGATGGCAACAAGCACATGGCCAATGTTCTTTAGGGTTCTTTTAACCTAAAAGTATAGATCAAAGATATTTAGATCAGTTTGGACTAAATACTGAATGCATGAGGAGGATTTCAGGGAGAAGGCAAACGTTGAGCTGATAACTGAGACAATGGATGTCATTCATCTGTGGATTGTTAACAAGTGCAATTGCTGTGACTAGCAGAGAAACTAGAAGAACCAGAGCTGTGCCTGAGTTAATGATTTGGGTCATGTTTGCTCTTCTCTGGCCCTTGGTGGCCTCCCTTGTGAAGGTAGGGGATTGAGTGTAATGGGCTTTAAGGCCTGTCTATCCTAGGTACTCTTAGAGTCCTGAGGTGGCTCTCCTGTAGCAAGCCTGCCTGGCCTTAGCAGTTTACCCTGTGGCCTTTGGATATGCCAAACCTTGAGTACAGGAAAATAGACCTTCTTCTTAGAACACTTATTTTGGAGATGGAGGGGCTCATCACAGCATGAAGACTGGCTTTTTTGGCAACACCTGGGAGAGGTGGCAGACACCTCAGAGAACCTCTCAATTCCAACGTATCAGGTGTGGTTTTTCTTTTTTTAAAGCAACGTTTTTGAATTTAAGTAAAGAATAGAAATATCACAGAAACTTTATGGTCCTCTTAGATTTTCAGATATACCCCACTAAGTTTTATCTTACCCAGAGCAGGCAGGTGGAAACCTTGAGACATTTTCCTTCTAAATAGGTGTATCATCCTTGCTTCTTGATTTTTCATGGCTAGGCCAGAACAGAGCACTGATGGGGAAGCAATGAAGTCTCGGAAAAGCTAGAAAAGCAGTCTCTTGTGTTTCCTGACAAAACTGTGGAATGTATGCTTCCTTATGCCTTTCATCTTCAGAACTTTAAAAATATTTATTTCTCATGTGACTTTACACATAAAGGCAAAAACCATGTCAAGACATAGTGAGGAGCTTTATAATTCAGCATTTCATACTGAGTGTACCTGTCATGGGGCAAAATATATAAAAACAGGATTCATAAATAATAAATTATTAATAGGGTATTCATAAACATTATAGATCCATATGCTTTACTGAATATGTGCATATTTTTGGAAAGTTAGCATTGAAGATCGATTTGCCAGGAGAACTACTTTGGTGCAAAGTCATTCTATGTGTATGCTTTGGGAGAAGACACAGAGGCACAGTCTCTGAAGCACCATGTCAGCGCATGCCGCCCATCTTGCACTGACGGTTGGTTCACGTAGGCAGTGCTTTGGGTTTTTTGTTTGTTTGTTTGTTTGTTTATTGCTTTTGGAAAGTAAGCTATATTAGAATTACTGTCCGCTGGAAAATGAGTCAAAATAGGATTCCTTTATTGTGTCATTGTAATTTAAAATGAAAATTTGTTGATTCAGAAATGGAGATGTTGGTACCTTCTGTTTCTGAATTTCCATTAGGAATGGAAGATGGAAATCAGGAGCTGTTTGCAGCTGTTCTTCAGGTCATTTTAACCAAAACTCTTTAAAACTATATTTGAAGATATGAATGTGTTTTGACAAGAGGAAATTGTTCTAGTTTTTCTCTAGTATACCTTTTAAGGATTAGATTAGTCTGCAGCCAGTCCCACTCCACAGAATGTAGGTGGCTGATGGATCCTTTGAATCTTAATAATTTGTGGAAGCCTTCTTTTTCTTTGTCTTCTGAATAAGATGTGCCCCCCCACCTTTTTTTTTGGCAGAGATAGCTATACAGTTACATGCTAAAAATTGATTATGAAATTTATTAAAGAGAAGACAGCCTTTAATAAAAGAGGGGTTTTAATATTAAAGAGGAGAGTTAATGTTTTTAGTTGTCCCCTATGTTTAAACCTTGTTTTAAACATAGCTTTTTCTTTTGTTTGCCAATTACTTAAGAGCTTGTGTTGTAGGAAACTTCCAATTCAAAACATGTTTTAAAAACCATTCTTTTTTGGGGAGGATAGTCTGACATTTCCATTTGCTTTTGCAGAAGAATCCCAGGGGGATTAAACACTATAGAAGAACAAAAACTGGTGAGTAAGCCAGATCTCAGAACCAAATCTTCACAGTGGAAACTCTACTGACTAATTCCAGCCCAGTGATTCCAGTGGGTCATTTTTTTTGTAATAAATAGAATATCTGGGAAGTTTTTCACATCTAATAGCCGCCTTTGAAAGTATTCAACATGGGTGCTTTAGGAAATAAGGGGTTTCCGTATCTAGATAGTTGGAGATTTAATATTTGAGGCTTCTACCATTCATGAGCACTGTCTCCATGGTTTATGTCATAAATTTTTGTGGTTTCCTTGATACAATTTTTTACCAATACAAATTTTAATTACCAAAGTAATAGTGGTATACTTGTTGGGATCCCAGAATAGATAGAGGACATTATGTAGAGACTAAGGAAATCTGAATGAAGTATGAACTTGATTTAATAGTAATGTATCACTATGGATTCATTAATTGTTACAAATGTTCCTTTACCACTTTTTTGTAAATCTAAACCTATTCTAAAATAAAGAGTGTATTTTTTAAAAAAAAACATGCTTTTAGCAGTATTTCTATACTTGAGAAGTACTCTGTTTACAGAGAAGTAAACACTCAGAGGAACACCATATCTATGTGTGTGTTTGTAGTTATGAGACATATTCACATATTGTTTCATAATTTCCTTTTCTAAATGAACATCTTTCCATGTCACTAAATATTTTATAGCATTATAGTTGTTGCATATTTAATTATGTGAAAATACAACAGAATGCATGTAACTAATCCCTTTTATTGGAAATTGAAGTCATTATCCATATTTCATTACTATAAACAATGTCATGACCTAACTATGTAATTAAAGCTTTATTCACATTCACTATTATTTTCTCAGGAGCAGTTCCTAGAAATATTACTGACTGAAAGAATATACAAAGTTTCAAAAGTGTTGCCAGCTTTTAGATACGTAAATTTGAATTACATATCAAGTGGAGCTGATTATGTATGAAGGATTATATGAACAAATAAACTTATAGTGGAGAGGTGGTAGGCTAGAGCTAGGCTGATTTAAGGGTTCTATCTATCAATGAATTTAGTAATTTATTTATGAATGTATTCCCTTGCTGAGAATGACTAGGGGTGGGGTAGTGAACTAGAAGAGAATGATCAAATAAATAAAGCCCCAGGGAGGCATGTGAAAGAGAACTGAGTGAATACAGGTCAGTTCAGGCTTGGCAAGAAGCAGAGTACTAGAAACACGTAAGGCAGCTCTGTGATTGGGTGTATTCATCTCCTGTTGGGTCCAGTGAGGAGACACACAGTTCTGCTTGAGCTTCAAGCATCTCAAGGTTAAGGAAGTTGGGACCAAGTCCCTTAGGTATGGGAAAGCCCCTCTTTTTTTTTTTTTTTTTTTTTTTTTTTTTTTTTTTTGAGACGGAGTCTCGCTCTGTCGCCCAGGCTGGAGTGCAGTGGCGGGATCTCGGCTCACTGCAAGCTCCGCCTCCCGGGTTCACGCCATTCTCCTGCCTCAGCCTCCCAAGTAGCTGGGACTACAGGCGCCCGCCACTACGCCCGGCTAATTTTTTGTATTTTTAGTAGAGACGGGGTTTCACCGTTTTAGCCGGGATGGTCGCGATCTCCTGACCTCGTGATCCGCCCGCCTCGGCCTCCCAAAGTGCTGGGATTACAGGCGTGAGCCACCGCGCCCGGCCGAAAGCCCCTCTTATGCTCAGTCACCCAGAGGAAGGGTAGGCATTGATGGGCAGTTCAGGTAGGAACTGGTCTTGAGATAGGTTAAGATGTGATAGTGAGAGGAGGGCCCTGCCAATGTATAGGAAGGAGAAAACTAACTTCCTGATTTGCACCTCCCAGTCTGTAGGCCACTGGCCTCCAATTTTTGGCAAATTGGAGATCTTCCCCATTCATAGAGATATTCGTAAATCCATCCTGCACATCTTCGCTCCAGCCAACCACTAGCCCCTGTACACACAGTTGCTCTGTATTCCCCACCCTTTTGGCAGCTACATTTCAGAGTGATGACTGGAGCTAGGCCTACTCTTAACATTGTCATTATTTTTCACAAGCAAGTCAGCCCAGGTCACCAGCTTCTTAAAAATGTATGCTTGTCATTGCTAGGAACAGTCCTCATGTGATTTTTCAGTCTGTCCCTCTGCCTTCAGGGAGGTTATGTAAACTCCAGTCTAGCACAGCTGCCTTCATATCATGACTGGCTATAAATGGACTTCCATAGTAAGTTGTGTCTTTATATTCAGATACACTAAATTTATGAATGTCATCTCTGCTGTTTTACTTCAGCTTGTCATTCTTAACATTTTCTTGATTCAGGTGTTTTCCCACTATACAGTTTAAATGCCTTTTTCATGGTATTTTGAATGGAGTCTCAAATACTTGAGTTATTTTCTCAAGTCTATTCCCTAGACAGGGATTTGCTTTTCTGCCATTATTTAAAGAGTATTCCAATGTAAACTACATCTGCTGGCTGGAGCCCTGGCCACCCACCATGGCCTTTAGAAAGAGAAGATTCAGGAAGTAGTGGAGTTCCAAGAAAGTATAGAGAAAGCTGCCTCTGAGTTTTACCCTTCAATTAGTGGCCCACAGACACTGAACACAGCCTGAGCCTTTCCCAAAGTTCCCACTGTTCTGTTCAGATTTGTAGAAAAAAAAAAAACAGAAGCAGATCAAACCTCTGGACAGCTCACTGGAGGTAACATTACCTGCAAAGTAAGGTGTATGGGGAAGCAAGTAGATAGTAGAGGAATGAAAAGTGTGTGAGAATAATGCTTTCAAAACAGTAGGATAGTATCTGAAAAGTATCCTTGGTTTTTGGATTTTCAAAACAATGAGAAAACACAGTTGCAGTGGATGAATGTCGGAACCTTATGAAATGTGACTCATCTGACCTTTCAGAGATTGGAACTGCCCCACAGTGCTGTTCTGCTAACTCTTCTTCTCTGCCCTCTAAAGTCCCTGCTTCCCTTTCTTTCCTTTTTAGTACCGGGGTGTACATAATCGATCCATCATAATCATCAGTTCATGACATGTTCTCATCATTGATCCATAGCACGGCCTTGTTTTTGTATTTGGTCATTTAAAATAAATGTCTGTTTTATTGTATTAATGGGAACTGGGATATTTCCAGATTTTTGCTCTCATGGCTCCCTTTACCTTTCATTTTCAATACAGAGCCCAAATACTCAGCACCAGATGGTAGGGAGCAATGCATCATGTACCTGGCCTACAGTTTCTGCACTAGAGACGTGGTCCTTTTACTGACTTCCTGTACGTTTCCTGGTTATGACCCTCCCCATCCTTCAGAGGATCTTCCTCTCTATGCACGTTGAGGCTGATGAGACAAGCCTCTGTTGTACCTGTGGCACAGTAAACATGTGGACATGAACTAAGCATTAATGTACCCCCAAGAGGTTGGGAATAGATTTTCCATTCTCTGGAAAATTTTCACAATCTTTGCTCCTGTGCCTAGTTGCTATGTCTTGTTTTGTTTTGTTTTGTTTTTTTCAACACCAGAAGCAAATTCCTAGTGGTGCCTAACTAAGGAAACTTTCCGCTGGTTTCCCTGGGGAATATTGTGAACAATATAGTGAATTAGTAAGTACTTTTTAAAATGTTTTCCCAGCACCCTTTAGCACAAGACAACTCGGGACATGACAAGGAGAGAAGACAGATGCCAGTTCAGTAACTAATGTCATATCTTAGTCTTTCACTCACAGAGGCAGCCAGTCCCTTCTCAGACTACATGACTGTCGAACATAGTGGTAGAAACAGATTCATGACTTAATAGATGACGAAAGGGAGTATACACCAAGAGGATAGAAAGGAGCAAGAAACAAATCATCTCCAGGTTGCCCCCATGTTGGTGGTGGGTTCGGAGCAGGCAGCCAGACACCCTCAGCGGGCATTTGCTGCCATCTGTTGCCCCTCAGGAGCTGCCCTACCACTGTGTGGGAATTGTGATCTCTGCTTGGCTTTTTATTGTTCACAGGGGGCAACTCCTGCCAACCAAGATCCTGTTTCTCTATTGTAAAAAGAGTGCCTGGAGCTTAGAGAAAGAAAGGCGACGTGGAAAGGCAAGAAACATTAAAAGGAGAGGAATAAAATGGATTCTGTCAACTTGTTTGTCTCCTTTTTTCCTCATCTCTTCTTAAAATAATTGGTTTAGGACCATAATAGAATCTCCATCAAACAAACCCTGAGAGTCAGTTATCTTGCATGCAAGCAAGAAAATAAAAGTGTACCAAATGAGATCATGGAGTCCGAATGAAAAGAAATATTGATCCACACTGAGAGTCAGCCTGGAGCAGGGAGGAGGGCAAGAAACTTTTTTATCTTTCGATCAATAATATCTTGATACTAAGTGTTTATTCCAGTATCAAAATGGATTACCGGAAAAGCTTTGGGGTACAAAACTCTTTACATGTAACTTTGTTCTTTTCCTTTTGTTTAAAGAAGGAAAACTTCTATTATGCTTCCATTCTCTATGTAATAAACACATTTAAATGTTGGGCTGTAGAGGAGATACAAATGACCATAGCAAAACCAATCTTACATATTATTTTCTATGTAATATTTGATTATTCATTGTTTGATAGGAATGATAAATTCAGTAGATGGAAAGTTCCTTCTTTTTCTTTAAAAGGAAGCTATTTTTTTTCTCTACTTTGTTGACATGGCTCGTAGTTTAAATTCACCTGACCATTTGTTTTTTGTTGTTTATTTTCTTAGAATTCATGTATTTTTTATCATTTTATAGGCTGTCAATAGGCTTTCTAGCATTCACTAATTTAAACATGTTTAAGGCACGTGGTCATTCAGGTCAAACACTGTATAATGAGAACTTTAGGTACAGTGTTCTTTTATAGTAATTCTTTATAGTTCACAGTTCTGTTTCAGTAAGAATAGGGAAAGGCATAATAGCTCCCTGTTAATTTGCATTGTTGACATAAATCTGTTTACACAGATATCAAGTCAGCTTCAAAGGAGAAAACATTTAGTGAATTTTAGAGAGAAGACCAGCTAATGAGGATGAAACGTGTGTTATGGTTGAACATCCCAGCGTGTCTGCTAAGAAATTCAGTTTAAGAAAAGGCCATTATCACATTGTAGTGGTGGACTGAAAAAGGTAAATAAAAATAAATTTAAAAATAAATAAATAAATAAGAAAAGGTTATTAGATATTTTAATTGAGGTCTTCTCCCAGTACTGGATCAGCTCTCTGAAAGGATTGAAGGTCACATGTGAAATTTGTGGTCAACAAAAATGTATGGAGAATTTGGTATAGGATAAAATTAGTATCTCAAATCAGTGAGGAAAAGATAAAGTGTTAAGAAATGGTGTTAGAATAACTAAATCACAATATGGAAAAAATAAAGTTGAATGCATACGTGACCCTACTTCATAAATTTCAAACAGATGAAATATTTAAATATTAAAAAGTAAAACCAGAAAATTTTTTAAGGCAGATTCTTTGGTGTAGGGAAGGATTTCCTGACCACGACTGAAAATCGTGACACCATAGAAGAAAACATTGATGAATGACTATTTTTTAAAAAAAGCATAACAAAACAAAACTGCCAAAATGTCATGGTGCAAATCCCCATAAGTCAAAAGACAAATGCCATACTGGGAGAATACTCAAATCACAAAGGGCTAATCTCCTTAGAATAGAAAAAACCACTAGAAACCATTAAGAAAAAGGTGGTCAACACAATAGAAAAATGGGCAAAAAGAAAAAATGAACAGATGATTCACTAAATACAAATGGACCTCACCAATAATAAGACAAATGCAAGTTAAAACTACACTGAGATATAATTTCTCATCTCTCAAATTGGCAAAAAGCATAGCTTGACTACACACTGTTTTGGCATGTATATGAGGAAATAGATATAGATTTCTGGTGGGAGTGCAAGATGTTACATTGCTTATAGAAGGCCAGTGGTAATATTTATTAAAATTACAAGTACATTTGCTCTTTAAGTGTGTAATCCAATCCACTTCTGGAACTTTATTCTCAAAACATACTTGCAAAATTATTTATGCAGCATTGTTTGCAATAGTAAAAGATTAGAAACAACTCACTATCCATCAGTGGGGGACTGGTTAAGTAGTTCATGTTTCATCCTTAGAATGGAGTTAATGTTATGCAGCTATACAAAGTAGGAAGAAGTTTGCTGTGAATTTAGATTTTTTCCACGAATCTTGAGGAGTTCCGAGATAAAATAATAAGGAAAAGAGGGAAGGAGGGAGGAAGGAAGGAAAGAATATGTATATAATATGCTACCTTTTGTGTAAGAAAGGGAGGAAATGAGACTGTTTATTGTTATTTCCATGTAAAGAAATTATCTAAAGGTATACAGGAAGGCAGGGGAAGAGGAATGGAAAGGAGTAGATGGACACAGAGATGGGAGTAAGATGTCTCAATATGTTATTTTTTGATTGTGTGAAAATGTATTGCATGTTTAAAATAAAATTTTAAAAAGAACAAGTAGTCAGCAAGCACTGGCAGCATTTATAAAATGGTTTTGAGGTCTTTGAGTACAGACCATCATAAAAGAGCCATTGTATTCAATTAGCAGATGTCCAGCCAATGTCTTCTGGATGCCCCAGTGAGTGACCAGATTTCTAATATGTTCACAGATGTTCTTTGTTTTGTTTAACCACGCTATATTAATAAAGCTCATACTTCTTAGCATTCCCTATAAGCTTAAGCAATACTGATTGCAATTAGGCCAAATATATACCTGCTGAATTGAACTCTTCAAAGTAGAGTTTTATGAGAAGGGAAGCCAAGCTTAAAGAGTGAAATATTTTGATAATCCCTGGCATATAAGAAAATTTAAGAAAACCAACCAGGCTTAACATCTTCAGCTCAAAACACTACTTAACTGTGTGTTAAATTATAGTGCCAAAATTCATTCACTTTCCATTTGCATCTGATTCATCATTGCTCTAATTTTTAATGTTCTTAAACATTACCAGTTGAAGCTGTTAAAATCCAGTAAGTGCCTTCGCAGACCCAATTAAATGCCCAATTACCAATTTTAGGCTCTTGACTTACATTTTAAAATTAAGTGAACCTTGCCCTGCAGCTGAATTGCTAATGGATAGCGTATCTCAAGGGAAGTAAGATTCTCAGTGTTCTCTCTCAGGAACATCGTTTCCACAGTTTAAGCAGAAACACAAGTACATCATTGCTGCTTCTATGTCAAACCCCTTGTGCTGCCCCATACTAATGTGAGTTATAACTATGGGTGTCCTTGCAAGAAGAGGAAGGAGATTGAGGGCAAACATGTGTTGTCAGAGCCTGGGCAGGGGCACTGGAATAATTTCCTTTTCAAGAAAATAATAGTGCCTTTGTGTTGAGGCCAGGAAACAAGATGAGGAAGTTTGGAGTTCTGCTTTTCAATATAAATATGTATTTAACAAGATTACTTCCTAAACATTAAGTTTGAGCATAGAGTATCCAGAATTCTTGGCCAGGATATGAGTTGCCTTAAGATTCATCCCAGGTCAAGGCAATCTAAAAGAAATCAGCTGCTCTCTGGCTGGCTTTATTTCTGTACCTGTAAGGCAGGCCTTCCCGGTTAGTAGGGTTCCTCTTTTTAGTTATGGAAGCACAAGGGTAGTTTCAGAGTTAAATGAGATCTGCCTTGCTTCTCTTTTCCTTGATCCTTATCAGCCTTCCACCCACAGCACAAATGACACTGCTTTCATAAAGAAGCTGTCCTGCATCCACCAAAAACCCACCTCTCACCCCACCCCTCCACTCTGTTTGGTGTTATACACTTGTGATGATAATAAATACACAGTGCCGTATTTATCATATCCTGCCACTATTTCAACGCTTAGGAACTTGTCATTTCTCTTCTGAAATGTGAACCCCCTGATGAATATGACTGCACTTCAATCACCTTGTACCTATTTCCACCCCTCAACTCATTTCCCCTCCCGCCACCCTTACCCCTTGTGTCACTTTTCCTTCAGTATGCACACAGTAAATATTTTTTGATGAATGTTATTTGTGCCTTCAGATTTTTCCAGAAGAATAGTCACACTGCTTTATGATTCAAGTGTTGGCAGTTTAAATTCCTCTTAAGTGAAATAGAAAATTTACATAAATGTCTCATATTCGGCTATGATTCCCTCCAGGGGAATTTAGGAAAGTTATGAGCATAACATCTTTCCACTTTCAACAGAATAGATTTCTCATAGCATGAAGCTCCTTCCTGCCAAGAGTCCTCCCCTTGCTACCCCACCCCAACAGTTCATCCAACAATCTTTTTAAGAATCTCAAATGAGTCCTAAAACAATGCCTGGACATAAAGAGTTGAAGATTCTTTGTGTGTTGGACGTTTAAAATGAATAGACATTATACATTTTCAGCTTTTATGTAAAGATCAATCATACTATTTTTATCTATAAAGTGGTATTCTGTTTCTCATTTTATCAGTGAGATCTCCAGGCTTGAGAGAAGGGGCATCACAGTGGGCAGCATGCACTTCTGTGACTCATAGAATTGTGAGGGCGCTCTTAGGGTCTTTCTCATCTGGTGTTTTTGAGACCCAGATAGGAAAAGACACATGTAATGTCCATGGACAGGTAGGCAGAATGGGCACAGGACCCCCAGCCTCCTGACTCCCGGTCCAGGGCTTTCTCTCCGATGCTTCCTCCCTGTTAGAGCTGCTGCTGTTATTCAGTTAGCTGCAGTCAGTGCTAATGGGTACAAGGTTCATTCTCCATGTAGAGCAGCTTCCTTTGCAGAAGGGATTGCTTAGTTTCTAGGCCAAATCCTGTGCTGTTTTGGCCCATGATGGAGCAGGCGAGGAATGATAGGGTGATTTGATAGCAGAAACACTGGCTTCCACTGGAGAGCCATTTTAATGAGCGTGTTCCCACTCACAGGGAGTCAGGAAGGAGCATCCCCATCCTCTCAGGAGACAGCCGGTCGATGTGTAATTCTTTGAAAGAGCCACCGTGTAGTGCTGGGACCCCTGCAAAGGGACCTTGTCTAAGACCCCCAGCAGGAAACATGTTATGGATTCTCACATAAATTTCCTTCTACTTTGTTGTCTCAGCAAACAACTTTTTTCTCATATCTGAAAAATAGTCACTTAATTAGCTTTACTCTTTGAATTAAAATGACCTTCTACCTGTGACAATACATGGACCATCCTAGCTTTCTGCTTGGCTTTATGCTTTGGTGAACAAAGCTTGTTTACATTTGGGAGCGATTTGGATTCTGGCTGTGTTTCTCCAGAGCCTTTCAAGGATAGTGGCTGAGACGGCATGGGTGGGATGGACCCTATAGCATAATAAAGTCTGTACCCGTCGGTGGAACTAGGGCAAGGGGCTTTCCACACTCTTCTGAACATACCTGAGCAACACTCTATGGAAATGTTGGCTAGAAATGGAGGCTAGTAGTATAATGAGTCCCATAATACAAATCTGAAATTAGGGCATAAGCACTGGACATCAGAATCTGAGTGACTATCCCTCTCATCTCCCTTGTCCCTAGCTTTAATAGGGATGCCCTCCCCACAACACCCTGCCCTCAATTCAGACGACTGGCCAGAAAATATTCCCTGTACCCTCAAAAGGAAGAGAGAGGGAGTGAGCAATTTTCCAAGGAAAAAGCAAGTGGTTTTTTTCTTCCTCCATCTCTTAAAAATTGCCGTTACTTAAAATTTGGAAGTTCCCGTTTGGAGTGCTCAGTGAATACTAACTTTAGTTTGTGATCCTACAAATGCTTCCCTTATCTCATTTGTAGGGCAGCAGAATTGACAACGAAGGGCTTTTGCATCTGCACATCAGCAAAAGAAGGCATCTGTCTATCCAAGGTGGGCATGGTGGTCTATGCATTGTTATACATATTGTCTTAGGAAAAGAGTATGCACAGGAGTTCAGGCAGACACAGCCAGCATCAGTTATGCTTGGACACTGTTCCTGCATTCTTGTCCTACACCCTCATTGTTCCCGTCATTCAGAGAAGAGTGAACCAGGGTGTGGATTTTCATCTGCAAAATGAATCTCCTTACAAAAGAGTCCTCAGGAAAAGGGAGAAAGTTAGTGGTTGTTGTCCAACACTAAGGAGGAAAAACAAATGTCGCACGCAGAAGGCACTGACCTTTCCCGTACTTCCTTCTATGGGGACACCACAATGGCTTGAGTCCAGAGATGGAAGTCACCGTTCTCATTGTTCATTTCATTAGAATCCCAAACCAATCACTTCATAGCCATTTCCACTCCATCTTTTACTCTGTTACCTCTGGAAATGTGGCTTTTTTACCATTCATTGGGACACATGAGAGAGTGACTATGCTGTGTGTTCATTCTTCCTCCCCTGAGGGATTCAGTTTCTTCCTTTCTTTGAGTCTTTCTTCAGAACTTGCCTTCCTCTGAAAACTGTCCTGGCTCTTCTGGCTTGTTGAACCCTCTGTTGGCCCTGAACTACCATTTCTTGCTTGAATTTTTTTTTTTATCTAAATGTAACCTGAAAACCGTTGAGAAGAAGGGACTATATTCTATTTTGCCTAGAATAGCAAACTACTAATAAACAAGATCCTACGGCAAGCTTATCAGGGGATACATTTTTATTTGAGGGAGGCTTATGCGTTCTGAATTTAGAATTTTTTATAAATTCATGATGAATTTGGCTGAAGCTTCCCTTTGCGTTACCTGTAGGGTGAAAATACTTCCCAAGCAAATGAATAGAATGAATAAGATGTACAAAAACAGCTTAACCTATTAAATTACAAATAAAAAACAACCTGGCAGTTTAGGACGAACCATTTGCTTGCAAATAGCATGTTTCCATTATGTTTCTGAATCAGATTCGGCACAACAAAGTCCCAAAATGAATGTTACAGAGAAAAATAAAAAACATTTTGGGAAAGGCAAGAAGTGTGAGCTGGATTTCTGAGGAAAGCCATGTGGCAGAGGGAAGATGTAGACTTGGCCTGTGAAGGATGGACACACGTTAGATTTGGAGGAGGTGGCTGTGAAGGCATCCCAGGCATGCACAGAGTTCTAACTATAAGGATCTAAGGATGATGGCCTGTGGTCAAGAGGGTAGCCATTGCACTACCACTGGGTGGACCGTGGCATCTCCCTACTCTCGTTGACTTCCTTGACCTCTTTAGCAGAGACATATAGGAGAGAGGCATTCACTCTATCCTTGTAACAACATCAAACCCTAAAGTGGCCTTTGTTAGTCACTGTGTCAGTCACTTCCTCTAAGGCTGCTTAGAATTGTCATGATTTTGTCAACTCTTAGGGTTTTGTGATGGCCTATGTGTCTCTGCTATACAGGGTCTCAAGTGCCTTGGAACTCCAAAATGTGCATGCCTAGCATTGTATGTTATCACTGACTTCAGGTATGAAGTCACAGCAGCTGAGAAAAGATTCAATAAAAAGACACTTGGAGAACTGTGGCCGGTTATCTTATTTGTAATTCCTGATTTGCCAATGTAGGTTTGCATTGCCAGGCACAAATACATTTGTCTTTCCTTTTTTTATATTTTATTTTGCATTTTACTCCTCAATGCTTATCTTCTGAGACCCATTTGGATTTCTTATTCATACTAGAGAGTGTCTAGGAATCTGCCGATTTGCTAATAGACTAAAATTTCTGTTTGAAAAAGTAAGTCTTCGTGGGAATTTTGGCATAGTTTAGTTTCTCTGTTTATTTGTTTGATATTGTTAGTTCCTGGAAAATTTTCCTTCTTTATAGAAGTGCTGGTACTGCTTAGTGCTAAGGTATGCGGGAGGCCCAGCAAAGGCTAATTAAGAAATTACTCTGTTGGCCATGGAGGTCTGGGCCCATGGAGTCAGATGGAGGCACCAGATTATTAGTAAAGACTCTCGAGCAGATGCATTGCCTTTGTGTCCTCACACATCCCAGAGAGGCAGGTTCTTTTAAAGTTACTAGCTCTGATGAGTCAGGTGAATGTTTTGATCCATGGTCCCAGGCAATGATATTTGAGTTTAGGTTATGGAAAGACATCAGAGTTCCTGAGTTAGTGATATTCACATTTGGAAAATGTGCTCCATTCTTATCACAAGCTCTCCAGGCACCATCCAGTAGTGGGCCATGGCTTGAAAGCAGCAACGCCATGCAGACAGTCCTTGCTCTGGAGAGGAGATATTTTATCATTTGCTTCTGCAGGTAGTAAATATTCAGCTGGTTGCTGCATTGTGAGTGTTCTTGTAACCTTTGGCCCCTGACAGCATCATCTGGCACATTCCTAATGTACAGCTTGATGAAGCAAGACCTACAGCACATATTCATGGAAGTTATTCTTTCTCCATGGGAGTTATTCAAGCCATGGCAACTACTAGTTACACCTACCAACAGACTTCACGCAACACCTTTCATTTTTTAATCTTTTCTTCCTCAGTGCCATCTTCCTACTTCCAACAACCTATCACCCAATATTAATAGTGTTCATTCAGTGGATATGCTCTATTGATGTTTACTGTGTGTAAGGAACTCTGCTAAACACCTAGCTCTACTTTGATTGGGAATGGGAGCTGGAGAAGGGATAGAAGTAGAAGCCATGCCTCTCCAGTGTGAAGTTCTTTAGTGAGGAAAGGAGATAGCTTTTTCTCTCTTAAGGAGTTTAAAATGGGCTTCCTGCCATATGAAAGTAGTGAAAAAAGAACATAATGGGATGCAAAATATTGGCGTGGTTTCTAGAGAAAAAAAAAAAACATGTTTCAAATGTCAATTACATTTTTCTCTGATCTCTTTAAGAATATGGCCAAAGAATGAGCCTATAAAGCACCGTGGCAGATAACAAGATGGCCATGAGCATGTAGCATCTTAGTTTTTTAAAATGCTGGCATACTCAAATAGCAGTACTGACCAGTCCAACTCTGAATGTGAACTTGTTGTGTTTCGTATTTTTGTGATGCATTTTTAAACCATTCTACTTAGATCTGAAGGGGGACATGGAGAGCTCAGCTAGGGTCAATGGAGGACCACACAGGTGGTGGTGATGGGGTAGGGAGTCTATTTAGGAAGACTAAGTGAACCAGGACAATTTGAACATGAAGAAAACTGGAGACCATTTAAATGACAAATTTCAAGAATAGAAAATATAAGCAAATGCAAATGGCTGTAGTCATAATCTGAAAGAAGAGTTTCTTGTCACGCTTTTTAAGTATTAGGATGGGTTGTAAGTTATTTTTATGAGAGTAAAAAAGTTAGAAAAAGACACTAAAATAATGTATCTTAGAAGGTAACATGCCCAAAGGTAACATTTGGAGTGGAGAATAAACGTCTTGAGATATCTTCCCACTCTATAACTCTGTATTACCTTGATTACATAGGCAGAAGTACAAACCGTACATGTAAAATCGGTTAAGTGAACTTTAATTATGTCAAATTGGTGTAATAGGCTGAACAGAACTTTAGTTTGTACATTAAAAGAATGCAAAACATTGCTTTTGAAGGGGCCAATAGAAGTTATAATTTGCAGTGTTTTGTTGATCTAGGGACTTCACATATTTGGCCCCTCGTTAAGTACAGCTTTAAACCTAATATAGGTTACCTTCCAATGCAGAGTTGATGATTTCTGCCTCAAATTCCAGTCAAAGTAAACTGAGGTTTTAGTACCAAAATAATTTTATGCAAAGGGTTTGAAAATTCAAAATTAGTAGGTCTGTTTACTGGTATGCATGAACCTTCAATAAATTTATTATCTGCCTGACACAAACCATACTATACATAATGGTTGTTCCTGTTACTCAATTTTAATATAATGCCCTTACTTACCTTCACAGTGGAAAATAGTGACATCCAGTAAAACTAGGGAACCATACTTCATAGTGTAGACACCAAAAAGCTGGATAAGCACTGAGCTCTATCCCTGAACCCCATGGAACAAAGTTTAGGGACCACTTTTAGTGTTTACTGAGAGCAACAGCTTCTCTCTGTCATAGAGTAATGCTCAATCTGGTGACTGTTCTCTGATTCAGATTGGCTTTATCAGAATAATCTCTACTTTAGGCTGTAAGTCTGAGGGAGGGGAAGATACCGTGGGACAGGTGGATGGAAGTGTGTGGACATCATGACCAGCCGAGTTTTGAGAAGAGCGTTTTGACAGTTGTGGCTCATCTCCTTAAAACGGTTTATCCCCCAATTATGATGCGATTTAGGCACAAATTATCAGTGGAGAATTGAATAGAGAAAGCTGAGCATATCACCACTTATTCAGCACCAGAGAGTCGGGTGTTGTATTTCTTTTGTTCTGAATCTTCATCAAGGCCATGCCTGGAAAGACCCCCCAGGGATTTTTCTTAGGAAGAAATCATTTAACACAAGTGGCATCATTTATTTCGGGAATGATTCATAGGCTGCTACATAAATACTAATGATGTGTATAACAATGGGTTTCACCTTGGAATCTGCACAGAAGTCACAGAGATGCTGGCTTTCTTTATGAGAGAAGCTGCTCTTTACCACATAGCAGGATTTGGTAGTCAGGTGTGCCTGCTTATTCTTTTTTTATTTCCCCATATTGCCTTAAATGACCCTGGATTTAAAAAAAGAGAGATAGCCAATAAAGAGAGTAGGGTGGGTGAAATATTGCTAATCACAGTCACCAGTACATACAGCAAATAGGTAGTTATTTGTGATCGGAATGGAGATATGTCATGTGATGCATATTTGAGTTAAAACTCTCAGTAGGGCACCCTACCAGGTACCTGAAGAATGCAAAGACGTAGTCTTACATTTTCAGGTTATTTGCAGTCTGATAGATGAGATAGCACATGCAGGTAAATAAAAATACAAAGAATTATCTTTATTTTCCTGACATATGCAAAATGTGATGTTCAATAAGCAGTGGCCTCCAATTCATTAGGCATTGCAGTACGAACATGCCTGGGACTTCGTGACTGACCTTGAAGATTTTGGTCTGGAGAGTCAACTGCAATGAAGAGTGGGTTAGACTATCCCTTTTCTCTCTGTTTTTACTACTACCCTCTGGTCTAAGCTACTGGCAGCGCCTCTCTCCTGGGCTATTGCGGTAGAAGTTCCAAAAGGGTTTCCCTGCTTTCATGCCCACTCCTGCCATGACCTCTTTGACCTGCAGCAGTTGGAGAACACTTTTTAAAATGCAGGTCAGATCCTTTGACACTCCTGCTTCATGTTTACAAAGCCTTGTTCACCAGGGTCTCCATAATCTGCACTTGCTTTTGTCTCTGACTCCATGTATAGATATACCACAGTTTATCCATTTTCCTGCTGAGGGACATTTGGGTTGTTTCCAGTGTTTGGCTATTACAAATAAATCTGTTCTGAACATTTGTATACAAGCCAACACTTGGTATCCTTAGTATTTTTAATTTAATTTTTAATAATAGGTGTATAATATCTTATTGTGGTTTTAATTTGCTTCTCCCTAATGACTAGTAATGTTGAACATCCTTTTATGTGCTTATTTTCCATCCACATCTTCTTTAGTGAAGTGTTAAATCTTTTGCTTATTAATTTAGCTTTCTTTTGTTGAGTTTTGAGAGTTTCTAAATGTATATTCTTGATACAAGATTTTTGTTGTTGTTTGTGTTTTCAAACAGAGTCTCACTCTGTCTTCCAAGCTGGAGTGCAGTGGCATGATCTCAGCTCACTGCAACTTCTGCCTCCCCGGCTCAGGCAATCCTCCCACCTCAGCCTCCTGAGTAGCTGGAACTTTATAAGCATGTGCCACCACACCCAGCTGGTTCCTGTATTTTTTGTAGAGACAGGGTTTCACCATGTTGCCCAGGCTGGTCTCAAGCTCCTGAGCTCAAGCAATCTGCCCACCTCAGCCTCCCAAAGTACTGGGATTATAGACATGAACAACTATGCCCGGCAGATACAAGTTTATCAGATATGATTTGCAAATATGTTCTCACAGTTTGTGGCTTATCTTTTCATTATCTTAAAGAGCACAAGTTTTCCATGAAGTCCTACTTATTAACTTTATATTTCATAAATTGTGCTTTTAGTGTTATATATAGGAAATCTTTGCCGTAACCCAAGGTCATAATGATTTTCTTCGTTTTCTTCTAAAAGTGTTGTAATTTTAGGCCTTTACATTTAGATATATCACCCATTTCGATTTATTTTTTTTGTGTATAGTACAAAGTATATGCTTTGTATATACAAACTGAAATTCCTCTTTGTACATGTGGATATCCAGTTGTTCCAGTACCATTTGTTGAAAAGACTGTCCTTTCTCCATAGCATTGCCTTTTCACTTTTATTGAAAACAAGTTTTCCACATATGTACAGGTCTTTCCAGCCTCTCTATTCTGTTGCATTGATCTATGTGTCTGTCTTGATGCCAGTATTACATTGTCCTGATTAGTTTATTGTCTTGATCCATTTGTGCTTCTTGTGGCAAAATACCTGAAACTAGGCAATTATCAACCACCGACTTTTTTTCTCACAGTCCTGGAGGTGCTGATCAAGATCAAGATCAAGACACTGGCAGTTTCAGTATCTGCTCAGAGCCCAGTCTGTGCTTCCAAGATAGTGCCTTGATGCTGCATCCTCCAGAGAGATGAATGCTGTGTCCTCATATGGCAAAAGGGCAAAAGGGCCAAGCTAGTTCCCAGGTCCCTTTTAGAAGGCACTAAATTCATTCGTGAGGTTGGAGCTCTCATGGCCTGATCTCTTTCTCAAGGGCCCAACTCTTAATACTGTTGCAATGGGGATTAAGTTTTAACATGAATTTTGCAGAGTAACCATCAACCAACCATATTACACTTGGTTTTACAACAAGTCTTATATAATCAGATAGTGTAAGTCTTCCAACTTTTTTCCCACAGTTGTTTTTGCTCTTCTAGCCTTTTGAACTTCCATATGAGTTTTTAAATTAATGTGTCGTATTCTACAAAAAGAAGCCCACTGGAATTTTGATTGAGATAGCATTAAATCTTTAGATCAAATTGGGGAGAACTGACATCTTAATAATATTGAGTCTTCTGACCCATTACCATGGTATGTCTGTCCACTGGAATCTGTAGAGTATTCCTGTGGACAGACATACCATGGTTTGTTTGAGGATTATTGCCATCTTAACAACATTAAGTCCTCCAATCCTTGAATATGAGGTATTTTTACATTTCTATAAGTCTTCAATTTCTTTCAGCAATGTTGTAATGTTGTGTAGTTTTCAGTGTACAAGTCTTACACTTCTTGGTTAAACATATGCCTAAGCATTTTATTCTTTTCAATACTCTTGTAAATGGAATTGTCTTTGTTGCCTTATTGACTATTAGTCATGGTTCTCCAGAAACAGAACCAATAGAATGAGTGTATATACATACACACACATATACACACGCATATACACATATACATGCATGCACATATATATACACACATATGTACATATATACACCATGCACATATATATACACCCACACACATATATATAAAAGAGATTTATTTTAAGGAATTGGCTCACATGATCATGGAGACTGGGAAGTCCAAAATCTGCAAGGCAGGCTGGCAGGTTGGAGGCCCAAGAAGGAGCCAGTATTGCAGTACAAGTCCAAAGGCCTTCTACCAGCAGGATTCCTTCTTGCTTGGGGAGGTCAGTCTGTTGTTGTATTCAGATCTTCTACTGACTGGATGAGACCCACTCACATCAAGGAGGGTCATGTGCTTTACTCAAAGTCCACAGATTTAAATGTTAATCTCATCCAAAGTCACTTTCATCAAACCACCCAGAATAATGTTCGACTACATACCTGGGCACTGCAGGCCAGTCAAGTTGATATATCCATTACAACTGTGACTCTTGTTATTTTAGTGGTTTCGTTTAGTTATTTTAGAGTTTATAGCATATATCTTTAGCATACTCTACCTTCGAGTAATACACTACTTCATGTATAGTATGAGAACTGTCCAATAGTTCACTTTCATTTCTCCCATCCCAAATTTTGCTACTGTTGCTATATATTTTACTTTTTCATATTTTATAAACTCAATACCATATAATCTTCATACCACATTTGTTGTACAGGACTAGAGCATTGCTTGTCTAGGGCTAATTATTCCTCACTAATGAAGCAGGACTTTTATCTGTATTCTACTCAGTGCCCCAGGAATCTTGAGGTTTTTCCAGTCTGGATGATGGAAACAGGCACTATTCCCAGCCCTGTGTGAGCATGGAGTACTGTATCCTCTATTCATTTTGAGTGATTATTTTTTAAACCTCAGATAGTTTCCTCACAAACATATGATGGGAATCACTCAGCTGAATTGTCATAGGCAAATCTCTGCAGATCTCTAGAGTTTTCTCTGTGTCTCTCTTCTCTAGTACTCTGTCTTAAGAATTTTAGCCATCTTGGTATCCCTGGGTTCTCAGCACTCGCTTCAACTCAGGGAATCTGCCAGTCTCTTCCTGGGTTATTCCTCCGTGCACCACAGCCTAGAAACTCTCTCAAAGCAGTAAACTAGTACAATTGTAGGGCTCACCTTATTCATTTCCCATCTCTCAGGGGTCATTATGCTTCATTGCTTGATATACAATGCCTTAAAAACCATTGCTTCATATATTTTGTCCATTTTTGGTTACTTCAGGCAGGAGGGTAGACATAGCACTTATCTGGATTGGATGTAGCCACAGGATTAGAATTGTTGGGTCATAAAATATGTACATGTTCAGCTTTAGTAGATCTTGCCTAGAGTTTTAAAAAATTAAAAATTAAAATATTTTTTAAATTACAATAAATTCAGCTAATTTTAATTTTAGATAATTTTTATAATGTAGTTGATCTTGGTTTTAACCAGAGCATGTTGCTGGATTTTACTCCCCAGTCGAACACAGTAGAGAGAGAAGGTGGCGGGTTCTTAGTGATACCATGCACTTTTTTTTAGAACTTCAGTGCTGTATCCCTTCATTTACAATGTATGATGAAAAATACTAAAGAAGGGATGGTGGTGGTGGTGAGGAGGCAGGAGAGCCAAGAGAGCAGATAATTCTGCCTTTGCTTGACTGATAGCGGTAATTATATTTGACAGCTTATGCTTGCCAAGTAATAACAGCTTTGATTTTTCCAAAAACCTAGTGATATATGTTTAGTATCTAGTCCATTTAAAAATTCTCTCTCTGTTACTCTTTCTCCTTCAAATCTGAGTCCCTTTTTTTTCCCTTTGGAATGGCCTTCTCACATTAAAGGAGATCCATGTGCACATGACATCCTTCCATGGTTCTTTTAGACCTAATCTATGTTTTGAAAGAGGAAGCTCAGCAGCAGGTGCGTGGTATCCAGGAGCATAGTCACAGGCCCTTCCCTCACCTGCTTCCTTAGCTGCAGAAACGCTTCCATCTCTTCTCATTGTAAAGGGTTTTTTAGTTCTAAGAATGCTTTTTAGCCGCTCTTCTAGGTAAAATATGCATTGAATTTCTACCACGTATGACATTTTCCTGAAGAGAATTGCTGTTTGCCCTACACTTTTCAGTATATAATGGATAATGTTAAAGGAAAGCATAACATTAAAGAAATCTCTTTTTCAAGTTTTTATTTTCAGCCTTTGAGCTTCTTGTGGAGAAACTTAATACATTCTTGAGTCAGTTGGCCGTGACTTTGAAGCCTTTGTTTTTTGATACTCTGTAAATCTCGCCTAAGAATGGATCAAAAATGATGTTTACATCTGTTTCTAGAATTGAGGAAGTAAGAACAGAATAAGACTTTGTGACTGTAGTTAACCCCTTCCATTATCTTCCTTGTCTAATACCATAGGTGGAATTGGATTTAATCCCTTTCAGAAACCATCCGTTGTCACAACTCTGGGCATTTACTGTCTTGCTCAGACCTGTTTGTTTGTTTCACAGTTATATTACATGAAACAGACATGTTATATAAATTTTCCATATAAAATATAACTATTAGTTTGCAATAACTAATATTAACTAGGTTCTATAATTCATTGTATGTGTTCCCTTTATCCAAAATTCATGCAAATTTATTTTCTCTGCAGGTCTATGGAGAAATGTCTAAGGAAGTTAAAAAATCAAACATATTGGGAAACCTTTTGGGTTGTTGAATCTCCCTGAAATCATATTTTCAGGAAGCCTGAAACAAACAGAATTACTTAAGAGAGATGCTGCTAGAATAAGGATTGCAGGAAAAGAGATTGTTGTAAGAGGTTTTCACCCCTAAATTCCTTTCCTTCTAGTCTCTTGATATCTCTTGATATTTCTGTAACTTCTTGGTTATTACCATTTTCTTTACTCTTACTTGTAGTTCTTGGGATACTCCTCTTTTCTAGTAAGAAAATGTTCAAATACCTTAAAACTGTGGCTGAATTTTGAAACTAAACAGTTGAACCTGAAGTAAGTTCATGGTTTCTTGTGAGCACAGGAACTGTTCTTCCTTTTGTTGAGGAGCCATCAAAGGCATCAAAGAAGCAGCCACCTGACTCAAGAATGTATCAAATTATCCACAAGAAGCTCAAAGGCCAAAAATAAAAACTTAAAAAAAAATTCATTCCCTCATGGATTTATACATGCCTACCTCAGTTAGCACTCTGTATCCATTATAATAAAACCATATCGTGGTCCTAGTCTGGGGAGGGCAGTGGGGAACTCAAGCCTTCCAGGGGTTAAGGTTCCTGATTTTAAGGTTAAAATGTAATAGTCCAGGACTACCTGTCATTTACTTGAAAAAGAGAGTATCCTTTCAAAATAAAAATCTACATATTTTTACATTTAATAAAATTATCAACAGAATAAAGAAGGTTTAAAATTAAAAGGGACTAGATTTTAAAAGTACTAACTAGATCGATCTCATGTGGGCCTGTGGCATTAAAATTGCACATCCCAAAAGTAATGCCGCTTCCTCGTTGGCATATGGAAGCATTAAAACCAGCTAGTACCGCCTGCAAAGTTGGTGTAGGGCAGGCACTTGCTCTATTATTTGCATAGTTGCTAACTACTCTGGACGTAGTGCTGTGCCTTCATATTAAAGCAGCCTTCCCATAGAATTTTTTAGCAAGATGTTTTTTATTTTTCTCCTTCTACTGAAAGACTTACCCAAACTGCTTTACAAAGCAAGACATTTTCATAAAGTGGTTCCTTTTTGGCATCCCTTTTGGAGAAATTTCCTAGACTTTCCATTATCTCTTCTTCTTCCACTTTTGGAGATGAGAATGTGGTATATAGTTGGATACCTAGGAACTAGTGATACTAAGGAACTAGTGATTCAAAATCAGGAAACTTTTGTCTGGAAAACTTTTTCCTTTGTGATTATCTTTTCAGTAGACTGAGGAAATCTGCTTCCCAAAGCCCTATGCACTGATTTTATTGTTTCCTTCCACCTTTGGGGTTAATGGAGCAGGGACTGTTTAAGGGCATCCTACATTTTTCCCCAGTGGCTTGGTGCACATGACTGAAGTACCACCGTTTTTGTTGTTGCTGTTCTTTTGAGAAAAAGAAAAGAAAAGAAACAGACCTTCCTTAAAACATCCAGGTTTAGGTCGGGCATGGTGGCTCACACCTGTAATCCTAACACTCTGGGAGGACAAGGTGGGAGGATCACTGGAGCCCAGAAGTTTGAGACCAGCCTGGATAACATAGACCCCCATCTCTACAAAAAAAATAAAAGTTAGCTGGGTGTAGTGGCACACATGTGTTGTAGTCCCAGCTAGTTGGGAGGCTGATGAGGGAGGATCGCTTGAGCCCAGGAGATTGAGGCTGCACTGAGTCATGACTGCAACTGCTGCGCTCCAGCAGAGGCAACAGAGTGAGACCTGTCTTGAAAGCAAAACAGAACAAAAAACGCGCAGATTTAAGTATCCCATGTCAGACCCCTTTGGGTCCTATTGGGAATCTGGCCAGAGAGCCAGATTCTAAGATGGGAAGGAAGAAACAGAAGGAGGAGAAGGGGAGGGCCCCAGAGACAAACTTGACCATTTCACAAGTTGGTCTGGTTTGCAACTCTGGGTTACATAGCCTGCAGGGTCTAAACATTTACTATGTCCCCAAATTATAACACACTAAGAAATAGTGTGAGAAGCAAAAGATCAATCCTGTGTGGAGAGCACCATGCTCCATTTCCCACTAACTATAGCAGAGAGGATGTTTCCCTGTTCTGAAAGCATTTAAGGTAACAACCTAGATATTTTTGCTTTTATGCTTTATAAACATTCAGCCATCTTGGCTGATAGAATTGCTGGCGCAGCAGCCTCAGACCTGATATTTGTTTCTCATGGATATTGCGAAATCCACCCAGAATTATCATACACTAGAGCTTTGGAAGAACAGTAAGGAAACTAGCTCCAAATAATTATTTCTCACCTTGGCCACGTAGCCTGTTCTGTCACCACAGCAGCACCAAGAAGCCACACTCAGTTACTTCCTGAACCCTCATTTCAGAAGCTTGCTTTCTTCTTTTCCCTTAGTCACCTCTGGCACAGTCACACAGCAGCCCTGATAATATTCTATGTGAATACTGCCTCTTTTTTTTACCTCCAGCTTATTTATTTTTCATCAGCACTCTTGTTGAAATCAAAATGTCTGGTGGTTAGACTCCAGCAGAGCAGAGAGCTGAGGCATACCACACAACACGGACCTTCACTTAACTGTAAGGTCAAAATAGGGCTGCACATGATGAAAGTGTAAGGCATCTTAGGTATGTAGGTGTGGTAAATTCTGCTTTTTAGCCACCCTGAACATCAAACTATAGCTATTTAGTGCAGTTTGTTTTCCTTTTGCCCTCTTTCTTTCTTTCTTTTTTTGAGAAATGGCCACATAAAGTTATGAAGTAATTCAAGTTCAATGTGTATAGTAAATGTATAAAAATGTGTAAAAAGATGTTATTCAGCTATCTCAAATATGAGATAGTTGAGGATGTAGAGGTGGTATATACTGATTGTTTCCTTTAAAATCATATTTTAAGGATATTTATTTTATTTTTAGCCACCCTAAACATCAAAACTATAGCTATTGGGGGTGCAATCTGTTTTTCTTTTACCCCTTTTCTTCTTTCCTTTCTTTTTTACTTTTTTGAGAAATGGCCACATAAAGTTATAAAGTAATTCAAGTTCAATGTGTATAGTAAATGTAGAAAAATGTGTAAAAAGATGTTATTCAGCTATCTCAAATATGAGATAGTTGAGGATGTACAGGTGGTATATACTGATTGTCTCCTTTAAAATAATATTTTAAGGCTATTTATTTTAAATAGATAATTTGTCTCCTAGGCCAAACTGGTTTTCCTTTTTGGAATAGTTGAGGGATTATGCTGTGAATAATGAGAGTGTAGGTGTAACAGTGTGGCTTTTTGGAAAAAGTGGTCTTTCAGCCACTGGACCTTGAAACAGAGGATCTGCCTCTGAATCTTGGCGGTATATGAGCTCTTCTCCCATTTCACATAACATGCAAGTGACTTGTCTTTCTGTCTTTCTTCATTGGTCTTTGTTCCCTCTTCTACCAGTTCTACTTTCCTGACTTGTTGCAAGACCAATTTGTTATGACATGGTCTTTGTTATTGGCTGGCTTATTGGTTTTTAATTAAATAGAATTCTCTGATTGGGCACAGGCAAGGTCAGTGGTCTCCACCCTTTGAGTATAGCAAGTTTTCGAATTTTGTTTGTATAAAGTGTCTCATGGAGGGGCCATTTTTAAAAAGAGCTCTTTAGACCATTAGTTCATGAGACAGAGATGTTACTCCACTGGAGTAGTGATGGCAGTGATATTTTGGATATTCTGGACATAATAGTTTGTGTCACTGCTTCTTAACCAAAGCTGAAAGGTAGTAGCAAGTCTACATGAAAGCCAAAGAAGAGGCATGAAGCCATGAAAACCATGTTGTTTTTTCAGAGCTAATAGCAAAGCGGCCTGAATTGGGTTGCCCCCATGCTTCTGCCTGCCTCTGATACCAGTGCAGGAAGCCGGAGAATCGGCTGCTTCAGAGTGGTCTACAGTATTACCTGGGAGTCATACCCACCCTATTCCTTTAAATGCCTCTGTGTTGGTCTCTTCCCTGTGAATGTTGAAGCCATAACGGAAATCCCCTGACCTTTAAAGTCATTCAAAATAATGACTTTGGGAGTCTCTAGCATGCAGCTCTATGATATTACTGATCCAGATAATTTGGTTGCATTTTCCAGGGTGTACTGTCAATTAGCTTTCCTTTGGAAAGAGAAGGTGAATCACTGTTTTTCACTAGACATCTGGATTTTGTGTGACTGGCGTATTTTTTATCAGCTACTGACTCCCAAAACAACAAAACAATGAAATAGTTAAAGCATGCTTTCCTCAAGTATGTACTCAAAAAGTCTGGCAATGGTGTGTGTGTGTGCAAGTGTTTTGATTTCAGAAGGGGAAAGTCTTAATTTAACTCTATACGATGTGTATATAATAATATAATTTTAAGACACCTGCTTCAAAATAGAAACTAGGATGCTGGAGATAATAACAATAAACAAAAATTAAACCAACCAGGCTCAGTGCCCAGGAAAACTAGCCAGACTCCAAGAACTGGGCAAGGAATAAACTAATAGGGGAGGAAAGGCAGGAATGGATAGAGTTGCAACTGCCTCCATTAAAAATGACTGCTCTGCAGTGTGATCACTGTGGAGGAATTCCATGGGGTCATTTGTCATAATAGTTGGGGTTCCTGCATGCCTCATTTCAATGACAAACTTTCAATGGAACTTACCTTCCTTAGATGTGAATCTTAAAACATGCCCGCAATATACAGTGATCTCGAGTTGTGTTGAAGCTTTTAAAATGCTGTAAATTACTTGGAAGCAAATGGACCAGAAGTGAAAATAGGAGCTCATAACAACTTTAAAGTTAGAAAGAAAGCCTTTATGTTTCCCAGGCTTAAATGTTGTATGATTTACATAAACACAGGAGGAAATTCTCTTTGTGCATTTAGGGGTGTGTGTCTAATACAGGAACCCATGTTTTCCTGTTATTGAAAAGCCTTTTTTAATCTTTTAAGCACATTTTAAGACCTGCCTGTATTCCAGGTGTATTGTTTTCTTTAACATTAAAACGTAAGAGCAGGTCACAGCCATCAGAGAAACCTATTAGGTCTCCCATTTGTGTCATAGGAGACACAAAAAATAAATGAATCGAATTAAATGGATAGACAGAGTCCTGGGCAGACTGGTAATACTGCCTGAATTCAATTAGAGGGAATGGTTGTTCCTATTTGTGAATAGAAGACTATAAAATTTCATCTGATTGTGGGTGTTAAGGGGATGATGACTTCTTAATCATAAAAGTAAATGTAATTGGTATGAAATATTCAGAAGTTTTTAGCAAATATAACTGAAATAATGGGTGATAAACCAAAACATTATTTGAACTTAAAAACAAATCTTCACTAAATTTTGGTTGGAAGCAGAGAGAGTAGATAGTACTCAGGCCATAAAGGTGGTTTTCAGTGCTGGGAAAGTAGGGTTCTCACTAGATCTAAGGACAGTGGCCACCTTTCCTTTGTCTCTGCTCTCCTGCTTTAATGGCCCCCGACAATGAAACTGCAATAAGCTATGGAATGCGTGAACTGTAGAGTCTCCCTGCTCACCAACTGTGATTGGAGTAGGTGCTTTCTGTACTTCATCCCTTCAGAATTCTTTTTGCCATCTGTTGAGCATCTACATAGTTATTCGAAAGTGTGGAATCTGTGGGGTGATTCGAAACAAAGAATATGCCACAGATGCATAGTCTTCAGCAAGTCAGTAATTAGGATCATCTTCAATATAGCCAATAATGATTTCTACTTTCTGTAGTTCCTTTCTATTTAATTTGCTAATTCCTATAGCCAGGGTTCAGGAGAAGCTTTTAGGAAATCCCTTTAAAGACAATTAATTACTTCCTACCCTTGAGTCTCCATGTCACAAAGTAGGCAGATGTAGAAATATTCAGAGTGCCTCTCCTGGTGCCTGATGCTTGGCTTCAGTCTGAGAGGTGATGCTGTCCATCTTTAGCACAGAAAGGCTTAGGGGAAGAACTCACTGAGGCTGAGAGAAGAAATTGTCCTTTTCCTACAGGTGTGGAGGTGTGCCCAGAACACCAGATTCAATCATAATTAGATGCAAACTAGATACAAACTGAACAATATTAGAGAGCCAAATAGTTTGGGGATTTTTTGAGTTAGGGATTACTCCTCATCACTGAAGCCTAAGATGTTTACACTGGACTATAAAACTAGAAATATACCTTGCAGTTCTCTAGGGGAGCCAATTACCTTCATTTCCTTTCAAATTCAGCCTTTCCCAGTGAACCTTACCTGATGCCTGTCAGTACTATATGCTTCTTTTCCTGCAAGCTGTAATTGTGCACTTATAGCCTCCATTGAAGGTGCTTGGTGTTATTCACTTAAGTCATTTTCAGTTTGAATGGATAAACACATAAATGAAGCAGCCCTTACAATTATAATTATATTGTAAACTGCTTCAGAGTGGAGATTGTAACATCTATTTCCTTTACGTTCACCCCTGACCAAAGGCACACATATTTATTCATATTCCCTCCTTTCCCCCTCTGCCTTCTCTCTGTTATTGTGCATATACACAGTAGGTGTCCTGTAGAAACAGCACTGAATGTGGAAACAAACCACCAACTTGCAGGTGCACTAATCTGAGTGATCTTTTCTTGGCAGTGACAAACAAGAAACCCACACAGGCGTCCATCACAAAGGTCAAACAGTTTGAAGGCTCCACATCATTTGTTCGGAGATCACAGTGGATGCTCGAGCAGCTTCGCCAGGTTAATGGTATCGATCCTAATGGGGTGAGTGAATTGTCCAATGCTGAGCAAAGGCATTCTTTTCACAAGATGACTCTCTGATTGACCTTGGTAGTGGTAGTGGTGGTTTGAATCATTCTTAAGAAGGCTATTTCTCTATTTCAATTATGTGATTAAAACTTTCGGATACAGAGTCCTTTCTTATGGGAAATTATAAATCTTTTCATCATGTTTAATAGAGGAATCTAACAGAATGCATATTGAAAAAATGTGACCTCCGGTAACATTGATCAGCAAAGTACGAAGTTCAGAGTGCAGATAATCATATCGATGGTTATCAATATGGAAAAAAAAAAACATGTTTACCAAAACCTCATTTATCTCCTACTGGCACTAATGACAAGGTGTATTTACCAAAAATCAAGTAAATGAATGGTATCTTTCAGTATGCATTGTGATTCCCTTGCTTTTAATAGGAGAAACATTTTATGGCATAGTTATCTATGCAAAGTACATTCCCGTTGCTCACATGCACACCTCACAAAATGCTAATAATGAAGAATAATAAAATATAAATTGTTACTATAGACTAAAATAACAAGAGGGAATCTTCCTACCAAAGTTTAGGGGCCAGATTAATATAGGTCGTTGCTGAGAACCTAAAGGAATCCCTTTTCCAGGAAATTGGGAAGATAATACATGGTCTCAATTCTGACATTTGTCAGTGTTTAGTTAGGCTATCTCAATTTGTGTGATACTAGTTTCCTAGGAACATGTATCAATACTGTAAGATTTGGGGTTTGCTTCATAAACAGAGAAATGTAGACTCTCCATACACTTGGATAAAGATGAGCCTTATGATTGCGATCAAAGTCTTTGTTTTAGCCCTTATAAATCTTTTGACAGGAGTAATCTAGAAACAGCAGTTTTTATAGATTGAGATTAGTAGTTATTTCATTGTCTTTTCCAGGATTCGGCAGAGTTTGATTTGTTGTTTGAAAATGCTTTTGACCAGTGGGTAGCCAGCACAGCGTCAGAAAAATGCACCTTCTTCCAGATCCTCCACCATACCTGCCAGAGGTACCTCACGGACAGGAAGCCAGAGTTTATTAACTGCCAATCCAAAATTATGGGAGGTGAGTGGACATTTGTGTGACTTTAGTCATCCTGTTTCTTTAGACTCACTTTTACTTAAGAAGTTAGGAGTTCAGCAGCATAATTAAAGACAAAAACAGGAGAAGAATCAATATGCTCAGAGCTAGACAACATAAGAACCATTCCAGGGAGTTTATTGTATGGTAAATTTAGACACAAAGGTATGTTTTCACTCTTGTCCAAAAGCTGGTCTTTTTTAGAATTAGCCTTCTAGTTCTTATCTGCACTTAGCTAAGATTATTTGAATGATGAGAACAAAACTGCTCCCTTATTAGAAAAACCTTTTATTTTGGTTTCTTTACTACCTTTTCTATAATTTCATTGCAGAACACCATTTTCTGGGTTGCCTTTTTCTATTTTTTCTCAAGATGTTTTACAAATATTAATATAAAAATTCCAACAGATGCTTCCCCTTTCTTTCAAAAGCAACTCGTGTTTATTCCTTGAATGGCATACAGAGCTGAGTTAGGATGAGTACAGTAAGCCACTGTAAAGGGGTGAGTGCCAGCATCGGCAACATAATGAGAAATGTTTAGAGGGTGCTTAGCACATTTCTTAGGTGGCATTTCTTTTTAGAGAATTGATACTGTGCTAAAAATGTAAAAGCCTTGACAACTCTGTGAGTTGGGGAAGAGTGTTTATATCATTGGTCTTTTCACTGACCTGTCTCTTGGTTTTGAAAGACTGTTTTTAAAAATGCACCAGCTTTGCCTTAATCAGATGTTAAATGAAGATCACGTTAAATACATCACATCTTCTCCTTGGGCTGTATATATGTTTCATATGAACATACAGCAGAATCCATTACTCTGTCCTAGCAACTGACACACATACTGTCATTTTGCCATTAGTTACTAGAAGTTGTATAGAGAAGTTATTATCCAATTCTTTGGTATTAGCCACTGAGGTATTGGCATTCCTTTTAAGTAGGAAGTTGCTTACATCATAAGAACCTTGGAAGGTCTTTCTTAGGTATTTATGCAGCTTATTTTATTATAGTTTCTCTGTTTAATCCCAGGAAAATACAAGAGGTGATGAATGGTGTATATTTTTTCAAGGGGTCACATCCTATGGTACAAAAGTGAAAAATATTAGACATAGATGTTTAAAGGAAAGGGAATTTCAAACACTGACCTATTTGGAAAATATAATAAGATATAGCTCTGTATCATGTCTGCGCCACCAGTGCTCTTAAAATGACTCCTGCTTTGAAAGTCCAGCCTTAACGGACTTGGCAGAAGGTTGAAGCACACCAGGCTTAGGACCACAGAGGGCCACATTTTCAGTGAATGGAAAGTTGGCCAGGAAATCCCAGGTTTCCCTCATTCTTCATTAGGTGGAGTTTGCTCTGATAGCCTAGAATCACATTTGTTTCTTAATCTTCAATTCCTGCTATGAAGCATTTTTCTCATCCATGTCCATATGGTCAGTAGCTTGCATGGCTAGCATGTAAGCACAGAGTCTCTTCTCAAAATAATGTGACATTATGGATTTGAAATTTCTGTTGCTCTTGGAGAAAGACTCCCCTCAAGCATTGCACTTCTTCATGTTCCGTCCTGGGCAGTGTGGCCAGAAACAGACCAAGTGCCATAGAAACTACTGCACTTCCTCAGAATGGAAATGTGGATGGAAGCAAAAGGGCCACACACTCACTGTCCTTCCAAGGGAAACGAGCTACCTCCTTCATTCTAAGGTTAGGGATAGCTTTGCTGACTCTTCCTCTTCCTCCCTTAACAGACTGCACTAGGCAGTCCCCCTGCTCTGTTTCCCCTAAAGGTCTCATTTCTTCTCTAGGAACAGGCTTTTTCTTTCCTTCATTCAATTACAGTTCATTATCCAATCATACAATAAATGAGAACTAAGAACCTACTACATGCTAGTCACTGTGCTACGTATTGGACATAGAGAATAATTCTATATTTGGTTCCTTAATAGACCCTAATTGCCACTACTCAAATCCCAGACTGATAGATCTCTAATTTGTTCTTCCTTTGCCTTCCTGAATATCCTCAGACCTTCCCACACAGCCCCACCACACTGCTTCTGTCCATCATTGAGCCAGCCCTTCAGCTTTCTTTCATTGCCTTGTGAACCCCAAATTATGCAGAGTTGAGATGGGAACACATATGTCCAGTGTTAAATTGTTGGTATGTGTATTTAGGCAAGCCGAATATTGGTTTCCTGTAGTAAGAAAAAATTAGAATAAGTTAATAAAACCAAATGCCAGAATTGCCTTTGCCCTGTGTAACTGTAGGTGTGTCTCTCAGCTGCTCTAGACTTCAGTTTTCCCAGGTGTCACATGTAGAGGTTAGACTAGATGCTATATAAAATCTCTTTCAGTTCCATCACTTTGAAAGTCTGTAATTCCTAAATTATAGTTTTATTGTGTAGGTTAATTGCTTCTTATCTAAAGAATCAAAGATTTAGCGCAATTAAATATTGACAAGTCCTGGATTACTAAGGAAGGCACAAAAAGGTTTAAATTAAGCATGTAGTAATTTGTTGGCAGCACATATAACCTTAGTGAATGCAGCATGTCTTAAACAGTTGCTTATGCTTAATAATAGTTGTGCCAACACACCCTGATAAATTAGTATGCCGATTAGTCTTCTTTTCTGCCAGCTATCACACTTCTGAGACTTCAAAATTAGGTGCTTCTGGGGCCACTACATTCTGACCTCTTTAACTTTTGGGTATCTTCCACATCTTTAGGATATGAAATCTGTTGCCAGTTTCACAGTATCTTTTGGTCTCTTCCTATAGTATGGGCCACAAGTCCTAGATACCATTGTTTCTTATACCATGCAATAGGATAGTTTTATGATTTTAAAGAACTAATACTGGTGTTAGTATGCTGCCCAACACCAGATTCTATACATATGTTATCTAATTTAATTTTTATAGCAGACTTTGGAAATATGCTTTATCAACTCCATTTTATAGAGAAGGAAACAGAATCAGAGAGATCAAATAGCTTGCCAAGGGTCATATAACTAGTAAGTCGTAAAGATAAGATGCCAGGGCAGGCCCACTTATTGGCTCCTTAAAGCCACTGAGTGGCATGCTCCAGGAAACACCATTGACATTGTCTTTGTTATGAATGGTGCCCCCTGGAGTTGTATATGAATTGCTGGGAATATTTTAGCCACTACATTCCTGGGTATTAAAAAGGGAGGTGGGAGAAAACCCGCCTTTATGGATAGTTTTAACTTTTTTCCTAGTTTTGTCCCAGGAAAATATTTAAGATAATTCTTAAGCTATTTTTTTCATCCTAAGAACAATCGAGTCATCAAGCACCTTTAAAATCATCTTGCTTTTTGTTTTTTGTGTTTGTCCACCAGAACTTCAATAGAGGAAATAGATGAAAGCACTGGGAAGACAGTGCAGCCCTAGCCGCCTACAGGGCCTCTCAGGTACTCTATGCCAACCTAAAATAATGAAAAGGGTCAGAATCTAGATTAAAGAGACTTTAAGTGCAAAGGTTGAGGACAAGCCCACCCAAGAAGCACAGATTCCTAACAATGGAAGTCAGTGTTACAAAGCGTAGACGTGTGAGATTGCTTATGTAGACAAAGCCTGGGGAATTTTAGCAGAATTTCAGCATCTTTCTATGTAAGGCTTAATACATAGTCACAATGACCTGATTAGTTCAGATGGTCCTCCTCTTTTGAGAAAGGTACATTTAACATTCCATTGCAGTTACTGCAGATGTAACTGTCATGGGGTCCCTGTTCAGAGCACCATCTAGTCTGAGTTAGGTCAGGAGATAGGTCAGGACAATAAAGAAGGCAGTTAATCTCTAACAAAGATTTGTGATTGGAAGGTAGAGGTCTGGTCTCTGGTCTCCTAGTCACTTACAGAACAAAACAATGAGGAAGAGAGTTAAGCTATAATCTAAGAAGTAGAATTGCAAAACATGCTGCATGACTCAGATCACAGCCATATCTCTCTCAAGGCTTAAAGTGTTTTTGGGGGTTCCAACAGCTTTTAAATTGTATTTATTTTCACAGCTGTATCTGGACCAACCCTGTCATTGGGAAAACTGAGGCCCAGCAATTTTGAATGACTTTGTCAAGGCCAGGGACTATGCAACAACCTACAGAGATTGAAGGCAGAGGTGGGGAGCCAGGTCTGGCTGCTGAAATGTGACATGACCACATGAGTGACAGGGGTCCCTGAAAGTACAGTCTTTAGTTCATATGGTTTGGATTTACTTCTTCTGAAATGGTGGCTTTTATTTTCTCTGTGTTTATTGTAAACAGAAATGATGTTATACTGTTATACGTGTGATGACACATTTGTACTTCAAAGGTGCCTCAAAGGAGTTAATAACGTGTTATTAGACTCCACAGGAGGGACTTGCTTTCAGCTAATTCATTTCAAACAGATGTTGAGAATGATGGTTCTGTTGCAAGGACAAAAAACCAAACACCGCATGTTCTCACTCATAGGTGGGAATTGAACAGTGAGAACACATGGACATAGGAAGGGGAACATCACACACCGGGGCCTGTTGTGGGGTTGGGGGAGGGGGGAGGGATAGCATTAGGAGATATACCTAATGCTAAATGATGAGTTACTGGGTGCAGCACACCAACATGGCACATGTATACATGTGTAACTAACCTGCACGTTGTGCACATGTACCCTAAAACTTAAAGTATAAAAAAAAAAAAAGAGACGTGGTCTGCCTCAAATAGATTGTCAGTATAGATTAACGGGTATGCCATATTAGGTCAAGGTCCCAAGGAAGACTTTGTTACTTTACTTACATCAGTATTCTTTAAACGTGAGCAAATCCCACATGGCTCCCACATTGCTATTTCATTTGTGTTGACCAATTTATAATGATTACTGTTGGCCTAGTATTCATATGCCTAATACTGTGAACTGTAGAAATCTTTGGTGATACTGGCAATTTCTATATTAGAACCACAAAGTAGGTTCTTTGCAAACCCATTTTCTTTTTCATTAAGAGGTATAAATTATTTGCAAGAAAAAATAATTTATTCTTCAAGATAAGCATAAACTGAAGCATATCCAAGCCTTTTACTTGAACTCTGAGCCCGAATACCCTAGCTAACTCATTCAGTTCTCTCTTAACTATTTCACCTGTTGTATGTCATCCTTCAGTGATCCCACAATCATTTACTCAGCGCTATGTAAATGTGCTAAACTAGCTGTGGAGATCCAGTCACACAGTAGGCACCTTCACCAGCTTGACTTACTTTCTGGACATATCAGATGTAAATAGACGTGAAACATTGCCATGACAGTAAGGGGATGGCTGAGCTGGAGGTTAAAGGATGGTTAGCAGTTGCCAGACAGACAAGGGCAAGATGAAATTAGCTCTCTCTTATTGCAACAGTTAATCCAGACAATTTTATTTCAATGTTAGCTGTATTCAGAATTTGAATGTGGCAGATTGTTTTTTCACAAAGCAGGCTATTTTGAAGTGCCATATATTTTCATCATCATCAAAGGGTATTTCTTAAGCATTACGCTTCTATGCACAGCCCTTCAGATGATAGTATAAAGCCCAGACTTCAGAGCTCTATTAGAATTCTAGGGACACAGATGTCTCTGATGTCACCTTCACACCAGGCTGGCCCTCACTTGCCCCTGCTGATTGGTATGCTAAAGGAAACCCAATGGCTTTACTCTGGATTCCCCCAGGATAGGATAGAATCTCAGGATTCAATCAAACTGTGACTTTGTTTGTTCTTTTCTTCCAAACAATACAAAGTCATCCCTAGGTGAGGTGTGCAACTATTTCACCTTGTGCGTGTCCCAGGCATGGAAAAAAAAAGTGATTGGTGTGGTCATTCTTAATCCCAATATATTAATATAGTACTTTAAAGGAATCTATAACATTTGCCATGATTTTTATGTTATTTTTCCTTCTGTTTTAACTCTGTCAATGAATAAAGACTTTGGAGTGTGAACCTCACACTCCTACACATGCTGCAACCAGGGGTGCATTAGAATGAATTGTTTATTTCTCAAGAATAAAGTCATGTATAATTTTTCCCCTAGGGATCAAACTTCAATATCCTTGGGAGATGCACGCACACATATTAGAGATTATAATTCACAGAGATAAGTTGTATTAACACCACCATATGGTTGCTTCTTGATGCCTGAATGTAGACACAGAACAGCAGAGGAGGCCAGGCTTCTTAGCTGATTCACTGTTGTGACACTGCAGTGAAATGTTTCTTATAGTTCTTTAAATCAACAGGAATCCATGGCATAGTTCCTCCAGTGACTATTTTTGTTGCCCTTGGGAAAATAATAAACTTCAGTTTCCTCCACCAAGTACAGATGAGGAAAATGATTCATGAGGAACTAGCCCAAGATCCCACAGCCATTAAGAGATACAGCTGATGTTTCAGTCAAGACCTGCTACTTAGTCCTCATCTATTAAATGGAGACCGTGACTTCCACGTTCCCTTAATAAGCACAAGTCTTCTTTTCCTTATATCCATTCAGCTAAGCAAAAGGGGGGATGACACCAATTTAACAAGATCTTTGTGTGAATTCAGTTGAAAATTATGTTTGAAAGTTCTCCGTAAATTATGTTACATAATTATATTAATCATGTACACACACAGACTTAGCCACTCTTCCATCACTCCATCCTCCTCATTGCAGCCAATATATCTTTTCCTAGACAGCATGATATTTCATTTAAGACTTGTCTTAAATGAAAGTTCTTTCAGAGAGAGAAAAAAACTAAGACTAAAAGCAAAATAAAAGCATCAATACAAACAACAGTACAAATATTTAAAGCATAGAATCAGAAAAGCCCAGTTTGGAAGTTTTGTGTTTTTGTTATTGGGACCCCAGCAGTGTACCCACTGCATCAAACACAAATGTTTTTATAGTCCTATGTGACCCATCAAAGTAACCATCTGATATTGGCTGAGCACTATTAGGGACATGACATTCAGCAGAAACTGTGAGATGTTTTTGGATAGGAATCTTTCATGTATTTTTTAAGTTGAGGATGACATTACTAGTCATCATGTTTTGTACGTGTGTGTTTTCTCATATTTCCTCATTCAGCCATTCAACCTCATGTTGTTCCCAGAGAGGTAGATACTTGTATTTTAAGTGAAAAAATTAGAAGTAACTAAGGACTACTTCCTTAGGTTCCATCCAATTCTGTGTGTGATATAAATGACTAGAAACTAAGGAAAAATGGGTCACAGATGCAATTTTTTTTTCACTGCTCATTGGCTGTAAGCTACGCTGAAATGCATGCTGTGAAACAGCTGGTGGGTTATAGTTAGTCATCCTGAGCTGGGAGTGGCTTTGTGCATTAAAATGCTTTTGAGTCATATCTCTTCATCAAAATTTTGTACCAAACCAAGACTTACGTAAAGGTACTTCCAAAATACCATTTTTGTCTGGACAAGGATTGTAAACATGTTTTGTCTATGCCATGGTTAAATAACCTGCAGTAGATAAGAGCCGTTCCTATTTTCAGAATCAACCAGAAGACATAAATATACAGCTTGATCTAGAAGAAAAGAGCACAGACTGGATTCACTTACCCTTCTCTTTGACAGCATCACTCATTAGCTGTGTAACTTCATCTGAGCTGCTTAAGTTATACTCAGCATCTCTATGCTTTTCTGTGTCATGGATACAACATATGCCTTGAAGGGATGACATGAGGATTAAAGTAAATTATAAAGGGTTAAATCAAATGGGATTTTTGAAAAATGCCAGTACATGCCTAAATATTCTATGTTTTTAAACACTACAAATATGCATATTCATAATATTTCATGATTTCTCCCAGCATATTTATCAAAAGCCTTTTCTTCTGAAAGAAGCAAGGGAATATTCTTGAGCTTTCCTAATCTGTGTTAGCCATAAGAATTGGGGGGAAAAGAATTTCTTTGTTCCAAGTGAGAATGAGCTGAGCTATACTATAGATATTTCAAATGTCTGGGATGCTGAGTTGTTTGCTATGCTTTATAGAATGCTGATTGTGTTGCATTTTATGTTTGACATTTATAGAGTGCACATGTTACTGCTGACTTAACCAAAACAACAATGTTTAAAATATATCAAGTAACACTGTGCCAGAGATCAGGGCACATAATTCAGATCTTCCAGTGGGAAAGAAAAAAACCTAAAACATGTTTTCTAAACTTTACAAGAGAATGGAAATATTCCTTTTCCACCAACATGTCCTCAGCCTAGAACAATTCCTTGAGTCCACCTCTTTCTACTTCCAAAACTAGAGATAATATGAGTCAGAGGTAAAATTACTTAACATTGTTAGACATGAAGTGGTAGTTCTGAAACAGACATAAAAGGCATTCTGCATTATGCTCATACATTTAAATTTACAGACATATGAAAGTTTTTTAAAATTTTGGGAGACATAAATTTGCCAACCATTTTCGAAGGAAGGATGTTTTCTAAAATCTTTACATCTACTGTCATCATAATTTCATAAAAGAAAGTTTAACATTAACAATAAAAGATAAAAGGATGTAATCTCTGAGACTAAAGGGGCTGTTCTTAAGTTAGAAACATTTACCTTTATGAAAAGCTTACTTCATTGTGCTTATTTCACGTAGGCAGTAAAAACTCTACCATCCACTGGCATTTAAAAGCTGTTGTTCTGCTGTAACATAGAAGCATCAAGAACTAAAAAGTACATGGAATTTTAGTGAAGAGAAGCTGTAAATTCTCAAGAACAATAACACAGCTAATGAGTGATGCCATCAAAGAGAAGGATAAGTGAATCCAGTCTGTGCTCTTTTCTTTGTCATTTAGTAATTTGTCAAATTCACCCCCACTTCTGGGGAAGCCATTCAGAATACACACTCTTTGGAGAGCAGATGAGAATATAATCTTCAAGGTTGAAGGCTATAGTCCTATTCCATACCTGGAATAGAGGTTAGAAATTTGAGCATAGTATATGAGAAACTATACAGGAATATGAGATTTCTAAAACCTTTAGTGAAGGGGTAAATAAAATGGTCTTTTTTGTTCACATTATATGATAAACTTCTAAAAATTTTAACCATGTTTCTGATCATTAAAGTAAGGTTGAATAATAAGATTTAGCATAGGTAGTTCTTTGAAAATTGGACATTGATTTAAAAATCTAAAGTTGAAAACTTCAAATTTGTAGGAGCAAACATTCCTTACTTATCCTTCTACCTGCAGTGTACCTACCCAGGACTAGGTTCATTGCAAGAAGTTAGAGCATTAGAGTTACCAGATTTCACCAATAAAAATGCAGGACATGTTACTTGCAGCATATTTATACTAAAAAATTATCCATTATTCAGCTGGAATTCAAATTTTGCTGGATGTCATTTTTATCTGGCAACCTTTATGGACATCCACTCTCCCAGTTTGTAGCCAGCCAAAACAAATATGGAAAACAAAGAACGTTTATGGTATGTAGACAAATAAACCTTATGGTGGCCAAACGATTATAAGGGCTTTGGGAGAATTTGAGATGGAGATCTCAAAGGCATAACGTGTTAGTCATTCAAAGATACAAACAGAAAGAAAAATATGAGACAGGCTGCTAAAGGGATATTCAGAGAACTTAGAAAATTAGTGTTATATTGTGGCTATTCTACATAGAATAATGCTGTAAAATGCAAATTATAGGTAGTAGGAAATACTAGAATTTCACTAAAGAACTTTTATAACTGAACATCAAATTCCTGGTTAATTTTGCGGGAAAGATAGTTCAGTCTTGAGTCAGAATGTCTTTGGCTTGGTTTTCAGGAGTTAGTTTATTGTTAATAATAAAAGGAGCCTGCCATAGACTCTTGGGGGCACCCAGCAAAACAAAGGCTCTCATTCACGGAGGAAGAGGGAAAAGCTTACATTGCAAAGAACTCTAAGATACATTGTCTTTCAGTTCTGGACTCCAGAAACCTAAAATCAGTGAGTAGGGCTGTGTCCTTCTGGAGGCCCCAGGGAAGAATTTGTTTCCTTGCCTTTTCCACCTTCTAGAAGCTGATTATGTTCCTTGGTTCATGGTCCCCTCCTAAATGTTCAAAGCCCCCAGCATCCTCAAATCTCTTTCTCTGTCTCTGACACCCCTGCCTTCCTTTGTGTTTATATTGTGTCCACCCAGGTAACTCAGCATAATCTTCCCCTCTGGAGATACTTATCATATCTGCAAAGTCCCTCTTACCATGCACAGCTTCTGGGGACTAGAGTGTGGACAAGTTTGGGAAGCCATTATTCTTCCTACCACACCATTTTCTTAAACAATTCTGAAAGCTGTAATATACTCTATTGTGTAATATTGTCCTACATTTAATTTTTTATAAGATATACTTTTATATATGTCCTATAGACTATATTACTTCTGCTAATCTGTTCTAATTTCAGACATTTAAATTTAGAAGCACCTAGACTTTTTATGAAGACCCAGTACTTAAGTGACTAAAGGGGCTTGCCATGTTCTGTAATATCAAAAAGTTCCTTACTTTAGCAGCTGGTATACTTCTACCTTGGCTCTTTCTCTTTACTTAAGGGATTTGTTTTCCTTAATAATTACATGGGTTTTTTACACATTTCTTAGGGTACTTGATAGTTGAAGCTTTTGATGGCCAGGCGCGGTGGCTCATGCCTGTAATCCCAGCACTTTGGGAGGCCAAGGTGGGCAGATCACGAGGTCAGGAGATCGAGACCATCCTGGCTAACACGGTGAAACCCCATCTCTATTAAAAGTACAAAAAAATTAGCCAGGCCTGGTGGCACATGCCTGTAGTCGCAGCTACTCGGGAGGCTGAGGCAGGAGAATCGCTTGAACCCAAGAGGCGGAGGTTGCAGTGAGCTGAGATCACGCCACTGCATTCCAGCCTGGGCGACAGAGTGAGACTCCACCTCAAAAAAAAAAAAAAGCTTTTGATGATGGAGATATTGAAAATCAGTTGATTTTGTTAAAAATCATTCTTTTCCTTGATATGTCTCTTCCCTGTCTCCTCCTAAAATCATCATAATGCCCCACTTGTAAATAACTTGGTGGTGTACCTCTTGAGAGATTAACAATTCCCTTTTCAGCTTTAATAAAAGATGTCAAGGTCAAGTTTATTTAATATATAATCATTACAGACAAGTTCACATTCACTGGCTGGATTTACCTCTTTAATTCAATATACATTTAAAAGTGATTCAACATGAGCACCTGAAATGCAGTTTCCATGTTAATTTAACAATTTTCTGTATCACTTAGGGTATGTAATCCCTTCACTATACCGTTGAATTATTGTTTTTAGGATCTGTTTCTACTCACAGAACACTTCTGACACCAGCTATGTGGGTTTTCCACACCAAGTAACTCTCCAATTCTCTGGAGCATCAATTGGGTGCCCTACAATTTAATCCAGTTCTGGCACTAACTACCCATAATTAGTGCAGACCCTGCTGGTTAAGGGCTCAGTCCCACAGGACTACTCCCCACTTCAGATGCCAGTCACAAGTAGTGGGTCCTCAGGTTACCCGTACGTCTGTCCGACTTGGCTACAAATTGGAGGTTCCCATGATCTCTTCCTCGGGTTTGATAATGTGCTATACCAGCTCACAGAACTCAGGGAAATCCTTTACTTACATGTACAGGTGTATTATAAAGGATATTATAAAGAATGTAAATGAACAGCCAGATGAAGAGATACATAGGGCAAGGTCCAGAAGAGTCCGGAGCATAGCGGCTTCTGTCCCCATGGAGTTGAGGTGCGCTACCCTCCCTGCCCATGGGTGTGTTCACCAGCCTGAAAGCTCTCTAGATCCCATCATTTAGGGGCTTCTACTGGGGTTTCATTACCTAATTATGATTGATTAAGTCATTAAGCCATTGGTGATTGACTGTATCTCCAGCCTCTCTCCCCTCCCTGGAGGTCAGGATGAGGGGGTGGGGCCGAAAGTTAAAACCCTCTAATCTCATGACTGGTTTAGCAGCCAGTCCCCTAACCTCCAAAAGTCACCTCATAAACTCAGGTATTATTGAAGGGGGCTTATTACAAATAACAAAAGATACTACTCTCATTCCTGTCATGCAGGGAATTCCAAGGGTTTTAGGAGCTCTGTGCCAGGAACTGAGGGCAGAGACCAAATATATATTCTTACTGTGTCACATGTTGTTTATAAATCTTGTCTTCCTGGTAGGATGTGGTATGATGTCATTAAAAAGATAAAGGCTTTCAATACACAGATCTGGGTTTGAATTTCTGGTCTGTCACTTACTGGACAGAGCAGGTCTGTTATTGGTCTGTGGATGAATTACTTAAACTGTAAGCTTCACTTCCTCTTTTTAAACAGAATACTAATGCTTGCCCTGTAGTAAGTTGTAAGGATTTAACAAGATCATATATAAAACATATAGCATGGTGCATAGGGAGTACCACGGAACATCGTGAGCACTCAGTGGGAGCTTATAATTAATGTCTTCTTTTAATCCTGTCTTCCTGTTGTCCTGCCTTCCCTCCTGTTAAGGGAAATTTGTATAGAACCTGATTTCTCCCTGGACACAGGAGTTAATGGAAGTAGAGAAACATGGCTTTGAGTGTCCCTTAGGTCAGATACAGTAGAAGTACAGTCGTCTGTATTTATATGTATTTGTATTTATATTTTTCTTGCCTTCCAGGAAAAAAGCCTGTGAATGCTAATAACACTGATAGTCACCATACTAAATCCCTACTATATACCAGGCAATTTTTTAGTTTACATTTAACTACAAAAAGTAGTTATCGTTATTCCTGCTTTACAGGCGAAGAAACTGAGCCTCAGAGAGGTTATTTATCTACCCTGAAATCATATCCATAATAAAGGTCAGTGAAGATTTGATCCCAAGTCTATCTCCAGAATCTGTTCTTTCCCCCTGCCCCATTAGAGAGAGAAAATAGAAAAATTCTTTCTTCAGTGGTCATTAACAAAATAATTCCAAAATTGTGACTCCCCTCTTTTGGGCCTATTATACTTCCCAGCTCTATCCATTAAAAGCTGAATAAATGCATGCACAAATAGCTGGATTTCTCTCTGATTAAGATTAAGTAAAACTGCAGAAGTTTTAAGCTGTAATGCAGATAACAGATACAGCCACTAAATTGTTACTTCTTCTCAACCCTTTTTTTTCCTGTTAAAAAAAGTAAATTAAAATTTATCATTTGGGGCTATCTAATTTCAGGTAGTGAGTAAATAAGAAAGTCTGTCAGTAAGGCATAATCATCTTTTCCTTTGTTTGCTGGTTAAAAAAAAAAGAGAAAAGTAAGTATTACCTTTGCTGGGCAATGTAGAATTTTTGGATTCTTGTGTTGATAAAAATGAATGTTTGGGAAATTGAATATTGGAGCAGTTTGGCATTGTAAATTTGTATTTTGAGGCTCCTTTAGCTCTATCACATGGTATCACAGTACCATGAATAGAGGAAATTAAAAAGAAATAGCCATTTTCAGGAAAAAGAAAACATAAGTATATCCATAAACCAGAAACATAACAGAATCACAAAGCAATTATTAGGATTAAAGCTGTTGTCTGCTGGATTCCAGGTCTGGAAGGAAGAAGTTTGAATTCCATGCTACTATAGGGACTACAAGTGCACCCATGCAAAGTGTGGATATAGGAGCTAGATTTGCTGCTTGGTACCAAGTCTTCTTAGCCCAAGAAAGGAGTTTACAAATACGCTGTGACCAATTGCTCCTTAGGGAAGTGGCTTATAAGAACCTGTGTTCCAGAGAGGCAAGAGAAAACAAACATAGTCTCCCACCCAAGACCTGGATCCAACTGGCCACTAGCCTGGGACTGACTCTGCCATATCCCACATGTTACCCAGAACAAGAGCCTCAGACCATTACTTTAAATCCTGTTGTACCAGGGACCAGCACAGGAAATAATAAAACTGTTACATAGAAAGAAAAGGTCAAGGCAATGAGGAGAAGCAGGAAGAAATTTAAATCTCCCACTGAAGAATATTGTGCACACCAAAATTCTACATGAGAAAGCCAACAAAAATAACAAATGAGAATTGAATTCACCCCAAATGAAATGAAAGTAACAATGAACTCCAATAATGACTTTAAGTACATTTATGATACTCAAAAGATAAAGGAAGAAATTAGAAAAAACGTTAAGATGTTATAACACAGGAACTAAAATGAAAAGACAAAGTGATAGAAAAAAATAATCCTGGAAATGAAAAATGTAGTCTCTGAAATAGACTCATTTGATAGAATAAACTCTAGACTGGCCAGGGTCAAAGACAGAATTAATGAACTATAAGGTATTAATGAGAAATTCACCCATAATACAGTACACAGCAATGAAGAATATAAAGGATGAGTTGTACATGGAAGATAGAACAAGATGCTCTACCATTCATCTCATAGGAATTTTTAAAGAAGGTTTAAGAATGGCAGAAAACCAGTATTTGAAAAGATGATGGCTAAAACTTGCTGAATTGAAGACTCAGATTGAGAATATCACCAAGTGCCACACTTGAAAATAAAGCTTTACCTAGAGAAAAACATAATGCAATAGAACACTTGGGACAAAGGGAAAATATTAAAAGCTATTAAAAATACAGTTTTCCTACTGTGGAAGGATAAACTGATGGCTTGTTCCCAGCAACAAGAGATGCCAAAAGTCAATACATTAATATCTTCAAAGTTCCAGAAATAACTGTCAATCTAGAATTCTGTATCCAGCTAGACTGTAATATAGATGTAAGAGAAATACAAAGATATATTCAGAAAAGCAAAGACTGATTATTCACCACCTCTAGACCCTTGCTGATAGAAGTATTAAATGATGTGCTTCAACATGAAGCACACTGAACCCAAAGGGTAGGAGTGGAGTGTAAGAAACTGTAACGATTGCAAACATGGTAAAAATACACTGCCAAACTTAATTGTCTTAATGATTATTTTAAAATTACTTGGAATGTTTTCTTGAAATAACTGGAGATAAAATTCTAAACAAAAGTAATAAGGAATACATGCTGTATGTTCAATGGATAGTTAATCCATGCTAAAGTTCATTCCAAGAAGGATAGCTACTGAATTAATTTGACAGGAAAAAAAAAAAAGCAGTTACATTTGTTAGACTTCTAGTTTTAAAATGATAGAATATAAAGGATAGTCACCTCTTTTCTTGAAAATTATCCAAAATCAGCTCAGAGAATTTATGAGGGCAAACTCTATCTCTGATGAAATGAGTGTCTGTCTCGAATTACAAACTCCTGTATGTGGGGAAGAGTTGACAAATGCAGTAAAGGTGAAGGTAGATTCCCAAGAGAGAACTCTCATACCTGCAGTCTCAGATAAAGCCTAAAGCCCTCAGAATGAAATGATCCAAAGTGTGTGTCAGTAATCCCTTCTTTAGAACAATGGAGCAGAAGCCAGGAAAGCTCTGGGAGTAATGGGCCCAAATTGGCACAGTGCTGGGACAAGCAAGGCAAGAAGGCTAAACAAAGAATCACACTGTCAAAGCCATGTTGTCAGGAATCAATCTGTTGATGGGCTAAAGTGGAGGAAAGAATCTGAATTCCAAGCAATCCTGTGGTCGCATCTTGTTGAGGAAAAGTAAAGGCTCAAGAGGCCTCTGTCACATACACAGCCCTGCATCATAAGGAGAATGCCAGCTAGCCTGGAAAGTAGTCCTCTTCCCTCCTCAGTACCATGAATCTCCTGCCAATAGCTGTTCACCTTATTTTCAAATCAATGATAATCCCAAAGGAACCAGCAGAGGTGGTTCCATCACTCACCATAAGTATATCCTTGGGCAATTTATAACCTGTCTAAGCCATGGTTTTTGTTTTTTGTAAAATAGAGTAGTAGTTCTCCCATACAGTACTGTGGGGAGGATTAAATAACATAATATACCTGAAACACTAGGCATGCCTAAAACACTAGCTGTAATATACCTAAAACATATCACATGATAAGGAGTCAGTAAATATTTACTGATGACAAAGATCAGCCAGGTGGAATTCTCAGGGCTGAGAACTGACTTGCCTTCTTTGTCCTCTTTCTCTCTAGAAAGCGGTGGTTAAGAACACAGATTCAGTAGCAAGAATTCTAATTCAAATCCTACATCTTTTATTGCCTACCATTATGATTTCAGCCAAATTATTTAGCTGACCCTCAGTTTTCTCATTTGTAAAGAAGGGATAATAATAGTACCTATCTCCCAAAGTTGTTTTGAGGATTAAATGAGTTGTCACAGAGCACTTTGAACTTTGAACAGTGCCCGGCGCTGAGTAAATACAGTACATATTAGCTATTAGTACTTTTCTTTTTCAAGAATGACAAGTCACACAATATACAAGATTACCATACTTTTTGGGTTTTTAGGGACAGTCACCTCAGAGATGTGATTATTCAAACACAGAATCAAATTTGACTAAATTTTTTTTCAAGACGTAGGGTATAATGTCCTGTTGCTCAATTGTATATTCTAAATTTTGATTAGGAGACTATGGGATAATGTATCTATAGATCATGAACCAAATTCTCTTTTGCTTATGGTTAGTCCTTTTTTAAGGTAAATGAACAGCATGTGTTGTATGAATTGGTGATGTGCTGGTACCAACCAGTTGTGATAACTTACTAGTTACAACCCCAGAGCAAAGATCCACAAAAGAGAAAGGAATTCCATTCCTTTCTCTCCGTGTGGGAAATGTCAGATTAGGACTTGAACAGCTTGCTGCTGATCTTTTTGTTAAGGGATGCTGTCAACACAGATATGTCTAAAATTAGAGATCAGAACAGAAGGAGGGCAGGCGGGGACAGACAATGCAACTTTCACTCACAATCACAGAACTCAACTCCCGTGTAGTTGCTTGGCCAGGCTCCCAGTTGAGAAGGGAGATTTTGTAATGTTTCCAGCCTTCATTTTATGGCCTGTTGGACTTTTTATGATCTGGGCTCTCTTTTACCTTTTTTAATGGTTTAGGTTTTTTTTATTATTGTTTCATATTCTTTAGCCTGGTTGACTTTTTAATCTCAGCCTATAGAAAGCATCACAATTTAAATCTCTTAGAAATTTTCAAATCGATAAGAAGTAGCAGGAATTAAATAAGGAAGGGCAGTTGAGTTGTCTATGAATGTAGCTGTTTATGCTCAATCTTGCTCACTCTCCCTCAGAACATTTCTAAAAGGAATTATTAGCCTCTAGGTGCTTAATAAGACATGAAAGGGCCCTTAAGTTACTGGCCATTTTTTCTTTTTTCTCTTTTTTTTTTGAGACGGGATCTCGATCTGTCACCCAGGCTGGAGTGCAGTGGTGCGATCTCGGCTCACTGCAACCTCCATCTCCCGAGTTCAAGCGATCCTTCTGCCTCAGCCTCCCGAATAGCTGGGACTACAGGTGCGAGCCACCACGCCTGGCTAATTTTTGTATTTTTAGTAGAGATGGGGTTTCACCGTATTGGCCAGGCTGGTCTCGAACTCCTGACCTCATGATCCACTGGCCTTGGCCTCCCAAAGTGCTCGGATTACAGGCATGAGCCACCACGCCCAGCCTGGCCATTTTTTTTGAATGTCCACATTTCCTCCAATTCCACAGTTACAGACCACAGCAGATATGTTGATGCTTATTTAAAAACCAGTGAAGCTTGCTGGGCATAGTGACACACACCAATAATCCCAGCATTTTGGGAGGCCGAGTTGGGTAGATTGCTTGAGCCCAGGAATTCCAGACCAACCTGGGCAATGTGGCAAAACCTCATCTCTACAAAAAGTACAAAAATTAGCCAGGAGTAGTGGCATGCACCTATAATCCCAGCTACTTGGGAGGCTGAGGTGGGAGGATCATTGCTATGCACTGAGATCGTGTACTGCACTCCAGCCTAAGCAACTGAGTGAAACTCTTTCTCAAAAAATAAAAATTAAAATTAGAAAAAACAGTGAAGCTCTCAGTTGGGAAACTGAATCTAGATCTTTGATCAGAATTTAATAAGAAGGAAAGATTCTTTTTGGCAGCCAAACTCCAGGAGATTGTTAGCTGTTGTTCTTCCTTTCCAGTTGTTATTTCCAGCCATCCACAGCTCACCAGGGCATCTCTGACACTTACCCTCCCTGGAGATGACTCAGTCTGGCAGACATCTCTTAGGATGGGAAAGTCTGAGAGATGTTCATACAGCTTGTCGTGTTAGAGCTGTATCTTAGACCCTTTTAATTAATAGTAGTATTATATGCCCTATTTATTGATTGACTCTTAATTTTTAATTTTGCAGAGATTAATTCTGTCCTAGCCTTTGCCGAAATGAGCACAAGTTCCTGTAGCAGAGCTCTAACTTGACTGGGATGTTAGGTGTTCTATGTGTACTCAGCCCCAAAGTCCTGGGACCTGAGAGTTCCAACCTGCTAACACAGTTCCTCCTGCCCATCACTCCCAAAACCACAGAGCAACATTTTGCTGGCTATTTTTTTTCCTGCTTTTGACTAAAGCATATACACAAATGTGTCCACAGAAAGAGCTTAACTTGTGATTATGCAATTTGAGAATATAGTTAGGTAGCAATTTCAGATTTCAAATAATGGATATGATTCTACCCCCGAACTTAAGTAAAGAAAGATGATGCTACTAGCTTCTTAACAAGAGTAATAATTTAAATACTTTGATGAAAATAGTTGTCTGGTTGGCCTTTAAGTTTGCATAGTTCTTACACCACTTTTCATCTTTAAAAATACAAATTTTCCTATGTTCCACAGAACTTAGGAATTTGTCCTATTTTCTTTCATCCTCCCTGCTGTTTCTACCCCTTGTTTTAGATCATTTGTGTCAAGTTACATTTATTCAAACTATTTGAGCAAAGCATTCAATTACTTAAAAAAGGAATAGAAAAAATTGCAATGCCATATATACTCTGTAACCTCTAATAATTATGTCTGTATCACCTAACATATGAATTAAAATATTCATGTTCTTGATGTCTTTTAGTCCACAAAAGGAAATGATTACTACATTTTGTCGAACTAATGCCAATTTGATGATATGTTAAAACATTTAGCTTGCAGCTGCAAGTTAGTAAGGCATATAAGGTAAGGCTTTAATTATAGATCTATCCTGCCGTAAAAGTGCTTAATTAGAGTCATGAAAAATCTTACTTGAAGCAGGATTTTTACTGAAGATTTAAAGAATTAAGAAAAATCTCTTTTTCCATTCATTTTTCTTTTTCTTTTGTTGATTTTTATCCATCCTGCTATCCTACTTTCTTCCTATTACAAGGACTAACATAGGGAAAATTTAGTCTGTTAATAGCTACCCTTTTGACTGGTTATTGATTTTCACTTCTTTTTTTTTTTTTTTTTTTTTTTGAGAGGGAGTCTTGCTGTGTCACCTAAGCTGGCAAGCTAGAGTGCAGTGGTGTGATGTCAGCTCACTGAAACCTCTGCCCCCTGGGTTCAAGCAATTCTTCCTGACTCAGCCTCCCAAGTAGCTGGGATTACAGGCACCCGCCACCACACCCGGCTAATTTTTGTATATTTAGTAGAGATGGGGTTTTCACCATGTTGGCCAGACTGGTCTCGAGCTGCTAACCTCAGGTGGTCCGCTCGCCTCGACCTCCCAAAGTGCTGGGATTACAGTTGTGAGCCATCACGCACAGTCTGATTTTCACTTCTGAGTTGTAAATTTTCAAACGCTATTTATCTTTAGTAGTTTGACTAGGTCTTGAGTCCAAAATAAAATATTTTACACTTACAAAGTCTCTTTCTGTACTGAATCAAGTATTACCAGTATTAAAGGCATGTTGCCAATCATCTTATTAAAAAATCAGTAAAGTACCAAAGTGTGAGTATGATTTCATACACACCCTGAAGGCTATTGCTCATTAACTAGTGTTGCCACTGGCTGTCTTGAGCAGCAGTGAAAAGAGTGAAGTGAGAGCTACTGCCCTGCTTCTCCCTGCAGCTATTTCTGGTCCCCCTAATAGTCATGGTGACTACAGTGTGCAGTAATGCTTGTTTCCTACAACATTTACCTTAATGACTTCTTGTTCTTTTGGTTTACCCATAGATACATTTTTAATATGAAGGGAAGTAGAAAATGGGTGTCTCCATCCACAAAGATGGACACCTCTTTTAGGTAAGAGAAAAGGAAAATGGCACTATGGATATCGTTATTAAGCGTAGCTATGGTTACAAGTCCAAAGCAGAAAATAGGATATTTATATTAATATTTTAATCTGTACAGTCTACTTTGTTTATTCCAAACCACAAAATTAGACTTGATACTACCTATTTTTTAATAGCACCTACTTTTTTGTTCTTACAGAGGTGAGGAAGAAAGAACTTCTTAAAAAATAATATTCCATTTTAAAAAATTAGATGATCTATGTTTATTTTTGCTTTTTAAACAATATTCTAAAAATCTTTAAGTGGCTAATTTTATTCATTACATACTTCTAGGATACATGTATGAAATTCCACCCCTCTCACCCTCATATACAAAAACAATGTCATTGACTTGATTTGTTTTTGTTAAATAAACATTTTCAAAAGTGTCTTCTAAATCTGGGTACTCTCCTCAGAATGTGTTGAAATTAAGAATATCACCTCTTTTACTGGTCAAAAAACACTCAATTATGGTGCAATAACAAACACGGCTCCGGGTCTCAGTGGCTTAACAAATAAAACATTACTTCTCACTCGAAGAAGATCTGTGAGTTTAGTGCCGCTCTAGAGCAGCTTCTAAGTGGTGATTCAGGGATCCAGTTTGCTTGCATCTTTGTCATTTCACCATCTTGACACATGCCTTCCAGATTCAAATTAAACACGGAAGAAGAAAGTTGGAAGGCCGCCCAGGGTCTTCTATTACCTCAGCCCAGAAGTAGCACTTATTGCCTCTGCTTAGAGCCCACTGGCCATATGACCAATCTAACTGTAAGGAGGTCTTAAATATATATACCTTCTATGTATTCAGGAGGAAAAACAAGACACAACTTTGTGAACACCTAGCACTAGTTCTGCCAAACCCTTCATGTGTATCATGGAAGAAAACTCTTGAGAAGCACTTTTTGAAATTCCCAGTCTCAAATCAGATAACTTGAATCTGATCTTATCATCAGACTCTGCCTTTCCCCCTTTAGAAATCCATAATACATAGTCTGCAAACAAGTCATCTCTACCAAGCCCTTCTCCCCCACAGGTCTCCCTCAGTGTCTCTTAAAACTCTTCTTTTCCATTCCCATCTTGACTCTCGTAGTTCGGGCCATCCTCATCTTTTCAAGAATATTTACAATGGTCTAATCACTAGTACCTTAATTCCTCTCATTATTCCCACCCCAACCAAATCATCATTGTTTCTTCAGCACTGTGTGGCCTCTCCACTTTGTAAGTTCCCAGGAGCATTAGCTTCTGAATTGTATGGTGTTTAAGAGTCACATACCTTAAAAGTGTGAGGACTATTTATTCCTCAATACCTAAGGATCATTCCCACAACAAGGATTTCATTCCTCAATATCTAAGGATCTTTCCTACAAATAATGCCATTTATAATTGAAAACCCAATGAGTGGAACACTAAATATTTTTAAATTGGCAGAAATATTTATCTTTTAGGTGTGATTCTGTTAAAATTTGAACCTGTAAGTTGGCCAGAGACAGAATATACTAAAAGTTTATTCTCTTAGGCTGGGTGCAATGGCTTACACCTATAATCCAGCACTTTGGGAGTGTGAGATGGCAGGATTGCTTGAGCCCAGGAGTTTAAGACTAGCCTGGGCAACATAGCAAGACCTCGTCTCTACAGAAAATTAAAAAATTAGCCGGTTATGGTGGTGCACATCTGCAATCCCAGCTACTCAGAGGCTGAGATGGAAGGATCACTTGAGCCCAGTAGGTCAAGGCTGCAGTGAGCCATGATCGTGCCACTGCACTCCAGCCTGGGCAACGAGCAAGATCCTGTCTCAAGAAAAAAAAAATGAGTTTTCAATTATGGATCATTTTTCAAAGTGGTATTTAAACAGAGGAGGTGTGAAAATCGTGCCTTCCTCTATATTCTAAATGGAATAAACACAGGAAGAACCAAAATCTGTTTTGGTTTTTTTACTCATTTTGTATGTCATCTTTTTCACACTAGACCATAATAACAATTTTGGAAATAGTGGTGTTTTTATTGAAAACAATTTTTTCCATATTAATCAAATATCTGCAACTTGATATATTTTGTACATAATTATATCTTTGATAGAATTTGTTTTAAATCCTCCCAAATTAAAAAAAATGCTGCATAACTGCAATTTTATTTGCCATGTCCAGAAGTTGATCCTTTCTGTATGCTGATTACAATAGCACAACCCAAGATGAATGCCAATGAAAATAAGGATTTAGGTATAAATAGTAACCTCATCACATCCTTATAAAACCAAATATATCTTCCATTGTTTATCAGTTCACTAGCCATTCAACATACCACTATTGTACACTTACTAATTTGTACACGTTTTGCCTGGAGATAACAAAAAATGAAGGGATTATTCTTGTAATCAAGAAGCTCCTAGTTTAATGAGCTGTACAAATAAGTCAACCAACAATTTTGATGCATTATAATAAATGCTCCATTAGAGAAATGCAAAGGGTGCTAGGGGAACATAGGTAGAATACCTCTCTTCCACCTCAGGGAAACAGAACCAGATTCCTACAAGAGGAATTGTGGCTTAGGTAACCAAGCTCATGAAAGGGGAGGAGACATCAGGCAGAGGAAAGGAGTGTGCAGGTGCCATGCTCATATCCTTGGTGTAACTGCAACGTCATGAGGCTGGGGTGAATGCAGATCCACTCCCTGTGCTTTCACATTTCACCTCACAGGGTGAACCTCTAAGAAACCATGGAAACTCTCATGATATGAAAGAGAAGACTGATGTTTGGAGTCAACCAGACTGGAATTCAAATCAAGATTTCTATCACACAGTGTAATTTTAAGTGAGTTTCTGAGTTTCATCATTTTAAGAGAGAAGTAACAGTATCTATCTTAAAGAGTAGCCATTAGGACTAATAGGATAATGAATGAAAAGTATTTAGCATCATTTCTGGCGCATGGTAGTCACTTAGCAAATCGTAGTTTCTAATAATAGTACAAATGGAAATGGGTTGCATTTGGAACCTTGATAATAGACACCAGATATACAGTTGGTTGGTCATTCTTTCCTTTGGTTTGTATCTTGTTAATATGAATTGAAAATGTTTTTGTTTAAAATTATTCAGTGTGGATTAACTCCTCTATGTAATTGATAGTAATTTGATTCCATTGATGATAATTGTAGTGGATTTTAATGACCAGTTGGCAGGAATTTTTAGAGCATCCTTCTTGGGAAGTAAAATATGTCACAGGAATTCATTAGTAACCAAACAAGATACATGGAGACCATAGAATGACTAATGAATAGTCATGATACCCATTGGGATTTTGTATCAATTTCAAAATTGACACCAGAGAGATGGTAAAAATTCCCCTACGACTATCAGCTTGGACAGAAATTGGACTTGTGTTAGCATATCCGCTCATTCACACCAAATACCCAATCTGTCTATGAGGTGAGGTTCTCAATTTCACATTCACCAAATTAAAACAATAAGTGATGCTCAAGCTCATCTGGATGCCAGCACAAGACAGTCAGAAAGAGAAGCTGTAGTTCAGCTGTCTGCTGAATTCTGTTGCCCTTGATGACAATGTCTAAAGCAATAATGACCCAAACTTGAAATTTATAGATTTCATGATAATGAAACCAAAGCTAGGTAGTATTGTATATTGAAATCATAAACTGGCACATGTGTACATGCTCAATGGGGCGAAGTTCTCCAAAAGATAAGGGTAGTGCTTTCAAAGGGAAAATGAGCACAGATGGTTTTAAGGAAATTAAAACCCTCAGCTTCCATATATTTTTTTTAATTTTAGAGAATATTCAAGTAAAAGGCTTGAAGACCTAGAGTAAGTTGAAAACCTCACTGAGCTCTAATTTAGCAAACGTGGCTTCTAGGCCAGCTCTGTTACCTCGGGTGTGACCTTGAGCAAATCCTTCATTCGCCCCTTTGACCACAGTTTTCTGTCGAGGAACTTGACCCCTAAGTTGCTTTCCAATCTCAAACAATGGGGGTGTGAGTTTATTTTACATGAGCAAATCATGCTGCACTCCCAGAGAACCTCATGACTTCAGGACAATAGGTTTGAGATAGAATTTGAATTTGAGGTAAAACTTCTCTAAGAACCAATTTGGGCTGGACACATCCTAAATGTTGCATACATATTTTTTTAAATCAAAGAGTACAATAAATTCACTTTTTCTTGCTGTAAAGGATAGTAAGCCTCATACCTCATTCCTTACTCCTAGAGGTTCAAACAACTTAACATATTATTGTCTTAGTACAAAACCATTCAATTTTCCATCCTGTGTTAATAATTTAGCCTTGGTGAGCTTTTTCTCCTTGGCAAGCACTCACTGTTATTTTCCACCCTTTTTATTTCTTATTTTAAAAACTTTGTTACTTTCTTGCACTAGCCATATAATGCATGTGATATATGGTCCTGTACTCTGCTTGGTACCAAGTATACAAATGGGGATGAGACACAGTGAAGGAAATTTGTAAAATTAACTGTCTAACTGGCTAAAAAGACACTTAAAATGATAATTACAATATAATGTATTGAATGTAGTAATAGAAACATAAACAAAGTTCCAAGGAAATGAAGAAGCACAAACTTCTTTTTAAATTTTGATGAAGTTTATCTATTCTTTTGTTGCTTTTACTTTAGGTATCATAACTAAGAAACTATTGCTTAAACTAAGGTCATGAAGATTTACACCTATGCTTTCTTCTAGGAGGTTACAGTTTAGCTCATCTGTTTAGGTCTTTGATCTATTTTGAGTTAAAGCTGTATATGGTATAATGTAGGGGTCCAACTTCACTCTTTTGCCTGTGGATATGCAGTTAGTTGTCCCAGTACCATTTGTTGAAAAGACAATTTTTTTCCATTAAATTGTCTTAACACTCTTATAGCTGCCTCTTTGATATATTGTCCTGACTTAACTTCCATTGTGCCAAATTCACCTTGCTTTTTCAGTTTCCTTAGCAGGTTCCTTTACCTTCACCTTACTCTAAATGTTAAGATTCTTAAAGATAGGATTTGCAAGCCCCTTCCCTTCTCTCTTTCGTGTTGCTCCCTACAGATGATCCATTCCCATTCTGTCTCTATGCTAATGACTTAGAAATTTTATCTCCATCCCCAGACTTCTCCGCAGAGCTTCTTACAGGAATATCTGTTTGACTTACTGACTCCACTTGGATGTCTCATAGACAACTTAAGCATACATAACCTTATCCTAAATGAAATACTTGATTCTCATATCTGTTCACCCTCCAAGAAAATTTGTTTTTCTGACAGCCTTTTTTATCTTGTAAATTGCACCACTATTACCTACCCAATTGCTCAAACCAGAAGCCTGGGATTCACTCAGTATTCTTCCTTTTCCCTCACCTCTCATATTCAGTCCATTAATATGTATCTCAAATCTTTCCATACATCTCATCTCACTGACATCATCCTAGTACAGGCCACCTTTATCTCTTACCTGAATTACTGCAATAGCTTCTTAACCATTCTGTTTCTTTTCTTTCTCCTATTCCCAAACTACCACCAGAGTAATAATTTCCAAAAATTATCTTGGTCCAGATTACCCCTATTTTAAAACACTCCAATGGCTTCTGCTTGCACTTAAGATCTCTCATTACCATGGTCTATAAGCCCCTATCTAATCTGCCTCTTGCTTAGCTCTCTAGTCTCTTCTCAAGCCACTTTCCCCCTTCTATGGCCACACCAGTGGTCTTTCACTTTCTAGAACACATAAAGGGGTTTTCCCCTTTCAAATCTTTGCACATGGACTTTTCCCCAGCTTATCATCACACACAGCTTACGTCTTCAGATATGGCTTTCAAACTGATTCTAAGTCAGTCCCTCTTCCCTTGAATATACTATCACAGCACAGTGTTTGTTAACAACCTGGAAAATTATTGTGTTTCAGCAATTCAGTTTTTTTATTATAACGTATTTTTTACACATACACACCCCTACACATATTTTTTTAACCATACACATCCTGCCTCCTGTTTCTAGACCGTAGGCCCCTTGCCGGTCATGGGGTGGGGACAATGTGTGTGGAGAGTATGTCTATTTTGCCTACAACGGTGTTCCCAGCCTGCTGCTGTGCCTATTGCAAATAATAGGTAACCAAAAAAAAAAAAAATAGTTCAATGAATAAACAAACCAGCAGGGAAATGTAAAAGGTGGAATGACATCTGATGAGTATGAATTACTAGGTGATTATAGAAGGAAAGTACATCAATGGTTGAGTAACCAGTGTCTGCAAAGTCTCAGAGGCAAGAAAAGAGATGTATGGGTAAAGATGCTGATTATATTCCTTGGACACTGATGGGATTATATGCATGGAAAGGAAACACTTTTATTTGCACTTTGTTTCATGCTCAGTTTATTAAATATTTCTACTAAACATAATTTGAAAAGTCAAATTTTCTTAAACTTTTATAAACATTGTTTATGAAACAGTTCATGAAGTTCTCTTAAACAATTTAAACTGCAATCACAGTTTAATAGGACTGATTATTTTGACTACTTTAGATACTTTAAACAGACAAGACATATGCAAAAATAATAATTACAATACTTAAAGGAATATTATATTTAAACCTGTAATGAACAAGCAACACCATAGGTTTAATTTCTCTCTTCATTATTTATTTTCTTCTTCATAGATCTTTCAACTTTAATCAAAGTGCTTATTTTCATATTTCCTGAGTCTAGAGGATTGAGTTGGCAATCAGTTGATTTTTAGTGGGGGCACAGGGGGCACAGGGCCTGGTTTATTCTCCCAAGGTGATTCAAACTTGAGTCCCTGAGTATCTCACTGGGTCTTCATGGGAACCTCATGTTTCACCTCAGTAGCACCGTTTAAGCCTATATTCTTCACATACGCCCAGTGATTTCAACTTGACGGGTTTTCTCCCAAAATGGTGCATCCTTTACATTGCTTGGCCAGCATTACATAATTCTCTATGTCATTCTTGTGCATCGCTCTTGTATATTAGCATTATTGTGAACATACAGGCACCTTATTAATATCTAATTATAATTTGTCACGTTGTCTAGAAGTTTCTTCCCCTGGGAGATGCAATCTGATCTGAACAGATAGCCAAATTTCTAAAGAGGAGAACACATTCACTACTTTGGAATGCATCGTCATTCTTTCTACCTAGTGGATATGTTTGACCATTAATGCTCATTAGTCCTTTCTGTAACTTTCTGCTCTTTCTGAAATTCTTTGGCTTACTCGTAGTTTTCTGTATTTGCCCATTGCTACTCACACAGATAGAGACAAATACATACATTGGTATGTAGATAAATACTTAAACAAAATACCCAGATATTTTAATATTTTTTACTAATTAAAATCAATAAAGCATCCAATTATAATCAATTTTGTTTTGTACTTCATTTTTGTACATTTTATGTTAACTCTCTTGTTTTATCATTAAGAAATTATGGCTTCCACGAAGTCATATACAATTACTGTAATTATCTTTATTGTGATAACTTTTGTTACTATTGATGTTCTAAATATCACATCAGTGATCTTGCCCAGTGATCTCCTTTAAACTGCTTTCTTTTTCATTTTAGCACTGTCCCTGTCATCTTTAGAGGTATCCTTGCTATCTGGCAATAATAAGGTATTTTAGGCCTATTTGAGTTTTCCTTGCCCAAAGGCTTGGAATCTGCTGCTTCCCAAAGAACTTTGCTTTCTTCTAGCAGAAAATATTGCTAGACACCTAAATCTGAGTGTGAGGCTTGCATTTCAATACTGATGCTGGAAAAAAAAAAAAAAGTGCTACTGCTGATGTCGGAACACCCTTAGGGACAGAGCTGGATGCAATGTTCTTTGTTAAGCTTTTTATTCACATGGATTTTTTTTCAAATTCATTTGTTGTATGTTCTACATAGTAAGAAACTGATAAAACTTTAAGGATTTTCTATAATCTGTCAAGAAACAGTGAAGCAGTAGATAAAGGTTGGGGGTCCTGCAGAGGTGGCAAGCGAATAGCCTGGAACTAGATTAAGAAAGGCCTTCTTGGTTGTGTTGTATTATGGGTGAGCAGCAAAGCATAGAAATGAGAAAGTGGCATGATCAGGTACTAGAGGACTTAGAGACTAGTGGCAGGAACAACATCCAGGCTACTATCTTTGTCCAGTAAGACTGAAATAGAACTTAAAGTACCATAGGGGCTAGAAATAATGTGGAGGGCTAAGTAAAGAAACCTTGCTGAGAGAGAATGTCCTGGATTCCATGAGCATTTTGGTGTGGGATATGTTGGAGAGGTTAAGAGTCAGGTCAATTGAGAGTAGAAGAGTAGGTGAACAGAAGAGCCATTAATTGACACAATGAATGTAGGAGGAGCAGATCAGAAGAAGGGAAGGAAGGAAAAGATTGGGTTAATATGAAGGTTTTTAATTTGTGAAGCAGACAAATATAGACAGTGTCTGGCACATGTTCTGTAATAAGTGAGCTGAATGAATCAGTTATTACTAATGATACAGAGTACATTGAGCACATACTGCATTATTAGCCCTATGCTAAATATGTATTTCATTTAGTTCTCACACTAGTTCATATGAAAAATAAGTACTTTTTTTTGTTTGTTTGTTTATTTCTTTGTTTATGACAAGGTCTGGCTCTATTGTCCAGACTGGAGTGCGGTGGCTCCATCTCAGCTCACAGAAACCTCAGTGTCCCAGGCTCAAGCCATCTTCCCACCTCAGCCTCCACAGTAACTGGGACTATAGGCATGCACTGCCAAGCCCAGCTAGTTTTTGTATTTCTTATAGAGATGGGGTTTCTCCATGCTGCCCAGGCCGATCTCAAAACTCCTGGGCTAAAGTGATCCACCCACCTTGGCCTCCCAAAGTGCTGAGATTACAGGCATGAGCCACCACACCTGGCCAAAATAGGTACTGTTTTTTATTGACATTAAACCAATGAAAAAGCATAGGCTCATAGAGATTAAGTAACTTATCTGAGGCCACATAGTTGATATTTGGCAAAGTCAGTCTCAAGCCTAGATCTTTCTGACCTTGTATCTCTAATCAGGAAGGGAATGAAGGAAGAATCAAAGTGACAGGGGTCGGGGGGTGGATCAAGAAATAGTGTGTTTTAGAAGCCAACAGAAAGAGCGGCCTTCAGAAGTAGTCAGTCAATTTGTGGTCCCATGGCCAACTGGAGGAAACATAAAATAGGCAATGGACTCGATAGGTCATTGGTGAGTTTGAGAGAACAGTGTTGTTAGCATGGGGTGAGGTGGTCCACTGGAAGTTCAAAAGAATTGTGGCATACGAAAGTAACAGTAGGGGCAGACTCCTCCTTCACGAATGTTCATGGTGATGAGAGTAGGGAAAGAAAGATGAGCTAAGTAGAGAGCTTAACAGAAAGACTCTCCAGTGCCAGGTAACAATCTCATTAGTAATGGCTAAGGTTCAGTGTCTATGGGCCAAACACTGTTGTAAATGCCCCACTTGCGCATCACCTCATTTATTCCTCACAGCAATCTCATGAGATAGATACTAGACCAATCCCTAGGACAGGTGAGGAAACCGAAGCACAACAGGGTAAGTAATTTGTTCAGGTCACACAGCTGGTAAGTAGCAAGTATGTTGAAGAAAATTTGCTTTTTAACCAGTAGCATTGTGTAGAGAGTTTTCAATTTGTATATGTAAGGACTTGAAATTAACAGTTATTAGAGTGTTAGAGTAAAAGTCCCTAGCTGCCAACTGTAATAAAAGTAGAGACCTGTAGATCATAGCTGGTTTGTCAGCAAACATAACCCAAGACAGAACAAAATCTGTTTTACCAAATTTAGAGCCACGTTAGGTTTTTAACCTCAAAACAAGTGTTCCCTGTATTCTGAGAAACTGATAATCTCTGAACAAAACAGACCCAAAAGAAGTATTATTGAATTCATTCTCCTGATACCCTGTAACTATTCATAAGAACCAAGGTTAAGTAAATCCTAAAGATATCCATGAGTGTTTATGCATATCCTGAATTTAAGTGTTTAAAGAGACCTGAATAAAATCCTAAATGTTTGATCCTTGTCAATGAGAAGATTGAAACAGTGAATTGAGAGGAGAGTATGAACTCATAGTTGTCTATATGACAGGGAGGGAGCATTGGGCTTTTTCCTGAGACTTTAGTTAGCCTCTGGGGCAGACATGCTTGTGACTTGGGAGTAGGCTGGTGTTCCACTGCATTACCTTCACAATGCCAAAAGAAGACCTAATAGAATGGTCCATTCTTCTCTTGGTAACAACAGCAATCAATAATTCCAAGGTGTCCTTCAAGTAGGCTTTTGCATTTATGGACTTACAAAGTATTCCTGAGCATTAAGTCCATTTTTCTTTGTCGTCCAGCTCCAGGCAACAAGCAAGTAAGTTTCTTGGTCCTTGAAATTAGCCACCAACTTGAGACAAAAGATAATTCTGAAACCACCATTGAGCACGCTATCTGTTCCGTAGCCTCTATAAAGCAAGCCTTTTGAATGTAATTACATGACCTGTCTGTTACTAAATTGATGAGGACAGCCTGAATTTATTTTTCCTCCTTTAACTTAGGAGTCAGTGTAGTCTATTGTAGCATTTCTGAGCACAAATTCTGCGGAATTTCACCCTACTAAGATACTCGGCAAAAAAGCCCTATAAGTAAATATGTTTGGGAAGCTCTGCATACCATACCTCTCCTGCTCTCACCCGTACCTCCTTTTCATTCAGTTTACATTAACGCATTAAAGATTTTCCAAAGTTCTGCAATAAAGGAGTGTGGCTAGATCTCATTTCACGAAGTCATTTTGCCATAGAATTGAGCTTTCCTTGGAGCACTGTAACTCACAGAACCACTTTGGCAAATGCCGACATAGATGTTAAGAGCTTTGGAGTCAATTCGCGGCTAATCCTGCGTAAGCTACTTCACCTCCCTGTGCATGTGTTTCCTTAACTGTAACATAAGGGTAAGAATATCTCCCTTTGAGGAATGTAACATCTTACCATAGTACCTGCCACCTAGTATGGTAGCTGTTCTGTGATTGTGATTGACTGATGTTCACACTGCATCCTGCCCAGCTTGGGTTAACAACTCTTCCGTTTGGAAAGGCTTGATTTAACCAGAATTTTTAAAAGAATTTTTCTGGTTAGTCATTATCACAAAAGTATGGATGAAATTTAACTTTTTGGAAGAATCTCCATCTTAAAAGAGGATATTAGAGGTTATCCAACATTGAAATGCAGTGATGTGATTTAGTATTGATTAATCAATGTAATATAGAAAGAGCTTGGTATTGCCTAAATTCACAGATAATTAATGGACTTTGTGGATTAAGAGCCAACTTCTATCACCGGGTAGGCTTTGCATTTAATCACTCTGTTCATAGAAGTAAAAGCTAATATCGTCATGATTACTTAAATTATTATTCATCTATAAAATATTTAGTGACAGTCACAGTACTAAACAGAGCCTCCTTTGGAGCATCATGATTATCATGCAACTGAATGACCATGGATGGGGGCAGAAGTAGAGCCACTCATCACAGGAAGCAGAACAGTGTCTAACTGACACTGAGTAGCTTTGGGACTGAAAGGAGACCAGGCTGTCAGGGAGCCAGATCTCTATGTGACTTTTCTTTTGCTAATATATGTTCTAGTGGCAGAAACACTGAGCAATGAAATTGTCACAGAGCGAAAGTAGAAAAAAGAAAAAAACATGTCTTAGGTGAATCCTACCTTTTTGTATCCAGTGAAATTAATTTGTGTGTCACTTATACTTAATAAGACTTAATTGTACCTTAGGTACTAACCATGAAAATAGCTTTGCTAAGAAAAATAACTCAGTAGATGAGAATAGAATAGAGCCTACTTCATCTACGCAGAGAATAAATTATTATTGAATACTTTTGGCATATTATGTGAGAGTCACTAATGTTCCTGGCCTATAAACAGATTAAATATAATAGGTCTCCCTACCAATTTTTGTGTTTGTTAGAACCCATATCTATTTTACACATTTATATTTTCCCAAAATTCAAATTGGTTTTCCTCTAAGTTAGTTTAGATAAGTGGGGTTTATTGGGTAGTTATTCTTAAGTGGTTAAATTGATTATGGAATAGAAGTAGTCCAAGCAAAACTGTTAAGAAATCTCTGTTTTAAAAGAGTGTTCTTAGATAAGCACATTGACTCAGCACTGAGTATAGATGGGCATATATTTATTATTTATGTTTTAGATTATTTTCTTGCTGCCTTATTTTCCAAACAGGATGAATATTTTATATTTCAAATATCTCTATATGTATTTTATAGAAGTAGCTGCTGAAAATTCTGTTGAAATTGCCTTTTACTAGCAATAGAATTAAGGATTTTAATTACCAAGATACACCCTGATGTGTAGGGTGATCAAATGAAATTATGTAGATAATTGAACTATTGGTGTATTGCATGTGCTTCTTAAAAAGTTTCCTCCTTTCTCTTCGTTTATCACTTCTCAATATACTTTACTCTTTTTTCTCATTTTTCTCTACATTTAAATTTATTTTCATTGTGTTCTCAGTGACTGAACACAATGCTATAGCTTTATCTCCAGTTGCTCTCTCAATGAAGTCTTCTAAATCACTTAACATAAAAGATGTCAGCGTATATATTTTTTTAAAAGCACACATTAAGTGGAACTGATATGAAGGCAAGATCAGTGGAGCAAGATTGGTCTCTGCTCTATCTCCAGAGACTAATTCCAAAAGTAGTTGACTTTATTTACCATGGTTGACAGCTTCTCAGACTGCTTGAATAAATTTGGGTATTAATATGCTTCCTATCTATTTAGAAAGAATTACTATGCTGTTGGCCTCAGGAGGCTGCTTTATTTCCAGATTTAACTCAGCACAATATGATGAGTCCCAACTTTTGAGTTAGGCATCCTATTTACAAAACATGTCGTGATTTAATAAATACGTGTGAAACTCCCTGTCTGAGCAACATGCTGTGCTACATATAGCAGGATATACAAAGGTATGTAAGGAGTATCTTCTGCAAGCTTCAAAACACTTAGCCCCGAGATAGGAGAGAAGAGAGAATGACATGCAATGGAACTGGGTGAGATGTGCCATTTTTTTCAAAATTACATAGAAAGAAGATGTAGTCTTAAGGGGGGTGGAGGGACAAACTTCCATTGAGTACCTGGAGACACTGCGTGTACATCTTCATCTCCACAGTAGGCACGTGAGGTAAATGGCACAACCCACATTTTACAGATCAGACAAATTAAATCACTCCCTTAAAGTCATTCTGCCAGTTGTGTCAACATAATAGTGCCTGGCACGTAGTATGTACTTCATGAATAGTTTTGAATGTTGAATAAATCTTTCAGGGAAGCAATTTTCAACATACACCAAGAGCCTAAAAATGTTTGTATGCTTTGAACCAGCAATTTTATTTCTAGTAATTATCATAGATGTGGTAAAGATTGTGTGTATATGTGAGGCAAGAGGATGGTAAAAAGGCAAGAGTGTAGAGAGCTGTATAGGAGGTGACCTTTAGTTGTATGGGATAAAAGTGAGGAAGGTGTCTAGACTAGACTCCCAGATTTCCGGCTGGATTCAGGACCTGGGCAGATATTGGGGTTGTTTGCTAAGTAGGGGACCCAAAGGAAAAACAGGTGTGGAGGGAAAAGATAATGAGTTGAGGTTTTGACTTACTGAACTTAAGATGACTTTGGGTCATTCTGTTGGACTTTTTCCATAAGAAAACCTATGGGCCTGGAGCTCAGCAGCATGACCTAGTGAAAGATAAGGATTTGGTTATGGAAGTCAGGAGCTGGATGAGATTGCTCCAGAGAGAGTCTGTAGAGTGCAAAGGAGAAGAGAGTGAGGGAAAGAACCCTGGGATTACAGTTTGAGCAAGAGGATCCCAGATAGAAGAAAATAAGTCAGCAGAAGATCTAAGTCAATAGAGGAAAAATATTAAAGATTTAGGGAATGGTCAACAGAGCGAAATGATGCACTCTGAGAATTTGTAATCCAGCTGGGAAGTCATTGCATCTACAGGTGAAAAAGTCAAGTAGGAGAAGAGTTGCCCGTGATTGTACTTAATTAAGTACCCAAGAAGGATATAGATATTATTTAGGGAGTTGAGTGGAGGGAGAGATTGGAATTGACCTGAAGCTTAATAAAGGTGATGGGACTTCACTGTGCCTAAAATGTGGGTAGAATTGAAACTGGAAGAGGTTATTTCAACCAAGGAAATGAAATTTGTTCGAATTCATCCTGATGCCTGAAAATAACTGAAGGTGGATTTCCTATTGGCAGTAGTCAGCAATGTCATCTTTCAACAGTGAAGACAGCATCTGGTTCTCTATGAGTTATAATGTCTCCTGTTAAACAGTATCATATAAAACTGAGTGTGATGTTACCTGACATCACGTGCAAGCTTAATTTCAAGCAACAAAGCAGCAAGGCTTATGTGTAGTAGGTTCATTCCAGAAACACGAGTGAAGATCATGCAGGTTAATTCCAGTGGGAAAAGGCAAGTCTTGGTTATACACCCTCTTAATTTTATAGCAGCTAATTCTAAAATCCTTTTGATTTAAGGAAGCTATTCCTAGTGGTGAAGTTGCAGCTTCCCTGCCCTATCTTTTCCCAGTCCTCTGGTGGCTCAGCTGTGAATATATGGAAGGAGGCAGGAAAAGGAGATTTTCTTGTGCCCTCTCCCAACTCCTCTGCGCCCTTCCCCATCTTCCTGTTCCACCCCATTGGCCTCTTCCTTTTTTGAGAAAACTTGACTTTCCATGTGGCATGGGTAATAACTCTTAATTTACCAAGAGGAGTACCTTGAGGACAGAAACGGTCAGGCGTTACCTTGGGAAATAACCTGTCAAAACCTATCTGTATGCTAGTCTGCGCACAATTCTGTCTTAGTGATTGCTTCTCTGAACCAACACCATATCTGCAAAGAACAAGGTAGAGAATAAGGAAAAGTCACTGGGAAACCAGGCTCAAGTGCTATCCATGTCACTTCCCTAGTGATACGGTATTGTGCAAGCCTCTTAACCTCTGCTAGTCTCAATCCTATCAGCAGAATTGTGACAATCAAGTGAGATAATATTCGTGAAGGTGCTTTATGATTGCAAAGTGCTATTCAAGTGTTGAGCAGCATGGATGGGTTATTATCATAGTTATGAGTATGATATGAAAGCAAAGGGGACCAAGATTTCTCCTCCTAAATCTGTTCTGAAGACCCAGACCTTTCATTCCAACCTTGCATTCAACCAGATTTGCCTAGAACTGCATTTCCTCTGCTCCCTATTTATCTGTGCTGATTTATCTTGGTTCATGTAGTGCTTGATGCAACTGAGTAACACTGAGTTAACCCCATTCTCCTCCCCTCAGTGCATAATTGAATCCCTTGAAATCCACCATTAAAGAAGAAAAATGGAAAAACATTTACTAAGTGCTTCCTCCAGTCCAGGCACTTTCTTTGCCTGAGATCCTTTTCCACAAACCACAGACTGTGCCCACAGAGGAGAAATTAAGAACCCTTTGCAGCTGAGACCAGTGGAAATTGCGTTTCTATTAAAAGCTATCTGTGGCTAGATGTATCCATCCCAGGTACAAAGTTAAATGATGTAATAAACTTATTCAAAGACATAAAGTCATTATATAAAATGCCATTAAATATCTCACACTCAGTGTTAACAAAATACAGCTATAAATTTCCTTTGGTTGTCATTTTGCAAGTTGCTATTTCTCAGTGATTTATGCATTGGCAAGTTCTTCACTATTGAATTTTGCTGCCCAGTCCCGGCAAATGGGATGTCAGGAATGCATGACCCTCTGAGATGCAATGGCTTTCAACCTTCTTGGTATCACCACTCCTGAGTTTGGGAGTACCAAGTTTCTTCTAGGGCTGGTTTCTATCACTGTTTTGTACCTGCTGGTTAAGTATGGTCCTGAGGCTCCGTATTTCACATACTAGAGATCAGAGGTAAGGAGTCCCAACCATCCGAGCCATGGTACAGAATCCAAGGTTGGGAGCAGACACATCTACTCTGAGCTTTGAGACTGGATCATAGCTCTTACATGAAGCTGTACATTTTGGGGTGTTCTTTACTTGCTGGATGAAGGGGTAAAATGAAGAAGAAGCATTGGAAGGAATATAGAGCATTCTATCTAGAAAAGTTCTGTGGTCCCAGTTTTCCTATGGTTATTCACCGAAACCACAGGTCAAAAGGAAATAACATAAGATCCAGATATGTCTCATTGAACTTGCCTAATTCTGTGAACTTGTCAACGTTTTCATTTATCTTTGCAAGCCAAGTTGTAAATCCAGACAGGCCCCATCCTTTTGAGCCTCCACAGATAGAATACTGGCAGAATGGAAATGACTGGCATGTCAGTGATGAGTTTATAGAGAAGCATTTAGGATTTTCCTAGGTCCTGCAGTCAGTGGGTGTTCTTGCTGCAAGTGCGTCAGTCAAACCCAATCAAAAGAAATGTCGGCTTGTTTCCTAGACACTAGACGAGCGGCCTTTCTGCAGTGTGACCTGCCTTCCTCTTACAGGATACTCACCCTGCCGGAGTCTGGTCACTGTGGGTCAGCTGAGCCAGTTTCTGATGCTCCTGCTCTCCTCCTTTCAGGAAACAGCATCCTCCATTCAGCTGCTGACAGCGTGACCAGCGCAGTGCAGAAGGCAAGCCAGGCCTTGAATGAGCGTGGAGAGCGATTAGGCCGAGCAGAGGAGAAGACAGAAGACCTGAAGAACAGCGCCCAGCAGTTTGCAGAAACTGCGCACAAGGTGGGCCAAGAGAGGAGCAGGCTTCTCAGCTCTGGGGTGTTGGGGAGCTACAGTGCCAAGAAACTTTATTTCAGTATTTTCCTGTGATGAGAGATATAAAATTAAGCTATTTCCCCTTTATGTAATTCCCATCTGCTACTTACTAAACACCTGAGTCGTGGAAAATTTCTTCTTGTACCTGGTTTCTTTGGCTCTTTTCTAATGTCCTCAGCCGTATCTCTGACCTTCTGACCTTGGATCTTTAGGAACTATGGACCATCTTTAGTTCCTGCTCAGAAGTTTAGGGCTCAAGTATCGAGGCACAGAACAGGGGGTCGGGGAGAAGAGATCAGGTCTTCGAATATCCCTGCCCCACTTAGCCAACACATGGAGGACGTGAGGCTGCTCGTGCTTGCTTTTCCATCCTGTCCCTTTCTCATCCTGAGTGTAGCAGTGTGTCCTTATCTCTTCACCAGACACAAAGCAAGCCCCAGTCCCAGGGAACTACGCACCTCGGGGCTAGTTTTCCCTCGGAGAGGGGTCGATTGTTATTTCAGGGCCTCAATTCTGGGGCTCTGAGCTTGACCGGACCAGCGCTGAGCTGTCAGCAATACTCCCTGCTGCCCCTGAATCCAGAGAAGGGCATTTCCTGCGTGACTGAGTGCGCACTCTGCACATTCTCATACTCGCTGAGAACTGTGCCTTTTAGAAGGGAAAGGGGCAGTTTTTATTGGCAGCCAGCTATCTAAGGCAGTCACAAACCAAAGGAAAGAGAGGCCCTGTTGGTCAGGTGATAAAGAGGATTTATTACTGTTGTTGTGCTTCAGATCAAAGGGCAGTTTTTTTTCTGGTTAGTGGTTTGAATTTAGCCTTCCAGAAACAACATCTGCTGATGACTTGTGTTGGCATGTCAGGCTTATGATCTGGCCCTTCAAATACACTTTTCAGGTGACCTTTCGGGGAAGAAAATAACTGGCTTTAACAGAAACACCACTTCTGCTGAGGAAACAAGGATGGATAACCTAAAAAGCAATGAGAAGAATATTCCCAGCTGAGTTGCGGTGACCTCTTCTGGAGGCTCACGCTCAGGTCCAGCTGGGGATCCAGCTCTAAGTGGATGACTCCTGCCTTCTCTTCCTGCATCCCCTTTGCACAGCGCTGTCTTGTCATCTCATTCATTCTCTGTCGTGACAGGGTCTTACTGCACTGTTGCCCGTGGGGCCCATTTCGAGTTCCTTCAAGGAGAATTGGCTAGATCTATCTGAAAATGCAGACAGCCCTGCTGGAGGCCAGAGCCTCAGATTGCTGCTGTTGGTGCAGAGGCAGAGAGTGAACTTGGATTGAAGGTCTCCCTAGTTCCTTCCTCCTTTCTCCAGCCTCTGTGACACAGAGATAATGATGACATGGAAATGCTGGCATTACAGCCTCAGCTTCTTTAACAACAACAGCAGCTTCCGTGATTTCAGTGGGAGACGGATAGTGGAAATCTGGGGAAACATTTAAGTTGTTGAGTTGGGTAGAGGAGGCTAAAGGGAATAACTTTATAACAGTCTTCAGTTCTGGGAAGGGTGATGGTACAGGCATTTTTCTTTCATGTCTTCCCACACAGAATAGAGCAATCAATAGTGCACTGATAAAATTCTGCTAAAACAAGAGTTTAGGTTAATGATTAAACCATGAACCAGGTTACCAAGGAAGATTGTAAAATTGCTCTTCCTAAGGTGGCATAGACAATACCTGGATGTCGTCCACGTAGGCGTCCCTCCCAGAGGGGGCTGTACAAACACTGGATTGGATAACCTAACCAGATGGCCTGAATTCTTGGCCCTGGTAGCCCTGTTTCCCTGATACTGTGGCCAAGTTTGCGAGGCAATTGGGAAAGCAATATGGAATAGTAGTTAACATCTTGTGTTTGAATATAGCGCTGTCATTTACCATCTTGGTGACCTTGGGCAAATGCTTAATTTCTCTAAGCCTCAGTTTTCTCATCAGTAGAATAGAGCACTATTCTTTATGAGAATAGTACCTACGTACTAGAGTGTTCAGAGAATTGAATGAGTTCAAAGCTATTAGCACAGTATGTAGCACATATAAATCTAAATTACTATTATTTGTAATCATTTTCATAAATTTTTTTTCTACTGACCCTGCCCTATTCAGTCACATAATGAGCACTGTAGAGGGATTGGAGAATTGATACTGGTGATTGAGGATCCTCAACACAGGGACAGGGAAGGAATGGAGGAGAAGATTTTGTGCCTCCCAAACCCAAAGGGAAAGGGGTGTGGGAGGGCCCTCATGCTAAATGTTGATACTATCTAAACACAGATCAGCCCTTGAAACAGGACCCATCAGGATAGAAACTAATGCGGCCACCAAAGGCAAAGGGGTCTCTGGCTTGACCAGTGGGAAAATTTATGCCTAGCAGTTACCTGCTTTCACTCGGGAGGGGTGAGGCGTGGACAGCTTGTGTTTATTTTGGTTTCCCCTCCCTCAGGTCATCTCGGGGGGAAGAGGAGGGGTTACTAGTGTCTGTTAATGTGTATGAGAGTGAGAGAGTGTCATGGCCAGACTTGCAGTTGTGTGAAACTGGGATGTGTGCCTATGAATCACTGGCACTGGCAGTATTCCTAACAAGCAGATTGACCTCTTTAGATAAGGTGTGGCTATTTTCCCAGGGACCAGGACTCTTGATTTGGACCTGCTAGCATAGGCTGACCATGAAGCTGTCATTTTACTGGACAAGCCACAGCCAGGCCTGCTGGTGAGGGGAGAGTTCAGAGATGGAACCCAAGCATTCTACCCCCTAGACAAGCATGGCTCTGTTGACTCAGAAGGAGTAAGCTGTGCTTACAAGTGGGGGCCAGAACACATGGCAGAGTCCTGAGCTGAAAATGGCAATGCCAGGTGGCAGCTCCTAGAGCTCCCAGTTGAATAAGGGTGCCGAACCCCAGCTGGAGAGTTTGGCACACCTTTGTAGAGTCCAGTAGAAAATAACTTGGCCTTCTAACTTGTTCCAGGACTCCTGCAGTGACCCAGGTGCAAGAGTCAATGGATCACTTTTGCACAACCCTGACTTCAAAATACGCAGGTGCTTGTTGTCTACAGTGCAGATAGAAAATGATCCTTCCGCCCTGCCTTCCTAGACTGACTCCCCCACCTCCACTCTGGTGAGCCTGGTTTGAGGAAATGTGGTCCTTTCTTGAGCTCCGGGCTTCATGCAAAGTTAACCTCAGGAAAGTGCACCACAATCGCAGAAACAGATCTGCTCACTTTCCCTTGCCAAAAAGCACAATGTTGCAGCAGACGCAATGCTTTGACGGCCCCGCCATAGTCAGTGAGTCAGTAGACAAGAGCATTACCCACACTCAGACATCCTCAGATGACATTTCTTGCAGAAAAAAACATTGACTTGCCCTGTTTTGCACTAGCCTACGTGTGTGGGGGAAGAAAGGGCGTGTGGCCTTTCTCTCACTGCGAGGGAATGGCTGCCTCTATCCTTACTACCTAAGGAGCTCAGGTCTGGGTCTTCGGAGCACAGGTCTTATAATATATAATATTATATTATTATAAAATAATACTATTATGTTATAATAGTATTATAAAAAATAAAATACATGATTTTATTATTTATCAACAGTAATATATTGATACTATATCTGCCTGGTATCAGTCATGATTTTATTATAATCATTTTTTAGGTTGAGTAGGTTACATGCATAGCATTGAAAGAGAACTCTTTCCATGAGATATTAAGAACACAAAATATATCAAAAGGAAATTTGAAATTTTAACAACTCTGACACCTAAATTTATCCATTGGCATTTAGCGTTGGAGACTTTTTTATAGACATAAGAGGAGGCTGAGGTGTGGAGCAGCTGTGACTTTAGAGCTCAAGGTCATACAGCAGATTTGCAGCAGCAGGTATCCTGACCTCATTTCATGCAGTGCTCTTTCTGCTCTACCTCCCTGCCTTCCATATTCTAACGCTCCTAATTCCTAGGGAATTTTTAAACAAAAACTAAAATGATACTACTTTCTTAGTCCATTCAAGCTGCTATAACAAAATACCATAAACTGGGTGACTTATATACAACAGAAATTTATTTCTCACAATTCTGGGGGCTGGGAAGTCAAAGATCAAGGTACTGGCAAATCCTGTGTCTGGTGAAGGCCAATTGTTTGATTCATAGATGGCACCTCCTCATCATGTCCTCACATGGTGGAAGCGGTGAGGGGTCTCGCTTCAGCCACTTTATAAGGACACTAATCTCATTCATGAGTGCTCTGCCCTCATGACCTAACTACCTCTCAAAGATTCCACCTTCTAATAGTATCACCTTGGGGGTTAGGTTTCAACATAAGAATTCTGGGGAAACACAAACATTTGGACCATGCCAATACTCAAATAGCAAAATGTCCAGTCTTAACTGTATTTCTGCAAATCTTAGCTGGTCGTGGCCCGGGGGCTCCCCTTAGCTCCATTCCAGATGCACTGTCCTGGTTACCAGGGTCTGGTTTGAACAGCAGCATAATCACTGCTGAAAATTAATAGCTGTGGGTAAATTGGCACAAGCCCATTAGTTGAAAGTTAACAGCTCATTGAATACCAGGACAGCAGCACTGATCAAATATTTATGGTCAGTATTTATTATGCACAACACTTAACCACTCTGTGTTGATGTGATGGTCCATGTTGCTGAATAATGTATAAAAACTAGAAGCAGAGCAAGAAGTAGAGGCCGTAGAGTGATGAGGTTCAGAGTGTGGCCAGGAAGTGGTACAGATCTGAGCTAGAGCCCTGGCTCTGCCATTTGCACCAACCTGGACTATATGTTTCCTGGACTATAAACTCCTTGAGGTCAGGAGTCCTTAGCCACCTCTACCCTTCTTGGCAAGAACCCACATCACTCAGCAGGACAGCCTGGGCACATTCGGAACTTCCCAAACCCTGTGTCTGACAGTTGACTGACTATTGGCGTTAGCATTGCAGAAGATCTGTGGAGGTCTTCACTGGCATCACCAGACAGAGGTACCAGGAGCTCTTTCAGCTGAGGTTTCCCAAGCAGAGATTAACTTATCAACATGAGGACTGGTCCAAAGGTCCCTCTATCACATGCAAACCTGGCTGGGGACACTTGTTGTGAGTGTTGACCCTGTCTTTGCTGGTGGCTTAGCTGAGATGGCAGCCCCAGGGTTATAATTTATTTGTTGAAGATGTCAAGAAGAGAAAGAGAAGACTCAGGTTGCCCTGGGTTTTGCAGAAGAAATGGATTAGTGACATTCCAAAATGATGCAGAGCACCACTGGGTGAAATCAGTAGGATCGGCCTTACTAATTCTTAAAAGGCAGAGAGCCTGGTCAGGATGCAGATGACAGGGCTTTCTGCAAAGTTATTGCCTGCGGAGAATCACCTGTTCTTTGCTCAAAGGATTTCTGAGCCACAGAACCCTAACCCCAGTTGTTCCCAGCCCCAACCACAGGAATTAGTCCCTGATATCAGACTCTGGATACATGGAGAGTTACAGTTCAGCCTCTGTTCTGCCTTCTGGTTCACATCATTGTATAGACTCCTTGGAAAAGATCTGGCTAAGAAAAGTGAGGACAAATTTAATTTCATATTCTGTACCTGCATACCATTTCCTTAAATACATTATCATGGGCTGGCTGGGCTTGGGAAAATATTGACTGATATTGTGGTATTTGATGTTCCCATTTAAAAGACCTAATATTTCAATAGACCGTGTTTTACAAACACCAATGGGAAAGGCATAAATCAAAGTCGGGATTTGGTGTGTTTTGGCCCTCGTCAGTAACACAATTAAATTGTGAAGGGCTGTGGACTTGGTGGAACGTCCAGGCTGCATATTAAATAGATGGTTGTAGATTGTCTCACTAAAAGCTGTTGATTTTTAATACTTCATGAGATGCCAGTAAATACAATTCAGGGGTGTTGCTTCTCCTGAATAGCTGGGAACCCCAGCTATTCCTAGGGTAATTCATTCATTCTGCCTGTCCATTGGTTTTTTCATTTGTTCCTTCAGTGTGATGTAGGAACACCACACAGGCACTCCCTCCCGCCTGGATGCATACACCAGCAAAGCTATCATAAGGAAAAGTAACAAATGAAATGTCCCATGAGCTATTTGAGAAAATGTTGCACATTTAAAGGTGCTACTGTAATTAGTAACGGTGATCTGCCACAGAGAGTAGAATCTTGGTGCTGCTTCTCATTGTGGAGGTGGAGAGGGAGCAGCACAGTGAAATCTCTCTGCTAATACCTGCTAATAAAGTCTTACTTTTCTCATTCCTCTCTCTCCTTAGCTTGCCATGAAGCACAAATGTTGAGAAACTGCCTATCCTGGTGACTCTTCTTAAGAGAAACTGAAGAGTTTGTTCAGCAGTTTTTACAAGAATTCGGGACCTCCGCTTGCTTCTTTTTTTCCAATATTTGGACACTTAGAGTGGTTTTTGTTTTTTCTTTTCAGATGTTAATGTGAAAGAAAGGGTGTTGCATTTTTACATTTCCCTAATGATCTTGCTAATAAATGCTACAATAGCATCAGCTTCATTTTGGGTTTTTGCCTCCTCCCACTGTGTGTATGTGTGTATATGTATGTTTTGAATATGTTTTCTTTATTAAAAAATATTTTTTGTAGTTTGAATATGAAATTTGGACCAAATGATAAACTGCGCTGAGTCTAAACTGGCAACATGTATTTTTTTCTCTGATATTAAGCAGGAAGGCATTTTAATGTGGTGACATCAGATGTTATTTTTCCTAGATGAAAATAAAAGTCAAGCAGTGATTAGTTTCACTCACTGTCCTAGCTACACTTAATTTGAAGATTAAAATTCTACATTGTGGAAAACAATTGAATTTATTGGGAAAAACAGCAGTCTTAGATTTTGCTCCTTGCATAGTAATCTTTTGCATGAACCATCACCAGCGTTCAAAAAAAAAAAAAAATCAGAATCGCAGATAGAAATCTCTTTCCTGAGTTACAGTTTAAATACTCTTGCTACTTGTATCCAGGGTGTTTACTTGGAATTATCATATGAAGGGTAAAAATTTGAGAGTAAAGCCCTAAAGAAAAGCCTACCTAAAACCCTCTGTGTACTCACAGATGTTTCTCTTGTCACTGTCATAGTGATGGTCGCTGGTATGGAAAAGTGCTTATATTTTTATCAAAAAATTGATTTGTCCAGGTAAAGGTCTGTGTCAATGATAATGTGAACAAGTAGTACATTTAAAATGTTTGTCTTGTCTTTTTACAGTCATGCCTATTTTAGAGACACCTTCATAATGTCCTTGGGAGAGGGCCTTTAGTTTCTTGGTATCTGGATTTTGGAGGTTTTGATGTTGTTTTTGCTATCTATTTATTTAATGTAATTTAATATGTGAGTTTCTTGACAAATTGCATTTCATGGCAATTGCACCTTGCCTGGTCTGATATAAAACACCACAATCACAAACCTTTACATTGCAGTCAGTTTCAATACAGTTGGTCACACACCTCGTGATTTTCTATTACTCAAGATAATAAGGGGCTTAGGGTCTAGAAGTTCTGTTTCCTAGAGGGTTAAAATGCTAAACATAAAAAAAGCTGTGCTTTTTTTGTGAAACTAGGAGACAAGCTGCACATCTCAGACACATTGTAAGCCTACCACTGCAGCGCATTGATTTTTAAGCTGCCTGAATCTTCAGGACCCCTATCTATTCCATCCTATCCATTTTGCTGATTGAGTCGATATGTATTGCAGCCTCTTACATAGGAGCATAAGATGACTTTTGGATTGTTAATACTGATTTAAATAGCTGAAGTTCTCCTAATAAAGCATTCCCAAGGAGAGAGAAAGTTTGTCTACTGGGGGTAAAAATATCAGATGGTGCACATTAAAAGGGAGATGAGATTTGTCGGAGACAGATTTCAGAATCCTTTTAGATGATCCAATTCAAGAAAACCCTCTATAAAATTTAATAAACTGTATAAGTTAACTATAATATTTTATACTTTCTTTTTGGTGTCTTAAAAATTTAAAGAAGCGAGGAACATGCCATTTGGTGAGTACCGTTGGAAGCTATTTTAATTTCTAGGAAAAGCCCCAAATATCACTCCAAATAGATTTTGTTTGCAGATCTCAGTTCAGAATGCACACACACACACACACACACACACACACACACACAGAGATGTATTTATCTTTCCAAATTGGATTCTGGTTTCAGAGATAGAGAGTTGGTATAAATAATTGAAAGGATAAATCTAAAACCCCCTGACAGTCCGCCAAATTCAAGAACAGAAGTGGTTGCCAACTCTCTAACAACAATGTTTGGGAAGCTGATTCCAAAGTAGCTGAGGATGAGGTCATAAGCATACTGTGAAACCCAAGATTCTTCTTCCCTGGTAGAATTACAATAGTTACTCTTGATAAATATAAGTATTCCATGTCTTGCCCTCTTTCCTCACTCTCTGCTTATCCTTTTAGACCTAAGTTTCATTGGAAATAGCCTGAATTAGAAGAAAGCCCATCCGAATCTTTATTAGCCCCCTCTAATGATTAGTTTCCAGGCTGCGTTCATACCTTTGACCTCTCAGTGTCAAAGTCCTACCTAGGCCTCCCCACAACAGAGAGGGCCGTAACAGCAATCCCTGCCCCTCCTTTACCTCCCAGCCTCTTGCAGAGGAGCCCAGTGATAACACATGTGAAGTTCTTTGCTGTCCTCTTGTAGAAGGTGCTGCAGTGCAAAGTATTAATACGGTCTTAGACAAAATAACTGTCATGATTTGGGACCAGTTTGGTTGAGCTTGTCAGAAGACATTTCATTTGTTTCATTTCTGCACTTCTCTATGAATTTTGGGATACTATATTTCTGTGAAGGACTTATTGTATAGACAACTCAAAAAGGAAAGAAACTTTCCAGTATTACCACTTCTTCCTGGAATATAGCTGTAGTATTTCTCACTAGTATTATTAGATACCTGTGTACAGAAAGTATGCAGTTATTCAGGTTAATGTTTCATATTAAAGAATGTATTTGTAAAATGTAACATGATCAGTAGTTACCTTTTTTCAAGCTCTGAAGAAGTTCAGATTACGTGTTAGACTTAAGTTACAGTGAAAACTGTTTTAATACTACTTTTGTGGCTAGCAAAGGTTGTGCATCTATTTAAAATTATTTACAGGATGCTCTAAATAAGGGGCATTAAAGATAGGTTTAGCTCTTAATTTTAGAAATTGTGACACTACTGATGTCTGTCATACAGTTATTCTTCAGAAGTTCTCTGAGATGTCAAATATAATTTTTGTTTAATTCAGAGATAAGTAACACCTGCTCTATTGATTCACTATTACAACAAACCCTAATTTTGTCATTAAATATTTTAACTCTGTGATGAAATTTGTTTCTTGCAGTTATTTATGAACTCTATAAAACACTACCAAATAAGTACATGTCACCACATTTTTTATGCTAATAGGAAAATCTTATGTGCCTAAGGGGAAACCTCAGAACTAGTATTAGCATGATGATAAAATGTCATTACATATGTTCTAATGGAAAAGCTTGGAATGTAATAAAGACTAAAGAGCTAACCTTAATTTAGACAATGGGCATCTATTCAGCAAGTTTTTTTTTTCCTTCTCCTGGGTGAAGCAATTAAGCTGATTAATAATTACCTTTCTGCTGATATCAGTGATGTACTCCATTTGAGTTCATTTTATTGCATGTGCCCTCATTCAGCAGACTAGTTTCTTGCCCTGTTAAATGGGAAAGAAGACCTGCTTGTATTGTGTCAATTTATTTTTATGGAAAAGCAAATGCAACATATTGCACCGCCCCATTTGTTTTCAAGGGAAGTGATTTGGGTGACTACTGCAGCAGAACAGCTGTCTCTGGGTTGGCATGGATGCTCGGTAAAGCAAGGGGGACTTGGAGATATTTCCTGGGAGGAGGGCAGGTGGAAAGGAGAGACCTGCAGTCTTCACTTGTCAGAGGAGAACGAGCAGAGATATGTTTGGGTAGATGAGGACCCAGCCTTAAGTGAATTATGCATTTAAAGGCACTTGCTCTTGTGAACTAAATTATAAGCTGATTGCCCTGCAGAGATTATCCTTTTTTAATGTAATTTTTATTAGCGATTATACCACAACCAACTCTCAAATTTTATGGGAGGATTAATATAAAAAAGCAGTGGTGCCTTTCTCCTGCATCAATGAGAACATGCTTAGGAAAAACGATTGACTTATCATAATCATCTGCCTAAACAAGCAGATTGGGGCAGATGTGGGGGAACAGAAGGGGAGGCATGGTGGAAAACACCCGAAATAAATTTCAAGATGCAAATGTCTGAGTATTGTTTTCTGTTGCCACCCATTCTGTGTGCCTTTCATAGGCTAACTTGTGTGGTAGCCGGATGTACGTATGCATGTTCACATAAGCACGCTCGGCAGGCATGGAGAAGAGAGCTGTGCGCTGCTCCTGCATAGCCCCCTGAGTCACTTTATGCCAACTTCCTGCCTATCTTGGCATGGGTGGGCAGGGGACAGTACTTCCTAGTGCCAGTGAAATTGTGGCAGTGCCACAGGTGGACCATTATCAGAGCATGAAGATAAGCAAAGATGTAAGAGACATGGAAAAAGGACACATCCCACCCACAAGGCAAGTCTCATGTTCTCTAAATGTGAATGCGCTAACTAACAGTCCTCTTTAACAAGATGGTGCAAAGGACGGGTTTTCTTGTGGTTTGCTTTCTTAAAATCTAGAAAATACATCTAAAATGGTTTTGTGTAACCAAGCCAAGCTGATGCTAAATTTGCCTTCATTTATACCTTCGCCCCAACCTTTTGAACAGTCTTCTTTCTCCTGTCCATGTCCTTCTCCTTGCTTCCTGGCCCTTCTTAAATCCTGCTTTAGCTCTCCCTAAGGCATTACCCATAAATAAAGTGTTGGTTTACAGTGGCTTCTTAGAGCAGTTCCTCCACCCTGGCTGCCTGCCACAACCAATTGGGGAGTTTTTAGAAATATACATTTACTCCCAAACTTGCCATTTTGATGTCCTTGGTCATGTTGTGTTTTCTAAAGAAAAAAAAAAAATTCCAGCAGGTCTGGGATGACCGGGCACCTGGCTTCCCCAGATATTTACTAGATTTTAAACCAGCAAATTAAAGCTGTCGAGGGCCAGGCTCATGCACGTAATCCCAGCACTTTGAGAGGCTGAGGTGGACAGAACACTTGAGTCCAAGAGTTCGAGACCAGCTTGGGCAACATGGTGAAACCCCATCTCTACAAAAAATAGCCAAGCCTGGTGGTGCACACCTGTAGTCCCAGCTACTGAGGAGGCTGAGGTGGGAGGATCACTTGAGCCTGGGATGTTGAGGCTGCAGTGAGCCGTGATTGTGCCACTACACTCCAGCCTGGGTGACAGAGCAAGATCTTGTCTCAAAAAAAAAAGCTGTCAAGAAAATTAAATATAATGTGCATTTAAGCTCTATTACTACTATAGTGTAACCTGCCTTAACCCCCATTTTATTTTCTCCCTTGAGCCTCATCTGGAACCTTCCTTGAGCCTCATCTGGAACCTTCCTTGAGCCTCATCTGGAATTCTCCCTTGAGCCTCATCTGGAATTCTCCCTTGAGCCTCATCTGGAATCCTCATCAGGATTTCCAGAGTTGTACTTTCACTTCCCATCTCTCTCCCTCCCCTAAAGTTTTCTGCTACATTTTCTTCTTTCTGCTCATAAGTCATGACCCTGGGCATAACAGTGTCTGCTCCCGTGGTCCATCTCACTGGCCACTGATGGACATAGTTCGATGAGGCAAAGCTGCCTTGCCTCCTTCAGCACACAGGGACTAATGGACAGACCTACGTGATGCTGAGTTGTTTGCCGATGTGTATTATTATTGCTCTCACATTTTGTCTGTTAGACGTTTTAAATGCTACTGATTTTCTCAGAAAAAGTGAAGATATTTTTGTACATTATTTTCCTGTCTTTTGCATACTCAGCCAACCCAAGGATGCCTGTTTCTATGGCTCCCGGCCTCATCACACATCCAGACTTATATGTGTCAAGAGCTGGACAGGAATTTCTAGCCCTGCAAGTCCCAGGTGTCACTTGTCAACCTTAGATATGGAGCCTTTGTCCCACAACATTGTATCACAATTGCTTTGCCACTTTGTCAGATGACATGGAAAGAAGAAAAATGAGCCCTTGGGTTCTCTGAGCTTAACCCTGCGATTTAAAACATGGCTTGGATGATCCATAGTATCTGAAGAAAATCCCTTAATTGTAACACTGCATCCTTAGTGATTGAAGCCTCAAGCGTTCTGTTAGCTTTCCTTAAAACAATTCCTTTGTTTTACTGCCCCAGGAAGGTAAATCCGGTTTCTACTATTAAACATGTCATTTTATTCATAGTACAGTGGCTTCTTTCAGGGGATGTTTTGTGTTTTTAGACCTGGAGATACAGTGACTAATACTGGCAAACACATTTACATTGGTCCGAAACTTTCCAATACTGAAGGAGCCTTGGCATTTGAACAGAAGGAAAATAAGAATGTATGAATTGTGCCCTACCTGGCACCTCCTGGAGTGGAAAAATAAAACACAGCTCCTTTTAACAGGCATGGACGAGGACAGGGAGCCCCCTTGCGGTGATTTCCTGGAGGCAGCATTGCATTGTATTTAGGATGAAGACCTAGGTTCACCTGCCCTGCTGTGAAATCCAGCTCCAATTTTACCACGTGTGAGGCCTTGAGAACGTTACTGACTCTCTCTGTGCCTGTTTTCTTTCAAATGGGGGTGATCATTGTAAGGACTGATGAAATAATGAATGTAAAACCTTTAGCCCCGTGCCTGCCACATAAGGGCTCCATGTATGTCAGCTTGGCAGTGGGCTACTTCCCTGTAACGGACCCAGAACAAAGCAGTAAACTTTACAGGCCTGGATGCCTGCCGCACTGTGCTGCTGGCTGGTAGAACAGACAAACCCTCCTTAAATTCACGTAAGCACAGGGCACACGGGGCAGACATTATTGTACCGAGATGCACTCATTTTTATGGCCCAGGGATGAAGACCCCTTGACATTCCATAGATACCAGCTCTGGGATAAAGGAGAGACTCCTGGACTACAGGCGCCCAGTGTTGGGCACTTTCTGGAAAAAATTCCAAAAAGGCTAAATTCGCAAAAGAGAGAAGTGAGACAAATTGGCCTCCATGTCTGTCATCAACTATGGGGATGGAAATGAATGGTTTTATGATCTGGGAGATGATGTGACATGTCCTTTGGACAATAATTCATACTCCCCTTGAAAAACAATGTTTAAGGTTGTTATACAGATATATTGGTGTGATTCCAAAGATGCTGGGAAGGCCTTTCTCAAAAATAAGCCACTCCCAAATGACTTAAGTTGACAGTAATTTAAAGAGAACCATTTACTCCACAAACTGAACCTGGGTCTAGAATGAAAATAGCTCTAAGAGAAAAAAGGAAGTAACTAACATCTCACTAATGTGTAAATTTGTAATAACGTACCTTTTCTGGAAGCATCTTGAGGCGTTCAGCTAAAAGGAAGGTCTCAGAAATACTATGTTGTCAGCATACCATGTTCTCCCATATTTGCCATGATGCTATTAATGACCAACATTATTATTAGGTCATTTGTAAAGGACAGTCCAAGCAAGGGGGATCATGCTACTTATAACAGTGGAGCTGCCCCAACCAAAATCTCAAACTCTACTCCTCTATATATTGCACTGTGCATTACGCTCCTGCCTGGCCTCAAGTGATCCTCCTGCTTCCCATCCCAAAGTGCTGGGATTATAGGCATGAGCCATTGCAGCCAGTTTGCAAATTTCTTTTTGTAAAAGTAAATTAGCTAGGATCCTTTCTAGCAGAGAGCCTCCTGGCTTTGTCACTAGCTTTGTGTTCTTAAGCAAATGATACAGTTTAATCTGTATTTGGATCTTTGTGTTGCACAGGAAAATCGTCCCCACCCTGCCTGCCTCAGAGGCCTGGTGAGTGAAGTGGGTTGTGGAATGTGAAAGAGCTCTGGGAAGTCCAAAGTGCTGAGGAGGTGTGTATTACTCACTAAAACCTGCATCTTTCACTGGTCCCACTCAACATTTAGAGGATTCCCTTATCTACCACCACCCCTTCCCCTACAAGCTCATCCCTGAAGTACTAGATGGTATCATAACTTCCTTCTCCCCCTCAAAGGAAAAAACCTCATGACACTTGGACTCTATTTGCCAGCATGGGAAGTAGAACAAAGGCAATAGTAGAAGACAGTTCCAACCTGCTCGGGGAAAGAGACAGCTGGACTGGAGACCACCCCGGGGAGGGGGAGATTCAGAGCATTCCAGGGGTTGAGGGAGAGTGTGGTGCCAGACTGTCAGCCTGTACACAGTCCACCCCAGGGCCACTGACAACTCTTCAGAGTCTGACATACTGTTGGAGAAACTGATCTCTACCCACTTGGGAACAGTTATCAAAAACAACAAAATTTTAGAAAGCAGCCAGGGAGAGTGGACATCCTCTCCCCCAGCATGGGGACTGAAGTGAGGCACACTCAGGTCCTTACATCTGGTCACCTAATGTAAGAGTCACATAGAGGGGCCACAGCAATGGCCAAAGTTTTGGGAATTCACTGGGTAAAAGTGGAAGTAATGGTGACTCAGTTATCCCAGGGAGACAGGATACGCATGGAAAGATGCGATCCAAGGCCATCCTTTCAGGTAAAACTCGGCTCACCTCAACACCACTCCCTGAGAGCAGCACTGTCATCCTGACTAGGGAAGACCCAGCTGCCAGCTCTCTGCTGCCCTGTGGGGTTGCCCAGCCTGGCCTCACTTTCCCTGTGGAAACAGCAGAAGGAAGGACGGGAAGAAGGCGTAACTGTCTCCCCTCAGTCTAATGCTGAGCTGGTCTAAGCCGTCTACTTCATGTTTCTGCCCTCTGGCTCCCCCATGACCCTCCATGGTGGCTGAGCCACCCTCCCTACGTAAGGTTGCCCTTGTGCACCTACCACCCGCCCAATCTGCTGGATGTGGACACCACAGGTGGAAGGAGTGCGAACCAGTGGCCCCCCGCCCCAGCCAGGCTTCCTGCAGTTCCCTGTCCTGCTTCTCTCTTTGTTCAATTCCTCTCTGCTGAGGTGGGATGAGGGGAAGGAAGGCAGAAAGAGGCTGAGGTTTCCACATGAGGGGTAGATGGGAGCTCTAACGAACATTATCCTTACAAAGCATGAGCGGCAGGAAAGGGGAAGGAGGAGAAAGTGCTGAATCTACTTTGGAAGCCATTCAAACCCATCCAACAGTCTGTCAACAGATGACGGCTTCTAGCGCTTCCCACAGACCTTAATTCCATAAGCAAACCCACAAGAGACGTTGGCCTAAATTTTCATTCATTGATTGATTGATTTATTTATTTATTTATTTATTTATTTATTTGAGACAGAGTCTTACTCTTTTACCCAGGCTGGAGTGCAACGGCGCAATCTCAGCTCACTGCAACCTCTGCTTCCCGGGTTCAAGCGATTATCCTGCCTCAGTCTCCCTAGTAGCTGGGATTACAGGCACCCGCTGCCACGCCCAGCTTATTTTTGTATTTTTAGTAGAGACAGGGTTTCATCATGATGGCCAGGCTGGTCTCAAACTCCTGGCCTCAAGTGATCTGCCCTCCTTGGCCTCCTAAAGTGCTGGGATTACAGGCATGATCCACAGCGCCCAGCTCGCCTAATTTTTTATCGTGGGGTTTTCTTTAGAAAAAAAAAAGCCTTAAATTATAGTTCTCAGGTTTGCTTAGGCCTAGAGAGAGATATCCATGCCCCTCACACGCCCCTGAGTTCAATCAGGACCGTAAACAAACACCATCCCATTACCCACTAGGCCTTACCTGGCCTGGCCATCTTTCAGTTCTCCAAACATGCGAGACTTTCACACCTGAAAACCTTCACACAGCTGTGACTGTGTGAGGAAGACTCTTTCCCTGACTCTTCACACGGCTGATCATTTCTGGACTATCACGTCTCCACTTAAATGTCTCCTCAGAAAGGCTTCCCCTGACCACCACATCTAAAGTAGACCTCATGGCTTTCCCTTCTCATGACCTGCCCTTCTTTCTTTCCACAGAACCTAAGGAAATGTGTGTTTGTACATTTGTCTACTTCTTTATTGTCTTGCCCGTGATACATTCAGCTCTGAGAGGCCAGGAACCATGTCCATTTTGTTCACCAGGCTGCTAAGGTTTATCAGGCACATAATAGATTCTTTCTAAATGAAAAAACCTGCCCTATGCTAAAGCCCCCATGCAGAAGGGGCACAAATGGGAGTTACAGAAAAAAAAAAAAAAAAAACCCAAGTAACTAAACATATGAAACGATATTCAGCCTCACTCATAGAGAAATGCAAATTTTGTAAAAGGTAGCTTTCAAAAGCTTGATTACACTTGACAATCAAATGCTATTGAATGGGAGGATGAATTGAGACCACATTTTAGAAGGCAAAATATTTGAAGCCATCACATTTTTCAGGCTTCGAATTGCCTGTGCCTGCCCTCCTGACTCAGCCCCTTTCCGGGTCTGCACTCTGCAGGTCTCCAGCCGCCAGCCTCTCCCGCCGCTAAGTTTCTCCAGCCTCTGGAAGGCAGAAAGCAGCCATCAGAGGGCACTTAATTCCCCAAGACAAATAAATAAATAAACAAACCTGCTTCTTCTTGTCCTGTTTCTTATCTGTTATCAGCAGGTTCTTCTGCTGCTCCCATTCAACTTCTGCAGCCATACATCTTCCCTGACTTTTCAGGGCCTTCCTTTTCTCTGGGATTCTAAATCTGGGAAAAAAGAAGAAATAATGGATTTCTAAGCTGCAAAGTTACTTCCGGTATTGGGTGACCTTTTTATTCATTTATGCCGGTTCTCAGTTTACCATTCCCAGTTTCAGATCTGCCCTTCTTTGCCCTGCTGTGTTATGCTGGACCTGGACTCTGTGAACATTGCGCCTGCTGCTTCTGGGCTCCTTAAAGGTTAACTACTTTTTACTAATTTACAATTCCTTATATTAAAATCTTCCTGTTTACACAACTGGCATGGTTTCCTTGTCCTGCCTGGGCCCTGCCTGATATACCATCTCAGTAGATGCTCAGTCAACTTGGTGTAGCCCCTGCGCCAGACCTTTACCATTCTCCCGAGCATCTTTTGGCAAATCCCTTACTTTTGGCAAACGATGTAATTTTCTACTTTGCTAAGATCAGGACTATGCCACTCAAAATAATTTCACTTTCCCCTCCTTCCTTGTCTAAGTTATTTTGGATCTCTACATGCCCAACTGTAATAGCCGTCCACAGTGAGGAGGACTCCTCTTCTAGAACCTTTCATCCCCTTCTCCTCCTGCTGCTTCCAGTACCTTGTTCCATCAACAAAAGCCCCCCTTTCCTTGTGCCTTTGGTCTATGCTTGTCTCCTCCATTGTGAAATCTTTAACATACCATCTTCTCATCAACTCTGCACAAAAAAACACCACGATAGAATGGTCCTGACTCCCGAGCCCTTACAAGTTGGTGTCCTTCCCAATTACACTGCTGTGACTGTTCTCTTGGGATGTCCCAGTCAAACATCCAGTGGCCAGTTCCCTGCAGTAGCACCAGAAGCTTCTAAACTCTAGCTCTGTGTCTTGCCTTCTTCCCAATCCCTAAGAGCACATTTTCCCAATAATTCCATCCTGCCCCCTCTTCTGTTTTTATATACTTTTTCCAAGTCAATGAATTTATTCCACAAACTGAGTTTTTAACTTTTATATAACAATACTGCTCTGGCCTTGACCTTTCTCCTGAACTCCAGAACTGAATTTCTGACTTTCCTGCTGGAAATTTCCATATAGCTCAATATGTTCAAATCTGAATTCATTTTCTCTTGTCACAGGACTATTTTCCGTCTCTTAACATACTGCATCAGCTTAAACCTAAGCTCTCTCCCTTGCCTCAACTATAAAGTGGGAATAGTAGCACATATCTCATGAGATTGTGTAGGGCTAAAATTTTGTTATAAAGTCATTAGGAGAGTTATTTCTTTCATTAATATCAACCACTCGAGTAGTTGCAAGCCTGTCAATTCTATTTCTTAGCTACAGCCTTTTCTACATGTGTCTTTTCATCATGGTGACCGATCTAACTCTAATCTCACCAATGTTTAGCTGAACTACTCAAGTTGCTCAACTTTTATCAATAATCTACTGTAAGCAATGTGTTTTGCATGTATTCTTGTGAGAATATTCCCTGGAAAGAGGGATACTAAAGTCATTCATCCCAGTCTGAATATTGCTATTTTCTACTGTGGTGGGAATACAATGTAACTAAAATGAGAACTGCACCAGAGATTAGAGATTTCAATAGCATTCTCCCGCCTCCCCTATGCAAACCTGCCTGCAAGTATATCAGGTCCAACTTCAGAAAAACAGTCTGATAATTTATGTCAGAGCTCACAAATTTTATCCCAACAGAGCCCAAACAGGGTATAAAATGAAATAAAATAGGTTTGTAGAAGGCAATTAGGAATGGCATAGACTGTGGCAAACTGAAATTGCATGTGTGTGTCCTAAAAGGACATGCTGCTACTCCGTTTCAGACATTGTGGGTGGCAATAAGGAAGCAGGCCAGTGCCACCAGATCCTCCAACTTTTTAAAAGAGAAGCCAAGATAGACATTTTTTATGTGAAACATACCATCTTAACTAAACAAAACACATCAGTAGTTAACATCTAGTCCTTTGGCTGCCTTTTTGGAAGCCCTCATTTATGTCACTTTCTTGCTCAAAAACCTTCAGGGCATTCTCATTATCTACAAAATAAAATGTGAATTCCACAGTCTAACATGCAAATTCCTACACGATCTAACCCCAGCCACCTTCCCAACTCACTCCTCACTTTCACACCTGATAGCTCAGTCATAAATCTGCTCTCAGAAGCCAGGTGCAGGGGCCCAAACATGTAATCCCAGCACTTTGGGAAGCAGAAGCAGGAGGATCACTTGAGCCCAGGAATTTCAGACTAGCCTGAGTAGTCTCATCTCTACAAAAGCGAGACCTCATCTCTACAAAAATACAAAATTAGCCAGGTGTGGTGACATGCGTCTGTGGTCCCAGCTACTCGAGAGGCTGAGGTAGGAAGATCACTTGAACCCAGGAGGTGGAGGTTGCAGTGAGCTGAGATGGCACCACTGCACTCCAGCCTGGGTGACAGAATGAGACCGTGTCTCAATAAATAAATAAATAAAAACAAATCTGCTCTGAGAGGCCACCACTTTTCCTACCTCGGTGTCTTGACTCACACTAGCTGCTGGGCCTGGGGCGCTTTCCCCGACAGACTCATTCAAATTCTACCTATCTTGCAGGGCTCCACTCAGTACATCTTCTTCCCACAAAATTCTCCCTGATTTTCTGCCAGGCTGAAGTAATCACTTACTTCTTCCTGTTCATGCTCATTGCCTTTCTTGGCACTCTAGAACATTCTGCTGTATATCACAGATGAGATCTGTCTTCTTACTAAACAGGTGGCTCGTAGAGAACTAAGACTAAATCTCAATTATGTCTGTGTATCTAAGGTCTACATTAGTAGACCGATAAATAGGTGTTCATTGATTCAATGAATGCATGGATGGCAACCTGCTACCATCACGGTTTATCAGTTCTTCCGTCCTGCTTTGTTGGGTTGGATGCAGCTTGTTCCTGCCAAAACTTATGTTGAAATTTGATCCTCAACATGGTGGTGTTGGGAGATGAGGCCTAGAGGGAGGTGCTTGGATCACGGGGGTGGATTCCTTATGAATAGATTAACGTCCTCCTGCAGGGGTGAGTGAGCTTTTGCTCTCAAGTGGATTAGTTCCTGTGAGAGTGGCTTGTTAAAGAGTCTGGCTTCCTCTGTTTTTCTCTCTCTCTTCCTCTGTCACCATGCAATCATTTTGCACATGCCCACTCCCCTTTCACTTTCCACCACTAGCAGAAACAGCCTGAGGCCCTCACCACATGCAGCTGCCCAATCTCGAACCTTCCAGCCTGCACAATCATACACCAAATAAAACTCTTTTCTTTATAAATTACCCAGCCTCAAGTGTTCTGTTACAACAATACTAAGTGAACTAAGATACCCCCAACCCAAGAAAAGATCAACTTTAAATATTTTTCTCTTTAACATAATTTTACTGCTTCTATTTATATATTAATTTTGATATTTTTTCTCTTGAGCCTAAACTCTACTGAGAAGTGTGTGTGTGTGTGTCTGTGCATGCACATGTTAGACAAGACATTTCTCCAAACATTAGTTTCCTCATTCATAACATTAGAAAGTAATACTTATTTCATAGGGCTGTTGTAAGGATTCAATGGGACAGTACATATAGAGCATTAACATGGTGGTTTGCACACTGCAGGCATTCAATGCATGTTAACTTGATCATGGTGGTTATATGTATGTTTGGCTATGAGAAAGCTGAAGTCTTCATTTTCGGAATAAAATAAATTTAAAAGATGATTGAAAATATAGGCATCTATGACTTATGCCAATGCATATCTTGCAAAGAATACTATAAACCCTTAACTGGTCATGAAGAAGAAAGAAGGTGAAAGCGTAACCTCCCTGGAACAGAAGGCCATTACATGGTGTGAGTGAGAGCCTAAGACAGAAATGACACCAACCGTTTTGACCAATGAAACTTTGTGTGGCAGTGGCTGATAGAAGTATGGCAGATTTTTTTTCTTTCTTCTTTTTTTTTTTTTTTTTTGCAGATGCCAGCAGCACAGCTAGTGCCTCCTTACTGTCAGGTGGGGTGCAGCTGGGGAGAACCCGCGGTAGAGAATGGGAGGAGCACACCTGGTCCTTTAGAAGAAGACTTGGACCTGGGAAAGGGTACCAGCAATGAACTCTTACATTCCAGATATCTCAATTGTATGCTGAAGGTTTCCTCCTAGACTCTTCTCAGGAGAAGTATGTATGTAGATCATGCATGTAATTGCCCCAAGGTGTGCAAACCAAGAGCCAGAAGAGACCTTGAGAGGAAGTACGCAGCCACAGCAGGTGAAGGTCTAAGTCACTTGGGAATAATTTATGTTTTCTTCTTTAACTGACTTGATGGTACTTTTGATAACCTATTCATGCACCAGAGACCTTCACTCCCCTGGCTACCTTAGAAAGACACTAAGACCACTTTCAGTTTAGTACAAGCAATTTTTTTTGTTCACCTGGACTGGAAACAGAACCATGAGAAACACTGTCAATGGCTGTGACCTTCAGATAATGGAGTACTAAGATAAACTAAAAGTCTGGTTTGAGAGGGTCCTTGTGGTAAGCTGATTAATGTGCCCCCAAAAGTGTCCACATCCTAATCCCTGGAACCTGTGAATATGTTACCTTACATGGCAAAAGAGACTTTGCAGACGTCTTCAAGGTAACAGACCTTAAGAAGAAGATTATCTAGGTGGATCCAATGTAATCACAAAGACCTGGATTATCTAGGTGGGCCCAATCTAATCACAAAGATCCTTATACGAGGGAAATAGGAGGGTTAGAGTCAGAAAAAGTTGATGTGATGATGAAAGCAGAGAAAGATGCCTTGAAGATGAGAGGAAGGGGCCACAAGTCAAGGAATGTAAATGCCCTCTTGGAGGTAGAAAAGGCAAGAAAATAGATTCTTCCCTAGAGCTTCCAGAGGAACAGGGCCTTACTGACACCTTAGTTTTAGTACGTCTGATGTCCAGAACTATCAGATAATAAATTGTTGGTTTAATCCACTAAGTTTGTACTAACCTGTTACAAAAGCAATAGGAAAGCAATACATTCCTTTACCCTCAAGGCAAAGTGTGTAAGCATTCAGGAGAACTTGCTCATAATCTGCGGGGTAGTGGTATCCCCTCAAAACCAGGGAGAACCAATACTTCCTCTTAGGGCAACCTTGGTCATGATCAACAAACATGTACTGAGGATTTATGGATCTGTCCTGGAAATGGAAATGTGAATTCAGACCTCAATCTCAAGGATATATTCATATAAAGAAAAATAAAATTTTAAGGCAAACTATGCTAAATTCCAAATGAGTGACAACTTCAGCTAGGACTTTAGGCATTCAGAGAATGGACCCATGCTTGACTGCAAGAAAATGCTGCTCCTCATATTTAGCCTTTCCACAATAGGCATGGGACTGTGCATCATGTTTGTATAGGACAGTTCAGGTTTATATCAATTGTCTTGGTGCAATCATGAATAGTGATTCCTTTCATTCTCAAAAGTGCCTGGCTTCATGGTAAACAACATGGTCACTCTGATAGGGTGTTAGACAGGAAGCCACTAGATTCACCATGCACTGTTAGGAAGAGCTTTGAGTTTGAATTTCAATCCAGTATCAAAAATGATCCCCAAGTTTTTGTGCCACTGAAATCGCAGTACAAAACACTTTCAGTAGATTGTAAGTAAAACAGACATTTCAATAATACTTGACTGTCTTAGTCTGTTTTTTGTTGCCATAAGAGAATAGCTGAGACTGAGTAATTTACAATGAACAGAAATTAATTTGGCTCATGTTTCTGGAGGCTGGGAAGTCTAAGACTGAGGCGCCACATCTGGCTGCATCATTCTATTGCAGAAGAGTGGAAAGGCAAGAAAACATGAGCGGGGAAGGAGGTGGTGAGGGGAGGTGAGGAGAGGAGAAGAGAAGGGACGAGAAGGGAGGACAAGTGAATGGAGGGGAGAAAAAAGAAGAGAAGGCGAGAGAGGAAGAGGGAGCCAAATTCACTTTTATTACAAAACCACTCCCACTGTAAAATATCCACTCCCCGGCTAACAGCATTAATCCATTCATGAGGGCTCTGCCATTAGGCCCCACCTCCCAACACTGCTGCCTTTGGAGTTGTTTTCAACACATGAATTTTGGGGAACACATTTAAACCATAGCATTGGCATACAGTATTTAGATTCTCTTACTGGCAAGTTGACATGAGGAAATTTAAATTACATTATCTAATGAGATACAGCGGTTTTAATACACAACACCTCCTACAACTAAAGCAGCTGGGGAGAAGGCCTTTGGTTTGCTTCAGATTGGTTTTGTTTGGTTTGGTTTCTAAGCCATTCTTATGAGCAGGATGGTGGTAGTGGGTAGAGGGTTGGAGAAGAAAAGAAGAGGAAGAGTTTAAGAGAAAGAATATAAGAATATAAGCAGGCTTGAAGAGAAAAGAAAAGACAGTGCTAGATATCTTGTCATATTTACCAGGCTTGAAGAGCAATCGTTGATTCTACCCCTGAACTTGATTCTCAAAGTGCTGTCCTTTCAAAGACATGTCATGCCCTGGGTGGAAGGTTAGAGTGGAGCACAACTCACTCAACTCTGAATCTGTTCTAGTAAGTTTCTTAGCAGTGTAAAGGTGAGAACAATGTGTGGTGCTTCGAATCTATCTGTCACGTCAAACCAGGTGTGGGCTGAGTTATGTCACTCAAATTGGTCCATAAAGGGATGAGAATTAAAATGCTGACAAAATGAGCACATCGAATTATTGAAAGCTATTTAATATGCTCAAGTTCACACCTACCTTTGGGAGATTTAAACGAGACTCCCTCTTCCAGCTGTTTTTTCTTATCTTCTGACCAACTTATTAACCAGGATTAATACAACATTTAATGCTGGGTGTCTTTTTTGGGCATCTCTTTTCTTTTTCCTTTTTTAATTCCTCCTTATATCTCTCCTTCCCTGGGATGATACCACTGGTGACTCCCGGGCCGCCCTCTAGTTGAGCCTGCAGGTGATTTTAGTCTAGTTTCCCTTTGCTTTGCACAACCTACCTCAACACTCCCTTTCCTTTCCCTTCCTCCTCACTTTTCTCATAAGATATTTGTGTAGTTTTGTGAGAGGAAGAAGAAAAAAGAGAAAAGAGGAACAACTGATGAGGAGGGAAGCCTGAGGTGAGGGGCACGAGGAGGAGTGAGAAAGGGTACAGCGTGAAGGAGAGGGGTGGGGGGTTGGAGGGAGGAGGGAAGAGTGGGAAGAAGCACGGAGTGGCATACATGAGGGGAAAAGACCACGAAGGAATCCTGGTCAGTCACAGACCCTGTGCCGCCTCCATGTTTTAATGTCTCAGACAAGCCGAAAACGGGTCTGTGGGAAGTTGTAACACTCACCAAACCCTTGGCAACAGCTATTCTTCACAGAGCCTGTGAACAATTGCCCACCTGCCAGTGTCTGACTGAAATAATAGCTGTACCTACAGGATCATTTGGAAGACAGATGGCGGAGGCAACCCCATTCATCTGCTGGCAGCCGTTTCATAACTCTCACTGTCCTGTCAGGCCAGGATGGGAAGGCAGAATGCAGCCTTGCTAATTACTGAAGCTCATTAGATTGTTGTTTTTTGAGAGACCATTCCCCTATCCCACCCCTGTCCTGCGCTTCCCCCCAAGCCCCAATGTGCCCACCCCCTCCCACAAAGTGCTTTCAGGAATACCATTGGCACCCTTAGAAAAAGCAGATCTCCAAAGTCTAAAAGCCTTAATGTTTGCTAGGTGGAGGGTTTGTTTTTGTTTTTGTCTAATATTTTCACTCTGTCCTCTTTCCTTCTTGCACATCCAAAAAGGGGTCCCTCATCTTCCCTAGTATTCACTACTTCCATGATTCTGGCCCATCGGTATTTATTTCAAAGACTGGATGACTCTTCCAATATTCCATTGTCGTTTTCTACTTAAAGTGCCATACACTCCTGTTATCATTTTTATAACGTGCATTAATCCAAAGGCTTTCTCTTAATGCAATGTGTATGGATTTAGAGAGCCTTTAAGAGCTCCGTATCATTTCAGTATATCTGATATCCTTCGTTGTCATTCAAAATCAATTTTTGAGAATTCACTATGTGGATGTGAAAAGGAGTGAGAATGGGGAGAAATGGAGAGATCTTACAAAGGAGGGCTGGCTTTATGAGCATTAACCAGTGCAGTGACCCAGGACCCCATGTTCCCTTTCATACTCTGCAGTCACCATCTTGAAATAATTAAACGTGTTTAAACAAGAGCCCGTCATTTTGCACTGAATTCCACAAATTATGTAGCTGGTTCTGCTTCAACTATTGGAAAAGTATAGAACTGCTGAGGGCTCAGGAAGGAGTACTTTCTGAGCCAAAGTTAAGAGGCTGGAAAGCCCACAGTAAACAGAGATCAGCAAGTGGAGAAGACAAAGATCAGACCATTCAGCAAAGAAAACACAGACAGAAAATATTAGCATCCATTAGAGCACTACCCCAGGAAGGGGCCCTGCATTTGACCTGCTGACAAAATCAAATTTCCAAGCCTGAAGACTGCAGACAGACCCCAGATCACTGAACACTCACCAAGGTGACAGCACCATCCCTGACACTTCTTTGGAAACAATTGGCTGGCGTCAATCTTTTCACTATAGTACCGATTTCACTAAATACCAGTTCTACTAAAACTTTAGCAGAAGATGCATCAGAAGGATTTGTAAAATAATAATAATAATAATAAGCCTGGAATGTAAGTGTGAGTCTGTAAAAGTAAGGCTTTAAATGCCACACTGAAGCGAAAGGGGAAGCTCCTGAGTATTTGGGGTGGGAAAGTGACTGGGAGCTCTGGCTGCTCCAAGAAAGGAAATATTCTTTCTAGACACATCTGGCCCTTTGTTCCTAAGGCTGGTACAGTAACAAACCACTCACCACCACCTTCCCCTGTGGCATGGTCCCCACTCACTACTCTCCTTTCTCACACTGCTTTTCCCACCCCATAAACATACACAGCAGAAGTCTCCTTGTTGTCTTCAGCTTTGGCCCTGCTGCTGCCTTGAACTCAAGTCACAGACCGTGCATCAGTCCATCACACTACACATGCCTGAATTTGTACCTCTGATCTCTTCCACGTTGCTTAGGTGAGTAATCCCGTACATAGCCCTGCTTGTGGCAGGCAGAATTCTAAAGACAGTTTAGTACTTAGGCAGGGCATGATCAAGGCAAGCTTTAGGATTAGATTTGAAGGGATAATGGATGAAAAATGAGAGATGAGAGTCAAGCCAACCAATTGGGAGATTATTGCAAATGACCAACATGAAGAAATAAGGTCCAAAATTTAATGGCATTAGATATGGATAAGAATGATAGATTTGAGAGTCTCTATGAAAGAAAACTGTCCTGACTTAGCAACTGATTGGATGGGAGAGAAGAACGCCTTCTCAAAGAGTTGAAAAGAATATGATAGAGCATCCATTAAAGTAAGTGGAAATAAATGTGTTCAAGTCCTGAAGATGACTCTTCTAAGATAAGAAGGAACCATGTTAGTTAAAATTGTTAGTTTCATGTAACAGCAACAATTCAATTCAAACTAGCTTAAGGGGCTGGAGAGTAGGAGGGTGCTACATATTAACATGCAGGTGTGTCATAGACTCTAGAGATGGAAGGTAGCAGAGCCAAGATGGTGGGAGCTGTCCTGCCCAGTGGGTCAGGCCCAGAACTGGGCAGGACAGCTGGACTGGCCCAGGTTATGGAAAGTCCCTGAAGCCACAGAGTGCTCCCTTTCCATCTCCCATCTCTTATTCTCCTGAAGACCATCCTTCTGGATCAGTTAGCCCACACAGCTGATGGAAGATAGCCCTAGCATAGCTGTAGGGTTAGAGAGAAGCCCCGGCTAAGCTGGAATTACTTAGTCCTGATTCCCAATCCCCAGGGGAGCTCATCATCAGGTTGGCTAAGATGGTTGTCCCACTTCTCACCACAGTGCCATACTGCAACTCTGTGGGAAAAGGGGAGAAGAATTAATTCTTGAGCAAGGCAGATACTCCCAAAGTTGTTTACCCTAAAAGCAGAAGTGGTATTTCAAATTTTAGTTTTCACAGACCCAAGAATGTACTCCTCTTTCTACACAGAAGAGTTTAGAATCCTGCAAAAAAGCAGCTGGATTCTAAACCCTATGCTCCCTCTAACTAGTGGTTTGAGTGACCCTTAGTACTTCTGACTATAAACTATGAAACTTGGCCCAGGTGATGCTGAGGGCTCCCATATTTAATGCCCAATGATTCTAAGTCCTTTTGAGAAGAAACAATGCTATATTGATCTAGTTCTCCTGTTTAGCTTTCCCTTGTCCTCCAAAGATCAGAAATAAAGCCTTTTACCATTAATCCTCTCATTGACTTATAAGAGGTAAAGAGCAGCCAAAGAAAATAGTTTGTAGTTTGTATTCCAAGAGAGCTAGACCACCTAAAAATCTCCTTAGTACTCGAAAAAATTTTAAAAGGAGCTTAGTTTTAATTGGCTTAAAGTCTCTTGACATAAGTAGTGGTTCTGTTTCCCACCACCACCATCAAAAATGTGTCCCTGAGACCCACTGGGAAGGACAGCTCCCACATCCTGGCTCTCTCCTGCAGTTTTTCTTAGAACTATAGAAGGTTAGACCTTCTGGTGCTTTAGTGCAATCCCTTCAATTTTTTTTTCATTTTTTAAATTTATGATTGATACAAAATCATCGCACATACTAATGGGGTACAACATGATGTTTCAATACATGTATAAATTGTGTAATTATCAAGTCAGGGTAATAAGTATATCCATCACTTTAAACATTTATCGTTGCCTTGTGAAGAGGACATTCAAAAACCTCTCTTCTAGCAATTTTGAAATATACAATGTATTATTATTAACTCTAATCATCCTACTATACAATAGAGCACCCAAACGTATTCTTCTTATCTAACTGTAGCTTTGTACCCATTGACCAATCTGAAACAATCCCCCTTTTCCCCCTACCCTCCCCATCCTCTGGTAACCATGATTCTGCTCTCTACTTCTATGAGAACAACTTTGTAGCCTCCATATATGAGTGAGATCATGTGGTATTTGTCTCTCTGTGCTGGGCTTATTTCACTTAACATAATATTCTCCAGGTTTATCCATGTTGCCACAAATAACAGGATTTTATCTATGACTGAATAATATTTCATTTTGTATATATACTACATTTTCTTTATCCATTAATCCACTGATGGACATTTAGGTTGATTCCATATCTTGGCTATTGTGAATAATGCTAGAATAAACATAAAAGTGCAAATATATGTTTGACATACTAATTTAATTTCCTTTGAATATATACCCAGTAGTGGAATTGCTGGATCATATGGTAGTTCTAGTTTTAACTTTTTGAGGAACCGCCACACTGTTTTCCATAGTGGCTACACTAATTCATATTCCCAGCAGCAGTGTGTAAGTGTTCTTTTTTTCTCCACTTCCTTGCCAACACTTCTTATCTTTTAATTTTTTGATATTAGTTGTATTAGTTCATTTACACGTTGCTGATAAAGACATACCTGAGACTGGGAAGAAAAAGAGGTTTAATGGACTTACAGTTCCACATGGCTAGGGAGGCTTCACAATCATGGCGGAAGGTGAAAGGCACTTCTTACATGGCAGTGGCAAGAGAGAGAATGAGAACCAAGCAAAATAGGTTTTCCCTTCTCAAACTATCAGATCTTATGAGACATATTCACTGCCACGAGAATAGTAGGGGAGAAACCACCCCCCTGATTCAATTACTTCCCACCAGGTCCCTCCTACAAAAGTGGGAATTATGGGAGTACAATTCAAGATGAGATTTGGGTGGGGACACAGAGCCAAACCGTATTATTCTGCCCCTGACTCTTCCCAAATCTCATGCGCTCACACTTCAAAACCAATCAAGCCTTGCCAACAGTCCCCCAAAGTCTTAACTCATTTCAGCATTAACTCAAAAGTCCAAAGTCCAAAGTATCATCTGAGATAGGGCAAGTCTTTTCTACCTATGAGCCTGTAAAATCAAAAGCATGTTATTTACTTTCTAGATAAAACAGGAGTACAGGCATTGGGTAAATACAGCCATTCCATATAGGCTTCATAGATATTATCTCTGTCCCCAAAGGATTAACAATTAAAAACCAAAAATGAAACAAATATAGAAAGAAAAGGACTATAAAATATGTGCAAAATGAATATGCAAGGCTATTAAACATTGCCTGAGGATTGATAATGTCATCATAGCCAGTGGGGAGTCCAGGGTCATTAAAAACTAAATTATTTGTTAAAGGCCATTTTCTCAATGTCTGACTCTAGTCCATGCCAGATTTTAGTAGGGCACTTGGCCCATTCTGCTGTTATTTTCCTTGAAGTTCATTTCTCGCCTTACTCTTGTCTTGGAAATGTAATGCATCACTGAGGTTGTCCTGAGTTTATGTTGTATTCACTTTTAATGCGTGCTAACTGATTGGAAATGAGAAGCAGATGGACACTTGGACCACAGATTTACTCCATCTCCTGTAATTAGATGGTGCCAATTAAGGCTTCCATGGGGTCCTTCTCCTCACTGCCAAGTAAAAGAGCTCTCCAGTGGGGCTCCTGAAAGCATTTGGGAACTAATGGTTTATTCAGTTCCTCCTTTGCATTTATTCACGGATACTGAACAAACAGAAGCCAAGTTGTCTTTGTCTTTTTTTGGTTTTTCTCTAACAGCTTCATCTTTTGACTTTTTTTTGGCAAGAGTTGAAACTGAATAAAGGGGATGGCCCTTGGCTGAACTTTGCTTCCTATTTTGAGTTAGCAGAATTTAGTTGGGGAAGGTGGGGCAGGGAGTGGGGACTCTGGGCAGAGAGCTGCAGAGTCTTAAGAAAGTACCGGGCTCTGAAACTCAGCCTCTAGCTTCTTCCAACACAGGAGGACAGGCAAGAATTTGGAGACTGACAGACCTTAGTTTGAGTCTTGGCCTGGTTATTAGCTGTAAGCTGTGTTATTCTGGTAAATGGCTAAACACAAAGATCCCAAAATATATAAATAAAGCCCTCATTTGTAACATGTGCCAATTTCTGTGATGCAAATACTCCCACCATAGCTGATTTCAAGCTACCAATGTGATGTCGCAGAATGCAAAGTTGGGAAGAGACTGGTACTATTGGCTCTCATAACCCATGTAAGCAGGCTGTAGCACATCCCTGGCTGTGATCCCCAGCTTCTTCATCTGTACAAAAGGGACAAGGTACCCTGTAGGGTCATTTTTAAGATTAAAGCAATAACTGCAAAGTGGCCAGAACAAAGCCTACCCATCCTAGGAGCTCGATAAATTGTCCCTACATATTATTATTTTAAGCTGGGCCTTAGGAAGTGGCTTTACACTGCTGAGCACTCCAAGAAGTCAGAGCCTCAGATTTCAAATTTTGGCAACTAAATTTCATTTCATAGGTATGACCAGGAATCTGGGGAATTGATTCAGCTAATCAAACTCATAAGAGGCATTTATATAAATCACAATGCCAATTTACTACTTTGATTTAGAATTTATATAGAATAATGATTTCCCAAACCTGAACTGGGTCACATGCCCTAATAAAGGATTTCTTTTCATGGCTTAGGAAGTTGCTCATATGCAAAGTGCTATAAATGCATAAATGTTAATTATATTTAAATATGGTTAAATAATTATCTTGATTAAAAAATTAAATTGAGGCTGCCCCAGAAATTCCTGGGGCTATGTTCACATTAGTATATTCCCGGCCTGAGAACCAAAACTCCTATTCTGCACTGGTCTCCTTGCAGGCAGCTAGCTCTTACGTTCACCCTGTGGAAGACTGAATAGGTGGACATGGTTAAGTGGAGAGTATATTTAAGCATCTCTGAGGGAGTACTGCCTGGGGTTTCCCAAACCACAGCTATAATGATAGATTTTAAACTCACTGAGTAAAGAAAAAAAGATGGAGATTACCATTTCCATTTTACTGTTATGCAAATTGACACATGAAGAGGCAAGGACATATAGAAAACTACTAGAAGAGCTCAGACCAAAATTCAGATTTCTGAAGCACACTTTGGTGCTCTTTCTTCTGTCCCTGGGATGATCAGTTGGGCAACACAAAAAGCATACAGTTCAGTGCAGGAGAAAGCCACATATGTAGATGACTATTAAAAGAGAGTGAGAATTGCTATGACAGAGGTGATGGAAGCATATACAGGATGTTATGGAAACACCATCAAAGGAAAACTAACTGAGAATGGAAGAGGAGATTGGGAATGCGACATGGCTGGGGGAGGTTCCAGAGGTGGGGACCTCTGAGCTGAGTTCTTAAAGGATGAGTAAGAATTATCTCGGGAGAGAAGGACATTGCAGGTTGGTTTCATTAAGAAACAGATTCTAAAAAGGGTATTAGCACATAGAGATTTATTAAGAAATGCTCTTGGGAGGGAAAGGACACAGGATTGGAGTGAAGGAGTAATTGAGCTGTAATACAGTCCAAAGTCCTCAACCAATCCCGAGAGAGGTTAGAGCTGAGGTGGCCCATTCAGAGTTTTTCCAAGCAGGAGTGAGGGAGCCTGGCCATTATACCACCTTGTTGGTCAGTCACTAAATGAGGGCTGCCCCTGAAAAGAGGTGTGACTTAGGGTTTGCCATTTCCTTCCAAAGAAGGCTGATAGCTAAGGGCTATTTTCCAGCAGCAGGTGCTGGAGAAATCAATCCTTCATTCCTGAGGGGAATCTGGGCAATAAATCAGCTTCTGATTATAATAAACTGGCTTTTATCACAAGTGGTAGCTCTATCTGTTTTCTATACAGAGGAAAGCACTGAAGAAATAAGCAGTGATGCATGTGGTTGTCATGCCAATGGTTCAGTGTTTGTCATGGATGGGATTTCATGGGAAACAGATTCTGAGACAGAGACAGAGATTTGCTTACATGTGGTTTATTGAGAGTTGGGGGAATGAATATGTCAGTATAAATGTGTACTGTTGTCCATCCCATGTGAATGTGAAGTTTCTGGCTCTCCTTCCTGACTGGGATGGAAAAGAGCACAATGCCAGATCAATGGCCACAAAACCTGTGCTAAAGCTGTGTTAATACACTGTTTAGATAGTAAAGGTACCACATCTCACTCAGCATGGTAGCAGTAATAGGGTACCACTTCATTGAATTTGCAGTACTCATGCATCTAATAGCTGTCTTTTTTTATGTGTGTGTCAGAGTCACACTGGTGAATTAAATGGGGTCCATTAACCCTGCATCCTGCAGTTCTTCAAGAGTGGTACTAATCTCTCCCGTGAAAAAGAATATTTTTTATTTTCTACGTGGTCTGGAGGGGGAATTAGTTTCAAGGAACCAATGTTGGGGTTCTACCAAGTACCAAGTACCATGTATGTACTGATTATATACTTGGAAAGCAGGGAAATGACCACTAGATGGACAGTGAGAGGGAAGAACCAAAGTTGCCTACCACAATTCTAGTTTGGATGGATGGATGGATGGATGGATGGATGGATGGATGGATGGAGGTTAAAAAAAACGAGAGCAAATAATGGAAGGAGAACCAGCTTAGGAAAGAATATGATGGTACATTTTTTAATATATCTTGAGTTTGAGCTTAAAATAACAATATAACAATTGGGTTTATGATGCTGAATTTGTGAGAACACCTAATATGGAGATGGTGACTGAGTAAATGAGAGTGGATGGGACCACCTGAAGACAGTGAATAGCATGAGAAAAAAAGAGGCCAAGTATGGCACCTGGGAAGAGCAATATTTAAGGGCCAGCAAAGGAAGACCCTCTGAAAGGAGTCACACGAAATTATCTGAGGTAGCAAAAGAAGTGATTTGATAGAGCCAAGAGAGGAAGAATTTAAATGAGAAATGTCAAATTCTGCAGAGAGGTTCAAAATAATGTGTTGTGGTTTTTTGTATTTGGTAAGTGTTAGGGTCATAATGATCTTAAAAACAATTTAGTATATCTTAAAACGGTTTCATGAAGTAACTGGGCAAGGCAAGTCAGATTGTAGTAAAGTGAGGAATTTATGGAAGTGAGAGTTTATGGGAGGTCAGCACAAAGGCTACCTCAGCCTTGAAGTGGGTAGGTGGATAGAGGTGAATGGGCTTCTCTTTAACTTTTAACATTAACGTTTAACCTTCCACTTTAACATTAAATAACATCATAGAGGGAAAAAATATTGAAGTCCTCTAGATCTCTCCTAGGGGAATCAGTAAGAAATAGCTCATTATTGCTTCTGAATGAGAAAGTATCACTTTTCATAATGAAGGCATTTAGATGTTCTGCTAGTCAACTGCTTAGACTGGCTGAACATCTGTAGGCTCTTTATCTTTGTTAATGGGGATATTTCAAAGAGCCCAGTGTTATGGAATTTTATGAGTGGGCAAATTTTATTCAGTTCTGGGTTTCCTAACTCCTAGTGTATTAGAGACTCTTCTTCCTTTCCATCTCCCCATCCCCAAACCACTCCTCCCTCCCACCTCTGCAGCTGGAAAATACTTGTTTGTCTCGATATAAAACTATATAGATTTGGTTCTCCATATCCCCAGATTCTGTAACACAGATTCAACCAAATGTGGATCAAAGATATTCTGGAAAAAATGGTAAAACATAACAATACAACAATAAAAATATATATAAATTTTTAAAATATATAGCATGACAAATATTTACACAGCATTTACATTGTATGAGATATTATAAATGATCTAGAGATGATTTAAAGCATAAAGGGGGATGTGTGTAGGTTATATGCAAATACCATGCCATTTTATATCAGGAACTTGAATATCTGCAGAATTTTGTATCCACGGGGGCCCTGGAACAAATCCCCCTCCATATGGAGGGATGACTTATATGTTTGTCTCTTTATGTTTTGTATATTTATATTGATTTTATATATGTAAATTATATTTATTTACCTGTTATAAATTTCAGCCAGATCTAACTTACATTTAATTGAGATCTGGGAAAGGGAGAGGCCTGGCAATACCTCTTAAAGGGATTGGCAAGTGCAAACACAGCTGTTGATGATGAGTTGGTAGTCCATATCAAGTGGAATGACAAATGCACTCTCCCAGCTTCCAGAAGGAGAGGCTGGTGGTGCCAGTCACTTTTCTTTTCTGCAATATTCAGCACAATAGTCCAATACATAAACTTTTCACACATTTTGCCTTGTGGTACTGCTGCTGCTAAGACCACTGATGCTGCTGATGACATTGCAGGAAAATGCATTGATAGCCATTCACTGTTTTTAACTTCTTGCCAGCTTTAATTCCTTTTCTTCTTTAATGTTCATAGTTTTTAGGGCCTGAGATTATGTCCGGCTATTCTCAGGTGTCAGGGACTTGGAAGAGCTTCATTGGTCTTCAGCAAGCAGCAGATCCATACCCTTTTAAACGTCCCCTTAAAAACCCACTTGGGGGAGAAATTTCTCTTGGCTGGGACTCCCACAGATTTCTCTGCAAAAGCCTTTTTTTGAACTCTCCTCCTTTCCTCACTCATGCACTCATTTATTTATTTACATAGCAACAGGTATTATTGAACAGCTATTACCTTCAGGCACTAGAATACAGTCCTGGAAATACAGCATGAACAAAATAATATGTTTCTGCCCTCTTGAAGATCATACCCTAACTATTTTGCTTAATCTGATGTTGTCTGTACTCAAAAGTACTCCTTTCTAAGGGAGAAAAAAACATAGTGTTCTAGAAAGCTTCAATATGAAAGGGCTGTACTCCCAAGAATTTTGTGAAAATACCTACCATTTCTTGAGCATATATGGAAGCCAAGATGATGGAGTTAAAAAGAGAGTGGATGGTGACGTTGGGACAGTAGGAGACAGGAGCTAGTGTCACAGCATGGGTGAACTGAGAAGTCTATACTAATCCACCAATCAAACATCTAGGGAAGTAAAATGGTAAGAAAAAAATGAGTCATAACTTAAAAGAACAAGATTCCTCTTTCTTTGCATTTATTTTCTATCTGCTTTGTATTTATGTCATTTGTATCCATTTTCTATCCTTATGAAGACTTGATTTCCTTATGCTGTCATAGAATGAATAGAATTATGACTTTTATTTCACACATTACCTGAGTGCATGTGCTTTTGGCTGTGACCTGGGGTTTCCAGCCAAACAGTCTTTTGACTGCCTTGGGAGAGCCCATCAGTCTTGCCTCCCCATCTCTGCATACCTGTCCCAACTCTCTGATGCTGCACATATGCAAGAGTGCACTCAGTAGGGGCACTCGGTCCTATCTGTGAGCCACATCTACCCCAATTAGCAAATATAGGTCCAGAGCAGCCCATTATCTGCCATTATCTTTCCTTTAATAAAAGATGCCTGGTTGTCTGGTTTCTGCTGAGGTGACTTGTGGGTCTCAGCAGCCCACAATATGGGCCTGATCTTCTCACTGTTTTGGAAGGCCTTCCTTTTCCATATCTAATACCAACATAGATGCTGCACAATAAATATATATTGAATGAACAAATTTTATCTACACTCTCATACTTTCTCTCAGGTAAGAAATACTTATAACTTTCATTGAAGAAGCATCCAAATAATTGAGAAAGAAGAACAAATCAAAATCTCTCTTTTAACGTTTCCAGCTAGAAGTTAAAAAAACATTTATTTTCTACTTGTCTTCTTTTATTCCAGGTACCGACTGGTTCTTAAGCTGGAAAAGGCACACTGACTGGTGAGTTCGAATTATCTTCAGTGCACCAGAGAGAAGAGCAGATGGTTTGCTGGATCTAGGAATTCCCGGGAGTTTATCTCCATTATTCAACAGATCATTAATTTGGAGCTTCAAAATCACAACTGAGCACTAAGACACCTTTGCCTTTAAAGAGATTGGTAATGATTAGGGTTTCTCGCCATCCATGAACATAAAGAACATAAATGCCAGAGAAGAAAAGACTTCTTTCACTATTTCAAAGAACTCCAACAATATAATGAGTGTAGGATAATGGGATGGGCATACTCTCCCACCCCTAGACTCCTAGAAGACAAATGAGGAAACCTTTCTTGGCCAAGGCTGTTTTTCTTGGATTCTGGGTAATACTGAGAATTCTAGTCTGACAGTGCTACATTGTGTAGCACATTGTTGACCAGAAGGAATTTTAGTGATCATCTTGGCAACTTCCTTTTCCATAAATCTGGAATTCTACAACCACTGAACAACTCTGATACAAAATACAAGAAATCTAGCATAAAATATAACAAGTAGTTTCAAATGCATGGTTGGATTCAGAAGAAAGTAAGGGAATTTCAAGGAACCGGAGAACAGGAGATGAACAGGCTGCTACCAGTGGAGCTATAAGCCAAAACAAGGACCCATTTTCGGAACCAAGAGGTTTGGGTGTGAATGAATGGCAGTGCTGAAGGATGGAGACAAGGCCTTGAGACCTGCAAATTAAGCAATGGGAAGCCACACAGAAATTCAGATCCCTCAAAGGCCTATGCCTAGAAAAAGGCACAATAGAACAAAAAAAATCACCTCACCAGCAAAGGGAAATAAGGAAGCTGGCCTATCTTGGCATGAATTCTGGTTGGAAATTTTGTAAAACGTTTCCTGTAAGAAATTGTAACCTTGAGCCTACCTTCATGTGGGTTTGGCATTTTTTTTAAGCTTTTATTATTTTTTTATTTTATTTTATTTTATTATTATTATACTTTAAGTTTTAGGGTACATGTGCACAATGTGCAGGTTAGTTACATATGTATACATGTGCCATGCTGGTGTGCTGCACCCATTAACTCGTCATTTAGCATTAGGTACATTCTTATTCACTACCTGCAAGATCTAGGAAACCCCTATAGAGATATTTCTTTATCAGTTCCTGGGCAAGTATATATCCATACTCAAGTTACTATCATAACCTGAGTTAGTAATTAATACCTGATTTAAGAAAAAGTAGTTGTTATAAACATATTGTAGTTTTATTTGTAGAGTGCTTATTTTATGTATCTGTAAGTCTTTATATCTACCTACCTATCTCGGTAGGCCTGTATAAAATTCATCTAGAATGTAACCTGAGTTACTAATTAACACCTGATTTAGGAAAAATTGATCGTTGATGATCACATTGTAGTTTTATTTGTAGACCGCTTATTTTATCTGTAAGTCTTTATAGCTACCTACCTATCTCGGTAGGCCTGTACAAAATTCATCTAGAAAGTAACTGAGTCCTTCTAAGCAGCTTCTTTCACTGTCATCCTAAAACTTGAGGTAGATAACATTTCTGTTATGGAGAAATACTTGAATTTGGGTGGCTCCAGCCAACTCTGTTTGTGGGTTCCTGTCCTGGTGCTTTGAACAAGAGTAGTCTTGATTATGCAGACCAGATTAAGGAATGTTCTAATAAATGACAGCCCTTTTAACATTCAGGAGCCTCATGCCCACCTTCAAGTCAAGTCCATTGAGTGCTTAAAATGAGCATGGCTTCAGCACCCAGGGTGAAATAAAGCCAGTTTTATTTTCCCTGAAATGTATTTGTTCAGACCACACAACTTTCCCATGCCTTGCCTCTCCAGTTCTTGAGCTGGTTCTGGGTCCTCACCTCCTTCTCTCTTCTTCCTGTACCTTGCATGTTAACCTGAAATCTCAGCTTCAACCCAGATCATTCCAGTCATCACTACTCACCCTAGGGGGTAGTTTGTCCTGTGCCAACTCTGTTAAATCACCTCCTAAGATCCCCATCCTTGTATGTTTCTGGTTGAGAGTTGGCCAAAAGGGTACTTGTATGGGATATAGAAGGCAAAAGTGAGGCAGCAATGGTTTCTGGCTGAAGGTCATCAAGGTTAGATGCAGTGACCAAAAAATGCCAAGGTACCAGCGAGCTCCAGCTTGTCCTCACTCTCCTCCTCACTGCTTCCAGTTCTTCCCGACCGTTCATCTGGTTGACGAAGGAGAGCCCTGGGTCCTACCTCAGATGCTTGCCAGCAGACCTGCAGAGGCACAGTCACCCACAGAGGCATCCTGTGACCCTCTTGTCTGCAAAGTCCCATGGAGGCTGGACATACTTGGCTTCTCAGTCACACTGGATGTTGACTACTCTGATCCTCCCACTTCCCTCCTGCACCATCACCTCCCCAGCTCCTCTCATAATTGAGCTAGGTCTAACTCCTATAAGAAACTCCTTATCTCATGACAAATAGTGATTCTGTTTCCCCGATTGACCATGATTGTGATTCACCCTGTTATCTGGTGCCCAAGAGGCCTGTAATATAAGACTGGATGATAAATATTTGTTATATCAGGATTCAACCCTGGCATATTTTTTCCTGGACCATGGAGTGGCATGAAATCAGACAGAAAAGATGGGGTGACCATTATCCCAAAGGGAGCATATTGGCTGCTACGGTCTATACAGCTCATTAGCTCATCTTACTGGCTCAGAACATCATTGTCATGTTCAGCCTCTTCTGTGCTGCCCCTCATTATCACGGAATGCTCAGATTCACAGGCTCCAGGCCATGGCAGAACTGCCAAGCAGTGTCACTCTCCCTGTTTCCCTCTATCTCCAGTCCACCCTCATTTGTGTGCTTTGCATTCCTTTTTCTCCCACGCATGGAACCAGCAGAAATTTCACCATTCTCATATGCTGAAGTGGAACTCCTAAAAGAACTGTTTCTGAATTGTCACTTTTAACGATGTCTTGCTGGCATCGCAGAGCAGCACATCAGCTAAAAAATGGGTAACCTTCATCTTGGCACACATTTCTCACTCAGCAAGTACACCCCAGCAGCTCCCACTTGGAGTTTTTTACGGAACAATTTTGTAGAATTTCCATTTATTACGCATTTAATTGCCTTTTAATTGGTGCAGATGTCTTCAGCATGCTTGAGGCATATCGGAACTATCTTCCTTAGAACCCATTTCAGGCTTGCTTCCTGCCCTGGATTACATTATTGTCAATCAAAACTTTGTGCTTGGGCCTCCCAAGTTTAATCAAAGACTTACTGTCTGGTGTAAAAGCTTCTGATATTCATAATTTCTATAGGCAGTGGGGAAAGAACAGTACTAAAAACGGGAGGTAATCTCTAGTACTAAAACTAACATTGTAATGTACCAAGTCCACGTCAACATGAAAATAATCACCAGTGGGTCTTGGAGTTCATCAACATAAACTCCCATTCTAAATCCATTATTATCAAGTCATATGTCTCAGGTAAGTGTTTTAGCCTTCTGGGCAAAGGAGACTAGGCTGTAAAGGTCCTGTCTGAATTTAATATCCTGTTGGTCTAATTATGACTTGTCAAAAGACCCTTATGATTTGTATTATATAGTTGAAACATTTTTAACATCAATAACATAGCTTTTAAATTTTGTGTTTGGATTATTTTTACTTTTGGCATGGACATGCTCTCCAGATACTTGCTTATTGATATATTTACTTCTATATTTATTACACTAAGGAAGATGATGGTAGGGCTGGCTTAGGAGGTCTACATTTAGGCTGGGAGAGTCTTGGAGCCTTGGTTTTCACACTTGTGACCCTAGAGTAATATATACCTCATAGAGCTGTTGTGAGAATAAAAATGAAGATAATGATCATAGAAATTCTTTACAAACTGAAAGATGTTATATAAATTCATGCAGTTGTTATTTTAATAAGAAATATACCCTGGGGGTATAGGAAGAGATTTTTTATATACCTAATGCTAGATGACGAGTTAGTGGGTGCAGTGCACCAGCATGGCACATGTATACATATGTAACTAACCTGTACATTGTGCACATGTACCCTAAAACTTAAAGTATAATAAAAAAAATACAGATTACAGAACAACCTCAGTTACTCCAGGATTACTCACTCAATTACCCAGGTTGGTTTTTGACTCTGAACTCTTCCCCTGCTCTTTAGCTTCTGCATCCAGAGTAAAAATAGATGAGGAAATCTAACCAGTTCAGTTTGCTCCGTAAGAGAAATACTGGTTAATGCTTTGGTATGAGAAGGAGATGCAAACAAGGAGCTGGGAACTATATAATCCCCCGCTACCCCTACACCCCGCACCACCATATGGTTCCTGATTGGAGTCTACCACTGAGGGGCACCCATTTGAGACATGCAAGCAGGATAGAAGTTGAGGCCTTACTCGGGATGGAGAGTTGGGGAATGACAGTGGCAACCAGAGGCAGACAAACTGACAGTTACAGCCTCTCTCAGCGAGCTTTGGATGTGCTGCACTCTCATCATCACTCAGACTGAGATTGTTGGTGGAGGTACCCCAGGAATTGCTAGAAATTTTAGTGATTTCTGGTGAGCTCATGAGAAGCACCCAATCCAGAGCTTCAGGCTGAGATTTGAGGAATGGTTTCTCTGATGCTTGGCTCCCCCAGCTTCTCCAGTAGTTGTGTAAGCCCCTAGTTCTCTATATTAAAACATAAATCCTGGGATGAATAGCATGGCTTCTATTTTACAGATTGGATCCTATTTGATATAAACCTCTCTCTTGTCACCAATGCCATGTATAGCAAAAATGTGTTAAGCACTTACTATAAGCTATTATGACCCAGTCACTTTATTAAGTGCTTTACATGTATTATCTCACTTACTCCTCATCATAACCTCGCAGGATCAATCCTATTACTTCCTCCACTTTACAGATAAAGAGACTGAGTCTTAGAGAGGTTAAGTAACTTGCCTAAGGCCATGCAATAAGATACGTCGCATCACAGACCTTAACAAACACGATATCTTTATGAAATTAGCCAGTAGGGTAATGTTCTTCCACGATAATATATTTGAGAGCCCAGTAGGAGATTAGAGTGAATCAGCATCTCCCCAAAACTATGGCCATTCTATCCTAGTGAGGGTCCAAAACACCACCGTGACAGTCAGAGTGTTCAGAGATCTAAAGTCACTAGTGAAACTAGGAACACCAGAGGGAAGCGTTGGGTACCAATGGGCAATGTCAAAATATCAGAACTGGTTCTGAGTCACAGATAGGGCCAGAGGAATGATGGTGATGGTAGTTATTGTCACCTCTTCGAGAAGTTATGAAAGATGGTCTGGAATTCTGATGGCAGTTACCTTTCCTACTGAGCTAAGACCTAGAAACTTTCTCTTATCTGACCACAAAGTTATGATTCAGAAAGAGCTTTTCACTCCAAAGAGATACTAACTTGAGCCTCATGATGTTAACTGAGCAGAGCCCCATGTGGACATTGCTGTGATTAAAAGGCTCAGCTGTGATTACAGGGGCTCTAGTAATTGACACCATTTCCCCAATTTCATCAAATGAATATGCATTCCTTCCCAAAGGAACTTCAAATATGACTATCATAAGGCTGGGTTAAAGGAAGAGGAAGCAAGGTAGAAGAAACAAGTAAGCCAAAGAACCGCTTTTATAGTAAGCATGTGAATCTTACTGCACAAACTGGAATTTACAAGAAATGTCACGTGTTCTTTAATGAAGCTGACTTTGAGATCCCCATCCCTCTGAATTGATGGGAAATTCAATTTTAGTCATTGTTAGAGTTTTCTCTCCTCTCTACTGTCTCCCCAGGATATGCAAAAGTCCTGAAATTCCTCTGCAGAACAGCCAATTTAGGAAGGCCCCTGGTCATATTTCAAGCTCCCATAGCTCCATGAAAATGGGAGACTCACTGCAACGTCATACGTGCTTTCAGGAACTTTTGCATCTGCAAGCCCTGCATCTGGGGGGTGCCTCCTGGAAAGCACAAGCCATTCCTCACTGAGGACCTGCTCACTCCCTGGAATGGTTTAAGGGAGTGGGGCTCTGTCCTTGGTAATTTTCATCATGATCCTCTTATCATTCCAGTCGCAGCTGAGAAGTCACTTCGGCAGGGAGGCCTTTCCTGACCACCTAATACACCTTTTCCATTCCTAGCATATTCATTATTATCTTTAAAATGTTTATTTATATCTGAATTAATGTGGTTCAGTGGTTTTGATTATTTATTTCCCACCTTCCTTTAGCTCCTCCCCATATTAATAATAACTTCAAACATTTATTGAAAGCTTACTGTAAGCCAGTTATGAATCCAAGGGATTTACAACTGGACTCCTTTAATGCTCAGAATAAGCCTGTGATATGGGTTCTGTTTCATCAAGCCCATTTTAAGCAAATGAGACACTGAGGCTCAGAGAGGTTAAATAACTTATTGAAGGCAATCCAGCCAGAATGACTGAGGCAAGATTTAGACCCAAATTATTCGTCTCTAGAGTCCTACTACTTACCTACAATGTCATTTAGCATTTCCCCAATTATTATCACTCAGGATTTTCTGATTACTAAGAATATACCCAACATTCCCTTTCTTCCCTCCACTCTTTCTTCCTTTTTGCAATACTTATTTAGATATAACTTGAATTTGCCAACTTATTTTCTAATTTTATATCCCCAGCCCTTGGTTTTCATTTTTCTTCTTGCTGGAGTAATTATTTTAATAAATATTCAAGCAGTGTTTTATGTGTTAAAACTTTCGGGGCCTGGTATGCCTGAGAATATTTCACCATCTTATTTAAATGATTGGTTCCAACCAATCTAGACTTTTATATCTAACCAAACGTCTGGATTTGTTTGAACCAACAGCCATTAACCAAAAAAGAAAAAAATTCCTGGTTTTGAAGTTCCCTTTCTTTTTAATGCTTGAAAAATATCATGAGTTCTGCTATATCCAGGGTTACTGAGACTTCTGATGTCAATCTGATTATTTTTCCTTTGAAGATGATCTGCTTTTTTCTTTTACCGAAAAGAATTTAGAATTTTTTCTTTGTCTTTTGTGTTCTTCTTCTAAATGTGTATGTATTTCTAAAATCCATCTTGTTTAGCACTCTACAAGCCCTTTCAGCCTGAGATATTAACATATTGTATATCAGCTTTCCGTTGCTGTATAATAAACATGCCAGAACTTGGTGGCTTAACAAGCAACCTTTTCGTTTTCTGTGATTCTATGGGTTAACAATTTGGGCTGGGTTCTGCTCGTGGCTCTTCACAGTCAGCTACTTGTCAGCTAAATGGCTCTGCTTCTAGTGTCAATTGGCAGTCAGCGAATAATAAAAGAATGAGGGCCACTGGGCCATGTGTTTCTCATCATCCATCTGGCTAGCTTGGGCTCACTCACAGAGTGGCTCAGCTTCAGAAAGCAACAAAAGATGGTAAGTCCCAGTGTGCCGCCCTTTTCAAATCTCTGCTTGCGTCAATTTTGCCCTTTTCTCATTGGCTAAAACAAGTCACCTGGCTACGCCTAGAATGTGGTCTGGGAGAGGACTACCAACGCGCATGGCTGTAGGGAGGTGAAACAACGTGGGGGCCATTTTTGCAAAATCTACCACATCATCCTTTAATTCTGAAAAAATCTTGATGACTTTTCAAAGTATTTTCTCACCGATACTTATTTTTGCTCTCTCCCTCTGAGACCCCTAACATACAAATATTAACTTCTATTTTTCTCCTTCATGTCTCTTAACTTTTACTTGGATAGTTTGTTTAACTGTTTTAATCTCTGTGGGAGGGTTCTTGACCTGATTTTTTACTTTATGTGTTCATTTCATGACTACGTGCATTCTGTTTTGTTCTCAAGTGATCTGTTGAGTTCCTTATGTTAACAATTATATTTTTCATTCCTAGCATCTTCAGTCAGTTTTTCTTTGACTGTTTTTGCTTCCTGTCTCCAGAATCCTCCGTTACCCTAGTATAGGATATTATCTTATACCATATTATCCTAGTATAGAGTACTTCCTATACTTATTTTAAATTTGGTTCTGTCTGGTTTATTAAGTCTGAGTCTTTGCTTTCTGGTTTCCTTTTGTTGCTTTATTTGAGGGTGCAGATATATTGTCACCTTTTCTCTAAGACTCATATTACCCTGAGAATATCAACTGCCTTGGCTGATAGTGGGCTTATGAAAGAAAGGGTCCTTGCTCAGGGCCGAAGGCTGAGGTCCTTGCTTATGCCTCCGCTGGTGAGTTTGGGAGCTGGCACGGTGCAAGAAAACAAAATTTCTGGGCACCATTTCCTAGATACTCCCCAACTCCCAAATAAGTTACTTCGCCCCTCAAACTACATCCTCCAGTTTTCAGAATAGTAGCTAAGACTGCTTGAGCACTTAGTATGTATCAGTTTCAGTTTTAAGTACTTTTACATGTATTGCATCTTTTAAACCACCTAAAAGGTGGGTAATATTATGGCCACTTTAGAGATGAGAAACAGAGAAAAAAAGGAAGTTTCCTGAAGTCACAGAGAAGTAAATGATGGGGACAGCATTAAAATCTAGGCAGTTTAGCTTCAGAGCCCATGTTCTTAATCTCTATACTACAGAGTGGGGAGGGCTGGAGAAGAGGGACCTGAGAATATCAACTGCCTTGGCTGATAGTGAGTATATGAGAGAGGGTCCCTCTTTCTCCAGCCCTTCGCATTCCATAGTATAAAGATTAAGAGCATGGGTGCTGAAGGCATCAGGACTTCTGCCTGACCCAGTTTTATCTGCTCTCCACCCAGGTGGGCTCTAACACTGCTCTGACGTTACCCTGATGCTTCTAGCTGCTGCTAAGCCAGCAGGGCTGTTTTTCTGCCTGGCAAGAAATTTTCTGCTTGTAGCAATGTGAGAGAATGATCAAGATATAACCAGAAAACTCTTTTCTGTAGTCTGTTCCCAATCTTGGCACCAGATCCTCTACCCCTCTTCACACTCACTGCCCCCACCCCTGCCCCATCATTACATACCCTGAGACCCAATCACCGTCTGCCTCACCAGTATCTTTTTACCTTTTGTGGGGGTTTTATGCTGTGTTATTAGATGCATCCAACTTGTTTATATGACAACTTTGGGGTTGGTTCAGAGGAAGGAGCCAGCATCACATATTAGGTCACCATTTAGGCAGGAAACATCTGTGTATGTAATTTCCGAAGTAACTTATTCACTAATCCTAGCCCCAGCGAACATCTAGCTCCATGAGTGCTGACCTCTCCTCTTCACCAGATATTTCCTTCTGGCTCATATTCAATCCCCAAAATCAACACAGGATTTTTTTGTTATCTTATCAGTCTTTAAAGTTTATTGGCCTTCTGCGAAAATGGATCTCTATACACACTCACATACATGTAAACATCCAGATTCAGGGCTAAAATTGACCTTATAACAGGCAACATTTTTGAGTCCTCCCTTTTCTCCTTCTTAACAGTGATATTTACTCCCTGATTGTTTGAGCATTTTTAACAGTTTTCCTAAATAATACAGGCATATAGATCTCTCTCTAACCACACAGCACTTTTTTTTATTTTATTACTATTATACTTTAAGTTCTGGGATACATGTGCAGAATATGCAGGTTTGTTACATAGGTATACACGTGCCATGGTGGTTTGCTGCACCCATCAACCTGTCATCTACATTAAGTATTTCTCCTAATGCTATCCCTCCCCTAGCCCTCCATCCCCCAACAGGTCCTGGTGTGTGATGTTCCCCTCCATGTGTCCATGTGTTCTCATTGTACAACTCCCAATTATGAGTGAGAACATGTGGTGTTTGGCTTTCTGTTCATGTCTTAGTTTGCTGAGAATGATGGTTTCCAGCTTCATCCATGTCACTGCAGAGGACATGAACTCATCCTTTTGTAAGGCTGCATAGTGTTCCATGGTGTATATTTGCCACATTTTCTTTATCCAGTCTATCACTGATGGGCATTTGGGTTAGTTGCAAGTCTTTGCTATGGTGAACAGTGCTGCAGTAAACATATGTGTGCATGTGTTTTTATAGCAGAATGATTCATAATCCTTTGGGTATTTACCGACTAATGGGATTGCTAGGTCAAATGGTATTTCTGGTTCTACATCCTTGAGGAATCGCCACACTGTCTTCCACAATGATTTAACTAATTTACACTCCCATCAACAGTGTAAACATGCTCTTATTTCTCCACATCTTCTCCAGCATCTGTTGTTTCCTGACTTTTTAATGATCACCACTCTAACTGGCATGAGATGATATCTCATTGTGGTTTTGATTTGCATTTCTCTAATGACCAGTGATGATAAGCTTTTTTCATATGTTTGTTGGCCACGTAAAGGTCTTCTTTTGAGAAGTGTCTGTTCATATCTTTTGCCCACTTTTTGATGGGGTTGTTTATTTCTTGTAAATTTGTTTAAGTTCCGTGTAGATTCTGGATATTAGCCCTCTGTCAGATGGATAGATTATGAAGATTTTCTCCCATTCTGTAGGTTGTCTGTTCACTCTGATGATAATTTCTTTTTCTGTGCAGAAGCTCTTTAGTTTAATTAGATCCCATTTCTCAATTTTGGCTTTTGTTGCCATTGCTTTTGATGTTTTAGTCATGCAGTCTTTGCCCATGCCTATGTTCTGAATGGTATTGCCTAGGTTTTCTTCTAGGGTTTTTGTGGTTTTAGATCTTACATTTAAGTCTTTAATCCATCTTGAGTTAATTTTTGTATAAGGTGTGAAGAAGGGGTCCAGTTTCAGTTTTCTGCATATGGCTATCCAGTTTTCCCAACACCATTTATTAAATAGGAAATCCTTTCCCCATTGCTTGTTTTTAGGTTTTTCAGAGATCAGATGGTTGTAGATGTGTGGTGTTATTTCTGAGGCCTCTGTTCTGTTCTATTGTTCTATGTCTGTTTTGGTATCAGAAGTATGCTCTTTTGGTTACTGTAGCCTTGTAGTATAGTTCGAGGTCAGGTAGTGTGATGCCTCCAGCTTTGTTCTTTTTGCTTAGGATTGTCTTGGCTATACAGGATCTTTTTTGGTTCCATATGAAATTTAAAGTAGTTTTTTCTAATTCTGTGAAGAAAGTCAGTGGTAGCTTGATGGGGATAGCATTGAATCTATAAATTACTTTGGGCAGTATGGCCATTTTCACGATATTGATTCTTCCTATCCATGAGCATGGAATGTTTTTCCATTTGCTTGTGTCCTCTCTTATTTCCTTGAACAGTGGTTTGTAGTTCTCCTTGAAGAGGTCCTTCACATCCCTTGTAAGTTGTATTCATAGGTATTTTATTCTCTTTGTAACAATTGTGAATGGGAATTCACTCATGATTTGGCTTTCTGTTTGTCTATTATTGGTGTATAGGAATGCTTGTGATTTTTGCACATTGATTTTGTATCCTGAGATTTTGCTGAAGTTGCTTATCAGCTTAAGGAGATTTTGGGCTGAGATGATGGGGCTTTCTAAATATACAATCATGTCATCTGCAAACAGACAATTTGACTTCCTCTCTTCCTCTTTAAATATACTTTATTTCTTCCTCTTGCCTGATTGTCCTGGCCAGAACTTCCAGTACTATGTTGAATAGGAGTGGTGAGAGAGAACATTTTTGTCTTGTGCTAGTTTTCAAAGGGAATACTTCCAGTTTTTGCCCAATCAATATGATATTGGCTGTGGGTTTGTCCTAAATAGCTCTTATTATTTTGAGATATGTTCCATCAATACCTAGTTTATTGAGAGTTTTTAGCATGATGGGCAGTTGAATTTTAATGAAGACCTTTTCTCCATCTGTCGAGATAATCATGTGGTTTTTGTAATTGGTTCTATTTATATGATGGATTACATTTTCCGATTTGCATATGTTGAACCAGCCTTGCATCCCAGGGATGAACCCAACTTGATCATGGTACATAAGCTTTTTGATGTGCTGCTGGATTCAGTTTGCCAGTATTTTATTGAGTATTTTTGCATCAATGTTCATCAGGGATATTGGCCTGAAATTTTCATTTTTTGTTGTGTCTCTGCCAGGTTTTGATATCAGGATGATGCTGGTCTCATAACATGAGTTAAGGAGGAGTCTCTCTCTTTCTAGTGTTTGGAATAGTTTTAGAAGGAATAGTACCAGCTCCTCTTTGGACCTCTGGTAGAATTCAACTGGTACATTGTGTCTTTGTTCTCATTGGTTTCAAAGAACTATTTATTTCTCCCTTAATTTGGTTATTTACCCAGTAGTCATTCAGGAGCAGGTTGTTTAGTTTCCATGTAGTTGTGTGGTTTTGAGTGAGTTTCTTAATCCTGAGTTCTAATTTGATTGCACTGTGATCTGAGAGACTATTTGTTATGATATCCGTTCTTTTGCAATTGCTGAGGAGTGTTTTACTTCCAATTATGGGTCAATTTTAGAATAAGTGTGACGTGGTGCTGAGAAGAATGTATACCTGTTGATTTGGGGTGGACAGTTCTTTAGATGTCTATTAGGTCTGCTTGGTCCAGAGCTGAGTTCAAGTCCGAATATCCTTGTTAATTTTCTGTCTCTTTGATCTGTCTAATATTGACAGTGGGGTGTTAAAGTCTCCCACTATTATTGTGTGGGAGTCTAAGTCTCTTCGTGGGTCTCTAAGAACTTGCTTTAGGAATCTGGGGCTCTTGTATTGTTGCATATATATTTAAGATAGTTAGCTGTTCTTGTTACATTCATCCCTTTACCATTATGTAATGCCCTTCTTTGTCTTTTTTGATCTTTGTTGGTTTAAAATCTGTTTTATCAGAGACTAGGATTGCAACCTCTGCTGTTTTTTGCTTTCCATTTGCTTGGTAAATTTTCCTCCATCCCTTTATTTTGAGCCTATGTGTGTCTTTGCACATGAGATGGGTCTTCTGAATACAGCACACCAATGGGTCTTGACTCTTTATCCAATTTGCCAGTCTGTGTCTTTTAATTGGGGTATTTAGCCCATTTACATTTAAGGTTAACATTGTTATGTGTGAATTTGATCCTGTCATTATGATGCTAGCTGATTATTTTGCCCGTTAGTTGATGCAGTTTCTTCATAGTGTCAGTGGTCTTTTCAATTTGGTATGTTTTTGCAGTGGCTGGTAACGGTTTTTCCTTTCCATATTTACTGCTTCCTTCAGGAGCCCTGGTGGTGACAAAAATCTCTCAGCATTTGCTTGTCTGTAAAGTATTTTATTTCTCCTTCACTTATGAAGCTTAGTTTGGCTGTATATGAAATTCTGGGTTGAAAATTCTTTTCTTTAAGAATGTTGAATATTGGCCCCCAGTCTCTTCTGGCTGGTAGGGTTTCTGCAGAGAGATCTGCTGTTTGTCTGATGGGCTTCCCTTTGTGAGTAACCCGACCTTTCTCTCCAGCTGCCCTTAACATTTTTTCCTTCATTTCAATCTTGGAGAATCTGAAGATTTTGTGTCTTGGGTTTGCTCGTTTCAGGGAGTATCTTTGTGGTGTTCTCCGTATTTCCTGAATTTGAATGTTGGCCTGTCTTGCTAGGTCAGGGAAGTTCTCCTGGATAATATCCTGAAGAGTGTTTCCTAACTTGGTTCCATTCTCCCCGTCACTTTCAGGTACACTAATCAAACATAGGTTTGGTCTGTTAACATAGTCCCTTATTTCTTGGAGGATTTGTTCTTTCCTTTTCATTATTTTTTCTCAAATCTTGTCTTCACGCTTATTTCATTAAGTTGATCTTCAATCTCTGATATCTTTTCTTTCACTTGATCACTTCAGCTACTGATACTTGTGTATACTTCCCAAAGTCTCATGCTGTGTTTTTCAGCCCCATCAGGTCATTTATGTTCTTCTCTAAACTGGTTATTCTAGTTAGCAATTCCTCTAACCTGTTTTCAAGGTTCTTAGCTTCCTTGCATTGGTTTAGAACATGCTCCTTTAGCTCGGGGGAGTTTGTTATTGCCCACCTTCTGAAGCCTACTTCTGTCAATTTGTCAAACTCATGCTCCATTTAGTTTTGTTCCCTTGCTGGCGAGGAGTTGTGATCCTTTAGAAGAGAAGAGGTGTTCTGGTTTTGGGAATTTTTCAGCATTTTTGTGCTGGTTTTTCCTCATCTTCATGGATTTGCCTACCTTTGGTCTTTGATGCTGGTGACCTTCAGATGGGGTTTCTGTGTAGACATCCTTTTTGTTGACGTTGATGCTATTCCTTTCTGTTTGTTAGTTTTTCTTCTAACAGTCAGGCCCTTCTGCTGCAGGTCTGCTGGAGTTTCCTGCAGGTCCACTTCAGACCCTCTTTGCCTGGGTTTAATTAGAAGAGGCTGCAGAACAGCAAAGATTGCTGCCTGTTCCTTCCTCTGGAAGCTTTGTCCCAGAGGGCACCCGCTGGATGCCAGCCAGAGCTCTCCTGTATGAGGTGCCTGTCAACCCCTGCTGGGAGGTGTCTCCCAGTCAGGAGGCACGGGGGTCAGGTACCCACTTGAGGAGGCAGTCTGTCCCTTAGCAGAGCTTGAGCACTGTGCTGGGAGATCTGCTGCTCTCTTCAGAGCCAGCAGGCAGGAACATTTAAGTCTGCTGAAGCTGTGCCCACAGCTGCCCCTTCCCCAAGGTGCTCTGTCCCAGGGAGATGGGAGTTTTATCTATAAGCCCCTGACTGGGGCTGCTGCCTTTCTTTCAGAGATGCCTTGCCCAGACAGGAGGATTCTGAAGAGGCAGTCTGGCTACAGTGGCTTTGCCAAGCTGCAGTGTTCCCTGTTCGAACTTTCAGGTGTCTTTGTTTACACCGTGAGGAGAAAACCACCTACTCAAGCCTCAGTAATGGTGGACACCCCTCCCCCAACCAAGCTGGAGCATCCCAGGTCAACTTCACACTGCTGTGCTGGCAGCAAGAATTTCAAGCCAATGGGTCTTAGTTTTCTGGGCTCCATGGGGATGGGATCCACTGAGCAAAACTGCTTGGCTCCCTGGCTTCAGCCCCCTTTCCAGGGGAGTGAATGGTTCTGCCTCACTGGCATTCCAGGCGTCACTGGGGTATGAAAAAAAACTCCTGCAGCTAGCTCGGTGTCTGCCCAAATGGCGCCCAGTTTTGTGCTTGAAACCAAGGGCCCTGGTGGTATAAGCACCTGAGGGAATTTCCTGGTCTGCGGGTTGTAAAGACCATGGGAAAAGTGTAGTATCTGGGCCAGAGTGCACCATTCCTCACAGTACAGTCCCTCATGGCTTTCCTTGGCTAGGGGAGGGAGTTCCCTGACCTCTCATCCTTCCTGAGTGAGGCGACACCCTACCCTACTTCAGCTCACCTTCCATGGGCTGCACCCACTGTCTAACGAGTCCCAATGAGATGAGCCGGGTACCTCAGTTAGAAATGCAAAAATCATCTGCCTTCTGCATAGATCTCCCTGGGAGCTGCACACCAGAGCTGTTCCTATTTGGCCATCTTATGCCCACTATTATTCCCACACAGCAGTTCTACATTTGTCTAGGATTGCACTTTTTGGGCCTGGGTAGCCTGGGGTCTTCTTCTTGCTCCTCTCCTGAATGGTAGCCATCCTTTAAAGTTTAGTTCATATGTCCCTACCTCCAGGAGGCCCTTCCCTTGTTGCTCAGCCGAAGGCAACCTCTCTCAACCTACATAGCACAGAGACTGTAAAAGCCTCACACATGCAGTATTTGCTCCTTTTTATGTGAGTGTCTGCATTCAGGTTCTGCAAACTGCCTACCTGGCTATCTATAGTCCTTCACAAGACTAACCCCAAAGCCAGAGGTCAAGACACTTAAGTTCTGACCTTCTCCCTACTTTTCCCCTTTTCCTTTTCCAATTTATTTCAACTTACACAATAGTTTAGATATAAAAATAAACTTTTCTGCATTGGCAATAGGATTATGGATGTGCGTTGTATGTGGCATGCCAATCCTGGCTCTTTTATCGTTTCGTTTCATGACTTTAAACCAGTCATTTTGCTCCTCTGATCCCAGTCTTCCTCATCTACAAAAAAAAAAAAGGAGACTGGGCTAGGTGATTTCTGAGGCTCAGTCTCAGTCTACAATTCATTGATTCATGTTGTAAATACCTTTAGGTCTGGGGCCCCATATCCTGATTGATTGATTGATTGATTTGTGGCTCCTATAGCACTGTGAGCAAATACTGGGGCTTGGTATTGTTGGATTAATCAAGGAATCAGTGATTATCTCAGGTGCTTTGTAGTCCTGATTCCTTAGTAAATGGACTCTAATCTAGTGGACTGCCAGATCATGGGCATATTTTCAGAAATTACCTCTGAAAACAGAAGTTATATTAGTCAGCTGACCCTGTTTTTTCAGGGGAGTCCAAGTTTCTGGTGACTCATTTGTGATGAGTAGCTTCCTTGAGAAAATGTCCTCTAGGTAACTACAGATAAATTGAGATGTGCTGTAGGTTGTTTTTCCCATACCTAAATTATATCATTTCCATTTTCCAGAAGTTAGAATCAAGACCCTGTGGACAAATCCATTTTATCCAAAGTATTTTATGTTTTATGGCAAACGCCTTCCTGGGAGTCACTACTTGGATGTGGTCCAAAGGTCGGAAATAAAGAAATTGCCTCCTCCCTGGGGTGGAAGCTCTAGTTCCAGAAGGCTAGCTCCCACTGAAGATGGCAGACAAGGGAGTAGAGCTGCCTTCAAACGCAGAGGCCCAAACTCCTTTGGGGATTTCTGAAAATGCAGTGACAAAGAGCAGACAAGGAGTCTAGCATTTTCTAGACTCCGTGCAGAGGGAGAAAGCTGAAGCCCCCAGGGCCACCCCAGTCAGTAACTGTATAACTCCTCCCTAACCCTGTGTTTCTATGAGATCCAAACTGGCCAGAATCTTCACAGCTCAATCCCCGCTTGAGCACTCAGCAGAGGGGCTGACTCTCAGCTATCACATCAGTTAAAACCCAGCCAAGCAGTGGGAATTCTCTGTATTTTGTTCTATGATTAGAATCCAATTACCATCTGGTGGTAGGCTATAGGGAAGTGCTGTTCTTCTGCGTCAGCAGACACACAAGGCAGCAAGCACTTTGATGTGCAAGCTGGAAGTGTTTAGAGCTTAGAGCAAAAAGTAGAGAAATAATTTTATTTCTACCCAAAGAACCTCATGCCCATTGGGATTCCCCTGGCTTCAGGATACACTTATTGAGCTTGACCTTATAAAGGAAGGACCTTATTTTGATGTCATGCTGACCTTTAAATTCTGAAACCCCTTGCCCAGGCCTAAGTCCATGCATTCGGGACGTCCTTCACTGTGCCTACCTGTTTCCTTCCCTCCTGAAGGTAGCCCAACAACAACTGGATATCAGGCTCCTCATGAGGTATGAAGCTGCTGCTTCAAGAACTGCCATCTGAGGCAAGACTGAACAGCTCCTGGCCTTGATATCCATCCCTCTCCCCTTTTCTTGACTCAGGTCCCCATGGTGAGGGAAGCCAGAGGCTGCTTCATGGTCAATGGTCTGATGGATGCGGAAATATTTCGATGCATGTTTGATGGATATAAATAGTTTGACGGATGTTCAGCCCAAAGTTTCTCTTGGCCACCCTCTGAGGTGATTTGTTCTACCAAGGTTGGAAAAGAAGTTATGCCTAGAATTTCTCCTATGCCATCTGAAACGTCTTTGGATGTTTAATGGAATTAGAATAAGGGAAAGTATTGCTAGAGGGATGAGAAAAGAGGATGGGGGTGAAAGTAGGGTCAACATGTCTTCAACTAAGGGACAGAACATATTTATCTCACATGTTCTAGATGCCTTGGAGCAAAAGATTTTTTTTCTGTCCCTTTTTGCTACTGAAGTTCCTAATTTCACTATTTTTGATTCCTCCCCACTCCTCCTTCTTTCCCTCCGTCCATGCAGGTAGGTACACGAGTTGTTGCAAATGGAAAGGCATTGAACAAGGTCAAGAAGCAGACTCCTGAATCCTTAAATCCTATACTCAGTGATCTGCCTCCAAGCCCATGCTGTCTCTTTGTGGCCAGCGAATTTCTTTGTCCAGATTAGAGACAGATCTAGGGCCTTTCCCTTAGGAAGAACTGAGTCCCTTTCCCTTAGGCCCACCCCCAAGTCTCAGCTCTTCACATACCGCCCCCCCACCAACTTCTGTTTATAAGCAAGAAGCAGTACATACAGTGGGGAGAGAGCACAGAGCTTTGGTCCAACATATGGCGCAGAGCTGGTAAACAGCCACCCACACAGGCATCCCAGGCCAGGGCAGCAGCTCCAGACCATCTGATTTCACCTTGAATTTTGTGAATTATGCTTGAAAGCTCTTTTTTTCCTTTCACTGACAGTCAAAATAGTCTTATCAAATATAGCCAGAAATCACAAATAGCCAAAACGTGGTTCAGAAGAATTATAAATGTTTTTCATTATATGCCAGGTGTTTTTTTTAATTTTATTATTATTATACTTTAAGTTTTAGGGTACATATGCACAACGTGCAGGTTTGTTACATATGTATACATGTGCCATATTGGTGTGCTGCACCCATTAACTCGTCATTTAGCATTAGGAATATCTCCTAATGCTATCCCTCCCCCCTCCCCCCACCCCACAACAGTCCCCAGTGTGTGATGCTCCCCTTCCTGTGTCCATGTGTTCTCATTGTTCAATTCCCACCTATGAGTGAGAACATGTGGCGTTTGGTTTTTTGTCCTTGCGATAGTTTGCTGAGAATGATGGTTTCCAGTTTCATCCATGTCTCTACAAAGGACATGAACTCATCATTTTTTATGGCTGCATAGTATTCCGTGGTGTATATGTGCCACATTTTCTTAATCCAGTCTATCATTGATGGACATTTAGGTTGGTTCCAAGTCTTTGCTATTATGAATAGTGCCACTATAAACATACGTATGCATGTGTCTTTATAGCAGCATGATTTATAATCCTTTGGGTATATACCCAGTAATGGGATGGCTGGGTCAAATGGTATTTCTAGTTCTAGATCCCTGAGGAATTGCCACACTGACTTCCACAATGGTTGAACTAGTTTGCAGTCCCACCAACAGTGTAAAAGTGTATCCAGGAGCTGGTTTTTTGAAAAGATCAACAGAATTCATAGACCGCTAGCAAGACTAATAAAGAAGAAAAGAGAGAAGAACCAAATAGATGCAATAAAAAATGATAAAGGGGATATCACCACAAATCCCACAGAAATACAAACTACCATCAGAGAATACTATAAACACCTCTACCAAATAAACCAGAAAATGTAGAAGAAATGGATAAATTCCTTGACACATACATCCTCCCAAGACTACACCAGGAAGAAGTTGAATCCCTGAATAGACCAATCACAGGCTCTGATATTGAGGCAATAATCAATAGCTTACCAACCAAAAAAAGTCCAGGACCAGATGGATTCACAGCCGAATTCTACCAGAGGTACAAAGAGGAGCTGCTACCATTCCTTCTGAAACTATTCCAATCAATAAAAAAAGAAGGAATCCTCCCTAACTCATTTAATGAGGCCAGCATCATCCTGATACCAAAGCCTGGCAGAGACATAACAAAAAAGAGAATTTTAGACCAATATCCTTGATGAACATCAATGCAAAAATCCTCAATAAAATACTGGCAAACCAAATCCAGCAGCACATCAAAAAGCGTATCCACCATGATCAAGTGGGCTTCATTCCTGGGATGCAAGGCTGATTCAATATACGGAAATCAATAAATGTAATCCAGCATATAAACAGAACCAAAGACAAAAACCACATGATTATCTCAACAGATGCAGAAAAGGCCTTTGACAAAATTCAACAACCCTTCATGCTAAAAACTCTCAATAAATTAGGTATTGATGGGATGTATCTCAAAATAATAAGAGCTATCTATGAAAAACCCACAGCCAATATCATACTGAATGGGCAAAAACTGGAAGCATTCCCTTTGAAAACTGGCACAAGACAGGGATGCCCTCTCTCACCACTCCTATTCAACATAGTGTTGGAAGTTCTGGCCAGGGCAATCGGGCAGGAGAAGGAAATAAAGGGTATTCAATTAGGAAAAGAGGGAGTCAAATTGTCCCTGTTGGCAGATGACATGATTGTATATTTAGAAAACCCCATCGTCTCAGCCCAAAATCTCCTCAAGCTGATAAGCAACTTCAGCAGTCTCAGGATACAAAATCAATGTACAAAAATCGCAAGCATTCTTATACACCAATAACAGACAAACTGAGAGCCAAATCATGAGTAAACTCCCATTCACAATTGCTTCAAAGAGAGTAAAATAACTAGGAATCCAATTTACAAGGAAGTAAAGGACCTCTTCAAGGAGAACTACAAACCACTGCTCAAGGAAATAAAAGAGGATACAAACAAATGGAAGAACATTCCATGCTCATGGGTAGGAAGAATCAATATCGTGAAAATGGCCATACTGCCCAAGGTAATTTATAGATTCAATGCCATCCCCATCAAGCTACCAATGACTTTCTTCACAGAATTGGAAAAAACTACTTTAAAGTTCATATGGAACCAAAAAAGAGCCCGCATCGCCAAGTCAATCCTAAGCCAAAAGAACAAAACTGGAGGCATCATGCTACCTGACTTCAAACTATACTACAAGGCTACAGTAACCAAAACAGCATGGTACTGGTACCAAAACAGAGATATAGACCAATGGAAGAGAACAGAGAGCCCTCAGAAATAATGCTGCATATCTACAACTATCCGATCTTTGACAAACCTGACAAAAACAAGCAATGGGGAAAGGATTCCCTATTTAATAAATGGTGCTGGGAAAACTGGATAGCCATATGCAGAAAGCTGAAACTGGATCCCTTCCTTACATCTTATACAAAAATTAATTCAAGATGGATTAAAGACTTACATGTTAGACCTAAAACCATAAAAACCCTAGAAGAAAACCTAGGCAATACCATTCAGGACATAGGCATGGGCAAGGACTTCATGTCTAAAACACCAAAAGCAATGACAACAAAAGCCAAAATTGACAAATGGGATCTAATTAAACTAAAGAGCTTCTGCACAGCAAAAGAAACTACCATCAGAGTGAACAGACAACCTACAGAACAGGAGAAAATTTTTGCAACCTACTCATCTGACAAAGGGCTTATATCCAGAGTCTACAATGAACTCAGACACATTTACAAGAAAAAAACAAACAACCCCATCAAAAGGTGGGCAAAGGATATGAACAGACGCTTATCGAAAGAAGACATTTAGGCAGCCAAAAAACACATGAAAAAATGCTCATCATCACTGGCCATCAGAGAAATGCAAATCAAAACCACAATGAGATACCATCTCACACCAGTTAGAATGGCGATCATTAAAAAGTCAGGAAACAACAGGTGCTGGAGAGGATGTGGAGAAATAAATTTTTATTCCTTTTCTGCTTGAGGGTTTATACCTGGGCCAAACAGAATCAGGGGAGGTTTTTCCCTCAGAACCCTTCGTTTCCCTGTTTTTGTCTCTGTCCATTTCAAATCACCACTTTCCTCAGATGCACAGGTTCGTCTGGTACATATCCTTCTGATGTTAAAATCCTCTCCCACAAAATATTAGAAACTCATAATGCTATTTTTTATAATCAGTTGTGTCTCAATGTTAATGAAATACAACATTAAACACAGACTATACATTAGAAATATTATACATTGTCTCAATCATCACAAAATTCCATAAAGCTGATAATATTATTATTCCTATTTCATACATTAGAAAACTGAAGACCATAGACATTAATTGAATTTTTCAAAGTCATTTGTCTGGTAAGCAACAGATGTAGGATTTGAACTTGGGACTTTCAACTCCAAAGTCTGTCCTCATGCCAAAACAGCATGCTGCTTCTTAAAGACAAATAGCCATTGCTTCTACAGAGACAAAGAGCTCAAAATGGACAATAGATTTCAGAGACAGTTCCAATGCAAATGCACACACAGGGGGCACCTGAGGGATAAACAGCAAACAGAGGGCACTAGTCAAACTCAAGGCAAACAGTAAAAGTGAGAGGAAGGTGGCATAGGTTATTTAGATTGTACAGGGGAAAAAAAAATCCTTATCAATTTGTAGCAAGCATAGCAAATCTCTCTCCCTCTCTCTCTTTTTTTTTTTTTGAGATTTTCTTTGCAAATCTCTTTAAACTGAAGAGTTGTACACTGAATACTTTGAAGAGCTAATCTTCTGAGTCTACAACATAAATAAAGAGAACGCAACATATCAACACAAAATGGTAGATAGGCAGGACATGGATATTGCACCTGGATGCTCCAGGTAATTAGCTACTGCCTGCTCTCTGGTGGGAGAAACTGGTAGTCAAAATTAAGCTCAACGTAGTTGAAAGGTTTATTTGAGGAATCCACTGAATCCATTTAAGATTATCCATAGGATAGTTCACTTTAAAGAAAAACTCTCTTTGTTATAATTATATTTTAAGGACCCCTGACTACAACAGTGTTGGGGTCATGTGTGTGTGTCCTAGGTGGAGTTCACCATTTGGAGGTTCCTATTGCTGATACTCAGGGAGGACCATTATCCCTGCCTGTCTGCATGCCCACACATCACCAAGAGAAGAGGGTGATTAGGGACAGAGAAAGGAAACTTGTATGACTGTTGCCCTAGACTGAGGCTATGTTAAAAAAATAATGATGACCAGTTGTCCTGTTCTTGACAAGGATAATGTAAGGACAAAAAGAATAATGCATAAGCCTTTCCAGTTGTAGATTAGTATTCTTTAGAACAGGAGAGTTATTCAAAATAATTTCTTTAGAGTCAAACTGTGGGTAGTATTTATTTTAGAAAAAAAAGTATAGATGTTATTTAGGTCACCTGAGTTGAATAGATTGGGCAATAAAATGTTTGTTAAATACTTTCTCCACTGGGCACTGCACTAGGTGCTGTTTTTATTAAAGACTATTTGGGCATTTAGTTGGCTGGGGAATAGTAATTGCTCTGAAATGTGAGCTATTTTGAATAATAGCTATCAGCGTAATAAGGATTTACTCTGCAAACTTTATGGGCACAGAAGGAAAGGGTTTCAGAAAAAGACTTGAACTTAGAGGGCTCGTGCAATTTCATTAGGTAATGTTTTCCCAGGGGTCCCTGGAAATGGATGTCTTTTTCCCCTATGGGAGTAATAGAGCCTGGGCTTGTTATTAACCAGAAAGAAAGAAAATGTTCTGAAAACCCAACAATTGGCTAGTCTGATCTTTCCAGAATGGAGTTAGCTTAAGATCTGGCCTTTCAGATTTGTGGTGGGAGAGAAGCTAGTGTATTTATTTAGCTAGGCTTAGTGAATGCTCAGTGAATAATTGTGGAAAGGATAAGTCAAGGTAGGAACTTATTTTTCCAGGCATTCTAAAAAATAATATAATTGCCTGAGGAAGAACAGGAAATAAAGGGTGTTAACCTTTGTGTCCACTGAAAAACAGAATGGCATGGGGGAAAGAGGTGAGAATTGGGACAAAATTTATGAGTTCATTGCCACATGACCAAGATGAAAAAACAAGAGAAATATTTTGTGATAACAATAAAGACAGCTTCCTCAATCTCTACCCAACAAGCCTACCAAAATTTAAGGCTCAGCTCACCACTTATCTTGGAAGCCTTCCCTGATACCTCCAATCAAAAGAATTTCCCTTTCCCTGAGCTTCCATTCCATAGGTTTATTCCTCACGCAGTGCACTTCCAGAACGCTTTGCATTGAGATGATAGACACACATCCTACCTCCCCGTGCACTGTAAGCTCTTATAGGGCAGGCTCCATGTTGTACAATTTTTCTTTCTTCATAGTGCTGTATACATAGCATGGACTCAGAACAAATCTTATAGGTGAATGAACTCACAATGGGTGAATAAACAGTTTCTTTGAAATTCCAAATATTGGATAAATTTGTCTCTCAACAAGAAATTGGATTGCGGGGAAAATTTATATCATTTGGTAGTCAGCATAGCAACTTTTTCTGATTGTCTTAAATATATATTTTGATGTTAGATTCACTTGAATCAGCATCCAAATGAGGTCACACATTACATTTGCTGTTAGATCATTTCAGTCTCTTTTAATCTATCCCTCTTTTTGCTTTTCTACTTATACTTGTTGAAAAAACAAGTAATCTTTTCTGTAGGATATTCTACATTCTAGACTTCACTGATTGCTTCCTCTTGACATTGTTTAACTTGTTCCTCTATCCCTGTATGTCCTGCACACTGGTTGTTAGACCTGGAAGCTTGATAAGATTAAAGTAAAGTATTTTTAGCAACAAAACTTTTTAAGTGGCGCTTACAAAGTAAAGTGGCACTTTGTAAGTAGCGGCATGATATCTCCATGTTTTAAGTGATATAAAAATTGATCAGGTTCTGATATCCATTATAAAGGTCCTCATTAAGTCTTCATATAATGGTTTTAGCAGCCACGAGGGCCATTACTTAGGTCCTTTATTTCATTAAAGCAATATTATTTCATATCTGTGATTTTTCAATCCTATCATTCTTTCTGCATTTATTATGGTAATTTTTCCATTAAGAAGTATTTTCCACATCCAATATCTGGTGCCTTGAAATACAGTTTGCATAGGAAGAAATATCTACTCTTTTCTTTATCATTCTCCAAAATAACAAATTAGAATAATAGCAAAATCTGATGGGGAGCAATGAGAAGTTGATTTGTTAGTTTGTTTGGAGTATTCCTATGAACTCGTGAATTTTTATATATTCAAGAGTGTTCCAAAAACTTGCATTCATCATTATTTTTGATGCTCAAATGATCTTATCTTAAACTATTGGGGACTTCAAATTGATTTCTATGTGTTTTTATCCTTAACCATTTACTTCATGTCAAAGATACAGAAAAGTTTAAAGAATGATATAACAAATTTCCAAATATCATCAACGACTGGTAATATTTTGCCACGTTTGCACTGAACTGTTTGAGAATAACTTGCAGTCATGAACTTTAAATATTTCAGCTGGGCTATCCTAAGAATAGGGACATTATCCTATAAAACTACATTATCATTATTATAGCTAAGAACACTTCAGGTGGCAAAACTTCATAATGTCACCTGAAACCTATCCAATCTATATTGATATTTCTGAATTGTCCCCAAAATGTCTGTTTTTTTCCTGATACTCAACATCCAGTTAAGCTTGCCATATTGCATTTGGTTGCCATGTCTCTGGGGACCCTTTTAATATACAATAATTTTCACACTTTATCTTTTCTTTAATAACACTGACTTTTTGAAACTTCAGTCCAGTTGATATCCTGATTTTTGGATTTGGCTAAATGCTTCCTCATGTAGTCACTTAACCTACTTCTCCATCCTCTATTTCCTATAAACCTCTATTTTCCTATAAAATAGACCTGAAGTAGCACTAATAGATATAACATGAGCCACATGTATAATATTAAATTATCTAGGAGTTACATAAAAAAGTAAAAATGAAAAGAATATGTATGTGTGTGTGTGTAGTAAGTAAGCGTTCTTTGATTGCTATTTTGCTACATGTTTTTGTCAGAAATGGACGTTTAATTTTGTCAAAAGCCTTTTCAGCATCTGTGAAAGTTATCCTATGGTTTTTCATCTTAGAATAATTCATGTGGTGAATTGTATTAATTTATTTTTTTAATTGAATGATTCTCACATTGTTGGAATAATTTTGTTGGAATAATGTTGTTCATGATGTTTAGTAATAGTCGTAGTAGTGTTTTACTTTCCATTATGGGAAATCTCAAGCATATCTGAAAGAAGAGGGAAGAGCTTGATGAGCTACCATGTAACCATCATGTGTTGATAATTGTTGAAGCTGGGTGATTATTACATTCCCCTCACCCCTGCTCAGTTATGTAGATGCAAATCTCAGACATCATCATCATTTCATCCATAAATATTTTAGTATATTTTTCTGTAAAAGTGTTTTTAAACAAATAACCACAATAAAATTATCACAACTAAGGTAATATTTGCAGAATACCATGAAATATCCAATCAGTGCTCAAATTTCCTTCATTGTGTCTCATATTATTTTTTACAGTACATTTGAGTTAAGATCCAAATAAGGCTCATATATTGCAATGTTTGCTATTTATTGTAAATTTCTTTTAATCCATAGGTCATCCTCTATCCCTTTCTTTTCTCTGCAGCTTCTCTGTTGAGGAAACCTGGGTCATTTGTCCTGTAGAAATTTTCGTAGTGTTGATTTGCTAGTTGCATCACCTTGGTGCCCTTTACTATGTTACTCTGTTTTCTGCTCTCAGCTTCTATTCCAGGGCTCTTCTCAGTCTCAACTGGACAAATAGACTGAGTCAACCACAAAAAGACCACAATTAGCATTGAAAATCACTTAAAAAAAAATACAAGGACAGGAATCACAGCATGCTAGCTCAGGGCATTTCCCTCCACCTGTCCATGGCTAGTCTTTTTGGCCTCTCAAGAGGCAGCTCAAGTGCAAGAGAATGCCTCTTTATTTTATTGAGGATTTTCACATCGATGTTCATCAGGGATATTGGTCTAAAATTCTCTTTTTGTGTGTGTCTCTGCAGGCTTTGGTATCAGGATGATGCTGGCCTCATAAAATGAGTTAGGGAGGATTATCTGTTTTTCTATTGATTGGAATCATTTCAGAAAGAATGGTAACAGCTCCTCTTTGTACCTCTGATAGAATTCGGCTGTAAATCTATCTGGTCCTGGAATTTTTTTGTTTGGTAGGCTATTAATTATTGCCTCAATTTCAGAGCCTGTTATTGTTCTATTCAGGGATTCAACTTCTTCCTGGTTTAGTCTTGGGAGGGTGTATGTGTCCAGGAATTTATCCATTTCCTCTAGATTTTCTAGTTTATTCACAAAGAGGAGTTTACAGTATTCTCTGATGGTAGTTTGTATTTCTGTGGGATCAGTGGTGATATCCCCTTTATCATTTTTTACTGCATCTATTTGATTCCTCTCTCTTTTCTTCTTTATTAGTCTTGCTAGCAGTCTATCAATTTTGTTGATCTTTTCGAAAAACCAGCTCCTGGATTCATTGATTTTTTGAAGGGTTTTTTGTGTCTCTAGCTCCTTCAGTTCTGCTCTAATTTTAGTTATTTCTTGTCTTCTGCTAGCTTTCGAATGCGTTTGCTCTTGCTTCTCTAGTTCTTTTAATTGTGATGTTAGGGTATTGATTTTAGATCTTCCCTACTTTCTCTTGTGGGCATTTAGTGCTATAAATTTCCTTCCACACACTGCTTTAAATGTGTCCCAGAGATTCTGGTGCGTTGTGTCTTTGTTCTCATTGGTTTTGAAGAACATCTTTATTTCTGCCTTCATTTCATTATGTACCCAGTAGTCATTCAGGAGCAGGTTGTTCAGTTTCCATGTAGTTTAGTGGTTTTGAGTGAGTTTCTTAATCATGAGTTCAAATTTTAAAATACTGGCAAACCGAATCCAGCAGCACATCAAAAAGCTATCAAACATGATCAAGTGGGCTTCATCCCTGGGATGCAAGGCTGGTTCAATATACACAAATCAATAAATGTAATACATCACATAAAAAGAACCAATGATAAAAACCACATGATTATCTCAATAGAGGCAGAAAAGACCTTAGACAAAATTCAACAGTGCTTCATGCTAAAAACTCTCAATAAACTAGGTATTGATGGAACGTATCTCAAAATAATAAGAGCTATTTGTGACAAACCCATAGCCAGTATCATACTGAAGGGGCAAAAACTGGAAGCATTCCCTTTGAAAACTGGCACAAGACAGGGATGCCCTCTCTCATCACTCCTATTCAACATAGTGTTGGAAGTTCTGGCCAGGGCAATCAGGCAAAAGAAAGAAATAAAGGGTATTCAATTAGGAAAAGAGGAAGTCAAATTGTCCCTGTTTGCAGATGACATGATTGCATATTTAGAAAACCCCATCGTCTCGGCCCAAAATCTCCTTAAGCTGATAAGCAACTTCAGCAAAGTCTCAGCATACAAAATCAATGTACAAAAATCGCAAGCATTCTTATACACCAATAACAGACAAACTGAGAGCCAAATCATGAGTAAACTCCCATTCACAACTGCTACAAAGAGAATAAAATACCTAGGAATCCAACTTACAAGGGATGTGAAGGACCTCTTCAAGGAGAACTACAAACCACTGCTCAAGGAAATAAAAGAGGACACAAACAAATGGAAGAACATTCCATGCTCATGGGTAGGAAGAATCAATATTGTGAAAATGGCCACACTGCCCAAGGTAATTTATAGATTCAATGCCATCCCCATCAAGCTACCAATGACTTTCTTCACAGAATTGGAAAAAACTACTTTAAAGTTCATATGGAACCAAAAAGGAGCCCGCATTGCCAAGTCAATCCTAAGCCAAAAGAACAAAGCTGGAGGCATCAAGCTACCTGACTTCAAACTATGCTACAAGGCTACAGTAACCAAAACAGCATGGTACTGTTACCAAAATAAAGATGTAGACCAATGGAACAGAGCAGAGGCCTCAGAAATAACATCACACATCTACAACCATCTAATCTTTTACAAACCTGACAAAAACAAGCAATAGGGAAAGGATTCCCTATTTAAGAAATGGTGCTGGGAAAACTGGATAGCCATATGTGGAAAGCTGAAACTGGATCCCTTCCTTACACCTTATACAAAAATTAATTCAAGATAGATTAAAGACTTAAATGTTAGACCTAAAATCATAAAAACCCTAGAAGAAAAACCTAGGCAATACCATTCAGGACATATGCATGGACAAGGACTTCATGTCTAAAACACCAAAAGCAATGGTAACAAAAGCCAAAATTGACAAATGGGATCTAATTAAACTAAAGAGCTTCTGCACAGCAGAAGAAACTACCATCAGAGTGAACAGGCAACCTAGAGAATGGGAGAAAATTTTTGCAATCTATCCATCTGACAAAGGGCTAATATCCAGAATCTACAAAAAACTTAAACAAATTTACAAGAAAAAACAAACAATCCCATCAAAAAGTGGGCAAAGGATATGAACAGATACTTCTCAAAAGAAGACATTTATGCAGCCAACAGACACACAAAAAACCGCTCATCATCACTGGCCATCAGAGAAATGTAAATCAAAACAACAATGAGATTCCATCTCACAACAGTTAGAATGGCGAGCATTAAAAAGTCACGAAACAACAGATGCTGGAGAGGATGTGGAGAAATAGGAATGCTTTTACACTGTTGGTGGGAGTGGAAACTAGTTCAACCATTGTGGAAGACAGTGTGGCGATTCCTCAAGGATCTAGATCTAGAAATACCATTTGACCCAACGATCCCATTACTGGGTATATACCCAAAGGATTATAAATCATGCTACTATAAAGACACATGCACACGTATGTTTATTGTGGCACTATTCACAATAGCAAAAACTTGGAATCAACCCAAATGTCCATCAATGATAGACTGGATTAAGAAAATGTGGCACATATACACCACGGAATACTATGCAGCCACAATAAAGGATAAGTTCATGTCCTTTGCAGGGACATGGATGAAGGTGGAAACCATCATTCTGAGCAAACTATCACAAGGACAGAAAACCAAACACTGCATGTTCTCACTCGTAGGTGGGAACTGAACAGTGAGAACACTTGGACACAGGGTGGGGAACATCACACATGTGAGTCTGTCGTGGGGTGGGGGGCAGGAAGAGGGATAGCATTAGGAGAAATAACTAATGTAAATGACGAGTTAATGGGTGCAGCAAACCAACAAACAACCAGCAAAGCAACGTATGTAACAAACCTGCACGTTGTGCACATATACCCTAGAACTTAAAGTATAATAATAATAATAATAATAATAATAATAATAGAGAATGCCTCTTGTACTTGATCACATGACAGGTGTGAGAGACCCCATGCCCTAGAAACTCCATGTCCCAAAAAAGGACTAGTATCTCCTCCCACAATGCCATGTGCACAGCTTCTAAGGTTCAGCAAGAAATAAGCCTATTACACGAGTCACCACACTCAGGGAAGTCCACGGCTATGGCTTCCCAGCAAGTATTTACAGCTTATTCATAGCCTTCCTAATACAGCCTGTTTAATCAGTTAGGAGTTAGTTTTACCATAGCAATGTCCAGGTTTCAAGAAAACAAAGCTAAGCCAAGTTCCAATTTTCCACAAAGAAGAAGAAATATTTTTGTTTATCCTTTACTTTCATCTGTATTTCCTATAAACTGATAGTTAGAGCTATAGGCTTGATCAGATTCAGATTCACTATTTTGCCAAGACCACTTCATGTTTTGCATATCTTATAGAAGACACATAATGTTTGCTGTGTCCCTTTTTGTAATGTTGGAAGTCATTGATTATCATTGCCCAGAATCATTAATCCATTGGGGCTTGAAGAAGGGGATATTCTGAGACTATCATTTTTTTTTTCTATTTATCAGCTGGAATGCCTCCATAAAGAAGAAATTTCCCTTGGCAACTACTTCATTACCCTGAGGTACCCTGAGTTCATAGAAAATAGGCAAGATAAATGCCTGATTCTTCCCTTTATTTCCACTTATCATAATAATGAATTAATCTACTAGCATCCTTCAAAGGTAATAAATGAGGAAGCTGTTCAGGAGGAAGTAAAGAAATGCAAAGGAAGTTAAGAGAGCCCATATGGAGAAAGTGCAAATACAAAAATAATAAATGGATATTTCTTCCCAAAGAGAGAAAAATAAGAGTCATACAGATTACTTTGCTAAATTCTGTGCAAACTAATTTTAAAACTCGGATGAGATAGATTACTCTCTAGGAAAATAAACTTACCCAAAACACCAGAAAAAGCATTCCCCAAACAATATCAGTCCCAAATAGCTTCACAGGGGAATTCTACTGCATCCTTAAAAAATAGATAATCCTAATGGTATTGCAACTATTCCAGAACATAAGAAAAACATAAAATTTCCAAATTATTTTCACGATTTGAGTATAATTTTGATACCAAAGCTTGACAATGGTAGCACAAACCGACAAAACGTATAGACAGTTTCACTTATATATATCAATATCCAAATACCAAAAAACAGCATTTGCAAACAGACCCAGAATAAAATTAAAAGAATAATACCTTATTCTTTTATACTGTACTAGTCAAGGTTTCTCAGAGAAACAGAACCAGTAGGATATCCTTAGCATGCCACTGGTACACGACAGTTGTATAGTATGTAACCATTTGGGTAAAAAGGTAGGAAAATGAGAACATATATTGATATCAGCTTGAATCTCAGCAAACATGTTGAATGGATAAACAAGCAATTAATAATAGTGGTGCAGGGGGTGGTATGAATCTGAGCAGATGGGAAACAGTTTGAAACTTTACCGCACATGCATATACACACATTTGCATGCACACATACACGTAAACACATGTATTACATCTATATGCAATTTTTTTTAATTTTATTATTATTATACTTTAAGTTTTAGGGTACATGTGCACAACATGCAGGTTTGTTACATATGTGTACATGTGCCATGCTGGTGTGCTGCACCCATTAACTCGTCATTTAGCATTAGGTATATCTCCTAATGCTATCCCTCCCCCCTCCCCCCACCCCACAACAGTGCCCGGTGTGCGATGTTCCCCTTCCTGTGTCCATGTGTTCTCATTGTTCAATTCCCACCTATGAGTGAGAACATGTGGCGTTTGGTTTTTTGTCCTTGTGATAGCTTGCTGAGAATGATGGTTTCCAGTTTCATCCATGTCCCTGCAAAGGACATGAACTCATCATTTTTATGGCTGCATAGTATTCCATGGTGTATATGTGACACATTTTCTTAATCCAGTCTATCGTTGTTAGACATTTAGGTTGGTTCCCAGTCGTTGCTATTGTGAATAGTGCCACTATAAACATACTTGTGCATGTGTCTTTATAGCAGCATGATTTATAATCCTTCGGGTATATACCCAGTAATGGAATGGCTGGGTCAAATGGTATTTCTAGTTCTAGATCCCTGAGGAATCGCCACACTGACTTCCACAATGGTTGAACTAATTTACAATCCCACCAACAGTGTAAAAGTGTTCCTATTTCTCCACATCCTCTCCAGCACCTGTTGTTTCCTGACTTTTTAATGATTGCCATTCTAACTGTTGTGAGATGGTATCTCATTGTGGTTTTGATTTGCATTTCTCTGATGGCCAGTGATGATGAGCATTTTTTCATGTGTTTTTTGGCTGCATAAATGTCTTCTTTTAAGAAGTGTCTGTTCATATCCTTTGCCCACTTTTTGATGGGGTTGTTTGTCTTTTTCTTGTAAATGTGTTTGAGTTCATTGTAGATTCTGGATATTAGCCCTTTGTCAGATGAGTAGGTTGCAAAAATTTTCTCCCATTCTGTAGGTTGCCTGTTCACTCTGATGATAGTTTCTTTTGTTCTGCGGAAGCTCTTTAGTTTAATTAGATCCCATTTGTCAATTTTGTCTTTTGTTGCCATTGCTTTTGGTGTTTTAGACATGAAGTCCTTGCCCATGCCTATGTCCTGAATGGTATTGCCTAGGTTTTCTTCTAGGATTTTTATGGTTTTAGGTCTAACATTTAAGTCTTTAATCCACCTTGAATTAATTTTTGTATAAGGTGTAAGGAAGGGATCCAGTTTCAGCTTTCTACATATGGCTATCCAGTTTTCCCAGCACCATTTATTAAATAGGGAATCCTTTCCCCATTGCTTGCTTTTGTCAGGTTTGTCAAAGATCAGATAGTTGTAGATATGCAGCATTATTTCTGAGGGCTCTGTTCTGTTCCATTGGTCTATATCTTTGTTTTGGTACCAGTACCATGCTGTTTTGGTTACTGTAGACCTGTAGTATAGTTTGAAGTCAGGTAGTGTGATGCCTCCAGCTTTGTTCTTTTGGCTTAGGATTGACTTGGCAATGTGGACTCTTTTTTGGTTCCATATGAACTTTAAAGTAGTTTTTTCCAATTCTGTGAAGAAAGTCATTGGTAGCTTGATGGGGATGGCCTTGAATCTATAAATTACCTTGGGCAGTATGGCCATTTTCATGATATTGATTCTTCCTACCCATGAGCATGGAATGTTCTTCCATTTGTTTGAATCATGTGCATGTGTTATTGTATTAGTATTCTCCAGAGAAGCAGAACAATATGATATATATACATAGATAGATGATAGATGATAGATAAATATATAGATAGGTTTATTATAAAGAATTTCATGTGTACTTACATAGGCTGAGACCTGCTGTCTAAGTTGGAGGCTCAGGAAAGCCAGTGGTGTAGTTCTAGTCTAAACCCCAAGACCTGAGAATCATGGAAGCCAATGGTCTAAGCTGTGGTTTGAGTCCAAAGGTCCAAGAACCAGGAGCACTGATGTCCAAAGGCAAGAGAAGATGGATGTCCTAGTTTGAGCAGAGGCGGCCAATTCACCCTTTCTCCACCTGTTAGTTCTATTCAGGTCTACAACAAATTGGCCGATGCCCACTCACATTAATGAGAGCAATATTTACCCAGTCTACCGATTCAAATGCTAATCTCTTCCAGAAACACCCTCACAGACACACCTGGAAATCACATTTTACCAGCTATCTGAGTGTCTCTTAGCCTAATCAGGTTGACATATTAACCATCATAATTATCTGTTAAAACTAAATTGAAATAATAGTTAAAAAAAGGGGACAGATACAGGTAACTCAAGGGGATCCCCCCAGTAGTATATTTTTAAGACTCTTCCTAATTTTATTTGGTGTTCTTGGAAATTTGCAATTTTTATCATATATTACCGAAGGGAGAGATAAAAATACTTTTATTTCTGCACATGAAAACTTTAACTTCTGCACATAAGGGTCATCTAAAAGTACTTGATTCACATGTGATAGGCTTAGAAAAAAAACACATATCCTTCAGCTGAACTGTAACATTAAATATTCCTATGATTTTGAATAGAGCATCTATTTGCCTCATTTCTCTCAGTTCCAGTCAGAATGCATGCTGCATAATGCATCAAAGTTATATTTATTTAAAGCCTATTAGTCACACAAGCTCTTTGTGGAGATGCTGGAAGAATTTTTTTGAAAATTGGGAAATTGATTTTATGGTCTAGTTTTCATCCCCTCTGTATATCCCTATAACAATGGGATAGCCTAAGATCATTTTCAACAATTTTCTCTAAAATCAACACCCTGAATGTACTGGTTCTAAGAGCAAAGGGCATATGGTTACATTTTACATAAAAATCTGTAAGGAAAGAGAATTTGAGCAGCTCCCAACTAGAGACCAGGAGTCCTCAAGGCTCCTGCCGTTGAATCTACCATATATATTTTAGAGGGAAAATGACTGAGGACTGTGAAATAGCAGCTTAATAACCTTTGAAACTGCTAAACATAAATAGTAACAAGAAAAAGGATCACATAAAGCAAGTTATACAAATAATCACCTAAGTAATCTCCCCTTCCCTCCCAAATGTAGAGGAGAGAGGGGCCCCAAATGTTTCAGAATGAGAGATCATCACAGAACATTATCAGTGGTGAGATTTCTGGCAGCCCGACCTTTTTCTATCTTTGCCTTCCGAATTCTAGGATAGAGAGTGTCATGTCTGAGCCTGTTTGGTTCAAAGATGATAAAGATAATTCAAAGGAAAGTAAGTGGACTTCTAAGCTCCTAAGGGGACACAGGCCAGAATAATACCTGTGTTAATCCACCCATTAATTTTTAAAAATTTGAGATATCATATTTTTCATCTCTAGAAGTTCCGTTTAATTCTTTTCTGTATCTTCCATGTTTCTCCTCACTGTGTTTAGGTTTTCCTTAAAACTCTTCTATTCTAAAGTCCTTGTCTGCTTATTCAATCATTTGCTATAATTTCTGGGTCTGTTTCTATTGACTGATTTTTCTACTGGTTATATGTCACTCCCTGCTTCTTTGACTATCTAGTACCTTTTCATTGGATGCTGAACATTAAGTTTGTGTTGTTGAGTGCTGGATTTGCTGTGTTCCTTTAAAGGGTGTTTGTCTTTTCTGGCAGACAATTAAATTTCCTTTATTCACGGGTGGCATGATTGTATATATAAAATATTCAGGAACTATAAAAGAGCTATAAAAGCTAATGCACTTAGCAAGGTTACAGGACACAAGGTTGATATTAAAAACTCAATCACTCCAGATATTAGACCCAGCTTATTTTGTGTAATGACTACAATGAAAAAACATGTATAGAAATAATATCATTCAGATAGTATTCATATTGTTTGATTGAATGTATAGTACACAAAATATACAGTAAATATTACAAGTGGAAATTAAACTGAAAGATGCTGTCATTCAACATAAGGTGTTAAAAGTCAGTTATAAATCAATTTTCTTCTTTTCTTTTTCCTTTTTTTTTTTTTTGAGATGGAGTTTTTGCTCTTGTCACCCAGGCTGGAGTGCAGTGGCGCGATCTCGGCTCACTGCAACTTCTGCCTCCCATGTTCAAGCAAATCTCCTGCCTCAGTCTCCGGAGTAGCTGGGACTACAGGCGCCCGCCACCATGTCCAGCTAATTTTTGTATTTTTAGTAGAGACGGGGTTTCACCATGTTGGCCAGGATGGTCTCGATCTCCTGACCTTGTGATCTGCTTGCTTCGGGCTCCCAAAGTTCTGGGATTACAGGCATGAGCCACCACGCCCAGCCTGTAAATCAATTTTCAAGAAACATAGTTATTTGTAGAAATAATTACTTTTTTCAAAAAGTAAAGAGAATAAAAATTAAGCAATTATCGCCCAACATTCTTTTTTTTCTTTTTTCTTTCTTTTTTTTTTTTTTTTTTTTAAGACAAGGTCTCACTCTGTTACCCAGGCTGGAGTGCAGTGGCATGAACATGGCTCACTGCAGCCTTGACCTCACAGGTTTAAGTAAGCCTCCCACCTCAGTCTCCTGAGTAGCTGAGACAGTAGGTACACACCACCTTGCCTGGCTAATTTTTTTATTTTTTGTGTAGACTGGGTCTCACCATGTTGCCCAGGCTGGTCTCAAACTCCTGGACTGAAGCAATCCTCCCACCTCAGCCTCACAAAATGTTGGGATTAGAGGTGTGAGCCATGCCTGGCAACCCCAACATGCTTACACCTTTGACAAGCATTTGCCCTTGAGCACAAAAATGTTTATTAAATTCTACTTTCTGCACTAAAAATAATATATCTAAATCAACTGAGAACTATTTTTTGGTTTTCTAAAATTTGAATTCATTAATTCATTCGATCAATATTTGCTGAATGTTATTATACGGGGCTGGCAGGATAGACAGATAAATCAGACACTGCTCTTGTTCTCAAGAAGTTTACAAATGAAAGAGGAAATGAAATATAAAAGTAAACTTGATACAAGATTAAAGATGTCATTATCACCTCTACCCTGCTCCTATCTCTATAAAGGCAATCTCTCCTCACGCCTTCCTTCAATTTAGCCTCAGATATGGCAAAAAGAAAACAAATAGACAGCACAGGATGACTGCTGGGCTGCTTCCTTGATTACCTTCTTTTGTCATCCTTTAGTCTCTCTGCCCTGGTGTTCTGATTTTAGCTGTGGTTATACATTCGTAGACTCCTCCTTGTTGTAATAAACAGTTGAGATCCATTCATTCATTAACAATTATTGAGTGCCCATTATGGGTCAGGCCCAATTCTGGTGCTGCAGACAGAGACAGCAGTGAAGTGACCAAGGCAGATGCTGTCTTTTGGACCTCACCCCTCACCCTATTTTACCTTGAGTTTCGACATTGTGTACCCCCATCATCTGGGGTCACCTAGGTTCCAAGAAACTGGTATATTCCCTGCTGGCCTCAGCCCTGAAGCACCCTTCTCCCTTAGACGGTAGGAAAGTAACAAAGGGCAAAGATGAGGGGTGGGAAATGACTTACTTTATTAAAAAGCACAACCCCTGATGGTCTAGAGAGGTTTATGCAAGTGTGTGCATATACAAATACACACACACATACACACACACACACAATGATTAAAGGCTATGTGTATATTTATTTATTCATTCATTCATTCATTTTTATTTTCAGAGAGAAAGTCTCACTATGTTGCCCAGGTTGGACTTTAACTCCTGAGCTAAAAAGATCCTCCTGATTTGGTTTCCTGAGTAGCTAAGACTAGAGGCATGCACCACCATATCCTGCTTTTTTTTTTTTTTCCTATTCCCATTTCCCCTTTGAGCCAGGAGGGTAATATGAAATGTACCTGTAATTGATTTTTGGTTTTGGAAATTGCCAACAAATATCCCTTCTCTAAGTCCTGTGTCCCTCCCTACCTCCTGACAGTAGGCCCCTGCATACCTATATATCCCTAACCCCTTATACAGTGATAACTGATCAAATTAGCATAAAGCATGGCCATCTGACTCACGTAACATCAGTTAGATTCTGCTTTCCAAGAATTTGAATTGATACTTAAAGGCCATTATTACTCTGCTGGGAACTTTTAAAGCTAGGGCTAGAGGGGCCATACTTAACCTGAGTTCAAGTGGAACAGAAAAGGGTGGTAGCAAAGACAAAAGTGAAAGGAGCCTTTACCCAGAAGCAGGCAGAGGTAAGTAGCTATGTGGCCCAAAGGAACATAGATGGCAGCTCTCGCCTTGCCAGTGGGTTCTGCTTTGGATCCTTTGAGAGCCCTGGCAACATTTCCAGCCCATGAGTTCTGTGGCTATCATTCTATCTTTCCAACAATCTTCCATCTTTTTTTTTTTTTTGGTTGTTGTTGTTTAAATTGGTTGATTTTGTTTCTTTTTCCTGAAATCAACTATTCTCTAAAATACATTTCACTGTTCTGGCTAATGTGATTTTTGAGTAATTTCTACTATTTCCCAATGATTAATTAATTTGAGAACTCGAGCTTACACATCCAGTAAAGGCCAGAGAAAATGCCACTAAAGAGAATTCAGCTGATATTTGTGGAGACAAAAACCTGTCCCAGGATGTTATGGATTGCGTATTTGTGTCCTTCTCAAATTCTTATGTTGAAGCCCTAACTTCCAATAAGCATGCACACTCATGTGTATGCTCTTTTGCTCTTCCACCTTCTGCCATAGGATGATGCAGAATGAAGATCCTTGCCAGATGCTGACACCATGCTCTTGGATCTCCCATCCTCCAGAACTGTGAGCCAAATAAATTACTTTTCATTATAAATTCTCCAGTCTGTGGTATTATGTTATAACAACATAAAATGGGATAAGACAACCAATAGTATTAGAAATGCTAATTCAATACTTCTCTTTTATGCTGTTTTGTTAACGTGGTTCATTGATTTGGGGGGATATAATATACATTTTTAAAATGTAAACATCAGCCAAAAAAACTATTGAGTCACTCAGAAATGAAGAAGAGATAATAAGAGAAAAGAAACAAACAAAAAACTATTGAGGAATATGTACGTTTTGCTAAGTTTGGGTAATAAATCCAAGAGGAAAATTTCTGCTGGGACATTGGTAACTGGGGTATACAGGGCAGGCCTGTACATGTGAAAACACTATAAAATGGAGGCACTTGCCAGTACAACTTCTACCTTTTATATAAAGAACATCACCTAAAGCATATAAGAGAAAGAAAATCAGGCAAAGCAAGCAGAACCTGATAATACAAATGGAAGAATATGAGCAATAGTCTTTGATATCTGATGGGTGATTTTCAATTTACAAAGCACTTCCAGGCACATTATCTCTGGATTGCCATAAAATTCTCACGAGGCAGGAAAGGTGTTTTTCTTATCTCTCTTTCTCTTCTGAGGAACCTGAGTTTCAGCCAAGTTAAGAGGCCAGTCAAAAGTCACACACCTGGCCTCCTCTGACCCCAGGTTTCTTTACATTAGTTCTCAAGTTATACTTTGAAAGGCAGGAATCTGCACCTTCATCAATCTCTAATCAACTGCCTTTGCCTGGCACGTGGTGCCCCACTGAGTGTATTCTATTGGTCTCAAGTTAATAAGGAGATCTCTCTACCATAATGTTCCTGTAACAGAAAAAAATTCTATTTGCTTTCCAAAGAAGAGAAGAGTTGGCAGTTATAAGGCTACGGGCCTGGTCCAAGACAAAATGATAAGAAACTACAATCTGCCTTGGCCTTCCTCTCCAGTGTCCCGTAAGATCTTTACAGGCCATCGCCTTCCCAGAAGCTCCACTGCAAGGACCCACTCTACCTTTCCCAGACAATGATTCCTCCTAATCCCTCTATTTCCCCTCACAGATGTACAGAATTACGGGCTTGGATAGGACCATAGTGGTAGTTCCAGTCAAGATAGGGTATGCTTCAGAAACAAATGAGCCCTAAATCTCAGGGGCTTAACACAACAAAACTCATGTCTCATTCACACTACACGTCTGATCAGGTCAGCTCTGTTCCCTGGGTTCACTCAGGATCTCAGACTAACAGAAGCATCACCTTGACATTGACCCCATGATGACTAACATAGCATCTGCTTGGAAGTGACACACATCACCGCTATTCATGTTCCTTTGGCCCAAATCAATCACACATCAGTGTTTAGCTTCAAAGAGGTGGAAAGTATGATCCTACTGAGGGCATGCTGGGGGAAGCAGAACATTGGTAACCAAACTAATGACAACCATGGAGCCCATGCCCTATTTGATGTTTGAGTCTCCCAGAAACAGTCCCACAAAGAGTTCCAACCTTCATCTAAACTTCTCCTGTGACTGGAAGCTCCCTGTCTCATAAACACCTGACTTAATTTGAAGGGAGCACCTTCTTAAAAATAATCAAATTTGTCCTCCATCTAAATTTTGCTGTCTAGTATTCACTCTTTCCTCAGGGTCTTGGGATAAATTATTAATTTATTAAATGAATAAAAGATCTTCAAACATTTGATGAGAGCTATTCTACTTATATATTTACTCATTTAATGACATTAGATCCCTGCCCTCCAAGAGATCTTGGGTGTAAAGTGCAGTATATGATAGCATGGGATATGGCATAGACAATTTCCTAATGTCATTTGAGGAAAAATCGAGAACCTTCAAATGAGTGGGATGGGTTCAAGGGAGTCTGTAGAGATGGCTTTCTGGAGAAAGACAGTTGATGCTGGCACAATAAGAGAGGAGCCACCCCAGAAGATGAGAATGTACAGAGGAAACAACTTGTATTAGGTAATCTAGGTGTGAAACTGCATGATGCATCCATGGAATTATAAGGAAGTCTGGAAAGCAAGATGTCTTTTGGGAAGGGACTTGAGACAAGGTGAGCATCAAATCATGGAGAGCCCTGGGGCTAAGGGGAGGGATCTGGAATCATGGAACCTATTTAAGAATTTTAAGCATAAAATTAACATGAGCTGATTCACATCTTAGCACAACCACCTGGCTGTAGGGTCATAATGAAGAACAGAAGACCAGCCTGAGTCTGAGAGAGAAATTGCAGCCATCGTGGTTGGAGCCATGAGGCCAGAGCAAAGGCGATGATCTTGCAAAGAAGGGGGCAGATTGGAGAGGAGGAGATGGAATGGACAGCACTTGGTAATTAATTGCAAAAGCAGAGGCAGCCTATGGTGGGGGACTAAGATGTCTCTCAGCCTTCTGCCATGGGCAACTAGGTGGATGGTGGTGTCATTCACTGAGGTAGGGACATTCAAGGAGATTGGTGGGAGAAACTCATAGTTTCTTGAGTTCAGTTTCGAACAGGTTGAGTGTAAGTTGCTGATGTGCCCTAGTGGTAATGCATTAGGCAGTTTGCTGTATCTATCAAGAGAGGGTGGGCCAGAGATTATACATTAGGGAGTCATTAGTCTGCTACTAATTATTGAACACAAACCATACTTTTTCTACACATGAAGGGGAGTAAATATACACTACTTTATCAATTTGCCATATTCCTTTCATCAATGAAAAGAGTCAAACACTGTAAAATATTTGAAGAGATTTATTCTGAGCCAAATATGAGTGACCAATGGCCCTTGAGAGATCTTGAGAACATGTGTCCAAGGTGGTTGAACTACAAGTTGGTTTTATACATTTTAGGAAGACATAAGATATCAATAAATACATGTAAGGTGTACATTGGCTCAAACTAGAAAGGCAGCACAAATGAATGCAAGAGCTTCCAGATCATAGGTAGATTCAAAGATTTTCTGATTGGCAATTGGTTGAAAGAGTTAAGTTATTGTCTAAAGACTTAGCGTCAATGGAAAGGAATGTCTGGTTTAAGATGAGAGGTGTGGAGACCAAAGATTTTTCATACAGAAGAAGCCTCCAGGTAGCAGGCTTCGGAGAGAATAGATTGTAAACATTTCTTATCAGACTTAAAATTTGTTCTATCAGTAATTCCAAAAGGGAGGAAGATATAATGAGGCATGTCTGGGCTCCCCTTCCCATCATGGCCTGAACTAGTTTTTTAGGTTAACTTTGGGATGCTGTTGGCTGAGAAAATGGGTTCGTTCAGGTGCTTAGTGGGCTTAGAATTTTATTTTGGTTTACATTTGCCAGTGGCCAGATTAGCCACATCTACTGTCTACAGTTTCTTCTTCTTAGACTCAAAGAACGTGAAAGCCTTAACCACAATTAGTGTCTTGCTTGGTAAGCACAGAATTCAACCACAGGAAAATGGAGAGTCATGAGAAATATTTCATCCAAACACACAAAGGTCTGATGAGTCATCCCTTCTCCACAATGGAGAACATCTCTGGAATAGTTCAGATGCTCACTTCTCCTACACCTAGGTTTTTTTCTCTCCCCTGCCTGTGCCAAACAACTGTCATACACTTACTTTTTTCTATCCTACAGAATGTCTATGATCTTTCTTTTTAATCACGTTTATATTTTTCATTCTGGTTACATACATTGATGAAGTTACAACTCAGACCTGCAAATGTTGAAGTATATTATAGGGACTGAACATGGGTTAACATTTTTAAAGCTCAAGTATTCTTGAAAACTACCCATCACACACTTCACTTCCAGATGTTTCCCTGAAGTACTGGAGCTAATCTGATTCATCAAATGTTTGATATTTCTAATCTCATTCTTAATGGGAAACCTGAACTTCAGGATTGCAGGCTGCTTCACTGTCACTCTGTGGCATAATAAAAAATATATTTTGTCTTTGTCCCTGATTCCTGGCACACAGCTTCTAAAACCCTTGGGATTTCCTAAATGGTAGGAGTATATTTTGTTACTCATAATAAGTCCCTTTTGACCACATCTGAGTTTATGCTAACAAGGTAACTTGGAGCGGGAGTGGGGGTGCGGGGGTTTGGACAGTTTTAGGATAAGGACTGGTCACCAGAAAGACCAGAGACGTGATTAAAGGATGGGAACTTTCAGCCCCACCATACCCCAACATCTGGGAGAAGAGAGGGGCTAGAGGTTGAGTTATAAACACTCATGAACAAGATTCAGAAAGCTTCCAGACTGGCAAACACATCAATGTTCCGGGAAGATGGCAGGCCCAGAGTGGGTGTGGAAACTGGGCATTAATAAACCCCCCCATATCTTGCCATATGGCTGGTTCTGAATTGTATCCTTTATAATAAATTGTTTTTCTGAGCTTTGTGAGTCATTCTAGCAAATTACTAAAGCTGGCGGTCATGGGAATCCATGTAAGCAGAAATATGGGTAGTATTGGCACCCCTTTGCAGGCATCTGAGGTGGAGCAGTCTTATGGAACTGCGCCATTAATTTATGGGGTCCACACTAACACTTGATAGTGTCAGAATTGAATTGAATTGTTGGACACCAAGTTGGTGTCATAGAATTGGAGAATTGGCATGGAAAAAATCCACACATTTGGTATCAGAAGTGGTGTCAAAAGAATCACCATCCACACCCTTCTAATAAAAGCCATAAAATCTTTACTGAGCTCAACAAATATCTCATCATAAAAAGAAAACTTTTATCACCAGCTGTCAATTATTTAGGACATCAGCAACTATTAGTCATATCTTCAGAAGATGTGATTTGTTGGAGCTAAGGGAGGCTAGTCAAACTGATGCGGACACAATGATAGAAACTAGTAAGTACATAAAGCCCTTCCTCACCTTAGGGAGATGCAGCAGGAGCTGTCCTGGTGCCTCAAGAAGTCTTTGTACTCTGCTCTGAACAGATCTCTTAGCCAATTTCTGCTTCTCGCTGCAGTTATTTTAGATTCAAATGCTATGCTTGAATTATCTGTTGGCTTTCAGTCCCAGATTGGCCTGAAGACCCTGCCTTTTGCTTTCTCTTGACTGTAAACATTGCCACCCTGTGATCAGTCTAGACTCCCCTCCATATCAGACTAAGCTCCTTGAATCTTGAAGAACCTTGGCAAGTGCTTATCTGGGAGAGGACTATAGACAGAGTTTATTTTAAGAGATACTGACAAATAGAGAAATTTTGATCATGATGACAAAGGAGAGAAAGGAATTTTATACCACATGAGACATTAGTAAAGATCTTGGAGATGTTTAGTCTTGGAGAAAGAAAAAATGGAGGGGAAACTGCATAGTGACTTTCAAAAATCCAAAGTCAGTTGACAGGAAGATCATAACTTGCATCTACTGTTGAACAAGTCAAAGAAGCAGATTTCTATTGAACATCAGAACTGCTCTGAAATTCTGCCCCAAAAGTTAGAGCATCCTCCCACTACCATTGAAGTATTTCCGGTTGAGGAAAATGACTGAGCTGTCAAGGTTGCCATAGAAAGGGTTGTAGATTGCTTTTAAAGGCCTTGCTGAGCCACTCTAGAGTTCTCCTATGTGGACTCACAACACGAGGGTTATAATTCCAGTCACATAAGCACTGATTCAAAATAAAAGGAAAGAAGAAAAACACATCTTTAAAAGTTCAAATAGTTTTCAAATATTTTCTCCCATTCTGTAGATTACCTTTTCACTCTGTTGGTTGTTTCTTTTGCTGTACAGAAGCTTTTTAGTTTGATATAATCCCATTTGTTTATTTTTGCTTTTGTTGCCTGTGCTTTTGAGATCTTACTCATACAAATTTTTCCCAGACCAATATACTGAATGAAACATTTCCCCTATGATTCCTTCTGGTAGTTTTATAGTTTTGGGTCTATGTTTAGGTGTTTGATGAATTTTAAGTTTATTTTTCTATAGGATAAAAGGCGGGGGTGGTGGGGAAGGTCTGGCTTCATTCTCCTGCATAGGGATATCCAGTTTTCCCCAGCATCATCTATTGAAGAGGTTGTCCTTTCCCAAGTGAGCATTCTTGGCGCCTTTGTCAGGAGTCAGTTGGCTGTGGAGATGTGGATTAATTTCTGAATTTTCTATACTGTTCCATGAATCTATATGTCTGTTTTTATGCCAGGACCATGATGCTTTGGTGACTACAGCTTTGTAGTATTTTGAAGTCTGGTGGTGTGATGCCTCCAGCTTTGTTCTTTTTGCTCAGGAATGCTTTGGCTATATCCAGAATATACAAGGAACTCAAACATCTCAATAGAAAATGAACAATCCAATTTAAAAATGAGCAAATTATCTGAACAGACATTTCCCCAAAGAAGACATACAAAAGGCCACCAAATATATGAAAAACTGCTCAGCATTACTAATCCTCAGGGAAATGTAAATCAAAACCCCAATGAGGTATCATCTAACCTCAGTTAGGATGACTATTATCACAAAGACAAAGAATAGCTAATGCTAGAGAGGATGTGGATAAAGTGGAACTCATGTACTATTGGTGGAAATATAAACTAGTACAGCCATTATAAAGTATAGTATGGAGGGTCCTACAAATAGAACTGTTATATGATCCAGCAATCCTACTACTGGGCATTTATCCAAAGGAAAGTGATACGGTTTGGCTGCGTCCCCACCGAAATCTCATCTTGAATTCCCAGCATTGTGGGAGGGACCAGGTGGGAGGTAATTGAATCATGGAGGCATCTTTTTCGTGTTGTTCTCGTGATAGTGAATAAGTCTCACGAGATCTGATGGTTTTAAAAATGGGAGTTTCCCTGCACAAGCTCTTCTCTCGTTCCACCGCCATCTAAGAAATGCCTTCCACCTTTTGCCATGATTGTGAGGCCTCCCCAGCCACGTGGAATTGTGAGTCCAATAAACTTCTTTCTTTTGTAAATTGCCCACTCTTAGGTATGTCTTTATCAGCAGCGTGAAAAGGGACTAATATAGTAAACTGGTACCAATAGAGTGGGGCATTGCTGAAAAGATACCCAAAAATGTGGAAGCGACTTTGGAACTGGGTACCAGGCAGAGGTTGGAACAATTTGGAGGGCTCAGAAGAAGATAGGAAAATGTGGGAAAGTTTGGAACTTCCTAGAGACTTGTTGAATGGCTTTGACAAAAATGCTGATAGTTATATAAACAATAAGGTCCAGGCTGAGGTGGTCCAGGATGAGGAACTTGTTGGGAACTGGAGCAAAGGTGACTCTTGTTATGTTTTAGCAAAGAGACTGGTGGCATCTTGCCCCTGCCCTAGAGATTTGTGGAACTTTGAACTTGAGAAAGATGATTTAGGGTATCTTGCAGAAGAAACTTCTAAGCGGCAAACCATTCAAGAGGTGGCTTGGGTGCTGTTAAACACACTCAGTTATAAGCAGAGCATAAAAGTTCAGAAAATTCACATCCTGGCAATATGATAGAAAAGAAAATCCCATTTTCTGAGGAGAAATTCAATCTGGCTGCAGAAATTTGCATAAGTAATGAAGAGCCGAATGTTAATCTCCAAGACAATGGGGAAAACATCTCCCAGGCAGGTCAGAGTTCTTCATGGCAGCCCCTCCCATCGCATGCCTGGAGACCTAGGAGGAAAAAGTGGGTTCATAGGCTGGGCCCCAGGTCCCCATGCTGTGTGCAGCCTAGGGACTTGGTGCCCTGCATCCCACCTTTTCCAGCCATGGCTGAAAGGGGCCAATATAGAGCCCAGGCCATAGCTTCAGAGGATTCAAGCCCCAAGCCTTGGCAGCTTCCAGGTGGTGTTGAGCTTACAAGTGCACAGAAGTCAAGAACTGGGGTTTGGGAACCTCTCCCTAGATTTCAGATGTATGCAAACGCCTGGATGCCCAGGCAGAAGATTACTGCTAGGGCAGGGATCTCATAAAGAACCTCTGCTAGGGCTGTGCAGAAGGGAAATGTGGGGTTAGAGCCCTCACACAGAGTCCCTACTGGGGCATCGCCTAGTTGAGCTGTGAGAAGAGGGTCACTATCCTCCAGACCCCAGAATGGTAGATCCACAGACAGCTTGCACTGTGTGCCTGGAAAAGCCACAGACACTCAATGCCAGCCCATGAAAGAAACCAGGAGGGAGGCTGTACCCTGCAGAGGCACAGGGATAGAGCTTCCCAAGACCATGGGAACCCACCTCTTGCATGAGCATGACCTGGCTGTGAGACATGGAGTCAAAGGAGATCGTTTTGGAGCTTTAAGATTTGACTGCCCAGCTGGGTTTTGGACTTGCACGGTGCCTGTAGCCCCTTTGTTTTGGCCAATTTCTCCCATTTGGAGTAGCTGTATTTACCCAATGGCTTTATTTACCCAATACCTGTACCCCCATTGTATCTAGGAAGTAACTAACTTGCTTTTGATTTTACAGGTTCATAGAAGGAAGGGACTTGCCTTGTCTTGGATGAGACTTTGGACTATGAATTTTTGATGTAATGCTGAAATGAGTTGAGACTTTGGGGGACTGTTGGGAAGGCATGATTGGTTTTGAAATGTGAGGACATGAGATTTGGGAGGGGCCATGGGTGGAATGATATGGTTTGGCTGTGTCCTCACGCAAATCTCATCTTGAATTCCCATGTGTTGTTGGAGGGACCTGGTGAGAGGTAATTAAATCATGGGGGCAAGTCTTTTATGTGCTGTATAATGTGAATGGGTCTTACAAGAGCTGATGGTTTTAAAAACAAAAGTTTCCCTGCACAAGCTCTTCCCTCTTGCCACCACCACGTAAGAAATGCCTTTCACCTTCCACCATGATTGTGAGGCCTCCCCAGTCATGTAGAACTGTGAGTCCAATAAACTTCTTTCTTTTATAAGTTGCCCAGCCTTGGATATGTCTTTTTCAGCAGAGTGAAAATGGACTAATTAAAAAAGGAAATCTGTATATTTGAAGAGACATCTGTATCCTCATGTTTATTGCAGCTCTATTGACAATAGCCAAGATATAAAGTCAGTTTAGATGTCCAACAACAGATGAATGCCTTTTTAAATGTAGTCTGTATACACAATGGGATATGATTCAGCCATAAAAAAAGAAAGAAATCCTTTCATTTGAGGCAACATGGATGGAACTGGAGGGCATTATGTTAAGTGAAATAAGCCAGAAACAGAAATTTAAACACTACATGTTCTCATTCTTATGTGGAAGCTAAAAAAAGTAGATCTTATAGAAACAAAAAGTTAAACAGAGGATAGTGGAGCCTGGGAAGGATGGGGTAAGGGAGCGACAGGGAGAGATGTGTTAAAGGATATAAAATTACATATAAAGTTACAGCTAGATAGATAGAATAAGTTCCAGTATTCTCTACCACTGTAGCATAACTATACTTAATAATAATATATAGTCTTAAATAGCTAGAGGAATGTTCCCAACACAGAGAAATAATAGGTATTTGAGATGATAGATATGCTATTTGCCCCAATCTGATCACTATACACTATGTGTCTCAAAACATCCCTACATACCACATGAATATGTACAATCATTATATGTCAATTAAAGAATAAAATAAAAACATGTTCAAATAAATAAAATTAATTTGGAAGCCTAGTATCCAGGTTGAGCAAGTAAGTTGAAAACAGTAGGACCATTGAAGATGTGAAGAAGTGATGAATACAAGAATCCTTATAATTAAGTAGGTTATGTGCCTTAAAGAAACTCTGTGTGACTCTGTAGAATAGTAATCACTGAAATGTGTAGTTACCAAAAGCAGTGAAACAAGATGACACATGTTCAGTTTCTCTAGAAACAAACAATTAGTTGTGTGGAAGAAATGAAATAATAGAGTCCAGACTGTCCTGACTGTTTGTTCCTGGGGCAGAGGTTTTCTTCAGGATAGCACGGCAGGGTGCATCTTCCTAATACCTGCTGGGTGAGAAAAAAGTGGAGATTTGTAACCCCCATCAAAGAGAACCTCACCTTCCTACTTATTAGTGCCAGAAATAATTCCTCCAGGGTCATCCTTGGAGGAACAATGGAAAGAGGAGGAGGAATCAAGCCCAGCAATGCCAAGACGTCACTGTTTCAACACACTCACACCTGCCTCTTTTGATGAAATGACACTTCAGGGGGTCAGAGGTGGGCTTATTCTTTCAGCTATGTCCTGAATGAACGCACAGTAGGGAGGCCCTAGTTCTAAACAATTGTGAGCAATTATTGACTGTAATAAAAACAAAACTGCCATCAAAAAAAACTGTTCCTCGTTGCATGCTACCCCTCCTATTCCTTAGAAGTTATTACATGAAATGGACTTGCCAGCCCAGTATGTTGTCACTCTTGCATCTTCACATGACTCTGCCTCGTTGTAATCATCACCACCTTTTTTTTTCTTGAGTCCTTGAAGCAAGAATGGATCAAGGGAATAATTTAATTCTAGCGCCCTCTGCTGGTCCTGTAGAAGGGCAAGATGTCTGAAACTACATCAGTACTTGCCACATTGTTCACTACCGAAAAGCCGTTTTATTATTTTATTAACTCCAGAGACGTCACATTTTGAAATTTTTCTTTCAGAAAAACTCTGTCTATTACGTATTTATTAGTCTACCAGTTTGCATCTATTAAAGTCATAGAAAACTGCCAATCAGAACTTGTGACCAACATGCAGTAACCAAGCTTACTACACAAAGGTTATGTATTTCTAGTTCAACATAAAAATTCATACTTTACCTAGCCTGTAAAATATTGTTGGTAAGTGTGCAATTTCTGTGACTTTTTAACATATTGCACATAACTTAAGGACCTGGTTCCTACACAGAGATCCAGGGACCCCAGGTTTTGAACCATAGAGTCAGAATGTCTATCTCAGTACCTAAACAACAGGCATGTTTCTGACATATTCTTACTTTACTAGTAAGCACTTCTGGATGATCGCTAAATGTTTCTTGTTACTTGCATATAATTCTTCAAATTACTTTGGTGTGTTAACTGGTCATATCGTGGCCTAGGTTTTCAGGTAACAGGTTAGCAACAGCGATGAACAGCAGAGTGGGGGTGGAGATGGTATCTAGGAGGTGGCATACATAGGTACATGATTAGCGATATCTGAAATCCAATTCTCAGTTGCCTTCTTGCCCCATTGCCCTCCAACTGCATTACAGGATGGTCTCACAAACAGAAAGTTGATGTATTCACAGGAGAAAAGAGAGGGAGATGGCACAACATGGTAGACTCAGCAGAGTATGTGAATGGGGCCCGGGGGGAGAAAGGCAGGGGAGTGAGACAGTCAAGAAATAGGGGAGGGATAGCATTAGGAGATATACCTAATGTTAAATGACGAGTTAATGGGTGCAGCACACCAACATGGCACATGTAATATATATGTAACAAACCTGCATGTTGTGTACATGTACCCTAAAACTTAAAGTATAATAAAAACAAAGAAATAGCCAAGGAGGCCTCTGAGGCCAGAGACTCATTGTTCTCACCATGGCGACTGACACAATACCTGAACTCATACTAGGCTCTCAAACATTTGGAAAATTTCTGCAGGTATCATGCTTACTTCTCCTAGAAAAGCTCTTAGCTAGGTACAAAGCTTTACCACTGACACTAATAATCAAGACTGCTAAGATGATAATCAAAAGTAGCTTGTTCAGTGGTAGAATTGAGCTTGCTATGTGGCTGTATTTTGTACAGAAATGGCTGTATGTTTTCGAAAAAGATGAATGTGTCTCAGAGTGATTTTCAATGTGTGATTTTTTTCTTTTAAAGTAAAATTTCATTGCAATATAACATGCAAATGGAAAGGTACACAAAGTGAACACAACTACCTAACCAGAACTCAGATCAAGAAACAGATCATTCCAGCACCCAGAAGACCTCGTTGTGTCTCCTTCCTGTCATTCGCCACAGCCCCATCCCTGCTATCCTAACTTCTATGCCGTAGATGAATTTTGCCTATTTTTATAATATACACACATACACATACATGAATATATACTCTTCTGTGTCAAGTTTCTTTTGCTCAACATTATTTTGTGAGGGAAATTCATGTTGTTAGTTGCAATTTATTCTCATTGCTATATTAATAAATGTACCACAATTTTTAATCGATTCTTATGATGAGTTGACTCCAGTTACTATTCTAGCTACTGTTCTGAATTGTGCTGGTATGAGCATCTATACACATTTGTTTTGCATGCATATATACCCTTTTTTGTTAGGTATTTGCCAAGTGGTGTAATTGCTGGATCACAGGACATAGTATGTGCATACAATCAGCTTGCACAGGTGCTGCCAAAAGGTTTTGCAATGTGATTGTGCTGATTTTGTATTAGTTTTTGTGCAAAGCTAGATGCCAGAGATGTTTAGAGAGGATAAAGAACAGGGAGTGAGAATATTGTCCCTAGGCCTATGATTTGGAGCCTAAGGGGATTTGATGGAAAAGAAGACAAAATAATCCTCAAAGGGATAGGCCCCGCCAATCATCAACTAATCACTGGAGTGGATCTGAAAGTCTACTTCCTAAGGGTGAGAAAGGAAGGCAGAATCATAATGCAAAAGGCAAAGGAGAAGGAGAAGATAAGGAAGAGGATCAAAATGGATGCTACCCCCAAATGTGAAGGCAATGCTAAAAATTTACCATCATTAAAAAGTGGCATTGTAGTGTCTCAAAACCCTGACCCCAACAGGGAAAATTAGAACCAGACTGCAGCAAAATATGAGGCCTGTAGTATACATTTGTATTGGTCTCAAAGTTTCATAAACTTGTTTGGGGCTTTGTGGGCACTCAGAGTTATTAACCAGGACAGCTCCTCTTTGTAATTTTGGAGTAATGCTTTTTACCACTGCTAGTATTCACAGGAAAACAATAAAAGCTTATTTTTGAGCTTCTCCATAAGATTTTTTTCTTTATTTCTTCTAAAAAAGAAAAAACAGGATACATGTGCAGAACATGTAGGTTTGTTACATAGGTATACATGTGCCATGGTGATCTGCTGCACCTATTTACCCATCCTCTAAGTTCCCTCCCCTCACTCCCCACCCTCCAATAGGCCCTGGTATGTGTTGTTCCACTCTCTGTGTCCATGTGTTCTCACTGTTCAACTCCCACTTATAAGTGAGAACATGTGGTGTTCAGTTTTCTGTTTCTGTGTTAGTTTGCTGAAGATGATGGCTTCCAGCTTTATCCATCCATGTTCCTGCAAAGGACCTGATTTCATTCTTTTTTATGGCTGCATAGTATTCCCTGGTGTATATGTACCACATTTTCTTTATCCAGTCTATCACTGATGGGCATTTGGGCTGGTTCCATGTTTTTGCTATTGTAAATAGTGCTGCAGTAAACATATGTGTGCATTGTCTTTATAGTAGAATGATTCATATTCCTTTGGGTATATACCTAGTAATGGGATTGCTGGGTCAAATGGCATTTCTGGTTCTAGATCCTTGAAGAATCGCCACACTGTCTTCCACAATGATTGAACTAATTTACATTCCCAACAGTGTAATAGCATTCCTATTTCTCCACAGCCACACCAGCATCTATTGTTTCCTGACTTTTTAATAACCATTCTGAGTGGTGTGAGATAGTATCTCATTGTGGTGTTGATTTTCATTTCTCTGATGATCAGTGACGTTGAGCTTTTTTTCATATGTTTGTTGGCCATGTAAATATCTTGTCTTGAGAAGTGTCTGTTCATATCCTTTGCCCACTTTTTGATGAGTTGCTTGTTTTTTTCTTGTAAATATGTTTAAGTTCTTTGTAAACTCTGGATATTAGACCTTTGTCAGATGGGTAGATTACAAAACTTTTCTCCCATTCTGTAGGTTGCCTGTTCACTCCGGTGATAGCTTCTTTTGCTGTTCAGAAGCTCTTTGGTTTAATTAGGTCCCATTTGTCAATTTTGTCTTTTGTTGCAATTGCTTTTGGTGTTTTTGTCATGAAGTCTTTGCCCATGCCTATGTCCTGAATGGTACTGCCTAGGTTTTCTTCTAGGATTTTTATGGTTTTGGGTTTTACATTAAATCTTTAATCCATCTTGAGTCCAATTTTTGTATAAGGTGTAAGGAAGGAGTCCAGTTTCAGTTATCAATATAGCTAGCCAGTTTTCTTAGAACCATTTACTGAGTAGGAGATCCTTTTCCCGTTGCTTGTTTCTGTCAGGTTTGTTAAAGATCAGATGGTTGTAGGTATGTGGTGTTATTTCTGAGGCCTCTTTTCTGCTCCATTGGTCTATATGTCTGTTTTGGTACTAGTACCATGCTGTTTGGTTATTATAGCCTTGTAATAGTTTGAAATCAGGTAGCACGATGCCTCCATCTTTGTTCTTTTTGCTTATGATTGTCTTGGCTATACGGGGTCTTCTTTGATTCAATATGAAAGTTAGAATTGTTTTTTTCTAATTCCATGAAGAATGTCAATGGCAGTTTGATGGGAATAGCATTGAATCTGTAAATTACTTTGGGTAGTATGGCCATTTTCACAATATTCATTCTTCCTATCCATGAGGATGGAATGTTTTTCCATTTGTTTGTGACCTCTCCTATTTCCTTGAGCTGTGGTTTGTATTCTTCTTGAAGAGGTCCTTCACATCCCTTGCTATCTGTATTCCTAGGTATTTTACTATCTTTGTAGTGATTGTGAATGGAATTCACAATCCTGTTTTGGCTCTCTGCTTGCCTATTGTTGATGTAAAGGGATGCTTGTGATTTTTGCCCATTGATTTTAGTATCCTGAGATTTGCTGAAGTTGCTTAACAGTTCAAGAAGTTTTTGGGCTGAAGTGATGGGGTTTTGTAAACATAAAATCATGTTGTCTGCAGAGACAACTTGACTTCCTCTCTTCCTTTTTGGATACCCTTTATTTCTTTGTCTTGCCTGATTGCCCTGGCCAGAACTTCCATTACTATGTTGAATAGGAGTGGTGAGAGAGGGCATCCTTGTCTTGTACCTTTTTTCAAAGGGAATGCTTCCAGCTTTTGCCTATTCAATATGATATTGGCTATGGGTTTGTCCTAAGTGGCTCTTATTATTTTGAGATATGTTCCACCAATACCTAGTTTATTGAGAGTTTTTAACAGGAAGCGATGTTGAATTTTATCAAAGACCTTTTCTGCATCTATTGAGATAATCATGCAGTTTTTGTCTTTTGTTCTGTTGATGTGATGGATTACATTTATTGATTTGCATATGTTGAACCAGCCTTGCATCCCAGAGATGAAGCCAACTTGGTCATGGCGGATAAGTTTTTTGAGGTGCTGCTGTATTTAGTTTGCCAGTATTTTACTGAGGATTTTCACATCAATGTTCCTCAGGGATATTGGCCTGAAGTTTTGTGTTTTTTGTTGTGTCTCTTCCTGGTTTTGGCATCAGGATGACGCTAGCTTCATAAAATGGGTTAAGGAGGAGTCCCTCCTTTTCAATTGTTTGAAATAGTTTCAGAAGGAATGGTACCAGCTCCTCTTTGTATTTCTGGTAGAATTCAGCTGTGAATCTGTCTGGTCCTGGGCTTTTTTGGGTTGGTAGGCTATTAATTACTCCCTTCTATTAGGCTATTAATTACTGCTTTATTAATTTCAGAGTTTGCTATTGGTCTATTCAGGGACTCAACTTCTTCCTGGTTTAGTCTTGGTAGGGTGTATGTATCCAGGAATTTATCCATTTCTTCTAAACTTTCTAGTTTATTTGCATAGAAATGCTCATAGTATTCTCTGATAGTAGGTTGGTACTTTATCATTTTTTATTGTGTCAGTTTGATTCTTCTCTGTCTTCTTCTTTATTAGTCTAGCTAATGATCTATCTATTTTGTTAATTTTTTCAAAAAAAACTGCTCCTAGATTCACTGATTTTTTTGGAGGACATGTCTCTATCTTCTCCAATTCTTCTCTGATCTTAGTTACTTCTTGTCTTCTGCTAGCTTTTGGATTAGTTTCCTCTTGCCTCTCTAGCTCTTATAATTGTGATATTAGGGTATTGATTTGAGGTCTTTCTTGCTTTCTGATGTGAGCATTTAGTCCTATAAATTTCCCTCTTAACCCTGCTTTAGCTGTGTCTCAGGGATTCTGGTATGTTGTCCCTTTGTTCTCATTGGTTTTAAAGAACTTCTTGATTTCTGCCTTAATTTCATTATTTACCCAGGAGTCATTCAAGAGCAGATTGTTCAATTTCCAGGAAATTGTGTGGTTTTGAGTGAGTTTCTTAATCCTGAGTTCTAATTTGATTTCACTGTGGTCTGAGAGACTGTTATGATTTCAGTTCTTTTGCATTTGCTGAGGAGTGTTTCACTTCCAATTATATGGTCAATTTTAGAATAAGTGCCATGTGGCACTGAGAAGAATGTATATTCTGTTGACTTGGGGTAAAGGGTTCTGTAGACATTTACTAGGTCCACTTGATCCAGAGCTGAGTTCAAGTCCTGAATATCCTTGTTAATTTTCTGTCTCATTGATCTGTCTAATACTGACAGTGGGATGTTAAAGTCTCCCACTATTATTGTGTGGAAGTCTAAGTCTCTAAGAACTTGTTTTATGAATCTGGGTGCTCCTATATTGCATGCATATATATTCAGAAGAGTTAGCTCTTCTTGTTGAATTGTTCCCTTTAACATTATGTATGCCCTCCTTTGTCTTTTTTGATCTGTGTTGGTTTAAAGACCTGTTTTGTCAGAGACTAGGATTGCAACCCCTGCTTTTTATTTTCTTTCCATTTGCTTGGTAAATTTTCCTCCATCCCTTTATTTTGAGCCTGTGAGTGTCTTTGTATATAATATGGGTCTCCTGAATACAGCACACCAATGGGTCTTGACTCTTTATCCAATTTGCCAGTCTGTGTCTTTTAATTGGGGAATTTAGCCCATTTACATTTAAGCTTAGTATGGTTATGTGTGAATTTGATCCTGTCGTCATGATGCTATTTGGTGATTTTGCACACTAGTTGATGCAATTTCTTCATAGTGTCATTGTCTTTCTATTTTGGTGTTTTTGCAATGGCTGTTACCAATTTTTCCTTTCCATATTTAGTGCTTCTTTCAGGAGCTCTTTCAGGGCAGGCCTGGTGGTAAAAAAAATCCCTCAGCATTTGCTTGTCTGGAAAGGATTTTATTTCTCCTTCACTTATGAAGCTGTTTAGCTGGATATGAAATCCTGGGTTGAAAATTCTTTTCTTTAAGAATCTTGAATATTGGCCCCCAGCCTCTTCTGGCTTGTAGAGTTTCTGCTGAGAGGTCTGCTGTTAGTCTGATGGGCTTCTCTTTGTAGGTAACATGACCTTTCTCTCTGGCTGCCCTTAACAGTTTTTCTTTCATTTCGACCTTGGAGAATCCGATGATTATGTGTCTTGGAGTTGATCTTCTCATGTAGTATCTTAATGGGGTTCTCTGTATTTTCTGAATTTCCATGTTGGCCTGTCTTGCTAGGATGGGGAAGTTCTCCTGCATAATATCCTGAAGTGTGTTTTCCAGCTTGTTTCCATTCTCCCCATCTAATTCTGGTACTCCAATCAATCATAGGTTTGGTCTTTTTACAAAGTCCCAGATTTCTTGAAAGCTTTGTTCATTCCTTTTCATTCTTTTTTCTCTATTCTTGTCTGAATATCTTATTTCAGTAAGGTGGACTTCAAACTCTGATATCCTTTCTTCCACTTGGTCGATTCAGCTGTTGATACTTGTGTATGGTTCACGATGTTCTTGTACTGTTTTTCAGCTCCTTCAGATCATTCATGTTCCTCTCTAAACTGATTATTCTAGTTAGCAATTCCTCTAACCTTTTATCAAGGTTCTTAGCTTCTTTGCATTGGGTTAGAACATGCTCCTTTAGCTCATTGCAGTTTTTTATGACCCATCTTCTGAAGCCTACTTCTGTCAATTCATCCATCTGATCATCCAGTTCTGTGCGCTTGATGGAGAGACACTGCAATCATTTGGAAAAGAGGCACTCTGGCCTTTTGGGTTTTCAGCATTTTTTCATTGGTTCTTTCTCATCTTCTTGAGTTTGTCTAGTTTTGGTCTTTCAGTCTCCTGACCCTTGGATGGGGTCTTTGTGGGGGCCTTTTATGTTGTTGTCATTGATGCTGTTGTTGTCACTTTCTGCTTGTTTGTTTTTCTTTCAATTGTCAGGTCCCTCTTCTGTAGGGCTGCTACAATTTCCTGGGGGTTCACTTCAGGCCTTATTCATCTGATTCACTCCTGTGCCTGGAGATGTCACTCAAGGAGGCTGGAGAGCAGCAAAGATGGGTTCCTCTTCCTTCTTCTGGGACCTCTGCCCTCAAGAGACACCAACCTGATGCCAGTAGGATCACTCCTGTATAGGATGTCTGACAACCCTTGTTGGAGGGTCTCACCCAGTTGGGTAGCACAGGGAGCAGGACCTGTTTAAGGAAGCACTTTGTCCTTTGGTGGAGGGTGTGGGTTTCACTAGGGGAAAACCCACTCATCTGGGCTGCATGGATTCCTAAGAACTACCAGGAGGAGAGGCTAAGTCTGCTGGTCCACAGAGACTGCAGCTACCCCTCCCACTAGGGGCTCAGGCCCAGGCAGATCCCAGTTCTCTCCCTGAGCCTCTGGCTGGAGTTATTGGAGATCCTGCAGGGAATCCCAGCCCACTGAGGAAGGATGGGTCAGGATTAGACCTGAAGAGGTACTCTGGCCACAGACTGCCACAGTTGGGCTGTGGGGACAAGGCTTAGGGCCAAGCCATCTAGCCTCCCTGGCTCCAGCAGGGGAAAAGCACGGCCTGCAGCTATAGAAATGGGTGCCACCCTTCCCCTGCCCAGGGAGCTTAGCATATTAGGCAGTTGTGAGTCCCAGTGCTGGCTGCTGCCTCTCCCTCAAGGAGCTCAAACAGTTTGGACAGCAGGCAGGCGCAGCCGGTGCTGGTCGTCCCTCCCCCGGGGAGTTCCATAGGCTTAGGCAGATTTCACCTGAGAGGCCATAAGAATCTGCGCATTCCGGGACTGGGACACTAGGCCCTGGTGGCATGGGTTGGCAAGTGGGATCTTCCAATCTGTAGGTTGCACAGTTCCATGGAAAAAGCAGTTTCCCTGGCTGGGTAGCACACTCAGTCACCACCTCCCTTGGCTGGGAGGAGGGGGTTCCCCTTCCCCTGTGGCTTCAGGTGGGCCACAGCACCACACTGCTTTTCCTTCTCTCCGTGGGTCACGCCAGCCTTCTAGTCAATTTTGATGAGACAACCTGGGTACCTTGGTTGCTGGTGAAGGATTCACATGCTTATTATGTTTTTTTTTTGATGGGAGCCTCCAAAAGATGATGCTTCTAGTCAGCCATTTTGCACCCCCCGCAAAAGATTTTTGTAGAAAGTTTAATTTGCAAATAAGTAAGCCCAAATGGAAATACCAGATGCTGTCAGACAGGAGGATCAGAGTTTCCTTTTAAACATGCTTGTCCCTCTTTCAGCTTGATTCAGGGCTTTCTTCTCAATGTCTCGGGAAACTCATTTGCTAAGAGTGACTCAGAATTAACCCACTCTGTGAGACTGGTTATCAAAAGCCACTTAAAGCATTGCAGAGAGGAATGCAATGTTCTGTTTGCAAATGGAATTTGCTAATTATGAAGCCCTAAACATATATATATATATATATATATATATATATATATATATATATATGCATTTACTTCTCTCTTTGCAATTCAGAAATTAATCCATTGGTGGTTCTGGTCTTTTCTCAGCTGAGGTCCTCTCTGACACTTTGCTACAGCAGAAAACTCCTACATGAGCACTTGACTTCTCCATATCTGCCTTTCCTCAAATTGGTTTTCAGCTCTGGGGCACTCTGCTCTGCAACAGAGATGCCCTCACACAACAGATAGGACTGCTTATCCTTGTAGAGAACAGCCCAGCTTACACTTGCATTTGTTTCCTTAGGGCCATTTTTGTGAATTAAACTTGGCACAGCCCTGCCTATTTGCTTTTGATCTGACGTGCTGGACAAGGAGTTCAGTTCATTTTCTGCCTCTCTAGCAATCGTGTCCAAAAGCATTATCCAGCAGGAGGTCTAAGGAAGCTGCTATTATCAGCGGCAAACAGGCACACTTGAAAATTCATGAGCAATTTGTAAAGGGCAGGAGTTCTTCCCCTCAGGCTTTCACTGCCCCACTACTGAGATGCTGGCTGAGCCCAGACAAAGAGGGGAATATCAATTCAGGCCAGGAATTCAGCAGTAGTTCCAATGCCACTGATTTGGAAGCCACTGATTTGCTTCTGAGTAATACCCAAGGGTACATGGAAGTGGCATGGCCAATTCAGTCATGCTAGCTGCTAGGCAAATCAATTTGCCTACAGGACCCCTATTATGAGCATTCACCCTAGGAGCTTCCATATGCACAAATGGACATTAGTAAAGCACATACACCCAGCCTCCTGGAGACTACTCAAGTTGTCCCCCAAGTCAAGAAGGAACAAAGTTCTGGGTGAATACCATCTAAGAAACAATGCATCTATCTCATTCAAACACATTTTCTTTCTCTCTGTTGTGAGTTGCTTCAATGGACCTCCTATGCCACCTTCCCTACTATTCCTTAGCATTGCCAGCTTTCAGAGCTCAGTTAATTCATCTAAGCAACGTTTATTTGTTAAATCAAGACATACACTCACCTTAACCCCATCCCTCCTTCTCCTTTCTCTTTGAAAACCATTCTTTTCTTCTTAAAACGTACTTTATCTTGAAGAAAGGGAAACTATTACTCAAAATTCCCTAAAAATTTTAGGTAAGAGAAAACTACCCTTAAAGTTTCAGTGTCATCAAATTCTAGAACACTTGAATGTCACAGAAAGCCTGTTTAAAATTTAATCGAAATCATTTTTCTATCCTTTATCCTCTAAAACATTCAAAATAAACAACAGCTATTTAATATTCATTTTTTTGTTTGGCTGAATCTCTACAGCTATAAATAACATTACTTTTTATTGCAAATATATAGTATCTCATGTAAATGTGTAGGCAAATTATGGATTAAATGCCCCTGTGGATTAGACAGGGACCTAATCTTTGTTAATAAGGTGACTTTCAAGCATTTATAGGTTTAAACAATTGACAGTAAATGAAATTTTAGAGTACAATCAGTGTAACCTATTTATAAGCCAAGGATAGGCTGTAGTATAATTCTGATCTGATTTTCTTTCTGGGTGCTAACGCTTAATAAATCTTGCTATCACATTTGGCCCCTTACTTAATTTTATCCATCCTGAAGGTGGACCTCAGTACTGGGCCAAGTTGCACAGAATCCTGGTGGGAAATCATGCTTGGTTATTTGTATTTCCATGTTCTGCATGTTCATAATTTTAACATTTGATTCTCTCTCTTTTTCTTTCTTTAGATTCAGGGGATACATGTGCAAGTTTGTTACATGGATATATTGCATGATACTGAGGTTTGGGCTTTAATTGAACCAATCACACAACCAGTGAGCACAGTACACAATAGATCATTTTTTAACCTTTTTCCGTTTCTGTCCCTCCCTACTTTGGGAGTCCCCAGTGTCTATTGTTCCCATCTTTATGTCCCTGTGTACCCGATGTTTAGCTCCAACTTATAAGTGAGAATACATAGTATTTGGTTGTTTCTGTGTTAATTCAATTAGGATAATGGCCTCCAGCTCCATCCGTGCTGCTGCAAAGTATATGATTTAATTCTTTTTTATGGCTGCATAGTAGTCCATGGTGTATATGTAACTACATTTTGTAAAAATCCAATCCACTGTTGATGGGCACCTAGGTTAATTCCATGTCATTGCTATCGTGAATAGTGCTGCAATGAACATGAGAGTGCAGGTGTCTTTCTGATAGAATGATTTCTTTTCCTTTGGGTATATGCCCAGTAATGGGATTATGGAGTCAAATGGTAATTCTATTTTTAGTTCTTTGAGAAATCTCCAAACTGCTTTCCACACAGCTGAACTAATTTATAATCCTATCAACAGTGTATAAAGCTCTCTTTTTGCCAGAATCTTGCCAACATCTGTTATTTTTGACTTTTTAGTAATAGCCGTTCTGACTGGTGTGAGATGCTATCTCATTGTGGCTTTGATTTGTATTTCTCTGATGATTAGCGATGGTGAGTATTTTTTCATGTTTGTTGGCTGCTTGTATGTCTTCTTTGAGAAGTGTCCGTATAACATCTGATTCTGATTAAATCCTTACTTAAGGAAAAAAATTAGGAGACTAATCCACTGGGAAAAATACTCAGCAAGACACAAAAACCTGCACTTAACTACCATTCTATTATATCTTCCTCCCTGTGGCTGTGTCTTAGTCTGAACTTCAATAATTAATCTTAGGAAGTAGCACAGTTTTGTTGAAATGATAAAAATATAGAGTTTATTGACACACACTTAATGTAATCTTAGAGATCTAGAGACTAAAGAGAAAATAAAATGCACAGTTAATCACAAAATATTGCCACAAGAGAGGAAACATACATGATTGCAATCATAAAATTTAAAAATCAGGTTGAAGAAGTTTCCTAGCAGCTTGCCTCCATCCAATTCTGGAAGTGTCTTCCATGTTAGATCTCCCTCAAGTCTGAATGACTCTTGATTATCTGTGATCGTGAATGGACAGTGCTAAGTTGAACACATAGTCCATACAGAATCCAAAAGTTGACATGAACAATTACTGGTGAAAGTAATCTGGGTCTAACAAGCAACACAATGAACTAATCTGAGTCTTCATTGCTTCCTGTTCTTGACTAATTTCTGACAGAGAGCCCTCAACCTATATTATTAATAATAGTCTTCTTGACTTTGTTTCTTAAAAACAAACTCATGGTAATAGAGGTGTTTAGGAATGTGCTGGGTCTTCTGACAGCCAAACCTAGTAAATTTCTATTTGTTTCCCGTTTCTCATCCACACACCAAAGTGCCTTCACAGAGTAGGGCACTGGCCAGACCATCCTAACTGGCCCAATCCATATGTGCCATAGCTCCCTGCATGGCAGTGTTGAGGGCATTCCCTCTTTCCTGCCCAAGTTCAGAACCAACTGAGTAACAAATAGAGGGAGCAGACAGGTGGAAACCAACTATCACTGATAGAGCTCTTGGGAAACTGTCTTGGATGAGAAACAAATGGACATATTACTGTTGCCTAAATTAACTTCCCCCACTTTCACTTCCAGCCTTTCTGAGAGGGGCAGTGCCTGCCCTTCAGTCTTGCCACATAGTTGGGATAATAGACCCAAGCAGCATAGTTTCCATCTGCAGGCAGTTCCCAAAGAAAGAGAAACCACACGGCACTAAAGGAAGAAGTCCCAGAAGTGTCTCACATGCCCAGTTTCTTCTCCCAAACTCATCAATATGATCAGTACTCCCACCTTTTCCCATTCACCAGGGGTAAGCAAGGGGGCAGCAGGCAGCCAGCAGAGTCACTCTACGGCAGTGGCTCTCAAACTTGATGTGTATCAGAATCACTGGGAAGGCTTGCTATAAATGCAGATTTCTTGACCCACTGAAGAGTTTCTGGTGCAGTATGTCTGAGTGAGGCCTGAGAATGTCCATTTCTAACACGTTCCTAAATGATGCTGAATCACTGCTCTTATGCAATTGTTCTCAACCTTGACAAACATTGGAATCACAAGGAGAGAGGAGTGAGTGTCTCCTCCTATCATTCCTCAGCCTTTTTTCCCTTTTAACCCACAAGGCTTAACCCTTAATCCAGTGGTTTAGCAGGGCTGTGGCACTCCCTCCAGGGGAAAGAATCAGCAGTCTGTCAGAATCATGTAGCTCCCACTTCACGAGGCTTCTCCAATATTGACCATTAGTCTTTCATAGGAATGCTAGTGGACAGACATGATTTTTGTCCCCAGAAAGCTATAAAATCAATTAGAACATAAATTAACTCAAAGATCATACTGGACTCAAGTATTCCCTGTTCTATTTCCTATCCTAAATTAACACCCAGCCACATTATCCAAAATAGCTCATTAGAGATTCTGCAGTGAAATCAAATGACACTAAGATATTCCAATAAAATGTCAATGATAAGATGTTCCAAATTTGAGTATAAAGAGTATAAACTTTCTCCCACCATGAATTTCTGAGGCTGAAATTATAACTCCAAAATTAAATCCTCTGAATATTAAAGTCTAAAATCAAATTATCTTGCCTTTGTGTTAAAAGCCAAAAGAAATCAAAGACCCAAATTTCATCCCCCCTCCCCAGATTCTTATTCTTCTGAGCCTGTCAGAGAGACAATTTTATATCTAGGTAGAATTATCATTGTTTTAGCAGCTGCAGTGGAGTTCTCTTCCACTGGAATAGGTATAGTTCTCTTAGGATCTTAAAAGTTCAGCTGTACTCATATGTGCCTCACTTTGGAGGAGATAAGGAGAACACTAAAGATTATTCAAGTCCCAGTCTCACACCCACTTGTTTTAGAAAACATATCAATCCTTAGCAGTTAGCAGATATCCCAGGCAAAATTATATCCCCAAAACCTTCTCCTTACTATTGCCAAAGACCATAGTGGAGACCCAGTGATATCTGAGAAAGAGACTGATAAACCTAAATGAGACAGAATTCTTAGTTTCAACTTTGCCATGATGATTGTCATTCTATGTCTTTTTTTGGAGAACATGACTTTGAACCCAAAATTTGAATAATCTCTCCTAACTAGAGGCTAATTATGCACTATTTGCACCATATTAGAGAGAAGGAACAAGGCCACCTGTGCATACTGTCTTGGCAATTAGAGGGTGGACTTTGAGACATGGCTACTTTCTAACAAAATGTAGAAATTTGCAATGGTGATCGTTCCTGTCACAGGGCTTTATTTTTTGGTTCCTTTATTTCCAGTCCAGCATGTTGAAAAGTAATTCCATTTGCCTTTGAGGACTGTTTCTGCCACCACACTGCTGAAGTGAATGTGGGTTCTGTCTAGTGACTTACTCTCCACTATCTCTTTAAAAAAACACTCTCAGGCCTATGCCACAGTGGTGCTTGTCACTGTTTTTTGTTTGTTTGTTTGTTGTTTTTGTTTTTGTTTTTCTTTTTCTGAAATCACTCAGACCCAGGAAGCCTGCCTCTCAGGGAAGGTTTCGCTCTCATCTCGCATTAGTTTCAGCTGGAATATCAGTCCTAGCAGATTCCTGAAGGGAAGCTGCTGATGCTTCTGAAGGTTGTGCCCTGGGGTCCAGGGAGAAAGAAGACTTCTGCCAGGTGTTCCTCAAGACCCATCTGTCCTCAGCTTTTGAAAGGTCCCATCTCTGAGTAGCCTTCCTTTGAACTACATCTTATTCTGTAGAAGTAGAATATGGCATTAATGCTCTATTCCCTCGGTTCTCTTATTTTCTGAAAAATTCAGTGAATTTTATTTTAATCAGCTTCATCAAAGTATAATTTACATACAATAGAACTTGCTATTTTAAAGTATACAGTTTGATGAGCTTTAACAAATGTACATCATCATGGAGCCACCATGACAATCAAGACACAAAACATTTTCATCACTCCCCAAAATTCTCTTGTGTCTCTTGGAAGTCAACACCCTCCCCAACCCACAGCCCAGAGGATTCACTGATTAGCTCTCTGTCACTATATTTCATCTCTTTTAAAATTTTATATAAGTGAATCATGCAGTGTAGTCTTAAAGGTCTGGGTTCATACACTTACCATATGTTTTGAGGTTCATTCATGTTTCTGCATGTATCAGGAGTAGTTCACTTTTATCCCTAAGTAATATCCCATAGTATGGATATACCAGAATGTCTTTGTCCAATTACCAGTTAGTGAACATTTGGGTAGTTTCCAGTTTTGGGCAATTATGAATAACACTGCTATGAGCATTCAAGTCTTTCTATGAAAACATTTTTTAAATTCTCTTAGATAAATACCTAAGAGTGATATATATATATACATATATATATATACATACATATATATATATACATATATATATATACATACATATATATATACATATATATGTATATATATATATACACACACACACATATATATATATACACACACACACACATATATATATATATATATATACACACACACACACACACACATATATATATACTGCTGGGCCATATTGTAAGTATGTATTTAACTTGAAAGAAACTGCCAGACTGTTTTCCAAAGAGGTTGGATCATTTTGCATTCCCACCAGCAGCATATGAGGGTTCCAGTTGCTCCACAATCTTCTCATTTAGGGGGAAGTCTTTTCCTATTTTAAAATGTGAAAATGTCTAATATTTTGTCTTTCAATATTTTGACAGTTTTTGTAACGTTAGCCACCCTGGTGGATGTGTAGCACTGTCTCATTTGCATTTTCCTAATGGCTACAGGTGTTGAGCATCTTTCATATGCTTTTGCTCAAGCTTCTATCTTCCTTAGTGAAGTGCTTGTTTAAACATTTTGCCTGTTTTTAAAAATTAAGTTGTCTGTTCTTGTTATTGAATTATTTATATACTTTGAAAACAAATCTTTTTGCAGAATACATGTTTTACAAATGCTTTTTTTCCCAGGCTATGGTTTGCCCTTGCATTTTTTAAACAATGCTGTTTAAAGAGTAGAAGTTTTTAATTTTAATGTTCAAAACCATACCTAAGAAATGTTTATCTACCTAAAGGTCACAAATATTTTTTTCCCTTTTTTCCCCCAGAAATGTTGTAGTTTGGCTCTTACATTTTGGTCCATGGTTCTTTTCAAGTTAATATTTGTATATCATATGTGGTAAAAAATCAAAGTATTTTTTTTTCCTCACAGTGCTTGTTCTAGCTGCATTTAAAGACTATCTCTACTTTGTTGAATTATCTTGGTACTTTTTTCAAAAATCAATTGATCGTCTACGCATGGGTCTCTTTCTGAGCTCTCCATTCTGATCCACTAATAAGTACGTCTGTTCTTATGCCTATAACCCATTGTCATTACATGTAACTTTACAGGAAGTCTTAAAATTAGGGTGAGTTCTCTTTGTTCTTTGTCAGAATTAGTTTGTCTATTCTAGTCCTTTGCAGCATCATATGAATTTTAGAATCACCTTGCCAAATTCTACAAAATTCTTGCAAGAATTTATGTTGGCATTGCTTGGGACCTGTAGATCAATTTGGAAAGAAACATTGAGTCTTCCAATCTATGAATATGGTATATCTCGCTATTAAGTCTTTAATATTTTTTCTCAACAGTATTTTGCAATTTAGCATATAAGTCTCTCACATATTTTGTTAAATATATCTTAAGAATTTCATGTTTTTCAAATGCTACCATAAATGATATTTTTAAATTTTAGTTTCCAATTATTTATCCTCATGTGTGGGTCTTATCCTTTCTCTTTATTCATCTGTTAATATGATGAGTTACACTAATTGACTTCTAGTATTAAATCAACTTTGCATTTCTGAAATAAGCCCCTCTTGGTCATTATATATTATCCTTTTTATATGTTTTCAGATTTAATTGGCTAAAATTGCTTTGAGAATTTTACATCTATATTCATGAGAAATATTGGTCTGTAGTTTTCTTCTCTTGTAATATTTTTGTCTGGTTTTGGTACCCAGGTAATGCTGACCCCATAAGTGAGCTGAGAAATATTACTTCTTTTTCTATTTTATGGAATTATTAATAACAACTAGAGTTGTTATTATTTCTTCTTTAAATATTTGGAATAATTCACAGTAAAGCCATCTGGGCTTGAAGTGTTCTTGTTTGTTAGAAGCTTTCAATTATGGATTAAATTCCTTTGATGGATATAGGTTATTTATCTATAATTTTTAGGTTATCTATTTTCTTTCTTTAGGTTTCTATGCTTTCAAAAGGATACATATCAACCTCATGGATTCCTATCTTCATTTTTACAGAGCTATGGTAATTTATGTCTTGTAAGGAATTTGTCCATTTCATTTAAGCTGTAGAATTCATTGACACCATGTTATTCACAATTTTCTTCTACCATCTGGAAAATCTGAAGTGATACCCCCTTTTTATACCTATATTTTCTTTTTTGTTTTTCTTTCTTGTTTTCCTTATAAGTCAGACTACAGGTTTATTTATTTTATTGATCTTTTCAAAGGACTGATGAAATTGTTTCCTATTGCTGCTTCAGTAAATTACCACAAACTTAGCAGCCTAAAATAACATAAATTTATTATTTTACAGTTCTGAAGGTAAGAAGTCTAAAATGAGTCTCATGGGGTTGAAGTCAAGCTGTCAGCAGGACTGATTCCTTCTGGAGACTCTGAAGTCTGCATCCATTTTTATGCCTTTTTTAGTTTCTAGAGGCCACCTGCATTCCTTGGCTCATGATCCTGCCCTGCATTTTCCAACTTTCAACACATCTCCTGCTACTGACTCCGATCCTCCTACTTCCCTCTATAAGCATGCTTGTGATTACACTGGAGGACCCACCTGGATAAAACCCTTAACTATTTAAGTAATCACACCTGCAAAGTTCTTTTTATCATATAAGGTAACATGTTCCCAGGTCCCAGAGATTAGGACATGGACATCTTTGAGGGACCATTATTCAGCCTACTACTATCAGCTTTTGATTTTATTGTTTCACTCTTTTGTTTGCTCAATTTCCTATTTTACTAATATCCGTTGTTGTCTCTGTTATTTTCTTCCTCCTTTTTTGCTTTTGACTTAATTTGCTCTCTTTTTCTATTTTCTTAAGGTAGAAGTTTAGATCTTTGATTTGAAATATTTCTTCCTTTATAATAAAAACACTTAATGCTATAGATTTCTCCCTAAATACAGCTTTAGATATATCTCAATAATTTTGATATATTGTGTTTTCAATTTCATTCAACCCAAAATTATCAATTTTGTTAGGTATTTTTTGATCCACATGTTATATAAAAATATATATTTTTAATTTGTTATTTTCTAGACATATTTCTCTTGATTTCTAATTAATTCCATTGTGTGCTAGTTTAATTCTCCTGTATGTTTTGATCCTTTTAAATTTATTGAGATTGAGACTTGTTTTATGACTGAGAATCTTGATGAATATTCCAGGTTCACATGAACAAAGCATGTATTCTGTTGTTTTAGAGCAAAGTATTCTATTAGGCCAATTTGACTGATAATGTTGTTTAAGACTTCTTTACTCATTTTCTGTCTACTTTTTCTATCAATTGCTTGGAGAGGTGTTTTGAAATCTTCAAGTATAATTGTAAATTTGCCTTTTTCTTCTTTTGGTTCTATAAGTTTTTACCTCACGGATTTTGAAGCTGTATTATTAGGTAATGGATATAGTATCTGTGTCCGTTTAGAATAGTTTTGCTTTCTTGGTGAATTGACCACTTCTTATATAATGTCTCTGTCTATCCTAGCAATAGTCTTTGTTGAGCTTTCCAAATATTATAAAAGAGGACCAGAAACTGGGGGGCTGATCTAGCCTGGCTCATCATTTTAAAGGTAGTACCTCACATATAAATTGTTTGTAGAATACATAAAATGTATCTTCTTCTGCTTTGCAAAGTCTTAGACCATTTATTGCAGCTAAGCAATGAAGAAATTTTTCCATCTCCTATACTTAAAAGACTGACATATGAAAACATTCTCTTTTTCCTCTAATCACAGCCTTGCCTTGGCTCTCTTTGTGTACTGACCCCAGAGAAGCTCTTGCGTGTTTATAGGGCTGGCACTTGCTGCCCCATCTGTATAAAAACAGCTACTTGCCTGTGGATAAAGTTTCCATTCGCTACAAGGTCAAAATCCCATCGGACTATGCTTACTAACACCTAAGGCCCAAAGCTGCCATCACAGTCCCATCAGTCAAAAGCCAATTACACAACTGTAAGAATCAGCTATGTGGCGTGTCCAAGCCCCACAAATCTCAAAAAACAAAACAAAAAAAATCTTGCAATCCATGCTTACTCCACCTAAGGCTTAACGCCATCAAAACCTTATGTTTTTGGCTCTCCAAATACTACTGCTCATGTGTCTCTCAAGGTTCCTGGCTAGTATTCCAAGTGTTGGGGAAAAGAATGCTATTTGTTGGACTCCAAACTCTATCATCCTCCTATGCCAATGCCAGTCATCATAATTGGTCACAGAGATGTGTAATAAGGCTCATTTCCCCCACATCCAGCCCCACACAGGTTTCAGGTGGTGGTGTTTGTCTTTCTACACCACCCACTCTTCTCTAAATCAATGTCCCTTGCTCTATTTCATAAGGGAAGAGCTTACCAGTATCCTGGGGCAGTGACAAAGGTTGTAAATGTCCCATACAGGACAGCTTGGGTGGCAGCTCAGCCATGTTAGGATTCAGCAGGTGTCCCTCTGCCGGATGAGCCACAGGCAGTGGGCAGGGGCAGCAGTCTGCGTGGTACTTTGCCTCTCTAGGTAGTGATGGCCCTTATTCATGCCTCTCCTCTGCCTCCATCCAGTCAGTTCCTTTCTATATGGCCTCTAGCTGCTTCCACAGTGTGTCCAGGGTCACTGTTTGCTTCCCCCCACCTCCATCCCAGACAGCCCTCCTAATCTCTAGTCAGGGAAGAAGGCATGACCATCAGCCTCTCCTCCGTCTCTTATTAATCTTTATTATGGTATCTCTATGTTTTGTTCCCCTCAGAGTCATCCCTTTTATTCTTATTGACTCTTAGGGGCCTAATTTGGAAGTCAAACCAAAGAAAATAAACTAGATGGGAACTGTTTCTTTCTCTTTCCATCCAGATGTTCTGACTGACTGAGAGAAGGGTCCAAGAGGTGTAGGAAAGTGTGAAGAGTACAGAGATTAATTTTTCAGAACTCTATGTCAGTACAGAGACTTGCCCACACTGCACCAAAAGGGTCTCAGAGTCTCTCCAAAGATGCTCATCAGACACCCATCCCATTAGAGTTGTCCCACCCAAGGAAAGCCATTAACCATCAGAGTCTAGTCAAATGACAGTCCTGGTAGTGGGTTTAGTTGGCAGGCCTTACAAGTTGAGGTGCTGTGGCTGGGAGAGGCGAGGTGGCACCCAGACACATGCTTGTTAGGAGCAGGGCTGGGACTCCAGGCAGCTCAGGTTTAGTCCAATACACTGCACTCTCACCTGGGGTGACTCCATAGGATTGGTTGGCAGCAAACCCAGAGCAAGATTGAGATACAGGGTGGAGGCCAAAGTAAGAGGATGCTGGCTTCTGAAATGAAACCGTCACAGGGAAGGAGAGGCGAGGAAGAGCAGGAGGAATCTCGGCCTGATTTTGCTCAGATGTTGGTGAGCTGGGGTCTGGACACCTTTCTCCAAAAGAACCAAGTCTCAATGGGGTTCTTTTTTGATGCCTTTTAATTGTTTCTCATTCAAAGCTACTTTCTAAGACCAAAAATTTTCCACCTACTTTTACAAATAGAATATAAATGTAATAGAAAATTTAGGGAAGAAGAATACAGCTTCTAGATGGGGGGGAACTGTGTGTGGTGTGTGGCAGAGCTTGAGGCTGCAGCACACACTAAAATCCCAGCCATCGATGTCATTCCCCTTCTGGGGAAAAATAACTCTAGTTGACTGTAATAATAGGATGTTTTAAAAATTGTTCAGATCAGCAGAGAGAGTGCTGTTTTGATGGGACTCTGAGGTAAACTCTTGGGTGAGTCAGAGATACAATGGGAAAAATTACCGACGCTTGGGAGATTTTGAAATACTGGCCTTGCACTTACAATCCCAGAAAAAAATGTAGGTTTGATAGATTTTTCAAAGTTGATGAAGGGCAAGAGTGGCTGTTTTTTTATTCCCCAGCCGACTTTTCAGATTCAAGGCTCACATGGGGAGTCATTCTGAGGGAATTTTGGCCATCTCTGCCAACTGTAATTATGGCTGGACGCTAAAGGGTACCTTGAATAAGGATCAGGAACTGTGGTTGTCCTGAATTGTCCTTTATCTAGTGACTGAGGCTGAATCTACATGGTTCAAAGTGCACTTAGGATTCAGTCACTCACCAGTTTCAGCATAGCCACTTCTCCCCCATCCGCAGCTCATACCACAATCTTTGCATAGATGACACTCCAGCCCCACTGGTGTTTTTGGTGTTTCTCATGCATGCCATGGGCATTTCCACCTGAGAGCCTTTGAACTTGTTGTTTGCCCTATCTGGAATGCTCTTGTCTGGATCTGTGCGTGGATGGCTTTCTCTCATCGTTCAGGCCACTCTTCAGAGGCCTCTCTCATCATTCAGGCCACTCTTCAGAGGCCTCTCTCACCAGACATCCTAAAGGAGTTCCTCAGGCCTTCCCCTTCCCTCCTCCATGTCTTATTTTCTTCCGAGCACATATTTCTACTATTTTCTGATTTGTCCATTCTTTTCCTGACTTTCTCCCCAGAAGAATGTAAGTCCTCTAGGAGCAGGAACTCTGGCTTACTTGCTCACTGCTATGGTCCCAGCACCTAGAGCCGCACCTGGCACACAGTAGACGCTCGAGAAGTGTTTGTTAGAGAGCTGAGGAAAGGACGGTGGTGGGTGGCCTGTCTGGGGCTGCTGGATAGGGAGGCCAGCTGCTCCACCTGTCCAAAAGGAAGCACACACACTCACAGGCATGCTGCAGGCCTCAGGGGAGCACACCAGGGCATTAACAAAGCCATTCTCTCACCAGGGCTTCCGTGTTGGGTCCACAGTTGAAAGAAAAAATTATAGGATTTGGGCTGATGGTCGCATCTGTCATGTACCAGCTGGTTTTCAAGATAGTGAGGACAGCCACAGAGCTTTCTCATTTTAGGTACAGCAACAGTTTCCCCACTCATTTTTAATGATGATTTCTTTGCTTTTCTTTGAAGTGTATCCACAGCAGGTGGCCTGTCCTGTTTCCAGGAGTTGAAAGATGGGTGTGGGGAAAGTTGACAAGCCTTCTAACAGCAAGAGGATGAGATCACTGGTCCTGGTTCTTTGCAAGATAATATGGTGGACTTTGTTAAGATTAAAGGCAATCACTATTTATGTGCTTCAAGAATTTTCAAGAATTTTAGAATGAGTGAAACCTCCCCCAGGGTCACCTAGTTCAACGTTCCACCAACTGTGACACTTTTCATGACATGGTTAATGAATAATTGTCTGGCCTTTGCTAGAATAGATTCAACTACACCACAGGGCAGGCAGCCACTATTTTACTGCTGAGAAAACTTTTCTAAGGAGATTTCCAATTAAATTGATTCTTTATTTTTCTTTAAAACACCTTTTCTGTGGACAGTTGGTGGATATTTTTAAGTTTGGGATTTGGACCATATGGAGTAAAATATTTAGAAATGTTTAGAGCTATTTTGTCCCTTCTGAAAATGAGATTGAGAATAACCTGAGAGAAAATATAACACCATTGGCTTTCCCATTCATAAACACATTCTGCTTGGCACTTCTCTGACATTCTGTGATGTGAGGGAGCCTAGAGTTTATATTTCATTTGCACATTATCCCACTGCGATAGGAAATTATTTCTCCTTGGCCAACTCTTATCATGCAGATTGCTCTAAAATCAGATTACAGCTGCTTGTTTTGATTGATTAGTTAGTTCTGCCTTTTAAAAATCACTTATGTCTCTTATCAGTGAGAATAAAGCTAAGAATGCAATTGCAACATTTACTTACGGGTTTCTAAGGGTGTTTTAACAAGAAGCTGAGCAGAAACAGCTCCTGTATAAAAGCGAAGCAGAAACAAACTTCTTCACAATTATCAGTAAATCCATCAAATAACCCAAGGAGACACAGAATTTTTATTTTATTTTATTTTTTACTTTATTATTATTATTATTATTATTATTATTATTATTATTATTATTTGAGACAGGGTCTCGCTCTGTCGCCCAGGCTGGAGTGCAGTGGCGCGATCTCCGCTCACTTTCAAGCTCCGCCTCCCGGGTTCACGCCATTCTCCTGCCTCAGCCTCCCAAGTAGCTGGGATTACAGGAGCATGCCACCACGCCCAGCTAATTTTTTGTATTTTTAGTAGAGACAGAGTTTCACCCTGTTAGCCAGGATGGTCTCAATCTCCTGACCTCGTGATCTGCCCGCCTCGGCCTCCCAAAGTGCTAGGATTGCAGGCGCAAGCCACAGCGCCAGGACAACACAGAATATTATTAAGTGAAATGAAGTCCAGCTTTACAGCACTGAGCAACCATTAAGTGCCAGTTTATTCCAGGAGCTGCAGGGGATGGAGGACGAATAGAACTTTGAAGTTCACACTCACAGGGTCCAAAGTAGACGCCTGCATCTCTGTCCATCCTCCCCTCAAGGGAAATCATGTAGTGTATCCACTTAATGTTCTGGCCAATTATAGCAGTAATTTAAGGGATAAGAGAAGGAGAGGCAGTAGCTATTGGAGATGCCATGTGTATCCTAGGCTCTGGGTTGGACATTCTGGTGTGAGTCCAGTTCTGTACTTGCTGGCTTTTTGACCGTGGGCACATTTTTTTTAACCTCTCTGTATTTGTTTCTTTGTCTGCAAAATGGTAAAACTATTTTCCTTGCAAGGTTTTTGAGATTAGAGATCACATATGTAACGCTCCCAGCCGAATGTGTAGCTCTAGGTCTTCAGGGATGTGGCAGCCGCCAGGACTGGGTTGGTTTTTCCATGTCAAGGGCCATCCTATCCAGCTGCAGGCATGCTGGCTAGGCACACAACATTCAACGGTTTTTAAGTTTGTCTTGCTGGAAGGTGACCGTGGAGGATCTGCGCCAAGACAAGCTGCTGAGGCCTCTTCTGGTCCTGGGTTCTTCGGCAAGGGCTGCTTCTGTGCAAGGGGGAAGACTCAGGGCACAGGGCTGCAACTCACGCAGCGCAGACAGAAGCGCTGAGAAGGCGGCTGAGAGGAGGCCAGAGAAGAAAATCCTAGATAATGTGTTTAATTTGATCCGTTCCCTGGAGTCATTAAAATGCATCCTCCCCTGGACTCTCAAATTCTTGAGCTGAAATAATCAGTCCAACAGGCTTTTTTTTTTTTTTTTTTTTTTTTTCTGAAAATAATGAAAGCATACTTTATGATGCGTTCAAAATTCTCAGGCCTGTTGAGATACTGCCCTCTAGTGTTCAGGGATGGGCGCAACCTCTTTGGGAAACTGCTTGGCCGACCAGCTTGTTAGCTGATGCATCTCCAAAGGAAAGCTAAAAAAATGCAAGGCTGACCCCAGATAACTCGTTCAACATAAGGGGTTGAGATGGGGGTGGGGATTCAAATTCCTATTCCCGTGATAGAGAAACACAAAATTTTCTGTCGCTTATTTTCAAAGGGACCCCACCTGAATTCAGAGGGAATTATTGACCTCTACGGCATCCTCTTGCCAAGGGGGAAGAAAAATACTCGAAATGACTGACACTTTCCTCCCTGTCTCTCTTCCTCTAGCTCCCTTCCATTTATTGAGCAGCTACCAAAGCATAGCCGTCAAAATATGGACACAGGCAGTCTGAGTTCACAGGCTGGCTTCACAATTTGCCATTTGTGCAAATTAGGGTAAGTGACTTAATCTCCCTGTGTCCCACGTTTTTAAATCTATAAAACAGGGATAAAAATTTTACCTACCTCATAGGCATATTCTAACAATGCATGAGATGCTTGGAGTACATTTAAGGTACTTTGAACAAGACCTTTCACACTGTAAACATTTAATAAAATAAGTTATTATTAGTCGTTATTGTATCCTTCTCTGTCTCAGGCTTTGTCCTAGGTTCCTCGGGAGGCAGCTGGGAAGACAGGCATGGCCCCTGCCCTCATAAAACATATATCCACAAATCCTGGGCTTCAAGCTGTCAGGGATTTTATCCATACTGGAGGGCAAAGAAGAGTAAAGCTCCCAAAGTATGTTTTTAAAAATCCAAGAGAAAACAATTTATGATAGCTCAAGAGCCCGCTAGGAAATATTAGTGCCAATTTTCCCAAACAGAGGTAGAAGTTCCACAGGTATGTCTCTGGATGCCTTGAGAACTTCTCCTTTTCTCAGACATCACTAATGAGATACAATTCTCCTTCTATTTCCAGAGTTTATCCACACCTTTAGCTAAAGGGCAACATTAGCCTTCAGATATTGAATATGGAGCTACTTAACTTGAGTCATGCTGTCTTTCTCTGCTTAAAATTCTATTCCTTTGCCTTTCAGAATTACAGTCTCCAGGAGGCCCCTGCTAAAACACACATGTTCTTAGATATGTTTATTATTATTCATCCTTTATATGTTATTAATCTTTAACACCAGGTATGAGATTAATTTGTTAATTCCTTCCTAACTTGATGGCTAAATTCAGGGACGTTTAGGATGAGTGCATTTTTAAAATAACTTTTTCTAATTTTAAAAATACTAAATGCTCATTGTAGAAAATGTAATAGAGAAAACCCTAAAGAAGAAAATTATCCCCACCATGAGACAACTAATCTTAACATTTGATTCTTCTTTCCAGCTACATAATTATGGATTTATCTATAATCAATAGGTCAGCTGGAATTGCATGGACTTTGAGGTCTGGATAAAATGATGCAAACCTTAGTTCTCTCCTTGTAAGAGCCCAAAGCCCTCCCCTAAATTTCTGCAGATGGATGAGGATTTTATTTTTTCACAGTTGGCTCTTGGTTCCAGCTTCTGCCTCCATAAATGTTACCCTGCTTATTACCAGGTCTGCCCCCTTGCCCAATGCACACAGTTGTGCATGTGTGAGTGCATGCACAAGCACACATGTACATACACACACACACACACACACAGTTCATATTTGTGCCTGTGGTAGGCTGACGACCAGAGAGTAAAAGTACATTGCAGCATACAGCTTCAAATAAAACATCAGCCAGGCCTTCCGCACAATGTCCTTTGGCCATCCCCACTGCCCCAGGATCCCCACCAGCCACCATATGCCCTACTGTCCTCAGCCTGGAAATACCTCTGGGCTCTCTTTCCCTGATTCGGGGCTCATGCAGAGCAATTTAGCCACTGCCTGCTGTTTCTTATACTCCTACCAACTCTTCACCCTCAGGCCTCTCCTTCTAAGTCAAATGCCTCTATCAAATTATTTTCTTTTTCTTTCTCTTTTTTTTTCTTTTCTTTTTTTTTTTTTTTTTTTTTGAGATGGAGTCTCACTCTGTCGCCCAGGCTGGAGTGCAGTGGTGCGATCTCGGCTCACTGCAATCTCCGCCACCCGGGTACACACCATTCTCCTGCCTCAGCCTCCTGAGCAGCTAGGACTACAGGCGCCCGCCACCATGCCCAGCTAATTTTTTTTTTTTGTATTTTTAGTAGAGACGGGGTTTCACCATGTTAGCCAGGATGGTCTCGATCTCCTGACCTCGTGATCCGCCCGCCTCAGCCTCCCAAAGTGCTGGGGTTACAGGTGTGAGCCACCGCGCCCGGCCTATCAAGTTATTTTCTAAAGCAGAACAGTTTCTCCCTAAAAGGAATGTTGCTATTAGTAGTTAAAATAATGAAATTTATACCCTTATTACATTTTTAATGCTGTGTATATCGTATAGTTTTGTATTGTTTTTCAAGCAAACAACATTATGAACATGTTACTGTGTCAAAAATTATTCAAAAAAACCCACATATTTCATCATCAAAATGAGTACGTGTTCTTGGAGGAAGGGGCAGGTCAGAAGCATAAAGGACATGAGAGGGCCAGGCCTCCATGGGCACCCTAGGACTGAGGTTAGTTATGGGAGGACATGGTGCTCCTGTCTCCCCTGGGGAAAGGAACAACATATTACAAAAAAGAAATAGGAAGCAACCTTGGAATATTCCATAATTTAGCTTAGGCCAAGCTCTGTTAAGGGGTGGGACTAACATTATCCTCAGCATAGCTTTTGCTGAGACACTAGAAATTTAGAACATTCTGAATGTGATTGAAGCAAGAGATAGAATAATAAATCCAATTTATTTAAGGTGACAATGCATCAGTTATGATCTATGCTAATGTACCACATAGGGCACACAGTTGGAAGTAGACGCAGTGAAGATAGAATTCGGGAAATGGTGGTGCTTACCTAGCTTTTTACAGATTCTGAGTGCTAGAATCTTCATATCCACAAGGTCCCTCCTGAATGTGTATTTATATAATAGTACCTAGAAGGGTTCTTTAAGTCAAGGCTTTATGACGATAACAGGGACCTTGCAAGAAATTAGACTCATATGAAATTTACTATATAACAACAATGCATTGCAGTGAATCCTCACCCCGTCCTGCCTCAGCCATCAGGACTGCATGGGATGCTATGTGGCACAGGTAAGGGTGGAGTGGCGACCTTTCTCTGCTGTGTCTCATACTGCTCTTGCCCCTGCCATGAGACTGAGGGTGTACACTTGCTTCAGGGCCCTATTAAAATCAAATTTCAGAAATGCTTGTTTTATACTTACTTTAGTTGTATCCTTTAAGCAATTTCTATGAAGGGGATCATAGAAAATCCCTCAAAAATCCTTCTCGATCTGACACTTTAAAAAAACCCACAAACTTAATGAACAATTGCCTTGGTATCCTCTCCTTGTATCTGTCCCCTGTTCTTCTGCTTTCTCGAATTTCTGATGCAGACTCTCCATCTGGGATCTGTTTGATGACTCTCGGCCACCCCTTTTGAATCCAATGCTGTGGCCTGTCCCTGGATTCCCAGGCCTTTGTCCTGGAACTTGCTTTCATACCCCCATTGCTCTACATCCACGGGCACAGGCCAACTCTATGCCTTTTCCTCCTGTTTTGGTTAGCTATGACTACATAACAAACCACCTCCAAATTTCATGGCCCAAGACAACAGAGCCATTTATTTGTTTACGATTCGGCGGCTTGACCAGGTCTCAGGGGGCAGAGCTCACCTCTGTTCACGTACGGTCAGCTGGGACAGCTTGACTGGAATTGAAGGATCCGCTGCCACGTCAGCCTTCCTCATGTGGTTGGCAAGTTGGTGTTGGCTGGTGGCTGGGATTCAGCCGGGGCTGTCAGCTGAGGGCTTGAGTTCCCTTCCCCCAGGCCTCTCCATATGGCAAGGTTGGGCTTCTTGTGGCATGGCCATCCCAAGAGAGTTGGACTTCTAACATGGAAGCTGGCTTCCTCCAGAAAGCAAAAGTGGAAGCTGCCAGGCTTTTCAAAGTCCAAAAACATCTCTTTCACCACATTTCATTGCTCAAAAGAATCACAAGGTCAGCTCTCATTCTAAGGGAGAGAGAACAGACTCTCCTCTTGATGGAAGAGTGGCACATGAGAGAGGAGATATTGCTGAAGCTATCTTTGGAAATACAATACTCCGTACACACTGACACACCCATGCCATCTCCATGCCCGGCCCTAACTTTCAGAACCCCAGCACAAAAATGGGACTCATGTGCCTTTCTATATCCAGACGGATTTTAGACAGAAAGACCTTGCTTCAGTCTTGCTTCAGACTTGCTTCAGAAGACCTTCCTTCAGAAGACCTTGCTTCAGACCCAGATTTCAGGGAATATGCTATCAATTTGTTATGAAAATGGCTGTGAAAGACTGCAATACTTTGTCTTTCTGGGCTGAGCATTCTGGGACCATGTGCTTTGGCAGCATCTTTCTTCCACGATTAACCTTCTCCTTTGCACTGTGGTACCCACGTGGGGTGTTTTAAATTCCCCTTTTCAAATAGTATCAGTTCCTGTTTGCACACCGAACTAAAAATGGATTTTACCATTGAGCTACACCATGACTTATAACACCATTCGGTGTCCACCTACAAACAGAAGGTGGGGCTGACTGCCACCCACAGGCCCCTGGGGCTCAAGCCTGTTCACACTGGGCATGCAACTTTTCTGCTATGTGTGAGGGCAAAACAAGTGAGATTCTCTCAGTGAGAAAGACCTGAGTGGTATGTTTATAAGTATAGGAGAAGCTGGTATTCCCCTAATTGTTACTATCTAATAAACTACCCCCAAAACTTAGTGCTCTAAAACCATGTTTACTATATTTTACAGGTTATGTACATCAGGAATTCAGTCAGGCTTGACTGGGCAATTCTTCTGCTCTCCTCTTACCCCGAAGACATCAGTGAGGTCACTCAGTGGTGTTCAGCTGGCAGATGGACTGGTCTAGAGAGTCGCAGGTGGGGTTATTCACATGCTTGGCACCTTGGCAGGAATGGCTGGAAAGCTGGGCTCAGTTGGGACTGTCTACTGGAGTGCCCACCTGCAACCTCTCCAGCACAACGGTCTCAGGGTAGCTGGACTTGTTACATAGCAGCTGGCTGCCCCACTGCTCCCCACCCCCACCCCCTGCAAGTGTTCCAAGAGAACCAGACAATAGCTGAATGCCTTCTTACATTTAGCCTTAGAAGTCGCATATGCCCCTTTAGCCACATTCTCCTGGTTACTAGAAAGTCATAAGCCAGTCCAGGTTCAAGGGAAAAGAACTAGACACATCTCCTGCTGGGGATGTGGTAAGGCCCTGCTGTAGAGGAGCTCATGGGACCTGAGGCATTGTTGCAGCCATTTTTGGAACATGGTACCTGCCCGCAGCTGGCTCAGACCTTGGCAAGAGAGCAGTTAGATGAAGCTTGCCTCTCCATTCCTGTAGATCTGCCCCATGTTTCTCCCCTTTTTTGTTGTTCTTGCCTTTAGATTTCACCATGATCCCTGGCAGCCTCCCCTTTCCCAGCCTCAGATTCTACCTCACTCTCCTGTCACTTCCTGGTGCTTCCTCCTTTATAGAACTTACCTATTTTATGTCCCACTTCCTCCTGACCCCATTAGATGCCTGGATGCAGCACTTTATAGTAGAAAGAGCATTGAACTGAAAAGCCATGTCCTGATGCTTCCACTAATGAGCTGTGTTATCCTAGGCAATTCATAACTATTGCAGTTTTCTCATTTACACAATGCTGGGGAAGTGGGTTTGGGGGATAGGATAAAACAGTCTTTAGCATCAACTCCAATCATTTCTAAATCTAAACTGAGTTAAGAAATAAATGGATAGCAGCAGCAAATCACTATTTAGCCCCACTGAAAATATCCACTCAGCACCTACCTTAAAGAATTCTGGGTCACTACAGATGATAAGAAAAAAAAGTAAGATAAAATCCTTACTCTTGAGCAATTGGAATATTCATTGGCAGACACAAATAGAGGAAAAGTTAAGAGAGCTAGGAAGAATGCCACTGGATGACAGACCATGATTTATTGCAAGTAAGTAATCTAGGTAGTGTATTCTGGGTTCCTTCAGTAATGTAATCGTCTATTGAACGATAAGGTGGCTTTGGAGGTAAGACACAATTTAATAGGATTTTTATTTGTTTTTGTTTACATATCTAAGCCAAAGGAAGAGGCTGTATGAGCATTTGGGTTACAGTGTCAGGGCAAGCAAATGATGTATTCTGGCTGGGGGGAAGTATAAACTCATACAGCAATACCACATACTGCACCTGCAGCCAGGCACCTCAGCAAAGTCATGTTATGTGCAGATGTCCATAGAGGAAAAAACTTTTGAGAAATATTCTTTTCCTCTCCTCTCACCCTGAAGTGAGAAAAAATAAAGCTTATGTCTTCTGGATGTCAAACAGAGACCTGCTTCATTTGCTGTGCCTGCGTTGGCTCCAAGTACCTGTGACAGAGGGAACCGCAATGTACAAGCGAGCTGGAGGTTTTTCCATCAGAACCCCACTTCTATGCCTCCACTATCACCCTAATAATTTAAATAACAAATCAAGTCAGTGAGGGAAACGATGCCCATCTCCAGTCTATCTACCAGATTGACTTTGGCATCCTTAAAATTAATCTAAGAGAGAACACTTAGGCAGCCATTTGAGCTTGAGTTTTCTCCAATGTGAGTGACATGCAGTGGTACTATACAGATGTTACGACAAAGTCTGAGTGGGTCATCAGGCCTAACTCGATGCTAGCACTTAGCAAATGCTCAGTGAAGGTTCTGCAACTGTGTGTTGGAGTTCAGACACTTTCTCAGGAAGTTTTGTGAAGACTGAGCTTCAGTTGGATATAAGTGGGATGAGAGAAAACCAAACTTAAGCCAAGGCAAAAGGGTCAAGCTATTACGGAGAAGAAACTAGTGTCACTGTCCAGAATTCGGTCCAACTGGAGAAAAGCCCATCTCTTCAGTTGTCTCTGACCACCCCAGTTCCTAGCCATCAGCACGCATGGCAGGCTTATGCTGCGCTGGGGCATGACTGGGCAACAATGGATATCTGCAAGTTCTAAGACAAGGAAGTTTGGCAAGAGAGATCTTGGTTCTCCCACCAAGACCTAGTCACATAGGAGGTGATGAGATGTCACAGAAGGGACACAGAATTCACATTCATTGAATTCCACATGTTGAACCATTCTTGCATCCTAGGGATAAATCCCACTAGGTCACGGTGTATGATGCACATTGTATACCTGTTAGGGTGGCTGTTATCAAAAAGTCAAAAGATAAATTGCTGAATATACGGAGAAATTTAAACCCTTGTACACTGTTAGTGGGAATGTAAAATGGTGCAGCCGCAATGAAAGACAGTATGGAGGTTCCCCAAAAAATTAAAAATAGAACTGCCATATAACCCATCAACCCCACTTCAGGTTATAGATCCAAAAAATTTAAATCAGAATCTCAAAGAGATATCTGCACTCCATGTTCATTGCAGCATTATCACAATATTCTAGATATGGAAACAATCTAAATTGTATTGATGGATGAATGGATTGAAGAAAATGCAGTATATACATTCAATGGAATATTATTCAGCATTGGAAAAAGGGAAATCCTCCCATATGTGACAACATAGATGAATCTGGAGGACTGTATGTGAAGGGCAATACTGCCTGATTTCACTCATGTGAGGTATCTAAAATAGTCAAACTCACAGAGGCAGAGAATGGTGATTGGGGGAAGGTCTCGGGCAGGGATAGATAGGAAGTTGTTGTTGTGTAGGTATAAACTTTCAGTTATTCAAGATGAATAACTTCCTGAGATCTGCTGTGCAATATAGTTTCTATAGTTAATGATACTGTATTGTATTGTGCATTTGAGAGGGTCTATCTCATGTTGTGTTCTTACCTGCACAAAGAAGGAGCGGGCAACAGGAAATCTTTGGGGGTGATAGATATATTTACCACCTTGATTATTGTGATGGTTTCACAGGTGTATGCTTATGGCCTAACATTAAATTGTATACATTAAATATGGGAAAGTTTTTTTCATATAACAATTATACCTCAATAAAGCAGTTAAAAAACTTAAAAACTTAGGCCACTAGAAGACTCTTAAAGAAACTTCACCAGAAATGTCTTTCTTACGGTGAATTTTTCTTACCGATATTTTTCCAAAGCAAGCACAGATATTTCAGGCCAATGTTCTGGTCTTTCTGCTATTTCAGCTTAAAACCTTCCTTTTGAAAATCACCTTGGTATTGCTAGCTGAGCTGTGGCCCTTCCTCCCACAACCTGCAACTAATGATGTGACTTGACTTGCTCAAGCCCATAAGCTCAAAGATACAAATCTTTGTAAAGCAAGATTTTGCTATCAAAATCTATATGAATAGCCTATTTTGTTGTTGTTGTTGTTCTATTTTAGTAATTTCAGGGATTATTTATCTGTAAAAGAATAAAGAACTTGAAATAATATTTAAAGCATACTTTAAAGACAGCATTTTACTATCTCCATGTTTACAAGTCATATGTGCTTTTGTGGAAGATTTAGAAAATATAATAAAGTACATGGGAAAAATTACTTGACTATTTATAACCCCACTGCCATGAGAAACATCACTGTAGACACTGTAATTGTTTTTTTCTTCAATGAAGTCAATCTATACTTTTTTGAAACATGCTCCTGTTTTTCACTCAGCAGCATGTAGTGAAGGGCATTTTCAGGCAACAACTAAACATATACCCTGTTTTCAGTCCTAAGTCAGAATGTTGCCTTTTGGGATATTATAAAAAAAAAAAACTATTTGGTTAACTGCATAATCAAAAGTAAACTCAACCCAATAACATAATTTTTGGGATGATGTTAAAAATGGCTTGTATGTTTTATTAATATGATTGAGTGTTATTAAACTTGGTCTTTGAATTATTTCAATATGGACATTTTTGTTATCTTCATTTTCTTTGCATTTGAATAGTTCTAGTCAACCAGTTTGCATAATTAGGCATTAGGATAATTAGCACTAGTTTCCATAATAATTTCCAAATTATTATTCTAATATTATTATAGTATCTCCAATCAGAGACTTAACAGAGTAAAACATTCTTTCTTGCTCATGCAATATTTTATAAACTGTGGGTAACTGCACTCCTTGGCTCTGCTACCAGCAATAACTAAGGGATATGTGCTCATTCCATGTGGTAGTTACTCCATCTGGAACATGTGACCATGGAAAAGAGAAGAAAGAGTGGCAAGAGTAGAGAATCATCAAGTGGGTTTACATTCAACATGGAAGTGGTGCACATGAATTCTTCTCACATCTTATTGGTTATAATGCAGTCAAATGGCCTGAACCTGACTGTGAGGCAGCCTGGGAAATGTAGTCTTCCTTTGTGCCTGTAAAAAAGAAGCCGATTGATAAACTTCTAACAATTCACAGGACCACTTACAAATGAGCTGTTCCTTAGGATTCCACCTTAACATCATTTGTTGTTTCCAGCCATTATATGGCTATTCCTTGTACAACCAATTGGATTCCATAATTCAAATCTCTCCTTGATGGCTAAAACAGCCAGAAAATGGTATATGGAAACATATACACACACACAGCACCCCCACACACACTCTCTCATTGCTAATAGCATAGTTTATTTGAGTATATTAATAATAGATCTTTGCAATAAGCATTGTTCTATGTCAGAAATTGCTGGATGTTTTACTTCCATGCATTATCTCAATTGATCTTCACAGAATTAGTGAGGCAGGCATTAATTATATCCTCATTTTACAGATGAGGAAATGAAACTTGAGTAAAATAATGTGCTCAAAGTCACACAATGACATACTAGCAGGGCTGGGACCTATCCAGGTCCATCTGGCTCTAGAACCTGTGCTATTAGCTCCTGTACTATATGGGCCTCCTGTTTAGGAGACACTGCCAGAATGAGATGGAAGAAAGTCCCGTGGGGCAAGAGCTTCAGGCTTTCCTGATCTTCTTGTCAGAGTGGTTCTAAGCTGGGTTATCTGCATCCTGGAGTCCCTCTGGCTGATGCACTCGACAGTTTTGCCACATGTAACCCAGACTAAAGCGGCAGATGGCCCAGATTATGTTATACCACAGAATGATGGTTCTCTCTGCTCTGCTCTGCCTCAAAACTTGCTTTGTTTTCCAACCTGAACTACGGACTGGTCCTAATATGCAGCATGGCTATAAAATGCAGCCTGTTGCATTGAGTACGGGCTACATCTGATTATACTTGATATCTTGCTGTGTGCTATCTTTAAACGTTTACATGTGCCACTTTTACCTCCCCAACTAGAGGGTAAATTTGGGACAAAACCCCATGTATTTCCTAAAAGCAGAAGCACATGGGAAACTTGTATTGATCTAGGGTGGGCAGCCTAACAATACAGGTAACCCTGTGGTCGGCTCTGTGCCTCAGTTTACTTTTCTGTAAATCAGGGGCTTTGGCTGGAAGAGATCTAAGGGCCTGTCCAGCTTTGTGATTCTCCATATTATTGGGCAGTGCTCTTCAAGGGTGTACTATCAAAAAGCTTAGTAAATTTTTCCTTCAAAGCCAAAGTCATTGAATTGTCACAGGGTGAGTATGGTCACATTCTCCCTAGCTAACAGCACCAAACACATGTGACTATAACTGGGTTTTCACAAAGAAAGTTGAATTTTCAAGTGACAAAAACTCATTATTATAAAATGACTAATAATACAGCCAAGAGCCGTAAAGTGAATCTTGCCCAAGTCATTCATCAATTGATACACTTTAAAGAGAAGCTTCCTTATCTATATTGTTAGTCATTATTCAAATAAAGTAAATATTGCCTGCATGGCCCACTGAGAAATTACAGGAAGATTTATTAAGAAATTGAGCAAATTAAATGTCTTGGAGAAATTTCAAAATTAAGGATTCTTTCAACAAAGGAATTTCAAGAAGTCAGGTAGGCTGCACAGTTTTATCATCTTTGGGTCTCACTCAGGTTCTATCTAATGGCACAATGCAGTGAGGCTTGAGGCAAACTGCACTTGTCTCAGAAGTCAGTTGCTTTCCAGGCCTGGGACAATGCCATTCAAGAAGCAATAGCTTTGTGACAAAGACCCTGAAACCCCCTGGTCTTTTCTCTTAAGTCAAATGGCTTGTCTTCCTTTTTGGTTCATCAAATAGGTAGTTACTTTGCAGGCTCAAAAGCCTCAAACAAGTGAGTTTCATTTGAATGTGATTGCATTTCATAGATGAATGTGCTATTTAGCTTTATTCTATACTGTTATTGCTACCACATGAAGAAGATAGAAAGAGGAAGCAGAGTTCTGGGAACTGCAACTAATGATTTACCATATAGAAGGAAGTGCTCAAAACAACCTGAGACATGAGTCTACTGAAAAATTAGAAACAATGACCCACTTTACCATTAGCCAGGATATAATAACAGCTGGATGTCAGAGCAATCTATGGGTGCCAAGTTAGGATGAAATTTAGACCAGGTTACATTTACTCAATGGCAAAATATCTAGTAAATCCAGGTAACGTTTTTGCAGACACACCCTTTAAGTCCAAGTAAACAGTTGACTTTTTCCTTTCATATGGAGTGTTGCAACATTCTAGAAACACTACCTTGAACTTCTTCAGGAATTTTGTGATCTCAATTTACACACTGGCTCCAAACGATACACACACACACACACACACAATTAGAAAGCTTTTTTTTTTTTTTTGCTGTGTCCTCCAGACATCTACAGGGTCCCTAGGACCCTCAGAAGCAGGACCTCTACAAATATGGGAGAATATGCCTTCTTCCTTTTGAAGAATGATGGTACCAGAAGGGAAGATTTATGTGGGCAGTAAGATTTCTTAGTTCACCTTTCATTCTTGTTATAATTTAATATCATTCTAATATAAAAAATGAATGACTCTTGGATGGGAATAATTGGCAAAGGAGTGCCTCGTATGAATGTAGCATTACAATCTGTCCTCCTGACACTCATCAAGATGCCTCCATTGTGCATCACGATGAAATGTCCATCAGGACTCCTAGGGTTTGTGGCTGAGCACACAAAAATGCTGCCTACTTCTCACTTTGATTTGCACGTGACCCCAAAGGTGGAAGAGGGCTTTGTCAAAGCCACAGGCCATGGACAAACCAGTGCTCAGTCTTAGATTTCCTAAAATACCCTCCTCTTCATGCGGCTTTTTCCTAAGTGCCACAAAACGAGATGCTACACATTAATTAAATGCACGCACATAACCTCAGCATAGTCTTCACTTCGCTTATCTAAAACAACAGATTTTCTTATGGACCAAAAGGCCTGAAACGGAAATATAGACATGAATTCTACATTATTATAGGGAGCCAAAACCATCAGTTATGTATAAGACAGACAGGTCCAACCAGAAGAAAAATTGTAAAATTTGACCCAGAATAGGGCCGGGTGCGGTGGTTCACTCCTGTAATCCCAACACTTTGCGAGGCCGACACGGGCGGATCACGAGGTCAGGAGATCCAGACCATCCTGGCTAACACAGTGAAAGCCCGTCTCTACTAAAAATACAAAAAATTAGCCGGGCGTGGTGGCGGGCGCCTGTAGTCCCAGCTACTTGGGAGGCTGAGGCAGGAGAATGAAGTGAACCTGGGAGGAGGGGCTTGCAGTGAGCTGAGATCGCGCCACTGCACTCCAGCCTGGGTGACAGAGCCAGACGCCATCAAAAAAAAAAAAAAAAAAAAAAAAAAAAAAAAAAATCTGACCCAGAGTATTACTCATTCAGCAGTCATTAGGAAAACTTTTAAAAATTAACACAGGATAGGAGTCAACAGGAGCAAGTTTTGTTACCGAAGAATCAGTCCGTACTGGTGGCTGAAAAACCACTACTCTCCACCGGGCACACCTGTGCGCCTGCCTGAAACCGTGGCTTACCATGCAGCCTACAGGGACACTACATCTTTCTCAGCATGGAGATCCCGCACAACACAGCGAAATACTATGAGTTCTTGTCAGCAATCTTTGTCTCCACACACTTCTTCCACTCACTAACCTTCCACTTACTCCTCCACTCGCTCATTCACCTTCCACTCACTCACTCCTCCACTCACTCATCTTCCACTCACTCATCTTCCACTCACTCACTCCTCCACTCACTCACTCCTCCAGTTACTCATTCCTCCACTCACTCACCTTCCACTCACTCACCTTCCACTCACTCACTCCCCCACTCACTCACCTTCCATCACTCACTCCTCCACTCACTCATCTTCCACTCACTCACTCCTCCACTCACTCATCTTCCACTCACTCATTTTCCACTCACTCACTCCTCCACTCACTCACCTTCCACTCACTCATCTTCCACTCACTCACGTTCCACTCACTCACCTTCCACTCACTTATCTTCCACTCACTTACGTTCCACTCACTCATCTTCCACTCACTCACCTTCCACTCACTCACTCCCCCACTAACTCACCTTTCATCACTCACTTCTCCACTCACTCATGTTCCAATCACTCACTCCTTCACTCACTAATCTTTCACTCACTCATTTTCCACTCACTCACTCCTCCACTCACTCACCTTCCACTCACTCACCTTCCACTCACTCATCTTCAATTCACTCACTCCTCCGCTCACTCACTCCTCCAGTTACTCACTCCTCCACTCACTCACCTTCCACTCACTCACCTTCCACTCACTCACTCCCCTACTGACTCACCTTCCACTCACTCACTCCTCCACTCACTCACTTTCCACTCACTCACCTTCCAGTCACTCACTCCTCCACTCACTCACTCCTGCACTTACTCATTCCTCCACTCACTCACCTTCCACTCACTCACTCACTCACCTTCCACTCACTCACCTTCCACTCACTCACCTTCCATTCACTCACCTTCCACTCACTCCTCCACTCACTCACTCCTCCACTCACTCACCTTCCACTCACTCACTCCCCCACTCATTCACCTTCCACTCACTCACCTTCCACTCACTCACCTTCCACTCACTCACCTTCCACTCACTCCTCCACTCACTCACGTTCCACTCACTCCTCCACTCACTCACCTTCCACTCACTCACTCCTCTGCTCACTCACTCCCCCACTCACTTCTCCACTCACTCACTCCTCCACTCACTCTTCCACTCACTCACTCCTCCACTCACTCACTCCCCCACTCACTCACTCCCCCACTCACTCACTTCTCCACTCACTCCTCCACTCACTCTTCCACTCACTCACTCCTCCACTCACTCACTCCCCCACTCACTCACTCCCCCACTCACTCACTTCTCCACTCACTCCTCCACTCACTCTTCCACTCACTCACTCCTCCACTCACTCACTCCCCCACTCACTCACTCCCCCACTCACTCACTTCTCCACTCACTCCTCCACTCACTCTTCCACTCACTCACTCCTCCACTCACTCACTCTTCCATGCACTTTCTTTTCGCTCACTCATTGTCCACTCATTCTGCCACTCACTGACCCTATACTCCCTCACTCCTCCACTCACTGTAACATAATGTCTCTACCCACCACAGCACTGAAATGGCCCCTGCTAAGACCACTCATGCCCTTGAGAACCTAAATCACTTTTCAACCCTCATTTTACCTGATGTCTTCACATTAGTTACATAGTCCCTCTTTTTTTCCACCCCTTTCGTTAACTCCATAGTTCTGTTTTTTTCTTTTTTCCTCCTTGTTCTTTTGTGGGTCTCCCTTCTTTACAGGACCTTGAAATATGGTAGTGTGCTGGGTTATAATCTAGGCCTCAACTTTACTCTTCCCTGGGGCTCGTCTCAGTGACTCATGGATGTGTATATTTAGCACAGAACTCCCTTGTGAGCTCCAGATTCATGTGCTTCTCTGCATATTTCCCTGACATCTGAAATTCAACTTGTTCAAAATTTCACTTGTGTTCTATTTATTCACCACATCACCAACCTGGCTTTTCTCTGGTGTTTGCTCTGAGGAAATGGCATCACTGTCAACTGAGGGGTTTGCCACGCATCTGGATGTTGTCTGCTTTTCCTTCCTCCCAGCTCACAGCAGTCACCAGGTCATGTCAACTTTACGTTACCTCCTCAACATCAGCCGACTTGTTCCTTTCTCTGCGTCCACTTCCTGTCATGGTCTCCTGGCCACTCTCTCCACTTCTGCTTTTGCCTCCTTTAATCCTCTCGCCTCACAGCAGCCACATGCATCTCCATGGGCTGAAATCTTCCCTCCAGTGGATTACCAGTGCTTTGAGTCAATTCCTAATATGAACCATCAAGCCTTACCTTGCCTATTTCTTTAACCTCATCTCCCTCTGTCCCCCATGATCTCTAGAGAGCAAACAGACAAGCTTCTTTCAAGTCCTTCACAGTGTGGTCTCCTTCCATCACTCAGACTTTGCCTGTGCTGTTCTCTTTCTCTAGCACACTCTTCCCACACTCACCCCACTCCCCTGTCTTGTTCCTACCCCTTCTTCAGGCCTCAGTTTAATTGTTATTTTCTTAAAGAAGCCTCTCCTCAATCTCTAGATTGTTAGGACACTTGTTCTATTTTCTTGTGGCACATTGCACTTTTCCCTCGCAGCATTTATCCACTCGACCTGAGTCATTATTTCTTCATGTGGTTAACAGACTGCTTGTGGGTACCGCAGAACAGTCCAGAGCACTGGTTCTGGAGTCAGACAGCACAAACTCAGATCCTAACTCTGCCATCCCATATCACTCCTCTGTGGTTTCATTTTCTCACCTGCCAAATGGGGTTAACAATAGCAACTATTTCACAGGGTCACTCTGGGCTTTAGATTAGATAGCAAGTAACTTATGCCTGGCACTCAATAAATATTAGGAAGGAAACTTTAGTAGATACTAAGTACTTGCTTGCTAAAAGAATGAATGTTTTTCATATAAAATGGAGATAACAGCATTTGCCCTGTAAACCCTTCAAGATGTATGTAAGATGAAATCAGTTTCTGAGTATGAAAGGCATTGTAACTTGTGTTAGGCTCTACAAACATGGGGTCCTCGTGTTGCTGTTTGTACTTCCCAGCCTTGACTTGTATTTTTCTTGACCAAAATGTCTTAGTGCCTCCATTTTGTTTTTAATAAGAGTGAAATGAAAACAGAATTGTAAACCCCATTGTCTTATATGTAAAAATGTTGTATCCAGACAGCAAAAGCTGCACTGCCCCCATTCCCAATAAGGAAAGACAGTGTAGCAAACACAAGACTCCCTCCCCAGGAGCATGCACAGAAAGCAGGGAAAAGAAACCTTCCCTAGGCTCTCCTTGAACTGTGTAAGCATAGCCTCCCTGACCCTAGGGCTGACAGTCTAGCATTTGATCCCCTGGGAAAATTTGTAGGCTTTAGTAAATGAATGGACCTTGAAGTTTTCCTTTGGGGGAGAGGTGCTATTTAAAACTCGGCAACAGCTGAATGCTAATGTACAGCAACAGCAGGAGCAGTGAAAGTTTGCTGCCATGCCTGAGCTAGGCCCCTAATTAATCAAACTCCCTTCCCTGTCCGCAGTCAATGCATTTTCTCTAATTTAGTTCAGTGCCACAGAGAAGAGTATATTCCTGCTATGAATAGAGTTCTAAAAGTTTACAGATTCTGAGGGTGGGAAGGTATCTTAGGTCCGCTGAATTCAAAAGCCTATTCCATGACATCAGTAATTCACTCCTTGATGCGTGGCCAAGCTGCAGGTGCCAACCTTCCTGCGTGGGGTCCCTTAACACAAGGGTGGGAAGGCCCCAAGCTATGTCCAATGTGTAGACAGCTCCTGGTTGATCCACCCAGTGGGACTCTGGGTCAAAAGAGGGGAGCCAGAGGCAGCAGGGATAACACAGCCAAGGTTTGTGGCTGGAACTGAGAGAGGATGCTGGGAGACAAAGGATAAGTGAGTGAAGATTTTAATGAGGAGGAAATGGTAAATGCAGGCATCAGAGATAAGGTGAGATGGCATAGAATGAAGTCCTCCCACCACGTTGAGCAAAACATCCCTCTTAGATGCCCACAGGTCCCACAGGTCCCAGGGGATTTGCAAGCCAGGGTGAAGTTTTCAGGGGTCCAAACTATCGCTAACAATGAAGGAGAACTTAAGGGGAAAATAAAATACCATTGAAAAATACTGAGAGAAGCATTGGGTTGGGCGTCAGGAGGTCTGTTTTCCAGTTCTGACCCCACCACTTGAGCCATTTGGGTAAGGGACTTAATCAAAATAGAGTGGTTTCATAGCTGTCAAAGCACTCAAAGCTATAGTCACTCAGCAGATTCAGTGCCAAATGACTTTCTGTTAAAGTCGTTCTACTTAGAACCCCCCACTTTGATCAAAAAGTTAACACATAGCTGACCACAAACCCCAAGCACTTTGGAAGGTGAGACATTGTCAGATTGCTGTGATAAGTAAATAGAGTACAGTGTGAAATTTCTAGAGGGCTGTCAGAAGAGAAGGCCTCTAACAGGAAATGCCGAAAGATCCTCCCAGTAGAATTTTTTTTTTCCCGGAAACTTCCTAAGAATCGCTCTAAATGTCACTATGCACAAACCCACTTGATCATCTCAATGGAACTGCGCCTTTCAGAAGTTCGACTGCGGCCCCAGCTATTGCTCTGAAACCCATCGCTGTGTTTGTGCTGAGACCTTGCCTCCCCAGGGCTGCTTCCAGCTCAAAACTGAGCATGACCGAGACTGAGACAGGCCCATTCCTCGGAAATGAGGGCCTCCTCTGATGCCCAGCTTTGACTAGGAGCCAGAACTATGTCTCAAACTGATGACTCTTTTGGCCCCTTTGACTTCCTGCCCACCTCAGACATTTCCCAAAGAGATCTCTTGCACATCTTATCCCATCTTTTTTTTTATTTTCTTTTTCTTTCTTTTTCTACTAAATAGATAAATATAAATATATATTTCTATTAAATATATAAATATAAATAAATATATAGTTCTATTAAATGTATAAATATAAATATATATTTAATTATATGTTATAATTAAATATATAGGAATTAAATTATAATTAAATTGTTTTAAAATTATAATTAAATTATAAATATATAATAACTTCTATATGTTTAATTATATATTATAATGTATTTCTGGAGAGAGAGAGAGAGAGACAGGGTCTTGCTCTGTTGCCCAGGCTAGAGCGCAGTGTGTGATCATGGCTCACTGCAACCTCAACTTCCTGGGCTCAAGCCATCCTCCCACTTCAGCCTCCCAAGTAGCTGGGACCACAGGTGTGCACCATAGTGCCTGGCTAATTTTTCTTTTTTTTTTTCTACTTTTTATAGAGGCAGAGTCTGCCTATGCTGGCCAGGCTGATCTCAAACTCCTGGGTTCAAATAATCCTCCTGCCTCAGCCTCCCAAAGTGCTGGGATTACAGGCACAAGCCACCATGTCCAGCCTTCATCCCATCTCGGTGCCTGCTTCCTGAAGGGCCTGGACTCACATGGCTTATTAACCAGTTCATAACTCATCGAATGAATGACTTTTTTTTTCGTTAAATTGTTTAGCCTTTTCAGGCAGAGCCACCAGCTCAGTCTCTACATAAATACAGTATTAAAAGTTTCACCCAGCTAAGCCAAAGTAGACATTTGGGTCTGGAACTAGCAGTGGGTCCCCTTTCTTATATCTGCGTTTTTTTGACTAATTTGCATTAAGGCTTAAAAAGTTTCGGGGACTAGAACTCAACCTGTATTAATAACTGGGGGCCAGGCATGAACAAATATGACTAGCAGACAACTGAAGGAGCAAAGAGAAACCAGGTTAGAATGAGGCACTAGGTACCTCTGAACATCCACCTGTGAACTGAAACTGTCCTTTCCAAGCAGCCCTGTCAGTGTTTACCTGCCTTGGGGGAAAACGTGGTATTTGTGTAAAAGTAAAAGCGTTGACCTTCACGCATTGCTGGTGGGAATGTACCTTGGTGCAGCTGCTGTGGAAAACAGTTTGGCAATTCTCAAAAAGTTAAACATAGAATTGCCATATGATCCAACAATTGTATCAAATAGATGCTTATAAGCCAATTTTCATAGCAGCATTATTCACAATAGCCAATAGATGGAAACCTCCTAAATGTCCATCAAAAGATGAACAGGTAAAAACAAAATGTGGTATAGCCATACGAGATATTATTCAGCCATTAAGTCATGAAGTTCTGATGCATGCTACAACATGAATGAATTGGAAGACGTTATGCTAAATGAAAGACACCAAAATAAAAAGATAAGTATTGTATGATTCTGCATATATGAGGTACTTAGAATGTGGCAAATGCATAGGTAAAAATTAGATTAGAGGTTGCCACGTGTTGGAGGAGAGAGAAATAAGGAGTTATTTTTTAATGGTTAAGACTTTCTGTTTGGGATGATGAAAAAGTTTTGGAAATAGTGATGTTTGCACAACATTGTGAATGTAATTAGTGCCGTTGAATTGTACACTTAAAAGTGGTTGAAACGGTAAATGTTCTGTTGTATACATTTTATAATTTTTAAAAATTAATAACACAATATACCAAAAAACACTGATTTGCACACTTTAAACGGGCAAGTTGTATAGTATGTGATTATCTGAATAAAGCTGTTTTCTAAAAAAAAGCCAAAGCACTGGAGCAGCTCTGGGCCATGAAACCTGGCTGTGGGATCCCGGTAAGAGGGTCAGACCCAATGAAGACGGTGGGTATTTCCCTCTCCATTGGCAAGTGGATGGCAGCAGCAAGGGCCCACACACAGGGCAGGTGGCATTTCCTGGCCAGGTGGGCAGCTCCAGTGGTGTCATGTTAACCTGGAGGAAGCGCCTGGAAAGAGGCTTGCAAGTGAACAACAGCAAAGCACAAGCCGCCAGAGGAGTGAGAAGGAGTTCAGAGGTATTCTAGAGTGAGCCTTAAGTGAAGAGTGACCCCTGGAGGGCTCCTTAAAATAACAGATGTCGGGGAGACATTGAGAAGGGACAAGGGGCCAGGTGCTTCACATTTCCCCTGGTGAGAACTGTTAAGTGAAACCTAAATACACATGCCAGTGTGACCACAATTACTCCCTACATCATTTGTACTCCCAGGCAGTCAGTCCAGGGGTGCATGGTATTTCAGTCAAGAATTGATACAATCATGTAGATAACTTAACAAATAAGAAAGACAAATGTTGCTTTATTAGCTGAGTTCCCTATTTTTTGTAGGCATGGTGTTTGGGCTCTGGATTACATGTTTCATTTTCTGAATTTTCCATTTCTAGCACAAGTGGGTATACTTAAGAAGTATGAGGAAATGTGGAAATAATGCTGGTTTTTATCAATATAGAAAGGTTAACTAGACCATCTAAAAGACACACTTCTTACAAATCTGGTGGCGACTTGTCCCTTTTGAAACCAGAGCTTCTGTCAGCATGAATGAATGAAATGTTCATTCATCCTAGGAGAAGGACACAAAATACTGAGGTACGTGTGATGATGTTAAAATAAGTCTCTATATTCTGCATGTTGGCCATGCTTCCTCACATTAAATTTCCATGTTAAAGCAATTACCAATGGTTAGACTGTCAACACAACGCTCAAACACCTACCTGGCTACTGCCAGAACACACTGAAATGACGTATTTGTATGTAGATAGTAATATAAGCTATATATATAGCACCACTAACAGGTAGTAGTAGTATGGAAAAATGATTATTTGGGATTATTGTTACTGACAATGCATTTTTTGTTTTTAATTATTGGAGAAGATAACATGTGCAATTAAAGATAGATAAATGGGTTTATAGGAGAAAGTTTCCCTCACAGTGCCCCTTCTTATAGAAGCAACCATTGTTCCTTATACAAGCAACCGTTGCTTCTGTAAGTAGCCATTGTTCCTCCTGGAGACTCAATACGACTTTCAATCATGCTAAAAGTTTATTTGCATTTGGAATAGATCAATAGAGTCATTCTTAGAGACAAACCTCTTTTAAATTAATGCTTTGTTCACAAACACAAATGTATGTATTTGCAAACACATACACACACACAGGTTAGTCAAAAGTCTCTAACAGACTGGAAAAATAACAAAACAATGGGTTTAATCACTGTCTATAAATAGAAAAAAAAATCTCAAAATGTATAGAATTTCTAACACCTAAAAATGTTTGAATATTGATGATTGACAAGATTTTTCTGGCAGTGTTTTGTTTTTAAAAAGTGAAGTTGCCCTGTGGAAATAAGTGCTTTTTTGTAGTGACTTGGACACCACATACTGTATATGGTATGTGTAGAAATGTCCACAAAAAATAGCTATAACTTTTAAACCATTTTTCTCCTGGCCCATTACTCTGCAGGGGTAATTTGAGTAGGCATTGATGATGATAAACACCACAGTTTAGAAGATGTTAAACCAACCTTATCAGAGCTCACATAGAGAAACAAATTAGGCAAACTGCAGTAATTTCAGCTAATGAAGTTTGATTCTAAACATCCAGATCAATTAAGCTTCAAGTACTTGCTTGGGTTCCTGCTCTGTAAGGCAGTGAGGATGTGCTAGTTGGAGGACGGGCTGGGAGGACTCATAGAAGTTTATAAATAAAGATGAAAGAAGTATTCAGTGCTTCCTGGAATATATTTCACAGGCTTTACTGAGTGAGGATCACATCATATGAAACTGAAGGAAAAGCACATGCTTCATGTGGAAGGTTCATCTATGTGAACCCTCCTTATTGAGGGCCTCCTGGGTTGCAGTGCTCTAAAGACCTGGTATTGTGAGAATGTGGCCAGCCTTCTGCATAAAACTACACTGTAAGAAAATGGGCATAAATGAGGTAAAATGGCTTCCGTGGAAGGGTGAGGATTGCAGAGGCTGGAAGTCAAGAGACTGAGAGAACTTAATCCTAGCTCTGCCAGGAACTACTGTATTTTCTTTCTCTGAGTCTTGGTCTCCTAATCTACAGAATGAGAGATCTAGAATGGATCATTTCTTCTGCCTCTTCACTTTCTTACGGTCTCCATTTCAACCCAGGTCTTCCTCTGAGCTGGTGAGAAGTTCTAAGTGCAGAAGTGTGTATCTGTGCTGGGTGTGTGTGCAAGAGCACACAGTTGCGAATGCACGTGAGAAGATGGAGGACAGCAGGAAGGAAAGGAATGAGGAAGCAATTCCCAACCTGGCCCTCTCCTGAGTTTGGATGGATAAGTATGTCTTTAGAGACGTTAGCCTCCATTGGTTACGTGCCCAGTCCTGTCCTGAAACTAATTCAGACCACTATTCGCTATGGTGGTGGCAAGTTGGGGATTCTCACCAGACACACATCTGAGAAAATTGACCCTTACAGTCACACTTACATATTTGCCCCACCCACAGACCCAGGCTGAAGAAGTCAACATTTTATTCCCTTCCATTTCCACTTCCTCTCTGTTCCTTATCACCATGGACACCCACTAACCCCACCCTGCTCAGAACCTCCTAGAAACAGATGGCAACTCAGATAAGTGGCCTCCAAATATTTTTAGAGCATATATTCCCTATCTGTGAGTATTTAGTAATAAAATATACATGCATTAGTGGTATACTATATGATTGCATATATTATAAAAATAGAAATTAAAATCACATAAGTTTATAAAAGAACAGAAATAGACATTTTCATTTTCCTGCCACACCCAAGTTTCATCTCATGCTCCCCCTGGATGCACGCATGACATAAGGTTTGCTTTTATGTCATTGGCATCAGACTGATTTGGGAATGAGCCTTGACTCTACCCCTTACCAACTGTGGGGAAAATAACTAAGCCTCAGTTTCCTCATCAATAAAACAATACTGTACTTCTGTGTGGTGTTGTCAGAAGGATTTTCATCATCTAGACATTTTCTTTATTCCTCTTCAAACTCTTTTGTCTCATTTATTCACTCGTGCATTTTATTATTTATTCTACAAATATTTATTAAGCATTTTTAATTCTTTAAGTGCTGTTCCGATTGATGGGAATACATAAGGAACCAATACAGTCAAAATGCTTGCCCTTGTGGATTTTATGTCCTAGTGGGGAAGACAAAGAGTAAACAAATAAACATATTATGTCAAGTGATGAGTGGTCAGTATTGTGGATACAAAAAGGCAATATAAAGTGATATGAATGTGAGCAGGAGCTATTTTGGATTGAGTGACCAAAAGTGTTTGTTGAGGGGTGACATGTGGATAGAGACCTGAATGAAATGGTGAGAGAAGGCATCTGAGGGATTTATGAAGAGCATCCATTCAAGGGACCATACATGTGCAATTTCTGAAGCAGAAATGAGCTTGGCATCTTCTAGGACCAGTAAGAAGCCAATGTAGCCACAGCAGAAGAAATAAGTTAGGCAGTAACCAGATTATGTTGGACCTTAAAAACATTTTCGGGACTTTGAATTTTATTTGAAGTATGCTGGAGAACTGCAGGAGAGGACTAGAACCACATTGAAGGCCAGTTAGCATGACTCTCAGGGACTCCTGGATAACAGAGCCTAGATCTACATGACTGCATTCAGGAATCACTTGGATCAGGCTTTATCAGCCTGGGGAAGATGGGGTGTCAACTGAGGGCTGTATTTGCATCTAAACCTATGGTGGCATGCTGTTCTCTCCAGTGATCTTAGATGTTGGATAACCCTGAATGTACCTGGTTCAGCAGAGTTGGGCTCCAACCACAGTCCATACCAAGAGACACACGGAACTCTTCCAGCCTCATACTATACAAACTATAAAAAAAGAATGAACTCATGGTTGCTGGTGTTTGTTTGTTTGTTTGTTTGAGATGGAGTCTCACTCTGTCACCAGGCTGGAGTGCAGTGACACAATCCCGGCTCACTGCAACCTCCGCCTCCCGGGTTCAAACGATTCTCTTGCCTCGGCCTCCCAAGTAGCTGCTACTACAGGCGCGCACCAGCACACCCAGCTAATTTTTGTATTTGTAGTAGAGATGGGGGCAGCAACATGGAACATGCAGGAACTGGAGGCCATTATCTTAAGTGAAACTACACAGAAACAGAAAGTCAAATACCACTTGTTCTCACTTAAGTGGGAACTAAATAATGTGGACACATGGACATAGAGTGTGGAATGATACACATTGGAGACTATAAAGTGGGGAGGGTGGAAGTGAGGTGAGGGACAAGAAAGTACTTAATGGGTACGATGCACATTATTTGGGTGATGGTTACACTGAAAGCCCAGAATTGACCACTATGCAATATATCCATGTAACAAAACTGCACTTTGTACTCCTTAAATGTATACAAATTTTTTTAATGAACCTAAAATGAGATGGTTGAGCTTCCAAATGTTCTGATGTGACACTCACTCACTCAGACATTGCTATCTGTGACCTGTGGCTAGCTAATGAAACTTTTTTTTTTTTACACTTTAAGTTCTAGGGTACATGTGCACAATGTGCAGGTTAGTTACATATGTATACATGTGACATGCTGGTGTGCTGCACCCATTAACTCGTCATTTAGCATTAGGTATATCTCCTAATGCTATCCCTCCCCCCTCCCCCCACCCCACAAGAGTCCCCAGAGTGTGATGTTCCCCTTCCTGTGTCCATGTGTTCTCATTGTTCAATTCCCACCTATGAGTGAGAACATGCGGTGTTTGGTTTTTTGTCCTTGCAATAGTTTGCTGAGAATGATGGTTTCCAATTTCATCCATGTCCCTACAAAGGACATGAACTCATAGCTAATGAAACATTTCGAGATCCAAAAGCTTACAATCACCACTTGTCCAGAAAAATGTTGCTGATACATTTGATGTGTAGTCTACAGGGGCTTTTACTGTCCTTTAGAGAAGTAGATTTCTTTTGATTTACCCAAGTGTATAAATTTCTAATACTGATCTTTCTGTCACTCTGAACCTACTATTGACTTGACCATGTAGAATAGAAACCCAGTGTCTGTGTAGGAACCAGGACGTTGCAGGGTTTGGGGCAGGGACTAACAAGATATAGTTTGCATGCTTCAAAGATCTCTCTGTCTTCTGTATGAGGAATTTATTCTAGGGAGGCAAGAATAGAAGCAGGGAGACAAGTTAGAAGATTATTAGGATGATGGTGCTGGCGATGGTAAGAAATCGGGATGTATATTGAAGGTAGAACCAGCAGAATTTACTCATGCATTGACTATGAAAGGGAAAAGCGAATCAAATAAAACTTGGAGGTTTCCTCCTGATTACCTGGGAGAATACTGATGGTATTTATTGAGGTATGGAAGGCAGGGCATAACAGGTTGGGGTGAACAGAGCACTCAGGAGTTTTGTTTAAGGCATATTAAATCTGAGATGCTTATTGGACATCTCAATAGCAATGTTGGGTAGGCAGTTAAATATATGTTTGGTGCTCAAAAGGAAGAGATGCCAGTGCTAAAGACATACATCTGGGAGTCTTAGAAGATTGTATTATTGACCCCAGCTATTTGCTCTCTTTCTGGTCATGTGACTTTTTCTTCCAGGGATGACTATACCTTCCTTCCTCATGGAATTTATGAGCATGTTCTGGCCACCCAGATGTAAGTTTCCTATGTCAAACTAGAAGTTTCTGATGTGATTATCTGGTTTACCTCTGTTTCTATTGTTCCTGCTCTCCACACTATAAGAACAATATGTCCAAGATAAGGGTGGCTACATCAGTTCTGGGTCCTGAAATAAAAAGACGCATGGACTTGAACACAGTCAAGCTGAGCTGAGTCACAGATAATCCCTCAGCCCTCATGTAACATGAACAAGAAATCAATAAATGTTTATTGTTGTTAAATACTGATATGTTGGAGTTATTTGCAACCTCAGTAAAGGCCAACTAATAAAAAAATTGGTAACAGAAGTGCTACCATATCTAAAAATATAAAATATGAGGCATTAACTTTAGGGCTAGGTAGCAAGGGAATTCTTCCAGGAGGTTGGACAAGTAAGATTCATGATATGCAGTCGTGAAAAGTTTGGTCAAATTGTGTCTTCTAAACTTGGAAGGCAGATAATGTTCCTAATGGACTTGCTGCATATGGACAAATATAGAAGGATTGAAAAATTGAAAGAGAGCATGATGGTAATATGAATAAGAGGTGAGCTCAGAAAGAATTCACCTATTTCAATGAATGAGATGGAAAATAGGCAGCAAAGAAATTCTGGGCCTTCAAGTTTGGACAATAAAATCCTTCTCACCTCCCACCTATAAAATATAAAATTTAAGTATTCCTTGAAATAGAAAGGCCTTTTAATACTCCATCTCAGGGCAAAGACAGAACCAAAGGTGTCATCATCAGGCCTATGTTAAGATTTCTGGTTGGATTAAGGTGACTTGCAGACATTTTTTTTTCCACCACTGGACAAAACGGCTCAGGGAAAAGAGATCAAGAGTACGTTCCTATGAAAGCATGATATACCCACATACCCATAATCAAGTCTAGAGAAAGTCTTTCTTGAAATGAGTAATGGTTGTGTCTATTGGAACATGGATCCAACCAGTACCAAATAGATTAAAACAATACAACAAAGTGTTTGAGAGAGTTAGGTTGTCAAAAGTGCTGCCAGTCTGTGACTATTTGAAAAGCAAAGTTGGCCCTTAGGCTAATTTGCTTTTAAATGACTTTAGAGATGGGGTCTTTTTCTGTCACACAGGCTGGAGTGCAGTGGTGTGATCACAGCTCACAGCAACCTCAACCTCCTGGGCTCAAGTGATCCTCCTGCCTCAACCTCCCAAAGTGCTGGAATCACAGGTGTCAGCCAGCCCTTAGGCTAAGTTTTTATGGGCAAGAATATGATGTATTCTGAGGGAAGAAAATATATGTGATCAATGTTGGATCATGATAGATTATTATTCCCAATTATTTGTTCCCATAGTCTAATAGGATGATTTATCCTCACTCACTTTCTGTCATGTGAGTTGTCTTCCCTCTTCGGAGAGACAATGTGTCTCCACTTCACATATTTGGATACATGAAATAATTCAGTTAATAAGATGTGAGGACATGTACATATCTGAGAAAAAGCTTTAAATATGATTTCATGGTTTGTGTTGCACTCTCTTGCTCTATTTTCCACAATAAGACAACGTATTCCAGAAAAGGGCTCTTCAATCTAGGATAAGTCACACTGAGTTTAGCAAAGCTAAGCAGAGCCACAGCTGACCCACAGCCTTAGCGTAAATGGTCAAGAAATAAATCGTTTTTGTAAGGCAGTGAGATATTGGGGCTACCTGCTACTGTGACAGTAGTTAGTTAACACAGGAGTCATCTGTGTATGGGTAATGTATTTAAGGCCATAGAACTCAATGAGATTACATAGGGAATAAGCACAGATAAAGAGACAGACTGAGCCTGGGAAGAGGAGACTCCAGGAAAACAGACTGAGAAACCATGGACAAAGATGTTAGAAGGAAGCAGGAAAGAACCAGATGAGAGGCCAGTAAAAAAACAAACAAACAAACAAACGTGCTTTATGAAAGACAGCATAGTCCATAGTGTCAGACACTGCTGAGGAAAAGAAAAAGATACAGAAATGATACTAAATTTAGCAAGGAGGAGGATATTGATGACTTTAACAAAGATGATTTCCATTAATTGGTGGGAAACATAGATTGGCAAGAATTGGATAGAATATAAGTTGAAAAAATGAAGACAAAAATACACATTTTTTTTTATAAATTTTCATTAAAGGGAAGCAGAGACATGAAGAATTACCTGAAGGGAATGAAGAAGTTTACAGACTCCTGTCTCATTTTGTTTTCCAAATGAGAGATAGCACAGGATGTGTACATGTGGATGGGGAAATCCAGTAGAAAGCCATCATTTCAAGGTAAGAGGATGCACTAATTGATGCTCAGATGAGCAATGAATATACCATATTTAACATTAGAATTTTTATATTGATAGTGTTAGATCATATCATTGCCAAAAACACAAAGAAAGATATTAAAATACTGTCATGCCAGTTATTCTCTCCCCTTCAGTTCTCCGAGGACTGTGGGAGGGGCACCCACAAAGAATAAAACAAATAAGAATTAAAATATCCTGTACTGATGGTGTACAAGTGCCCCAAAACTCCAGGTCAAAGTCCTAATAATGGTTGACTAAGACCCTACAGCTCAACCTTCTTGTCCAAGTCCTGAATCCAATTAATGGGATTTTATCCTCTCTAGGTAACTGCAGAAAGGGCAACTGAAGAGAGTGATCAGTCCTGAATTCACTTTCATACCCCCATGGGATGAAAGAGAGAGCAAGGGAGCAGGGGCTGTGTTTGTGTTTCTTATGCCACAATAAGAAACTGCTCATATACTCAATGTCTTGAGCTCCAATAATTCACATGATTCTTCATCCCCGGCAGAGGTGTTGGCAAAAGCTAGCAAAGTGTGAGTAAAGTTGGTCATGCAGTGGCAAGTTCTCCTTACCCTATGTTGGGAGTTGGTAGGTGATTGTGCTATTCTCCATGGACAACTCATTCATATTTAACTGGGAACCTCTGAACAAAATATCCTAATCCAAAGGCATGGCCTTCTATAGTGTAAATTCTAGACATCAAGGCACAGTACTCCTAAGTCCTCTATTTCTCTAGCAGTAAAGCTGGTTCATGCAAAGCTCAGTCTCCCCTGGGGGCCCTTGCATGTCCATCATACACAGGTTATTTACTATAAAACCTCTAGAAAAATCCCTTATGAGGTCTGTTCCTTCCTTCCTAGGATATTCAAATGGACATTCTCTTTCCAAACAGCCCATAACTATCAAATCACTTGATTTTTAGTGCAAAGAAAGAACAATTGCACCAGAATCCGGTGACCATGCTTTTTGGGTAGCTCACAGAGAATTTCATAATTCAGAATTAATTAGGCAGTGAGCAAGAACAAGAGGCATATTTTGGTGTATTAATTCATGCCAAGTTCAAACTCATTCCATCTCTGTTGCCCGGTGTGAATAATTATGCCATTAATCCCAGGCAGGAGGAGAGCTATTGTGACTACAACACATTTCTAAAGCAAATAAAGAAAAATGTCACTTCTCCCTTTCAACTAATGCTCTGAATACAGCTACATAATAATAATAGTCATTTATTTATAGGGCATAAATTCCCTAGGGCTCAATAAGCCACAGGATAAGCAAAATGCCAGTTAAAGAGAAAAAAAACAGAACTTTTCCAGTTATTAATAATTCTGAAACAAAGCACTTGTTGGGGAGAATGACCAAGAGGAGAAACTGAAAATTTAAGGAGAGCTTGGAAAAGGGCTCAAAGAAAGAGACAGTTGTGTGGCTTTTTCATTTTCTTCTCCCCTCCTGTTACATACTGCTCCCACTGTGACTCAGAGGGCCAGCTGTCTGGGGAAGAAAAATTTGACACATTTTTTAGGTTGGTGCAAAAGTAATGGCAAAAACCACAATAACTTTTGCACCAACCTAATAATCAGCCCTGAATGTCACCCTGATGCTACACACCCTTTGCTGTGAAAGCAAAATAGGTCGACCTGCCCCCTTCCCCATTTCTGAATTCCTTTCCAACTCACAGATGGCTTATTGAGCATAGAAGTATTGGAGGATCAGTGTGGTTTCCCATCCAGCCTCTCTTATGAGGGTCAGAAATGCATGGGGAGTAGCAGTCAAGAGGGTGCCCTATGTGCGTCATTTCCAGCTTCACAATGTTGAAGAGGAGATTGGGGATAGACAGAGGAGTGGCACTATGCAGAAGCAGTTCTACATTTTTCTACATTTCCTCTGAGACAGAAGGAATAGGGTCGAGGCCCACCAGGCAGGAGCCCTGAGTGCCAGAGGTCACAGAAGCAGTGGGGATCAGTCCACACTGCCCTGACACTGGCCCTTCTGCAGAGAGGTGGTGGCTGCTCTGGGTTCACACGTAGCCCTGCCCATTCCGCCAGTCAGAGCTGGCAAGAGATCCTTTAGCCACAAAGGCAGAGTGGCTGAGTTAGGAGATGGGGCAGGCCCTTCTCCTCAGTGGCTCCCACACCTAGCAGTGTCCAGAACACAATTCAGTGTTGCATGAACGAAATGAAGTGCTCTCAGTCTGCCTCTCATTCTTTCTTTATTTCACTTGGGGAAGTCACTTGACTCATTGAGTTTCAGTTTTCCTAGGTATAAAATGCTAACGATATTATATTATGAAGATGAACTATTGGAATTGCTATTTTTGTGGCCCAGAATTTTTAGAATGTCAACAATTTCACAAGGTTCAAACTAATAATTTATTTATTCCTTCATCCATCAATGAATGGCCACTATATGCTTAAAGCTGAGGATTCAGCAAGGAACAAAACAAATGATCTGGCCATGAATCTGACATCTTAGTTACATCTTAGTCAGGGGAGGGCAGAGTATGAACACACAGAGACAGGGAATCTTCTCTCAGGGGTAAATGCTGAAAGAAAAATACATCAGGATATGGGACCAGAGAGTGTGGAGGTGGCTACCCGTGACAGGGTGGCTAAGAGAGTCTTTTCTGAGGGGTTGGCATTCGAGTAGAGACCTGAAGAAAGCAAAGGAGAAAATAAAGATCTGGGAATAGAGCATTTCAGAAAGGACATTCCTGCAGGTGGAAAGGAGTGAGGGGTGGGAAGAGTGGAGGAGGGCAAGGTCAGAGAGTAGGCCATGGGAAAGACTTTGCAGTTTAATTCTAAATGAGACAGGAAGTCATTGGAGGGTTCTGAACACAGATGTGATACATTTTTCTAAGATCGCTGTGGTTGTTTAAGTGAAGCAAGTGAGGGCAAGGGGAGGGGAGAACGACGCAGACCACTTAGAATGTTACTGCTGTCATCAAAAGAAAGATAATGAGGACTTGGACTAAGATGGTAGCGGTGTCCGTGCCAAGAAGTGGTTATATTTGGAATATATTTTGAAAGTGGAGCTAACAGGAATGACCAGTGAACTGGCTGCAAGGTGCGGGAAAGAGAAAGGTCAAGAATGACTCCTAGGCTTTGGGCCTATGGTAATAAGTGGCTGGCGGTGCCAAGGGGGAATGGGGTGGAGCAGGGTCGGGAGAGGAGGAATCTAGAGTTCTGCTTTGCACACAATTGCATTTGTTTTGTCTGTCGGTACATGTGGAGAGTTGAGCGGGCCATCTGGAGCTTCATGGAAATGTCAGGGCTAGAGATAGCTCCTTCCAGCTATTTCGGGGCTAAACTTAGATCAAACACATGCACACTCTTGGGGATCTGTAAAGGACAGGACTGTATGAACACAAGGAATAAGTGACTAGATGCTTTCCCTGGGTTGCTATGTCAAATATGCTTATTAATATTTTAGAAACCAAACCTTTCTTCCCATATTCTAATTGATCGTCTATTCAACAAGTTTTACAATATAAATTTTAAGAATGTGCATTTTTCTAGGAACTCGGTAAAATTACGATTATTTGAAAATAAAATAATGTCTTTTACTAATAGTTTTACTTTCCCTGAATTGCTCCCTCACGTGGCGGGTAAAAGAATCTGCTCTGGACTCCCCAGTCTAGACAGTAAAAGAACTCAGTCTGGACACTAGAGGGCGCAATGCAGACAGTCAGAGCAGCCGCAGGAACTGAAAGGCGGCAATTCAGGAGTTCGCAGATCACTCCCTCTCCTGCTGTGTAAATCAGGGGTCCCGGCATTATGAGTCAAGGAGGGCAGCCCCCAGGCCACCAACGTGTGACCATTTTGATCAGGGGGATAATAGGGCCAGGCAGGGTTTTTCCAAAGGGAGCCCCTGGCAAATTTAAGGCACATCAGAGGAGAAAAAAGAAGTTAAGGAGAGAGGACACGTCAAGGAGAAAGAGAAAGAAAAATAAAGTAAGCAAAAATGAGGGAAACCAAGAAGTGCCTATTATAGAAGAATGGGAGAATTCCAGAAAGTCAGGGACAGAAAGGGCCTCAGAGACTTTTTATTTTTTTCTTTAAACTGGGTCTCGCTGTGACACCCGGGCTGGAGTGCAGTGGCGTGATCACAGCTCACCCCGACCACCCTGGGAGGATCAAGCGATCCTCCCGCCTCAGCCCCCCGAGTAGCTGGGATTACAGGTGCACAACATCACGCCTAATTTTTGTATTTTTTGTAGAGAAGGAGTTTCACCATATTTCCCAGGCTGGTCTGGAGCTCCTGGGCTCAAGAAATAAACCTGCCTTGGCCTCCCAAAGTGCTGGGATTACAGGTGTGAGCCACCACGTCCTGCCCAAAGACCATTTTTATTGAACTTTCTGTTTCCCAGATAAAAGGCTGAGGTGCTTCCTGGAGTTAAGTTTGGAGGCCTCCCAGGGTTGCTGTGCTCTCAGTCAGTGGTCTTCATTTCCCTACCATGTCATCTTCACAAAGTGTATGAACCTTACCAGGTGTCTCCTAGATGTCACATCATTCTCAACAAGCCTTAATGTGAGCACCCACTTACTTCACATATTTATTTTGCTGAGTCCCAAATGAACTGTCAAGTACGAATGTGGAATGCTGCTATGGCATAAGTATGATGATACAACTTGTACTGACATGCTAGATACAATAAATCTGCATTTAAGATGTAATTACAATAACTGGTTTTGTGGCTACAACTTTAAAAGGGCTGTGGGGATGACATTCAATTTCCCAGCATTCTTAAAACATTAAAAAAGTTTTGCATGCCTGCAGCATGCAAAATTATAGATGAAGAATCAAAGTTTTGGTATCACAGATATGGGTTTAAATCCTGGCTTTCAGTGGTTGCTAGCCCATGATTTGGAGCAATATTTCTAAGACCTCTTGCCTTCTCATCTATAAAATGAAAATAATAATAGTACTATGTCAGAGGATTGTTGTGAGGGTTAAATAAGATTGTTGGTAAAACTTCTAGTTCATTGTATCCTCTCAATAAGCAATTTGTAATGTTCACGTCAGAGAAAAACTGATATCCTTAAACAATAAAAGATTCTGAAAACAAATAGGGAAATGGACACAGGATATGAATAAATGATTCACAAAAGGAGATAAATACATGTGAATTAAAGTTTACAAGTAGTCAAAGGATGCAAAGTAAAGCAACAAGTGGAAACATATTTCTCCTCCTCCTTGGTTTCTTATTTCAGTTAAAAGCAGGCTCACTCAATCAGTTGTCTAAGCCAAACACCTGAAAATTAAAATCAACTACTTCCTCAAACACGGGACAATTTGAGCATCAAAATAAATAATAGCATTATAACCTATTGAATAAAGTAAGAATTCCAAAGTCCACACTGATATAAATAAATGAATGTATAAACAGTAAGTAGGAGAGAAGGGAAGGCTTTTCTTTACAGAAGAAAGTCAGATAATAATAAATGTAGAAAGAATGACAAAATCAGAAAATAATTTGTCAGTCATCCTAATAATAATTCTTTTAGGCAAGACGATTGCAACTAGTAGGAGAACATTTAAGGAGTATCTCCCCACAAGATACTTAATTGATTACAAAAGGTAAATTGGTAAATGTACTAACTTACTGGAGAAACCAAGCAGGTTTAATTTTAACCAGTTGATGGAATGTGACACTTCCAATAATGAAACTCGTTGACAGCAGAGCCTCCTGATGTGATGCAAAAACTCAGCATTGCTTCTGTGAGATCCCTGCCAAAAGTCCATAATCTGCATGTGATCATGTGGAACATCAGACAAACCCAAACTGAGGACCATCTACAAAACAACTGCCTGTCCTCTTAAAAACTGTCAAAGCCATGAAATACATAGAAAGACTCAGAAACTGCTCCAGATTAAAGGAAACTAAAGAAAGAAAGACAACAAAGTGCTATGCATGATCTCGAATTTTCTATTGCTATAAGGGACATTATTAGAAAAATTGGAAAAATATGAAAAAATTCTGTAGATTAAATAATAGCACATAGCATTATTAACTTTGGATTTTAATAGTGGTCAAGGTTTAAAAGAGAATTTCTTGCTTTTGGAAAAACACACTGAAGAATTTAGTTGTAGAAAGGCAATATACCTGCAAATTACTTTTAAATGGAAGAGAGAGAGAAAAGAAAGAAAAAAAGAAAGAGAACGATTTCTAATCCTTTGGGTATATACCCAGTAATGAGATTGCTGGGTCAAATGGCATTCCTGGTTCTAGATCCTTGAGGAATCATCACACTGTCTTCCACAGTGGTTGAACTAATTTACACTCCTGCCAACAGTGTAAAAGCGTTCCTATTTCTCCATATCCTCTGCAGCATATCCTGACTTTTTAATGATTGTCATTCTAACTGGCGTGAGATGGTATCTCATTGTGGTTTTGATTTGCATTTCTCTAATGACCAGTGATGATGAGCTTTTTTTCATATGTTTGTTGGCCACATAAATGCTGGATAAAGAAAATGTGGCACATATACACCATAGAATACTATGCAGCCATAAAAAAGAATGAGTTCATTTCCTTTGCAGGGACATGGATGAAGCTGGAAACCATCATTCTCAGCAATCTAACACAGGAACAGAAAACTAAACACTGCATGTTCCCACTCATAAATGGGAGTTGAACAATGAGAACACATGGACACAGGGAGGAGAACATCATACACCAGGGCCTGCTGGGGGGTGGGGGGCTAGGGGAGGGATAGCATTAGGAGAAATACCTAAAGTCGATGACGAGTTGATGGGTGCGGCAAACCACAATGGCACGTGTATACCTATGTAACAAACCTGCACGTTCTGCACATGTATCCCCAAACTTAAAGTATAATAATAAGAAGAAGAAAGAGAGAGAAAGAGTGAGAAATGTAGAAAATGTTGACATTTTGAATCTTGGTGAGGGGTGTCCAGAAATTATTTGTCTTATTCTTGCAACTTTTCTGTAATCCTGAAATTATGTCAAAATACAATGTTTTTTTAACTGGCTTCATTCTTTTCCTTACCCCACAAATGCATCAATCACCAAGTCCCTGTGGTTCCATTTCCTAAATACCTCAACAAACATAGTCACTTCTATTTTTCTCTACCGCCACTACCCTAATACAAACCACCCCTCTTGCATGAACTACAAAAACAAATAATAAAAAAATAGCAAATATCTAAATGGTATAATCTTAGAAACTTTTACCTTTCTAGCCTTCCTTCTAAATGGGCTTGTATTTGAGGTCCCAACCTATCAATAAGATAAGAAAAGGGAATAAATGTAAGGATTGGGAAATAAAATAAAGTAGTAATGTTTATAGATGATATGCCTGTCTATCTTCTCTACATAGATGACCCAAGAGAATCTACAAACTAGTACAACTAATTATACTCAATGAGCTCAATATACAAAAACCAATTCCTATACAACAACCAATGAAAATATGTATTTTTAAAGGTAACAGTAATAAAAGTACAGGATGTCTAGAAACAAATCCAACAGAGATGTAAGATATGTACAGATTAAAATAATAAAAGCTTATAAGGAACATAAAAGAAGACTTAATAAATTGAAAAGATATAAAATATTGATGGATGGTGTAGCAGAGCTACAAGTTATCTATACGAAACCTTGGCATCACCTTTTTTGTGAACAAAATTCAAAATTTAGGGAGAGAGGAGTATAAAATATATTTTTGCTAAATTTTCTTTCAGATAGGCATAATATTTTACAAAGTTCTGACCAATAAAAGGTAAACAAAAGTCTGAGATCATTTCTATTTTATTGTTATTTTATTTTTTCTTTTGCTTTTTGGGTGAGGCATCAACCCTCTTTCTTCTTCCTTGTTCCTGATACAAATCTGACTTGATGCCTGGAGTAGCTGCAACCATCTTGTGGCAAGGAAGCAATAAGCATAAGGGGGAATATCAACATATACATACAGAAGTCCAAGACACTGATGAGAAACATTACACAGTCACTTCAGCAGCCCTGGACTGCTCATCTCCAGACTGGTTGTCATATAAGAAACAGAAACCGTTACTGTTTGCACTGCTATGTCAGGTTTCTCTCACTTGAATCAAAAATATTGCTGAATGTTACAGATGGGAACACACAAAGTTTTAAAAATGGTAATTCTCCCCAGATTAATTAATAAATTCAAGTAGACAAGTGTAATCTGGATATGGCTGAAAAACCTTGTTGCTCTTTGCAGAGTTGTGTGAAATAGCAAACAGGAAGCTGCTACATCCGGTTCTGGGCACTCTTAGGCTTTTGCTGGGACCAACCCAGACACCTAGAGATTTTGTGCTTTACTTACAGCATGTACCTGCTTCTTCCATGGGGCCACTCCATAAGCTCCTTTTGCACAAGGACAGCCCATCCTCAGCAATGACCTCAGCCCCCGACCACCCCTCTTTCCATTCCCCCACCCACAGTCATATTTTATTTTGACATGGAGCAGGATGTCGAGGGAGTTTTCTTAGAACTGATTCTATTTCAGGGGCAAACATTCACTCTCAGTGAGCTTAGGGTGGGGAGCAGGAGAAATGGGGGCGGAGAGGAAAATTAGTTTTCCTCACCCACCTCAAAATGAGAAAAGAGGCTGAGTTTGCTAAGAAATAACCTAGGGGTTCTGGTCGCCCCTGAGGGGCTTCTGATAAATGATTCAGAGGATACCCTTTCCCTCACCCACTCCTGTAATCACACACCCCACATGGACATGAGCAATCCTTTCCAGCACACACCGCCCTCTACAACTTCTTAGGTGGGCACTTCCCTTGTAGCTCTGGTCCATGAGTGACCTGAATTTTTCTGCCTTTTGTCTCCATTCCTAATGTAGAATTTTGGGATTCCAGGTACACTACTCACATCCTCACCTTTTCCCTCCTTCCACATAATTCCTGAAAGTCCCTCAAAGGAGATGCATCGCAAGTTCTCACACGCAAGTCCTTGGCCAGTCCCCGGAACTAGGTTTTCCTTTCTTCGACATTGACTCATCCTTCTTCCTGCTGAGACTGATACAGCCCGCAAAGCTACATCAAAGCACTTCAGCACTATCTGTGGTGACACCACTGAGCCATCATCTTCTCTAATGTTCTTTGAAAGGGCACCGGCCATCAAGACCCAAAAAGATGCTGCGTTTTCTTTGAAGTTCTTTAAAGCATCCAAACCTCAATGTGTCACATCCCTAAATGGTGGCTACACCTCTTTTGACATTTCAACACCAAAGCAACTCTATTTGTGCCTTGGTGTCTCTCAGAAATTTTTAGTGCAAAGAATGCTTTCATTTTGCATGGCCTCTCTTTCATGAGCTGTGCTGGGACAGAAAGCTGTGCTGTCTCATTCTGCTCTCTCTCCTCCCATTATTCCTTCTTTTTGACCCAAGGCTGATGCCCCCACTTTGAAATTTTCAACAAAAGGGAGTATTTTAGTCCCTCTCTTAGTTTCTAGAGAAATAAGCGACTGCTGGCTGGGCCCCAGGTGTATAAGCTCTTTTGGCTTCCAGGTTCAAGCACACGGAATTTGAATCTCACTTCCTCACACACTGAGCTGCTTCCCCTTTCCACTTCTCCTGTGAAACCCTAAGTCCTCTCAATCACATTTCAGGGCCTGATGTGGCTTTTTGAGAGGCTTTCTCCAGCATCTGCATCTCAATCCCCATTCAATGATGAGAAGAGCACTCACCAAGCCCCATCACTGTAACATACCACACAGTTTGGGTATAAGCAACAAATGCTCAGTCATGGATGACAGCAAAGTTGTAGGAATAAGGATTTTTTCAGCAGATGAATAAAATAATGAAAAATACCAATAATCTAAATGACCCCAAATAAGTAACTGGTTGAATAAATAGTGCTGTATCCACACAATGAAAAATTCAGCAATAGTTGAAATTAGTAGTGTGGAAGTAATCTCAAAGAGCCCAAGATGGCCCATATTAGAATCGCTCAGAAGCCTGTAAAAAATACAGATTTCTGGATGTGGATCCCAATGACGGAGTCAGAAGCACTGGGAGTAGACTTGGAATCTTTATTTTAATAGGTAACTCCAGTGATAATGCAAATCAAAGTTTAAAAATTTACAACCATGGCAGCATAGTTAATTATGAGGTAAAATGATCATGATATATTGTTAGATGAAAATAGTATGTTATGAAAAAAGAATGTATAATATAATCTCATTTTTAAAAAGTAGTGTGACTAGAGAGATGATATATAGGTATATAGGTAAAGACTGAAAAAATAATGCCAAAATACTAACCATGGTTAGTGGTGTGTTTATAGAAGATTTTTATTTTACTCTTTTTACTTTTTTACGTGTTGAGTCCAATTTGTAAATTTCCAAAATAAACATTTAGTTTATGTGTGTTTAAAGAAAACAATAAAAGTTGTTTTGTTTTGCTTTTTAAAAAAGGATAAGAGGTAAATGACATGGGACTTTTAAATTTACTTATACTCTAGATTTTAAAAAATAAAAAAGGCAGCTTGCAAAAATTTTGTACCACATAATAAATAAAAATTTTAAATGAAGAGTTAAAAATAAAGGGGAAGTAAGGGTGCTAATATAAATGAAGCCAGGATTAAGGTTGGTATCCAAGAATGCATTGCCTCAAACTTCAGTTATGTTTCTAAAATGAGCTATAAATTTGCCTCTTCCTAATGTCACAAGACTAGACATGAGCAGATAGGGAGAGGGAGGTTCAATATCATTAGACATTAGGGAAACAGGAATCAGAACCACAATGAGATACCATTTCATACCTACTAGGATAGCTAAAATAAAAATTAATGTTTTAAAGGAAAGCAAGTGTTGGCAAGAATGTGGAGAAATTAGAATCCTTGTACGTTGCTGCAGGAATATAAAAGGTAGAATGTAAATGTAAAATGATGAAGAGTTTGACAGTTGCTCAACATTAGCAGCACTATACACAATAGCTAAAAAGTGGGTAATATCTATCAACTGATGAATAGATAATAAAATGTGATATATCTATACAGTAGAATATTATTCAGCCTTAAAAAGGAATGAAGTACTGATTCATGCTACAACATGGGTGAACCTTGAAGACATTACATTGAGTTAAAGAAGACAAACACAAAGGGTTGCATATTACATGACTCCATTTATATTAAATATCTAGAACAGATAAATCCATAGATATACATTGTGTTTTTCGGGGGCTGGGGGAAATGGAGGAATGGAGTGTGATTGTTTCATGGGTATGGAAGTTTCCTTTTGGGGTGATGAAAATGTCTTGAGATAATGATTTCAAAACAGTATGAATGTACTAAATGCTACTGAACTGTGCACTTTAAAATGGTTAATTTTATGTCATGTAGATTTTACTTCAATTTTCTAAAAGTAGGAGTAGTTTATGAAAGTTAAACCCAAGAATACTGAGGTGTTCCAGAAGGTTCCATTTGGAAAGGGAGAGGAAATAATTAGCCCAGTTTTGTACCTTGAGTTTGATATGTCCATGGAGAATCCAACTGAAGGTGCCAGAAGTCAATTAGGATTATCAATCTGGAGCTAGGGAGAGAATTCTGGACTGGACCTCTATATTTGAGAATCATCAGGTGGATAATGGAAACTCAATCTACACATGTGGGTGTGGGTTCTCCTCAGAGTTTCCTAACACAAATGAAGTGGAGTATAGGCCCCAGTGGAGAAACCCTGTCATTTTTCCAGGAAAAATTTCCGTGTCGATGTGGACTTTACATTCATTCATTGTTTTTAATTAAAGTGGAGTATGGCATGTAAATTTTTCACCTTCCAGAAAAGCCTTTGCTGTAATATGGTTGGATTCATTTGATATGACAGAATAGTATTTAAAAGACCTGACCTATGATTTGCACATTACTGGAACAATCAACCACAGTCACCTCTTCTTCAACTTTCATTTCTGTGTGCCTGAAGTGTGAAGAAGGGTCCTCCCTCACCTTTCCTGGCATTCGATCCCAGGTGTTTGTGGTGAGCCTATTGGAGAGCCCACCCATGACTGATGTGTCACAAGAAGGGATGTGATGCCATGGCTGAGGTAATACCAGGTCATACTTTTTTCCAAATCTTTTCTAATGTTTGACTCAGAACAGATTTCAGTGTGCAATACTTAAAGTAGCATTTTTTTTAAAATATAGTAAGCCTTGACAACTGTTTAATCTGGATGATGAGTGCATGGGTATTATGGCACTATTTTCTCCATGTTTTAAATGTTGAAATATTTATAATTTTTAATAGAATCTTTAACATTATGATGACTTATATTCCACACAAGTTTATTAAGCATCAATTTTGTTCCAGGTACTAAGTTAGGTGGTTTCATACATGACTAGTGCCTGCAGAATAAACCAGTTTGATGATGGTTTCCTATTCTAAATAACAGGCTACACTTAGGTTACCATAAAGAATGTTCCGGAGTATGAAGATGGTTAACATCCATTGGGTCAATAAGAAGTGAAGATAAAATTTGACATGGATAAGAAGATTTGAAATAATCTCAGAAGATAAATCGAAAATTAAAGACAGCCCTCTTTAAAAAAATAAAATAATTAAGGGGGACATAAGAGTTGTTCCACTATTTCTAAATGGCTGGCATGTGCAGGGGAAATTATAGGGTTAAAATCTGCGAACTAGGTCAGCTTTATGTATTTGGCTCACAATGAAGATGTAAAGTTCACCAGCATTTACCTGGGTAAAACCACACCATTAAATTGGTTTATGGTTGGTACCTACCATGTGCCAAGCTCTGGGCATGGTATTTCACATACCTTATCTCATTTAATCATTTTAGCAGTCCTGTGTGCTGACATTTTTTAATGTATGTGGAAACAGCTCAAGAGTTCAAATAACTTGGTCTTAAGTCACAAAGTTAGTAAACGGTCAAGCTAATATTCAAACTTGAGTAAATCTGTTGCCAAACCTATGTCTTGCCAAAAGAACATGCTTCATGGGAATAGATTGCTCTGGAATTCATGTCTTTTAACTTTCTTTATGGTTTCTTTTAGTGTGCAGATCTTTTTCACTTAAATGTTAATATATTAACATTTTCTTTTGTGGTCTGTGCTTTTTGTGTTTAGTTAAGGAAACTTCTCTACCCTGAAGTCATAGGATACTCTATCTACACCCTAAAGTCATAGGATATTCTATCTTTTCTTTTAAACTTATAAACATTTGTTTCTTACATTCAGGTCTATAACTGTCTTTAACTTCTATTTGGTAATGGTGTAAATTAAAGGTGTAACTTAATTTTTCCCCCACATGAATAATGAATCATCCAGCACCACTGATCAGGCTCCATTTTTTTCCCTATTAGTTCCTCATGCTTTGTAGTATATTGAGTTCATAGATGAGGAGGTCAATTTCTGAACTTTCTACTTTCTTCTACTAGTTTTTTTTTTAATTTCTGTATAAATGCTGCATTGTCCTAATAACTGTAGTCTTGTAACAAATATTCGTATTTAGTAAGGTAAGCTCCCATATTTTTCTACTCTAATTTTTTTCTGGGTTATTCTAGGCCTTTTGGTTTTCTAGTCAAATTTTAAAAACAACATAATTTCCTTGAAAACCCCTATTGGGCTTTTGATGAGAATGGTATCACATGTCAATTAATTTTGGGAGAATCGACATCTTTAAAAATGTTGAGTCTTCTCATCCAGAGATTAAGTATGTTTCCCTGTTTACTTTTCTTTTTTAAAAATAACTTTCTCCATAAAAGCCTCAGGTACCTATTACTTATTTTTAGATACCTTAGAGACTTTGTTTCTACTGTAAATAAAATTCTTTTTAAAATTATATGTCATAATTTTTGTAAGTGTCTAGAACTTAATTGATGCTGATAATTATCTTGTATCTAGCAACCCTGTTGAACTTTTTATTAGTTTGTAGATTCTGTTAGGTTGTTCAGTTATCTTTTCACAAATAAGCATTGCATTTGTATAAAATATGGCACTCAAACTTATCAACATACATGTGTAAAGTCTAAAATTACAAAATTTGAAATATAACACATCTTTTATTTTCTATAAATTGATGTAATTTTGACTCAAGCATGCCATGCATTTGAGCTGGCAAGGAATTTAACTTTAGTTAGCCATTCTTGAGACTTACTTCAACCTAAGGACAAGTAATAGTTCCAGGGTCTTAACACCAAGGCTGACGGGCTGGCAAGTTCTCTCCCTGGTCACATGCCATCAATCCAGGAGGTTTACTGATAACACGTTTGTTCTCTCTGAGCAGAGTCTCCTACCATTCTGTGACTCTCTGCAGTGTTCACACCCATTAGGATGACAGGAATTTCAATGGAAGCTAATAGCCCTAAGCCCAGTGCTCCATTTTTTCTGCCACTTCCATGAAATCTGGCTCTTATCTGTCTCTGCCTCCAAAGAGCTTGAGAAAGTCTCAGAGGTCTCAGAATGCACAGCCTTCACCCAACCCCCAGGCAAGGGATATCTTTTTCTAGGCTAAGGAAAACCCCTCCCCACCTCCTGAATCTTCAAGTCACATTGCTTTCCCCCTCAAACTTTATCCTTCCTTTTTCCTTTCCCAATAGTCTTTCACAAACTTCCAAACCCAGAATCTAGGATTAATTTTTCAAACCCTAACAAAGTTTGGGGAGAAGTATTTCTTTCCATCTTTCTAGTTCAGGAGTTTCTAGTTTCTTCCTTCTCTCAAAGGAAGAAAAATGAAACATTTACATTTCCAAATTTAACATGTCTTAATCATCAATGTATCCTGCTGGCTACATAAAATGGTGCTCAAATCTTAAAGATACTCATACTCTACAAGGAACTCAATCATCCATCATTTCTGAGAATTACTATCACATAACCTCCATGAAGAAATTTTGAGCTGATTTGACAACATTTTTGTATGCTTACCTCTTCTAAGTTTTTTTCTTCTTCACTATTACTTATTTTAATTTTTTGCCTTTAATTGAAAAATGTTGATATTCATAACAGAATAACTTTGTCAACATGCCCATTTCTGTAGTCCTGCTTGTATTCACACTACTTTCTGGGAATAAAAACTCTACTGTGCTGTGAATTAGCTTCTGCTGTACTGCAGAGAATCTTCCACAGTCTACTTGCTGAGCAATCGGCATGCCTCAGAAGCTTTTGCAGAGACTTCCAATAGCTTGCCTTGTATCTAAATGTTCCTGCAAACTGCCGATATTTTATGTATCTTTAATTACTGTGGTGCAGTACTGCTTTTGGAGGGTTCTTGAAGTCAGGTGTGCTCTGCCCTAAGCTTTCAGAGATGATCCAGCTTTCTTCTGCCAAGGGCTTCTCTTTTTTGCATTTCAGGGTTGTTCCCTGGGAGCCCTTCACAAGTTTCCACTTCCACTGCTACTTTCTAATGCTTCTGGCTGTTTTTCATCTTGATTCCTTTCCCTCTGTTTTCTTTCCTTATTCTTCTTTCTCCTTTTTCTCTCTTCTTCTTGCCTCTTTGATTTTTTTTTTATTTTAAGCTAAGAGCATTTGGCATTTATTGTTATCTTCCCTTAGTAAGAAGGCTTCTTTCCATGAGATCAGAGAATTGTCACATTTTATTAAGACAATGTATGGGCCCTATGGTCTTTGAAATGAGCTTATCCCTCTCACTTCCAGATGCATGATGTTTCCAGACCCACATCTCCACATGAATGAATATCACTGAACATTCTGTAGAGAAGGTGACATCCTCTAGAAACCATAACAGAGTAGTGAATTCAATAGAGTGCTTCACCAGAGTATCACCATCACCAGCTATTCCATGAGCAGAAAACTTAGATTGTAAACAAGACATTGTGATGGAGATAAAAGAAGAAAGCCAACTAATAAAGGAGAGAGAAAGAGGGAGAGAGAAGCCCTCAATCTTATCATGTCATAATCATAAGATGACTCCTCCTTCTCTAGGCAGTGTTCAAGTTCCAAGCAGGATAAGAAAGGAACAAACGTATGTTTATTGCAGCACTATTCACAATAGCAAAGACTTGGAACCAACCCAGATGTCCAACAATGATAGACTGGATTAAGAAAATGTGGCACATATACACCATGGAATACTATGCAGCCATAAAAAATGATGAGTTCATGTCCTTTGTAGGGACATGGATGAAATTGGAAATCATCATACTCAGTAAACTATCGCAAGAACAAAAAACCAAACACCGCATATTCTCACTCATAGGTGGGAATTGAACAATGAGAACACATGGACACAGGAAGGGGAACATCACATTCTGGGGACTGTTGTGGGGTGGGGAGAGGGGGGAGGGATAGCACTGGGAGATGTACCTAATGCTAGATGATGAGTTAGTGGGTGCAGCGCACCAGCATGTCACATGTATACATATGTAACTAACCTGCACATTGTGCACATGTACCCTAAAACTTAAAGTATAATAATAAAAAAAAAGAAAAAAAAAAAGAAAGGAACAAAAGACTGAAGAGAAGATACCCTTTAAAAAAAATCTCTCCTGAGACCCTGCTTGTTGACTTTCATTAGCTAGAACTGTATCACTTGTAAATTCTTACATGCAAAGGAGTCTGGGAGACTTGAATATTTTTAGCTGGGTACATTACCACTGGATAAAAATTTGAGTTCTTTAATAAGTAAGAGGAGATGGGTATTGGGCAGGCAACAGGGCATTTGTGTCAGCCACAAATAATATCCCCATTTTAAAAGTAAAACCACTGAATCTTACAGCCTTCTCCACAAACATGAACCATGAAAATCTTGAGGATGATTGGAGGGATCTTAATAAAACTCATCTCCCAGGGCAGACAGGTTTGGACTCTGTAATGAAACTATGTACTTCAGATTGGCAGCCCAGATATAAGGGGCCCTGGCTATAGCTTGCAGCTATAAGAGACATTTGGATGTGGTTGATTAGTCACCACGGAGGGGACCCATGCAACCAGACCTGTGATAGTGCACAGGAAAAAAATTGGCCCACCCTATCTCACCATGTCTTCATGTCAGTGCAGCTGAAGGGTTAGTGGGAAAAGCCACAAGCCTATGTTTCTTCTTCATTGTAGTGTCCAAAACACCTATGGTCTTACGGAATCTTCCCCAGCCAGTGACAGGAAACTCATTCTGAAACCACCAGATGTTTTTTTAATCGGACTAGGGGTGGGGCAGAGGTCTCTTTGGGCTCCCTGCCTGGGCAGAGTTGATGACTGTGTAAATTAGACTGTGGCAGGAGCACTCTCCCCTGGAATCTCAGGAAGCAGGGCCATGCAGGGGCGAGTCTCCATGATCCTCAGACTCTACCTCCTTGGCACTTTCTCTTTCAGTCCTTGATCTGATATTTCCCCTTCCTGACCTAGCCTAGCTGGGGCCCAGGTGTGCTATAAAACTTTCTCTCTCAGACTTTTCCCTCTCAATTTAACTCAGAAATCTTCTCAAGAATACTCCTGATGCAAGAAAATCACAAGACCACTCCCCACCATCACCACCCTTAGGAGGTGCAGGTGATCTGACCTTATCTGTATATCAGGAGGCCTCTAAGGGGACCAGGGAACAGTCGCTATGCAGATGGTGCAGGGAAGTTTCAAGGGGGCTTGGAATTCACCATCACACACGGGATACATTGTTATACCAAAAGGAAGTTTAACTTTGATAAAGATTTTCTGTGTAGTAGTTAAGTCTGCACACTCTACAGCCATACTGCCTAGAACTCAATCCTGGTTCCACCATTGCCTAAATACACAAACTTGGCTTAACCTGGCTATCCATCCCTTGGTTTCAACTATAAAACAGTCACAATATTAGCATAGCCTCCCAGGACTCTCATAGGTGAAGTGAATTTATATAAATCACTTAAAATATTACTAAATGCAGAATAGATGCTCAATAAATATCTGCTGGTTATTATCCCATGCCTCTTATTCATGCACTCCCACGTACTCCACACACAGTCACACACACACAGTCTCAATTTAGGTGTGAGATGAAAGTTAGGGTTAGGGGAAATGGAAAAGGGGGAAATAAAAAGATTCAGATGAGCCAGAGTAAGTTAACTTAGAAAAAAAAACCATAAAAGAAAGGTCATTTTTTATTTCTTTAGGTCACATTCCGGGTGAAATTGTTGTTGTCTTCTTTTTTTCTCCTTCTCTTTTCTTGCTTAACCCTGAGAACATATCAAGATTCTTTTAGGTGGACTATCTCTGATTAATGCTTATTCATTTTCTATTGTTGTGTAACAAACTACCACAAATTCATCAGCCTACTATAACACCTAATATCTCATAGTTCTGTAGGCCAAAAGTCTGGGCAGGCTCAACTGAGCTCTCTGCCCAGATCCCAGAGAGCCAAAATCAAGGTGTCAGCCAGGCTGAGCTCGCATCTGAAGGCTCTGCGGAAGAATGAGCTTCCAAACTCATTCGGGTTGTTGACAGGATTTCATCCCTTGCAGTTGTAGGACTGCAGGCCCATTTTCTTGCTGCCCTCGGTAGAGAGCAGCTCTCAGCTCCTAGAGGCTGCTCTCAGTCCTCAGCACAGGAACCCCAGGATCTTCAAGCCAGCAGGAGTACCTCAAATCCTTCTCAAATTTGGAACCTCTATGTATGACTTTCTCTGCTGCAACAAGCTGTGAACATGCTCTGATTTTGAAGGGCTCATATGATTAGATTGGACCCACCCAGACAACCCCCATTTTGCTGTACAATCTAACATAATCATCCTAGCCACAGATTCCAGCCTACTTACAGGTTCCAACCACACTCAGAGGGTAGGGATTATAGAAGGGTGAGGATCACTGGGGGTCATTTTAGGATTCTGCCTGCCACAAATGCCATGAAGTTCAAGAGTTATAATTGAGAAAAATGGGCAGGAGGCAGTTCAGGGTCAGTTGAAGAGCTCAGTTTGGGATCTCTCCCTCCTAGGACATTAGACCTTCTCTGGATCAGGTTCAAGATTACCTCAAAGGCTTAGACGCTAAGGGAGTGAACACTAATCCAATCAGAAGGCACAGAGGCCTTGGTAGAAACAAGAGCAGGTGGACCTGTGGGTGGCCAATGGTCACCTAGATTTGACCTGGGAGGTCAGGGGAGACCAGGATTTAGGGACCACAAGTCATCAGTGGAAAGTCAGGACATTCAGTGGACCCTGTAAGAAAAAGAGTATTTTCTTCTCATGGGTTCCTCCAAGAAATATGAAGACTGGTTCAGCTTCCAGTGATAAGGAAAAGTCTAGGCTAGCAGGAGGCAAAGAAGAGGAACTTAATAATGAGGGGGAAGACTGGGCTAGTGATCTGAGAAACTGTCAAGCGATTATTAAAGCTTAGGTCTTATCCTCCAGTTGGAGGGACCCAAGGGAAGGATGGGTTCTCTTTTCCTTGAGAGCAGAACTAAAAGACAACAGTCCTTAGACACCTGACAGGGTGATCATTCACACTGGAGACATCAGCTGATTTATATATTTATTATGACAAATTCAACAACAGATTTTAGCAAAGTGCCCTTTTCTAACTCAGTCAGTATACTGTGATAATTTTCTGGTAGATAGAAGTAAACAATCTCAGAAAAAAGGTGCCTTTTCCTAATTTGTATAATGGCACCATGCAGGCCAGCAGAGGCCCCGTGGCCATCCTGCCCATGGAAACCTCTTGGACTGGAGCTCCACTTGTGTATGACAACTATCTGCCCCACCCCACCTCAACATTACGTCTGTAGTAACTGCCTCTCATAAACTGTGCCCTCTGCAGAAAGCATAACATTAGAATGAGGATCTCCAGTCTGCAGCAGGAGACCACAAAGGAATAGAAGGTCTGTTTCACCCTAGCAGCCACCACAGATGCGACTAGACCCAATCAGAGCCACCACAGAGCAGACCTCCCCGAATTCTCAACAAAGTTGGCCTGGGTTCCCTATCAACTTCCTATCCACAGAAGCTGCCAAAGTGAGGCCAGCCCCCCTTGGGTGACTTCAACGAATAGAATGTCAGGAAACTAGAGAAGGGGGTGTAAGGAAGTGAGGCTAACTTCCCAGAACAGTCTCTTTAACTGCATTCCCTTTTACCCTTCAGCGTGACTATTTTGTGCTATATTTGCTGCCACACTTTCTCTTTTCCTGTAGAAAAACTTTCTATGTAATGTGCTTCTTATATAAACACAGTGATACCTATATTCCTCCATTCGGCTGTCATCCTCTACAGGCTTGAAGTTGGTGGAAAATAGCATCTAGACTTCTATTTAAAGCTCCCAGCCTGGGTCATTAATAACTGTCTCTTATATGAAAGTACTGGTGTGCCCCGGGTATCCAATATGCCAACTTTTAACAATACAGGGAGATGTTTTCCTCTTCAACCACAGTCTCTGGTAACAATGGTTCAAATGCAAATCAAAAAGACCTCAGATTAAAACAACAGGTACAAGATTAAGGATTCACTCATAAGTGGCATTCGAGCATAGCAGTTACAAGCATGGACTCCGCAGCCACACCACTGGATTTGAAAGCCAGCTCTGCCTCTAGCTCTGAGACACTGTGCCAGATATTTACACACCTCTGCCCTGGTTTCCTCACAATGGTACCCACTCGAGAGCTTGTTTTAAGAATTAAAAGGGTTAATACACATAAAGCACTTTGAAAAAAGCCAGGCCCCTACTAACACCTGATAAATGTTAGCTATGTTATCATTTACTATTTTGTCTTTTATTCTTATAAAGACTTTCTGGACTTTTACTCATTTGGGGAATAATTTAAAAAGTCAAGATATAAAATAAAGTTTTTTTTTTCTTCATTAGTTAGTACCCCACCCTGGGTTTCTGATCTCTCCACAGACAGACAGGCTGTCCATCTCTCAGTCTGGAGGTTAAGTCGCTTGGGTTTCCCCTCTCTAGATTCTGCCCACTGTCTGTACACTGGCTGCCCTAGCTGAAAATATGTCTTCCTGACCTCTTTGCAGGATTAGGGCATGCCCTTTAGTGCTGCATCTGAGAGTCCTGTCCCCTTTGAGAGGGGTTTGTAGTGAAATGGTCCTAAGCCCTTCTCTTTCCAGGAACCCCATAATGCCTCAGCCTTACAGGCATAGACCCAGAAACAAACAGCTTCTACCATCCGGAACATTTATGGGCTCAGAATCCAAAGGTTAAATGGCATACCTCCTGCCTTTAAAATGTTTATAGTCTAAAGGAGATGTACTATCTGCCAGTAAGTTAGGACAATGCAGTCCTAAGTCATCATAAGTTGTATAATGAAGTTAGAAAGACATGGAAGTATAGTGGAAACCCCTCCTAAACATCATGGGCATGAAGGGAGGCTCCTAGAGGTGGTAGTGTTCAAACAGAGGTCAGACCAAAGGGAGACACACTCAAGGCACTCTGAGTGTGCCAAACCGCCCATGAAAATGCAGCTTGGAGAGTCAAAACTGGGCATTTCCTGATAACCCCAAGTAATTCTGTATTATTCTGTTACCAAATGGAAGGGTTAGTGATTTGGACAAGACTGAGCTGGTTGAGGCCCTCCCAAACCCCACCCACACTCTCACTTTTGGCATTTAAGAAACTTAGGTTTTATCTGATATGAAATTTGAAAATATCAAACAGCTTTTGGAAAATAAGTCTCATTAACCGGATTTTAAAATGAAAATCTCATTCTGGCAACTCTGTGAAGCAACTCTATGATACCAATTTTCATCAGGTAAATCATTATAAATATTATTTCCCAATCCAGACTTGTTTTTGCACTTTATGATACCTTTGGTTGAACAGTAGATTTACAATTTCAAAGACTTCAATTTATCGATTTCTGCCAATTACCTTTGAATTCCACATATTGATGGAAAAGAGAAGAAATTAATTTTGAGCATAATTTATCATTATTTCTCAGAACACTCCAGAAACTCTACATATGTGATCCTCAAGATGATTTCTTTGACAGGCAAGAGAACACTTTTCATCTTCAGCTGTATGTTTGCATTACTGGCAGTCTTTCCTGACCCCTATATAATATCCAATTAGCCTATCATACTCTCTGATAATTTTTTTCCTTCAGATTACTTGCCACCATTTATAATCATATAAGTAAGTTCTCTTTGGTTAATTATGTCTCACTCCTCAAGATTAGAAACTAAATCTGTTAGTGTTCACCATTTGATTCCCAGTGCTTTGACAGTAACACTTACAGGGCGAGTACTTAATACATCTTTTTTAAATGAAAGCATTTCCCAGACTTGAGACATTCTGTCTTCATCTGTATTATGCAAAACCCTTTGCTAGGGACTGATTCTCCAATGTTGCTATAATTTGGCTATCCCCTATATCAGCTCACAGCAACAGAAAGATTCATAATTTGCAAGAAATAGCATCTCCAGCTTTGATCGAAGGCCCACCATGAACTCTTTATGAGGTTCCAGCTGTGGCTACAGTGACTATAAAAAATCAACGGCTCTTTCTACACAGCGAACCCTAGAAGGGTGATTTGTGGTTACAGCAGTTAATTGCAAGTTTGTGGTTATTGAGTAATCACAGTACGTTCACAGCCCTAACTCATTCCCTCAATATTTTTCATCTTTCTATGACATTTCTTCAAGGTATTATCTTGTTTTTATCAAATTTAGGGCACTGAAAATGTTGCCAAGGTTTTTTATCATGACTAACTCAGGCCACGTTGGAAGGTCTACCATCCATCTGAAAGCCATAGCACAGAGGGTTTTCACACATGGATTCCACCCACCAAGCTCCTGGTGTCTGCCTGTTGCAGGTTTCCCCAAGTGTATCATTTGTGCCCTCCTCCCTTTCATCTGGTCAGAGTTCAGGTTGGAAGCAAGATGCCAGAGGCAAACGTTGAGGTGAAGCATCAGGCATGTAGTGTGCAATCGTTTTATAATAAAGAAACTTTTTTTTTTTTTGAAATGGAGTCTCACTCCGTCACCCGGACTGCAGTGCAGTGGCACGATCTCCACTCACTACAACCTCCGGCTCCCGGGTTCAAGCAGCTCTCTGCCTCAGCCTCCTCAGTAGCTGAGATTACAGGCACCTTCCATCATGCCCAGCTAATTTTTTTTGCATTTTTAGTAGACAGGGTTTCACCATCTTGGCCAGGTTGGTCTTGAACTCCTGACCACGATCCACCTGCCTCAGCCTCCAAAAGTGCTGAGATTATAGGTGTGAGCCACCGTTCCCGGCTAAGAAATCTTTATAATAAAGAAAAAACTGGCATGGAAATTACATAAAATAAAGACAGTTAGTGGAATTCCTAAAGATGAAAATCTATTCTTTATATAAAAAGGCAACACTGAAGATAAACAATTAGTCTTCATTTTAGAATGTCATGTTCCTAGAAAGGAGCCTTAATGATGGAAGGTAGAGATATGCAGGAAGGGGCCTGAACATCACTCAATTTAAAAACAACCATTAAAACGTAGACAAAGGGGATGAGATCAAATGTCAGAAATCAAATAATCTGTGGAGAGACATAAAAAGTTGCATGGATTTGCTGCATAAACTTAGAAAAATGCAAAAATTCACTTGCAGATAATTAATTCATTCTAAGTTTCCTCCAAGCCTGATTCACTGGAGATCTCAAGAAGCTACTGGAAAGTCACTCTTTTATTCTATCACTCATCCTTCAACAGTCTTCTGAGTATCTACTAAGTAACTTACAAACTATCGGTTTCTCACTACCTCTCTCCTTATGACTCCATACTCATCCCATGCCTTAACATCCACATCTTGTGTATTTTGCATCATTTCCTAACATCTGCATCATTCCCTGACAACATAAAAGCTCTCCATTGTCCTCAAGACTGTCATTGAGCACGCCATAGTGGACATTCAATTATTCCTTGGCTGTTGTTGCCATCACTGTCTGGTTGGATAATCACATAACTGCAATACAAGAATAATGAAGTATATGGAAGTGTGAAAGAAAAGACAGTCTCTTTTGAGACCAGCAGTTTCTTCTGGAGGACTGAGCCACAGCTCTTCCTTTGTCACTAAATTATTTGCCAATATAGACATCTCATTTTCCCAATGATGTGCTTTGCCTGTAGAAGGCATGTATGAGTTCGTTCTCACATTACCATGAAGAAATACCCGAGACTGGGTAATTTATAAAGAAAAGAAGTTTAATTGACTCACAGTTCTGCATGGCTGGGGAGGCCTCAGGAAACTTACAATGGACACAGAGCCAAACCATATCAAAGCACAAGACAGTCTTCCTTCCCTCACTTGGGCTGAGAATCTCAGAATGTTCTTTATAAGGCTGCAATGCTGGCTTTACTCTACCAATGGGAAGTATTTAGGTGAAATTCCTGGTCAGTCTCCCAGAAACATATTGTAAAAGGGAAAAAGAAAAGACCCTCTTATCACATACCTTAGTTAAACAGAGGGGAGAAATATTTAAAGAGTTCCAGGAGATAAAAGACTTTTTGTTTTTCTTTTAGAAATAGGGTCTTGCTATGTTGTGCAGTGGTTATTCACAGGCATGATCATAGTACACTACAGCCTCAAACACCCAGGCTCAAGCAATCCTCCCGTCTCAGCTTCTTGAATAGCTGGTACTATAGGACACACCACCTCACTCAGCTGAGAAAAACAAAATTAATGGCATGATGTCCAAGGAAATTATCTTGTTTTAATTTATGAGAAGATTCTGTCTTACCTTTTAACTTCCAGCCTGAGACAAAGGAAGAAGTATCAAAAATTGTACTTTCCCACTTTGTCCTATCCGGACTCCTATAAAAGCAGAGCCTGAAGCAAGGATAAAAATGATAACAATTTGTTTGGGAGGTACAAATCCAGGGCAATGATAGTGAGGAAAAAGAATGAGTCAAGTAAAGATGCCATGCAGTTTGGTGTGTTATAGTACCATAGCTGCCCACTACTTCACAACAAGCTGCTAAGAGACAAGGCAAGTTGCTTAGCAAGCTCGGACATTCAGCATGTGGGACTTACTTCTCTAGAACAATCTCAAGGAGTGTCACAGGAAAGAATAGCATTCAGTGTCTGAAACAAAAAGCTAAGTTTATTGCTCGCTAGGCAAGGGAGAACAATATTTGTAAAGTAGTGCCTCTGAACCAAGAAAGAACTGATCTTATACGGGATTCGGGAAATGTGAAATCTAGAAATTAGTGTTCTCTCAGAAGTGGGCTTTAGAGGATTTTCCACTATGTAAGTATGGACACTGGAATGACGTTGTAGCTGATTGGTTCAGCTACATCTCTCCTCTCAGCTGTCACTCAGGAAGCCAGGTTTCATGCCTTATAGTATGCTGTTTCATCCAAGTCCAAACATGAAGTAGCAACCTGGTATAGATGGAGCACCAACTGAGAGGAAGAAAAAAGGAAAGAAATAGTACTGCTTGTTTAGTCATGGAACATTAAGTTAGCAGATGACTTAGAGAGCCTGGTCCTGGACCGTGAAGACTAAGGCACAAACCTTTCTTGATGAGGGGACCAAAGTGGGGTTTATCCACAGGGAATAATATCCCAGAATTACTAGGAATCTCAGTTCCTCTTCTTTCTCAGTTTTCCTTCAAAAACGAATGGAACTCTTGGCCCCAAACTACTATCCCCACACTGCCCTCCATAAACGTCTGATTCTGATTTTACCTAAAACGTGAAGAAGCCAAAGCCTTTTCACTGTGCAACTCATGAGAGACCATTACAATGATCCCTCTTGTCAGGGATTTACCACACCTGGACCCACTACATAACAGTAATTTGCAGGTTTGCCCTATCAGGGAAGGGGTGGAGCTTGGTTTCCGTGCCCTGGTGATCTCCCCTGAACAAGAGAACCCCAGGCCTCCAAACACGGGAACACATGTCAGAGTAGGGCATCTGGTCCAGGGAGCTGTGACTAAAGGTAGAAAAAGACCTGCTAGCGCTGCGAACTCTCCCCATCTCTGATCTAGCTCTGCTTCTCTCTTCAGTCTATTCACATCCTCTCTCTTCAATCTCGAAAGATTTCCCTAACAGCATTCCACTGGGGACCACTTCCAAATTCAAGCCTGCTCAAGGAAGAGAGCTGGTAGTAGAATACCAGAATCACAGGCTTGTGTGAAAAGCAGCCTGGAGAGAAGGGCTTTCATGCATTCTTGTGGGAAAGATGGAAACCTCGGTCTTCTTACTAGAGGAGGGATGGATTAAATGGTTTCTGTAGGTTTTACAAATATTGTTTATTAGGGTAAGGAAATTTATTTCCATTTTTGTTTACTAAAAGGGTATTTTTATTATGAGGAGATGTTAAATTTTATCAAAAGCTCTTAAGTTTATTGAGCTGATTTTAGGATTGTTCTCTTAAATATGTGTGGCAAATTATGTTAATTGATCTAAGGTTAAATGAGATCTGCATTCTTAGATCTGCAAACCTAACTTGCTCATGATGTATCAACCTTTTTGTATATTGGTGGACTAATTTTGAGAGTTAATACTTTGTGTAGGGCTTTGATTCAGTGAATCACGAATAAGATTGACCTATAAATTTCCTTCCTTATTCTCTTCTTTGTATCAAGGTGATGCCAACATTATAAATTGAGATGGGTAGTGTTCATTTTTCTCTTCTCTGGAAAAGTTTTTAGAATAATAAAAATCTTTCTTCAGTTTCAGTAGAAATTAACAGTAAAGTCATCTAGGTCAGTTCTCTGTGTAGAAAAATTTTTGACTACTGGCACAATTTCTTTGATTGTTCTAGTATTACTCAACTTTGTAATTTCTTTTTAAGTCCATATTAGGTGGTGATATTTCTATTTTGTCTAAAATTTCAAATTTATTAGCACTAATGTTTTTATAATATTCTTGGCTTATCTTTTAATGGTCCACAGCATTTGTAAAAGTATTGTATTCTGAGTTCCTGATATTAAACATTTGCGCCTTCTCTCTTTTTTCTTAGTTTCTCCAAAGGTTTGTTAACTTTATTAGTCTTTTCAAATAGTTAATCTCTGCTGTATTAAATCTCTCTATTGTATGTTTGCCTGTTGTTTTATTAACTTCTTCTGTCTCTTATTATTTCTTCCTCCTACTTTATTGAGTTTATCTCACTTATTAATCTCTAAGTCCCTGAGATAAGTGATCAGTTCAATAATTTGTTTGTTGTGATTTATGAGTTTTAAGACTAAAAAGATCCTCTACCTGCTATTGCTACAATCCAATAAGTGCTATTATTGTTATTCAGTTCTAAACTTTTCATTTTTAATAAATTTTATTTGGATTTATGTGTTATTTAAAAGTTTATTTCTCTTTTTCTAATATTATAGAGTTTTTTTATAGTTATATTATTGATTTCTTGTTTGATTATGCTGTGACTAGACAACATTTGAAAAAAATACATCTTTGAAATTTCTCAAGAGTTGCTTTGCAGCCCAGTAAGTGATTGATTTTGGCAAAGTTTTTTAGCGAACTTACAAAAATATATATCCTGCAGTGGGGAACTTACAAAAAGATATATTCTGCAGTGGGTGGGCACAGTGTTCTAGAACTCTTAGGTCTAGTTTATTAAATGACCTGTTTAAATCATCTTTATTTTGCCAATTCCTGAGATACTGATAGATTTATTTATTCTTGGAGTTCTTTCAATTTTTGTTTGTCAATTTTATCTGGTATTAATGCAACTATAATGGTTTTCTTTTGGTTACTATAAATATAGCAAACATGCTTCTGAGTAATACATTTGCTACAATTGATGAGCCTACATCGGCAGAACATAATCATGCACCATGATCATGGTGCATTATCTTTTTGATGTGATGTTAGATTCAATTTTCCAGTATTTTTTAGAAGTCTTGTATTTATGTTCATCACTTATTGACCTATAGTTTTCTTTTTCACTTGTGACCTTGCCTCATTTTTGTATCAGGATAAGCTAGCCTCATAGAATAAATTAGAAAGAATTTAGTCTTCTTCAGTGTTTTGGAATAGTTTGAGAAGCATTTGTGTTATTTCTTCTTTAAAAGAAAAATCAACCTAAGTGTTCACCAATGGATGGATGGATAAGCTGTTATATATATACACACAATGGGATATCATTTCATCCACAAACAAGAATAAAATCCTGTCATTTGCAGCAACATGGATGAGCCTAGAGGACATTATGTTAAGTGAAAGAAGCCAGGCACAGAAAGACAAATGTTGCATGTTCCCACTTACCTGTGGGAGCTAAAAAAGTTGATCTCATGGAGGTAGAGAGTAAAATGGTGATTACCGGAGGCTGGGATAAAGAGAGGTTGGTTAATCCTACAGAAATACAGTAAAATATTAGGAATAATTTCTACTGTATGAGCACAATACAGTGACTGTAGTTATCAATAATTTATTTTATATATCAAAATAACTAGAAAGGAAGATTTGGAATGTTGTCAACACAAAGAAGTGATAAATGTTTGAGGTGATTATAGTGATCAATTACCCTGATTTGATCATTATATATTGTATGCATGGATCAAAATATTACATGTATACAATTATTATGTATCAATAAACAAACCAGACACATAGGCCAGTGGAACAGAATAGAGAACCTCAAATTAAGTATAAGAATTTAGAGCCAACTGATTTTCAGCAAAGGCACCAAGAACATACACTGAGAAAAGGACATCCCCTTCAATAAATGATGCCGGGAAATCTGGGTATCCATATGCAGAAGAACGAAACTAGACCCCTATCTCTCAAAAATCAAAGGAAAGTGGATTAAAGACTTAAATGAAAGACCAAAAACTGTAAAACTACTAGAACAATACATAGGGAAATCTCTTCAGGGCATTGGTCTAGTCAAAGATTTTATGAGTAGGACTTCAAAAGCACAAGCAATAAAAAACTAGACAATGGGACTATATCAAACTACAAAGCTTTTACACAACAAAGAAAACAATCAAGAGAGAAAAGGCAACCTATAGAACGGAAGAAAATATTTGCAAACTATGCATCCAATAAGGAACAAATGTCCAGTATATACAAGGAACTCAACAGCAAAAAAAAAAAAAAACTAATAATTTGATGTTTTAAATGTGCAAGGTATCTGAATAGACATTTTTCACTATAAAAGACATACAAGTGGCCAATACATGTATTTAAAAATGCTCAGCATCACTAGCCATCAGGGAAATGCAAATCAAAACCACAATGAGATGTCATCTCACTTCACTTAGAATGGCTATTATCAAAAAGATAAAAAATAACAAATGCTGCAAGGATGAGGGAAAAGGAAACTTTTACACACTGTTAGTGGGAATGTAAGTTAGTACAACCATTATGGAAAACAGTATGGAGGTTTCTAAATAAAACTAAAACTAGAACTACTATAAGGTCCAGCAATCCCACTACTGGGTATGTATCCAATGGAAAGGAAATCAGTATATCAAAGGGATACCTGTACCCTCAAGTTTATCACAGCACTATTTTCTTTCTTGCTTGCTTGCTTGCTTGCTTGCTTGCTTGCTTGCTTGCTTGCTTTCTTGCTTTTCTTGCTTTCTTGCTTGCTTTCTTGCTTTCTCCTTCTTTCCTTCCTTTATTTTTAAATTTCAATAGCTTTAGGGGTACAAGTGGTTTTTGGTTACATGGATGAACTGTATAGTAATGAAGTCAGATTTTAGTGTATCAGTCACTCAAGTAATGTACTTTGTACCCAATATATAGTTTTTTATCTATCACTCAACTGCCACCTTCCTCTCTTCTGAGTCTCCAATGTCCATTATACCACTCTTTATGCCTTTGTGTACCCATAGTTTGACTCCCACTTATAAGTGAAAATATATGGTATTTGGCTTTCCATTCCTAAGTTACTTCACTTGGAAAAATGGCCTCCAATTCCATCCAAGTTGCTGCAAAAGACATTATTTCATTCCTTTTATGGATGAGTGGTATTTCATAGTGTATATACACCACATTTTATTTATCCAGTCATGGTCCAATGGGCACTTAGGTTGGTTCTATGTTTCTGCAGTTGTGAATTGTGCTGCAATAAACATATGTGTGCACGTGTCTTTTTCATATAATGACTTATTTTCCTTTGGGTAGATACCCAGTAGTGGGATTGCTAAGTCAAATGGTAGAACTGTTTTTAGTTCTTTCAGGAATCTTCATACTGTTTTCCATAGAGTGTACTAATTTACCTTCCCACCAGCAGCGTATAAGCATTCCCCTTTCATCACATCCATGCCAACATCTGTTATATTTTGACGTTTTAATAATGGCAATTCTAGCTGGGGTAAGGTGGTATCAAGTTGTGGTTTTAATTTGCATTTCCTTCATGGTTAGTGATGTTGAGAATTTTTTCCTATGTTTGTTGGCCATTTATATATCTTCTTTAGAGAAATGTCTGTTCATGTCATTTGCCCACTTTTTGATAGGATTATTTGTTTTTTCTTGCTGATTTGTTTGAATTCCTTGTAGTTTCTGGATATTGGTCCTTTGTCAGATGCATAGTTTGCAAATATTTTCTCCCATTTTGTTCACCGTAATGATTATTTCTTTTGCTGTGTGGAGGCTTTTTAGTTTAATTAGATTAGATTTCTTTATGTTTGTTTTTGTTGCATTTGCTTTTGAGGTCTTAGTCATAAATTATTTGCTTAGGCCAATGTCCAGAAGAGTTTTTCCTGGGTTTTCTTCTAGAATTTTTATGATTTCAAGTCTTAGACTTAAGTCTGTAATCCACCTTGAGTTGACTTTTGTATATGGTCAGAGATAGGGATCCAGTTTCATTTTTCCACATGTGGTTAGCCAGTTTTCCCAGCACCATTTATTGAATAGGGTGTCCTTTCCCCAGTTCATGTTTTTGTATGCTTTCTTGAAGATAAGTTGATTGTAAGTATTTGGCTTTATTTCTGGATTCTCTATGCAGTTCCATTGCTCTATGTACCTACTTTTATAACAGTACTCTGCTGTTTTGGTTACTATATCTTTGTAGTATAACATGAAATCAGGTAATGTGATGCTTCCAGACTTGTTCTTTTTGCTTAGGATTGTTTTGGCTATTCAGGCTCTTTTTTTGGTTTCATATGAATTTTAATTTTTTTTCTAATTTCATGAAAAACAATGTTGGTATTTTGATAGGAATTGCATTGTATCTGTAGATTGCCTTGGGCAGTATGGTCATTTTAATGATATTGATTCTTCCAATTCATGAGCATGAGATGTATTTCCATTTGTTTGTGTCATCTATGATTTCCTTCAGCAGTGTTCTATACTTCTCCTCACGGAAATATTTCACATCCTTGGTTAAGTATATTCCTAGAGAGTTGGATTTTTTCCTTTTTTCTTGCAGGCATCTTAAAAGGGATCAAGTTCTTCGTTTGATTCAACTTAGTCATTGTTTGTGTGTATCAGTGCTACTCATTTGGGTACATTGATTTTGCAAGCTGAGACTTTTTGAATTCATTTACCAAATCTCGGAGTCTTTTGTAGGAATTTTTAGGGTTTTCTAGGCATGCAATAACACCACTGGCAAACACAGATAGTTTGACTTCCTCTTTTCCAATTTGGATGCCCTTTTATTTCTTTCTCTTGCCACATTGCTCTGGCTAGGACTTCCAGTACTATGTTGAATAGAAGTGGTGAAAGTGGGCATCCTTGTCTTCTTCCAGTTCTTAGGGGGAATGCTTTCAACTTTTTCCGGTTCAATATGAGATGGCTGTGGGTATGCCATATATGGCTTTTATTATTTTGAAGTATGTTCTTTCTATGCCTAGTTTGTTGAGAGTTTTATCATAAAGCAATGCTGAATTTTATCAAATGCTTTTTCTGTGTTGATTGAAATGATCGTGTAGTTTTTGTATTTGATTATGTTTATGTGATGAATCACATTTATTGACTTGAGTATGTTGAACCATCCCTACATCCCTGGGATGACATATCTTTTCGATTTTCTGTTGGATTTAGTTTGCTAATATTTTATTCAGAATTTTTACATGTATGTTAATCAGGGATATGGGTCTGTAGTTTTCTTTTTTTGTTGTTATGTCCTTTCCTGGCTTTGGTATCAGGATGATACTGGCTTCATAGAATAATTTGGGGTGATTCCCTCTTCTCAATCTTTTGGAATAGTTTCAGTAGGACTGGTACCAATTTTTCTTTGAATGGCTGGTAGAATTCAGCTGTGAATCCACTGGCTCTGAGTTTTTTGTTGTTGTTTTTGTTGTTCTTGGCAATTTTTTTATTACTGATTCTATTTCACCACTTGTTATTGGTCTGTTCAGAATTTCTGTTTCTTCCTGATTCAAGCTAGGAGGGTTGTATGTTTCCAGATATTTATCTATTTCCTCTAGACATGTACATAGAGGTGTTCATAGCAATCTCGAATGATCTTTTCTATTTCTGTGGTGTTGGTTGTAATGTCTCTATTTTCATTTCAAATTGAGCTTAGTTGAATCTTCACTCTTCTTTTCTTGGTTAGTCTAGCTAATGATCTATCGATTTTGTTTATCTTTTCAAAGAACCAACTTTTTGTTTCATTGACCTTTTGTATGGATTTTTGGCTTCAAATTTCATTTAGTTCTACTCTGATCTTTGCTATTGATTTTCTTCTTCTAGCTTTGGGTTTCATTTTTTCTTGTTTCTCTAGTTCCTTGAAGTGTAACATTTGGTTGTCAATTTGCTACTTTCAGACTTTTTGATAAAACCATTTAGTGCTATAACTTTCTTCTTAGCACTGCTTCTGCTGTATCCCACAGATTTTGATGAATTGTGTCACATTATCATTCATTTAAAATAATTTTTTAATTTCCATCTTGATTTCATTGTTAACCCCAAAATTATTTAGGAGAAGATTGTTTAATTTCCATGTATTTGTATAGTTTTGAGGGTTCCTTTTTGGAATTGATTTCTAGTTTTTATTCCAATGTGGTCTGAGAAGATACGTGATATGATTTTGATGGTTTTTAATTTATTGAGACATGTTTTGTGGCCTACTATATGGTCTATCTTAGAGGATGTTCCATGCGCTGATGAGAAGAATGTATATTCTGTAGCTCTTGGGGAAAATGTTCTGTAAATATCTGTTAGGTCCATTTGTTCTAGAGTGCAATTTAAGTCCAGTGTCTTTGGTTGACTTTCTGTCTTGATGTTCTGTCTAGTGCTATCAGTGGAGTGTTGAAGTCCCCCACTATTATTGTGTTGCTGTTATCTCTTTTCTTGGGTCTAGTAACAATTGTTTTATGAATGTGGGAGCTCCAGAATTAGGTGCATATATATTTAAGATGGTAATATCTTCTTGTTGGATTGATCCTTTTATCATTATATAATGACCTTCTTTGTCTTTTTTTTACTGTTGTTGTTTAAAAGTCTCTTTTATCTGATATAAGAATGGTTACTCCTGCTTAGTTTTGATTTTCATTTGCATGGAATATCTTTTTCCACCCCTTTGCCTTGAGTCTATAAGAATCCTTATGTGTTATATGTATCCCTGGAAAACAGAAGATATTTGGTTTGTAATTTTTTTATCCATTATGCCAATCCATATCTTTTAAGTAGAGCATTTAGACCATTTACTTTCAGTGTTAATATTGAGATGTGAAGTACTGTCCTCACCATCATATTGATTGTTACCTAGTTACTTTGTTTTCTTCATGGTGTTATTGTTTTTTGTTTTTTGTTTTTTACTTTAAGTTCTGGGATACACATCCAGAGCATGCAGATTTGTTACATAGGTATACATGTCCCATGGTGGTTTGCTGCACCCATCAATCTGTCATCTACATTAGGTATTTGTCCTAATGCTATCCCTCCCTTAGATCCCCACCCACTGACAGGCCCTGGTGTGTGATGCTCCCCTCCCTGTGTCCATGTGTTGCCATTGTTCAACTCCCACTTAAGTGTGAGAACATGTGGTATTTGGTTTTCTGTTCCTGTGTTAGTTCACTGAAAATGATGGTTTCCAGCTTCATCCATGTCCCTGCAAAGTACATGAACTCATCACTTTTTATGGCTGCATAGTATTCCATGGGGTATATGTGCCACATTTTCTTTATCCAGTCTATCTTTGATGGCATTTGGGTTGATTCCAAGTCTTTGCTATTGTGAATAGTGCTGCAATAAACATACATGTGCATGTCTTTACAGTAGAATGATTTATAATCCTTTGGGTGTATACCCAGTAATGGGATTGTTAGGTCAAATGGTATTTTTGGTTCTAGATCCTTGAGGAATCGCTGCACTGTCTTCCACAATGGTTGAACTACTTTACACTCCCACCAACAGTGTAAGAGCATTCCTATTTCTCCACATCCTCTCCAGCATCTGTTGTTTCCTGACTTTTTAATGATCACCATTCTAACTGGCATGAGATGTTATATCATTGTGGTTTTGATTTGCATTTTTCTAATGAACAGTGATGAGTTTTTTTTCATATGTTTGTTGGCCACTTAAATGTCTTCTTTTGAGAAGTGTCTGTTCATATCCTTTGCCCACTTTTTGATGGGGTTGTTTGTTTTTTTCTTGTAAATTTCTTTAAGTTCCTTGTAGATTCTGGATATTAGCCCTTTATCAGATGGATAGATAGCAAAAATTTTCTCCCATTCTGTAGGTTGCCTGTTCACTCTGATGATATTTAATAAATGATGTTGGGAAAACTGGCTAGCCATATGCAGAAAACTGAAACTGGACCACTTCCTTACACCTTATACAAAAATTAACTCAAGATGGATTAAAGACTTAAACGTAAGTCCTAAAACCATAATAACCCTAGAAGAAAACCTAGGCAATACCATTTAGGACATAGGCATGGGCAAAGACTTCATGACTAAACCACCACAAGCAATGGCAACAAAAGCCAAAATTGACAACTTGGATCTAATTAAACTAAAGAGCTTCTGCACAGCAAAAAAAACTGTCATCAGCGTGAACAGGTGTTATTGTTTTATAGACCCTGTGAGTTTTATACTTTCAAAAGGTTCTATTCTGGTGCATATCAACCTTTTGTTTCAAGATTTAGAATTCCTTTTAGCATTGCTTTTAGGGCTGGCCTTGTAGTAACAAATTCCCTTAGCATTTGCTTGTCTAAAAAATATTGTATTTCTCCTTTATTTATAAAACATAATTTTGCTGGATACAAAACTCTTGGCTGACAGTTATTCTGTTTAAGGAGGCTAAAGATAGGACCCCAGTCCCTTCTAGCTTGTAAGGTTTCTGCGGAGAAGTCTGATAGGCTTTCCTTTATAGGTTACCTGATGCCTTTTTCTCCCTGCTCTTAAAAATATTTCCTTCCCATTAAATTTAGATAGGCTGATGACTATATGCCTTTGTAATGTCCTTTTTGCAATAAATCTCCCAGAAGTTCTTTGGATTTCTTGTATTTGGATGACTAAATCTCTAGCAAGGCCATGGAAGTTTTCTTCAATTATTTCTTCGAATAAATTTCCCAAACTTTTTGCATTTTCTTCTCCCTCAGGGACACCAGCCATTCTTAGGTTTAGCCATTTTACATAATCCCATATTTATTGTAGACTTTGTTCATTTCTTTGAATTTTTTTATTTATTTTTGCCTGATTAGGTTAATTTTAAAGCCTTGTCTTTTAAATTTTTTCTTCTACTTGGTTTAGTCTATTGTTAAAACATTCCACTGTGTTTTGTAATTCCACTGCATTTTGTAATTCTCTAAATATATTTTTCATTTCTGGAAGTTCCAACTGGTTTTTCCTTAAAATATCTACCTCTTTAGAAAATTTTTCACTCATATTATAAATTGATATTCTCATTTCTTTATATTGTTTTTCACCTTTCTCTTGTATCTCCCTGAGTAACTTAATAATCAACCTTTTCAATTCTTTATCTAGTATTTCAAAGAATTTTTTTTTTGAAATGGAGTCTCACTCTGTCACCCAGGCTAGAGTGCAGTGGTGTGATCTCAGCTGACTGCAACCCCTGCCTCCCAGGTTCAAGCAATCCTCCTTACTCAGCCTCTCGAGTAGCTAGGACTACAGGTGCAAGCCACCATACCCGGCTAATTTTTCTTTCTTTTTTTTTTTTTTTTTTTTTGGATTTTTAGTAGAAATGGAGTCTCACCATGTTGGCCAGGCTGGTGGTATTTCAAAGATTTCATCTTGGTTTGGATCCATTTCTGGAGAGTGGCTGTGATCTTTTGAAGTTGTTGTAGAATGCTGTTCTGTCACATTGCCAGAATTATTTTTCTGTTTTCTTCTCTTTTGGGTAGTCTATTTCTTCTAATTATTTTTTAATTTATTTCTGGCTCACTTTTTATTTGACTGTGTTTTTTGTTGTTGTTTGTTTCTTTTTTTCCCCTTGAGGATGTGACTTTAATGTTTATAAGTTATCATAACCTAATTTGGCTCTGAGTGCTTTCAGGGGTGAAGATTCTGTATGAGCTCCTTGGTTATAGAGACTCTTTATGTGATGGCTTCCTCAGATGCTAGTTACAGTAGCAATGTGCTTGGTGTGTGAGCAAATTTACTGTCTCCTGTGGAGTTGGAATGGCAGAGGTCTCTTGAAGCTTATCTCATTCCCCAGTGGTGTTCACTCAATTATTTCTTTCTTTATTTACCCAGTATTTTATTCACTGGGTCGAACAGTTCAGGCTTCAGGCCAGTAAGAGGTGGCCACAGGCAAAAACTGGCTGTGGCTAAAGCTGGTAGGTAAATGCAATAACCAATGGTGGGCGGAAGTACCAGCCTTCACAGAGGTGTCTAGGGGAGTGCTCAGTGAAACTCACTGAGGTCTTTTCAGGTGGAAGGGAGGGACCCACCTTAGATCCCCTCACAGGCCAGCAGGAAAGCAATCTGTCTCCCAGTCACATTCCTGACCCAGTGTTCTAGCTATTCAGATCAGACAGGCACCTCTTTTCTTTTTTTTTTTTTTTTTTCACTTTTAAGTTAAGGGGTAGATGTGCAGGATGTGCAGATTAGTTACATAGGTAAACACGTGTCAGGGGGGTTGGTTGTAAAGATTATTTCATCACCCAGGTATTAAGCCTAGTATCCGCCAGTTACTTTTCCTGCTTCTCTCCCTCCTCCCACCCTCTACCCTCTGAAAGGCCCCAATGCGTGTTGTTCCCCTCTGTGTGTCTCTGTGTTCTCATCATTTAGCTCACACTCATAAGTGAGAACAAGCAGTATTGGTTTCCTGTTCCTGCATTAGTTTGCTAAGGATAATGGCCTCCAGCTCCGTCCATGTCCCTGTAAAGGACATGATCTCATTGTTTTTATGACTGTGTACTATTCCATGTGTATATCTACCCACTTTCTTTATCCAGTCTATCACTGACAGGCACTTGGGCTGATCCCTGTCTTTGCTATTGTAAATAGTGCTGCAATAAACATATACATGCCTGTGTCTTTATAATAGAACAATTTATATTCCTTTGGGTATATACCCAGTAATGGGATTGCTGGATGAAATGGTAGTTCTGACTTTAGGTCTTTGAGAAGTTGCCATACTGTCTTCCACAATGGTTGAACTAATTTACACTCCCACCAAAATTGTGGAAGCGATCCTTTTTCTCCACAACCTCGCTAGCATCTGTTATTTTTGACTTTTTAGTAATAGCCATTCTGATTGGTGTGAAGTGGTATCTCATTGTGGTTTTGATTTGCATTTCTCTGATGATCAGTGATGTTGAGTTTTTATTCATATGATTGTTGGCAGCATGTATGTCTTCTTTTGAGAAGTGTGTGTTTATATCCTTTGCCTACTTTTTAATGGGGTGGGTTAGGGGTTTTTTGTAAATTTGTTTAAGTTCCTTACAGATACTGGATGTTAGACCTTCAGACAGACACGTCTTTTCAGCTGCAAGAATGTAGAGATGAATTGTGACTCTACCTCTCATACAAGCCTGAGCCTGGAGGGCACTTGTCCTGTGGGAATGCAGTCACCTGAAGGGTCCCAGAAAGGCTGTCTACAGGTGCACTCATGCCGAGTTCCTTTGTGAGAAACCCCAGCTGTGTCAGCAGTGGTGCATGAGGGGGAGAAGTCCTATTCTCCAAGACCCTTCACAAGCACCAGGGCTGCCTGACTGGTGAGGTAGAGCCACAGACTTCCCCACTGAGCCCAGCACTGCACCTGTCTCTCTGCTGAAAGAAATTTCCCACAATTGTAAAGTTCTGAGACTCAAAGCCTGCCATCTGGATTCCTTTGTCCCACAGGGTGCTCCCTTCATGTGGTGCACTCCTGCTTACCCTAGGAGTAGGAGTCCCTGAGTGCCAGACTACTATGATTGCTGCTGCGGCTCTGGATCTGGCCACCCAATGGGGCTGCTACATTCCAGGCCTGTGCTAGGGAATGTCTGCAAAGGGTCCAGCGATGTGACTTATCCTCAAGTCTCCCAGCAGTGGGTACCAGCACCAGCTCTGATGGGGCTGGCAGAGGAGTAAAGTAAACTCTGTGAGATTCTTTGGTTACAAATAGCCTTAGTGTGCTGGCTTTCTCTAATTTCAGTTGTAGTAGTAATGATCTGGTCATGTGAACAGACTCAAGACCTCCTGGTTAGCCAGGGTGATGCAGGCAATGGTGGTAGCTGTAGTCATGCAAAAGTTTTCTCCTTCCCAGTGCTGTGTTATTCTGCCTACAGATGTTGTAATGGACTATGTTGATTGGCCTATAGCCAGGAGGTGCAGTTGGTGCGAAAGAGCACTGACTGCAGTAGTAGTGGTGGAATTCATGCTTGGCTTATGTGACCAGGGGAGGTACTCTGGTGTCTCAAGCAATGGGCAGGTCCATAACACTCCCGAAAGTTTCTGTCCTTTGTGTTAAGCTACCAGGGTGGGTAAAAAGGCAAACCAGGTCGGGGCTGAGTCAGGCAAGTTCGCGCTCTGGCTATCCACGTGCAGGTGCAATCAGTGGCCCAGTGGGGATCAGAGGGCAGTTCTCTGGATGCTGGGATAATGTTCCAGGGAGGAGTGCAGTTGCCCCTGCCGCACAGAAGAGTCCACACAGGAAGTGGGGAGTACAGGTGGCAGTAAGCCCCACTCAGCCCCTATGCACTTGGCAAGACAGGTCTCAGACCCACAGTGTTCTACTGGCAGCGGCCATCTAGGTTGCAAGCAGGCTGCATTCAGCACTCAAAACTGTCCCAGACCATAAGCCTTCTCTGGCTGCCAAGACAAAAACTGCTCAGGCCATGCCCCTCCTGATCTGCTAGCGAAGCAGGGGCACCCAGCTCCTACACCTGTGGGCACAGCGCACTTCCCACTTGCCCCTCAGTTCTGGTCAAGGAGGTCCATCCCTGCTAGAGATTATATTGTGAATCTCAGTTGGGAGCTTCTCACTCCTCTCAGCCCATGGCCACCGCCTGAGCTAGTTGGCTGACTTCTGCATGGTCCTCTGTGAGGTAGGATCAGGAATGGCTTCCCTCTGTCCCCAGTAGAGTCTAGGAGTGCAAGCAAAGCACATCCTGAAGCTGCTCCTTCTCATATACTCCCCTCAGCTCATTAAATCAGCTCCAGCACTGGGTAGGGTTAAGGTCTTCCCCGTGGCCTGGATTGCCAGGTTCCCCAGTGGGAGTGCATATCCCAGAGGCAGTTTCTCTTCCTTTCACACTCTGAGGACTCAGAGTTTTCTGCCTGGCTCATGGTGTAAGCTGCAGTTTGCCACTTCTTTCAAAGGGTCTGTGGTTTCTTTCAATTTTCCTCTTAAGCTCCTGTGTTGCTTCCTGGAAAAAAAGTTCACAGCGTGAATCTCTACACACTATTTTGTCTTTCCAAATAAGAGAGGCATGCTAACAATGACTTTAATCTACCATCTTGGAAATGAAAACTATCACAGCACTATTCACAATAGCCAAGATATGAAATCATTTAAGTGACTATCAACAGATGAATGGCTAAAGAAAATGTAGTATACAGACACAATGGAGTACTATTCAGCCATGAAAAGAAGAAAATCCTGTCATTTGCAGCAACATGGATGGAACTGGAGGTCATTATGCTAAGTGAAATAATTCAGACACAGAAACATAAATACCACTTTCTAACTCATATATAGGAGCCAAAAAAAAAAATTGAGGTCATAGGCCGGGCGCGGTGGCTTAGGCCTGTAATCCCAGCACTTTGGGAGGCCGAGGCAGGCAGATCACCTGAGGTCAGGAGTTCAAAACCAGCCTCGCCAACATGATGAAACCCTGTCTCTATTAAAAATACAAAAATTAGCCGGGTGCGGTGGTGGGCACCTGTAATCCCAGCTACTCAGTAGGTTGAGGCAGGAGAATCGCTTGGACCCAGGAGGCAGAGGTTGCAGTGAGCTGAGATCATGCCACTGCACTCCAGCCTGGGTGACACAGTAAGACTCCATCTAAAAAAAAAAAAAAAATGAAGTCATAGAAGCAGAGAGTAGAATTGTGGAAGTAGAGAGTAGAATTATTAGAAGCTGGGAAAGGGATAGAGGAAGGGAAGGAGAGGTTGGCTAATGGATTCAAGTTACAGTTAGATAAGAGGAATGAGTTCTACTGCTCTATAGCACTGTAGAGTGAATATAGGTAACAATAATTTATAGTATATTTTCAAAGAACTAGAAGAGAGGATTTTGAAGGTTCCCAACACAAAAAAATAATAAATGTTTCAGGTGATGGATATGCTACTTATCCTGATTTTATCATTATACATTGTATATACGTATTTGAAATATCACTCTGTGTCCCATAAATATGTACAATTATTACATGTAAACTAAAAATACAAGGCAAAATTACAGCATATTTTGTTAAACCCATCAAAACTAAATTTAATCAATAATTTACCCTCCTTCCTGAAAATACAAGAAACTTAGGACTTTAAACCTCATTTATCATCTCCCAACATTTTTGTATTTTAATTCTACACTTTTTTTAAATGCCAATAGGAATTGTGATTATCATCCTATATAAAAAGTGTTCATTTTCCTTTAGCAGTTTCTAGTTACTAGACTAGTTTTGTTTTTTGTGTGTTGTACTCTAATTTATTCTGATTGTTCTTTCAGTTGATAATTCTCTTTTCTGTTCGTCTTCAATCTGCAAGAAAACATATTCATTTAGCGTTTAATTTTATTTCACTTTTTATTTTTGGAAGATCTATTTAGTTCTTTATCATATCTATTATGACACTTCATGTTGTCTTATTCCCTCCAATTATCTTCAAGTTTGTATGAAATATGTGCCAGGTAATTTCAAAATCTCAACCAGAATATCTTAATGATCTTGGCCACTTTCATAATAAGGGGAGAGTAGTTTACTTCACACCTTCTGAAAATACTCCTGAGATAAATGTACCAAGATCATGTTTGGAAAGGGAAATGAAGTGATCAAAACAAACAAAAATATACAACAACTAAACAGACAAACACATACACATATATATGAACATGCATATATATATCACACACATATACACATGTGTTGTCTGTTTGTAATTATATATAAAATAAATATAGACAATTATGTATATTTAAGTATGTCTATGTGTAAATACATATGTAAAGATAAGTAAAGATATATAAAGATATGTGTAAATAGATATGTAAAAATAGAGATATAGGTTTAGGTATACAGAATATAGATAAATATAGACATATGATTTCAAAAAGCTACCTTAACACATACATAATCCATTTGAAGAAAGGATTCTATAGTTAAAAACATTTTAAAACCTGTATTGTAGCCCATATCCTCTTTTGATAGGTGATGGTAAGAGGCCCAGAAATTGGCAATCGAATCCCAGATCAGATCTCTTCCAGCTGAGAGGCAAATGCTCACAGTTGCAAGAGGTCTTAAAAGATCTTATGTGCATGCTCATGATAACCTCCCAGTTGCCCTAAGATGTTTTCCAGCCACTGTTGCAACAACTCCCTGGAGAGAAAGTACACGGGCTCACCAGAACAGCCATTCCCAAGAGAACTCTAATTGTGAGGGCACTTTGCTTCGCTGAGTTGAAATTGCCAACTTAGAAGAAGCTTCCCCACTTCTAAGACTGATAGAGAGGAAAGTTTGCAGCTTTTCAGGCATGTAGTGTGTGTGTACACTTTTTGTAACCATGTGACCTGGGGCACATCACTTAATATCTCTGAGTCTTTCATTTTAAAATGTGATCAAGGTTAACTGCCATACAGCATGTACAGAATGCAATGAGATAACATATATAAACCCGCTTTTATACGCTTTGTAATACAGTAAGATAGGGATTCATATTAATGCCCTTTCTGTCCCTCTTCCTTGATTTCTCCTTCACCAGAGTCATGCTCAAAACAACTAATTCTGCTACCAAATGAGAACCTCAGATTATTAGAAGCTAGCTATGAGGTGCCTATGCCCCAGCTCACCTTTCCCCAACATGAGTCAGCTGGAAGTCCATTCCACAGTAAAGATGCTCTCCTCTGGGATACACAGTGGAGCACAGGGTAGACGCCATCTTTGGACAAGACTTTCTTCCCCTGTGAGGACTGAGCCAAAAGTGAAATTTCTGGAGAGAAAGAGGCTAAGCCAAAGGACACAAGCTAATCCCACAAGCTAATCCCACTAATTCCAGTCTCCCTTATTTCCTCAGGAGTTTTAGAGTACCACTTATGAACAGCGTGCAGGTACTTAAGATTCTCATAGCCTCACAGCCAGTCTTAGCATATGATGCCAAGAGGGGCTAGATATCAAACTCCTCAAAGCCTCATGGTTGGAGCTCAATGCCTTGGTTAATTAAGCATCGTTCAGCAACAGCCTCAATCTTTCAGGCTTAGAAATCTGAGACAAGATAACATTAAAAAAGTCTAGTTTTGCAATCATATATTGGAAGTTCTGGCAAATGATTCAGCATAGAGAATACAAAGAGAATACCACAATCAGTCACCCTGCCACAGTTCTGGTAAAATGCTCTGAGAGGCCCCGTAGGTTTCTACAATACTTGATTTCCCTTTGGCAGACTTTGAATTGCTGGCCGGAATGATCCAGATCTTCTGCTGTTTTCAGGTATGTTTCTCATATTGTTTTTGAGTTTCTAATCAGAAACAGAAAAACCAGAAAGCAGAGTGTGTCCACAAGTAGATGTCATACCACGTCTGGGGAACAGAGAGGGGATATAACATAAGAATGCTTAAGCATGAATTTGTTTCCAAACACAATAACTTATTATTATACTTGCCCTGAACTTTGAGATAGAGAGAAAAAGAGAAAGACCCACCAACTTTGCAATCATATGCTAAAGGTTCTAGCGAATGATTCTGCAGCATTCTTTTTATCTACACTAAACCAAACCCTTTGCCATATCCCATGCAGACATGGTAAAAAAAAAAAAAATGCACAGCATGAGACTGTAAACAAGATACTTAAGAGAGAGTCCATCACTCCAGAACATTAGTATGTGAACTTCAGACTCTGTGGAAACAAGATGCTTTGGGAAAGGGCAGTGGCCTTGGTGGGCAAAGATCCTGGGAATGTAAAAACCCCCAGGTTATGGGGATGTGGGGTGGATCTTGAGAATGACCCAAGGTCACATTGAAGGTGACATCACAGCCCAGAACATTGATGCCTTTCAACTTGCTCCAACCCGGAAGTGCAGTCCATGCCAATTTACTTTTCTGAGTCTGTATTGTCACACTTGCTCCCGGTTTGGTGGAGGTGGGCGCACTGTTCTCACTCAAACCTACTTCTACTCCCCCTTCTTCTGTAGGCCTCTTTTCATCCACACCAGACATTTACCCACTCCAGAGTCTTACTGGATTGTCCCCAACCCAACATCCAGACTTGTTCTTCTCCATCCTTTTTTCATTTGTGATGGTGGCTGGGCAATGATAAGAATAGGCAATAAGGGAAAATTAAAGGTTGTTCTAGTAGATACTCAAACTCCAGAAAAATAATAGATGTATGTCTGTCCTAGAAACACTTTTCTCTTCCCATCTCTGCCCTCTTCCCAATCCTTACTACCACAGAAGCAAAATGGAAGTACCACATTCTCCACTCTAATATGTTACCTAAGTTCTTCTTTGCTGACAGATTTTTTATCTCAAATTATTTTTGATTTTATGTACATATCCCAGGAATTCTGACTAGCATCCTATCCTAATAGGAATACAGAGATAACTTTTAACTGAGACAAGAATTTCTTCTCTACAGGTCAAGTGTGGTGGCTCATACCTGTAATCCCAGTACTTTAAGAGGCCAAAGTGTGTAGATCACTTGAGGCCAGGAGTTCAAGACCAGTCTGGGCAACATGGTGAAATCCTGCCTCCACTAAAAGTACAAAAATTCGTTGGGCATGGTGGTACACACCTGTAATCCCAGCTACTCCGGAGGCTGAGGCACGAGAATCACTTGAGCCCAGGGAGCGGAGGTTGCAGTGAGCCAAGATCGGACCAATGCACTCCAGCCTGGGTGACAGAGCAAGATGCCGTCTCAAAAAACAAAACAAAACAAAAAAACAGATTTTCTTCTCTACAACATAGCTGAGTCTCATGGTCAAATGAAATCTAGGGCCAACTTCTGGCTCCTTATGCCTGTAAGTTCTGACTTTGCCATGACTTAAGAGAATGATCAAGCTCAGGGAAATCAGGTCACAACATCAGAATCAAATGTCATGTATGAGTGTGGGAATGTCATGTCATTGTGCTGTTCTCATTTACCTGTAAGGATTGGCCTTGGCCACTTCGAAAAGGGACTAGCTGTGGTTCAGTGAAAGGCTAATACCCAAGAGTATTTCCCTTCATGGGCAAGGCATGACATTCTTCTACAGATTAAGAACAGCAGGGAAATAAGGAATAAAAGGGAAGAGCGTGTGTAATATGAATAAACTTTTCCATCACCATATGGTAGCCACTGAGGTACCTCTCTCTTCTAACAGAATCAGAATCTAACATCAGAGATATAGACAAAAGACTTTTATTCTTCAGCACCTCCTTAATTTTTCTCCCCAAGTCCCTGAAAAATATAGGAGATGGTGAAGTTTGTAGAAGACTTATATTACTAAAATTAGAAATAAAAGTGGAGACATTACTACCAACCTTAGAGAAATTAAAAGGACTATAAAAAGAATACTATCTACATTTGTACACCAACAAATTAGGTAGTCTAGATGAAATGGACAAATTACTAGAAACACAGAAACTACCAAAACAGACTCAAGAAGAAATAGAAAATCCAACCAGATGCTCACTTCATCACTGCTATTCAATATTGCACTGGAATTCCTAAACAGAGCAATTAGGTAAGAAAATGAAAGAAAAGGTATCCAATTATGAAGGAAGAAGTAAAACTATTTCTATTTGCAGATGACATGACTGTATACAAAGAAAATCCCAAATAATCCACACAAAAACTAGTAGAGTTAATAAGCAAATTCAACAAATTTCAGGGTACAAAATCAGTTGTGTTTCTATACACAAACCCACAATGAACAATAAAAAAAGGAAACTAAGAAAACAATTTCCTTTATAATAACATCCCAAAGAATAAAATACATGGGACTAAATTTAACCAAGGAAGTGAAAGAATTGTACACTAAAAACCACAAATAATTGCTGATTAAATGGAAAGATGTCCCATGTTCACGGATAGGGATACTTAATATTGTTAAATGGCAATACTTCCCAAAGCAATCTATAGATTCAATGCAATCTCTGTCAAAATTTCAAATGGTCTTCTTTGCTGAAATGGAAAAGCCAATCCTAAAATTCATATGTAATTCCATAGGATCCAAAAAAGCAAAACCAATATTGAAATAGAAAAACAAAGTTGGAGTACTTACACTTCTCAATTTCAAAACTTACAAGCTACAGTAATTAAAACAGCATGGCAAAGGCATAAGGATAGACATATGGATCAATGGAATAGATTCAGAGTCCAGAAATAAACACAACATTTATGGCCATTTGATTTTTGATAAGGATTGTCAAGGGGGTCTTGAACATTCAGTGGGGAAAGAATAATATCTTCAACAAGTGGTGCTGGAACAATTGGATAGCCATGTGCAAAATACTCTAGTAGACTCCTACCTTATGTCACATACAATAATTAATTTAAAATAAATCAATCCTAAATATAAGGGCCAAAACCATAAAACTCTTAGAAGAAAACAGGCGTAATCTTCATGGTTTCTGATTTGTCAATGGATTCTTAAATTTGACACCAAAAGCACAAGCAACAAAAGATAAAATTGATACATTTGAATGCATAAAATTTTTTTAATTTGCACATGGAATGACAATATCAAGAAAATGAAAAGACAATCTGCAGAATGGGAGAAAATATTTACAAGCCACATATCTGATAAGGGCTGAGTATCCAGAATATATAACAAACTCTTCCAACTCAACAATGAAAACAAAAACAACGCAATTTTAAGAATGGGCAAAGGACTTGAATCAACATTTCTCCAAAGAAGATATGCGAATAACCAGCAAACACATGAAGTGATGCTCAACATCATTACTCATAAAGGAAATGTGAATCAAAACCATATGACATACTACTTTACACCCATTAGGATGAAGATAATAATTTTAAAATAACAAGTGTCAGCAAGGATGCAGAGAAATAGGAACTTTCCTATGTTGCTGATAAGCAATGCAAAAGGGTACAACCACTGTGGAAAACAGTTTGGTGGTTCCTTAAAAAATTAAAAATAGGATTATTGTATAACTCAGAAATTCCAAAAGTATATATATTTGGTATATATCCAAAAGAACTGAAAACATATTGTTCATGCAGAAATTTGTACACAAATGCTTATTATTGCTGCATTAGCTACAATAGCCAAAAGATGAAAACAACCCAAATGTCCATTGACAGATGAACAAATAACTTGTGGTATAAACATACAATGGGAATATTATTTTTCCATTAAAAAGAACGAATACTGGCATGTGCTACAGCTTGTATGAATCTCAGAAACATTATTACAAGTGAATGTAGCCAGCCACAACAGGTCATGTATTGTGTGATTCCGTTTATATGAAATATCCAGAGGTGGTGGTTGCAGATTTTGAATGTGCTAAATGTCACTGAATTGAATACTTTAAAATGGTTAATTGTATGTTATGTGAATTTTACCTCAATTTTTTAAATGGGTCATAAACTTATGTTTAGCATAATCCCCTTTTAATTTTAAAAAATGCAGATATTACATGAGAAAAAATGTGCTAGAGCATATTTCAAGACATTAAAGATGGTTATCAGTGAATGATGAGAAATTAGGTAATGTTTATTATTTTCGCTTTGCTAAAATTATTTAAAAATTACTTGCATATTAAATTTTTTAATGCCTAGGAAAGAAAGACTATAGTTGTATTGACTAAGATTTCTACGAGCATGGGGAAAATGCTTAATTTGTAGGGTTAATCAAGGATAAAATAAATTGCATTGTATGTACAATGTGATCCCAAGTATTTAAAACACACTGCTTATGGTAACAGTCAGTCTGTGGGAGACAGGTTAAAAAGTGATATTTTCCCTTCCTACTTTCCAAATTTTCTTAACAAACATATATTATGACTATAATCAGAAAAAATTATTTTTAAAACGTCTACTATGGGGCAAGCTAGGTTCAAAAAATAGAAGTTTGATAAATGTAGTTGGCTTGCTATTGACAAGGAAGACGTTTACACTGGAATTCTATATTTTGAGATATACCATTCCTCATAGAAAAATTTCCTCACAGAAAATATAAAGGTGGAAACAAATCACAAGAATCGAACCATGTAGAGAGACTTAGTTGTCTTTTAACAGAATTGGGCACGGGCTGTTCAGAAACAACAATCTTTCACATCCATTATAATGATAGCATTAGTGTAGTTTGTTTAGCAAATGTTTACTGTGAGCCTGTTATGTGCTGAGCCTGCTATGTAAGAAGTGTGGCTCTCTGGACAGGAGACAGAATACTAAACAACACAACTACTGATCTTTGGCTGCCTGGCATGCTTCCTCACTTCATATGGTATCAGCAATTTAGCACCACAAACGTCCTTTAGAGAACCAGCCCTTTCTCATTCTTGGTTCTAGTGGCTTGAGTAGACTGACCCCAGCCTACCCAAAGTGGATTTGACTCCTAGCAATTCATTAATCTAGCCCAATAAAATGTCAAGTACAGGACTTTTATTGAAAGCATTCAGAAAAGAGGTGGACTCTCACACTAAACATTTGTAACTAAATAAGGGATGTTAGAAATTCTCTAGAAAGGAAGCTATGATAATAAATGGGTTGCTAGATGGGTCTAGTAGATGGTGGCCATGCTTTGTTACTGCCTTGTGTATTGTGCTACCATAGCCCTCCCCAAACTGTACTCTGGCTCCTGGCATTTCCGTCTCTTCAACCAGATGGTCAGCTCTCTAAGTGAAGGAGACACATCTCCAACATGCTTGGTTCTAGCACAACAGAAGGGCTCAAACACATACCTGCTAAAGAAACTATCCTGATGGATTTAGCAGCATGGCCATGAGGCATTGGCGGTTCTATCACTGGGAACTCAGGTTTCTGGTGCTCCAGTACCTCTACTGGCTGATACCACATCCTACAATTCACTTCATAGGCTTGGGTTCCTGCTCTGGGCTGAATAGGTGGTCCACTCTGAGTCATCAGCTGTGGGTGATGATGTGGTCACTGCATGATTCTCACACAAGCACCCAGAGGACGTCATCAGGCAGAGGCAGTGGGGGTGGGCAGCATTTACAGAAAATCTGTGATGAGACACCACAAAACCAGAGGGGAACATGAAGTCACTGAGCCTGCTCCACCTCTTTCCTCTCCCAAGAGCTAAAAGAGAGCAAGGAGGAAACAACAGCAGCTCCAACCAGGGCAGCCTTCCTGAGAAGATGCAACCAATCCTGCTTCTGCTGGCCTTCCTCCTGCTGCCCAGGGCAGATGCAGGTGAGTGACCGTCTCCACCCTCGGGGGCCCAACCCCATCCCACAGGTCTCCTGCCCTTTCTCCACATTCCTGATCCATCTATCTACCAGGAATGTTCTGAACTCCAGCTCCCATTCTACCAAGACCCCCCAAGTGTGATGCTGGATAAGCTATCAGCAGGAATGGCAGAGCAGCAGGCCATTCTCAAGAAGAGCCAGTGGGTACTATCCCTTCCCCAGAGCCCACCTTTGTCACCTGGAGAGTAGGACTTTCCTAGAAGTAAATGGCAGAGGATGGGAAACTAGAAAAGAGAAATATTAAATTATTCTAGAGTAGGCCTGGCTTCTGTTTCTGGGATAAGACAGGTGCTTCTCTCACTGTCTACTTAGGAGAGAAACCCAGAGCTCAGCTGACAGCAGAATTGGTACAATCACTGTCCTCAGAACACTGTTAATGTGTTTGCTCAGTCCCATTCTCCAACTCTGCTTTTCTTCCCTGGCCTTTGGTGGCTCCCCTCTTTCCAAGGATGAGGCACTACGGCAGGCCCCAGCTTCCCTGCTTTCTAGAATTCCACCAGCACTGCTCTACCAGCCCTCATCCAGAGGCTAACTGGAGCCAGTCCATCATGCAGCCATGAACATTTACTGGGCACCCACTACATGTCAGGCTCTAGGAAACAGGATATGACAGTATCTAGATCCCTCCACTTACACCCTGGCCATTAGAAAGCAGCACTATCCTAGACACCACAGGACTCATAAGGGTCTTGGAAACTCACCTGAAACAAAGCAAAGTCAGGAGAGGAATGATCAGGAGCCTCTGGGATTTCACTGTCCCTAAGACAGGTATGCTCGCCTTCAACTACATATGGAAGAAAGATTTACAGACCAAAGTCTGCTGTTCTTCCCTTTTTCAGAGCAGGAAATTGAAGCCCCTTCCTCCAGGCCACTCCCAACTCCAGGCTATCCCAGGCTCCCAAATGCCCAGGAGTTCTGGAGCCACTAAGCAGGTGCCCACCCAGCAGATTCCATGGGTGCCCACAAGCAGACAGACTTTTCCTTCAGGGGAGATCATCGGGGGACATGAGGCCAAGCCCCACTCCCGCCCCTACATGGCTTATCTTATGATCTGGGATCAGAAGTCTCTGAAGAGGTGCGGTGGCTTCCTGATACGAGACGACTTCGTGCTGACAGCTGCTCACTGTTGGGGAAGGTGAGGAGCAGAAAACAGCCCACACCCTCCTGGAAACACTCCACAGAGACCCCTGCCTTCTTCCCAAGGAGCTCCCTGGGCTCCTGTGAACACACATGCCAGGAGGTCTCCTTAGAGGGTGAGAAAAGGGCAGTTAAGTTTGTGGAGAGAGGGGAAGGTTGGTTCCAGAGGTGCTGCTGAAGTAAGAAACAGCAGAGTGACCAAGCCTGCCATATTTAGAACTGGGGGCATACTTTGGCATAGAATACAAACTGAAGCAATTCCACCTGTGTTTCTAGGGGGAACCGAACCCTGAGAAACCTGGTGCAATTACCAGAATTCCAATTCCTGGGGACCGACTGTCCCCTTAATTTCCCCTCAGCTGCAGCCCTGCCCCAGCTGTCACCTGCTCTTCACTGTCTCTGGGCTGTATACCCTGTGACTCCACCCCCATCCTCACTCTGCTCTCTGTGCAGCTCCATAAATGTCACCTTGGGGGCCCACAATATCAAAGAACAGGAGCCGACCCAGCAGTTTATCCCTGTGAAAAGACCCATCCCCCATCCAGCCTATAATCCTAAGAACTTCTCCAACGACATCATGCTACTGCAGGTGAGGCACACTCCTGCCACTCTTGCTCTTCTTGGTCCAGTTGGTTCCACTCCCCCTGGAATGCCGGCCCTTCCCTCCTTTCCATCCTGGCCTCTTGGTTAGTTCCTATGCCTCAGAGGAGAGGGAAGATTGTGCAGCCCCATCACTGTGTCGGGGCCCAGAAGTTCGTTGGCTGACCTGGACTTTCTTGCCTCTTCCCCACCAGCTGGAGAGAAAGGCCAAGCGGACCAGAGCTGTGCAGCCCCTCAGGCTACCTAGCAACAAGGCCCAGGTGAAGCCAGGGCAGACATGCAGTGTGGCCGGCTGGGGGCAGACGGCCCCCCTGGGAAAACACTCACACACACTACAAGAGGTGAAGATGACAGTGCAGGAAGATCGAAAGTGCGAATCTGACTTACGCCATTATTACGACAGTACCATTGAGTTGTGCGTGGGGGACCCAGAGATTAAAAAGACTTCCTTTAAGGTAAGACTATGCACCTGCCTGGATTGGCTCTTGGGAGAAAGATGTTTGGGGAATATCTGAGACCTGGAGACTCAAGTAGTGGGGGACTCCTTCACCCACTAGACTGTGATATTTCTCTCTGGAAAGAGAAGAGGGGACTAGACTGAGCTGGGGAGAAATTAGGGCCTCTGCAAACTTACCAGGAGGCTTATGGTGGATGGTGCTTCTTTGGAAGGATGAATTTGCAACACTCCACCCACTCCAGGTCACAGATATTAGGAAACTGTGCCCACTGGGGGTGCAGTAATTATAACCAGGTGTGTCTTCAGAGGCTGGTACCCAACGTGGTTAATGGGCTGGTCCTCCATGGTGGACATCAGCCCTCCTTGCCCACTTCTGGGTCCTTAAACAGCCAACGGTCCCACATACCTCCGATCTCAGGATCTGGGGGACATGACGGAGGCTGGCCCCTGGGATGAGGTGAAGCAGTAACAATGTCCAGGGCCAGAGCTTGGCAGCTGGGGGCCACCAGCGGCCTGCCCTGCCCTCTGGTCTCCCACATGTAGGCTGTGCAAGTTGGCCTTTTCTAAAAGGGGGCTTGAGATGGAAGAGAGGGCAGGACCCGGAGGAGCATCAGCTCAGTCCTTCCACTCTCTATTCACAGGGGGACTCTGGAGGCCCTCTTGTGTGTAACAAGGTGGCCCAGGGCATTGTCTCCTATGGACGAAACAATGGCATGCCTCCACGAGCCTGCACCAAAGTCTCAAGCTTTGTACACTGGATAAAGAAAACCATGAAACGCTACTAACTACAGGAAGCAAACTAAGCCCCCGCTGTAATGAAACACCTTCTCTGGAGCCAAGTCCAGATTTACACTGGGAGAGGTGCCAGCAACTGAATAAATACCTCTTAGCTGAGTGGAAAAGCTGGTTTCTTGTTTATTCATTGACCCTCATTCTCAGGCACCACATCTGCGCTATGCAGGCCAATGACACAATTTTGCTGTTTTCTGCTTTCTCCTCTCCCCTCACCCCTTGCCACCTCCCCAAACCCCCACATGAAGCTGATACTCAGCTCCTTCCTATCCACACCAGTTTCTCCAGGGCCTGCCCTTCTGCCAAGGCTGAAGCTGAGCACCATCAGGAGACAACATGGACCACTTTGGTCCTGGGGCTTTGGGTAAACTTCTTACCTCCTTCTCCAGTGTTACATGACAGAGAAAAAAGGGATAATACCATGGGACCTAACTCCTCATCCCCCACTGGGGCTCCTCATTCTCCCCTGGGCTTAGTTTCTCTACCCTCCTCTGAGCTCAAGGCTCAGCTCGTCCTCCAGCCTCTTGGCTGCCCCTTCTCTTCATCCCTGCTGAGTGTTCTCAGAATCCACCAACTCTTGTCCTCTCCAGACCACACTGATCTGATCTGGCCCCTCCCTCATATCTACCCACCTAAGATACCCAGAGACCCATGTGGTTCCATAAGGGCCTTGCCACTGAGACGCCAGCCCATCTCATGCCCTGGCAGAGAGGGGCCTCAGAAAAACCAGGCCTGTGTGGCAACCAGGTAAGACCCATGGAGGACAAGGCTGGCACGGTCTCTCTCCAACCCTTGGCTCCATCTCTCCCCTAGGTAGGGCCAGCTCAACCCCTCCCATCCAGCCCAGTGTCCTCCCATACACTCAAGGTTCACTGCCCACCTGGGCAGTCAGCAGGCTGAGCCCCTTTAAACCTGTTCCTCTTGGTCACTGCTGGCCTCTAGGCTAAGATTCCCTGCTAGCCACCTGGGCTACATCAGCCCTTTGAGTTCAAAAGGACTCCTTTCTGCAGAAGGACTAGAAAGCACAATCTTTTCTATCAATCAACAAACAAATACTCATTGAGCACTTACTATGTACCAGGCATAGAGGATAGTAAGAGAACACAATAACAGACTCTATCATCTGAACCCAAGTGAAACTGACAATGTTGAGAATTTTCATCCAAATTGTTTCACTCACTTTCTGTCCTTCAGATTAGTTCACAAGAGCGAGATGTATATGGAAATCCATGGGATTAAAGTATTTGTATCTTATTTTTATTTCTGGTTTTTCTGAGGCCCCTCCCTGCCAGGGCATGAGGTGGGCTGGCATCTCAGTGGCAAGGCCCTTATGGAACCACGTGGGTCTCTGGGTATCGTAGGTTGGAAGATATGAGAAAGAGGCCAGATATTCACACAGTTTGTATAAGTATTGTCACGTGCGACCCCAGAACAGCAATGTATGGGATTTGAAAACAACTTTAATCATTTACTTTCTAGACATGAAGTTGTCAAACTGTTCAATGGAGCGTCATCTTCACCTAGGGGGAAGAGTAGCAGGGCAGGAAGAAGACAACTAGGGCAGGCTTATTTTCATTTGTTTAAAAAGTAGCAAGGATGAATGTCATTATAAAGATTCAAATTGTAGGAAAAACACCCATTTGATTGGACCACTCAGAAGCATAATCCCTGTCATTATACAGGCTCCTGCCTGTACAGAATGAAACTAGAATCAGGAAGGCTCACGCAGGCTGGAAAAATGGAACAATGCCTCGAATGTTTAGGCCACTGATTACTGCTACATTCATAGTTTCCAGAACTACCTGGACTTGTGAATGTTAGGAAGTTCTTGGCTTGGAGGCCACCGATAGAGTATATGACATATTGTTGAATAAGGGTTGCCCAGTGTTAAGCTCACCCTGCCAAACACTCCCAGCAACCACCTCTCCAAGGTCTTGCCACTAATATGGAGTACTGCCTGGGAGTTGAACATAAGTACTAGCTCTAGATTAATGCTTCCCTGTCTCAAATATACACAGCTACACTCTTGTGGCATGGAGTAAAATCTCCCTCTAGGATCATGTAACTGTCAAAGTTGCGCCCTTTCTCATCTCAGTGTGCACAAAGCATGCTGCAACACAATCCTTTTTTTTTTTTTTTTTTTTTGAGACAGAGTTTCACTCTTATCGGCCAGGCTGGGGTGCAATGGTGCAATCTCAGCTCACTGCAACCTCTGCCCCCTGGGTTCAAGCGATTCTCCTGCCTCAGCCTCCTGAGTAGCTGGGATTACAGGTGTGCGCCATCACACCCGACTAATTTTTGTATTTTTAGTAGAGACAGGGTTTTAACATGTTGGCCAGGCTGTTCTTGAACTTCTGACCTCAAGTGATCCACCTCGACCTCCCAAAGTGCTGAGATTACAGGTGTGAGCCACCACACCCGGCCGCAACTCAATCTCTTAATAATCTTGGGCACTTTTATAAAATAAGTGGGTGTCACACAGCTTCTGATTTGGAGCTGGAAAAAAAATCCCTGCACCTAAGACATACTAATGACTTGGTTCCTTCATTGGAAAAGGAAAACACAGGCAGCAAAACAAAATAATAGTATTTTTTAAAGTTGCCTGGTCACATTCATAATCAGTTTAGGTATGATACTTACTTTGGGGAAATGGTTCTGTGGTTTAAAACAGGCTTGAAAATCATTGTTGTAGGACTTTATCCACTTCTGAGCAAGAAGAAAGAAACAAAGTTTCAGGAAAGGGTAGTGACTGACTGAAAATATCACAGAAGTTAGGACAGAGCCTGAACAGAGCCCATGCCCCCTGACAACCAGGCCAGAAAGTAGCTTTAAAAGTCTTCTAATGCTCACCCCAAGATGACTTTCTGGAATCTCCAGACAAGAATTAAGTTTATGCTCAGACGCCTCCCTGGAAAGAAAGACTTTGGGCTTCTCCAGCAGCTATTTAGTGAGAAGTATTCAAAGCACTTCCCTTTGGTAAGCTGAAATCTGTCCACAGGTGCATTTGGGTGGACTCAGAGGCAGGTAAGTACTTTAAACATGCTGACTGCTTCAAATCTCCTTGGTCTGTGGAAGTTTCCCCCCCAACCCCTACCATATGAAGAAATAATCCTTCCCTTGCTTAAAATCTCTCTAGTGTCCCTACTGACTCTAGGAAAGGAAATGCCTCAGCCCACTGAGATCTACTCCCACCATCCCTCTTTTCCTCCAGGGCCACAGGAAGAATCAGGTCCCAGCACAGTCAGGAAGAGAACTGCCAAGTGGGCTCATGGAGGAGATAGACCCCAAAGAAAGCAAAATCTTGCTAAGTTGTTTCTGGGAATATGTATTGGTGTGACTGCCTTCCCAGCCCACCACCATGCTTCTCCCAGTACCACTCTTTGTGAACTTACACAGCTTATAGGGTTTACTTCTTATCTTGGTAACCCACACAACATTGCTTTTGACCAACTAACATATGTCACCATGGCAGCAATGTGTTTATGGACCATAACACTTAGAAGTAGCTGACCTGAGAGAATTGCAGAATAGCGTACTGAAGACTGAAAATAATGACAGCTGAGAAACAGCTACCGGCAAGATTGGGATGCTGTGCTACAGGATGTAGCATATGCTTTTTTTTTTTTTTTTTTTTTTTTGAGATGGAGTCTCGCTCTGTCGCCCAGGCTGGAGTGCAGTGGCGCAATCTCGACTCACCGCAAGCTCCGCCTTCCGGGTTCACACCATTCTCCTGCCTTGGCGTCCTGAGTAGCTGGGACTATAGGCGCCCATCACCACACCTAGCTAATTTTTTTTTTTTTGTATTTTTAGTAGAAACGGGGTTTCACTGTGTTAACCAGGATGGTCTCAATCTCCTGACCTTGTAATCCACCCGCCTCGGCCTCCCAAGGTGCTGGGAGGATGTAGCATATGCTTTTAAGCAATAATAAATATACAATGTTGGTTCTTTCATAGCTAGAATACATTGTTTTGGAAACAGGGAATGTTTCCAAACATTCCTTGCCCCTCTGATTAGGAGTTACACCATAATCTTGAGCTTTACTGGTCTAGAGGTCTCAATTCCTGAGAAAGAAGTCAACAGTCAGATAAGTAGGTTACTTTAGTAGCTGGGTGATTAATCCTGATTGCCATGGGAAGATGGGATTCACTGAGATACCTCCTAATATTTCCATGACCATTAGTGAAGGTCATTGGAGGACTACTGTAGCCCAAAAGATAAGACTACTAAGACCCTTTAAAAGGAAATTTTGAGGCACTACAACAGATAAAGAATCATACCAGATAGGCTTCTTGAGATAAAGTCTTCTGCACAGCTTCTCAGAGATGGTATAACACCCACCCGCATAATGACTTCCCAGCCTCCTTGGCCAAGAGCCCTTCCAACCTCTACTCAGATACCTCCTTAGAGAGAGATCCTGAGGTCATCAGACTCACATGCCATGACAGCTGAGCTGAGATCTGCCTACCTGTGACCATCACTATTTACAAGACGAGACAGTGGAAAACTTGCATTTGGATACAAGTGTGTACTGAGGGATCCCATTCTCCTTGATGTACTAATTTTTCTTTAAAAGTGATAATAATAGCTCCCATTTAGAATTTTTAAATAACACAACAAATGTAAAGTAACTAATGTGTCCTCTGGATCATGGTAAGTAATGAATAAATTTAACTCCCTTTACCTTCTCCCTTTGCTATTTTTTCCATGCTAGGATTTATACATTTTTAAAAAACTAAATCTGCTATCAAATGACAGCTTTAAATTTACTTTTTAAAATTTGTTATTGTATATATTTATGGGGTATAAAGTGATGTTATGATATATATATACACAATGTACACTGATTAAATCAAGCCAATTAACATTTTATCATCTCAAATACTTAACATTTTTTGTAGTGAGAACATTTGAAATTTACTTTTAGCAATTTCAAAACATACATTATTATTATTAACTATAGTCACCATGATGTACCATAGATCTTTAAAAACTTATTCTTCCTGCCTAACTGAAACTTTGTACTCTTTGACTAACATCTTTTCATTCCCCCACTTCCCAGCCTCTGGTAATCACCATTACACACTCTGCTTCTATGAGTTCAATTGCTTTAGACTCCACGTAATAAATGAGATCATGCAGCATTTGGCTTTCTGTGCCTGGCTTATCTTGCTTAGCATGGTGTCTTACAGGTTCATCCATGTTGCAACAAATAACAGAATCTCATTCTTTGTTAAGGCTGAATACTATTCCATTGGGTATATATACCACATTTTCCTTATCCATTAATCCACTGATGGACCCTTAGGTTGTTGATTCCATATATTGGCTATTGTAAATAGTGCAGCAATGAACATGAGAGTGCAACTATCTCTTCAATGTACTGATTTCGAATCCTTCGGATCTATCTCAGAAGTGAGATTGCAGGATCATATAATTCTACTTTTAGTCTTTTGAGGAGCTCCATACAGCTTTCCATATGGCCATACTAATTACATTCTCATCAACAGTGTACAATGGTTTCCTTTTCTCCACATCCTCACCAACATTTATAATTTTTTGTCTTTTTGATAATAGCCATTCTGACAGGTGTAAAGTGATAGCTCATTGCAGTTTTAATTTGCATTTTTTGATGATTAGTAATGTTGAGAATTTTTTCATATATCTCTTGGCCAGTTGCATGTCTTCTTTGGAAAAATGTCTATTCAGTTCCTTTGCCCATTTTTTAATTGGGATTTTTGGTTTCTTGCTATTGAGTTGTTTGAATTCCTTATATATTTTGGATATAAATCCCTAATTAGATTTAAGGATCACAAATACTTTCTCCAAACAAAGCCTCCAGCTTTATTCTTTTTACTCAAGAGTGCCTTGGCTATTAGAATTTTTTTACATATTTGGCTGTCCTTGGGCAGCCTCCATGAGGTGGCAGTCACAAAGCCATATCTCCTTGTATGTGCTGCTAGAAAATTCTTGAGGGTTGGTTCCTAACAGACTCACAGGGTTGCATTGCCATATTAAATTTACACAAACTATTCATTTTCAAACTTTTAGACTCAGAAAATTTCATCAAAACATCAAGGTCAGAGACATAAGTTAGGCTGGACTTACATGAGCCAAGATTAGAAAATTATATGTAGAACCAAATCACCATATTTTTTATGAGAAACCGTTGTCATAGGCCTAAATTTCTCAAGTTCTCTATATGATTACCTAAGCATCTGTGAAGGCTGCTGTCACCCCACTTGAGCTTGGATACCATGTACTAGATCACCCCCTTGCATGAATGTCTTCCTCACCACAAGTGACTTCCACTCCCACTGCTAGGCTGCCCTCCCACAGGAAGAGCTTCCTCACCTTACATGTATTCTGACATCCCAAGCCCACTAGAGCTGCTTAGTGCAGGGTGTCCAAGCCCATGTGGGGTAAGGAGTGTGACCACATTGGAAGAAGGCCTGGTGTGGGTGTTTTCCCCACCTCACACAGATCTAGGCACCCCACTCTAGATTGCTGTGGCTACCCACCCTGCCAAGGTCACTGTTGACAGTGTGCTTTGTTTCTTTCACAAAGGTTTTGTTGCTTTTTAAAAGAACTGGAATGAAGATATTTAGAACCAACAAGATTTTCAAGGTCATGACCCTTCTTTTTTCTTCCATTATGGGGGAATAACCAGCAAAATTTGTTAAGCAAACAGTAAAGTAGTCCTCCCCTATCTGCCAGGAATAAGCAGTAAGACCCTCAGTGGATGCAAGAAACCACGGGTAGTACTGAAACTTATATACTGTATACTACTGTATACTATGCTTTCTCCTATATATACATACTTGTGATTAATTTATACATTAGGCATAGTAAGAGATTAACAATAATAACTAACAATAAAGTAGAATGGAGATGTGGCAAGATGGTGGAATAGGAACAGCTCTGGTTTTCAGCTCCCAGCGAGACCAATGCAGAAAGCAGGTGATTTCTGCATTTCCAACTGAGGTATCCTGTTCATCTCATTGGGACTTGTTAGGTGTGGGTGCAGTCCATGAAGGGTGAGCAGAAGCAGGGTGGGGCGTTGCCTCACCCAGAAAGTGCAAGGAGTGGGGGGCCTCCATTTCCCAGCCAAGAGAAGCTGTGAGGGACTGTGCTATCCAGTCCAGATACTACACTTTTCCCATGGTTTTTGCAATCCGCAGACCAGGAGATTCCCTTGTGTGCCTACACAACCAGGACCCTGGGTTTCAAGCACAAAACTGGGCAGCTATTTGGGCAGACACCAAGCTAGCTGCAGGAGTTTTTTGTTTTTGTTTTTGTTTTTGTACCCCAGTGGCACCTGGAACCCCAGTGAGACAGAACCGTTCACTCCCCTGGAAAGGGGGCTGAAGCCAGGGAGCCAAGTGGTCATGTTCAGTGGGTCCCACTCCCACAGAGCCCAGCAAGCTAAGAACCACTGGCTTGAAATTCTCACTGCCAGCACAGCAGTCTGAAATCCACCTAGGAAGATCGAGCTTGGTGGAGTAAGGGGTGTCCACCATTACTGAGGTTTGAGTAGGCGGTTTTCCCCTGACAGTGCTTAGGAGGCCAGGAAGGTTGGACTGGGCAGAACTCACCACAGTTTGGCAAAGTGGCTGTGGCCAGACTGCCTCTCTAGATTCCTCTTCACTGGGCAGGGCATCTCTGAAAGAAAGGCAGCAGCCCCAGTCAGGGGCTTATAGATAAAACTCCAATCTCCTTGGGACAGAGCAACTGGGGGAAGGGGTGGCTGTGGGCACAGCCTCAGCGGACTTAAACATTCCTGCCTGCTGGTTCTGAAGAGAGCAGCAGATCCTGACAAAGAGAGTTCTCCCAGCACAGCACTCGAGCTCTGCTAAGGGACAGACTGCCTTCTCAAGTGAATCCCTGATCCACATGCTTCCTGACGGGGAGAGATCTCCCAACAGGAGTTGACAGATACCTCATACAGGAGAGCTCCAGCTGACATCAGGCCAGTGCCCCTCTGGGATGAAGCTTCCAGAGGAAGGACCAGGAAGCAATCTTTGCTATTCTGCAGCTTCCGCTGGTGATATCCAGGTACATAGAGTCTGGAGTGGACCTCCAGCAAACTGCAGCAGACCTGCAGAGAGAGGCCTGACTGTGAGAAGAAAAGCTAACAAACAGCAATAACATCAACATCAACAAAAAGGACCCCCACACACATATAAAAAAAAAATCCCATCGAAAGTAAATCCATGAAGATGAGGAAAAAGCAGTGCAAAAATGCTAAAAATTTCAAAAACCAGAATGCTTCTTCTCCTTCAAATGATCACAGTTCCTCTCCAGCAAGGGTACAAAGCTGGACGGAGAATGAGTTTCACAAATTGACAGAAGTAGGCTTCAGAAAGTGGGTAATAACAAATTCCTCTGAGCTAAAGGATCATATTCTAACCCAATGCAAGGAAACTAAGAAACTTGAAAAAAGATTAGACTAATTGCTAACTAGAATAACCAGTTTAGAGAAGAACATAAAAGACCTGATGGAGCTGAAAAATACACCATGAGAACGTGACGCTAACACAAGTATCAATAGCAGAATCAATCAAGCAGAAGAAAGGATATGAGAGACTGAAGATCAACCTACTGAAATACTGTGTGAAGACAAGATTAGAGAAAAAAATTAAAAAGGAAAGAACAAAGCCTCCAAGAAATATGGTACTATGTGAAAAGACCAAGCCTATGATTGATTAGGGTCCCTGAAAGTGATGGAGAGAATGGAACCAAGCTGGAAAACACACTTCAGGGTATTAATCAGGAGAACTTCCCCAACCTGGCAAGAAAGGCCAACATTCAAATTCACAAAATACAGAGAACACCACTAAGATACTCCTCAAGAAGGGCAAGCACAAGACACATAATTGTCAGATTTTCCAAGGTTGAAATGAACGAAAAAATGTTAAGGCAGCCAGAGAGAAAGGTCAGGTTACCTACAAAGGGAAGCCCATCAGACTAACAGCGGATCTGTCTGCAGAAACCCCACAAGCCATAAGAGAGTGGGGACCAATATTCAACATTCTTAAAGAAAAGAATTTTCAACCCAGAATTTCATATTCAGCCAAATAAATTTTCATAAGCGAAAGAGAAATAAAATCCTTTACAGACAAGCAAATGCTGAGAGATTTTGTCACCACCAGCCATGTCTTACAAGATCTCCTGAAGGAAGCACTAAATATGGAAAAGAAAAACCAGTACCAGCCACTGCAAAAACACACCAAAATATAAAGACCAATGACATTATGAAGAAACTGCATCAACTAATGTGCAAAATAACCAGTTAGCATAATGATGACAGGATCAAATTCACACATAAAAATACCAACCTTAAATGTAAATGGGCTAAATGCCCCAATTAAAACGCACAGACTGGCAAATTGGATAAAGAGTCAAGACCCATTGGTGTGCTTTATTCAGGAGATTCATCTCACGGTGTAAAGACACACATAGGCTCAAAATAAAGAGATGGAGGAATATTTACCAGGCAAATGGAAAGCAAAAAAAAAAAAAGCAGGGGTTGCAATCTTGGTCTCTGATAAAACAGACTTTAAACCAACAAAGATCAAAAAAGACAAAGAAGGCCATTACATATTGGTAAAGGGATCAATTCAACAAGAAGAGCTAACTATCCTAAATATATATGCACCCAATACAGGAGCATCCAGATTCATAAAGCAAGTCCTTAGAGACCTACAAAGAGACTTAGACTCCCACACAATAATAGTGGGAGACTTTAACACCCCACTGTCAATATTAGACAGATCAACAAGATAGAAAATTAACAAGGATATTTGGGACTTGAACTCAGCTCTGGACCAAGCAGACCTAATGAACATCTACAGAACTCTTCACCCCAAATCAACAGAATATACATTCTTCTCATCACCACATCATACTTATTCTAAAATCAAACACATAATTGGAAGTAAAACACTCCTCAGCAAATGCAAAAGAAAGGAAATCATAAAAAACAGTCTCTCAGACCACAGTGCAATCAAATTAGAACTCAGGATTAAGAAACTCACTCAAAACCATGCAACTCCATGGAAACTGAACAACCCGCTCCTGAATGACTACTGGGAAAATAACGAAATTAAGGCAGAAATAAAGAAGCTTTTTAAAACCAATGAGAACAAAGAAACAACATACCAGAATATCTGGGGCACAGCTAAAGCAGTGTTAAGAGGGAAATTTATAGCACTAAATGCCCATATCAGAAAGCAAGAAAGATCTAAAATCGACACCCTAACATCACAATTAAAAGAACTAGATAACCAAGAGCAAACACATTCAAAAGCTAACAAAAGACAAGAAAGAACTAAGATCAGAGTGAAACTAAAGGAGAGAGAGACACGAAAAACCCTTCAAAAAATCAATGAATCCAGGGGCTGGTTTTTTGAAAAGATCAAAAAAATAGACCACTAGCCAGATTAATAGAGGAGAAAAGAGAGAAGAATCAAATAGACCCAATAAAAAAAGATAAACGGGATATCACCACTGATCCCATATAAATACAAACTGCCATCAGATAATACTATAAATACTTCTTTTTTTTTTTTTTCTTTTTGAGACGGAGTCTCGCTCTGTCGCCCAGGCTGGAGTGCAGTGGCGGGATCTCGGCTCACTGCAAGCTCCGCCTCCCGGGTTCACGCCATTCTCCTGCCTCAGCCTCCCAAGTAGCTGGGACTACAGGCGCCCGCCACTACGCCCGGCTAATTTTTTGTATTTTTAGTAGAGACGGGGTTTCACCGTTTTAGCCGGGATGGTCTCGATCTCCTGACCTCGTGATCCGCCCGCGTCGGCCTCCCAAAGTGCTGGGATTACAGGCGTGAGCCACCGCGCCCGGCCTACTATAAACACTTCTATGCCAATAAACTAGAAAATCTAGTAGAAATGGTTAAATTCCCGGACACATACATGCTCCCAAGACTAAACCAGGAAGAAGTCGAATCCCTGAATAGGCCAATAACAAATTCTGAAAATGAGGCAGTAATTAATAGCCTACCAAGCGAAAAAGGCCCAGGACCAGATGGATTCACGGCTGATTTCTACCAGAGGTACAAAGAGGAGCTGGTACCATTCCTTCTGAAACTGTTCCAATCAATAGAAAAAGAGGGACTCCTCCCTAACTCATTTTATGAAGCCAGCATTATCCTCATTCCAAAACCTGACAGAGACATAACAAAAAAAAAATTTTTCAGACCAATACCACTGATGAACATAGATGCAAAAATCCTCAATAAAATACTGGCAAACCAAATCCAGCAGCACATCAAAAAGCTTCTCCATCACGATCAAGTTGGCTTCATTCCTGGGATGCAAGGCTGGTTCAATATATGTAAATCAATAAACCTAATCCATCATGTAAACAGAACCAATGACAAAAACCACATGATTATCTCAATAGATGCAGAAAAGGCCTTCGATAAAATTCAACAACCCTTCACGCTAAAATCTCTCAATGAACTAGGTATTGATGATACATATCTCAAAATCATAAGAGCTATTTATAACAAACCTATAGCCAATATCATACTGAATGGGCAAAAGCTGGAAGCATTCCCTTTGAAAACTGGCACAAGACACAGATGCCCTCTCTCACCACTCCTATTCAACACAGTATTGGAAGTTCTAGCCAGGGCAATCAGGCAAGATAAAGAAATAAAGCATATTCAAATATGAAGAAAGGAAGTCAAATTGTCTGTTTGCAGATGACATGATTGTATATTTAGAAAACCCCATCATCTCAGCCCAAAAACTCCTTAAGCTGATCAACTTTAGCAAAGTTTCAGGATACAAAATAAATGTGCAAAAATCACAAGCATTCCTGTACACCAACAGTAGTCAAGCCAAGAGTCAAATCATGAGTGAACTCCTATTCACAATTGCTACAAAGAAAATAAAATACCTAGGAATACAACTTACAAAGGATGTGAAGGACCTCTTCAAGGAGAACTACAAACCATTGCTCAAGGAAATAAGAGAGGACACAAACAAATGGAATAAAATTCCATGCTCATAGATAGGAAAAATCAATATCATGAAAATGGCCATAGTACCCGAAGTAATTTATAGATTCAATGCTATTCCCATCAAGCTACCAACAAGACACCAGGAAAGTCAATGGTAGACTTTCCTCACAGAACTAGAAAAAACTACTTTAAATTTCATATAGAACCAAAACAGAGCCCATATAGCCAAGACAATCCTAAGCAAAAAGAACAAAGCTGGAGGCATCACGCTACCTGACTTCAAACTATACTACAAGGCTACAGTAGCCAAAACAGCATGGTACTGGTAGCAAAACAGATCAAAACAGATACATAGACTAATGGAACAGAACAGAGGCCTCAGAAATAACACCACACATCTACAACCATCTGACAAACCTGACAAAAACAAGAAATGGGAAAGGATCCCCTATTTAATAAATAGTGCTAGGAAAACTGGCTAGTCATATGCAGAAAACTGAAACTGGACCCCCCTTCCTTACACCTTATACAAAAATTAATTCAAGATGGGTTAAAGACTTAAACATAAAACCTAAAAGCATTAAAACCCTAGAAGAAAACCTAGGCAATACCATTCAGGACATAGGCATGGGCAAAGACTTTATGACTAAAACACCAAAAGCAATGGCAATAAAACCCAAATTTGACAAATGGGATCTAATTAAACTAAAGCGCTCCTGCACAGCAAAAGAAACTATCATCAGAGTGAACAGACAACCTACAGAATGGGAGAAAAATTTTGCAATCCATCCATCTGACAAAGGGCTAATATCCAGAATCTACACAGAACTTAAACAAATTTACAAGAAAAAAACAACCCCATCAAAAATGAGCAAAGGATGTGAACAGACACTTCCCAAAAGAAGACATTTATGCAGCTAATGAAAATGTGAAAAAAAAACTCATCATCACTGGTCATTAGAGAAATGCAAATCAAAACCAAATGGGATACCATCTCACACCAGTTAAAATGGTGATCATTAAAAAGTCAGAAAACAACAGATGCTGATGAGGATGAGGAGAAATAGGAATGCTTTTACACTGTTGGTGGGAGTGTAAATTAGGTCAACCATTGTGGAAGACAGTGTGGTGACTCCTCAAGGATCTAGAACAAGAAATACCATTTGACCCAGCAATCCCATTACTGGGTATAGACCCAAAGGATTAGAAATCATTCTACTATAAAGATACATGTACATGTATGTTTATTGCAGCAGTATTTACAATAGCAAAGACTTGGAACCAACCCAAATGCCCATCAATGATAGACTGGATAAAGAAAATGTGGCACATATACACCATGGAATACTATGCAACCATAAAAGAGAATGAGTTCATGTCCTTTGCAGGGACATGGATGAAGCTGGAAACCATCATTCTCAGCAAACTAACACAGGAACAGAAAACCAAACACCACATGTTCTCACTCGTAAGTGGGAGTTAAACAATGAGAACACATGGACACAAGGAGGGGAACATTACACACTGGGGCCTATTGGGGGGTGGGGGGCAAGAGGAGGGAGAGCATTAGGACAAATACCTAATGCATGCAGGGCTTAAAACCTAGATGATGGGTTGATAGGTGTGGCAAACCACCATGGCACATGTATACCTATGCAACAAACCTGCACGTTCAGCACATGTATCCCAGAACTTAAAGTAAAATAAAAAAACTAGAACAATTATAACAATATATTCTAATAAACGTTATGTAAATCTGGTTTCTCTCTTAAAATATCTTACTGTTTTCAGAGCACTGTTGACCATGGGTAACCAAAACTGCAGAAATTGAAACTGCAGATAAAGGAAGACTATTGTACAAGGATATCAGAAATGTGTCCTAGACAGAAATGTGAGGATACTATTTGGCTCCCTGGCATCAGTTTTTAGTTCACATGGAATTAGTAATTCACTAAAGAGATTGTCTTCCTGGAAAACTAACCCTCCTTCCATTCATAGTATATAAAGTTTAGACAAAGCAGATCTCAGTCTATCCAAAAGCTATGCCCAAGGCTTATACCAATCAAAGTAGCTTCAACTCTTCTCTGACGAATCCTTCATGCACCTAACGCAATGTGGCAGATTGTACTTTCTGTAATGACTGCCACTGCACATCTCCCATCCCAGCAGCTCTCCTTACATGACTTCAACACTCCTCTCACTGAGAGGCAAAGTCTATGTCCCTTTCTTTTAAATCTGGGTGGGGGCTTTAGATTGCTCCAAGCAATGGAATGTTGTAGAATGGATACCATATGACTTCAAAGTCTAGGTAACAAAAAGGACACAGCTTCTGCCTGGCTCACTTTTTGGGAGGATGATCACTCTGGGAAACCCAGCCACCAAGTGGTGAGAAACAATACCATGCAGTGAAGCAACATAGGGAGGCCGCCATGAAGAAGACATGAAGCTCCCAGCAACTACTGCTGAACCTGTGAGTGAGTGAACCTTCAAATGATTCCAGCCTCCAGGCTTCAAGTTGCCCCTGCTGACATGGAGGGGAGCAGTGACAAGCTATCAACACCAACCCTGATCCAAATTGCAGGCTCGTGGGCAAGGTAAATATTGTTATTGTTTTAAATGACTAAAATCTTTAGTGCTGAAGCACACCTTCTTCTGCATTTCTCCACATCATTCTTTCCATTCCTCTAAGCATGGCCTTCACCATCCTTATCTAATCACTAGTGTTTTTGTGTCCTCCAACAGAGCCAAGGAATCTCATCTCCAGTATCTGTGAGTCTCACACAGAAAAGGACCCCATAAGAGCTGTAGAAAAATCTTTGACCCTCTTTTTTTCCAGATTCCATGGAATTTAGTGGTGTAGTGGTTAATATCAGATGCTCTGGAATCAAGCTATGATGCTCAAACCCTGGCTACTCCCTCCTCACAGTGTGAGATTGAGCAAGTTACTTAACTTCTCTTGATCACAACTTTTTCATGTAAAAATAGAGATAGTATCAATACCTACCTTGCATAATTTCTGGGATAATTCTATGATAGGAAGAACATAAAGTACTTAAAAACATAAGGACTCAGTAAATTCTAGTTGTTGTTATGATATAGAGTATTTTCTCATTTATTCAGCAAACTAATTAGCCACATACTCTTTCTAAGGTACATTTTAAGTTTTTTTCTTGCACTTGTCACTGTGTTTCATTTCAATCAACTTTAACATAATCAAGCCACAGATTTTTTGGCCATTATTTTATCTTCAGTTGTTTATTGATTGTTTAGTTAGGCAGGCCAGTTAGAAATGTGATGAGCTCTGATATCCCCGAGCTTACAGGCACCAGCTCTCCTCAAAATATTAGAGAAAATGTATCCCAGCTCACATGTTTTGCACATCTGTGTTCTTCTGACCCTATGACTCAGCCCTGACTGCCATTAGACCCCCTGATCTGACCCCAAATGACAAACTATATACATAATCTCTCCCTGGCACCTATACTCAGCATGTGGAGTGAGCCAGCTTAGCCAGTATCATCCAGCACATCACACACAGCTCCTGGGGCCCCAGACCGGTTACCTTAGGATATTCTTTCCATCAGCCAGCCACTAGGTGAGTGGACCGGAAACAAAAGCACTAAAGCTAAGGTGGCTGTACAAATTCTGAATCAGATGAGTGCGGAAACATCACTAACACAACAAACACATAATAAGTACTGTCAATAATAGAAACTGTAAATTTAAAAAAGAAATAGAAAAGAAACACAAAACATGACTTCTTTTTAACTTTCCTTCACAGCCAATGAGTCAAGTCTTCTTCCATCATCAGAGGAGGTGAAGATGCAGAAGAGAGCGGCCACACTTGAAGAGTGAATGAGAGCAGCAGGAGCCCCAGGGGAGGGACCTTGCCTCTTCAGAAGACTGAAGCAGTGACAAGCGAAAAGAAGAAACCTTAGTAAACTGATTAAAGAGAGTTCACCTCCTCCATAAGACACAGGCCAGACCTGGATAATAAGGAGGGTCATAGATAGCCCTGGAAATAGATGTTATTTTCCTTGCAATACATCACTTTGGCCCACTGTGCCTTGGGCTGCCCCTCGAGTGCCCAGGCACCCAAGCACCTCTGAGCTTTTCTCTCAGGACGTTCTCTGGAGCTATAAAAATTTGTTCTGTCCAAGAGCAGTCTTAGCCCTCAAGTGAGAAAGAATTAATGCTCCTAGAGACAAATTTCAACCACCTGGAAACAGGAATTACCAGGCAAATGACCCAGCCTCCTGAATTTTGGAAAGACAATGCTGACATCCATTCTTTATGGATTCTCAAAGAGTCCCCAGCAGGATTCAGCTCCAGATACCCACAGCAATAGGTAGCTCAGTAATGCACTCATGGTTAGCTCTCCTTATTTTCCCTGTTTCATTCTTCCTACTTCCTCGCTCCAGTCTCTTGGAATTATCTCAGAAAAAAAATTAATTACCTCTAACTAAATCCTTGTCTCGGCCTGTTTGTTGAACAAAAGACTCAAACTAAAATCCAACTGTATTGGGTTGAATAGTGTCCCCCCAAAGTTTATGTTCACCCACCACCTATGAATGTGACAGCATTTGGAAGCAGGGTTTTGCAGATGTAACTAAGTTAGAATAAGTTCATACTTGATTAAGAGGGACCCTAATCAAATGACTGGCATCACTTTAAAACAGGTAAATGTGGACACAGACACACAGGGAAGATCACCCAGCAACAGATACAGAGATTGGAGCAATGCATCTACAAGCCGAGGCAGTGGCAAGGATTGCTGATACCCCTAGAAGCTAGGAGAAGCATGGGACAGACTTTGCCAGACACTTCCAGAAAGAACCAACTCTGCTGATACCTTGATTTCAGGCTTCTGGCCTCCAGAACAGTGAAAGAATCAATTTCTGTTGCCTGCTGCCAGCAGTTTGTAATACTTTGTTATAACAGCACTAAGAAATTAATACCCCAGAGTGTCTTAGTCAGGGTCCAAGAAGACAGAAACCACTCCAAATATTTGCAAACAAAAGGAGTTTATTCCAGGGAACTGATTACATGACAGGAGCCAAAGAGGGTAAAATGAATCAACCGAGAGATTAGCAATAGCAGGAAGCCACTACCACACCTAGCTGGAGGCATGGAGGGAGCAAGCAGTGTTGCCAGGACCCTGATCACCTGGCAGAATATGAAACCATATCTAGCCTGCCAGGTGAGAGCTGGAGCCAGGAGGAGAGCAGAGGAGTCATCCTGAAACAGTCCGCAAGCTAAGAAGAAAGAGTGGGAAGGAAAAAGACCCTAATTCTTCAGCACCACCCATTGGCTTGGTCCAAGAAGACAGAGCTGTCAGACAGAGAAATCTGTGTGATGTAGACTGTGTCACAGAGAAGAGCAGCAGGAAGATGAGGGCTGGATCTGAAAGCTACCTGGGCAAGGATCCAAACCAACAACTCCACTCCAACCCCATGAGACTCAAAGGAGGAGAGTTTAAGCTTTTGCTGTTTTTTAAATAAATTACTAGGATCCATAATAATACCAGTAAAAGGTGAGATCTGAAGGATGAGAGACACTATGAAGAAACAGTGTGAGACAGTAATAATGCACTGATGATCATGGCAGTACAAAAAATGGGAAGTCCTTCATGAGTCAGGTTTCTTTAAACCCACATGCAACTCCCACTTAGATGGACACAACAGTATGTGAAGACTCATACTGTGTTCTTTTGTTCCAAGAACCACCACGGGAACACACCAGGAAAACCAAAGGAATTCACACACCCTTTGAAAGAAGCAGGACACTGCTGCAAATTTTGCAAAACAGGTGAAAAACTGTAAGTTCCCAAAGTGTGAGAGGGAAAAAACCTGCCTCTGAACACACATCCCCACTGGGGAATCTGAAAATCCAGATCAAGGGAGAATTTAACCTTACCTTGAACTGAAACAAATGTAGGCAGTCACACAAAATATAAAAGTAGAAGTATCAGTATCAGAAGACTGCAAGGCACTTCCAATCTTCAGCTTGAGCCCAGGGAAGCCATTCCTGACTATATCTCACAGGATCTCTCAGGGAAGGCAGCCAGTGGAATTGGGGAGGGGTCACCAGGTGAAGGAAGCTTCCAACTGAAATTGGTAGTGGTTTCAATTGGACACAAACTTTCTTTAGTGGAGTCTAGGGGACGAGTGGGAGCTTTGGCAATATGAGCACATGAACTCAGAAGCAAAGAAGCCACTCCCGTTGGAGTGGGCAGATGGGGAGGGGTGATATCTGAAATCCATGCTTGCTTTCTCAGTGGGAAAGTTCACAGCCTTGGGCAAGATCTGAGTGGGGCACTTTGGGAGTGAGACTGGCCTTGCCAACTGTGTGGGAGCTGGGTGAGACCTCTCGCTACCAGCTTTCCGCCACTTCCCTGGTGAATTATATGACACAACAGAGGTAGCCAAGATCCCCTCTGGAAAATAACCCCATTGGCCTAAGAACCACCCCCACATCCCGCACAGTGGCCACAGCAAACCCCACCCAAGGAGACTCTGAGCCCAGACCCACCTAACCCTGCCCCAACATGATGGTATTTCTTTACTCACCCTGGTAACCAAACACAAAAGATAGAAACTCTTGGGAGCTTTCAGGCCCCACCCATCATCTGAGAAACCAAAATACTCACCCTGGCCAACTTAGGGCAAACCTAGATCCCTCTACTACCAATGCAGCTGGTGCTCTCTTGAAAGCACCACTTCTTGGCTGGAGGCCAAACAACACAGGCCATTACAGCAACTCATGACAGAATAACCCTGAACCCAGGAAGGAGAAGATAACACCTAATTCCAATGCCTGCAACATCCTGGCTAAACAGAGGTCCTGAGTGTGTCCACATGAAAACTTCACTGCTAGCATAACCAGCATTCAAGAAACCCAGCACACTACACATATCTACAACCAAGGACTCTCACAGAGTCTACTTCACTCCCCTTCCACCTCCACCAGAGCAGGTAATGGTATCCATGGCTGGGAGACCTGAAGAGAGATCACATCACAGGACTCTTTGCAGACATTCCCCAGCACCAGCTGGAACCTGGTAGCGCCACTGGGAGGCTAGACCCAGAAAAGCAGTAACAGCCAATGCAGTCCAGTGGTCAGAAAGTCCCATCCCTAGGGGAAGGGGGAGAGCACCACATCAAAGGATCACCCCATGGGATAATAGAATCTGAACAGCAGGACTTGAGTTCCAGACCTTTCCACTGAAATAGTCTACCCAAATGATAAGGAACTAGAAAGGTAATTCTGGTAATATGATAAAACAGAGTTCTATATCACCTCCAAAAGATCACACTAGCTCCCCAGCAATGGATCCAAACCAAGAAGAAATCTCTGAATTGCCAGATA